>NC_000018.10:8760000-10010000 GCF_000001405.40 Homo sapiens
AAGCGACTCCAGCTGTATGAGAAGCGCTTAGACCCCTATTTGCCCCCTTTGGGAGTCACCAAAATCCCAAAGCCACAGCACATTCCTTGTCATACCTTCTTCTGGAACATGGGCTCACCTCATGTCCATCTGGAACGCGAGAGCGGTCAGCAGGAGGTGGACAGTCCCTCAGTGAGTCCAACCTGCCTCCTTGTAAGTCCCTTCTCCGAGATGCAGTGCCGGGCTATGGAGGGTCTCAGGCTGTGAGGAAGGAGAACGGGTTCAAATCCTGGCCGTGTGGTGGGCAAGTTACTTCTTCTGAGCCTGTTCCCTCACACAGGAAATGAGAACAAGAGTCCCCACCTCATATTGGTGGTATTAGGATTCGGGATCTCAAATATAAAATGTTGGCTGTCTAAACTTGTTAGACGCAGATGCAAGTGCCATGTTTGCTAACGCCCCTGACATTCTCTAGGGCAGTGCCTTGAGGGGTGTGTTGTCATCTCAGCGGGGTGGCCCCACTCACCTGCTAGGAAGCAAATGTTAGGATTTTGACTTCTCAGTCAATACAGAGGGTCAGCTAGAGCTATATCAGGAATAGAAAGTAATGCTTGCAGTGTTTTCCTTTTCTTCATTCCTTTTTTCTTTACCTCCATTATTTCCAACTTTCTTTACTCCTTTCTTTCTTTTTTCTTCCCATATTTCCGTAAGAAACCGTGTGTGTGTGTCTGCATGTGTGTATGTGTGCATTTACATAAAGCAAAGATAAGCTGTTGTAGAAGGCACTCCTCCATTATTTCCAACAAATTTTAAGATTTTACAACTCTGTTAGAAAATCAAAATTTCTCCCTCTAGTATTTTCTGGTACATTTTAGAAATATTTTTCCACAAATAAATTAAGGATTGAGAAATGATGACTTCTTATGAAGAAACCATGCATGTTGATTAAAATATGCTGCTTTGAAATGTCCAGAGAGAAGAAACTGCCTTTAGATATGTAATAATATAAAAATTTTAAATGTGTGTCACCATTTTTTTAAAAAGTAAGGTCTTTGGAGAAAAAACTTGCTAAAGCTTTGGTCACTGTTTAAAGGCTGCCCTCACAAAATTTATAAACAGTCTGGGTCCATCTAGATGTGTATTTTACAGATTAAAGGCAGTACTCGCCTGTCTTTGCTTCTTGGCCATAAAAGGAGAGGAAAGAGAATATATAGGGCTGTTCACATGGAAGGTGCAATAAATCATAGATTGCACAGTGATGCCCAAAATGTAAGCCAGGTTGAGTCACATGTAGATCTTTGTTTGGGGTGCTTATGACTGAAAATTTTTGATGTAAATTAGTATTTTTATTGTGATAAATACACATAACGTAAAAGTTACCATTTTAACCTTTTTAAAGCACCAATTTGGTGGCATTAAGTACATCACAGTGTTGGGCAACCATCACCATTATCTATTTCAAGAACTTCATCATCATCTCAGACAGAAGCTCATACCTATTAAACAATAATCCCTCACTCCCCTCCTGCCCTTCACCCTGGTGACCTCTGTTCTTTCTATCTCTATGAATTTGTCTATTCTGGGTATCTCATATGTATTAGTCCATTTTTGTGCTGCTGATAAAGACATACACAAGACTGGACAATTTACAAAAGAAACAGCTTTAATGGACCTACAGTTCCACATGGCTGGGGAGACCTTACAATCATGGTGGAAGGTGAAAGGCACATCTTACATGGCGGCAGACAAGAGAAGAGAGCTTGTGCAGGGAAACTCCCCTTTATAAAACCATCACATTTCGTGAGACTTATTCATTATCACGAGAACAGCACAGGAAAGACCTGCCCCCATGATTCAATTACCTCCCTCTGGGTCCCTCCCACAACATGTGGGAATTTAAGATGAGATTTGGGTGGGGACACAGCCAAACCATATCTTCATATAAGGGGAGCCATACAGTATTTGTTCATATTTTGTCTGGTTTATTTCACTTAGCATAATGTTTTCAAGGTTTATTCTTGTATCAGAATTTCATTCCTTTCTATGTCTGAATAGAATTCCATGGTACATACTGATCATGTTTTGTTTATCCATCCAGGTGTTGATGAACACATGGGTTATTTCCACCTTCTGGTGATTGTGAATTGTGCTCCTGTGAGTATTGGTGTTCAGGTATAGGTTTGAGTCCCTGATAATTAGTGTCTTAAAAGGTGTCTTTTTGTAAGCTGAGATTTTCCAAGAGAAGTTTCAAGGACACCTCGCCGAATGGCATCCTCTTGCTGTCATGAGGGCAGGCACCAGGCATGTTGCTGTGCTGTCTCCATGGTAAAGCTGCACCCCTGCCTGTGAATGTGCACAATACAGAACTCAGCATCAGCTGAGAAGCAGCCATGCAGTGTGCGCTGGGACATTTAAACTAGGGTAGCTGCCGCGACTGCTCTCAGCCCAAACATTATTCAATGTTCAGGATTGATTAAGGAGAGCAACCCTTGGGGGACACCCCCACTAAGGAGGCTCTCAAATGAACAGTCGGGGTGATGGAGTCTTCCTTGGCCATGGAGAAGAATGGATAGAAAAGATGCTGTCCCACAGAAGGCAGTTTCCTACGTGGAGTGAGGAAGGACGGAAATTGATGATGACTTCGTGGCTTCCACCCTTGAGGACAGAGCGGCTGCCAGAACCCCCACAGGGGTGGCAACAGGAGTGATCACACTGATAGCTGAAAGGGAGGTACAAGAAGACATCGGCACACACAGCATGGGATGTGCAGGAAGGAAGCAATTGGGGAGCCCCTCTCGGTGAGGGGCAGGAAAAGCAGGAGGACTGAGGCTCTGCGGGATAGGGCGGGAAGGAGGAGATGAGCGTGAGAGCACGGGGAAAGGGGCGAGTGTGGTGCCCGGCTCAGGCTTGGGAAGCAGCGTCTGCACCCATCTGTTGTTACAGTGGCTGTTTCTGGGCTGAGTTATCTTTCCGTTTCTGTGTATTCTTTCTCCTCTTTGTTAATTTCATTCTTAATTATTGTTTGGTAGCTTCTATAAAGTCTTCTATATAGTCTACAGGCTGAAATGACCTGCCAGCTGCACAAAGAAATTCTTCTCCCCCCAACCAAGCCCGCTCAATACATCCTCATTGATAACATGTCCCATGTCTGTCTGGAGGAAGCAGGCCTGTGACAAGATGTGCCGAGTTGTTCTGTCTGGCTTCAGTTATGTGCAAGAAAACAGAACTGAAACCAGGAGTTACCAGGGGGTTAGAAATCAAGGAAGAGGAAAACGATGTCCAAGAAAGGGACAGCCGTGGAAGTGGCCATCCTGGGGCAGGAATGAGGCCTGCTGGCTGGGGCTTCCCTGATGGGCCCGCCCAGACCCCAGGGTCCAACCTGCTGTAGAACCACCACAGAACAGAATCTAAGTCTCTCCTCATTTTTTCCAATTGGATGCCAGTTCACTTCCAAAGAGATGTCATGTGCCTGTGAATCTGGCTCAGGCCACCACCAAGGCAGAGAGTCTCCAGCCCAGCTTGTGTCACACTCTTATCAGCGTCTCAATTTCCATCTAAACCCAAAGCTCTTGTATGGAAGAGGTTTCCTAACTTCTTTTCCTTTTATTTCCCTTTCCTTTGCTTCACGCTTCTACATATCCTTTGGTTCAGTGGTCTCTCTCAGCCTTATTGCTCATTTGATTTTAATATGTTGACAAAAAGTCTTGTCAGTTCCAAAGAGGAGTGTCTGTCCTTTGCTAATTAGGTCCTAATAGCAGGGGAGAGAACACACATCATCGGTTTTCTCCTGGTGGTTTGACTCATCCTATAAATTGTATGTGAAATCACTTTTGCCATTGGCTCTTGGCATACTTAATTGCATTGTGGAAAATCTGACCCACTTACCTCCCTGAAATGATAGAAATAATGCCCTCTTACTGTGGGAGCGAATTTTGTTGTTGAAATTTTTCCTATGAATTAACAGATTGGGATTTTTATTTCAGACTTTATATACTTGGTGAAGTTAGGGTTCTAAATTCTGTTCTATATATAGAATATATAGAAATCACACAGTTGAAAAAGTTCATACTTCAAACACACATTTTCCATGCAGAGTGAAAAAGCCTGTTTTCTAAACATTGGTTTTTCTCCTAGAGAGAGAAGAAAGCCAAAATGATTAATAGTGGGTCTTTTTTTCTACTTTGAAAAAAAGGAGGGGGTGATTAGGACTTGAAAATATTAAACAAGAAGAGAATCATAATTGGCAGGGTAATATTGCTTTTTATGGTTATCACTTGTTAAGCAAATTACTTCATTTGATCTTTAAAAGAATGCTTTATATAAGGAAGGTACTATTCTCACTTTTTTTTTTTTTTGAGACAGAGTTTCGTTCTTGTTGCCCAGGCTGAAGTGCGGTGGTGCAATCTTGGCTCACTGCAACCTCTGCCTCCCGGGTTCAAGTGATTCTCCTGCCTCAGCCTCCCAAGTAGCTGGGATTACAGGTGTGCACCACACACCCGGATAATTTTTTGTATTTTTAGTAGAGACAGGGTTTCACCATGTTGGCCAGGCTGGTCTCGAACTCTTGACCTCAGGTGACCCACCTGCCTCGGCCTCTCAAAGTGCTGGGATTACAGACATGAGCCACTGGCCCTGGCCCCTGCCCCCGCCCCCCACTTTTAAATAAGGAAATTGAGACCACAGGCTGGCTCGATATGCCTGGATTTGGATGTGAGCATCCATGTCCTTAATTCACCTTTCCCTTTTACCCACGTAGCCTGGGCACTTTCACATGGTTGCTGGACAACTGAGACTTTGTAAGGATGTTGGGTCAACTTTGGAGTAAAGTGCATTATCCAATGCAAAACAAACTATACTTTGAATTTTCAAAGTTTTTCTAAAGGCATTGTCATGGAGGCTTTTAAAAACCAGTTAAAATTACACAGTTAACTCTGAGAGGCACTGACAGGTGCAATTACTCCCAATGATAAAAAGAGAAGAAATAAAATGCCCGGAAGAGTCAAAACAAAATAGTGGCCTATGTAGGTATGTGACTAGGGCACCATGGGGCTGCCTCAAAGCTTGAACTTGTGGCAAGAAGAACAAGTGAGTTGATACCCGGTGGGATGAAGGAAGGTTCTTCCCCTGGCCTTCGCCTACCTGCAGGCCATTTGCTGCTTGATCTCCAAGTGGCTCCTTCTCTGAACACCAGTTAGTTTTTTGAAGCACATTTGCACCTCAGGATAAATGTCGTGGCAGCAGGCCTGTGTGCCCTAGGAAGGTTGATGCAGCCTGTGAGCGGGGTGGAGGTAGAAGGAAGATGAAAAGCTGGGGCAACTATGCCAGAGACACACTCACGCTCTGCCCCAGTGAGCCCAAGGGGCAAGAAATGACTGGCTGAACAGACGACTGATTGAAAGAGCAAAAGTACCTCCATGCCAAGTCCCTGCACTGTTGGTGGCCTGGTTGCGTGTGCGCCAGAGGCAGCTGTGATATGGGCAAGCAGAGCACCCTAGAGCAAGAGCCTCCTCCCCCACAAGTCCTTGGGCAAGTCACTTAACCTTCGCACACCTCCATCTTCTCCTGGGTTAGTGCCTCACACTGCCCGTCCTCGGGAAGAAGTGGACCCAACCACACGAGGGATGGAAGTGCCAACAGGAGGGTGCTGCAGCTACTCGGGCAAGCCACTCCTCCCATGCTTCCTCCAAGGAAGCTTCTCTCTTCTCTTTTGGGTGGGAGTGATTCTGTTGAATAATAAAATCGAGAACCGAAGCATTAGAAGGACCCGGGACATGTACTTTCATCCTTGGAACAGTGATAGAACAGAAGTAGTCATGCGGGCTCCTGGGAGATGTGAGGTCTGTCCCAGCAGGGAGCAGCCACATCAAAGAAGGAAGCAGGCAGAGCTTCCAGCAAACAGAGCTCCCTGACTGGGCCTCTTTCCTTCTGTCCACTCAGAAACCATTAGAGTCCAGCCTGATTGCACAAATGGATCTAGACAGCCCCAGGAGGAGCCATCCCGACACAATGCTGCCACAAGTCTGAATAATGCACACATTCACCCTTATGTACCCACAGGAGGTCTTCTGGATTTTTATAGCTTGCAGATAAAGATCCAACAACATCTGGATTTTCTCAGATGTGAGAAGCTGGTCATAGATTGGTGTCATTTAGAAGACAAAACATGAGATTGATGTGTTTTAAAAGCACGCAGCGGATGCTGCACACAAGAAAGGCGTGGTTAATGAGCACTCCAGGCCTGCGTTTCAGCAGGGTGTGCCAAAGAATGATGCCTCATGAGGCCTCCTCCATCATCCTCCATGTAGCGCCTGTTGTGTGAGCTGATCCACCGAGCTCCCCACTAGGTGAAGCATGAGTTGTCGGAGGTCTGGGAGAAAGGAGCAGCTGTCTCTGCCGTGGCTGCTGCAGGGACACTGTGTAGGCTCTGTGCCCTGGTCTGCATCAGAGGCTGGGGCCTGGGGCGCCCCAGTGGGGACTTGCAGACGATAGCTTTAGCTGTTGAAAGGCTGCAGTGAAAACACCAGCTCTGGCAACTGATCCTGCTTTTCAACATTGTCTGCAATGTTGTGTCTCATAAATATAATATACTAGCAGAGATATTGACAGTTGAGGGTGTTAACTTTCTTAGCCTGTGTGTTCATTCCAGACAGCACCAGAGATAATCAAACTGACTTCTTTGGTTTTCATCACATGAAACCATGGCTGTTTTGTTTTTCTGCTGAATGCCTGCTCCCAGCTGTAGCCCTGGCCCAGCCGCCTTCCTGGGAGAGGGCTGGGCAGGACAGAGCTGAGGGTGGGCAGGTGCAGCTGGGACTTCCCTCCCTCTGTTCTGCCCTATGCCCATCCTTAGTCCAAGGGCTGGGTATTGTTCTTTGGTGATTTTCTTATGTTTCCAGGTTGCCTTTTAGGGGAAGCTTGTTCATTCCCAGCCCTCACTGGCTGACCCACCTCAAAGACCAGGGCTGGCCAGCCCCTTCCGCAGCCTCAGAGCAGCTCTCTAGCCTCCAGGGGTTTGTCCTGTTGTAGGAGCAGGTTGCATCCTGTGCCTCTCCCTGCAGCTTTCACTGCTCTTGCCTAATTAAATAATCTGTAGTTTCCAGGACAGTGGCAGAGGCTGATGGAGGAGGGAGGGTTTTTGCTCCTTAAGAATCATGAGATCATGGAGCAGAAAGTTACCCCCTCCTCTTGAATCACTTAAAGTATTGTGCCCTGGGGCTTAGAGCTAGGGATCCTAGCTGCCAGTGCTTGGAGATGAGAATTGCTGAAGATTTGCCCAAGGGGCATCAGTAGCTTTTGTGGAGTAATGCTAGCCAGTGATGCTTTTGATATTTCAGCACAGTTTAGTAGATGATTTATGGAACCAAGCAGTGGCTCCAGATAGCAAGGATCCTAGGCAGGTATGGGTCAGTAAGTCGGACAGGGTGTTATTAGGCCTCCCTAGTGGAAGAGTCTCTTGGATAGGAAGCCTTAAGCCTGGGAAGGCAATTAGGGTTTCAGAGTTTCATTTACTGTCCTCAAATATACATTAAGCCCTACTTTGTCCTCTGCACAAAGATGTATTTGATGATCCCCAGTGGCACAGAGCTAATCCTGCCTGGGGGTTAATCCTGCAGTTTAATCTCCTGTTCATTTCTGTCTGACTTGAGTACCCGGGGTCCATCAGTCTTGTCCATCATTTCCAGGTGAGGCGGAGCAGAGGTTTAATGGAGGTGTGGGATGTTTGCATTACGCTAGGTCAATTCCATTGTCCTTAAAAAATGAGAACCTTTCTGATTTGAAAAAAAAAAAAATTAATCTTGACTATTTGGGGGAATGGAAAAAAAATCTATAAACAAAAACATAAAGTCATCCATAATTCTATTCCCCATTGATAAGACCTGTTAGCGTTTTAGTGTATTTGCTTCCAAACATTTCCAAGACAAAAATATTTAATCTTGTTGAGATGATATTAAGTATATATTTTTAATCCTACATTTAAAAGGTGAATGTTTTATGAAAAATTTTGTCATTAAAATTTTTTAGTAATCACGATTTTTAATGGCTACACAATATTATATTAACTTTTAGTGCAAATGAAAATTTATGTGCCTGATTTCTTTCTTCCCAACATTTTATTTTGAAAATTTTCAAACAGATAGCAAAAAGAGTTCTGTAGTGAAAACACCTGTTATCCCCACCATTCACACTGTATGTTAACATTGTACTATACTTGGTTTATCACATGTCTGTCTACCCATCTTTTTATTCATTTACCCATCGTATTTTTTGGTGCATTTGAAAATAAATGGTAGATGCCTATTCACTTTCTCCAAAATACATGTTGTTAACTAGAGCTAAATTTTTGTTTATATCTTTTTTGAGTAAACTCGTGGACAGAAATGCACAGATCTTAGTTCACATTCACTGAGTTTTGACAACTGTATATACAAAGTTTTACTACTGTAATGGTGTACTCTATAATTAGAATCATACTTAAAGTCAAATCAGAGGGTCTGTAGGGTATGTTGGCAGATTAATATAAAATAGTATGAGGAGTAACTCAGAACTTTCCTATGTGCTCTTTGACAGTTAAATATTTTTTCACATTACATGCATCTGAAAAACTGATGATGGGTTTTCTCTGAAAAGAGGGCAACATTTTAATATATCATTTATTTGTATGATTTTTCAGCTTTGTTTTGTTTTCAAAGTAGTTCTAACTCTCTTGCTTTATTTCATGAAACTAGGAAATAATTTGCCTCTCTTGATGGACTGGTAGATTTCCTTCCATTAGACCAATGGCAGAGGTGGGAACAGATTCTTTTCTTCTCTTTTTTTTTTTTTTTTTTTTGAGATGGAGTCTCGCTCTGTCACCCAGGCTGGAGTGCAGTGGCGCGATCTTGGCTCACTGCAACCTCCACCTCCCAGGTTCAAGCAATTCTCCTGCCTCAGCCTGCCGAGTAGCTGGGATTACAGGTGTGCATCAGCACGTGGGCCCAGCTAATTTTTGTATTTTAGTAGAGATGGGGTTTCACCATGTTGGCCTGGCTGGTCTCGAGCTCCTGACCTCAGGTGATCCACCCGCCTTGGCCTCCCAAAGTGCGGGGAATACAGGCATGAGCCAGCGCGCCTGGCCAGGAACAGAATATTTTCTAAAAGACACAGCCTTATATTCAGTCTGACAGGCAAATGTCATGTTTCTACAGACTTTTCAACTTTTATAAATGCCCAAGGGCCCATCTGTAGGGGTTTCTCAAATGTAGGATTCTGATTCCATATTTCCTACTATGCTCCATGGTATTGCTAAGTGCCAGCATGGATGTGCACAGAGTTGGGATTCTTGCAGTTTGGGGGAAGGATACTTTGTTTTTGGTGCAGTCATCATTATGGTTTTGTCATGGTCATCAGTTACAATTTTTCTTTGCACTGTAGTTATAATTTACAGTTTTACTTTATTACCTTTGATTTAGTTTATTTTGCAATGTTTGGTTCAGAGTACTATGTGATAGTATGTTTTAGCCAAAACATACCTAGTTTTTTCCAAAAACTAGGCTTCAAGGTACATATCACAAAGGTTAAAATGAGCCAACCAGCTCATATTGCAAAGCAAATGTATGTCATGTTCCCGAGTTTGCATGTGCAGGAGAAAGTGGCATTTGCTAGGGGGTGTGCTGGGCATCTGTGTCCATCCCAGGTGGCCTGGTGACCCTGACCTTCCACTTGCTGGCCAGGCTGTTGCCTTTGGGGCCTTCCCAAACTCTTTGACTTGGATGCTGGGAATCCTGAACCATGCTCTGGCTCATGGCCCCACTCTTCTTTAGCCAAAGTGTCTCAATGTAATTTTCCTCTTCTTTCCCTCATTTACTTATAACATTTGTCCTCTAATAATAGTTTTCTGTCTTACTTTTCCAAATAAGGAATTCTGCTGTCTGCAGCCTCAGATCCTTTGAGAAATCATCAGTGCCAACAAATATTATTTCATAGCCATGCAGCACCTGCGAATGTAGCAACTTGTAACCATTCCTATAATAGTCCTTTGTGCTCTTTTGCTAAAGAAAGGCAAAGATTTTTTGGATGAGAAAAATTGGCAATTTGGGGCTAAGAAACCAGAAAACAGCCCAAATATGGGCGATTGGGCTATGAGAGTCCTGGAAGGTAGCTCTGAGGGTCTGAGGGCTGTGACCTTGAATGTAGGCTTAGGGTTGGGCCCAGGTTGGTGGCCCATCTCCAAGTTTAGGGGATCTTGAAACATTACCCAACTTTTGACTGTGTTTTAGTTTTCTTGTCTGTTACTCAGTGGTAATAACATATGCCTCCCCAGACTCTTGACAGGATTGAATTAGATTAGATATTGTCTTAGTCAGCTTGGGCTGCTGTAACAAAATATCACAGGCTAGGGGCTTAAAGAACACATTTATTTCTCACAGTTCTGGAAGCCTCAGAGTCCAGGGTTGAGTTGGGTTCTGGTGAGGACCTTCTTTCTGGCTTGCAGAAAGCTGCCTTCTCGATGAATCCTCCCGTGGCAGAGGGAGGAAGCTCTGGTGCCTCTTCCTCGTCTTACAAGGACGCTAATCCCATTGTGGGGGTTCCACCTTCATGACCTCATTGCAACCTAGTTACGTCCCAAAGGCCTCACTTCTAATACCAGCACGTTGAGAATTAGGGCTTCCACATAGGAATTTGGGGAGACACAAACATTTAGTCCATAACAGATGTGTAAAGAGAGTTTAGCATTGTGCCTGGCATGAGTGGGTGCCCAACACATATGGTAGTTGTTAATATCATTATCATCACTGTGCTCTTAACAAGGCCAAGGAGAAAGGGTTTCCTTTGCATTATTGCTAAGGAGGGTTTTCCACTGGATCTGAGAAGTGGATTTGTTTTTTTGGGTCCTGTTGTGTAATTCCAGTGCAAGGTGAAGCAAGCAGCTCCATGGTGTGAAAGGAAGCAGGCTCCCCGGAACTATTAAAGGGATAGGTGAAAACATAAATAAATAAATAATACCTCTTATGGCATAATATTTAGAATAAAAACAAATAAAATAAAGGGATGAGTGAACAGGAGGAAGGGGGAGGAGGCATCTTCCAGCCAGGACATAGTGCCCGTGGCTGAACGAGAGGCTAATTAATTCGCATCCTTCACATCTTCTGGCACTTAAATGACAACTTTAATATGGGTAAAATAATCTTTTTTTAAAAATTATTTTATATGATAGAGATGGGGTCTCGCAATGTTGCTCAGGCTACTCTTGAACTCCTGGCCTCAAATGATCCCCCTACCTCAGCCTCCCAAAGTGCTGGGATTACAGGCGTGAGCTCCCATGACCGATTTAATATGAGTAAAGGAATCTTAATAACTTCCTTCTAAAAGGGAGAAGAAGACCTCTGCACCTTCATTTCCTTAATCTGGTTTTATACCTGTGTGTCTTATAAACTACCCCCCAAAAACCTACAAACTTTCTAAATAATAAGAATCTGTAAGAATTCTGAAAATTATCAGTCTGCATCTACATCCTCGTTCCCATACTGACTTATAATTTACAGCATCCTAATTTTTATTTGTCTCCTTTTATTACCAATCTAAATTTTTTAAAAATTTAGACTTTCAAAGTCTGTCTCTGACACACTTTAGCAATTGAGAGCTTATTAATTTTTCTGAAATTGTGTGGAAGAAATTGGCCAACTTAAAATAGGAAGCATTAAGAATTGACATGAAAGTCCAAATAATTGCCTAACTTCATATTTTATTTAATCATTTTCAGTACTCAGCAAGGCATCAGCTTTAGATGGATTCAATTTGGATTCACAAACTTAATTTTTTTTTCTTTTCAGTAGGAATATGCAATTGATTTGCTGGCAATTGATCAGGCTAAAAGGAGGGAGTAGAATTAGTCACCAGGCAAAGCCCCCACTGGGGGGGTTCCTGTTATTTAATAGTCTGCATTTACCTGTTCCCTTCATTGTTCCTTGGAAGAGACTCTCCACTGGCTCTCTGAGGCATCCAGAGGAATAAACTGGGCATGACTAATGTACACGCAAATTGTCCTGCACCCGTGGACACTTCACCCAGAGTCCGGTGGCATCTAGCACGCTACACTGGACGAGACCCTGGCAGGTGGCCATTGAGGAGCCTGCGTGGCTCTGTGCTTGGAGGCACAGTGATTGTTCCTCATGACTGCTTGGCACTTGGCCAGGGGACCATATGCCTGGAGTTGTGTAATGCAGTGGGATACCTGGCCAGTTTCCCCAACCCTCAGGGGGCTTCCTGGTCTTTTTAACCAACCACATATGCATAGGCTATATTCGAAGGACCAAGCTGATGAAAACAATATCAGCTTGTGGGAAGAGACCCAAGAAATCGGTGAATAACTTCCATTGAATTGTCATTGCAATCCCACATAGGAGATCTGTGATAGTCTCTTTTCTCTGACGTCTTTAAAATACAAGTTTTATTTTCCTGACCTTTTTTTTTCCATTTTAAAGGAAATAGTACTTACTGTAGATCATTTATGAAAAGCCACAAAGAAAGAAAATGAAAATCACTAATAATTCTGTCACCTGAACATGATGACCATTAACATTTGGGGGTGTACTGCTCCAGGCCACTTTCCTTATATGTATATATGTTATATATTATTATGTTATATATATGTGTTATATATTAGTATTTAATATGTATGTTAACATAAACATACATGTTATGTATATAACATAAAAAGTATGTTATATCTTAAATATAAATATATTTTAAGCATTTTGAGATCACTAAATATATGCTGTCTGTAACCTGTATTTTCTTTATAGTGTATTATGAGCATTTCCTATATCCTTAAATAGTCTTCAAAAGCATGACTGTGTCTAGAAATATAGTATACAACATGAGGACTATAATGAGTCCTATTGTATTGTGTACTAGTGATTTGTTAAGAGCATAGCTTTTAGGGATGCTAACCCTAAATAAAATAATAAAAATAATAAGAAAGAAAGGTAACTGTATGAGATGATGGTTATGTTGATTTGCCTAACTGTAGCAATCATTTCACTATGTGTATTCTGAGATGAGCATATCAAAACATCATGTTGTGTATCTTAAATATATACAATAAAATAAAAGGAAAAAATTGTAATACCTCCATAGTACTCACTCACGATGATAGAAGGTGCGGTGAAGAGTATTCTCATTTATAAATCTTGGTGCATGTCTCTTGTCCTTAGGGTATGTTCTCAGAGGTGGAATTACACCTCTCAACCTATGCCTTTGTAAGGCCAAGTTGCACCACCATCCCCCTGCACCCCCTGCCATGCTGCGGGTTTCTCATGCCCCTTCATGTGCACAGAAGTGCCCGTCTCCCTGGGTTCATGCTAACACTGAGTGCCCTACTTTTTTGAGTCTATAAATGTCTAAGTGAAAAAAAATCTTGTTTTAATTGTCAGTAATTGTGTTTATTGGCCGTTTGTTTATTTTATTAAGATGTGTTTTCTGTTGCTTGCAAGATACTACTCTTTTGTCTGTCACGTGTTAGAAAAATCTTTTTTCCAGTTTGTCATTTGCCTTTTAATACTATAAGTGGTTTCTTTTGATGTATTCTTTTTAAAAGTTAAAAATCTTACCAATCTATCAATCTTTTCTCTGGATGTTTCTGCTTTTGTTTCTGTGTTTATAAAGAACACACATCAATTCATCTTTTTTTTCTCGTTCCTTGTATGTTTTTTTGCATCTAAAATTTTAATTCATCTAAGATTTATCTGTATATAGTGTGTGTCTCACCTTTTTTGATCTCACAATATGTTTAGTTGTTTCACCAACACATACCAAATAGTTCATCCTTTCCTCACTAGTTCAAAATATGACCTGTATTGATTATTAAAATCTCATATATTCTTTATTTCTGAGCCTTCTATTTAGTTTCATTAATCTGTCTATCTTATACCAGCACCGAACCATTGTATTGAATTTTTATATCTAATAGCACAAATACTGTCATTATTTTTCCTTTTCAAAGTGTTCTTGGCAATTTTCACCAATTTATTTTTCTAAATTGAGGTCAGCAAAGTAGTTTGAGGCTTTGCAGGCCCCAACAGTTTGTCACTAGTGCTCTACTCCGCCCTCGCAGTGGAGAGCAGCCATAGACAGTGATAAATGAAGCTGTATTCTAATTAAAGTTTGTTTACAAAACAGGCTGTGGGTTGATTTGTCCTGAGGGCCATGGTTCGCCAACTTCTGTTCTTGATGAGTTTTTGAATTACTTTGTCCATTCTTACCACACTCACAAACACATACACACACTCTTTTCGAATGTGTGTGTGTGTGTGTGTGTATTTTTTTTTAAGGAATTTGGTTAAAATGACATCATGCTTACAAAATGGTTTGGAAGAAACATGGCGTCTTTATTACAAGGTCTTCCCATTAGGCAGCATTAAGCATTATTTTATGCTGATCTTCAATGTTCTATGGTTTCTTTTATACAGGTTCTGCAAATTTCTGGTCTTTCTTTCTTTTCTTTCTTTTCTTTCTTTTCTTTTTCTTTCTTTCCTTCTGTTTTCTTTCTTTCCTTCTCCTTACTCTGTTGCCCAGGCTGGAGTGCAACGGCGCCATCTCAGCTCAGTGCAACCTCCACCTCCCGGGTTCAAGCAATTCTCCTGCCTTTGTCTCCTGAGTAGCTGGGATTACAGGCGTAAGCCACGACGCCCAGCTAATTTTTGTATTTTTAGTAGAGACAGAGTTTCACCGTGTTGGCCAGGCCAGTGTCAAACTCCTGACCTCAAGTAATCTGCCCACTTCGGCCTCCCAAAGTGCTGGGATTGCAGGCATGAGCCACCGCCCCTGGCCTCTGGTTAACTTTAAAACTTTAACCCTTGCAGTGTTTTTCATTCTAGTTGCCACTGTGAATGGAGTCTGTGAATGGAGGAGGAGTGTCCCATGACTCCCTGCCTGTTCTGTGATTTGCTAGGAGGATGGCAGGACTCAGGGCTACAGTTGACAGCCCATAAGCAAGGGGAAGGGACACATGGGGTAGGGGTGGCTAGAAGAGTCCATCCAAGGGCTCCCACCCAGAATGTGCTCTAGCCACCAGCCTCATTTGCAGCAGCCCATGATTCTGCGTAGATTTTGTCTCCAGTTCTAGCTTTCATTTTACTTCATTTAGTTTTCTTTCAGTGCGTACATTGGGAGAATGTGATGAAAGCCAGGGACAGCAGGCTCTGCCCTCACTGCGGGCCCTGATCGCTATTACAGCCCTGGAATTAAGTCCCTTAGGTTAAAGCTTGGGAGAGAGCCTGCTGATTCATCAGGATTTATCTCACTCAGCTCATTCAAATAAAAGAAACTTCTGGCCGGGCACGGTGGCTCAATCCTGTAATCCCAGCACTTTAGGAGGCTGAGGCAGGTGGATCACCTGAGGTCAGGAGTTCGAGACCAGCCTGGCCAACATGGTGAAACCTCGTCTCTACTAAAAAAAAAAAAAAAAAAGCTGCGCATGGTGGTGCACACCTGTAATCCCAGCTACTGGGGAGGCTGAGGCAGGCGAATCGCTTGAACCGGGGAGGCAGAGGTTGCAGTGAGCCGAGATTGCACCACTGCACTCCAGCCTGGGCGACAGAGAAAGATTCCGTCTCAAAACAAAACAAAACAAAAGAAACTTCTTAACTGAAGCATGAAGGTAGAAATCTTGGGGAACTTCCTTATTAAGGGTGGAGAAACTCAAGCTGTCTTTAAGACAGGCTTACCTTTACCTGTTGGAGGATACTGGTTCTCTTTGTAGTGTGACCCACTTTACCAAAAAGACTAAAGGAAATAAAGCCTTCTGCAGCTGGGGTTCCTTCCACCTTTGTTAGTCAGGGAGCCTGCTGCCCCTGCTCCATGATGATTCTGTGACCCTCTTCAGCCCTCTGCTCGGAGGGCCTTCTCTCAGTTATCTATTTTATATTTTCCGGGTCTCCAGCCTCCTAGAGGCTCAGGGGCAGCTAGAATTTTAACTGTTTCTTAACCTAGGATTCTTCCCACAAATGGCAAGGGCTGGCATTCTGAGAGTGAGGCACTTAAAATGTGAACAGTGCTGAGTTAATGAACTTAAGTTCTAACTGCGATGTAAGGGACTTGCATAGAGCCTCCTTTGCAAACTCTTCTGATACAGGGTGGGCACCCAGGAATAAAGCCGAGAGAGTCAGGGCTCTGAGCAGACCTCAGATGAGGCCCTGGACCCCGAGGTGGAACTGCAGAGGGGAGGGAGGTGGGCGTTGGGGACAGTCTCTTTCCTTTCGCAGGCTTGCCTTGACAGGTCTGGGGCCGGCAGAGCTCTGCTTCCCCACCTGCTTCCTTCTAGCTTTCCTCAGGATTAACTTAATCTTTGCAGATTAAGAGGCTACAAATCCCTTCATATTCCTCTAGGATGCTTCTCACTCCTCATTTCTTTCTGCCTTCACACTTTCCCTTTGCAGGAGCTGGCATATCTCCCAGTTGGTCTGTTGCAGACACCTCTAGGCCCCTTCACTCATACTCCTGTTTGTATTTTCAGATGTATTTGCAATTTCTTGTCTATAATGTAAAACTAGGCAGGGTTCCCAGGCACTGAAGGACACAGCCAAGGCCTTCATTTCACATGGGAATAAGTTATGAGCTTTGTAAGATCTTTAAGATAGAGGTTTAGCCATGAGTTGGAGTGGGTTTCCTGAGAATTTCAAAACCTAGTTAGGTTTTCTCTGTAAACAAGGGCCGCCCTTCTCTTCCTTCACACCACTTTTTATCTGGCCACTCAGGAAACACTAGTTATTTATTTATTTATTTATTTATTTATTTATTTATTTATTTATTTATTTTGAGACAAGGTCTTGCTCTGTTGCCCAGGCTAAAGTACATGGCTATAGGCCTGATCATAGCTCATTGCAGCCTCGAACTCCTGGACTCAAACAATCTTCCCGCCTCAGTCGCCCTAGTAGCTGAGACTACAGGCACATGACTCCACACCCAGCTAAGTTTTTAAAAATTATTTTTTGTGTGGCTGGGCGTGGTGGCTCACGCCTGCAATCCCAGCACTTTGGGAGGCTGAGGCAGGTGGATCACGACGTCAGGAGATTGAGACCATCCTGGCTAACACGGTGAAACCCCGTCTCTACTAAAAATACAAAAAAAATTAGCCAGGCGTGGTGGCAGGTGCCTATAGTCCCAGCTACTTGGGAGGCTGAGGCAAGAGAATGGCATGAACCCGGGAGGTGGAACTTGCAGTGAGCTGAGATCACACCACTGCACGCTAGCCTGGGTGACAAAGTAGTGAGACTCCATCTCAAATAAAAAACAACAACAACAAAATTCTTTTTTGTGGAGACAAGGTCTTATTACTCTGTTGTTCAGGCTGGTCTCAAACTCCTGGCCCCAAGTGATCCTCCCGCCTTGGTATCCCAAAGCATTGGGATTATAGGCATGAGCCACTGCACCTGGCCAGGAAACACCAATTAATTCTCACATTAGCCCAAACAAAACATGATTTGGAACGTGAACCAGCTCCAGAAATATGAGTTATCTGTTTCCCAAACTTCCTGCCTTTCTCCTCTTCTTCTTGCCTTCTCTGCACTGTTAAAGTTATCCCAGCCACTCTCCTTTTTCATTAAACTGAACACTTAAGGAATACCCCAAATACAATAATTAGGATTTTAAGAATCTTAAGATTCAGAGACCTCATCTAACTTCTCCAACTGCATTTACACATTGATGCTTCTTGATTCTAAAGCAAGAAACAAATTTACACAAGTTGTTTCTTGATTCTGGTGGGAAACAGCCTCCGTTCAGTGTGTGTGTCCCCACCCATGGGGACGATGTTTGCTAATGCTGGCTATCACGTGTGAGCCCTTGGTCACAGAATGTCACTTGGATCTATTTCAGAGTTCCCTAAAAAGAAGAAGCACTCGGGAAATGTACAAGGAGAAGAAAACCTTTAACCAGGTAAGCAGAGGTTTTCATTCTAATGTTACATCTCCTATAAGTGAAGTCAACTCATTTTGAATGTTTTTCAGTAAGTGTTAGCTTTGCCTTTAAAACATCCAAAGAAACATTACCTGCCCAAACACGTGGACTCATTCCTAACCTCCACAGTGTGAACATTTTCTTTGCAAACCCACAGCTCCTCCCTCTTGTTTCTCCCTCACGCTGACAAGCTGGTGATTTCTTCAGGAAAAAGAACTGGCTTTGTGTAAAACAGAATTAAGTGTAGTTTGGGGGCCTGACAGTACTTATAAATGGTAAAAAGTGTTTTGACCTTCAAAGTCATCCACACAGTGAAATGAAACAGCCACTGTGGTGTCGAGTCATTCATAAGACATTGTTTTGAATGTTGTTGTTTTTTAAATGTGCAAGCTGAACGATATCTTGAATGGTCCTAATTGAAGGTAAAATATTCTCAGCCTTTTCTAGATGCACAGTATGTATTCTTCAAAACTTTCTTAGCTTTTCTGTAAAGCTGTTTTACTGGATTCTGTTTTTAAATTGCTGCTAGCATTAGGTGGTGGAGAGAACAAAGGTGTTATTGGGATATCAGCTCACTGCACTCTGAGAGCAAGTAGTAATTAGAGAGACACAATGAGTCGGGGTAACTAAGAGCTCAGCAACCTCCACCGACCTCCTGCAGCCCTGTCCCTGTGAATTCCCCTCTGAAGGATCCCCTGGGTTTCTCCATTCTCCAAACTCACTGATCCCCAGGGCATCATTCAAGGGGGGGCAGGCCCCTGCAGCAGCAGAAAGCTCAACTGTTCCCTTCCACCCTCCCCAACCTCCCAGTCTCATTTTGGAATCCATTAATAACAGGGAAATTAAAGTCTGCCATCCCGTTGCTGGGTGCTTATACTCTTCTGGGCTGAGAGTGTTTTCAGTTGACTGGCTCTTGCCCAGGGAAGATCTTTTCCTTAAAAGGGGAAATTCTGCCCCATTGTGAAATGAACAGCATGGAGTTGCATTCGCCCTGAGGGTAAAACAGGCCAGGAACAGGAGCTGCTGCTCCTTGGGCGCGTGTCAGAAACCCTGGTACCTGGGATGCGTTGAGCCGCCCACCCAGCCGGTGGGATTATTGAGGAAGGAGTTTCTGTTCAGCAGAATGGTGGAATGGAGCGCCCTGGGAACTGCAGGCCCGCAACCAAAACCCAAAGGAAGCTGGCGCCCCGGCGCAAGGTAGGCACGTGGGCAGTCACCCGCTCAGGGTGCTGGCTGGACGGCTGACTTGCAAGCCAAAGAATATATACAGAGAGCGATATATTTCTGTTGCTTGACAAGGCCTTTCCCGCTGGTGGTGATGGTGGTGGGCCCCTGGGTGTCTCCCCTCCTGGCCATGCCTGCCCTCTGCCTGCAACAGGAATCGTGTGTCATATGGAAAGTTGGACTTGACCTACTTTCATACCACATTCCTGGGGCTATCCAATGATCTCTCGAAACCAGAAATGATATGCTTCAGTTTAGACTCGGCCTTGAACCCCCGCCTCCGCTAGACTCTTGGCAGAGTTTTAAGAAGTCTACGGTTACAAGATAAGATGGGCATCCAGCCTCCCGCTGCCTGAGCTGAAGCTGTGATTCCACATCTTATGAGAAGGAGTGGCTTCCCCTACTCAGAACAGGCCGAGCTCAGCTTCCCTCAGGCCGCCCCTCTCCTGTACACAACACCCGGCAGGTGCAGCGGGCCCTGCTCCAGCTGCCTCGACCTCACGGAAGACGTCTGACTCCTTCATTTAATATACACTCTCCCATGGCTTCCAGGACAGTCTTTCTTTCAAACCCTGCTTTAGTCTTGGTGGCAGGCCTCATAGTGCATGTGTGGTTGTTAAGTAGAAATGACAGCATGCTGTCATGCTGACAGCTTTTTTCTTTAAGGAACGAGAAGACGTTTTGGACATTTTATCAATCCTCAGGTAATCTACAAATTGACCCTTGTTAGAGTATGTCATAGGATCTTGCTGCTTTAACTGACCTGGGTTTAGGTTCATGGAGACGGAGGAGAATTGTTCTATGATAGATTTGTAGTGGATGGTGGACAGAGGGTGATGGTGTGAGGTTGAAGGTTTCCAGAAATCAAGGTGATTTGAGGGCTCTATGGGGACCTTCTGCCTGCATGAGGGGGTGCAGATAAGCACGTATAACCTCCAGCGTGTTTCAGGACCCTTCAGAGATCTTACCTCCTTCCCCAATTTTTCACTTCAACTTGTTGGGGAAGACCCCCAGGGGTTGGTCGTATTACCCTGAGCCTTCCTTGTCATATCATTTTTCCCCTTCCGTGGGGTTTGTGGTGAACAAGGAGGGACCAGGCAGAGTGGGACTGCCTGAGTCCCTGGTCCACACGCCTGTTTGAGCCAAAAGCTTCCCGCACCATGCAGGCAACTCTGCCCCTCGCCTGCACCTCCTGGACTGGCTCCACCACATCAAGGCCTCACCAGCTGCAAGTTTCCACGGATGCTGGTCACAGCAGGCGGCCCTGCCCCCACCTTGTCCAGCCCAGTCTCGAGCCCCAGGCTCAAGAAGGGTGGAGAGTGGGGCTGAGTTTCCTTGCAGCTGGACAATGCTGCCCTCTGTGATCTCTGCTGCTGTGGATTTCTCTGCTTTAGAGGTGGAGATGGGATCATTTAGATGATTTTTGACAATGGACAGACACTGGCTCTCAAGTTAACAATGGGGCTGAGGGCACTCCCCTGTTTTCTGGTCCCAAGCTTTTAAGTGTTTACAATCCATTTCCATTGATAGATATTTTAGCTTAAACTCCATTCCTTCATGGGAACAACAAAGACCTGTCTATGTATTTGGATTTCTTACAAATCTGTGTTTAACAAAAATTGAAAAGGTGCTTGTGTTTGCTGTACTTTTGAAAGTTCTAAGAAGCTGGGGTTGTTTAAAAGTAACATGCCAACTTCTGGTACATACTAGGTACTTAATAAATATTTCCTGAAAGAATGAATGAACAAGGCCAGGTGTGGTGGCTCATACCTGTAATCCCAGCACTTTGGGAGGCTGAGGTGGTGGATCATCTGAGGTCAGGAGTTTGAGACCAGCCTGGCCAACATAGCGAAACCTCATCTCTACCAAAAATACAAAAATTAGCTGGGCATGGTGGCACACTCCTGTAGTCCCAGCTACTCGGGAGGCAGAGGCAGGGGGCAGGAGAATTGCTTGAACCTAGGAGGCAGCGGTTACAGTGAGCCAAGATTGCGCCATTGCAGTCCAGCCAGAGTGCAGACTCCAGAGCAAGACTCCATCTCAAAAAAAAAAAAAAAAAAAAAAAAAAGAATGAATGAACAGATAAACGAGCATGCTTTTCCTCTAGTATTAGTATTAAACACAACGTATGCCTTTTACAGCCCATGTATTCTGTGTAGGTTCTTTCAAAAAATACGTCATTACCCCAGCAGCGATGATAGCATAGCCCATTTGCCTCAGTAGTTGTGAGTAGGGCAGACAGCCTTACTTCAAGTTAGTCACAGGATTGCTTTTTATGTCTACCTAACCCAAACCCAACCAAATCCTTCATGTGATAAGTTCTCAGAACTCAAAGACCATGTGACATTTATATGTTATTCTCCTAACGTGCAAAGAAGGAAAAAGACTCTTTACCGGCTCCTTTACCCAATACTAATTGTGTTTCAGACAAATAAGAAAATTAATTTCAGGGAGCTAGAGCATGGTGATTTATCATACACAAACCAGTTTATATATAATAAATACACTTTTTAGGTTTATGATTTATCATATACAGACCATTATTTCATTTGACCCTCACAACGACGTTGTGGTTAAGTGAGCATTCCTGCTTTAGATACAAAGAGACAGGTTCACCGGGGCTCTGTGATGAGCCCAGGTCCCTTAGACAGTAGGAGGGGCAAAGCTAGGACTCCGGGCAGCATGTTTGACCCCAAGTCCAGCAGGCCTGGTTTTGTCCTCAGCTAAGAGATGACAGTGGGCGTGTCATCCTCCCGAGGACGCACAGATAGCGCCAGGGCAAGCTTTCCCTGTGGCAGTGGCTGCACACTTGGTCGTAGGTGTTGGGCTGAGCCTTCCTGGTCATATCGTTTTCCCCCTTTCCATGGGGTTTGTGGTGAGCAAGGAGGGACCAGGTAGAGTGGAAGGAGGAAAGTTGGGAGGCGCCGAGGGAGGCATTTCTCTTTCTGCCAAATGATGAGTGTGCGACCAGACTGCGGCAGAGAACGAGCCATGCTCTCTGAGTGTAAAAGCTGCATTGTGAGCACACGTGACGATCCGAAGGAGTTAATTCTCCCCCGGGGGCTGACTTGTTCCACAGAAGGGGCGACAGGCCTGGAGAGCAGTTTGAAGCCTTTTCCTCCACGAGGGCTGTGGGATTTGACTCCCGCAGTGCTGTTGTTGACAGTTTCTCTGTGTGATGGGGGAAACCTTTGCTGAAGCCTTTTGAAACTTTTGATGGCCGATCAAAGAGGAGTGATTCGTGAAATCGGTTATTTTTCCCATCTGCTGAATGTGAACAGTAAAACGTTTTTGCAAAACCAAAACGGGGAGTTCATCTGGCTTCAAAACAAGGAGACCAGCCCTGCAAAGCAGCGTTGACTTTCCACTGGACCCAAAAAGTGCCGTTTTGACCTCAGCCAAGCATTGCAGGCTGTGAACAGCAGAGTCAGCTTTTGAGGATCCTCCAGAACCCTCTGGAAGCCCTATGAGGACACTTCTTAGGTTTTGATACACTTGACTCTATCCAACACTTACCTCCTTGCCTTGGGTCTCTGGGTTTAATTTCCTGCTGTGTTATAGCAACTAAAGGGAAAGGAACGTAAGTAAAGGCTCTGAAGTTGCACTTGCATGGCAAGAGGCTGCAAGGAGCTCAGGTGTCTGGGTCTGCAGTACCCAGTGTGTACCCAGAGCTCGGTACTGACTCAGTACGTGCCTGGACTTCCAAACACCTTCATGCTCATACCTCATGTTTTTGTCATGTCATTCTTGTGGGACATTAGGGCTGGGGAGACCGGGATGGGGAGAAGCGAATTGCCCTGTCTCAGGTACCTTAGGAAACCAGGGGAAAGCTGAGCTCTCATTTGGGGTGGCCTGACTTCCCCATCCTGGTCAGACCTTGTGGATTGTGGGCCACTTTGAAAGAGGGAGGTCTGCACGTTGGAGGTGGTGAGTGCAGCAGGGTGGAACCCTGTCTGCCTGCACCAGGCCTTGGTGAGGGGTCCTGCTGTCTCTCACTGGTGCTGGTGAGTAACCAGGTGGGATCCAGAGAGCAAGGAGGGGTTGCGCATTCCCGCTGGGTTTTGGGCCTCATTTCGTTTTCCCTTCTTTGCCCATAACTTGTATGATGGTTTCCACGTGCACTTTTTTTTTTCCAAACTAATTTTTTTTTGTTTCTTTTGCTTCTGTGGCAAAGCAACAAACTGTAGGCCTTTCACAGGCCCCCTCCACAAAGCCCCTGGGCCCACCTCTGCTTTGTCTTGGCTGTTTCTCTATGTAACTCAGCGGCACCGATGGGAAGATCGGTGTTTGATGTTTGTGTGCATTGGGGGCGAGGTGTGAGGGGAATCATGAAAAACACGAACATTTGGTATTTTCAAATAACCCTTCTCCCGGGCTGTTCTCTCCTGGCAGGATGACAGTGCCGATTTGAGGTGCCAGCTCCAGTTTGCCAAAGAGGAAGCCTTCCTGATGCGCAAAAAGATGGCCAAGCTAGGAAGGGAGAAGGACGAGCTGGAGCAGGAGCTCCAGAAGTACAAGTCCCTCTATGGGGATGTGGACAGTCCCCTGCCCACGGGGGAAGCAGGCGGGCCCCCCAGCACCCGGGAGGCCGAGCTGAAGCTGCGGCTAAAGCTGGTGGAGGAGGAAGCCAACATCTTGGGCCGGAAGATCGTGGAGCTGGAGGTGGAGAACCGTGGCCTCAAGGCAGAGATGGAGGACATGCGGGGCCAGCAGGAGCGGGAGGGCCCGGGTCGGGACCACGCACCCAGCATTCCTACCTCACCCTTCGGTGACTCCCTGGAGTCCTCCACTGAGCTCCGCCGCCACCTGCAGTTTGTAGAAGAGGAAGCGGAGTTGCTCCGGAGGTCCATCTCCGAGATCGAAGACCACAACCGGCAACTGACCCACGAGCTCAGCAAGTTTAAGTTTGAGCCTCCCCGGGAGCCGGGCTGGCTAGGAGAGGGTGCAAGTCCTGGTGCCGGGGGTGGGGCCCCCCTGCAGGAGGAGCTGAAGTCAGCCAGGCTGCAGATCAGCGAGCTCAGCGGCAAGGTGCTCAAACTGCAGCACGAGAACCACGCGCTGCTGTCCAACATCCAGCGCTGCGACCTGGCAGCCCACCTGGGGCTGCGTGCCCCCAGTCCCCGGGACAGCGATGCCGAGAGTGATGCGGGCAAGAAGGAGAGTGATGGGGAGGAGAGCCGCCTGCCCCAGCCCAAGCGGGAAGGGCCTGTTGGCGGGGAGAGTGACTCGGAGGAAATGTTTGAGAAGACGTCGGGCTTCGGGAGCGGGAAGCCATCGGAGGCCAGCGAGCCATGCCCCACGGAGCTCCTGAAGGCCCGGGAGGACTCTGAGTACCTAGTGACCCTAAAACACGAGGCCCAGCGGCTAGAGCGGACGGTGGAGCGCCTCATCACGGACACCGACAGCTTCCTCCATGATGCGGGGCTGCGGGGTGGTGCGCCCTTACCGGGGCCTGGCCTCCAGGGCGAAGAGGAGCAGGGTGAGGGGGACCAGCAGGAGCCCCAGCTGCTGGGGACCATCAACGCCAAGATGAAGGCTTTCAAGAAAGAGCTGCAGGCCTTCCTGGAGCAGGTGAACCGCATTGGGGATGGCCTATCCCCCTTGCCCCACCTCACAGAGTCCTCTAGCTTCCTCTCCACTGTGACTTCCGTGTCCCGGGACTCCCCCATCGGGAACCTGGGGAAGGAGCTGGGCCCAGACTTGCAGGTAAGGGGGCTCGTGGCTTCGCCTCCCTGCTCCGCCTTGCTCTTCCTCCTTCTCGCTGGCATTGCTGCACTCGGGCTCACGCTGCTCACGGCTGCTTGGTTATGATTTCAAACCTGCATTGTACTAAAGCCTCCGGGGCAACCGGATCCTCTCTCTTGGTTGGGCTCCGTTTTTTTTGTTTTTTTTTTTTTTAAGTTCTCTTGTATTGCCTTGTTTCTTTTTCCTTTCTCCTGTCTTATTTTTAACTGCGCCGCGGCTCATGGTTTAGAGGCCCTCCCAGACACGAGGCTGAGCCCAGTGGAAGCGATAGGGCTCGACGCATGCCGGCCTTGCTCCTCTCTTGGTATCTCAACCAACCAGCCACCCGCTGAAGAAGCCGTGAGGAGGCTAAGACAAACGCATGTCACAGTCAGGATAATTAGCAGACTCGCTAACGAGCACGTCCCTTCCTGGGTGTGTTTCAAGGGACACAGTGCAGTCCAAGGCCCTAGGCAGCCCAGGCCCCCACTCCCACTGGAGGATCAGCCAAAGCGGGCGAGGAGCACGGTGCTGAGAAGGATGGTTTTGGTGGAAAAGCTCTGCTGGCTCCTGCCGCCCTGCCGCCGCTGGGGAGGGCGCGGAGGGTCTCCGAGGACTGCTGTCCTAGCCTCGCCTGGGTGCATGGCCCAGCTGCCGCCCTGGACTGTGGCTTTGGCTGCTCGACCCACAAGTAAGGAAGGAAGAGCCTCGTTTTCCGTTTCCTTCACGGGTAGCGTGCTTGCGGTTGAGTTCTGGATTCACGCATCGCCATCGCATGTGCCCCGTAACCAGTGTTTTGCACCCCCACTTTCTCTTTTTGCTTTTCAGATGTGTCCACCCGCCCCTTTGCTCATCCTCATCTTGGGTCTGTTTTCTTCACTTTCTTACACCACTGTCTTTAAGCCTGTGTTTCTGTTCGTGCTGTTCTTTGGTCGTTTTCTCAGTCGTCTCCCTTGTCCATTTTTGTTTTCTTTATCCCCCCTCCCTGCCTCCACCCTTGTCCTTTGTTTGTTTGTTTTTTTGTTTAAAATTTTAAAGAACAACAACAACAAATTCCTCCCGTGCACCTAACAGTCCAGACTGAAAGAGCAGCTGGAGTGGCAGCTCGGGCCGGCCCGAGGGGACGAGCGGGAGAGCCTGCGCCTCCGAGCCGCGCGGGAGCTGCACCGCCGCGCAGACGGGGACACCGGGAGCCACGGGCTGGGAGGCCAGACCTGCTTCAGCCTGGAGGTCAGCGTGGGCAAGCAATCCCCCCCCCCCGCCCTCCCCCTCCTTTTTCTGTGTGGCTGGCTGTGTGACGTTTTCTGTCCCGGACGAGGCCCTGAGGGAACATGGCAGGAGGAGGTGGAACTAGGTGGAACTCACTTGACAGCAAACCCATTTTGTGGCACTGGGACAGGCAGGTGTGCGCAGGTGCCTGCGGTGAACTGCTGTGCTCGTCAGACAGAGGGACAGCTCACTGTAGGCACTGTCCACCTCCTGTTTCCGCAGACCGGGAGCACCTGGAAGTAGGCTGATTGGTGAGTGCGCAGTGGCTTCTTGTCCAGTCGCAGAGAAAGAAGGGATGAAAACCCAGCACGGGCTTCCCTGCTCTGGAGGAAACTCTCCTTAGAGTTCCCCTTTTCAGCTCTTTGTTGCCTGTGTCTCATGTGACCATCCCACGGTCTCGAGTGACACTGCTGGCAGGTTGGTAGAATCAGGGAGGCTCGCTCCTGACCTGTGGGCACCCCTAGCAGTGTCTGTCACCACAGTAACCCGGTATACACAAGGCTTCAGCCACCACAGAGACCATGGTTGGAAGTGTTGTCAGCAGCCTGGAAGAGTGAAAGCTCTTAGATGCGGGTCACCCGACCCGGGACAGAAAGAGGGGATCCCCGAGGAGCTGTTGAATGAGGAAGCACCTTTAAAAGTCCAAATGCTGTGTCAGTGTAAAGTATGAATAATAGAGAATGCAATGTCTTGCCATTGGGGACTGTCAAGGGGGAAAGCGTGTCACAGCCCGCCTAGTCAGGGGCCCAGTTTTCCCTTCCCACTGTAGCTCTTTCTTCTTTGCCATGGGCTGTTTCTGGAACCACAGCTCCGGCTACACAGGGCGGCCCCCTTCCCTTTGATGGCTGGTTTTACAGGAAGTGCGTCTCCCTTCCCGAGTGTTCCGTCCTTCAAGGTGTGTCACACATAGCTGTGTGCAGTTAGAGCCTGTGTCAGAGAGCTCTCCTCCTGGATTCTTCCTAGGTCCTTATTGTGTAACCTGGAGCAGTGATAAGTTGTCACCATCATGAATGCATCGCATAGCTTCAGAAACTGGGAGTGATTTGGGAGAGAGAAGCATACTTAGTTGAAGCAAACCAAATACTGAGGAGCAATAAAGCTTCACAAGAAGTAGATTAGCAGAGTGAGCTGGTGCCATGTGACAGCACAGGATCTCCAAACAATGCAGCTCAGAAGGGAACAGCAGGTCTTCAGATGAAGTCTCTCATTCTGCGGATGAGAAAAGTGAGGCCTGAGAAGTGAAGCGGCTTGCCAGTAAGCCCTCCTCCTGGTTGGTGGCAGAACTGGGTCTAGAACAGCCTCCAGCCAGCTGCAGCCCCCGCTCCCCAGCACATCCCCGGAGGGGCCTGATCTGCAGTAGTGGGACGGCTCTGCACTGACCCCTGGGTGTGTTTCTAAAGAGTCACTCTAACGACTAATTGTACAGCCGCTGTCTTGCCATGGAATGGCACCTTTTAAAAACATCCATCTAGTTTCTTTTAATTTTCTATATTTTAACAAGAGAGCTAAAAATCTCCATAGTGAAAGGCCAGGTCTAGGGAGCGTCATTTCCTAGAAGGGGAAGCAGTATGAATCAGGAGTTTTAAGCAAACATCCCTCATTCTGATGTTTTTTATTCACAAAGACATTTCACACAGAAAAGAAAACTCAATTATGCTGCAAACACATCCTATTTTATTTTATTTTTTAATAAGGCATGTTCTGGAGCCACTTTGAATCTCCACAGTGCTTCCTTTTATTAGAGAAGCTGGATGTGGATCTGTCGCAGAGCCTGGGTCGGGAGAGGCCGCCCTGTCCCTGGTGTGAATGTCACTCTGACAGCCTTGTTAGTTTGGTCTTTGAATATGACATTGTGTTAAAGAATTGTACAATGGATAATTCTGGGGGCAGAACTCTTAAAAGCCTTTTAATGAGAATATCCCTGAATTTGCTGCCAACAATTGCTTTCCCATGAGGCTCTAATGGAAACAGTACACAAAGCTCCCATAAGTCAGCCCAGCAGCCCGGCCAGAGACTCACACAGACCCCGCCGGACTAACTGGGGGAAAGACAACATGGACACCTTCATGCAGACTGAGGCAGGGCTGGAGCTGGAGGTCCTGCCGGCAGCTTTCTTTGCTCCCTTCTACATTTCCCTTGAAATAACCACGGATTTTGCCCTCAGGCCAACCACGACTCTACCTGTGTGGATCCCCTTTAGCTCTCTGCCCGTAGCTCCTCAGGGGTGTGGGAGGGGGCCCAATAGCACACCTAGTATCAGCGACATCAAAGAAGAAACTTTTCCAAATTTAAGCAGAAAAAGGATTTGTTCCTCAAGCTGCACTTACAAAATGCCTCTGTGTCTTCTGCCTTATGGATTTTTATATTTGAGGAAAGAGGAAAGAAGATAAGTGATTATTTTGAAAGATTGAGGCATTTTGGCCCGACCAAAACTGTGACTACTACTCATAGTTGTACCAGCAGCAGCAGTTGTAACGCTAAAGAGGAGAAAAAGAAGTGCATTCTTACACATGACACATGTTAGCAGATTGCAAATCTGGGCAGTGGAGGAGCCCTGCTGCTCAGACACCACCATTCACTAAACCTGGGAAAGGGGCGGCCTCTCCAAGGCCGGCATTCTTATAAACAGCCACAGCCAGAGCAAACTGAAGTCAGAACCCACGGACACCCACTGACACATCAATGCAACCACGCAAAAATGAACTGCTAAAAAAACACTTCAGGACGAGTGTTTCTGCTGCCTGCTCTTCTCAGGAGATATTAGCGAGATGCTCACACTGTGCACTGGACTCTTCCCTGACTTCACTCCCTGGGGTTCCCATCAAATGTGAGACAATCACATTTGTTAAGAGAGAGTGGTGTGTAGAATGGTTTGGAATGTGCGAGGCACCTTAAAAATAGTCCTGAATGAGAAGTAGCCATGCACGGACGCTGGTCAGATTTCAGGTATAAAGGAGACCAGGCCTGTGCCCAGAGGATTGAGTTTCTGGGTCAGAAATCTCAAAGAGCTCTTCTCCTCAGTGCCTGCTTTTATCCTTCAATCAAGGAAGCACACAAAGCACTCACAATCCCACGTGCCTCAGCTGTGAAATGCCAGCCACAAGGAAGTTACGTGGGGTTTTATGCCAAGTATTTGCACTCATGTGTTGGCCTCATGTACTGCTTTTGAAATAAGTGGTTGCAAAACTGGCCAGGACAAAATGGAACCCTCCAGAAAATGAAGCCATGGTCATGGTGATGGAATTGTCCTAATAGAGGAGTAGCATTGCTAGGCACTCTAGTGATGGCCATGAAAAGCCTTCCTTTTCTGTTTGTGTTTGAGATTGTGAAGTTATCTTCTTAAGTGTGGGAAGTAATTTGTAAGCCACTTTCTCTGGAGGTAGGGAAGTTAGCCTTTGTCAATCAGTGTGGGATGCAGCTCTATTGGGGAAGACATGGACGGGAGTTCCGGAACACTGACGTGGGGAGAATGGTTACAATTGTCAAGACTAGTGTCTCAGCAGCCTCGGAAACAAGTGAGGGTGGTGGTGGTTTAGATAAGCTGCTTTAATAGGGAGATCAAGATGAATTTGATGTATAATCAGAATCCTAGGTAAGTGAACAAAAAAAGGGTTTTTTTTAGAATCAAACCTTTGGGGATTGGGTGGTAAAGGGAAATATTTATTTTTTTAGAAGACATTTATGTGTCATGTGAAACTTTTCTCCAAATGTATGTGGTTGTATGCAGTTGTGTGGCAGTAGAGTAATTCTAGGCTGAACCTTTTGCCATAGCACGTTTTGTATGTTGTTTTTTGTAACATTGGAGTGACGTTGGCATCCCAGCTAGGGGCAGTTGTCCGTGGGAGTTTTAATATTGCATTAGCAAAAATGGACAATAAAGGAAAATGAAACTTCTGATAATCAGGAGGATCTAAACCTGTCTGCTGTTGGGCAGGCAGCAGTCTCCAGAGACAACACTGGAGCCATCGTAGGTGAGTCCGACTTCCCCAGTGAACTGGCTCAAGGACCTCCCTTTCTGTGACTCTTCAAAGGTGTGGTTCAAACAGAAGAGCACGTTTTAAATCCAATGACACTGAAGTATGAGCTTCATATATTGTTTCAGATAAAAATGGCTTCTTAACATATATATTATTTATTAAAATTAAAACCAAACTAAATAGTTCATGCAATGTATAGAAACTAAACTAATAGATCTTTGCTTTTCTTAAACAATAAGCTTGATTAGGATGTCTGTTTTTACACCTAATAAAGCTTTTGGCTAGCACCTAATGCATTAAATAAGAAGGATTTTTACATTTTGAGTTTATAGAGTAATGTGTAGCTGGAAAGTAAAGCTGGCAGGAGAGCAGCCTAGGTGACCTGGAAACAGTCCTGCACGGAACACCTGAGAGAGGAGGGAAGCCCCAAGGGCAGATGTGGCCGCTGTGTTTACTGCTGTATCCCCCACGCTTTAGATGATGCCTAGCACTGGAGGTGCTCAATAAATATTGAATAAAACACTGCATAAAATAGAAAGTATCCTCTTAAATACATCGCTGAATTCCCAGGAAATTTAGGGGAATCTTCAAGAGTTGGAATTGATTTTAGATTTGAGACCCAGAAGGCCAGGCACGGTGGCTCACGCCTGTAATCTCAGCACTTTGGGAGGCTGAGGCAGGCAGATCACTTGAGGTCAGGAGTTCGAGACCAGCCTGACCAACATGGTGAAACCCTATCTCTACTAAAAATACAAAAATTAGCTGGGTGTCATGGTGGGTACCTATAATCCCAGCTGCTCGGGAGGCTGAGGCAGGAGAATCGCTTGAACCTGGGAGGTGGAGGTTGCAGTGAGCCGACGTCACGCCACTGCACTCCAGCCTGGGCGACAGAGCGAGACCCTGTCTCAAAAAACAAGCAAACAAAGAACTGAGAACCAGAGTGGTCTCTGTGGCCCTTGGGTGGGTGGATTAGGGAGATTGTTGCCAGAACTGGTAACTGGGAGCCTTGGGTTTCAGCAGCTCCAAGGGAACAGGAGATGGGGCCTGGGCCCAACATTGCAGGGAAAGAAAGGAAATGAATGAACAAGAGAAGCATCTGCCTGCTGGCCCCAGGGCAGGGAGCAGGGAGGCAGCACTGATACTTGTTTCCCCAGCATGAGCCTCTGGATCAGGAGTGGGAGGACTGAAGCTGGCCTCACCCAAGGTCAGGCTTTGAATTGATGTTACCAGTTTGGTCCGGGAATCCCCAAAGAAAGGGATTTATGTTATGTTGCTAGCTCCACCAAACAGGAAACCAATCTGGAGGCACATCCTCCACCCAAATCCATACTAGATCCATAGATAAGTGCCCCTGGGAGATGAAGTCACACAAGCCAGTAACGTCCAACAGGGACACAAGTTGGCAGACACGGCAAATAGCAGGATTCAACCCTAAGACTGCAGGTAATAGAATTATCAGATGGACGCTATCAGATAAGTGCCTACACAGCTATTAAAGGCAAGCAAACAGGAGAAGAGTATGTCACCATCATAAAAGACCACACATTTTCTAAATAATAGACCTTTTGGAAATGCAAAATTAGTCATTGAGGTCAATTCAACATGTAGGGAAATGCATCTTTTCAGAGAACCCCAAACAATGCTGAATATGTATAAGAGACTATAGTAGTCTCAAACAACTAGCAAATCAAAGAAGCATTTAATGCTGTCAGAAATTACTGAGTTTTTTGAAAATAAGATGTTTAAATCTCTAGCTTTCAAAGTTTTATGCTGAACTTGGTGAATCCCCAGTGTCTGATTTTCTGTCTCCGTTCTTCTTTCCTTAATACCCCTTTCTCATATCCCCAGTACTAAGGGAGGTGCTCTGCTCTTTTATTTTTTGCATTTTCTGTTCTTGGGTATGATCTTCACTCTTGACTACCCAGGTACCGATTAGGAAGAACAAACAGTATCCTCAGGGAGAAGTAGTAGATAAGTTAAAGGGACTCAGAATGAACCAGTGAAACCGCACGTATTTTATTGCAACAATCTACTCTAATTCCCAGTTGTATAAATCACCTGTCTTCAAGTAGCATAATCCAGTGGGTAAAATGTCATGCTTACATTTCGATGATGCCTGAGATTTTTAGCATAAGAGTGTTTCCATCTCTAAAAAGCACATTTCATGTGCCTGACTCCTCTATCATGGCATTAGAACATAAAAGGTAGACTTTACCAATAAAAATCATGATACAGATTCCACCACCTGTCTTTAAACGTAGTAAGTACATCTTTGTGCGATTCCCTGTAGACAACATGTGCCGTTGGGAGGCCTGAAGCCGTGCATCTCTGCTCATTGATGAACCCCCACCCTATTGCCCTGAGCATCGGTGTCAGACCACCTTGATAAAGACACCCTCGGTTGAGAAGGAAAAACTCTAATAAGAAAGCATATGAAAAAATTAATTATGCAACACAGAAAGACCCCATGACTTAGAGAAGGAATCCAAGAGGCTGACGTGTAATAGGTGGTCATGCTTGCCTCGGTCATAGTCGGCTCTGACCATCCCGGCGTCCAGAAGCCACTGTGGGAGCAAGGACACCTCTGGTGTACTTTGACTTCCTTCTCTCAGTCTGGTTTGTGGTTATGGTGGTGGGTGAAGCTGCCCACTCCCCTCCTGGGTAAGAGATGCAGGGCAGGTGGAACTGTCCCTCCCCAGGTAACGCAGGGAGCTGTGGAGTCTAGAGGGAGGCCCCAGCGGAGCTGCCACAGTCACTCCACTGCTGCAGTGCCCACACATGCTGTGTCGCTCCGTGTGCGTCCCCAGCTTGTGCAGATGTCTGTCCTGCGTCGTCACCTCAGGCAGAGTTCTCATTTCCACTAAACCCCTTCCTTTATCCCACCGATCAGCTCAGGGGCCCCCCCGTTTTACCTGAGCAGAGTGTATCCATAGAGGAGCTACAGGGTCAGCTCGTGCAGGCGGCCAGACTGCATCAAGAGGAGACAGAGACATTTACAAACAAGATCCATAAGGTAAATATTTAACACGGACTCAGCACAACCGCTTTGTGAACTGCAGAGCCCCAAAGGAGAAATGCCACGATACATTTTCAAAGAAGGCTGTCTGTTGCGTACAGGCTGCTAGACTCCTGGGCACGTATGGAAAGGTCACCCAGTCAAGCTGTCCCCTCTCAGACACCCCTAAAGATAACTCTGCTTTTCTGCTCTGGCACATGCTTTTCAGCATCTACACTGTGGTCTCAGCAAGGTCTTCCTCATACCTAATCTAAACTTTCCTGCAGCAATACCAGCCTAACATCAAGTAAGGGCCTAAATGCAACTGGACAGAAAAGTGTGTCTGTCACCTCTGCTGATGTTGGGTGAATTTTCCGATAGAAAAATCAGCAACCTCACCCTAAACCATTGCCTTCGGAAAACTGCCGCAACTTGAGCTGTGGCCTCATTAACCTCTGTTACTCTCGAATAACCTGGTACTGGCTAATTATCTTTTATCTGCAAATCCTTCCCCAGAGTTCCGAGTAGAAGGGATTTGCAGATGTGGGCACTCGTCGCCCTGGACATCCATGAGAACAGCCCAATCCCGGCCACCCCAAATCTAATTAAGTTGTGAACAGATCTCTAGGTTCAGAATTGCTGCAGCTGCTCTTCCCCCGTGTATTTGTTCTTGAAAGATAGCTATGTCTTTAAAACGAAACAAAGCAAAGCGGTTGATCTTGAATAGAGCACGTTGGTGTTTTAAAATGCATATCCTATCCAAATAAGGTCCTGGTATATCTAAGAACTTATTTTGGCAAGGAATGTGTGCTACACATAAGCCCCCATGTTGACTGAGGCCATGTGATTTAAATGGGTCACAAACTGATTAAGGGAGTGAGCTCCTTCTCTGCACCTTGCAGCTTAGGGAAGGCAGGGCCGAATGCCAAGATGTAAATACTTTCTGCCAACTTCTACCACTACATGTATGACTCTTTTTAAGTGTTTCATTTAGGGGTCAAGTTGCACATCTTATTATCAGAGGAAAATAATTCCATATTACTTGAAAGATAGATTCCTAAGTAATTAAAAAAATGTTTGCATGGCACCAAAAATTGTTTGAAAAGTGAGTTTATCACTGAAGATGCTGCTAGCACAGTGTCCATGGCCCACGTGTTTCTAGTATGTGGGTTAATGATGAAGGAGTATTGCGGAAGAGGCTTCGGATGGTAGGAGATGTCCTCCAGGCTTGTTCAGAAGGGAAGGGAAAGTGTCCCCCAAGGTACCCAGGGGGCAGAAGACTGAGCTCTGAGAATTAGGAAGTTCATGGAGCCATGGAACAGAAGGAACTGGAAAGGGCAGTGGAGATGTGAGGGAGAGAAAAGAAGGCTCTCCAGGAGGGCCTAGGCGCGGTGCTGCTGATGCTGCCTCCCGTGGTGCGGGTCCGGGTGTCTCAGCGCCTCTCCACAGCCAGGCGGGGAAGGGTCTCACGTTACCTTCACATTGCCCCTGAGGCCAGTGAAGCTTGCCCAGCATGAGTCAGTTGGCTAAGACATGTAAAAGAAAATAAAACTACAGGACTCTCTAAATTGATTATGTCAAGGGCAAAGTTAAGTCCTGGAGACTGAGTCATGAACATGTTTGCAGTTTTGTTTCTTAGATTATAGGTGAACTCTGTTCCTCATTGTTCTTGTTCTGTAAATGACTAAGAGACCAGAGACCAGACCTCCCTTCTTTTTAATTACTGATCTTTGTTATAGATTAACTGCCTCTTTTATTGTCATGTACCTAACTCAGACCAGATGGTGCAAAAGATCCCATGACCGTTACATCTTCAGTGTGAAATGTTAAATACACTTCCCCCACCCAAAAAAAGACCACGTTGCCTTATCAATAGGAAATTGCAGATGCTGGGTGTCTGGTACGCTAGGCTGCCCTTGTGTCCACAGGGGAGAATCGGTGGAATGCTGAGGGCTGCTGAGATGATGAATAAAATCACCTGTTTTCTGTTATTTCAGCCAAAACTACAGTAAAGGTCAGGTATTAGGTGAGCGGCCACGCAAGTCGTTGTCTAGACCTATGGACCTTTCCAGAGCTGCCTCTGACTCTTCACTGGCCTTTAGCACATTGGCCTCGGGCAGCTGTGGTTCTATTCCCATGGCCTCTGAGAATTAATCTAGTACTTTAAGGAGAAAAACAAATCCCTTACTTGGTTTTTGGCATAAGAGAGAGTGTTAAGAGAGGACAGCTGATAACCTTAAGGCTGGCATTCGAACCTTTTATTGGCCTATGGAACACAAAGCTTTGATCCCATAGTATCACTTTAGCTACTATAAATATTTATAGATGTTATTCTTGTGCCTTATGTGCAAAGTGATATTTTATTCACGCTTACTTTTTAGTATTGATACACAATAATTGTTGCTTGAAAAAGTGTCTATACCGGGGGTGTTTAAAAAACAGGAATTTAATGTGGAGATGCCAGATATTTCTTTTTCAGTGACACTTTTCTTTTCCTAAGAGATATGCACATCTAATAGGAATGTCAAGTCTTTCAGCATGGAAATAGGCTATCAGACTCACTTTTCTGTTTCCTGGCTGTTGTATGCAGTTGAGGCCTGCATATTCGGAAGAATTCCTTCCACCCAGCCTGCTGTGCTCTCCACCAGCTGGGGTTCTCTTCTGTCGGGGCTGTGGGGAGTCAGGGGGCTCAGGAAGTAGAGGGGAAGGATTTCCACTTGTTTTCTCCTTTACAACTGTAATGTGCGTTTGAGTGCCCAGCTCATGTACAGAGGGGAAGTGGAATCTGCTTACACCGGATTCAAGTCAGTGGTAAGCCGCACTTCCAAGACACGGTTTTCCTGAAGGAGTTTAGAGACATCTAAAAACACCATGAGAGACTTGGCAATGAAAAATGATCATAATACCTTATTTTGAAATAGCACTTGATTCTGAATCGCAATACTCATGAGGTTTTGTAAACAGGAAACTGAAGCCCTTTATCAAACTGAACTTCTGGGGACTCCTGTGTTTCACGTCTCATATGCAGCATGACAGAGACTGAGTGGCAGTTTGCAGGGACTCTTGGTTTGGTTTGGGTGGCGGATTGGATTAGCTGCTTGTCACACTGTCTCTCTTATTCCATTCAAGATGGAGGAGGAGCACCTCTATGCCTTGAGGTGGAAAGAACTGGAAATGCACAGCCTGGCTTTGCAAAACACCCTCCATGAGCGAACCTGGAGTGATGAGAAGAATCTGATGCAGCAGGAGCTCCGGTCCTTGAAGCAGAACATTTTCCTCTTCTACGTCAAACTCAGGTGGCTGCTGAAACACTGGCGGCAAGGGAAGCAGATGGAGGAGGAAGGAGAGGAGTTCACTGAGGTAACTCCACTGTCGAATTCCTTTTATTTGCATCTGTTTTGTCCTTGACCCCAGACACTGCTTTCTCCTCACCCACCCTACACACAGTCATGTTCTATTATTTTATTTCTCAATATTTGGTTAACATCTAATATTGCAAAAAAGATGTAGAGCAATTCATACAGACACTTAGATAAGAGAAAATTGAGCACAGGTGACTGAAACATCAATCATTTTCCTATACACAAGCAGATATAACAGAAGTAACGTTACAGTAGCAAGAGCAGGTATGCAGTGCTAGGCATAAACTTACTGAGAATAGTGCAGGAATGACATGAAGAAAACTACAGACTTCCCTGTGAAACCTGCATGATGTTCATGAGTGAGGGACTGGCAGAGGCAGGTGCTGTTGGTTGCCTACTCAATGTCTACTCTTTCTTTTTTTATTTGTACATATTCATGGGATACAATTGCAGTTTTCCACATGGATATTTTGCATTGTGGTGAAGTCATTATTATTGTAAATTATTTCATCAATTTTGGTCCAAGAAATGGAAATGCAGCAGCTTGTCCAGTTATATATGAAACCAAGAATTCTGTGCTACGCTCTGACCTAGTGTTAAGAGTGCCCTGGTCCATAACTCCGTGCTGTAGCAAAGTTCCGCTCCCGTCTCCTTTGCTGCTCATTTATAAAATTCATTGACGTTATCACCCTGAGGTCCTGCGCCATCTCATTCAACCTTGCTGGTGTGTAAAAGCTGGTTTCTAAAACTTTTGCTCTTCTTTCTATTTGAGCTTTGTTCCTAGATGTGGAAGCCTGTCCTGCCCACACAGTTTTAAAAGGATCTTTTCTAAGCTTCAGATGAGTCACTTTGCCACCTCTGGAATTTGTATATGTTCTTCCTGTTATGCCTCGATTCCCAGGTTTATAATAGAAACAGAAGCGAGATCTTTGCCTTCTGTTTGCTTTTGTATTGATTAAGTCAGAGTGGCCGTTTGCACTGCAGGCTCCTTCCTGGCCTTGCTTCCTGGCACACCCGGGGCTGGCGCCACTGGCGTTCTGTGTATTCTGTACATCACTGACCCTGGCTTCTTGGCCAGCTGCTTCGAGGCATTGTGAATACTTGGTTTCTTTTTAGCTCCCAAAGACCTTTTGTCTGGTTTTCACTCTAGGGAACAGTGTATGTAATTTTAAGTTCTCATCCTAGGAATGGGAAAATACAGTGATTCTCTTTCCTCAGAGTGAAGAAAGTCTTGAAAAACTAATTCCGCCAGCTTCCAACTATCCGTGACATAGATAACCATTATTAAGCAAAGCCTAGAAATTGTTTTAAAGTTTCCTGTTGATCAGTACTCTGGAGTTCCTCCTCCTTTAACTTATAAAACCATAGCTATTAGCAATACTAATTTAAAAGCAGTAGAATTAAAATTTCTCCCTAATGTCTTCTAATAAGCTGAGCATCCACCCTGTGGTCTTTAAATGCAGCAAGTGCCAATGAGTGAGATGGCCAAAATGAGCATTTTAGGGGTAAGGACTGAGAAGTATAGGCGTTGATAATCCATAAAGTAGATGGTTATCCTCAGACAGTGAAAATCAGGCTGTACAGCAAAAGAATTTGGCTGAAGCTGTGATCGTCACCTCCTGCCTGTTTCAGGGTGAACATCCAGAGACCCTCTCCAGGCTCGGGGAGCTTGGAGTCCAGGGGGGTCACCAGGCGGATGGCCCAGACCACGACAGTGACCGAGGCTGTGGCTTTCCAGTGGGGGAGCACTCCCCACACTCCCGGGTGCAGATTGGAGATCACAGCTTGCGGCTGCAGACCGCGGACAGGGGACAGCCCCACAAACAGGTGGGTACCTCGACCCGAGCCTGTCGCCCTGCCCACACCAGGGAGAGGAGGCTCCTAAGCTGCATTTGGGTCGTTTTGTTTCCAGTGTTGGCATTCAGGTAGCAGAAAATTCCACCGCCTGACTGCGGTCACCTGTTGTCATTTGTGATGCTGGGTTTTTCCTAGAAATCACCTCATCAAACCTTTTCCATCTTAATGTCAGCCCACTCTTTCATTTGAGTTGCCATATAAATAAGGACTGTAGTAAGGGCAGATCAATGCTGCGTGTCGCTGCTGGGGCCAGTGAATTGACCTCAGAGGGTCTGCCATTGGCAACATCATTCGTTTGGCAGCATAACGTACAAGGAGCAAAGGACACGTTTTAAAAAAAATCCCCCAACATGGACAAAATATTTCAAGTTCTCTTTGGCCCACTTGAAACATAATGCTCCCAAATAAAAGTATTTGATGACACTTTGAAAAAAATTAATGTATAAAGAGAGGTGAGACTTCAGTGTTATTAAGTAGCTGTTATTGTTGCCAGAGACCACAGAAATAGACTCTACTTAATAAAGCAAAAGATGCTACTAATAACATCCAAACTGCTTGCATTTTTATACCAAAATGGCAGTGACGGAGGATTTGGAGTAAGGAGCTCCAGAGCAGGACCCTGTGTTAACGCTGTCTCGCTCTCAGGCTTCTGAGTCCCCTCTAACCCAACTTTATTATGTATTAATAATAATAAAGCTGCTCAGGGGGCTCCTGGAGTACAGCTGGATGCCCCTGCCCTAGGAAGCCTGCGTTCAGGGCTGAGGGCGCAGGGGCAGGTGGCCACGGGGATGCGGCAGTCATATGGGCGCGGCTCTAGCCTCTCAGCCACAGACACTCTGGGGCACTCCCTCTGCACTGGACGCCACAACTGCTGCTCCTCCCTGGCCCAGGCTCCCGAAGCCCAGAGCCTCTGGGAGCTCTAATGGGAGCACGCTGTCGCCAGAGCCCTGGCTCAGATCCAGATGAGGACAGGCGGCAACCTTCTGAGTGCAGGCTGAGGGGAATTTGGGTTCCCCCTGCTCCCTCTCTGTACAATCAGATTTTCACACCTAAACAGCTGTTTCCTATGTACACCTGTCCCCACTTCATTCTCCCTGAATAACATGACTCAAGGAGGAGATGATACTTGCAAAGGAACTTTTATTCACAGCCATCAGAAAGTATGCCATTATGCCAGTGTCCATGGGGAGAATTTAGGTCATGGAATGAGTTTTCCAGCAATAATCTAGTTAGAAATGAAAATGCTACTTTGCAAATAATGCTTTACAATCTACTAATTTTACTTTTTGAAAAGAAATGTTGTCATTCAATCCCATAAAGCATCTGTGCTTACCTCCCATAATATTGCCACTGATGGCCACTGTTCCCACCTCGCCACAAACCTGCTGCGTCTAAGAAAACGTGTTTCCCACGCATTCACGCAGATGCTCTGGACAAGGAGAAAACCTCGCACATCTGGTTTTCTAAACAACAGTCATAGAAAATGTTACTGTCAGGGTGGAAAATAACGTGAAGTCACTCAGCTGGAACCTTACATTCAGCATATTTTATTGTCATTTCCCTTTGCCTCCTGCTTCTTCCAACACTAGTTTTTAGCGATTACCCACGAAAGTGGAGATGGACCCGTGAGCTTCCACTGCGGGCCATGTGTGATAGAAGCACGTGGCGGGGTGGGGTCCAGACACTCAGACCCAGGTCTGCCAAGTGGGCCAGTGTTCACAGTAGTGAGTAAGGAGCTCACTAACGCATGCACAACCCTCTGTCTGTCCAAGGACGGAAGATGGACGAGCTCTACTGTAACGACAGCTGGTTCTCTGGGAGGGAACATTCCCGGTTAGAGGATTTGCCTCTCTGTGACTGGCATGAGTATTAGCCAGGCAGCTGGGATGCAAGAGCCAGGGTACGTGTCTCACAGAGCTGCACAGAGCCGGGCCGTTCCCGAAACGCCGAGCACCTCGCAAGGCGATTAGTAGCATGGGAAACCTAGCCAAGCCGTTTTCCCAAGGACAAGTTCTCAGTCACAGTATTCCTCAGGCCTTGGTCTTTGCTTTGTGACATATGGAACGTTCTCACAATTGAACTCAAGTAGATGGCAACATTTATCACGTCCACAGAGGTTTAAAAAAAACTGCATATACCGATCAACCTTGGGATGGCTCATAACAAATCATCAGGTTGGCAAACATTTGGCTCCGCAGACATTCCCTGTTTCCCTGTCTTCAGCCACGTGAGCTCGCAGTCATGACCTGGGCGCTTTAGAGCCACAGTGAATGCTTTCAGTTTCCCCAGCCATCCTGAAGAGCAGAGGCTGCGCACACGCAAGAGGGAATCTTACAGTTTTCCTTGAGCTCCAAGACTCACGCCACTGCGTTAAGCATTTGAGGCCAGCATTCCTAAGGCTGTTTATGCATTTCATGCTGATTAGTAATTCCTGGAATCCAGCTACTTCACACAAGGTGATTAATGGTGTGGGAATGATGGCCCTGGGGTGCCAACAGCTTGTTTTCCCTACTTGGATTAACTGATTTGAAAAGAAGTTACTTTTTCATTCAGGGATGTGACCTAATTATCATTTAGTAAAACAACTAAGTAAAAAAAAAAAAAAGTGTGAAGAACTTAATATAAAATTCATAGCAAGAGCTGAAGGAATTGTGTTTCATATTTAAGTCTTCACCTGCTACAGGCCACTGAAGAGCCTCATCCAGTCCAGCCTCAGGACTGAGTAGACTCCACTTCCCTGGACCTCTGCTCCTTGTCGGGGCTTCTGTGCTGCGTTAGGGCCTTCGGGGGCTGCCTGAGAAGTCAGCCTTTCTCCTGCAGACAGAGAGCCCTTGGCTCCCTGGGCTTCCGGGGCTGTGGCTCTCCCAGGCCCCAGCAGTCTTCCTTTCTGGCCATGCAGGCTGCCCACCTTTGCTTGCCCAAGATGAAAAACTTCCAGAAAGAGCACCCTTGCCAGAGGAGGCCTCACATCAGAACTGTGATCTGCCTGACTTTTTTTTTTTTTTTAATTAGAAAGTTATCTTGAGCCTAGATGGTATTTACATTTCAATTTTGTACGTCATACCGTGATTCATTCTTCAGTTTATCCTGCAACTGGGAGGCCTCCCCTATAAGGCGTGCTACTCTTTCTGTAAGAGGAACCAGACCAGAGCTTAGGATCTGAAGCGTTTTATCTTTGCCGTGTACTTGTGGTGGCAGTTGTTCTGTCACTCTTTAAGTAGCCCCTGCGTGAGGTAAAAATTCACATGTGCAGATGGGTGCTTGATGAAAGGACTCTCCTTGCCCCATCCTACCTCCCAGAGTTAACCATGGCCTGCAGTTTGCCACAGGCCTTCCAAAGTGCGTAACTAAGCCTGGGACCTCACAAATAAGTCTCTTCCCTAATGGCCACCTGATTTTCATCAGACTTGCCCTGGTTTCCTAAGCCTTTGGGCTGATAACTGTGTTTACAGCTTGTTAAATATGTGCCTCATTTATTCTTTCCCGGATCCACATTCATTCTTGGGAAGCTCTCAGTGGCATTTGTGGAGACCACAGCCCAGAGCCCTCCTGGACAGGATCACCGGGCAGACTCTTGGCCAGAGGGCAGAGGACTTCTGTGTGTAAATGACTCTAATTCCCATGATATTAATAGATTATATTTTCAGGGTCTGTCTTGAGTGGCCCATTCTCTGTAGGGGATAATGGTTTTTAGAAAAGAACTTTTCTGGATGTAACAATGAAGGTTACATTGAGGAGAACGACAAATGGCTCATTTATAAAAATGCTGCTGGCTGTGTGAATGTATCAATTCTAGCTAATCTCACAGTAAAGAATTTGTCCAGGGACTCCTGCTGGTGGAGGAGTTGCCTGTGTTGAATGCTAAGTGAGGTCTCAAAAAGGAGCTGTGCGTGCCTTGTGGGGGTCTGGGCAGCTACCACATCATTCTGGAATTCTCCTGCCTCTGTCAAGGAGCCTGAATAAACGTGGATGCTATCACCTCTATTTTGTGACTGGCGTTTTGTGGGTTAACCCATAGCAGCAGGTCAATATGTCTGTTCCAGCTTTAGATTAATCCTATCTCCAAAGTTAGTGGCTGTGATGCAAGCAAAGTAGTCGGTGGTGGTTTAGCTCTTTTGTGGAGCTGTGATTTCACCTGCTGAAATCTTAGAAATCTTAGGCAAGAACAATTTTGAAAATTAGCCAGCATTGCATCACAGATACCTTGATACGTTACCTTATCTACAAACTTCCATTTCACTTTCTATTAGTAATACTTATAAATAGACTTGGATATTAGACTTGGATAGACAGACTTGGATAGCAGTCTGATGGACCAAAGACCAATTCTGAACCTGTTAAAAAGTTTGACATATTATAGCACATTGTAAGTCTCACTCAAGAGAGCTGAGCTAGGTGAGGCTGTAATGCCCTTAGGTGGAGGAGAGGGAAATAAGTGGAAGCTTTTTATCCTGCTGCTTTGCTAGAAAATCAGCCAGCTGATCTCTGAATGAAAAGCCAGATTTTTGAGTTGAAACTGACCTACACTCACCAGATGTACAAGCTAAAAGGTTGCACGGCTAGACCCCGGCACAAGAGGTTCAGAAAGCCTGTTGTCCAAGAAGACTTGCATCATAAAGACATCTCAATGGAACCGAGTCTTAATTTGATTCTTGACTTGATTTGGGTCATCTTTTTACCCAAAAGGTAACCCAGCAAGGGGTACCACCAGGGGAAGAAAATAAGAGCAGTTAACTTTTAGGTATTCTCTCAGGATGACTCACTATCATTAATTTCCCTTGATAGGGGAAATTGAATTAGCTTCATGGGGATTAGATGGCTTCTGCAAGGTAAAGTTTAAAAAAAAAAAAAAGAAGAAGAAAAAGAAAAAGGCTTGGCAGGGTATAATGTCAGAATTCGAATATTCCTGGCTCGGTTTGTTGGCTTTGGAACGCGACAACCTGGACTGCAGTCCAGGATCTCACTTCCTTGACAGTGGGACCTTGGCCCTCAGCCACTCCAAGCCATAGTTCCTCCTCTGTAAAATGGGGAACATAGTATATGCACTCAAAATTGATGTGACATATATATAAGGTCATGTTGGCAAATAATTTAGTACATCCCCTGGCCATAGGAAGCACCTATAATATTAGTAGTTATCATTACTATTTTTTTGCCTGTGTGCGAAAGTCATTAGGAAAATCATGCCTATCTACGGCCCATTCTGGGTCTTCAGAAATGTTGACACAGACATCCACTTTTGCCGTTGTGTGCTAATGGCAGGAGCTTGCCTGGCTTCCTGCTGTGCCACATGCTGCTCTTGAGGAATGATGATAACAGGTACCAATAGCATTGAGCTGGGCTCTCTTGCTCCCTTTGGCCACCTTCACCCCAAAGCAATTCTGGAGCTCATTCCGCAATGATTAATATTATCCTGGTTGAATAGAGCACTGTTTTGATTACTCTGATGCAAATATGCATAAATCATTAAGGCTTAAATTTTATTGAATTCAGTATCTGTTAAAGCCAAAAAGTACTTGCTTCCAGAGAAACCAAGTTTCCAATCTGCAAGAGGACTGTACAGTTCTGATTCTAATGTCATGTGGTGTATGGGCCAAGAACAGCATAGGCTGATACCATATGTAACTTGGCATTCATAGAAAACCATCGATTACATATAAGAATGTATCATATGGTTTTCTGCTTTCTCTTCAGTGAAAATTAAATGACTACTCCAAAATCTGGATCAAAATTATTATAATTATTTTCTGCTTGAAATACTCTTGACTCAAAAAGCAGTGATTTTTAATTTAAAATCTAAAGATGAAACTCCCAAACAAATCTACCACAAAATGTATGTGATTATTCAGCAAATTCTATATGAAGATGTATATTTCTGAAAAGATTGTTGTGACACCTCTTGTCACTCAACTGTACTTATATAATTTTTAGATTTTTTTTTTTTTTTTTTTGGAAACAAGGTCTTGCTCTGTCACCTAGACTGGAGGGCAGTGGTGTGATCTTAGCTCACTGTAACCTTGAACTCCTGGGTTCAAGCGATCCTCCCATCTCAGCCTCCTGAGTAGTTGGGACTACAGGCAAGAGCCACAACGCTAATTTTTAGGTACTTTTTGACGTGGAATTTTAAAAACTGTTCTGTGTTTGTTACAGCTTCACATATATGGTGAGCATGTCTTTGAGTATAGTGGTAATTTATTTCTATTCAGATGGTTGGTAAGAATGTATAAGACTCATAGATGGTTCCCTATCTGCCGAGTTCTTCAAATGTTAACTGACTTGTACTCTTAATGCCTTTTGTCCCAGAGTTATTAAAGTAAAAATTGTTCCCTGTGAGAAAAAGAGCAATAAATATGAACAAACTGGCCTTTCTACTCCATCAAAAGTCCATTGTAGCTGGGCACGGTGGCTCATGCCTACAATCCCATTTTCTGAGGCTGAGGCAGGTGGATCAGTTGAGGCCAGAGTTTGAGACCAGCCTGAGCAACATGATGAAACCTTGTTTCTACAAAAAATACAAAAATTAGCTGGGCATGGCGGCACACGCCTGTAGTCCCAGCTACTTGGGAGTGTGAGGTGGGAGGACTGCTTGAGCCCAGGAGGTTGAGGCTGCAGTGAGCCGTGATCCACTGCATTCTAGCCTGGGTGACAGAGCGAGACCTTGCCTCAAAAAAAAAAAAAAAAAAAGTCCACTTAATTAAATGCTGGGGACAACTATGGAGATCTCTATAATAAATCTGCTCATATTAAAGAATTTCTCTTTTTAATACAACTTTATTTTTGAATATATATATATATATAGAATTTTAGGTTCAGGGGGTACATGTGCAGGTTTATTATATGGTATATTGCATGTTGCTGAGGTGTGGGCTTCTAATGACCCTATCACCTAAGTAGTGAACATAGTACCCAATAGGTAATTTTTCAACCCTTGCCCCTCTCCTCGCAACCCCTTTTGGAATACCCAGTGTCTGTTGTTCCCATCTCTGTCCGAGTATACCCAATGTTTGGCTCCCACATATAAGTGAGAACATGCGGTATTTGGTTTTCTGTTCCTGCATTAACTTGCTTAGGATAATGGCCTCCAGCTGCAACCATGTTGCTGCAGAAGCCATGATTTCATTCTTTTTTGTGGCTGCACAATTTTATGTAAATACAAACATCCATCCAAAGTATCTTAAATTCCTCCCATATATACTTAACCATTTTTGTGTATGTTTAGTGGATCAACTAGATGGATTTAGAAGCATGACTGTGGAGTGAAGGCCAGTGTGTGTGTAGAACCTGAAGGAGGGGTCCCAGTGTACTTGCTGAACCAGGGAGGAGAGGTTTATCAAGTTTGGGGGATGAGGAATTCTGAGAGGGTGGGGCTCTGTTTTTCCATAGTAGAGCTTATCTATGTCCAGTGGGACTTAGAGAGCTTTTATAACTCTTGCTTCATACATGCACCAAAAAAGAATGCCCTGAGACCGCCCTGAGAGCTTGTGATGTGCTTTCCGTGCTGGTTGGAAGAGATGGGCTCACGAGGCTTTTATTATCAAGGTACCATAATTGATTCAGCGTGTTTCATTCATTTGGCCAAACCCTTCTGATATAATGCCCTTGCTGAAATGTACTAAGACAGAAATCATGGCTTTGAAATTTGACTTCAAAGGGCTGGGCAGGTTTCAGAACATATAAACCATTTTAAGTTAGATATAAGCAGATTAGTAATAAAAATCCACTCTTCATTTACCAGACACATTTGCATGCTTAACATGAGCCAAGGATTGTGCCAAATACTGGAAATGTGAGGGTGGGTCTGGCTTGTCCTTTCCAAGAGGCAGAAAAGTGGGGGCTGATAGTTCTATCTCAAGGGACCACAATAAAGCCTTCCTGAACAGGTTATGCATTTCACCTTTGGCTTTAATTATTAAACATCAAAATGTTTAATAATTAAACCCACCCACACACAGTGGCCATGTGTGTCATATCTGTGACCTTTTAGTAACCACCAATCGGAGTCTGATTACCCTATGTGCATAGGAGTCCTCGGTCTTTATTAATTCTCCTCTAGTACAACATCTGGCACTAGAATGGCAGCATATATGTAGGTGAGTGTGTAGGTCTTGTCATATCTGCACCCTCATGACAGTCTTGTCAGCCCAACTCAGTGTTCTGGACATCTAAAGTCACACAGTGACTGGCAGCCCTGGCTTTGGGGTTCCCTGTGGCCTCCTGCAGTTTCCTTGCTCCTGCTCCTCAGGGCCCACAGCACCTCTGTGGCAGGTTCCCACAGTGCCAGCCCAGGTTCCGGCGTCTGAACACAGCTGCCAGGTCACCAGGGCAGCCTTCCTTCTACCCTCCTCCTGATCAAACAGGCCCTCAGTCTCAGGCCCAGGAGACCGATGGCCAGCAACAGGGACCCTTTCTTTGCTCCCCGGCTAACTGCAGACTCCCCACCCACCCTGCACCCACTGCCAACAACACCTGGGAAACAGCCCCCACACTACCTTGATAGCCAGATCCTCTCCTCTTCTGACCTAAAAAATACGCTTAAAGGAGGTGGTGGAGCCTGACTCAGTGTTCCCGCAGGTGGTGGAAAACCAGCAGCTGTTCAGCGCCTTCAAGGCCTTGCTGGAGGACTTCCGTGCGGAGCTGCGGGAGGATGAGCGTGCCCGACTACGGCTGCAGCAGCAATATGCCAGCGACAAGGCGGCCTGGGACGTGGAGTGGGCCGTGCTCAAGTGCCGTCTGGAACAGGTACCACCCTCCCAGGTCTCCCTCGATCCTGACTGTGTGTCTCTGCTGTCCAGGATATGTGGCGGGGGAGCGGGCACAGAGAGATTCAGAACCATGGGCTTCTTGTCCAGGAAAAAAAGAGAGGAGTGGCTGCTTGTGTCTCTTCTTAAAGTGCAGAGTCCCCATTTTCCCTGATGTCCCCTCTCCCAAGTATGCAGTACGGCCCCCACCAAGCAGCATTTTCAGAGCAGCATGTATTCTCCCATTCTGCATTAAACAAGCTTGTATTTAGCTGCATCAGAGGACGGCCAGGCTGAAGCTGTCATCACACTGAGCTGACATAACTCTAGACAGGAGCAAAGCAAAAGCAGACTGTGGTTTAGTTGTCTTTGAAAAAGGTAAATGCATGCTTTCATTGAGATTTTTCAAAATATCAAAAGAACTTGGAGACCTCCCACTGCATGCCCAAGAATTCTAATACATTTCAGTCTCCTTATTTATATCAAAGGAAACTGAGGCCCAGAAGAAACAGCTCAGCTCAGATCACAGAGCCATGTAGTGCTAGGGCAGGAAGAGAGCCCGGGTTTCCTGCCTCCACCTCACACCACAGAGGGAAGCCCCCTCTGAAGTCTTACACCACAGCCATAGGAGTTAAGATCAGACATAACAAGAAACATCCTTTCCTAAGTGTTTCTTCCTTGGAAACCATTGAATGTCATGTGACTTCCTACATGGTATCTGCTGCTGAGAGCGTCTCTCGAGGTTTCTTCCAGCCCCTTGATCATGAGGAGGGAGGGAAGGTCTGTGTATCCTTGGTAATCTATTTCCTAGACTCTATTTTGAGGCAAACCATAAAGTAAGTAAAATTTTGTAGGGATTGGCCTGGTCATGAAAGGAAAAGAATTGCCTGGAAAGGAGACCCCTGTCACATGGTCTTGATAAAAGATGAAAAAGACTTGATGTGTCAAAAAAAAAAAAAAAAAACTCCAGCTCTCCTGGTACCCACAAGTTCCCCTGCATTTCCACCTGGCCACAGCAAGCAGTGATGCTGAGCTGATAGCCCTGGGTGGGGCAGGGACACAGCCTTGCAGGCCTGGGCATCAAGTGAGAGAGCAGCTGGCCTGATTGTGGCTCCTGCCTGCTGCCCGCGGGGGATTTGACCTAGATGCTCTGTTTATCTTAGTCCCCGGCCTGCAGCATCAGCAGCGGAGGAGAAATGACTAAGGACAGTCTCTGATGAGCTGTCTTTAACCCTATTAAAAAAAATATGTTTATAGGGGGAGTTAAGTGTTTCCAAAGCCCGAACTATAGCTAAGGAAGGGAGGTGTAATCTTCGATGCAAGCCAGTTTCAAAACATTTCATCTTTGTTTTATAGGAACGTAGTATCCACCCACAGGTTTGCCACAAATAAACCCTCAGGGAGAGTGTCCCTAAATACCAAAAAATAAAGCTAGAACTTCAAATTCAGAAGCCAGGTGGTAATAGGTAGAGAGTTTATCTTCTGCCCAAATCATTTAGGAAGTTTCTTAAACATTTGCAACCCAGGAAGCAATGAATATGGGATGATGCTAGCTCATTTGTAATAATCCCATATTTACCCTCTTCTGCTTAAATGCAAAACAGTTTAATTCTGCTACAAGTTACCTTCTTTCAGTGGAGCCCACGTTGATGACACTTCCCAAGTCCACGATTCCTTCAGCAGACTCCTAAGTCAGACCTTGCTCTAAATGTTGAACATCCAGCAACAAATCAGATGTTCCTTGAAGGGGTTCTCAGTGCAGTGGGGGGACCTAGACAAGTGCTGTCCTTTATAACAGCGTGGAAAGTGCCCACAGGGCTTTTGCACGTAGGCTGTCAGGGAACAGGAACGTGCAAGGCACATGCCTTGGCTTGAGAATTCAGGGAAGGCTGTGAAAGTGAAAGTCCTGCTGAGAAAAATCTCAAAGGATGGACAAGAACTGGAATGTGGAAAAGGAGAGAAAGGAAGTTTCAGGCAAAAAAAAAAAAGTATCATGAAGAAAGGAGCATGGCTCATTTGAGAAGCTTAGGTATGAGGGGAAAGAATAATTTTAAGGAATTGATACTTTAATCCTGATTTTATCATGAAAGTTTAGATTCCCTTTTTCAAAAGATTATTCTGGCTTCAAGATAGAGAATGGATTAGGAGCCATTAGAATCGAATGGATTAACCTGGGGTTAATGGTCTGTAGACTGAAATCAGGGAATTGCCAAACCAGAATAGGAAAGAGACGCATCTTTATGGTCACTAACTTTCCACTAAAATTTAGCATGTCCTCCGGTTATAAACATAGGCAACAAGCCCAACAGAAATCACGGATCTTTTTGAAAGGAAGTATGGAATGAAAGAATAAAAAGTAATCACACACATCTCTCCATTTCCCGTTAGAATTGTTGTGGATATCCCAGAATTAACATTGAGGAGGAGACTTTAGGCTTCACCAGGCTGCCAGCTGGGTCCACGGTAAAAACGTTGAAGAGCCTTGGGTTGCAGAGATTGGAGGTGAGAGGGGTGACTCTGAAGTAAAGCAGCAGCAGTGGAGAAGGAGTGGAGGGCACACACCTGAAAAAAACGGAGCAAGTAGAGAGTGGCCGGGCCTGGTGGCCGGTTCATGAGACGCCGTGGAGCAACAGGCACCTCGCACGGCTGTCAGGTTTCTAGTACGGGTGCCTGGGCGATGGGCCATCACTGAGACAGGAACGCAGAGAGACAACCAGTTGGGATGGAAAGGGGACAGGTTGGATTTGAGGTGTGTGTCATCACAGGCACTGGGACTTGAAAAGGGCTGGGCTGAAGATGTATATACCTGGGTGTGAATGAGGAGGTGGGAGGCAGGGCCATGGAGGACGCTGCAGGACTGTGCACAGAATGAAAGGAACTCATAGAAGGAACCAAAATATTCATTTTGCAGAAATTAGTGGAAGGAGAAGAGATTGGAAAGGAGCAGCCAGAGAAATTTATGAAAATCCAAAGCAAATGCTGTCCCAGAAGCCAAAGGGAGAGACGCTGTGGCGTTCCAGGTGGAGTTCAGCGATATCGGATGCTTTGAAGAGGACAGGACAGATGAAGGATAAAAAGTTCTGTTGAACTTGGCAGTGAGGAGGGCACTGCAAAACTTGACAAGAACAGTTGCCGTCAGGTGTGCGGGGCTGAAGGACTGTGCGCTGTGCCGAGGGACAGAAGTTGAGTTTGGCGGTGAAGGGGAAAGAAGGAGCACAGACAGTGCAGTAACAGGAGCCGCGGAGTCATGGGGACGCCTGTCCAGTGAGACCTGACAGTGCAGGGCCACTGATGACACGAGGTTCCTCAGTAGGCAGGGGGATTGGGCTCTAAGCATTGAGGGGAGGGGTGACCCTGACCATGAGAGACCTGAGAGGTGTGGACACAGAGGAGCTTGTGGGCAGAAGGAGTGTCCCTTCACTGTCTTCACAAAGCGGGTGAGCAGAAGTGATGTGGGGCCCAGGAAGGGGTACGCTGCATGAGGAGATTCTAAAGAGAGGACCTGTTGGTTGCTGGAAGCATCTACAGGTGAACAGACGTACGTGCGAGGGGCTCAGCAGCCTGTCTTTCATTCTGGGTTACGTGGACTTCCAGCAGCTCTTTTAAACTGGGATTTTGTGGTGCTTGGTGCTTTTCTGGTAGTCTTCTGGTTAACTAACACTGGAGGTTTCTCCCCTCTTTTGTTTCTGCATTCTTTCTACTTAGAAAAAGTTTTATTTTCCCCAGATTTACATTTTATAAATAATTGATCAAGAAGCGTCACCACTGACCTGTGCCCGTGGCTGTCATCTGCTTCCTCAAGCCTTTCCCTGCTTTCTCTCCAAGCAGGCCTGAGTTCCACTAAGATTCAGGGACAAAACAGTGTGCTCTCCCCGCTTAATGAAGCATTTGCCTTTATTACAGAGGCGAGATTCGATGTTAGCTCTCTCCCAGTGAGTCCCTTGTGAGCAAAAACTTCCAGTTTAACTGAGCACACCACTCAGCAGCCTGTCTTAGTCCGTTTACTGTTGCAATAAAGGAATACCTGAGGCTGGGTGATTTATTTAACAACAAGGTTTATTTAGCTTACAGTTCTGCAAGCTGCACAAGAAGCATGGTGCCAGCATCTGCTGCTGGAGAGGGCCAGGCTGCTTCCACTCAGCAAAAGGCAAAGGGGAGCCGATGTGTGCAGATCACATGGCAAGAAAGGAAGTACAGGTGGGCGGAGGTGCCAGGCTCTTTTAAACAACCAGCTCTTAAAGAAATAATAGAGGGAGAGGTTACTCACTCCCCGCCGCAGGGCATGAATCTGTTCATGCACAGTCCACCCACATGACCCAGACACCTCCCACTAGGCCCCATCTCCGACACTGGGGATCAGATTTCAACGTGAAGTTTGGGGGACAAACATCCAAACTACAGCACTGATACAGACATCTTTCTAAATAGAATAATACTGGGTGGTTTAAGTCATTAATCTTTATATATATATACATATATATATCTATGGTCTCAAAAAAGTTAAAAGAATCTTTTCAGACATGGATAATCAGCTATGAATTATTTTAGTGGGTCTTGAAGTAACTCATTTTAAGAAAGTTAATTGAACTCTACATAGGAATAATGGTTACTGACTTACCATGTCCCTTAGGCAAGTCCCTAAAGCACTGAGCTGCCATTTCTTCACAAATAAACTGGGAATAAGGATACCTATACGTATTTACAGGATTGCAGTAGACACCAAATGAGGCAATCTATGTGAAAGGCCTTCCTTTGAAAAGTATACAATTTGTTAAAATTGTGCACTTAATGAAATATAAGAGATTGCTTATGAGGATAAAAACGAGACACTGAACAGCAAGCTGTTGTGCAGTTTTAGTGTTTGCCCTAGGGTTTATAATATACGTATTTAATTAATCAGAGTCTACCTTGAAGTCCTATTAGGCTACTTTTCATGCTGCCTGAGGAAATTGCAACAGTGTATTCCCAGTTCCTTCCCATCCTCTGTGCCATTGCTGTCATAGTTTACCTCTACATATTCTGTAAACACACAACACACTGTAACAATTTTTGCTTTAGATAATCAAATATTAAAACAGAAAATAATGAGTTTTATATTTACATAGATGTCATTTCCAGTGTTTATTTTCTGTATAGATCAAAGTGCCTGTTGGTATATTCCTTCTGCCTAAAGAACTTCCTTTTTCATTTCCTGAAGTACAGGTCTGTTGGCAATGGTTTTTTTTGTTTTTTTGTTTTTTTCAGTTTTCATTTGCTGAAAAGTGTTTTCCTTCTTTTTTGAAAGATACTTTTTCTGCGTACAGAATTGTGTCTAGGTTGAGATCTTTTTTCTTGAACACTTTAGATGCCACTCCATCATCTTCTGACTTGCAAAGTTGCTGATGAGAAGTCTGCTGGAATTCTCTCGTCTTTGTGCCTCTATGACATGGGTCATTTTTCCCTGTCTTTAAGTCTTCTCTTTGGTTTTCACAGGTTTGAGTACATAAGATGTAGAATCTTGTTTGGTTTTGATATTTAACCTCCTGGGTATTTGACAAATATTTATTGAAAACTATTAGGTTCTGTCACTGTCCCATCCCTAGGTTCCATATAGGAGCTAAGGATATAGGGACGGACATGGTACCTGCCCACAAGCAGTTACACAGAAGTACAGGCAAGAGATAGTGGTGACTTAGACTAGGAAAGTGGAGCAGGGAAGCTGGCCATGGGAAGCTCAGTTTACTCACCGCTTAACATTCTTTGTGACTGTGTCAAACGCTCTTAATTAGGACTTTAAAAATAAAATTTGTTTATACTGTGGGATTGGTCAAATCTTGGTTTAAACATGTTTCCAGGGATCACATGTAAATGTGCTGAGACTTCATCCTTGAATGCAAGACTTGTCAGAGAGGGAATTCCTAAGTCTCTTCTCCTTGACAGCTGGAAGAGAAGACTGAGAACAAGTTGGGAGAACTAGGCTCCTCCGCTGAGAGCAAGGGGGCCTTGAAGAAGGAGAGAGAGGTGCACCAGAAGCTCCTGGCAGACAGTCACAGCCTGGTCATGGACCTGCGCTGGCAGATCCATCACAGCGAGAAGAACTGGAACCGGGAGAAGGTGGAACTTCTCGACCGCCTGGACAGAGATCGGCAGGAGTGGGAGCGGCAGAAGAAGGAATTCTTGTGGAGGATAGAGCAGGTAAGGAGGCACCCCGGGGCCCTGGAGCATAGGCACAGAGTGTAGACTGCTCAGTGGACCCAGAAAGCAAAAGCACTAGGCTGCTTCATGGTCCTTGCAGCATCAGGATGCATGGGCTTCCAAAGGAAGAGAGAGAAATTCTAGAATTGCTTGTGTTGGAGACCAAGGCTCATGCCTCTCCATGACACAGATCTTTTCTTTGCAAAGTTCATAGGTAACTCTCCTATGTGTACATGTGGTAGTGGCAGAGCAGGGTGGGTGGGGCTTGTGGGAGCGGGGGGATAACTTTTTAAAGGAATTTAAAGACTAAACTGGAAAGAGGAGGTTATTTCAGGTCTTATTCAATTGAAAACAAACTATAACTTTTAAGTTTGCCACTAAAGATGTGGTCACAGTGACTGCTCCAACTTGAATGGAATTGTTGTCATTAGAAAAGAAATTGCTGAATTCAGTTGAAAGTCAGGCTGTTTGCTGGTGAGTGTTCCTGCTGTGGATATTGCTGAGCTGTGATTAGATGGACCATTGTCAAGAGAGGTAGCTGGTAGCTCATCATCTTCAGCTAAACAAACAATTCAGAAACTCAGATGAATTTGGGGAGGAGGGGGGTAGTCATTTTTCTGCCAATATAACCATTCTCTGCATTGCATCAGACTTAGAACAGTTTGCATAGTTGCAGTAGTTCCTGAGGGATACACAAATTAAATTGATGAAGATTTGGAATTCTTCCCTGGCTGGATTTTTACATAGTATATATTTTGTTTATTTCAGCCAGTCACACACTTATAAATTTATGAGGTCTCAAGGAAATGTATTAATCAGTAAGAAATTGAGCTCAGGAAAAATAACCTCATTACTCTATTTTAAATACCCATAGAGCCTTTTGACAAATGTGCTCTATTATCCATAGACATGGTGCCTGTGTTACGCAGGTACAATGACAAAGGTGAGTGTATGCATGTGTTGGATAGGGCGGGAGGCAGAATGAACTAAATGGTAAGAAAGACCAAGAGGCTTTGGCTTGGAAACCACTAAGAAGAATAAAATACACCGCAGGTGAGCTATGATCCCCACTGCATTCCAGCCTGGGCGACAGACCGAGACCCCGTCTCCAAAAAACAAAAGAAGGAAAGTACACTGCAGATAGAAAAGCTGAAACTCTTCGTAGGTTTGACCACTTACACAAATGAGTCACCTTACTAATCTTTGATATTCCCCAAATCCTATCAAGAGGAATGCTGGCCATTTCCTTTCTGGCTTGGAAATGCAGCACTTGTGAAGAGTCTCCTGTATTAAATCTCCTGTGTATGTCGTTGCTCTATGGTTAGGTGGAAATTTTAGGGATAGAAGTGGCATATATTCTTTGAAAATGGCCACTAATTTATTATATCCAACTTAGTTGACCGGTGTCACAGTAACTCCAGGCAACTTGTCACCAGGGAGCTTCATTCTTGGCCCGTGCTCTAGGGCCACTCACTTTTTACATCCCTCCTGTACCCCAGTGAGGCCATCATGATCCCTGCCATGCCCCCTTTAGGGTGCCCTTCGCCTGTTAGCCATGGTGGCTTGTTGGACTTGTCACAGGCTTCATTTCTTTGGGAAGTCACACCTTGGATATAAATTAAGCAAGTCTTTTAGGTTTTTATTTTTACTTTTGGGAATGAAGAATTTCTAGTAAAGGAAAAATTAGATACATGTGGTGATACTCAACTTTCGAAAAGTCAGTGACTTACAGGAAACAACAGGTGCTGGAGAGGATGTGGAGAAATAGGAACACTTTTACACTGTTGGTGGGACTGTAAACTAGTTCAACCATTGTGGAAGTCAGTGTGGCGATTCCTCAGGGATCTAGAACTAGAAATATCATTTGACCCAGCCATCCCATTACTGGGTATATACCGAAAGGATTATAAATCATGCTGCTATAAAGACACATGCACACGTATGTTTATTGCGGCAGTATTCACAATAGCAGAGACTTGGAACCAACCCAAATGTCCAACAATGGTAGACTGGATTAAGAAAATGTGGCACATATACACCATGGAATACTATGCAGCCATAAAAAAGGATGAGTTCATGTCCTTTGTAGGGACATGGATGAAATTGGAAATCATCATTCTCAGTACTGTCGCAAGGACAAAAAACCGAACACCGCATATTCTCACTCATAGGTGGGAATTGAACAGTGAGATCACATGGACACAGGAAGGGGAACATCACACTCTGGGGACTGTTGTGGGGTGCGGGGAGGTGGGGGATAGCATTAGGAGTTATACCTAATGCTAAATGACGAGTTAATGGGTGCAGCACACCAGCATGGCACATGTATACATATGCAACTAACCTGCACATTGTGCACATGTACCCTAAAACTTAAAGTATAATAATAATTAAAAAAAAAAACATTAACATTAAAAAAAAAAAAAGAAAAGTCAGTGACTTAAAGATGAACCACAGCCTCATTTTGAGACTATATTTTGGAAAGGTAATAGTGGTCAGGAGCTGACCTCCAATTCCAGGTTATCAGTATTGAAACAGTTCGGCCAAACTGACAGCCTCAGAACCCAGTCCTCAAGGTGGACATCTTTGAGCATCATAGATCTGAAACACGTGAGTTTCGGGCATGCATCTGTTCATGAAATCTGTGTGATGGATCCCACAGTCTTTGTACAATGATGTCATTGCTGTTTTTAGAAGAGGATTGGTTACAAATGAACTGATGCTTCAGACATGCAATGGTGGCTTTCAAAAATAAATCTGGCCTTTTCCCCAAAATATTAAACATTTTTAAAGAAGACTTCTTAAATCTCAGTGCCCCATCCGGAAATTGAGGTAAAGCAATTATAGGCATTCACCAGACTTCCTGAAAAGAGGATGTTGGTTCAAGTGTGTATGGGTGTATATAGATTTTGTTCATTTATCAGTTATTGGGTTGCTTGTTCATTTAACTTTTAGCTACATACTCCGTAGATAAATGAGAGATGTAACTGAACATTCTTCACAATGTATACTCTCAACATTTGACTACTTGGTAAGCCATATAATATAACCTTGACTGTGATAACCTAATACAGATGGTGAAAGCAGTAACACTAAATCCATTTTCCACTTTCAGAACACATGCTTCATACTTGTCCGCTGTCATTAAATTCCTACATAATTTCTGCACCACATGAGGCATGTTATGTGATGTATGACTGTGGGAATGTGGCTAAGGTCATATAACACATTTTATCTCTCTTATCAGCGTCTCTTGTCTCAATCCAAGTTTGATTGCGGGGTGGGGGTAGGAGACTTTTATGGAGTCACACTACATTTCTCCTTAGAATTGTTGAGTTCCCAGTTAACATGCAGATGATGTAAAACTTGCTGTTATATTTGCTGTACTTGTCAAGCAAAAAGGGTCATCCATTCATTCTCCTTCCAGTAACTTTCTTAAATCAGCTGCCATTCTTTTAAAAACTCCATTCTTTTAAAACCTGTTACAAAGTGGCCTTTTTTCTTTCTACCAGTCTGGGGAAGGTGACACTCTCGAGGGTTTATTGTTTCCTGTATTAAAATACAAATCTTTAAAATGTTCGACTTGCATTAAAAGTTGTTTTACTGCAAGATTGCAAGTAGGTGCTGATGCTGGCTGAAATGACTCCTATAGGAAACCCTCCCTCTCTGAGGACTCGTTCTATTACAACACCCCAGAGGCATCTTAGCAGCAGATATCTCCACCACAACCACTCCAGTTCAATTTTAGGAAACCTAACACTTAGCAGCTTGAGTACAAGTTGCTCCTGGCTGCCTGGGTTTATTTTTGAAATCCTACTTTACTGAGTTAGAAGGTGCTTGTTCATAGCCCTCCTCTTTAGTCATTCTTTTCCCCCTTCACTCACACCCTCAGTGCACATTTGCAGCTTCAGATGGGATTCTTGCATTTTAATTTCTTGCCCAAAATAGCTTAGAGATGATCATGTGTTGAAACTAAATTGTGCCGACATGCATTAAATGAACATATAAAAAGCCTTCCCTTTTTTTTTTTTTTTTTTTTTAAAGAAAGCAGTTAGCATCTTTAAGACAACTGCAAAGAACTGTGTCATCATCAGGGAGGTGGAGGAGGAGAGAGCAGAGGGGCAAAGCTAAAACGTAGAGTTTTTAGGTTTTGCTGGGTCCCTAATTTGACTGTGAACTGCCTCAGATGCTAACGTGTCAGCTTTGGCTGAATCAGACTCCATCTTTCTCAAAGGTAAAGATAAATCTCTGTTCTGCCACCTTAGAAATCACTAACAATGAGCAAACGTCCTTTTGTCTTTACTGTCTCATATGGCTTTCTTCCTGACTATACAGAAACCATATTTACGTCCAACTTGTGGATGAATGCTCCAATTAGGACACAGAGATGCAGTTTGTAGTGATGCTTAAAAAAAAATGAATTGATCTGCATTCAAGGAGGTTTTAGAATTTCCTGGAACGGTCTCAGCACTTGAGGACTTCAAATCATTATTTGGCCACTCCTTCAGGTCAAATCCAAATGTCACTTTCATCGTTCAGATACTTTGCTTATTCAAAAGAGCAGTCAATCCAGTAGTGTGAGCTTGTCATCCAATAAAGGCACCATTAAAGATTCATAGGCGGAAATAGCTTCAGGTCTCAGTTGTGCTTTCTGTGGCTGTTTTAGAAAGGGAAGCAATGAGGAGGGATCAGAAGAATGGAGTGGAAGCTGGTGAGGGCTCCTCTGGGGAGGGAGGCCGTGCGCCCTGCAAGCCATTTGCCTGCCTGCCTCAGCAGTTCCTTGTGATTTCATATGGGCTCCCTTCCTGAGCCACCTCCACGAAATCTCCATCTAGTGCCGCAAAACAGCCCAGAAAGGCATAATGCCCTTATGTGGGCTGGGCTCCCACTAGACGGCATGACTCCGGTGAGCCCACGTGCACAACCCATCTTACAGATAAGGAAACTGAGCTCAGGAGAGTCGGGAACTTGCACCTGCCTGCAAACCAGCAAGCCACACGTTAATGGTTCCAACTCAGGTCTTCTAACTCCAGGTGGCCCTGTGCTTGCCCACTACCGCTTCTTGAGTTCAACCAAGTCAGGGAAAAAAGTATGACTCTAACGTAATGTGGCTTTTTTTTTTTCTTCACTCAGTCATACCAGATCTTTACTTGCGTTATAGCTAAGTTTGTATCCTCTCAAATAAAGTGTAAGTTATGTTTAACACCAAATGGTTACAAACTCAAGTTTGCTCACTTGAATTACTGATAGGACCTGTTCCACATGCCCTGGGGCTAGTTAGGAAAATCAGATTCACACTCAGAAGTTTGCTATCACTGATAGTATTCCACTGAGTATGTCTTCACTTCTGAAGGAAGTTCCAAAGAGAGTTTTAAACATGTTCTTTAACAGTATTAGATTAAAAAATAGTAATAAATGTAAAATTTCCCATGAGCACAACACTCAGAGTTATGTACAATAACACATATATTGGTGTCAGAAAGAGTTCACCATACTCGTACGTGGTTAATGCAGATTTTCTGGGCCAGATAAAATTGTGGGTTTTGTAAAGCATCTGTAATGTTGTGTTACATTTTGAAATTAAGATCAGAACTTTAAGAACATTTGCTTCTCACAATATTTTTCAAACTGACCTATGTGTAATTGCAAATTGTGGAGAAACGATGTTCTTAGGGAGACCATCAGACAGAAAAGTGAGGCTAATTATTTTCATTTTTAAAATTCTCAAGTTGCAGAAAGAGAACAGTCCCCGGAGAGGTGGCAGTTTCCTCTGTGATCAAAAAGACGGCAACGTTCGCCCCTTTCCCCACCAGGGAAGCCTCCGCATGCCCCGTCCAGTGGCCATGTGGCCTTGTGCAGATGCTGACTCCATCCCGTTTGAAGACCGGCCGCTGTCCAAGCTGAAGGAGTCGGACAGGTGCTCGGCCAGTGAGAATCTCTACCTGGATGCCTTGTCCCTGGATGACGAGCCAGAAGAGCCACCAGCCCACAGGCCCGAGAGGGAGTTCAGGAACCGCCTCCCTGAGGTCAGCCAGGTTTTGTCCATCCTAGTTAACCACTGTGGAATGAGGGAGCCGTCATGAAACCTAAGAGGCATCTGCCAGATTCCTCTCCTGGCAGGCTCTAGCACTTTTGCATACAGCAACCTCCGAATTGAGTAAAAATGAAATCTTCACAACACCAAGGGTTTTGCTTCACCCTAAATTAGCATGCTCTGCTGTCAGTTTAACTTTGCCCCCTTGTTTCAGGTTTAGAAATACTGGACTAGAGTCCTATACAAAAGGAAGGTCTCACAAATAAGTGTGTCCCATAAAACACACAAGAGGAAGTAAATAATTCTGGGAAGTGTATATGCTCAACTTTTTCTTTTTTCTTTTGATTTTTTTGGAGATGGAGGTCTCACTCTCTTGCCCAGGGTGGAGTGGAGTGTCTGATAACGACTCACCACAGCCGTGACCTCCTAGGCTCAATTGATCCTTCCCCCTCAGCCTCCTGAGTAGCTGGGACCACAGGCACATGCTACCATGCCTGGCTAATTTATTTTGTTTTATTTTTTAAGTAGAGACAGGGTCTCCCTATGTTGCCCAAGCTGGTCTCGAACTCCTGGGCTCAAGTGATCTGTCTGCCTTGGCTTCCCAAAGTGCCGGGATTACAGGTATGAGCTACCACACCCAGCCTCAACTTTTCTTGAAATAATAGTACAGTCTTCTGAGTCTAGAAAACTAATAACCAAAAATATTCTGGGCAAAGGGAAAAAAATCCAACACTTAGAAACCTTACATAAATTAGACCACCAAATGGGTGAGCTAAGCTGTAGACATTTCCATGGCACAGCGTTAGTTATGTTTTTCTGGTTTTAATATTTTTAAAACCTTGTTTTAAAAGTTGTTCTAGGGCCGGATGTGGTGGCTCATGCCTGTAATCCCAGCACTTTGGGAGGCCGAGGTGGGCGGATCACGAGGTCAGGAGATCGAGACCATCCTGGCTAACACGGTGAAACCCTGTCTCTACTAAAAATACAAAAAAATTAGCCAGGCGTGGTGGCGGGTGCCTGTAGTCCCAGCTACTTGGGAGACTGAGGCAGGAGAATGGCGTGAACCCAGGAGGCGGAGCTTGTAGTGAGCCAAGATCGCGCCACTGCACTCCAGCCTGGGCGACAGAGCAAGACTCCATCCAAAAAAAAAAAGTTGATTCTAGGACTCATTACCTGTGAAGCAGTTCAACAGTTGCTGCACCTATCATTTGGTCTCCTAAACACTCAAGACTTAGAAGAGTTCATATCAAATAGTGTTATTGAAGTATGCAGAAATTATATTTCACCCACATCAGTAAGGTCAAATGCCTTATCCTCAGCAATGTGTACCAGGTTGATAGGACATTGCCACAGTCCCACCCTGTCTGATCTATTGGCAATCTTATACAGTCCGATTACATAGTAGAGGTAACGTGGGGTGGGGTCAGGAGCCTGTGCGTGGGTTCCAGCCCACTGGACCCTGCATGGCAGAGACAAGGGGCATGCTCATTAAGGGGAAGGGTACCCCTTGCTATTTACTGTCTTGAAAAATATGCTTCCCTTACTGTTAGTCAGAGTCTTGCTGCTTCAAAACCACATCAGCACAAGAGTGTTTTCTCAGCAGACAACCTCGTGTTTATGCCGTTCTCTACAAACACAGCTATCATTCTTCTTAAAGGGGAAGGCACTGTACTTTGCCTCTGATTCTAAATGGGAATGTTTAAAACCAACCAAGTGCCCGAGTCTAAGGATGTCACGCCAACTTCTACAGCAAGATCGGGACCACTAACGTTACTCTATCACCTTCCATCTTTCTCTCTAACATAACACATGCACACTCTCTCTCTCTCTCTCAGTCTCACTCTCACACTTAGGTTGTTACAAATCCCGCTTTGAAATTCATGTAGTCAGTGAGGTCCTTTGAGGAAGCACAGAAGAGCCACCTCCTCCATGACAAAGTTTATAGCCAGTTGTTCTCACTCATGTGGGCTTCTCCCTGGACTACAGAAGCTCCAGCCCCTCATCATGCTGTGGACTCGCTTTGATGATTGTACTTTAAAGGCCTCAGGGCAGTAGCACTCCTAACCAGAGCTTGGCCTCAGTGCACATTTTAAATGGTGGTTTCCTGGGGGTGCAGAGCAAACAAATCACTTAAGTACATTCAGGGCTTCTGGACAACCAAAATTAACCGATTCAGATGAAGTTATTTCTTCTTTATAGGAAGAAGAAAATCACAAAGGAAATCTTCAAAGGTAAGTAAGATTGATGAAAATAATAGATTACTAGAATAAAAATGTCTTGGTCTTAAAATGTTGTTTTGTCAATGCAGTCTATTTTACCACTCTCTTCAAAATGACTTAAAATTATGCCACTTCTGAAGAAGTGGCTGCTTTATTATTCATTTCATAAACATGGTATTTTTGATTATTAACAAAGAAGTTAGACGTGCTGTGTCACATGTGTATGAGTTTTATGGTAAGGACTTTCCAGTTGTTGTTGTGTTATGTATACAAAGGAATGCTTGTGTTGAGTGGTTTTTGAAAGGTCCATGGAAACCTCTCTTTTCTCATTTAAAGTCTGGGAAAACTCTCTTTTGTATGCTGTGAGATGCTTTATACACTGTATTTAAAAGCTCCACTAAGAGAATTTATTAAAATATTTTCTGGCAGTAGTCCTTGAAGAAGATATATAGTGGTTGATGTGGTTGTTAGTTACACACCAGTTTTTTCCTCCCCAGTTTAATTTCCTCCAGTTTTACTTTTTCATCATTCTCCAAATGAATACATACCGTTTCTACTACATGAAATTTCTTCTCAGGCAATTCAGCATTTCCAGATCGCCTCATCCTTGATTTTCCTCTGAACTTCGAGTCTGTGAATGACTGTCCTCTTCCCATTTGCTCCCTGCCAGATCTCTGCAGCACCTAGCCATGCCTGTGGCACACTTCTGTCCTTCACGCTGTCTTCTCTGGTCTTTCTTGGGTGGTACAGGACAGTACTTGAGAGCTCAGGCTCTAGAGCCAAACTGCCTGGGTTGGTTGGTTGGTTGGTTGGTTGGTTGATTTTTGAAATGGAGTCTCGCTCTGTCTCCCAGGCTGGAGTACAGTGGCACAATCTTGGCTCACTGCAACCTCTGCCCCCTGGGTTCAAGCAATTCTGCATCAGCCTCCCAAGTAGCTGGGATTACAGGCAAACCCCACCATACCCGGCTAATTTTTGTCTTTTAATAGAAACAGAGTTTCGCCATGTTGGCCAGGCTGGTCTCGAATTCCTGACCTCAGGTGATCCACCCGCCTCAGCCTCCCGAAGTGCTGGGATTACAGGCGTGAGCCACTGTGCCCAGCCCAAACTGCCTGGGTTTGAATCGCTTCTGCCTCCTTGGGTAGGTTACTCAACTGCTTTGTGCCTCAGTTTCCTCATCTGTATACAGGACGTATTTTGATTATCTTTTTTTTTTGCAGCTTATGTATGTTAATACACATAATGAAAGCAGCACATGGCACAAAACAAACAGTAAACAGAGTTTAGTCATTACACCCTCCCACCTTCCCCGTTCACAGCAGCAGCCACATCAGTGTTTCCGGTTAGGCTTTGGAGCAACTGTACTTCACCACTCAAGCCATCAACTTTTATGCTTTCAAAAGTAACACATGCTTGTTATAAAATGTAAATATTGGCTGAGGCAGGAAAATTGACCGAACCCGGGAGGCGGAGGTTGCAGTGAACCGAGATTGCGCCACTGCACTACATCCTGGGCGACAGAGTAAGACTCCGTCTCAAAAAAAAAAAAAGATAGATAGATAGATAGATAGTCTCAAAATATCCAAAGTGGAAACTGGATGCGCCCTCCCCACTGTCCCCATGTCCTCTGATTCTGACTGCCCGGTATGTTTCCACCATACTCTCTTCGTTCCACCTGCAAGCGCCTACACATGCTCCAGATGTATCCCGGGTTTTCTCATCATGGTTTTGTTTGCTTTGGCCACTGCTGAGGTTAATGCCTCTGCTTTCTCTGTCTTTATCATCTCTGTTCCACCATATCCATCCATGCCCCAGAGGCACTGAGTTCCCACCCAGGTAGGTGCCACTGATTTAACTCTGAGACAGTTCCTCTGTGGGCAAAAGTGGGAGTTAGATGAGCTATGTCCACAGAAATGTGGAAAGGACCAGGGTGTTGGCATGTGTCCGGCACTTACAGTCCCCAGCGAACAGTGTTCTGAAACTCATCATTAATTCAGCAACTCCTTGAATTGAGAAGAGGGAAATTCATACTTGCTGGAAAGCTCATGACCTTGGGACAAATCAACCCATCCCTACCATTGCCCTTCCTTTCCGGCACTGGATATAGCCAGCTTGTGGTTATTCAAAGCACCACTGGACAGTTTGTAGATTATTTCTAACAACAAAAAGATAACAAGATGGAATGCCTAACGATGTCACTTTTAGCCTGCTGTTTTACCCCGTGGTGCTGACCACATGGACGGGTGCCTTGCCCCCAAGGTGAAGCCAGCTGTCAGCAAAGCTGCCCAGAGCTTTGCTGGTTCTGTGTACCAGCGCACACGGTACAGGGACTTGCTCAGAGCAGACCCCAATTCTGGCCTCATCATCATTAATAGGTCCTATGGAGGAGTGGTCCATACACTCAATCTGGGACCCCTTCCACAGGGCCTGCACTAGTCTAGATCCCTAGGTTTAAGCCTGTGCTTTGTGGGGTGAAAGGAGTATCAGTATGTCCTGTAAGAATCTGGACAGTGAGTCTACAGACACCTCATCGCCCCATCCCACCCCAGCTGGAGGGATTCCAGGCCAAAGAGGTTCTGTTGCCTGAGCCAGCAGGCACAGGCAGCCCCAGCCCCGTTCCTGACCACCACTTCTTTGCCCTGGTGGTAGTCGTGCCCGAGCACTCCGGCCACTTTCTGTCTTAGCCTGGAAGCATTGCTGGCACCCCTGCAGCACCTGCCAGGCATGTGAGAGGCATTCAGCGAACTCATGGCAAATTGAAAGTGCTAACACATGGAAGAATCCACACCAAATCTGTGTCCATCAGGTGGCAGCTTGCCAAAACCTGGCCATCGCCGTGGCTCACCGTCTTCACCCTTCAGCTGTGGTCCGAGTGAGTCTCCTGAGAATTCTCACTGAGGCACTGAGGCCTCAAGTGATTCTCCTGTCTTGGCCTCCCAAAGTGTTGGGATTACGGGTGTGAGCCAGAGTTGGTTGTATTAAATTCTGACCAATGCAAGGCTTCAGGAACAATTCCAGAGCCACGCAGAGTCCAATAAATGCCCGCAGGGTAAGTCTGTGAGTGCAGCACATGAGCAGCTGACAGTGTTCTCCTGGTGTGGGTGGCAGCGGGTGCCTTCACTGACACTTCTCATGCAGGGCAGGACATGGGTGTTGTGGTGTGTCAGAGGCTCCCTGGCAGGTACTGACACCCTCTTTTCTGCTTTTCCCAGGGCGGTGTCCGTGTCCTCCATGTCTGAGTTCCAGCGTCTAATGGACATCTCCCCCTTCCTGCCTGAGAAGGGCCTGCCGTCCACCAGCAGCAAGGAGGATGTCACCCCACCCCTGTCTCCAGACGACCTCAAGTACATCGAGGAGTTCAACAAGAGCTGGGACTACACACCCAACAGGGGCCACAATGGTGGGGGGCCGGACCTTTGGGCCGACAGGACCGAGGTGGGGCGGGCAGGGCACGAGGACAGCACAGAGCCTTTCCCCGACTCCTCCTGGTACCTAACCACAAGTGTCACCATGACCACGGACACCATGACCAGCCCAGAGCACTGCCAGAAGCAGCCACTGCGGAGCCACGTCCTCACCGAGCAGTCGGGGTTGCGCGTGTTACACAGCCCGCCTGCCGTGCGCAGGGTCGACAGCATCACGGCGGCAGGTGGTGAGGGTCCCTTTCCCACAAGCAGAGCCAGAGGGAGCCCGGGAGACACCAAGGGAGGCCCTCCAGAACCCATGCTCAGCAGGTGGCCTTGCACCTCCCCCAGGCACTCCCGGGACTATGTGGAGGGGGCACGGCGCCCCCTTGATAGTCCCCTCTGTACCTCCCTGGGGTTTGCCTCCCCACTGCACAGCCTGGAGATGTCCAAGAACTTGAGTGATGACATGAAGGAGGTGGCCTTCTCTGTCAGGAATGCCATCTGCTCCGGCCCTGGCGAGCTGCAAGTCAAGGACATGGCCTGCCAGACCAATGGGTCCCGGACGATGGGGACCCAGACTGTTCAGACCATCAGTGTGGGCTTGCAGACTGAAGCCCTGCGTGGCAGCGGTGTCACCAGCAGCCCCCACAAGTGTCTCACTCCAAAGGCTGGGGGCGGTGCTACACCCGTGTCGTCTCCTTCCCGGAGCCTTAGGAGCAGACAGGTGGCCCCTGCCATCGAGAAGGTGCAGGCCAAGTTTGAACGCACATGCTGCTCCCCCAAGTATGGTTCTCCCAAGCTGCAGAGGAAGCCCCTCCCCAAAGCCGACCAGCCAAATAACAGGACGTCACCAGGGATGGCCCAGAAAGGGTACAGTGAGTCAGCCTGGGCCCGCTCCACCACCACAAGGGAGAGCCCCGTGCACACCACCATTAATGATGGCCTCTCCAGCCTCTTCAACATCATTGACCACAGCCCCGTGGTGCAGGACCCCTTCCAGAAGGGGCTGCGGGCCGGCAGTCGGTCTCGCTCAGCAGAGCCCCGACCAGAGCTGGGCCCAGGCCAGGAAACAGGCACCAATTCCCGAGGAAGGTCGCCTAGCCCCATTGGGGTGGGGTCAGAGATGTGCAGGGAGGAAGGGGGAGAGGGCACGCCAGTGAAGCAGGACTTATCTGCTCCCCCTGGCTACACGCTCACTGAGAACGTGGCCCGGATCCTCAACAAGAAGCTGCTGGAACATGCCTTAAAGGAGGAGAGGAGGCAGGCTGCCCACGGGCCCCCGGGTCTCCACAGTGACAGCCACTCGCTGGGGGACACAGCCGAGCCAGGGCCCATGGAGGTAATGAATGCTGAGTGCCCCACACCCTTCCCCACCAGCTCTTCCCTTTAGCTGTGGGGCAGGTTGGGACTTGGGATTGTGCTCTGTCATTTGATCTCAGGAATCGTCCATGATTGGTTATTGGGAGCTGGGGAGGTGTTAGGTTTATGGGAGAATAGAATAGGCAGAAAAAGCCCTGAGCAACTTTTTTGAAGAAAATGTTATTTTATTGTCCTTGGGAAATCATATAGTACATGGTTTGATTTGGGTTCTGTCACCAGTCTTAAGTGATTGATCCTTATTTATCAGGGCATTTTATTTGGGGTCAGTTTGCCTTCTTTCTGTGTGAATTCGTGCACATGTACAAACTATGGGATAGTTGTGTCAGGCTTGCTGCATACTGCAGACCTTCATATGTGACAGCATGAGGTGAGCTGGAGAGGGTCTGGACCACATGAGCACGAGCACTTCTCATCAGGAGCCACAAGATCTCGATTCCTGGGCTGGCTTCCTTACAAAACAGCCATCTGGCAGCTCACAAATCACTTACCCTCTTTGTGGCCATGAGCCCCCCTAGCAGTAAAACCAAGTGAAACATATAGACAAAATCAAAATCCTACCCTAATACAATATGATTATCATTATTGCCCTTGATATTACTCACAAATCAATCCACTGTGAATTGGGTTCTGATGCACATCCACATGTGGTGTTTTTGTACACCACTTTACAAAACGCTTCCCATTTCCACTTCAACAATGAGCAAAATGAAAGCCTGATGTTGATGCTGGTGGTGATGGCTATGGTGATGCCACTTTGTGGTTCGTGCAGCACAGAGAGGACGTGTCTGTCCAGCGAGTGATTCCAACTCGCCAGGAGTCCGGATGAACAGGCTTCACACTGGGAACACCTGGCCCCATGAGCACTCTCCGAGCCAGGCTGCTCCCGCAGATGGCGGGGGTCAGAGGAGGAGGAGGACGGCAGCTTGCTCCTGGTCTGCCCGCTGCTTCCTCGCCAGGACCCAAGCAGCCCTGGCTTCATGGGCAGGGAGAGGAGGAAGGTGTATTGCCTGTTTCACCTGGCCCACGTTTCCCACAAGAGGGTAAATGATGGCTGTCTTCCCAGCCTGGCCCACCAATGAATGTTTAACTCAGAATGCAGGCTTGAAATCTGAATAGGTCAGACCTGTGGAACTGCCAATGGCTTACAGAAGTGGCAATTCCATATGGTTCACACCTAATACAAATATTGATACTACATGGCCTACATGTTCCAAGATCTGAGTCTTTGTGATAAAGTTGTTTGCATGCTCTGAGGACAAACTGCTGGTTGAATGTTCTCAGGTGACAAATGGTGTCTTCTTTGGGCTACTGTTACCCCATCCTTCTGGGGTCCTCAGGTAAGTCCTCCTGCCGTGGAACGGTCTGTTTATATGTGAGTGCCCTGCCTTCTTAGGGCTCTGAATCTCAGTTGAAATTGGGGCTATGTCACAAAGCATTAACCGGCTGTGTCTGTATTGTCTGTTTATATTACACACCAAATAGAAATTATTCTTTAAGAACCAAAAAAATGCTTTGAATTACGAATAGTGAATCCTGCAAGCAAAAATAGGTTCTTGATGGAATCCCAGCATTATGGCATGAAAACGGTTTTATCAGTACAAAGTGGCGCCCAACCCCTTTTGTCCTCCGTAAAGTATTCATTTAGATTTTCTCTTCACTTGGTGTGTTTGCCACCAAAAGAGATGATGTGAAGGGAGCACAGTTGCAGGGCCTCAGAGCGGGCATGGAGCACTCATCGGCAGCATCTAAATGCCACGGGCTCTTTTTTCCATTTCTGTTGGAATTTTCCTCGTTCTAGATTCCAGTGGGATTGTTCTGAATTGATGTAATATATTCAGGCCATTGCAACCCCTTCCCATTGCTCCATGAATTATGCAGTAGTTCTCGGTATGCGTTCCCAAATCCCCAGGACTACTTCTGATTCCAAGCCCACCCAGTGCGCTGTTGCGGAATCTTTCCCCGAATGTTCACTCAGGCATCCACACCCAGGAGTGATGCAGGTGACAAGAAATCTCCCTTTCTCACTGCACTGTCATCCCATAAGCCACTCGGGCCTCTTTTTCTCTTGACACCATGGCACTAGTTCAGCAGTGCAGAGAGAAGCCGTGAGGAGTTCCGGTGTGAAGAGAAAGAATCTGAAAATGGAATGCTCTTCCTCCCTCCCCTAAGTGGAAAATGTGAGGGGAACTTTTTAGAGTAAGTGGCAGTAGCTTGGCTGTTGTGACCGAAACAAACGCAGCCGTATAATAGTCTCTGTTTTAGATACCAGTCATGCAATTTCCATATCTCTGTTTGCCAAAGTGCTGTTTGAAATGTTAAATGCTAAAGGGTGACTCGGAAGCATAGAAACTAGAGGGAGGTCTGTGACTCCTCCATGGAGTTTCCTTCTTCTCTCTGGGCAGATGGCAGAGGGCAGGCCTGTGTGCCTAGTGCCTGGCCACTTCCCCACACCTGCCTTGGAGTGAATGTGCTAGATCTGAGAGCCCGCAAGTCTCTCCTGGTGGCTACCCCTGAGCGAGAGGGATGGTCCTCTACCTCCGGGCTTGCTGACTTTAAACCTTTATTGTTCTCCTGTTTAAAAAACACTTTCCAACCTTCTTGCTTTTCTTTTCTTTCTCTGTCTGTTCTGTCCAGAACCAAACTGTCTTGCTAACTGCCCCCTGGGGACTCTAGCCCTGCCCGCCTCACGCTGTAAGTGCTTCCTTCCTTGTTTCCCAACTGTCTGGAGAGGTCGTGTTGTGTAACTCGCAGTTGGCACCTGACGCTCATCACCTGAGGGAGTTCTGCCCGGTGGCGGTACCCTCGCTCACCCCAAGTTCCAGGAGGTTCGCCTAAACCCAGGAACAGATTGATAAGGCCAGAGACTCATCTGCTCTGCTAGAGGGTTGACCACTCAATGCAAAGAAGGGTTTTTAGGTTATAGAGATTCTGCTGAGATTTCTCCGCTTTTGTACATTTGCAGCCAATATGCTTTCAGAGAATTGAGTAGATACTGGCCAGGAGGGGACATCCTAGGCACAGGGGTCTTGCCTGAGGGGGTCTTTGGGCCCAGCCACCCAGGACTGGTCAACATTTTGGTTATACGTGCACTGGCATGTGCTGAAATGAGGTGTGACCCTAATGTGATAAGGCTTTTGTTTTTCATTTTTCAACAACCATACCACAAGGAATGAACCCAAATATATCTTGTCCTTCCAAGTGAGCACCGTGGGTGACAGAGTAAATGCTCAATAAATATTTGTTGAATGAATAAACAACAAAATCATCCCCACTCCAAATATCTTGAGACCTTCCCTCAGAATTGCTTTCAGAGTCTGAGTCAAAGCACATGAGAAAAGATATACTTTTTGATCAAGGATATAGTCATCCACCCACCTCATCCACTGGCCTTGACTCGAAGCCAGTAGTATCTGTTGTCAAATACAACAGATGTATCCCCATGAAAAGATGACAGGGAACACAGGGAGGGTCAATTCCCAGAAACGTGCTACAGGGGCAGCATCCCAGGACACCATGCCATGCAGCGACCACAGTGGCTTCTCGGGAAAGCGCAGCATCGTTTGCTTGTACATGCCGGTGTGTTACTAAGGAAAAGGTTGATTCCCTTGAATGCAGACTCACAGTGATTCTTCCTTCACAAGCAGAGGCTGGCAAAGAGGGGGTACTGAATGGTCTCATAAAAAGCCTGCTCTTCAGCACCAGCCAGGCGGAACGGGATACGGTGGTGTCAGATAAACCTATGACAGCAGCTTCACCAACACACAACACACACAGAACAGATACACAATACACAACACACACACTACTTCTATAACAAGGGGAGCGCAGACACAAAACACACAGATTTCCCAAACCGTGTGTCCCAGTCAAGCACTGTGGGCTGCAGTGAGATGAGGACACAGGAGCACCTTGGGTTAGTCTGCATCTTGGTGGCTGGTGGCGCTGGTGGAGTTTTAACTGGAGAGGTATTTCTGGTTGTCACGGTACTGTTAGCATAATGCTTTGGGAACAGAAGCTTCTCCCTGTGGCCGTATGAAGTTCCAGCCACAAAAGCAGCAGGGAGCATGAAGCATAGTCTCCAGGGCCACTGTTCCTTTTCTGCTGACCCCAGAGGGAGGCAGGGAAACCGCTCGCCCCATTGCTCTTCTGGAAGCCTGTGGCTCCCACGCTGTCCTCGGGCCATGCTGTCTCTGCCGTGTTCCATCTTCTCCCGAGTGACACTGCCCATTCCGTGCAGCCGTCTGTCCTTCCCCCGCTGCTGCTCCCCTGCACCACTGGCTGGGCTGTCCTCATCCTGGTCTTTTCAGTTGCTTGTCACATCTTTTTAAATCCTCCAACTCACTTCCTTTCTTTGAGGGTCCTTGTTCTCTGTCATCCTTCCTGTGCCTTCCATTCAGTTCACCTCAAGCTTCCAGTGTCTGAGTGTCATTCCAGCCAGCGGGCTCCATGCTGGGCAACTCAGTTTTCTCATGCCACAGCTTTTTACATTTCTGTGTATCAGCAAATTCCAAATTTGGGTGTCCTGGTTTTGTAACATGTAAGGACAAGGAGCTCAACATTCTTTAAAAACAAAGTAGCTTGAGAATAAGGATTCTAGGTGATTTGCACATGGTTGAGTGTGTCTTGCATCACCTGCTCGCAGAACATTAGGATGCCTGAAACACAAAACCACCAGTACATTCTGATTCTACCTTTTTAAAATGCTGCTGCAATTGAACAGTCATTAAAGAAAACCAGACCCAAATTAAAATTTCTGCCTGCAGCATTTTTGCCATGTTGTGGGAGTTTGTTTAAGCTACTCCCAGTCAATTTCAAATAAACAGTAGCAGAGTTCGTTTAAGACGACTGCCATTGCTAACACAGCTGAATGAAATCAGAGGTCTCTTTGTGGGCTCCCAGTAGATCCAGGCCCTGTAGGACCAGTTCACTTGTCCACTGTAGCTAAATAGATCATACAAAAGGGCCAAATGAACAGATCTACCAGATAGGAATATGATGAAGTGGCCTGTGGAGACCGCTGCCACAGTCACTGTGTCATGCCTTCTGTATACCCCAGCCCAATTCTAAAGGAGCTTTGCAAGCTGACTCATCTCACAGTATTGCTGTGTTTAATCATAATTGGTCTCTTCCCATTCATGTCACTGATCATTTGTGTTGAATTCTTTATTATTTTAAGTTATTCTGCATGAGCATAGAAAGTAGTTAATATTCACGAGTTGCCTGTGGTGTATACTTCATCTCACTTGAGTCTGTTGAGAAGTGTGTTTGGGGGAATCATCCACTGGTGACACTGCCGGTCTGAGTAACCCTGTCTCCCTTTCTCGGCTCTGAAGGAACTACCTTGTTCTGCACTAGCTCCATCCCTAGAGCCCTGCTTCTCCAGGCCCGAGAGACCAGCAAACCGTCGCCCTCCGTCCCGTTGGGCCCCACATTCCCCCACTGCCTCACAGCCTCAGTCACCCGGAGACCCGACGTCCTTGGAGGAGCATGGTGGCGAGGAGCCGCCCGAGGAGCAGCCACACCGAGATGCAAGCTTGCATGGATTATCACAGTATAATTCACTGTAATTTGCATAACCACACCATCACCATGAACAAAACTCTGCCCAACAGGAGAGATCTAGTTTTCTCAAGGTCAAAGAATGTTTTTTAAAAACACAAAGCTGCTGAATGTTCAACCTGTGAAACTGAGATGTTTCTAGAATGAAACAGTAAATGTGCCTGTAATAACTTAATTTTTTTCATAGCTCAGAAAACTATTTTTGTCTCCATCTTTTTTACACACAGTATATTAAACGAAAAGGTAAATAAGGTATAAATAGATTTAAAAAATAAAAGTTTTAAAAAATGTACATTTTAAGAGATTCTGAACACCCTCGCTGTCAATACCTGACTGCCTCTGTTAAATTTGCACTGTTACATTTTGGTTCAGTTTATTTCCATGTTGAATTAGAGTGGATTAAGTTAATTTTATTTTGTCAGTGTTACTGTTTTTTACGAATTTTTTAATGCTTCAGACTGTCTGATTCAGTGAACTTTTTGTAGTGAAAAAGCCATGAAGCCAGTAGACAAGACAGATATTCTGTATGCTGGAGGGGATACAGGATGATTTTGAAAAGGTACAAAGTCCTCAGTGGGCTTAGAAAATTCACTGTATGATCCTTATATTATCCTACTTGGCTTGCACGTCTTCGGGTGCATGTATATACCGCTACTGTGTCCTCGCCATCACCTAAATGTGACTCAGTCTGTTCCACTGTAATATGTTGTGAATTTCCTTGTACTGTACTTTTATTGTTGGTCTTCTTGCATCGATGATCCAACAGCAACACCATTTTTAAATTATTGTGAAAAGATTAACTGGCAATGTACAGAGTTTACTCAAAGTTTTCTTAAGGGAAAACACTACAAAAAGTCACAAGGATACCAAATGGAAACACATGATGATGCCTCTGGGTCTGTATGAGACCGTGATGAAGTAGAAATAAAGCCCTTCTGAGATGGCAGCATGTCTCGGTCTCTCATTTCACACACCCTCCATCTTTTCCTAAGGACTCAGATGGAAAGTTTTCCATAGCTAGGGGAATGAGGGAGAGAGGAGATCATGTAAAGAGGCAACAGCTGCTAATATATCTTGCTGGGAATGCACTCTTTGGGTACGTGATCATGTTGCAGTTTTACTGTTCCCCGTAAGAGAGTCCTAGGATAGAGAGACAGCTTTATTGTTGAAAAGCCAAAACTGTGGTGTGGGCAGGGATGTGAGGAAACTGGTTACCTACAAGTCAGAGTGTGCCCGGCCTCTCTGCCCGCTCTGCTCATTAGGAGAGAGGGAGTGGCCAATAACTCTAGAAGAGGCCTTTCCATCTCTGATCCTGAGATGAGCCCGCCTCTCAGTGTTTGGTGGAGTAGAAAGAAGTGATGCTACTGAAGAGCCCAAAAAGAATGATTTCAGGCTGAAGCTTCTGGCTTTAGTATTTCATTTAGTGCTTCATTAACCCAACAATTTTCTTCTTATATAGATGAGCTGCTAATGTAATAGGCTATCCTAGCATTACCACAGCTTCATCCTTAAACTGAAATATTTTCAAAAAATAAAAACCAACAAGTGTTGGCAAGGATGTGGAGAAATTGGAACCCTTGAGCACTGTTGGTGGGAAAGTAAAATGGCCCAGCTGCTGTGGAAGACAGTATGACTTCCTCAAAAAGTTAAACATAAAATTACCATAGGATCCAGGGATTCCACTTCTGGGTATACACCCAAAAGGACCAAAAGTAGGGACTCAAACAGGTGTTTGCACACCTATGTTCATAGCAGCATTATTCATAATAGCCAAAAGGTGGAAACACTTCAGTTGTCCATTGACAGATGAATGGATCAACAAAATGTGGTATATACATATAAAGGGATACTATTCAGCCCTAAAAAAGGTAAATTCTGACGTACTACAACATGGATGAACCTTGAGGACATTATTCTAAGTGAAATAAGCCAACCACAAAATGGCAATTATTGTTTGGTTCCATGTATCTCGTTTATATATCAAGAGTAGTCAGAGTCAAAGAGAGAAAGGAAAACAGTGGTTATCAAGGGTTGAGGAGGGAATGGGGAATTGGTGTGTAATGGGTACACAGTGTCAGTTCAGGATGATGAAAGAGTCCTGGAAATGGGCAGTGGTGATGGTGCACAGTGAATATACTTGATGCCACTGAGTTGTACACTTAAAAATGGTTAAAATGATAAATGGCCTATAGATTTTACCACAATAAAAACTTTTTTTTTTTTTTGAGGTGGAGTCTCACTCTGTTGCCCAGGCTGGAGTGCAGTGGCGCCATCTCGGCTCACTGCAAGCTCCGCCTCCCGGGTTCACGCCATTCTCCTGCCTCAGCCTCCCGAGTAGCTGGGACTACAGGCGCCAGCCACCACGCCCAGCTAATTTTTTGTATTTTTTTTTTTTTAGTAGAGACGGGGTTTCACTCTGTTAGCCAGGATAGTCTTGATCTCCTGACCTCGTGATCCACCTGCCTCCGCCTCCCAAAGTGCTGGGATTACAGGCGTGAGCCACCATGCCCAGCTTAAAAACTTTTTTTTGAGATGGAGTTTCGTTCTTGTTGCCCCAACTGGAGTGCAATGGCGTGATCTCAGTTCACCACAACCTCCGCCTTCTGGGTTCAAGAGATTCTCCTGCCTCAGCCTCCCAAGTAGCTGGGATTACAGGCATGTGCCACCACGCCCAGCTAATTTTGTATTTTTAGTAGAGATGGGGTTTCTCCATGTTGGTCAGGCTGGTCTCGAACTCCCGACCTCAGAGGATCTGTCTGCCTCGGCCTCCCAAAGTGCGGGGATTACAGGCATAAGCCACCGTGCCTGGCCAATAAAAACTTCCAATAAATGCAAAATATAAATATTTCACTTTATCACTCTAGATATACCTGCAAACAAACAATCAGCAGGTCAGTAAATATTCATTGCCTATTCTGTGCAGATTGCAAATGCTGAGAGGTACATTGGTATTCCTTCAATTGGAAGCAACCAGCCACCAACAAGAAGGGAAGTTGTGGCTGTCACGACTGAGAGCCTCAAACCGTGCCATCAGGACTTTGCTCAGTCTCCTAACTCTGTCTACTCTGTATGGCTTTATACTCAGACAAGCATCACAAAAATTGGCAACAATGGTCCCTAGCTGCTGCTATTAGTTTAGCAACTCCTAGAGAAAGGGGATCTCTTACCAGGAGCTCCAGTGAAAGCCCAGGACCGATGATTCTCATTTGGTAGGGATTAAGTCTCATGTCTGGCTCTGAGCCAATCGTGGTGACGGGAAGACCCAGCAAAGGAAAAGCAGGGTACGATTAGAATAGAGGGCGTCAGAAAGGCAGTAAAGGCGTATACCACTGTGGGACACCCCAAAATTGCAAGGAAAAAGCTCTGAGCACCACAGAACTTGCCAACTGGTTGGAAGAGATAACATTCCCAGGCACAATAACAATAAAATGAAAAATGGTGTGGTAGAAATTCTAAGTACAGTAGGGCTTGAGTTAGGCTTGGCAGTACGGGAAGCATTCCAATGTGCAGGAGGAGAAGCAAGTGGGAGGTGGGAGGAGCAGAGGTGTGAGGGGCAGTAATAGACACAGGTCGCATTGGGCAGTGATGCAGAAACCAGGCTGGGAGCAGAACTTTCATCAAAAAAGCCACATCTGGCAGCACCAGTGCCTTGAAAAGCCGTCTGGGAACTTCTTCTCACATCTTATTTTCTAAAAGTTGGACATGTGTATTCTTAAGTCTAGGGTGGAAGCACTCCAACTGTTAAAGGCCAGGCAAGACAGTAGGATGAAATCATTTTCCACACCACTGTCCAGATGAATGCCAAGGCTGCTATGTGGGTCACACATGGTGTGAAAGGGGAGCAGCTGCCTGAAGGGAATGGCTTCATGAGCTGCCATGAATGTGCCAGTTGCTTTTATGCCCTAAAGAAAGCAGCAGAAGATTCCTCAAACATAGCCACAGACCACACGTCAGGCGTGCCCTGCCTCCTGGGTAACAGCCAGCACCACCAGCCCAGAGACATTTCTTGTCCAACTGCAGCCAAATTGGGCAATAGTGGCCACATTTCACCCTCTCTTCTTATCAGGAGGTAACATGTCAGCGTTTTCAGTATTATGCATCTATTTTTTATATCTGTGTACATCGTAATTCTATTTCTTAAACACATTTGCTTCAACCTTTTTTCCTGTAGAATGGCCTGTAATTCTTATGTAATACATTTGTTTCACCCTTTTTGTTCCTATACAATGAATGTAATGTTTACAAACTCCTTATTTTTTAAATTTAATTTGTTTTTAATTGTATATATTTAAGGTGTACATGATGTTTTGATATGCATATACAGAGTAAAATGACTACTATAGTCAAGGCAATTAACATATTAACATCTCACATAGCTATGGCAAGAGCACCTAAAATTTACTCTTTTAGCAAAAATCCCAAATACAATATTATTAGCTATAGTCCTTATGTTGTACATTAGATCTCTGCACTTTATTAAGCATGATAGAGTTATGCTTATTTATTTTGTTTAAAAAGCAACTAAGAAGTACAACTACCATTTTCTATTTTCCAGTTCACTGTTTTAAACTGTGGTAAAATACCCGTAACATTTATCATTCTTGCCATTTCAAAGTGTACAATTCAGTGGCATTTAGTATATTCACAATGTTGTGCAGTCACTACCACTATCTACTTACAGAATATTGTCATCACCTGAAAGGAAACCCCATATGCATTAAGCAGTCACTGCACCCAGCCCCTGGCACCCACTCATCTAATTCTGTCTCCATGGATTTGCCTATTCAGGATAGTTCATGTAAATGGAATCATGTATCATGTGGCTTTTTGTGTCTGGCTTCTTTCAATTAGCATAAAGTTTTGTTTTTTGTTTTTTGTTTTTGAGTTGGAGTCTCACTATGTTGCCCAGGCTGGAGTGCAGTGGTGCGATCTTGGCTCACTGCAACCTCTGCCCTCTGAGTTCAAGCGGTTCCCCTGCCTCAGCCTCCTGAGTAGCTGGGATTACAGGTGCCTGCCACCACGCCCAGCTAATTTTTTGTATTTTTAGTAGAGACGGGGTTTCACCATCTTGGCCAGGCTGGTCTTGAACTCCTGACCTCGTGATCCACCCGCCTTGGCCTCCGAAAGTGCTGGGATTAAGGCGTGAGCCACTGTGCCCAGCCTCAGTTAGCATAAAGTTATCAAGGTTCATCTGACACAGGATTTTTCTCAGCCACTTTGCCAACCAGGGACCTCCATGGCCAGAGATGCCCCCCTGCTGCCCGTGTCTCATTCAACCCCGGGCCTGCCACTGGAGGTACCCCACCCACTAAGCCCACCTGTGTTATAGCTTATACCCATGTTTGGCAGTTCCTGAACTCTTGTCCCACATCCAAGAAGAATAAAGATACACTGACAATTTGAAGGGTAAGGAGGGCAGAGAATAATTTTATTGAGTGATGGAACAGCTCTCAGCAGAGAGGGGCCATGGGGGTGGTCCTCCACCTCCATGGTTAGGTGGTTCCTCTCTCAGTGTGGCTGGGTCTGGGACTTTTATGGGCTCAGAATAGGGAGTGTGTGCTGACTGGTTTGTGAGTATGCAAAAAATATCAAAATGAAGACACTGCTCAAAGGTGGGCATGACAGTGTAGAAAACCAATTAGGAAAGGGTAGGTATATGTAAAATAGGTGAAAGGTGGGGATCAATCAAAGGAAAGCACACCAAATGGGAAGACAGGTTCTCAATCCGGTTCATGGATTTGACTTTTAGCTTGACTTTCAGGCTTTAACTGTCTTTGGCTTGGAGGTGGGATTTCACCAGGGACCTGCCCCATCTGCCTAGGCATTTGCCTGCCTCCTGCCATTATCACATCCATGTTGTAACATGTATCATTCATTCCATAAGGCTGCATAATATTCCACTGTGTAGATATATCACATTTTATTTATCCATTCATTGGTAATGGTATGTGTCTATCTGTAAAACAAAACCTTTGATTACCTTGTTTTATTTATTTTTAGAGACAGTCTCACCCTGTCACACAGGCTGGAGTCCAGTGGCACCATCACAGCTCTCAGGCTCAAGCAACACACCGCCACAACAAACTAACTTTAAAGAAAAATGTATTGTGTGGGCAGGGGTGGTAGAGGAGGAAGGTTGTTTCAGCGGGGGGAGGGTGTCTCGCTATGTTGCCCAGGCTCCTCTCCTACCTTGGCCTCCCAAAGGATTGGGATTACAGGTGTGACCCATTGCACCTGGCTGGTTACCTTAAACATCTTTAAGCATTCCCCCCAAAGAAGGTAATTCACAGTGAATCATTAGAACACTCAACAATCAGTTTACATGATTTAGGCACTTTGATGTCTTTAATCTTAAATCTTTCATCTTAGTTGTTTCAAGAGACCACCAATAGATATTTTATACTTGTCATGCTCTTCTTTGATTGCATTTAATCCTTTCAGCATCATTCTTTGAATGCAGTGTGTATCAGAATCCAGTATAGCAGGAAATTAGGCTCTGAATCATACACAAACTGGTCACTTGAGTGAATTTGATGACCATGGGTCTTTAGTGCACTCTGGTTCACTAAAATCAAGTGGCACTGAGAGTGACAAATCAGGATTTGAATCCTGGTTCACACACTTAAAGTAATGCAACCTCAGGCCATCTCTTTAATACTTATTTGTTTTTGTTCTGTTTTGTTTTGTTTGAGATGGAGTTTTGCTCTTGTTGCCTAGGCTGGAGTGCAATGGCGCAATCTCAGTTCACTGCAACCTCCACCTCCGGGTTTAAGCAATGATTCTCCTGCCTCAGCCTCCCGAGTAGCTGGGATTATAGGCATGCACCATTACGCCCAGCTAATTTTTGTGTTTTTAGTAGAGACAGGGTTTCACCATGTTGGCCAGGCTGGTCTTGAACTCCTGACCTCAGGTGATCCACCGCCTCGGCCTCCCAAAGTGCTGGGATTACAGGCATGAGCCACCACGCCCAGCCAAGACTTATTTGAAAAACAGCAACAATAATACTTCCCAGGGCTATTGTAAGGATTAAGGTTTGTTGTTTACCTATTGTGTGCAAGATACCATTCTAAGAATTGCAAACACCAGAGATAAACAGAAAAGACAAGCTCCCTGCCTTGTGAAGCTTAGTTATGAGAAACACATAGCAAACAGGGCTAAGTGGGATAGAGAACTAAGAGGCTTCCCTGGGTAGGTGCCGTTTGATCTGAGGCCTATGAACAAAAATCTGTCTACCAGGTAGAGGGAAGAGCTGGTGGAAAGTTGAGATGGGTTGGGGGGCATGAACTTGGTGTGTTCCAGGAAGTGGACGAAGGCCACTGTGGTCACAGCAAGGTGGGCAAGGGCACCAGAGAGGGGCAGGAGGAGGGGTCAGGGAGCTTAAAAGAGGCCTAGTGGTCCACAGTAAAGGGTTTAGATTTTGTTCTAGGTGAGGGGGAAAAAAAAGCCATTGGAAGATAAAAAGCAAGGAGTTACAAAATGTGATTTGCATTTTTAGATTACTGTGTTAAGGATTAGAAGTGGATGAGATTGGAAGGCTTCCAGATGCAAGGCTGTGGTGTTGACCCAGGGAAGCACCAACGATGGCTTGAACAGGTTTTCTGCTGCTGTTATCAGCCTCACCACCACCAGGCCAGCCGCATGCTGCTTGGCAGGAACCACGATCTAGCAGGCCCTGCTGCCAAACTCCAGAATCTACCCCAGCTGTTCAGCTAGAAACTGAAGGAAGCCCTTGGTTATTCTTCTGCTGCCTCTCAGTCCAGGCCAGTCTTCCTGCAAATGGCCTTGGGCCAAGAAGAACCTTCCAAACCCCATTCTCTTCAGGGCACAGGATTGCACAGCAAGCTTCACAGGCCTTTCTACCTTGTCTTTTTAAGGTGCAAACGCCTTCTCCAACTTTTAGGTTGGGGCTTCCAAACTATTATCAGTCATTTATAATTTGGTAAAAATGAGTTCCTTCTCTTTAAATTTTTTTTCATCAGGGGACAACTGAGGTCTCTGAGTGTGGGGCTGGGTAGGCACAGCTCTCGATGCTACTGCACAGTCTAATCTGAGAGAATAGAAAAGGAGCACAAAGAAAGCTGACTGCTTCTTTTTCCTAGGCCCAGTTCTGTCTATTAGATTGAAAGGCCCCAGTTCTGTCTATTAGTTTGAAAAAACCCACTCCACTTCAAAGACAGAGGCTTCTATAACTTCCCAGCAAGCTAATGAACTTCAACAGGGGTCCAGGAATCCAAATAAAAGTTCATAATTCTCATGGTAATCCCAGAATGAATTCATCAATCATCAGTGGCCCCAGATCTACAGGCCAATCCCAGCCCATGTGGTCCCCTATAAATATCATTTTAAATTGGTTAAAATAAAAACAAAGCACTGAGGAAGCGATGATAAAATCAGTGCACCTAAAAGTAGCCGTTGGAATGATAAATGCCAAATTTCGGGAGAGTGATGTAAGCAATTATCTATAAAACTGCTTGTATTTCTTGAGTCATTTCATTTAAGGGAATTTACCCCAAATAACCCCAATGAAATCAAACTAATTTACAGAATATATTTGTAGCAGTACAATACCGTAAAATTTGGAAACAGGCTAATCAAATTATGGTCCATCAACAGGTTTCACTACTGTGCTTGTTCACCTAATAAACACTCCTAATGGCCAAGTACTGGGCTAGCCTGGTGAGGAAACAAAGCTAACCACGACCTACCTGCTCCCCAGGGGCTCCTGACCTAGTTGAGGGAGTTCAATTACCTGGGCTCCAATCCTGCTCCAGTGCTTTCTCACTGAATGGCCTGTGGAAAGTACCTACTCCTGAGCCTGAGTTGTCTCATATGCGAAATGGAAGTAATAACAGTAATCACTGTTAGGCAGGTTATGAGGACTAAACAAGATAATACTGGTTAAGCACTTAGAATAGTACCTGGTACTAAATTTTGTTAAAAGAAGTAATTGTATAAATGGCAAATTATAACACAATATGAAAAGTGCTATAATAGTATATGTAAGTATACAGTGAGGACATAAAGGGCTTCATTCTGTCTGGGAGGATGGTCTAGGAAGACCTCACACTGACCTGTTTGGTAAGAGTCCTTTGTAGAATGCATAAGATTTCTGCAGGTAGAAATGGTGAGGGAACAGAAAGAGTGAGAGAGAAAATTTCAAAATGTACTACCTAGGTTATGCATGTAATACTCCTTTCGGATTTTGCAAGATAAATATAAAACCCAAGTGGGGAAAAGGAGCTCAGCCCTCCTGATACCCAGGACCCTGCCATCCATCCTAACATAGTAATCCCCTAGTAACAGCTAACAGCATGCAGTGCATGCCCTAGCAGAACACCAGTTTACTCCTTTCCAGGCATACCATCTTCTATGGCATTTTGTAGGAACAGTCACCTTTCATCCTATTCCCGTGAAAAACTCTCCCTCCTTACACCCCATCAGTTCATGTCAACTTCCTCCAGCGTGTCCTACTGACATGGGCAGCAACATCCATACTGTCTTGTGGGTTTGTGGCTGTTTACTTGTGAGATACACTCTAGACAGGTGCCAAAGTTCTCAGGGTAGTGCTAACAAAAAGGAGATATATATAAATTTTGTTGTGTTAGTCATTAGAGCTGTTCAAAATATTCCATTTGCTCCCTCTGAAGACATAATAAAATCACACTTTTCCACTGCCCTTTGAAGTGAGGTACAGTTCTTTGGCCAATAAAATGTGAACAGTAGCCACATGTGTCACTTCCTGCGGGAAGTTTTTAGAGCCAATGCCCACTTACCATATTCCTTTTTCTGCTTCAGCAATTGTAGAAGCATCACATGAGGGGATCCTTCAGTGACCGGGATGCATGGACTCACTTTATGAAGCATGAGTGAAAAATGAGCTCTTACTACGTTACACCACTGAGATTTGGGGAATTGTTCATTAATGCGGCATAACCTGGCCAATACTGACTGAATAACTGTCTAAAAAAATGGAAATACATATATAAGTAACATCAGGGAAAGAAATCAAAACAGAAGACAGAATTTCCACAGCATATAAAAATGCCACTTCACATTAACAGAGGTAAAAGAATTTCAAGCTCTCCAAAGATTTTTTCTCCCTTATTCAACTCTCTGACTTCATAATAAAATAAACTTTCAGTTCCTTTGGCTAAGAGGTAGATGAAAGTAGAATTGAGCTCACTAGTGAACTAGCTACGCATATGAGGCAAAAGGACTGGGCTAAATATTCCCAGGATGCTGCTCCTACACTTACTCCTTTTTCCTCCAAACACTTGTTGAAAAAGTACAGGTTGCATTCCTCCCTTGAGCCAGCACACTGAGACAAAGGTGAATAGTAATTTTCCTAGGGAATTACAAATGCAAGTGGGAAGGGACCTTAAGAACATCCTAACCAAACCTTCATTTTATACATACTTTCAATAACCGCCCACATTCTCTAGCTGCTTACTAGTGCCGGGTGCTTTCCCTATAACGTGGCACAGCAGTCTCTACCTGGCTGCATCTTAGAATCATCTAGAGTGACTTAAGGCTCCACCCCAGACCAAGCAAATCAGAATCTCTTGGATGTGGCTTCTGGTAATATTTTAAATGTTTCCCCTTGTGACTCTAATGAGCAGCTGGGATCAACAGCCAACAGTAGAGGAGAATTTCTTAAGCTAGTGGTTCCTAAACTATAATGCACACTGGATCACCAGGGAGTTTCAAAAACCCTGATGCCTGGCCAGGCACAGTGGCTCATGCCTGTAATCCTAGTACTTCGGGAGGATCCCCTGAGGCCAGGAGTTTGAGACCAGCCTGGTCAATATAGTGAGACTCCATCTCTACAAAAAATAAAACAATTAGCCAGGTGTGGTGATGCATAGCTGTAGTTCCAGCTACTCTAGAGGCGGAGGCGGGAGGATCACTCGAGCCCAGGAGTTTGAGGCTGCAGTGAGCAATGACCACATTACCACACTACCAGCCTAGGTGACAGACCAAGACCTTGTCTAAAAAAAAAAAAAAAAATCAATGCCTGGCCCCACCCGAGACCTCCTGATGTAACTGGTCTGGGGTGAGATCTGGGCATCAGAACTTTTTAAAGCTGCCTAGGTAATTCCACTTTGCAGCAACATTTGGGAGCCATGGTGGTAAGCGGATTTAAGAGTCTGAGGTCTGGTCAGACAGACATGGGTGCAAATTCTCCCTACCATACTGTGTGATCTTGGGCATTGTTCCTTGCCCTCTCTGGAGTTGAGTTTTCTCATGTTGTCAAGTGGGAGAACGACAGCATCTTTCCAAGGTGGCTCTGAGGGACTAATGAGGCTGTGAGTGACTGCAGGACCTGTCACATGAGAACTGCTCAACAAGTGCAAGTTGCTGTTGTCTCACTGAATTCTTCCAGTCAACCTGCCAATCAAGGTGACTGCCCTACTTTTATAGCTACAGGAACTGAGGATCAGAAAGGTATTTGGCTGTCTCAAGATTACACAGTAATTACCAGCAAAGCAGGCTTTCACACCAATGCTATACTGACCAGGTACTTGCAAGCTGACCCCAAACCCACTGCAATAACCACCCCTCTGGGAAAGCAAATGGAGCCAGGCTGCACGTTGTTGAACTGGCCTCACTAAAGGACACGATGTAGGCTGTCATGGTGGACCTGGGCCCATCTCAGCTCACCAGCTTCTGCCCTAGAGCTTAATAGACTAAATTACGTCTTGAATTTCACCGACTTCATTTCATCTCTTTTCAAGGTTGCAAAATAGCCTCAAATGACCTATTTGACCAGAATCCTTTCCTCAGTGTATTCTAGAAAAGCAATAGCTACTGATGACTGTTTCTTTTATTAATGTGGTACCATTTCTAAAGGGATCATGGCCTGTTAAATCCTCACATAACTCATGACAGAAGGATGAACTCAGACACTACTGACACATTATTATATTTGCCAAATGGCTTATGGAGAAGACAGGGAATTTGCCTAAAGCACTTCTACACCCTGAAGTATATATAATACTTTGACCCAATGTGTGAAAAAAGTATACAACCACAGTACTAGATGGGGTACCCAGCACCCTTAGGACCACAGGTTTACTTTGTTTACTGAAAACGTGTGTTCATCACTAAGAAGATGCCATCAGTGCACCGCCCCAGGTACCCCCACCAAGGCCCCGCCCTGTGTGAGGGCTGAAATCTTGGGGAAAGGAAGACAAGTGTTCAGCTCATCTTCTCTCATCTCCATCATCCTCTTACTCCTATATCTGGACATACACAATTGACTTTTCCCTGCTATGTAAAGTGACACAACCATTTCCAGAAATTCCCTCATCCCCATTCAATTAGAATGAAACCCCTACGCTGCCCCTACATAGGAACTCCGGAACAGCCACAACCGTGCTAAGGCAAAATTTCCCCTGCAAAGACGAGGAGCTACAGGGTTGCAGGACTAACTGCCTGTGCTGGTAATTTTGATGCCCCCAAGAATGCAGAAGGGATTTCTGCATGTGAAAAGCCACCATCCTCTTGGCCATAGAAAGGACCTACCAGTCACTTCTTGCCTTGCTGGCTCCACCATGAACGTGAACAAGGCCACTTCTAGACCCTACTGGCTGCAAACACTCCAAATAACAAAGCAAAAGCATCATCCCCCTGAGAACACTGTGTCCCTAAAAGTCAAATCTAAATTGAACTGAATTATCAGAGCCATGACAGATCTTGTCTAATTTTACCCTGCCCCACTTAGGGGAGGAGCCAGAACCAAGCTGATGTTTTAAAAATGAAATTTGGGACACTGTACTCAAGGCACAAATGCCCCATAAAGCAGCCTCAAAACCGATAGTTTCAAGATTCAATCCAATGATTAACTTGCTGTCTGTGAGATCAGACAGGCAGCAAAGTGCATCCACGGCAGTCAAGGCAAAGGCTGCAGTTAACACCTAAGCACGACATTGGCGCCCGGGGGGCTGCAGGCGGGGCAGTGACGCGAGTGGCCCAGTGAGGTACAGGAGCCCGCCTTGTTGCCTAGCAATGCCGTGCAGACGTCACTCTTTGGAGCATCAGTAGCCACAACCGGTTAACACATTACTCTGGCATTTCAACAAAGCATAAAATGAGCTTTCAATCACTGCTCCAGGTGGCAGATAAAATGCAGCGGATGGGGCATGTGCGTCAGAGGCAAGAACCCCTACCTCTGCCTCTGCATTTAAGATGACAAGATATTCTTCCCCAGGGCGGAAGCGCACCTTGTGTGTGTCCGGCCAGGTGGTGCAGCCCAGCAGGCTGCTGTGCACTTGCCAGGGAAGGCTGGTTTCTGCTTCCAGCTTCCGCAGGCTAATGCCGCTCTGCCACGTGCAGTGAGAGGAAAGCTAAGGCAACTTACTGTCCTTGCTGGAACCACGAATTAACAAATTAGGGCTTAATGGGCACACTGGCTTGTAGGCCCCACGGAAACAGGAGAGGTCTCTTCCTTGTGACCTCACAGTGTTCTGCATAAGTTTAGGTGACCTTCAATAAATGCTTGTTGGATCCAATACCCTCATTTATGATTCTGGGGGGAGTAGGTGCATTAAAATTTAAGGAATATGTAAAAAAGGACACCCTGTCATTTGAGACATGGATGAACCCGGTGCATTATTTTAAGCGAAATGAGCCAAGCCCAGAAAGACAAATACTACGTGATCTCACTTATATGTGGAATCTAAAAAAATTGAACTCATAGAAACAGAGAATAGAGGTTACCAGGGCTGCGGGGGTGGGGGTGGGTTGAGGAGATGTTGATCAAAGTATAACATCAGGAGGAATTAGTCAGGAGGAATATGTTCAGGACATCTGCTATACAACATGGTGACTGTGGTTAAGAACAATGTACGGTATAATTGAAAACTGCTAGGAGAATTGATTTTAAATGTTCTCATCACACCAAAAAAGATAAGTACGTGAGGTAAATGATATGTTAATTAGCTTGATTTAGTCATTCCACAATATATACATATATCAAAATATCACGGCCGGACGCGGTGGCTCATGCCTGTAATCCTAGCACTTTGGGAGGCTGACACAGGCAGATCACTTGAGCTCAGGAGTTCAAAACCAACCTGGGCAACATGGTGAAACCCCATCTCTACAAAAAAAAGAAAAATACAGAAAATTAGCCAGGCACGGTGTTGTATACCTGTAGTCTCAGCTACTTGGGAGGCTGAGGTGGGAGGATCACTTGAGCCTGGGAGGCAGGGGTTGTAGTGAACGGAGATGGCACCACTGCACTCCAGCCTGGGTGGCAGAGCCAGACCCTGTTAAAAAAAAAAAAAAAAAAAAAAAACCCATCATGCTGTACAACATAAATATGTATAATTTTTACTTGTCAATTTAAAAATAAAAAATATAGGTTGGTCACAGTGGCTCATGCTTACAATCCCAGCACTTCAAGAGGCTGAGGTGGGAGAATTGCTTGAGCTCCAGTTGAAGACCAGCCTGGGCAACATAGCAAGAACCCATTTCTACAAAAAACATTTTAAAAATTAGCCAGGTGTGGTGTCATGTGCCTGTAGTCCCAGCTACTCAGGAGGCCGAGGCAGGAGGATTGCTTGAGCCAAGGAGTTTGAGGCTGCAGTGAGCTATGATCATGCCACTGCACTCCAGCCTGGGTGACAGAGAGACCCTGTCTCTAAAAAATAATTAAAGAAAGAAAGAAAAAGTAAAACATAAAAATAAAAAATTATAAAATGTAAAGAACATAGCCTAAGCCATATAACCTGAAAGACTCATTGCGTAGCATAAACACACGTGATAATAAGCACATTGTAATGCTAATAACTACAGTGCATATGCTAACTGATGGTTTCACAAAGTGCTGTTATACACATCATTCCCTGACTGTTCAGGACTTGGGGACCTGAATGAAGCACGTTTTCACACTCAGTCACTTTCTCAGCCCTGTCTACAACTCTCCCTTGCTTAGGTCTTCTCCTTGTCACTAAGGTGCTCACGAAGCTACTAACTGCTCTCCCTGGGAGGCTCTCAGAGGGCCCTGCTCCCCTCAGATTCCCCTTGAGGGGCTTCCAGAAGACATCAAAACAGGTCCTGAGCTATTCCAGACTCAAGGGAAAGGGGAGACAGGAAAAGGAGGTGTCAGAAACGTCACCTCTCTCCTCTACCTCCAGTAAACCGCCTCCACTTAGTCCCCAGAATTATTGGCTGGGCCAAATATGTCTAAGTCTTTTAATCAATAATAAACAAACATGATAACAATTACTTATTAAGCACTTGACCATGTGCCACGTATTATCTCATATAATACAACAATCCTAAGCATCTTTTTTCTCCCCCTAAGCGTCTTGTAGATGAGGAAATGGAGACTCAGAGAGGTGAGGTCACTTATAGGGAGTAAGAGTGGAACCAGCAATTCAGATCCTGGACCATCAGACCCAAAACCCATGCTTGTAGCCAAGCCAGCTCATGCTCCTTCTGCGTGACTCAGCCTCTCTGCCCTGATTCCATACAGAAATCTCCCAGCAGCACTTCTGAATATCTCCAGAAATGCATCATTACTACTATTGTTCCCTACCCATGCCCCACTTGGGGACCATCAGTGAAAGGTAGCAGAGAGGTTTCACATCCGTGTATTCATTCACTCAGCAAACATTTCAGGAGTACCCACCCTGACTGGCCACTCTTCTACACTCTGGGCACAAAGTCAAAGAAAACCTAGTTCCTGCACTCAAGAGAAGGAGACACATATCCAAGCAAATACATTCAGAAGAGCATGTTAGACAAGGCAGGGAGAGGCCCGAGAGGCTTGGGGAAAGGCGTAGCCACTCTACTGGTAGCTCAGCAATGACATCACAGAGTAGATGAGACATTCAAGTCCTGTCATCATCTTCAAGTAAGACTGATTAAGCCCCATGGGTGGTATGTCCAGGGTTCATACCCAGAGACCTTACAAACAGACAACTCCCTTAGTCCTGGAGAGACAAATCCTATCCCAGCCCCTGCACAGTGGCCCCTTGTCTGCAATCATTTGGCAGATATTTCAGCTCTACCTTGTGCTTGGTGCTCTGCAAGGGGCTGGACATACTGCAGGAACCAGAGGAGACCAGGTTCCCAGCTTCACGGAGCTAACGGCTTTGTCACCAGACCTGTCACACACCGAAAAACTGCCCAGGCATTTGTTAAAGCATTGACTCTTAACAGGAATTTTTTGTGGTGCAATTTGAAAAGCTGGCACATGCACTGTTGCAAACAAACTAGTTTAAGTCAGAGCTCTTGCACCAGATGCTGTGGGTGATGTGAGGACAGAGGCATGGCCAGTATCTGCAGCGGCCCAGGGCCAAGAGCCTTGACATGTTGATGTTTGCCAAGCAGTGTGCTTCTGTAAGGTGACATTTTGTTAAAAATAGGTGATCTGTGTGAATGAGCCCATTTCTCAAAGTCTTCCAGGAAATACGATATGTACATATTTCATTCCCATCCTCATCACTACCCTCCAATATCCATTCTTCTATTAATTGTGCAGGTAAGGCTATCATGAAGAGTTTACAATGAGTGGATAATAAATGAGCAGGGCTTGGAGTAGGATGTGCATAAAATCCCAACTGTATTTGAAACTACTGTTGGACTCTGATAACTCTAGCGCCTATCCTGCCAGCCAAGCAAGATGATAAACAGATGTTCAATGTCTCTGCCTCAATTCTCAGTTTCACTCTTATTATTACTATTTCTTCCCGTTTATTCAGTCATCTTTCTGTCCAGCCCCAACCTCGCATCCATCCATCCATCCATCCTCCATTCACATCATTCTCTCGTTCATTCCGGGGCACTGGTTATTAAGAGATCCCCAGTGCATCCTCCTGGCTCAGAATAAGAGATGATTCTGCAGAGAAAGAAAGAAGGCTATAGTGAGGAAGCTTGTATGAGTAATAAAATAACAGCAGCAAGGCTTGTGAGAAGATATTTTCTGGAAAGCTCTGTCTGATAATAGACTCATGGCTCCCACAGGGAAGAGCTACTTGGTAAGCCTCCAGCTGGGTGTTACAGTTATACCCACACAAGATGCCCCCCAGGAATCCTGCCACCCCTAAAGCCACACTTCCTTCCCAAGCAGACCAGCCCCAACTCTGAGGGAGTCACAGCTCTGGGCCAGGTGGCTACCCTCCATGAAGCAGGTAGGGGAAATCTTTCTCCTCCTCCTTCTAAGGCAGCTCCTGTTCATGGACTGTACACCAAGATCTCCTAGGGCAAGGAGTGATGCTATTTCATACCACTTGCTATTTCTTACCCGAATGAAGTGTAAGAGAGTGAGTTAAGAGTACAGCTCATGCAGGCCTTTTGTGCCAACCTATCAGTCATGATATGATTCTACATAGAACCCAAATCCAACAACAATACTACCTTCCTTCCAACTTCTGATCATACACTGCTGCTAAATTACCCCCAGGAAGCTTGCATCGCACCGTGCATCCACCTTGTGTGTGTGCAGTCTCCCAGTGTACTCTGTTATTATGTGACTATATGTCCAGTTTAAAGTCTGATTACAGATCCATACTGTAGTCAGGATTCTTTCACTCAGTTAATCAACAAAGATTAACTCTCCACCACATCTCTATCTCGGAGCCAGAGATACAGAAATGAGCATGTAGAGAAGTGGTTCAAGGGACTCCTCAGAGTCCAGTGGAGGAGAAAGGTGTAAATCCACTTTACTATAGCACAAGGTACTATGGTGATGGACAGGGTAGACCTAATTCTACCTTGGGGGTAGCAAACACAAACAAAAGGGAACTCCATGAATGTCACTTTCTGGAGATAACTATTTTCACCTACTTAGGGATGAGACTCTTGACTTAGATAGGGCTCACCTTTCTCATTCATGTTTCCTATATGAAAAATATCTAGCTAGACTCTTTAATTCAGAACTTTATGGGTGTGACAAATGATTGAAGAAGTATTACAATGTAGCATCCACATTAGAGTCAATGAGTGAATCATGAACTCTGATTGTGGCTTGCAGCCTTCTTGTCATTAAGGAGGCAGTGATGCCTGCTAACTAGTGTGGCCAGGGGAAGTATGGTATGTAGGCTCATCTCATGCTCTGCAGTGCCTTCCTGCCTGGGCTGCCAGGTCTGATTCATCCAAGGCTTCTGCTGACACAAGCGCTAAGAGAACCATCTTCATGCACTGGCCTCTCTGAATGGGCATGCATCCCTCCAGTGAGCTCTACGAGGTGCTGTCTCCAAAGTTGCAGCCTCATCTCTCAAAACTGAGTGCTCTGCTTGGTGTCACTGCTCCATCTGCAGAGTCAGAGGTCTTGGTAAAATTGTTGTCCTCCTGGGCTACAGCTGCTGTGATGAGAGAAACTGGGCTTCCCTTTGAAATATGATCTGCAAAAATATGATTACATAGACACAAAGACACAAACAATTTCTGTGTAGCCCATGGAATGACAGGTCACCATGTAACTCTGAATCACTTCATGATGTATATTGCATGGGCTATGGAGGGTGGAAAGAAGTATGGATAAAGAAGGAAATTATACCAAGATAGAATTTGGAAGAAGCAGGACTGAAGTCTCAAGGAGGTTGAAATAAACAAAATGGAGAAAAGACAGTTTAACAGGAGATTGTGGCTGTAGACATTAGGACTGAAAATGGCTAACAGGACAGAAAACTCAAAAGAAGAGTGCCTTAAACAAGACTGAGGCTTATTTCTTTCTCATAGAAACGTAGGCAACACAGGGCTGTTACAGAGTGCTATGATCATAAGGGAACCCAGGCTCCTTCTACCTTGTAGCTCCATCACCCTGAACGTCATAGCTTCCAACTCATGGTCCAAAATGGCTGCTCAAGACCCAGTCATCACATCCTTATTCCACCTCGCAAGAAGAAAGAAGAAGTAAAGAATAGATTGCCCCTTTTCTATGGAGACAGTTCTCAGAAGTTGCATACACCACTTCTGCTCGCATCCCATTGAGCTAGAATTTAGTCAGATCACCACACCCACCTAGTAGGGAGGCTGGAAAATATAGGCTTTATTCTGAACAACTTTGTGCCCTTCAGTGACAAATGAAGGCTTTATAGCAGTCTCTGCAAAAGTCCTGTGTAAACACTCAAGTTTAAGATCTCAGAGATGGAGCACTTCCAGGTAAAGACACAATGAAGAATATGACCCCAGGAATAGGTGGTTGAAAGGCAGTCAAATTGAAGGTCATTGACATATTAAAGTCAAGGGACAGTGAGGTTTATTTATGGGATGGATCATTAACAACACAGAAGACGAAGCCACATAGGTTAACTGAAGAGTTAGGGTGAAGAGGAAGATTCGGAGGCCACTGATGATATTGTAGCTATATGGTAGACCTTGAAACCACATGAACCACTGACTTAAGTTTATTCTATAATTATTTCAACTTAAAGAATCAGGAATATTCTCTGCTATTTCACTTTTGATTTCCCATAGTACCGGAGACATTGAACACACTTAATACAAGTTGCGCAAAAGAGTCACAAACCCTCACTAGACCCCAGAAAGATAACCAAATATGTTCTATCCCCCAAAAGCTCTTGCTGACTCAGGCATTAGGAAAATGACAAATATTCTTTCTGTTGTATTGCAGCATTTTGGTAAACTGTCCAGTTTAACAAGCAGCATATTTGAAATATACTACCTGTTCTTTGAAGATTGAAAATAGTCTAGGGAAAAAAATACATAAAACAAGAAAAAATAAGGAAGTTATATGTGTGCTGTGTTACTATAGGAGACTGAGAATAGACTTAAGATTGAGTGCAGCATCTGTTTCCAAAACAGCCAGACAGAAGGGAATTCTCTTCCTATTCTCATTACTAAATACTCAAAAGAATCACTGATTTGGGGAGTAAGGGACAGAGCAACTTCTTTCTCCTTCCTGTGAAGATGAAAAGCCAGCCTGTTGGCTTCCATATGAACTATGCACTTAAAAGGCAACCATCTAAGCAGCTTGGAAGGACTGAGAGTCCTGTGTCTGACTGCTGCCCTCACCGGCAGCAGGGATGCTGAGCCACAGGCCATGTCTTGCCTAGTGCACAAGGGAGGGTCTCATTCTGTCTGCCTTCTCTCTTTCTCCTTCCAAAAGCTGGCTCCAAGGAACTTTTATCTACTCAGTGTTACAAAGAGGAAGACAAATGGGTGAAGTTCCGCCAGCTGAGACAGGGTCAAAATCCTGAAAGGACTTCATGCAGATTCTAAAGCAAGTGAGATCCAAGTCTAATGAGACTATGCAGAGATTGCAAAGAACCTTTCAATGTTCATGCACTACAGAAGATAACCACCTTGGCAATTTTCTTTCTTGAAACCCTTGATTAGAAATCCACTGCCCCCTCCTTTTTATTTATTTTATTTTTTTGTTGAGAACTGTGAGTGTACATATCTAGCTAATATCCATAGCAAGACAGAAAAAATGTATAAGTTATCCTAAGCTTACATTCCAAAGCAAATTTTCTTTTCAAAAACAAAATATAGATAACGGAGTAATTAACAATACCTACGTATCCACCATCAGAATGAATAGTTAAAATCTGTTAGCATTTATATATTATATAAATTACAATTGACCCGCATTACATGTGGTATTTATGTTCTATAGAGTTACCACAAACACTGAATTCTCAATTACCAAACCATTGCTCCTAGAGGAAATACAAGATTAGCTTCCTGTGAGCCTCTGGCGTATGTATCCATGAACAGAATGTGGTATGGTCGTGTAGGGTTTATAAAATGTTTTACACAAACAGTATCATACCATTTCAACATTCTGCAACTTACTTCCTCCACTTAACTGTATGTCTCCAAAGTCTATTTATATTGAAACATATAGATTTAATTAATTGATTGAAACTTCAGTACAGTAATTCCAAGACTCAGCAATTAGATGATATCAATCACCAAGCATTTCAAGCACTTTCAGTGAAAAGGTATTCTTCATCCTATACCTAAAAAGTTGTCTTAAACAAATGTGGTCACAATATTCTTTTGTTAAATCAAATATGATGTAGAATATAATCAACCCCTCAGTACATCAATGTCATCTTCAATCAGGACCACTTCTCTGATGTCATGTCCCATCACTCAACCCCATGCAATTCATGCTGTGGTATACATGCTTTTCATGTCTTTGGCCCTTTCAAATACTATTAGCTCTGACAGGTAGGTTATTCCTTTCCTCCTGTGTCTGGCAAACTCCTAGACAACCTTCCAAACTCAATGCAAATGCCATCTCCAGAGGCAGATTTACTTCAAAGCCAGTGAAATTTAAGCTTCAGGCCTCTCAATTCCACAGGTCTCTACAAAGACCATGGGAGAGATGTAGCAAGGTATCCATGTGCACATTTGCATTTTTGTAAAATCATAGGATTAAGGTTTTTTTTTGTTAATGGGCCATCCAAATTATATAATCTTAAGCTAAATAACAAACAGAGATGGAGACTCTCTAAAGAAAATGATATTTATCTGGGAATAGTATTGTAATAAGAATGTGAATGTCATAATAAACTATGTGCATATTCCAGGAGAGTGGAGCAAGGGGAAGTTTTTATTATTTATTTATTTATTTATTTTGAGATGGAATCTCACTCTGTTGCCCAGGCTGGAGTGCAGTGGTGCAATCTTGGCTCACTGCAACCTCCACCTCCCAGGTTCAAGCGATTCTCGTGCCTCAGTCTCCCGAGTAGCTGAGATTACAGGTGCGCGCCACCACACCTGGCTAATTTTTGTATTTCTAGCAGAGGCGGGGTTTCACCATGTTGGCCAGGCTGGTCTCAAACTCCTGACCTCAAGTGATCCACCCGCCTCAGCCTCCCAAAGTGCTGGGATTACAGGCGTGAGCCACCGCGCCCGGCCAAAGGGGAAGGTTTTAAAGGCAAAATGAGAAGAAATACATCAAGCATTTTGAATCAAGTATCGTTGCCTACAAGGTTCAATAACAAGGGTGGCATCAGTCCAAGGTTAGACGGCAGTTGCTGGATAGACGTCCTTGCAGAAGTATTTTCTATGTAAGGTTACTGTGGCTTTTGTGCAAGGCTGTAGTTTTTGCCATCTTTTGTGACTGTTCTTGTTATGAGGCACACATGCATGAGGACCCTCCCTTCACAGCCTTCTCTGCCCCCATTTGTTAGGATTTTAATTCAAGTGACTCCATTTTGATTCTGACAACCTTCAAAAGCTTCAGAACCCTCTAAACCTCGATCTGCCCTGATCATCACTTTTGTGAAGCTTTCCATGACCTCCTGAAAGGGAAGTCCTCCGAGGTTCCACAGCACTTTATGTCTAATACTTAATATGTTTTAGTATAACTTATCTGCCCAAATAACTGCATAAGATATTAGATAATTTTTGTTCATATGTCTGTCTCAATAGTAGGAATTCAACAAAAACTCGCTAAATGTATATTATTGATGAAAATGTAAACAGAGATTTGTGCATTTATTTGCTGTCTGTTCCATTTTCAGACCCTGCCACCATCCATCTTCAGAAGGAGCCTTCCAACTGCATGCTCACTGCACACCAGCAGACAGGGAGGGGCCAGAGGGAGCCAGATGGCAGCAAGAGGGGAAAGAAGTTTTCAGGAAGGTTATGAGAAAGAATGTGAAGTCAAATCACAAAAGGAATGGGAGTCAAACAGAAATGAGGCTGAGAGTTCTAACAGGGAAGGAGACAATAACATGGACCCATCATCTGGGACGAGTTCATGTTTGAGGTGGTGGGGTAGTTTCATTTAAAAACAAAGGGAAAAGTTCAAAGTACATAAAAAGGAGATATGAAGAAAATAGGTATTTAGTTACAATTGGGTAGATTAAATTTGAGAAACTAGCTAATCCTGCGTCGTAGCACTTGCTGTTTCTTCTGCTGGACAGCCCTCCCTTGTCAGCTCTCACGCATCCTTCAAGAACCAGCTTCACTGTGACTTATCTGAAGCCATTCCTGGGCTTTCCTGCCCGAATGCTCCAGATTTCATTTCTCCCTCTGCTCTGCAACCAAAACTATAAACATAACTACAAGTGTGTTTTTTACTTATTTTAAACATCTGAGTGAGTACTAAACTATGTGTAAATAAACTACTCTTTATATTTTCATCTGATAATTTTAACTTCCCCACAATTAACTACTAAATAGAAAATTTTAGTGTTTTTTATTTCAAGTCATCCTTTTATCCCATGTACCCAAGATAGAGTTATGTTCTAGTAAAATATGACATTGTTCTCCTGGTGAGAGACAAGAAGGCAGGCAAAAGCAAAAGGCAGAACCAAAACACATTTGAAAGCACTTCCCATGGGAAAGAATGTCACATTTGAAAACAGATTCCTCCGTTGTTTCCTTGGTTTAAGCGGAAGTTACTTGTTTGTAAAATTACAGTTGAAACCATTGCTGCAGAGCAAGAGATTCTCTGTTCTCCTGTGGCAGTTATTACTGTGTCCAAGGCAGGCTCAAATAGAATCTCAGATCATTCAAAATTTAAACAGTGAATGCAGCAATCAAAATGTCACTGGGGTAGGGGAATGAATGAATAATTCAGCTAACTAAAGTTAACATTTAGAAAACACCAGACTTGCAAATTCCAGGAGGTAATGAGAGCCTGGAGTAAGATGGTCCCTACCCCTCCGCCACCTGCTGCAATTAAAAACAAACAAGGCTGGGCGCGGTGGCTCACGCCTGTAATCCCAGCACTTTGAGAGGCCGAGGCAGGCGGATCACGAGGTCAGGAGATCGAGACCATCCTGGCTAACATGGTGAAACCCTGTCTTTACTAAAAATACAAAAAAATTAGCCAGGTGTGGTGGCTACTCGGGAGGCTGAAGCAGGAGAATGGCGTGAACCCGGGAGGCAAAGCTTGCAGTGAGCCGAGATCGTGCCACTGCACTCCAGCCTGGGTGACAGAGTGAGACTCCGTCTCAAAAAAAAAAAAAAAAAGACCATGAAATCTGTATGTTGACCTCCTAGACACCCCGCTTTTTGGGGGTGCATTCAGATCTGAGGAGCAGCAGCCAGAGAGTGATCCAAACACCCTGATGGGGCATTCAGGAACATTATTTGATTTCAGTTCATCCAACACTTCCTGAGCTTCTAGCAAGCCAGACACTGGGCTGGGTGCAGGGAATGCACAGATGTGTAAAACCATCACCGCCTTTGAGGAGCTCGTGGTCTGGGAGGGTGGATGACAAAGACTCGGGGATCCTGCATCATGGGAGGGCATAATAAAGCTATGACAAGAACAACAGGATCCCTGAAAGGCCCACCTGCATAGGCTTGTGTTTGTGGTGGGGAGTTGTCTGGTATAAAATCTAGATGGCTGGTGACTGTCAGGGAGCTCCAGCAGCAAACTTGGGGTTCAGGGCCAGGCCCTCATGAGGACAGCTTTGCTCTTTCATCCCACTGTGACTGTAGGTGTGGTATTCTCTCTGCCTAGGATGTCCTCACCTCCTTTGCCCACCTGGAAACCTCTATTCCTCTGCAAGACATCCACATGAGCTTTACTTTCCAGATGAAAGCTCTCTTGGCTGTCCCAGACAGCCTCGGGTGCCCAATTGTCATAAACAAAGACAATGACCACATCCTGCAGTGACAGCTCCTCGTCTGATTCAGTAGATGCTCTGCGAGCAGACAGCGAAGGCCATGTTTCATCTTGTCTGCATGTGCAGAGCCTGACAAGCAAGGCATTCAGCAAATGTTTGTTAAAATGAATGAGGCCGAGTTCTGCTTCGCTTAGGAGGATGTGGATTTCATTCTAATAACGAGAAAAAGCCTGACATTCTAAAACATCGTAAGTTTTCTTGAGCCCATCTGAGGAGGTGAGGCCAGGACACAATGAAGTGAACATAATTCCAAAGAGTGACAAGCGCCTGCGACCAAAGTGGGGGACACACGGTTGTTACGCCTTTGTCAGAAATGGAGGAGGACATGGCTGCCAGAAAAAGCAGGTTGGAAGGAAACAGCTAAAATGGTAATGAATTCTTAAGTGTGGCCTAAGCACAACAATGTTAGCCCCAGACACAAGGAGCGGGCATCCGTACTCACACGCGAGCTCTTTTCCAAGGCCTCCGTGGGGGGCTCCTGAGAAGACTGGGAGGCAGGACGGAAGAGCAGAGAAGCCCCGTCCCCCACCACGAGCCTAACACAGAGTAGCAACAAGCGCGGATGCAGAGTCAGCCCATGAAGGCCAAGGTGGGGAAGGGACACTGAGAAAGCCCAGGACGGTGTGGGCCGCACACGAAGCACAGGGAAGCGGCCCAGAAGGACTCTGCCCTACCCCCGCGGCTGTGAGCGCCCACTTCCGGGTCACTTCCGGGTCCTGGGCGGCCCTCTCCTCTGCGTCCGGCAGGCGGTGGCCTCCGGGGCCTCCATGCGGACTCCTCAGCGGTGACACAACCAGGCTCTGCACGGGTCCCTCCTCCCAGCGCTGCAGCTCGGAGACTCTCCAGACAGTCAGCTGGGGCCGTCGCGGGCCGCCTCACTTGCCTCCCCTGTCAGGGGGATGACTTTCTCATGCTGCCTGTTGCCCAGTGTGGAAGCCATTGGTTCACAGATTTTCCTTAAGGTTTTTAGTATTTTAAGTCTCAGCGGTCAGTCTGGTACTTGTTACATCATCTTGGTCAGAAGCAAATGTTCATTTGATTTTCCACAAAGGTGCTAAAGCAATACAATAAAGAAAATAATGCCTTTTCAATAAATGATATAGAAACAACTAGATTCTCACATGCTAAAAAATAAACCTCAGCACCTACCTCCCATCAAACAGAAAATGTTACATGATGTGTGCGTAAACCTGAACATAGCAGTTAACATAAACATAATAAAGCTTTTAAGGGAAAGCATGTCTCTAAAACTTAAGAGTAGGAAAACATTTCTTAGATAGGAAACAGCAAATAACAATAATAAAAGAAAAAAAATGATAGATTTTATCAAAATTGAAAATTTTTGCTCATCAAATGACAGTTAAGAAAAACAGGCAAGCTGCTGACTTGGATAAAACATTCACACAACTAGAAACTATTATCTAGGATGATAAAGAACTACTATAATTCAATAATAAAAAGACAACTATAAAGTAGTCAATTAATATGATCAGATACTTTACAAGGAAGGTATACATATGGCCAATAAGGACGTAAAAAGTTGTTCAATGCCATTAGTCATCAGGGAGCGGCAAATAATTAAAACCAAAAGACATACCATTACATAGCCACGAGAATGTCTAAAATTAAAAACACTGACAACAACAAATGTTGGTGAGGAAGTGGAGTGACTGGAACTCATATGTTGTTGGTGGAGGTATAGTGGTATCTGGCAGTTTCTTGTAAGACTAAGCATACACCTACCCTACGGCCCAGAAGTTCTATGCTAGGCATTTATCCAAGTGAAATGAAATATATATTTATTAAAAGAGCTCAGATTTATAATATCCAAAACTAAGAAACTCCCAGGTATCTATCAATAGGAAAACAGATATACAAACTGCAGTATATTCGTATAATGTGATGCTGCTCAGTAATAACAAGGAACAAATTACTAATACACAAAACAGCATCAATGAATCTCAAAACCATGCTAAGTGAAAGAAACCAGACAAAAAAGAGTATGTACTACTGTATATATATTATAATTACATTTATTTGAAATCTAGAATAAGCAAAATGAATGTACACAAAAAAGAGAGCTATCCATCAAAAAAAACGGTGATAGAAAATAAATCAGATTGATGGTGCCACTGGGGAGGAAGGAATGGTGGGAATTAGCTGGCATAAGGGACTTTCTGGGATTACGGTACCATTCTATGCCTTGATAGGGGTTTGTGTTGTACAGATTTAGGCAATTATCGAAACTCAACAAATCATAACATTAAATATTCGAGCATTGCTTTGATTGTAAAATTTACCTCAAAAGAAAAAAGTTAAATGGATTGATGGATGAATAGAGGGATGGAAAAATAGATACATATGTGATAAAACAAAGACAGTAAAAAATAGTAAAGTCTAGGTGGTTGGTATACGGATGTTCACTTTAAAATTCCTTCAACTTTTCTTTGTGCCTGAAAATTTCATAATATAAAGTGATGAGAAAAATGTTGTTAAATGAGTAGGGCAAGATGCTAGTCTCAGGCCAAAGTACTAGGACAGGGACTCAAGTACAAGATTATAGGACAAGACCAGTTAAACAAACACAGGGGAATAATAGTAATAATGGCCATCATTTATTTATTGGATACTCACTGTACTGGGCCCTGAACAGGGCACTTCTCAAAACTCAGCTTGCTTAAGCCTTCCAACATACCCATTTTACAGATAAGACACTAAAGCTTAGAGAACTTATATAATTCATCCTAAGCCCCACCCCACAGCCACAAAGTGGGTGAGCCAAGTTGGAGCCCTGGTCTATCAGATCCCAGGCATCATGCTGTTCCTCCTTTGCTATACTTCAGAGGGAAGGCTGGAGCTACTTGAACCAACAGCATTTAAGATTAGAGCAGGGCTGATTTGATGAGTCACTGGGATATTAGAGTCCAATCCTGTGTTGCTTAACATTGGGGATACATTCCAAGAACTGCATCCTTAGGCAGTTTCATCATCGTGTGAACTCATGGAGTTCATTTACACAAACCTAGATGGTGTAGCCTACTACACACTTAGATCATATGCTATAGTCTACTGCTGCTAGGACACAAACCTGTACAGCAAGTTACTGTACTGATTATTGTAGACAATTGAAACACAATGGTAAATATTTTATGTATCTAAACATTTCTAAATATAGAAAAGATACAGTAAGATTTGATATAAAGGTTAAAAAAAAAAGATACTCTTGTATAAAGCACTTGCCATGAATGAAGTTTGCAGGACTGGAGGTTGCTCTGGGTGAGTGAGTGGTGAGTGAATGTGAAGGCCTAGGACATTACTGTGTACTACTGTAGACTTTACAAACTCTGTACACTTCGGCTATGCTAAATTTATTTTTAAAATACAGTAAGTGTGATATGACTTTACAACAGCTACAATGTCACTAGGCTATAGAAATTTTTCAGCTCCATTATAATCTTATGGGACTGTATTTTAAATTCCTTCTGACTGGGCAAAGAATGAACTCCAGAGTTTAGGAGAGGGCTGTCAGAACTGAGGTTCTGCAGTATGCACTCTATGGGGCAGGGACCATATCCCTCTCGTGTTCCTGCTATAACCCCACAGTCACAGTACCTGGCAAATATAGGCATTTCCACAAATGTTTACCAGTGAATGAATAAATACATACAGAACTAGGAAACCAGACAGATCATTATAAATTCTCAAGCAGGAATGTGACTACGTGAGTGGGAAAATCATCTTTCTAGATCAATCTTATTTCTCTCAAACTGTACTTCTGAGATTCTCCAAAAGAATGCAACTTCTTTTGAATGGCTTATTCCTGGAGAGGTTTTTTGTTGTTGTTTTTGTTTGGGTTTTTTGTTCGTTTGTTTGTTGCTGACACTGGAGGTGTTCTTTGCACATTTTAATGTATGCCAAGAAGTCTGTAAGAGTTCTGAACAGTCTCAGAATCTTGACTTTTGGAAGATCTTTAGAGGTTGTTCAGGCTAGCAACAAATATAGGATAGTAAAAGAGTCTTGTAATCACTTTTCTCCCTCTTTGCTGGAGAAAGAGCAAAGATTCTAACCTGACAGCAATAGCACAAATGAGAACCACAAAAGCCTCTTCTTGAAAGATTCCTAATCTGTGGGAGAGAGTTGCTTTATGAGAGGCCAGGGGCCAGAGCAGGCATGCTCCAGGTTCTGAGTTTTCCAGAGAAGACAGGTCTGCCTGTGCCATCTCTAGATTTGGTTTTCTTAAGTGCTCTGAAGACAGTTCTATATGGTAGGCTGGGTAATGGAAAAGAATGCCTCCCCTAAAGATGCACTCAAAATAATTTTCTATTCTGGTTTCTTTAAAAAAGATGCTCCCAAACTACTCTTTCAACGAGATTAAAGCCTATTTGCTTCTTTGTACAAGAGGAATGGGATTCCTTATAGTAGGGCCTTTTGGGCTACTTAGATTCTTTTACAGAACTGGAATTCATCAGCAGGTTCTGGTGTTAATGTGGCTGAACTGCTTCAGAACACTCAGAGATTCTCACAAAATCCCGTTGATGCAGTGTTTTTGTTCACATTGTGCAAATGAGGAACTAAGACTCAAATAGATCAAATAACTCATGAAGTCATTCCGCTGGTATGAAGAAGAACAAGAGAAGGCAGAACTGATCTTCATGCCCAGGTGAGGTCTCTTGACTGTCAGCTTGGTCTTTTCACAACAGAACTTGAATGCCTGTTTTTCCCAGGTGCTAGCAATTAAAGCACTCCTGCTAATACTTGTCAGAATAGACTGGGAGTCTGAACTCAGCATTTTCGGTTGTTGCTATTTAGATTCATGACTTCTTTTGAAGCTGTCAGGCATTCCCTGAGACCTGATGCCAGATTTGTAGTTAAAGGAGAACCATGACCTATCTCCAGAACATTCCCTGTGAGTCTGAATGGAAGTTATAGATCCCTATGTCTTCACTAAGTTCTTAGTATATTCGGAATGGCCCATGCTTACATCCTTTCTGCCAGTCCTCCGTCACTCTCTGGAAGGTGATGTAAGATCATCAATGAAGCAGAAACACTGGGAAGCAGCTTGAAGGGAGTCAGCCTTTGAGTGGGAAGGGCCCATGATTTCCTTGCCTCTTGCTTCTTCATCATTGACAAGTCAAGGTGCTGGCTAAGTGGAGACTCAAAACAGGAGAATTCACAGACGGTTCAGACAGAAGTAGCTTGTTGTCTGACCAAGTCTGGCAAAGCATATGGAGACCTAATTAAAAATGGCAGCCAAGAAAGGATCAGCAGGGTCCATAACCTTTAAAAGAACTCAATAGTACCTGGCCACATCTTCAATATTTAATGCTGGGGGATGATAAATTATTCAGATGAAATAATCTTGGCTTCCACTCACCATAGCCCAAGAGCATTGATCCACATCATCACTAATGATGATGAGCATCACTAATCCACAGAGGCCTTCATGATGAGATGCCAACATGAAATGGAAGAGTGACAGCATTTCTGCTTTAGATTGTTTACCCCTTCCTCACCCTGAGATTTCACATGCTCTTCAGTGGGCCTCCAGGATTGAACTGTCCTTCCTGTTACGTCAAACAGCAACATGAGGATCAATTATCTACCTATATTCCCTGTTGGGCTCAGGATTTGGGGTAGTGAAGGATTGATTCAGATCCCTCTGCTGGTACAGAAGACAATCCATTATCTCACTTCCAGACCAGTGCTTTTAACATCTAGATCAGTGCTTTTAAAACTTAGATTTGCCTAAGAATTATCCATGTATCTTGTTAAAATGCAGATTGTGGTGCACTAGGTCTTCTTGGTTAGATACTCTGCCTTTCTAGCAAGCTCCCAGGTGATGCCAATGCTTCTGGTCTATGGATCAGTCTTTGGAAGGCAAGGCACTATATGGCTGTGAAAAGTAGGCCCACCCTCCATACTCTCTCCACCCAGGTCCAACCTGTACATTACAGCAATATCACACCTCTGCTCAAATCCACTCTCTTTTTTTTTTTTTTTTCAGATGGGGTCTCACCCTGTTGCCCAGTCTGGAGTGCAGTGGCGTGATCTGGGCTCACTGCAGCCTCTGCCTCCCGGGTTCAAGCGATTCTCGTGCGTCAGCCTCTGGAGTAGCTGGGATTACAGGTGTGTGCCACCACACCCGGCTAATTTTTGTATATTTTAGTAAAGACAGAGTTTCGCCATGTTGGCCAGGCTAAATCCACTCTTTTGCCTGACATTCAAGGTCCTGTACAAACTGATCCTACTTGCTTTGTAACCTTTTTTGTCATTGCTCTCTTCTCATGATCTGCATCTCAAGCAGATGAACTATTGCTGCTTCCCAGCCATACTGCCACGCTGCCTTTATTTTGCTCTTTCTTCTACCTGGAATGTTCTTGTCCACCTCTTTCAAGGCCCAGCTCAAGTGCTGCCTCCTCCATGAAGCCTAATGAGTCCCTTCAGCCAGAGGTCGTCTTCCTTCCTCTGACTACTGATGTCACTTTATACCTATTTCTCTTGGGGACGCTGTCACTATCTATCTTGAACTATGACTTGGGGACCATGTCTTTTATCTTGTTTCTACTATAATTCTTTGTAAACTTTCTGAGGGCAGGTTCTATTTTGATTTGCTTGTAACTTATAGACACTTATCACAATGCATTATACATAGCAAGAAGTAAGTGCGTGCGTGTGTGTGTGTGTGTATCAGTTAATTTTATTGGAGTACAATTTAAATCAATAAAATGCATAGATTTCAACTGTACTGTTCATTGAGTTTTGTACCCAAGTAACCACCACCCAATCAAGATAGAAAACTTTTCCATCACCCCAGAACACTCTCTATTTCCCATTCCAGCCAATCCCCTCCCGTTCTAGCCAATCCTTAGCTAGAAAATAACTGTTCAGATTTCTACCAGCATAAACTGGTTTTGTCTCTTCTTGAATTTTACATAAGTGGAATTATAGAAAACCTACTCCTTTATCTGACTTCTTTCACTCAACATAATGTCCACGCTGCCACACGTTGGAAATAGCTTCTTAAATAATTCACTGATGGGGGCGATGGAAGCCTTGGTTTAGTGCAATCAGACTGGCCTGGGGACTTTCCTGAATTCAAGGACATTTTGGACTTTCTGTGCTTGCTTCCTGCCTGATGTCCAATTGCTCACTAAATTACCGAAGCTCCTTGAAGTCCTGTCACTCTTTCTCTGCCAGCACTTCTGCCTCCTCCACAGTGCCCATGTGTCTTCCCACTACTGCCAGCAAAGGGCTCTCTCCCAGCTGCCTTCCCTACCAGCTCCCTAAGACTCTGTTGCTGAGCTTCAAGGTTCTAAGATCCCTCGGATTGGCTCTGTCTGTTGGAAAAGATGTGCTCTCCACTGTTGGTTTTTTGTTTGTTTGTTTTTGTTTTTGTTTTTGTTTTTGCCAATCAGCTTTTCTTCTTTGAGGATGAGGGTGGGTCACCCTTTGAGGCTCAGCCAAAGTCACCCATCCAGTGTCCTCCACGCCCATAACCTGCTACGGCTCATATCAATTCTTTGCCAAGAGGCAAGTGCAACTGGAGCCCCCAGTGAGGGCACGGCTGCTGGCCCTGGAGTTTCCTGCATGCTGCAACATGGGAATTCTCACCAGACTTCACCTAAAGTCAGCTTGCTCCCACCTGCCAGGCCACATGACCCAGCAATGGTGACAATGACAGTAGGCCATTCCTGGCTAACAGACTCATGCTTGGTCTGGTTCTTAGTGCATGTTGGGCTGAAAAGAGCAAGCATTGCTTCCTCCCCATCACAGTAGCCACAAAGGGCTTATTCTCATCCCTTTTATTAACTTTGCTGTTGTCTAGGTCAGAGTTGCCTCTACGGGCCTATGTGTGATTGATAGGGTGAGAATGAGGCCCAGACAGGACAAGTCCTAAATTGCAGCTCCAGAAAAGGAGAGCCAGGCCTGCATCTCCTGACACTGGGACATATGGCTGAGATGTGAGCAAGAAGCCAGGTGCCACCCACAGTGAATTATCTTAATCTGGAAAGAATAAGGAAAGACAGCCATAAGGTCACACTGCCATTTTGCACTTTTTTTTTTTTTTTTTTTTTTGAGACAAGGTCTCTCTTGCCCAGGTTGGAGTGCTGTGACACAATCATGGCCCACTGCAACCTTAAACTCCTGGGCTCAAGAGAGCCTCTCACCTCAGCCTCCCAAGTCGCTAAGATTACATGTATACACCATCATGCCTGGCTAATTTTTAATTTTTTTCTGTAAAGAGAGGGTCTTACTGTGTTGCTGGGGCTAGTTTTGAACTCCTGGCCTCAAGTGATCCTCCTGCCTGGACCTCCCAAAGTGCTGGGACTACAGGTGCGAGCCACCACACCCAGCCCATTTTGCACTTTATGGGATGTCATTTCCTGATTGCTCCTGAAGGACATGTGTTCCTAATAATATGGAACACCCACTTAATCCTTGCAGCCCTGTGAGGTAGGCCTTGTTATTCCTGTCTCAGGAAACCACAGCCCAGAGAGGGTGCTGACCTGCCCATGGTTGCGTAGCACAAATGGCAGATCTTGGATTTACATATGCTTGGCTCCAAGCTGTTCCTACCACTCCATCACCCTGCCTTTCTGTCTGGCTCCTGGAAGGTAATTACAATGTCTCTGATCTCATGTATCCCATCAAAGTGCTTAGATGTGCTGACCACAAAGCTCTTCTTAGCTCCTTACAGCACTTACTGACAGGAAGCCAGGAAGGAGCTGGTGCCTTTCCCCTCCCTGCCAAGGGGACGCTGGAGCTTGCGATTCCCGCCCATATGCATCGGCCTCTGCTGCATGACTTGAGATTTGCAGTATATTGACAAGGCCTATTGTATTAGTTTGCTAGGGTTGTCATAACAAAGAACTGCAGACTTGACTTAAACAACAGAAACATATTTTCACAGTCCTGGAAGTTGGGAAGTCCAAGATCAAGGTGTCAGCAGGGTTGGTTTCTTCTGACGCCTCTCTAAGCTTGGAGATGGCCATTTTTGGAGTTGGCTTGGCGATGGCCATTTTTTCCCCTATGTCTTCATATCATCTTCCTTCTGTGCCAGTTGTGCCCTAATATTCTCTTATAGGACACCAGTCATATTGGATTAGTGCTCTAACTGTTTTAACTTAATTACCTCTTTAAATACAAATATAGCCACATTTTGAGGTACTGGGAATTAAGACCTCAACATACACATTTTGGGAGAACACGGTTCAGGCCACAACACCTACCCAAAAACATTTGCCATTCCAGGGCTACCACACATTTCAAATTCCTACCATTGGTCCTCTGAGCTAGAGTTTCATTAAAGTGCAAATATTTTAACAGAATGAAAGAGTATGGAATCATGGACTCCTACTAACATTGCAGTCATTTTGCCCTATAAATTACCCAGGCCAGTGCCAAGCCTGCTGAGATGGCCTCAGGGCAAATTATTTGAGAATGAGTGGGGAAATTAAGGAATAAACTATAGTTTAGGGTTCTGCCCAAGAGCCCGGGACAACATCTGGTACCGTATTGAACTGTGGTTTCATGGATGGAGTGTAGAGGGATGAAAGATGCTGAAAGAAACTAAGATAAGATTTACCCACTTTTAGGATTTCACTGGGCACTCTGTGGTGGAGTGTTAAGGTATGAATTTTGGAATCAGGCAGAACAGGATTTGCTGATCACCAGCTGTGAGCCCCTGGGCAAGTTGCTTGAGCTATCTGTATCTGTTTCCACTTACCACAGTGGGGAGATGTTAACGCCACCCTCCTGGGGTTGTGATGATAAGCCGTCCTCCACTGGGCAGGGAAAGCATGGAGCATAACAACGGCGCACAGAGATGTTCAGGAAATGAACCTCATGCACTGCTCCAACACTCCATCAGAGTACACATAACAACCTAGATCCCAGAAGATGTTTCAGAAGTGATATGGAAAACTTCCTTCCTTGCTCGGGCAGAACCAGGATATCCCAGAGAAAGAGCAACCCATTTGCAGACCTGAAATTCGAAGCAATAACCAGGACCAAACTAGTAAGCAGATTCCAGAAGAACGAGAGCTTTCCAGTGTGTGACCTGGCCCTCCAATGGAGAGGGCCCCTGCTAAGAGGTGGCCTGGAACACTCTGAGGTAGGGACAAGACACTTCATTCTGAACTTGAACCCCAAAGTCCAACAGTCCAAGCTGAAAAGTTAACCGCAAAGCAAACCACACCACAAAAGACCACAACGTAAGGGCTAAAGAGATCCAACAATCCAGAAGCCAAATCACTGGGAGCTGTTAATCCAGGAGTGGAGCCAACACCAAAAGCCACATTGAGGTCAGAAAGCAAAGGTGCTCCCAGCCAATGGGGCCAAAGAGGAGCAAGGCAGAGGTAGACCAAGAAAGACCCTGGAACCAGGAGGAAAACCAGCTGCCACCAGCTGCCTGTGGCTGAGAGTGGAGCCACATTATATGCCCTTTAAGAGGGAATATGCAAATTAAACCCATTTTGACCTGCAGAGAGTGAGAAAAGACCACGTCACAGCACCTGCCACCTACCTCTTGCACCCAGTGGGCCTGTGCCTTGGCACAAGCAGGGAGTGGAGCTAGGGCTCTGCTGTCCTCAAGGACAGTCTCAGCATCTAGGGCAGCCCACCTGGTGAGCATCTTGCCATCCTGAAGGTGATTTTGTTGATACAGGTTCAAATTTTTCATATAAAATGGCCTCTAAACACAAGTCAACCGCTGCATCCAATGCTCAACTCAAGGGGGAAAAAAACAGCAGTTGCCACGCAGGTGGGGAAACTGGTGGTGATTGACTCACTGAGCGGCGTCACTCAGTGTAATTTTGGGGTGATTTAAGGGTTCTGAGGGTAATATTGACAGTGAGCAATTTTTACCACATGTACTGGCCAGACAACCTAAATCCTGTGAAAGTCTACTCTGTATTTGGTCCATATGAATGCAGGCTGGGGGCAGATCCCAAACTGTGAAAAATAAATATATGTTGTTTAAGCTACCTAATCTATAGTAGTTTTGTTATATAGCAGCCTGAACTGACTCAGACATATGAGTAGCTCAATCTACATATAGAGACAGAAAGTAGATTGGTGGTTACCAGGAGCTAGAGGGAGGAACGGGGAGTTGGTGTGTAATGGATACAGTTTTGCTTTGGGAAGATGAAAAAGTTCTGGAGATGAATAGTGGTGATGTTTGCACAAGAGTGTGAATGTATTTATTGTCACCAAACTGTACATTTAAAATGGCTAAATAGTAAATTTTATATCATATAAAATAACATATATGTTACCACAACTTTTTTTTTAAAGAATTGGTACTGTGTAACTAATAGACATTCCCCTCACCAGGAAATCTCTGACCAAACCGCTCAATTAGGTTAAGAACTATGTGCTCAGTAAGTGTATCTACTGGTGTGTTTTGTTGCCATTTTGGCTTCGCCTCCACTCTCATTGGAATTGAACATGCCCAGCCTGTCAGCTGAGCTGCGGGTGGGATGGTTTGTCCCCGCTTTGCAAGGTTAGCCAGAGAGGACTTCATCATGTATCTGAGGCTTCTCCCCTTTACCAATAGTGGATGTCAGGGGAGATGCCTCTTTGCTCCTGGTATTTTCTTCCGTGCAGAAACAATCTTAACAAACAGGCCATTGTGACGTCTGGTCTTCCTCACTTCTGCTCAGCAAAAGTGGAGTGGCCTCCACCATGAGGGAGAGCCTCGTGTATCCAGCCCCTTGCTGTCTCCATCTGCTTGGGAGTAGCCCCGCTGAGGAAGCCCACCTTCTGCTCCACATTCCCCGTGCCTGCTGCCTGGGCTGGGGCCTGCCTGGTGCTGGGCTGTTGTGATCGGATGCCCCCATGCCTATAGATCTAACCCTCTTCCTCACATACCATCCTCATCAGTAGGAAAGGTGCTAGGTTGGTCTCTGTCTGCCAACTCCTTTGTCTTTTCTCAATCCGTTTAGAACTTGGGTGGCAAGAGCAATACCAGCAGGAGGCTTGGAGATCTAAGCATGATCTACTATTGTGTTCCTGAAACCACTAGGGGATGAGTTGCTACATTCCTCTGAGGACATTGTCATGCTCTGGGTCTCATCTCAGCCCAAACAGAGGGGAAGGCAGCCTGGGAAGCAGGGTCCTCCGTCTGAAGCAGAGCTCACCCACTGAGGCACGCAAGTCCCGCCAGCCAGACTCCAGAGCAGCTGCTGGAAGGACATTCTGCCCTGGGAGGATAGAACATGACACTGGGGGGACCAGGTCACATACAAACAAGACAGCCTGGCCAGAGGAGGCAGCAGAAAGCTCGAATATGGTGGCTCTTTTTCTATTGCTGGATAACAAATTATCAGATATTTACCAGCTTACAACAACCTGTGTTTATTATCTCACAGTGTCCAAGGGTTGGGAGTCTATGGAAGGTGGGGCTTGCCTGTCACCTTCAGATCCAGCCTGGCAGAGTTCCCACATCAGTCCTTGCTGAGCAGACAGCATTTCAGCAACAATCTCAGCCTCTGACTTGGGGGATTTAGAATTAAGTCAGTGATCTGGGATATAAAGGCCTGGTCACAGCAGACTGGGTCCTCAGCTCAGGATCTTGCAGGCTGCAATCCAGCTGCCAGCCAGGCAGAGGGGGTAACAGTCAGCACATACCTCTTACCACCACAGGGCCCCCAGGGATCTATGAATGCCTGGAGATGGGAGGCTGATGGGAGGCAGCAGGTTACAAGCCCCCATAGGGTAGGATTCAGAAGCCTTGGGTAGCATAATCAGACAGAAGGTTAGACGGAAGGCACAAAGTCACATACAAGGCCAATTTGGCAGCACAGAGCATACCTATTTTGGGGCTCGGGCCAGCAGAGCAGGACCCAGGACTACAGCAAAGGAGAATCATACCTGAGAGAGAAGAGGGAGTCTGCCCACTGTGACCAGGCCTCTATATCCCAGAACACTGACAATTCTAAATCCCCTGGGTCAGAGGCTGAGCTTACTGCTAAAATGCTGTCTTCTCAGTGAGGACTGATGCAGGAATTCTTCAGAGCTGGATCTGAAAATGACAGGCAAGTCCCCATCTGCAAGGAGTGGGAAGGCAGAGGCCACCAGATGCCTTTAAGCTTTTACTCTTGACCCTGACTTCTCCAGATAAACTGCTCACCTAAACCTTTGCTCTTCTGATGGTCCTCATTCTACCAGCTTTGTCCTCCTAAACCTCCAGGCTGCTTTTTCTACCTATGCTGCTTCAGACTACCAACTGATGACAAATTGTCGGCCTCGACTTCTCTGCTTTTTTCTTCTTCTTCACTTCTGAGGTCTCCGCTCCTGATGGAAGGCTGGTGTTGAAAGGATTCCAGCCACAGCCTGGACCACACCCCAGGAGCCAGTCTGTCGATGCTCTTGTCTCGGTACCTTTCTCATAAATCAGCCAGGGAGGGGTTCAGTCTGCATCCTGGCCAGAGATCAATGGTGCTAATGGTGTCTGGTCCATTAGAGGTGGAAGAGTTCCAGCCTGTGCAAGTCTGCAGCGAACTGCACCATCAGCTCTGCCAGGTACAGACTCTGGGAATATTCCTTGGTAGTTCCCTGGTCACTCAGAACAGGGCACAGTAAAAGGAAAAACCTTGTCACAGGGCCATCTGACAGACCGTTCTGTCCTATGCCAGATTCCTCATCCTTCCTAATCCTAGGGACACAACCCCTTGCCAGTCATCCCATAAAGTAGTTTTCTTGGTTATTCCTGTAACAGAACTGTCTGTAGACCGTCATCCTTCTCCCAAAGACTGCAGCCACTCTGCGAATTATCTTCACAGAGCACTTTAAGCTGGACCACTCCAAGGATGAGGACCTGGAGGAAGCATTTGGATAGATACAGCCTGTGTCGTGCTGCACTGGGAGGGGGTCATCCCAGTGTGGTTCCAGGATCACGGCTCTTGGAAATCCCAGTAAGGATGTCTTATTCTAGAAAATAAGCTTTATGGTTAGCAAAGGTGGCTATGTTCTCCTTATTAATGGGTACCATTGGAAGACAATGCATCCCTGGACCTACTCACTAGGTCACTTCCATGGTGAGGCTCCAGTCCCTCCACACAGGTTCACTCAGGAAAATCTCTTATTATCCACGCAACAAGATCCTATTTGCCATGTTGTATTCACTTAGACCCATCTTTTAGCAGCTGTGACTTATGCACATCTTCATCTCTACGGTATCAAAATCCAAGATCTCTAAACCAAATGTGGGCGGTGGCTGGAATTTCCCCATCCTGTGGGCAGCAACTTTTGGAAACACTAACAGAATAGAATAAAAAAAGAGGCTGGATTCTATTTGCAGCTTAACACCAACCGCTGAATGAAGCCCTGACTCCCCGTTTTGATGTGCTACCAAGTTTGAATCATGCTGACACATGCCCATCTGTCAGGTGGAATAATGGGGTTTTGAGTGGCTTAATTGTAGCCCAAGTATTAAAGCCCTGCTGAGTTACACGGTGTTGAGTTAAGGCATGTCCACAGTAAAGAGAATGCTCTTCTCTGCCTGAACCAAGGCAAAGACAGAGCTCTTTCCACTAATGGTGACTCCTAGCCACAGATCTGTTGCTAAAAGGAAAACAAGCCCATCTCCTGTTTGTTCTTTAATAGCCTCATCTCTGATATAAGCAGCCTTCCCACCTCCAGAAACTCAGCATTAAAGTGACATCATTGAAATTTGCCATAAATACTGCAAGCACTTTTTTCAAAATGATCTGGTTTATGAGCAGGGTAGCGTAGCCATAACAAGCACCCCTTTCAATACCAACTAATTCTATTTGAAATAGCCTGTCCATTTTTCCATCCCAGGGTCTCTCACCCCTCCTACTTAAAATGCAAAGCAGAATTAAGATTTTGAACTCTAAAGTCAGACATAACTAGATTCAATCCCAGCTCTGAAAATCACCATGGGGTGCGAAAGTTATAAAACATGTTATCAAAATTTTAACACTCCTTCCATCAAGAGTTGGGGTCCATTGCCCTTGAATCTGGGCTCTGTGACTGCTTTACCCAATAAAGTACAACAGAAGTTATGGTACCAGCTTCTGGATGCAGACCTTAAGAAACCAGCAGCTTCTACTTGCTGTCTCCTGGGGTGCTCCTCCTTCTCAGAGCCCAGTCATCCTGCTGGGAGGAAGCTCAACAGCTCATGGAGAGGTCCACGGAGAGGAGACCCAGGTCCTCAGGCCCATGGCCCCAGCTGGGCTCCCAGCCAACAGCCACCACCAATGTGCCAGTCCTGCAAGTGAGCCATCTTGTAAGTAGTCATCTAGCCCCAAGGCTATGAATAATGCTACTGTGAACATTCATCTACAAGTTTTTATGTAGACATATGTCTTCATTTCTCTTGGGTATTTTCCTAGGAGTAGAATAGCTAGACCATATGGTAATTCTATATTTGACAATTTGAGGAACTGCCAATCTGTTTTCCACAGAGGCTGCACCATTTTAGATTCCCACTAATGATATATGAAGACTCCAGTTCTCTTTATCCTAGCCAACACATTTTATTATATGTCTTTGTGCTTATAGCTATCCTAGTGTGTGAAGTTTTATCTCATTGTGCTTTTGATTGCATTTCTCTGATGGCTAATGATATTGAGCATCTTTTTATGTGTTTATTGTTCATTTGCATATTTTCTTTGGAGTATGTCTATTCAGATCCATTGCCCATTTTTAATTGGGTTGTATGTCGTATTATAATTATTTGTATATTCTAGATATTTAACAGTTATTTGTATATTCTAGATATCAATTTGCAAATATTTTCTCCCATTCTATGGGTTGTCTTTTTTTTTTTTTTTTTTTTTTTTTTTGAGACAGGGCCTTGCTCTGTTGCCCAGGCTGGAGTGCAGTAGCACAACCATAGCTCACTGCAGCCTCAAATTCCTGGACTCAAGTGATCCTCCTGCCTCAGCCTCCTGAGTAGTGGGGACCCAGGCATGAACCACTGTGCCCAGCCCTTTTTTGACTTTCTTGATGGTCTCCTTTGAACCACAAAAGTTTTTGATTTTTATGAAGTCCAATTTGTCTGTATTTTCTTTGGCTACTTGTGCTTTAGGTGCCATATCTAAGAAACTATTGCCTAATCCAAGGTCATGAAGATTTACATCTATTGTTTTTAACAAGTGTCATAGTTTTAGCTTTTACAATTAGGCTTTGATCCATTTTGAGTTAATTTTTTTATATGGTGTGAGGTAGGACATCCATTTAATTCTTTTACATGTGGATATCCAGCTGTCCCAGAACCATTTATTGAAAAGACTATTCTTTTCCCCATTGAGTTATCTAGGCACCCTTGTTGAAATTCAATTGACTGAAAATTTGAAGATTTATTTCTGGACTCTCAATTGTATTCCATTGGTCTGTATATCACTCCTTATGCTACTAACACAGTATCTTGATTACTATTGCTTTATGGTAAGTTTTGATACCAGGAAATTGAGTCTTCCAACTTTGTTCTTCTCTTTCAAGATAATTTTGGCTATTCTGAGTCTCTTGCATTTCCATATGAATTTTAGGATGATTTTATCAATGTCTGCAAAGAACCCAGCTGGAATTTTGATGGAGATTGCACTAAATGACTCTATAGATCTTTTTGGGGAGTGTTGCCATCTTAGCAATATTAGGTATTCTGATTCTTGAACATGAGGTGTCTTTCTATTTATTTAGGTCTTGTTTAACTTCTTTTAATAATGTTTTGTAGTCTTCAGAGCATTTAAGTTTTGTACTTCTTTTGTTAAATATATACCCAAGTATTCCATTCTTTTTGATGCTATTGTAAGGGACAGTTCTTGCTCTTTTTTCATTACTAAGAAGGTCTTCCTTGCTAATGGCTCTATCTTACACAGATATTTCAGTTATGTAGGAGTTTTAGGCTTCTGGTTAAGCCTTAGCTATTTTACAATTAATCAACTGGAAATAAACTACATAATAAAGATTTTCCTTTGCCCTGATCCAATAGGGTCTAACAAATTAAATTTATATTTTCAAGGAGCTTACTTTTCATTTTATTTACTTTTGTTTCTCAGTTCAAATGCAATTAGCAGGAAAACAAAATGTGGCCCACTATGCTTTCCTCAGACCTATGTTAAATAACCTTATTTTAAAGAAACATAAAGCAGAAGTCCTTTCCCAGCTACTTTCCTTGAAAAGAATTCTATTCTTTGGGCTATTTCTGTATGCCCTTTCGGCAATGCAATCTTTAGTCTCAACATATGTGGATTTCAATTTTCTTCTTTCTTGAGAATAATTAGAAAAAGCATAAAATGGAGTTTAGAAATAGAAAAGAGATGATATAAAAGAAGAGCAGTGGGAATTTTGCAAAGAAACCTTGACAGAAATGAAGGTCGCTGAGGGCAGGGCCTTTTGTGCCTTGAATAGCTCCTGCTTGGTGAGGAGGGGCCTGCCGAGGGACTCTAGTGCCCAGCAGGGCATGGCCTGGCTGTGGCTTCAGAAATCAAAATCAGAAAGAAACCAAAATGGGCTTCTTTTTTTGTTAGCGAAAAGTTTCAAATATACCAAATTTTAAAAATACATATTTGTCATAATGAACAAATATAATGTACCTCCAGGAACCCACCAACCCAGACTCAACAATCATCAACTCGTGGTCATTTCATCTATAAACCCACCAATCCCCCACCTCCACCTCTGATTATTTGGAAGCAAATCACAGACATTACATTGTTTCACCTACAAGCCTTTCACTGTATATGTATATATCCATATCTGTGTGTGTGTCAGTGTGTGTGTGTGTGTATAATTCCTTAACATTATAAAATATTCAACCAGGTTCAAATTTGTCCATTACCACATAATTTGTTTTCCTGACAGATTTTTTGGATCGGGATCCAAAAACTTATATAAAGTTTCATGTGTTATAATTGGTAGATGTTTCCCTTCGAGTCTTTTAATCCATGTTCCAATGAAGATCCAGGCACAAGGGAAAATGCACATAAATCGTCCGCAACAAAGCAAAATTCTTAACCACTTTAAGCAACCAATAACAGTGAGTATAAATTTCACAAGTCATAGATTCAAAAGCACAAAAATGTAACTTCATTTTACCAATTTTTAACTTGAGCCCCTCATTCTGTCTTTAGTTTGAAAACTCAACCCAGCCTCAGATAAATTTAATCAAATGCAGTGAGTTTTCCATTTTAATCACATTCAGAACACACCTTCCTGGATTTCTACCTGGAGCTGATGCTATCCACTTAAATGCAGCTTGTGGTGGTGGGGAGGAGCTTATCTGAGCTCCTCCTGTTTCTTTTCCCCCCTCTACATTAATTTTTGATTGCTGTGTAACAAACTACCACAAACTTAGCAGCCTAAAACAACACTCATTTGTTAGCACAGAGTTCTGTAGGTCGGAAGTTCTGCACAGCATGGCTGGCTTCGCTGCTCAGGGGGCAAAGTCCTCTGGAGACTTTGGGGGAAAATCCACTTCCAAGCTCATTCTTGTTGTTGGCAGAATTCAATTCTTTTTGGTTGTGAGACTGCAGTCCTGGTTTCCTTGCTGGCCGTTAGCTGGGAGATCACCCACGTCCTTGCACATGAACCCCTCCATCTTCAAGCCAGCAAGGCTGCATCAAATCCATCGTGGGCTTCAAACTTGACTTCCTTATCTGTAGCCAGAGGGAGAAAACTGCTTTTAAAGGGGTCACGTGACTAGGTTGGTTCCCCTCGCCACAGATCATCTCCCTATCTTCACACCAACTTACGTGGTAACTTAATGACACCTGCAAAATGCCATCACAGCAGCTTCTAGGTGCATATATACCAGGGACTTGGAACCAGGGCAGGGCGATGGGGGTCTCAGAAGTCTGCCTACAATGGTCTCCATGAGACACAGCTGCATCCTCAACTGTCCACGCCATACCTTCTGATGGTGGGTCTCCTCATCCAGTCTCGAGTCCTGCTTGCTCGCTCGCTCTCTCTCTCTCTCTCTCTCTCTCTCTCTCTCTCTCTCTCTCTCTCTCTCTCTCCTTCTCTCTCTCTCTCTCTCTCCCAATTAACCTCCAGAAGTGAGAAAGGCAGGACTGGGGGCTGAAAGAGAAGTTTCCCCCCAGTGTGTTGTAAACTGCAGCTCCAGCCTTTCCTAAGGGGAGCTGGATGGCCCTTCAGAGTTGGCCCAAACCGAGACAAGGAGGCTGGGCTTTTATATCCCCACATTGCCCAGTCACTTGGCACAAGCACAGAGACTGGATGAGGAGACCCACCACTTCTTGGAGGAAGGGGGTGATGCCTTATCTTGTGGAAGGGGGTGATGCCTAATCAGTTCCCTGTGGCTGAGGGCAGTTTCTGATGAGGGACCCAGCTGAGAGACACCTGCTGCTCTCAGTTGCTGTGAGATGGCTGCCTCTTCCCAGAAGAGGGGACACCAGTGAGTGCTACAACAATATCCACTCCACTCATCATCTGTTCTCCTTTCCACTTGTTTCTACATCACACCTGGGCCTTTCCTTTTGAATATATAAACCAAGAATGTTGGATTTTCAATACATGAGCTAGCAAAAAAGACTTCATATTTTACAAACCATCCTGCCACAGGAAAGTGGGTATTCAAATGCATAGTATCCATTATTATTAATTTAATGTATAATAGCACTTCGTTGATATTTTTTATGCATATACTACTTTACTGGGTGTTTTTATGTCAATAAAAAATTTAAGCCCCCACAAATCCTTTCTGGAACACAGTGAGAAATAAAAACATCAAATATTCATGGATTCTCATGGATTCTTTTACACCTGGAGTCCTACCATTAGATATGAGTTCTACATTTCTTTTCAAAGAATCAGTATGTCAGTATGTTTAATTCTTTGCCTTCTACTTTTAAACTTAACTTCCTCGTAAAGCAACCTTTTTCCATTACCTGCTCCACCCTGACTCATTCCGATTACCTGCTCTGTCATAACCATTTTTCCCACCAAAGCACTCACCCCATCACTGTCTTTAAATTAGCCACTTGGAATTAGTTTAGCCTGTGCAGTCTAACCCTAGCCAATAGGGGAATGACACAGCAGCAGGGGCCATGTACATCAGGGATAAGAACCCCTTTCCCTCCTTTGTCCAAGTGTGCACTCACCATTGCTCCGTCTGTAAGCGTGCACCCATCTACAGAAGTAACTTGCCTTGCTGAGAATTAAAAAGAAGATGTTATATTCGAGTGCAATTTCTTTTGTGGCACCGAAATTTTATTTATAACACTACCAACTCAGTTCTTCCCATAAAATACAATAGGGGTTGTTTCCTAAATGCCTAGTCCCCATTAATTTACCCAAATTGATCCAAGCTTTGGGAAGCCTGAAGTCCCATCTGTCTTACTACCTCTTTGTCTCCAACACATGCTGCCTGACTTATAGTAGGTGTTTGGCAGTGAATGAATGTCTGCTAAAAATAAATATATGCATACGTAAATAAGACTAACGTTATATATAAAGTTTCAGTGCCACAAAAGAAATAGCACTCAAATATAAAATTTTCTTTTAGTTCTCAGCAAGGCAAGTTACTTCTGTGGAAGGGTGCGCCCTTACAGATGGAGCAATGGTGAATGCACACTTGGACTAGGGAGGGGAAGGGGTTCTCATCCCTGATGCACGTGGCCCCTGCTGCTGTATTGTTCCCCTATTGGCTAGGGATAGACCGCACAGGCTAACCTAGTTCTGATTGGCTAATTTAAAGAGAGTGATGGTGACTGCTTTGGCGGGAAAAAAATGGTTATGCAGGGTGAAGAATGAGTCAGAGCAGAGCAGGTAGCAGGTAATCAGAATAAGTCAGGATGGAGTAGGTAATCAGAATGAGTCAGGGTGGAGTAGGTAATCGAAAAAGGTTGCTTTATGAGGAAGTTAAGTTTAAAAGTAGAAGGCAAATAATTGAACATACTGACATATTGGTTCTTTGAAGAGAAATTTAGAACTTATATCTAACAATCCTTCCTCTTGCATTTCCTTACAGATTTTTGTCATCAGACTTTTTTTTAACATGTCTTGGCTTATTTGTTCTGCTTGATTTTCCAAAAGAAGAAGCTTCTTTGGATAAGGTGAAGGATAGTTAAGGGAGGTTTTAGTAAGTGCCATTTCTATGAGCCTCTGTGCCAACTTACGGATGCACAGCATGACACAGCACCCGACAAGAATAAGTACACCTATTACAGCTGCGAGAGAAATAAGAATTGAGGCTATTATTCCTTTCCATTTACCAAACTACTTTTCTAGCCATCCTGTAAAGGGGTCATTTACCCCTGAGTTGCTGGCTAACTCATTGGATAGAGCAGTCAGACCTTGCAATGCTTTTGTTATACTTCCATTAGGGGCGGTGTTGTTTGGGATGAAGGTGCAACATTGAGTTTTAACCGTGATGCAAACTCCTCCTCTTTCTGCTGATATCATGTCTAAGGCTATCCTATTTTCGCACGCCCTCTGGCTAGTAGCACCTAATTTTACAGCTATTTCTTTAACAGCATCTCTAGTGTAGTTAATAAATCGCTGTTGGTTGTAGTAGATTTGGTTTATTCAATCTACATTTTTATTAATTGTCACCCACTGAAATATTGACTCAAATCCTGCAGCTATTTGATTTTGGGCTTTAAATTGATCTGGTATTCCCCATGGGACTCTAATTGTGTCTAAATAGACGTGAGAGTGGAAAGACCCATAAGGGGCTTCTCTAGCTTTACGATGCTTCATTTTTCCTTCCTCTGGTTGATGAAATGCCAGGGTGAAAGGGACAGCCAATTGGACTAAAGCACAAGTGTCACCCCAGTTATTTGGCAGAGTGTCCACTAAAAGTCCACCACAATACCACCACACATCTGCTCGGGGATGAACAAGGGCTGACTGATTGATAAGCTCTTGAAAATCCTTACGCTCACTGCATCCCTTCAGGTCTCCAAGGAATGCTAAGTTTTCCCCCTGTCATGAGAGACACAAAGTGAACTTAGTGTTGGGAGATGGAAGCTGGATGGCCCTCAGGGGCTGACCCGCAGGGTGCCGGACTCCGGGATATAGCAGAGAGAGAGCTTGGCATGACTTATTACTCCAGGCTGTAGAATCCTGGAAAAGAGCCACCATGCAGCCCATGCCTCTAAGGACCACCTTAGAGGAAAGGGGACAGTCTGTTCCTCTGGCCTGCCGTGTGCACAAGCATAATAACAATTGCTTTTGTTTAACGTGTGGATGGAATATTTAATCCATTCCAACCAGGCGTTTGCATCTTGGTATCTGCCTTAATTGCCAAAGTTTGTTTTAAGTCTTTAACTTCTATGATCTTCCAGTAAAATGAAGGTATGGTTTTAGGAAATTACAAAAACCAGTTGGGGCAGTCCATCCTTGCTCTTTAGTGGCCCACAGAATGTTGGACCAACTATGGCATAAAAGCACTACATCCGGGGGCAAGACTCCTGGTTGACACTGGGGTCTTTATCGATATCTCCCCAGATTAAATGGTCCTAGTTTACTAATGCCCAGTCTGAAGAGAGTCAGGAGGGACAGAGGTACTTTTCTGAAGGAGAGAGCTGTCTTTGACTTGACAAGTCCCCACAGGGTATAACAAGGCAAGTATTAAATGCAATAGTTTGAGGTGAAATTGACTTGGTTATGTTAATAACTAGGTGGTCAACAATAGAGTGAGGAAAGAAGAAAGAGTAACAGAATAAATGAAAGAGAATTAAATTGTTCTTAGCTTTAATTTGGTAGGGTTTTCCCCTGGGGCTATGGCCCACAACTCTGGAGGCGGTGGCGCTTTCTTGACTCAGGTGTTATGAGTCCATCCCTTTTTTGCTGTATGAACAGCAGTGTCAGTGGTTAGCAGCACAAGATATGGTCCTTCTCAGGCTGGCTCGAGTTTTTCTTCTTTCCACTCTTTGATGAAAACATGTTCTTCAGGCTGGTGCTGGTTTACCGGAAATTCTAGGGGTGGTACCTGTGCTAAAAGACTTTTAGTTTTGAAGGAAAGGAAAGTGGAAGATACACCAAGTATATAATTTCTAAGAAATTGACCTTTTGTTTTAATTGTAGGGACATCAGCAGTGGACTTTATAGTCCTTGGTGCCTTCTTACTGAGAAATTTCCGTTAGCACCTCTTTTTATTGGTTTTTAGACCAAAGAAAGCCAAACATTTTTATATTTGACAATTTTATATTTTATATTTGACAATGCTTCCTGTATGGTTTTCATACCAGATAAGCTATATTTCACCTTTATATTAGTGTGTTATTAATGTTAAACTTAGTTTTAATAAAACTTTGTAGACATATTTATTCACTTTTTAATGTCTGACCATAAGGTAAGATTTTTATAGACTCTTTAACCTTTTATAATTTCTGTTAAAGAGCGGGTTAGTGCTTTAAGAAAAACCTGTTGAGCTTTTATTTTAATGTCCAGTTCACAGAAAAACTGGATGATACCTCTTTAACTTTAACCAATATGTTTACACACAGAATTTCCTTTACAATTAATGTTTCAAAACTTGCTAAAACCTTTAAAACAAAATATTTTTTTAAAGTTTTTAATGTAGGTAAAAATCCACATTCTTATGCCTCCTTATAATCCTTTTACCAAAGGTATATTTTACTTACCTTATTCACCTTGCACATAAACTACTTCTTCAATATTTTTACATTGAGGAGGCCTAATTACTTTTAAATTCTACAACATTTCTTGCATAAATTCCCTTTATAACTTTTTTTTTCATGATTTTCACAGACAATTCTTTGACACGCCTCAACTTTGTGACTTGTTGCAAACATCCTTTTCTTTAAACAACCAGTTAATTTATTTTAGGATAAGAATTTACCATATAACATTATTTTTACATAAATTCTCCCCCCCACCCCACACCCCCACTTTTTTCCCCCTAAAGATGATAACCATTCTTTTCCAAAGCGAACTTCCTTCCTGTCTGTGGACTAGACTGCCTAAGGCCATAAGATTTGAAGTTAGGATAATACATGTTACACTGTTAACTTTGAGCAAACTTTACTTTTGTTGAAAACCTTGTAAGTTTTGGATTTCAATTATCCTTTGCTGTTAATAAGACTTTGTTTAGTCCAAATTTAGAATTGGTATAGATGGTTCTTTCCTGGTTCTGTAAGTACTTTAAGGCTTGGCTGAGTGGAAACAGCTCAAACCTTGGAGTAGACCAATTATCAGGCAATTTTCCTAACTCTGCTTTTACAAGAGTTTCCCTATCAATTACTGAATACCTATTGTGTCTTTTTCCCTCAGTCACCCACCCGGGAGGAACCATCTGTCCTCCCGGGAACTGTCCTAAAGGGAGTTCCTCCTAGGTCTGGTCAGACCTTTGTATGGTAATTAATTAAGATTTAGATCCCCTGTTAGGAAACCTGCTGGGTTAAGGGAATTATCAGTGGCTAATGTTAAATCATCTTTTTCTAACAGAATAGTCCCATACTTCAAGATTTTTGAGTTAGTAAGCTACATTTTTGCTTTTTTTTTTTTTTTTTTTTTGACTTAGGATGGTTCTGAACTGGGGAGTTGTGCTCACAATGAGGTTTCCTCTAAAAGCTATTTTTCTACTTTCTTCTGCTAGCAAAGCAGTTGCAGCTACAGATTAAATGCATTTGGGCCATCCACAAGTTACTGGGTTAATGATTTTTGATAGGAAGGCCTCAGTGCTTTCCGGCTATGCCCTTGTTTATACTGACAACAAGGTAGTATTGGGGTGTTATAAGCTCATGGAGAAGACCTTCAATTATCAATTACAGGTTTTAAATTTACCCTGGCTTTTAAAGGAATAGGTTACACTGTTTTCTCTTTACTACTTCTCTCTTTCTCTCTTTGACTTTCTGTCTCTTTCTCTTTCTTTGACCCCCTCTTTGTCTCTCTGTCTCTTCCTCTCTCTCTCTGCCTATCTCTCTCTTTGACTCCCTCTTTGTCTTTCTGTCTCTTCCTCTCTCTCCGCCTCTCTTTCTGTCTCTCTCTTTCTTTCTGCTCTCTCTTTCTCTTTCCCCTCTCTTTCTCTCTTTCCTCTCTACTGTTCTTTCCCTGCCTCTGCCAGCTGCTTATGCTGCTGTTCTCCTCTCTCCTTCCCTTTCCCCTAGGGGAAGGACCTGCAGTAGTGGAGCTACTCTTTCTTCCCCTAAAAAGAGGACACCCAAGATGGACATTAACTCAACCCAAGTTTACAACTGAGGTCCTAAGAATTGCTCAATTTGGTCTGCCACACCGTAAGGGTCACCTAGTAGCAGTTTAAGCTCCTTTTTAAAAAAAATTCTGGACTTCTGAACTGGTTAGGGGAGTATTTACAAAGCCAATGGCCACCCCCTCCTTGTGGTACCTCTTTCAAAGCGAAGAGCACTGGGGCTGACCTCTTAGGTACCAAGGGAAATGGGAAATCCTGAATATCTTTTTTACATTGTTCTACCTCATGCTGGAGTCCTTTTAGAGAGGGGTATTTAGGTTGGGAGAGAACAGGCTGATGGGATGGTAATTCCCAAGAGTCAGGGTTATAAGGAGGAGGGATAATGTGAGTAGAGGAGGAATTTGGAATGGGATCTGAGGCAGCAGTGGCTGTCTGAGGGGAAAAATTGGGGACACTGAATGGGGGAAGATAGTCTAGGGGATCCCATGTGCTGGAATTTTTAGGCATGAGAGCTGGCTCCTCTGACTTTTCATTTTGAGGTGCCAGATTGGGTTCTTCCCTATTTGTTTTTAAGGGAAAAAGGAGGGCAGGTCCTTGCCTCCATAGCCTAGTTCTTCTTGAGACACTGGACTTCTATCATTAACATATCAGATTAGAAACTGACACATTGCATCCTCATTCGACCTAAACTTCGGCCAGAAGATTGAGGGTTTGAGGATGGGTCCCTGAGTCCAAAGAAAACAGCAATATTTTATCATTTGTTGCTTTTTCCTATGTTTAGTCCTTTCATTAGCCTTCCAGTGTTTTAGCATGAGACCTAGGGGGCTATCCAGAGTGATATCTTTGTTACCATCTTTATCCTCCTTGCTCCCTCTCTTGCTTGGTGTATTTCCCATCTTGATGGTTTTGGGGTAAGGTTCAAGGTTCAATTTCCCCTACTGGAAATTTCTCACCTTTTGGGGTGAGGCTCAGTTTCCCCACTGGAAATTTCTTGTGTTTTGGGGTGAGGCTCAATTTCCCCACTGGAAATTTCTTGTGTTTTGGGGTGAGGCTCAATTTCCTCACTGGAAATTTCTTGCCTTTTGGGATAAGGCTCAATTTCCCCACTGGAAAGTTCTTGCCTTTATTTTTTTTTCCATGTTGCTGAGAGCTTGGGTTATTCCCATACTGAGGAATCATTTCTCACCCCTGAGGCTGCCACAAGGGGGCGGGGCGCGCCTCCTCACGAGACAGAACCAGAGACCATCCCAAGAGGGGAATGCAATCATGGGCGAGCCCCCAAATTGTTATATATAAAGTTTCAATGCCACAAAAGAAATAGCACTCAAATATAAAATTTTAATTCTCAGCGAGGCAAGTTACTTCTATAGAAGGGTGCACCCTTATAGATGGAGCAATGGTGAGCACACACTTGGACAAGGGAGGGGAAGAGGTTCTTATCCCTGACGCACGTGGCACCTGCTGCTGTGTCGTTCCCCTATTGGCTAGGGTTAGACTGCACAGGCTAAAATAATTCCGATTGGCTAATTTAAAGAGGGTGAGGGGGTGGGTGTTTTGGCAGGAAAAAATGGTTAAGCAGGGTGAAGAACGAGTCAGGGCGGAGCAGGTAGCAGGTAATCTGAATAAGTTAGAGTGGAGCAGGTGATTGGAATGAGTCAGAGTGGAGTAGATAATCAGAATGAGTCAGGGTGGAGTAAGTAATCGAAAAAAGTTGCTTTACGAGGAAGTTAAGTTTAAAAGTAGAAGGCAAAGAATTAAACATACTGACATGCTGATTCTTTGAAGAGAAAATTAGAACTTATATCTAACACTAACGTAGTTTTCTATTGAAGAACAACTTTCATGGCCTTTAAATCTTAATGTATATAAAATTTTTTATTTATTTTTTATTTTTTTAGAGACAAAGGCTTGCTGTGTCATCCAGGCTGGAGTTCAGTTGCTTGATCATAGCTTACCACAGCCTTGAACTCCTGGGCTCAAGTGATCCTTGTGCTTCAGCCTCTTGAGTAGCTGGGACTACAGGCTACACACCCGGCTAATTTTCTCATTTTTTTTTTTTTGTAGAGACAGGGTCTTACTATTTCACCCAGGCTGGTCTCAAACTCCTGGCCTCAAGTGATTCTTTCACCTTGGCTTCCCAAAGGAGGTATAAAAATTAAATAAGATGGGCTGGACACAGTGGCTCACACCTGTAATCCCAGCACCTTGGGAGGCCAAGGCAGGCAGATCACTTGAGGTCAGGAGTTTGAGACCAGCCTGACCAACATGGCAAAACCCCATCTCTACTAAAAATACAAAATTAGCCAGGCATGGTGGTGCATGCCTGTAATCCCAGCTACTCAGGAGACTGAGGCAGGGAATTGCTTGAACCTGGAAGGCAGAGGTTGCAGTGAGCCGAGATCGTGCCTTTGCACTCCAGCCTGGGCGATAAGAGTGAAACTTCATCTCAAAAAATAAATAAATAAGATGGAAAGATAGGATAAGGCAGGCATTTTGACACATGAAGCCTGATGCATATCTTCTTTATTATTATTATTATCATCATCATTATACTTTAAGTTCTAGGGCATGTGTGCACAACGTGCAGGTTTGTTACATATGTATACATGTGCCATGTTTGTGTGCTTTACCTGTTAACTCGTCATTTACATTAGGTATATCTCTTAATGCTATCCCTCCCCCCTCCCCCCACTCCACGATAGGCCCTGGTGTATGACATTCCCCACCCTGCGTCCAAGTGTTCTCATTGTTCAAATCCCACCTATGAGTGAGAACATGCGGTGTTTGGTTTTCTGTCCTTGCAATAGTTTGCTCAGAATGATGGTTTCCAGCTTCATCCATGTCCCTACAAAGGACATGAACTCATCCTTTTTTATGGCTGCATAGTATTCCATGGTGTATATGTGCCACATTTTCTTAATCCAGTCTATCGTTGTTGGACATTTGGGTTGGTTCAAGTCTTTGCTACTGTGAATAGTGCCGCAATAAACATACGTGTGCATGTGTCTTTATAGCAGCATGATTTATAATCCTTTGGGTATATATCCAGTAATGGGATGGCTGGGTCAAATGGTATTTCTAATTCTAGATCCTTGAGGAATTGCCACACTGTCTTCCACAATGGTTGAACTAGTTTACAGTCCCACCAACAGTGTAAAAGTGTTCCTATTTCTCCACATCCTCTCCAGCACCTGTTGTTTCTGGACTTTTTAATGATCGCCATTTGAACTGGTATGTGATGGTATCTCACAGTGGTTTTGATTTGCATTTCTCTGATGGCCAGTGATGAGGAACATTTTTTCATGTGTCTCTTGGCTGCATAAATGTCTTCTTTTGAGAAGTGTCTGTTCATATCCTTCACCCACTTGTTGATGGGGTTGTTTGTTTTTTTCTTGTAAATTTGTTTAAATTCTTTGTAGATTCTGGATATTCGCCCTTTGTCAGATGGGTAGATTGTAAAAATTTTCTCCCATTCTGTAGGTTGCCTGTTCACTCTGAAGGTAGTTTCTTTTGCTGTGCAGAAGCTCTTTAGTTTAATTAGATCCCATTTGTCAATTTTGGCTTTTGTTGCCATTGCTTTTGGTGTTTTAGTCATGAAGTCCTTATCCATGCCTATGTCCTGAATGGTATTGCCTAGGTTTTCTTCTAGGGTTTTTATGGTTTTAGGTCTAACATTTAAGTCTTTAATCCATCTTGAATTAATTTTTGTATAAGGTGTAAGGAAGGGATCCAGTTTCAGCTTTCTACATATGGCTAGCCAGCTTTCCCAGCACCATGTATTAAATAGGGAATCCTTTCCCCATTTCTTGTTTTTGTCACGTATGTCAAAGTCCAGATGGTTGTAGATGTGTGGTATTATTTTCAAGGGCTCTATTCTGTTCCATTTGTCAATATCTCTATTTTGGTACCAGTACCATGCTGTTTTGGTACCAGTACCATGCTGTTTTGGTTACTGTAGCCTTGTAGTATAGTTTGAAATCAGGTAGCATGATGCCTCCAGCTTTGTTCTTTTGGCTTAGGACTGACTTGGTAATGTGAGCTCTTTTTTGGTTCCATATGAACTTTAAAGTAGTTTTTTCCAATTCTGTGAAGAAAGTCATTGGTAGCTTGATGGGGATGTCATTGAATCTATAAATCACCTTGGGCAGTATGGCCATTTTCACAATATTGATTCTTCCTATCTGTGAGCATGGAATGTTCTTCCATTTGTTTGTGCCCTCTTTTATTTTGTTGAGCAGTAGTTTGTTGTTCTCCTTGAAGAGGTCCTTCACATCCCTTGTAAGTTGGATTCCTAGGTATTTTATTCTCTTTGAAGCAATTGTGAATGGGACTTCACTCATGATTTGACTCTCTGTTTGTCTGTTATTGGTGTACAGGAATGCTTGTGATTTTTGCACATTGATTTTGTATCCTGAGACTTTGCTGAAGTTGCTTATCAGCTTAAGGAGATCTTGGACTGAGATGATGGGGTTTTCTAAATATACAATCATGTCATCTGCAAACAGGGACAATTTGACTTTCTCTTTTCCTAATTGAATACCCTTTCTTTCTTTCTCTTGCCTGATTGCCCTGGCCAGAACTTCCAACACTATGTCGAATAGGAGTGGTGAGAGAGGGCATCCCTGTCTTGTGCCAGTTTTCAAAGGGAGCACTTCCAGTTTTTGCCCATTCAGTATGATATTGGCTGTGGGTTTGTCATAAATAGCTCTCATTATTTTGAGATAAGTCCCATGAATACCTAGTTTATTGAGAGTTTTTAGCCTGAAGAGCTGTTGAAATTTGTCAAAAGCCTTTTCTGCATCTATTGAGATAATCATGTGGTTTTTGTCTTTGGTTCTGTTTATATGATGGATTACGTTTATTGATTTGTGTATGTTGAACCAGCCTTGCATCCCAGGGATGAAGCCAACTTGATCATGGTGGATAAGCTTTATGATGTGCTGCTGGATTCAGTTTGCCAGTATTTTATTGAGGATTTTTGTATCGATGTTCGTCAGGGATATTGGTCTAAAATTCTCTTTTTTTGTTGTGTCTCTGCCAGGCTTTGGTATCAGGATGACGTTGACCTCATAAAAAGAATTAGGGAGGATTCCCTCTTTTCCTGTTGATTGAAATAGTTTCAGAAGGAATGGTACCAGCTCCTCCTTGTATCTCTGGTAGAATTCAGCTTTGAATCCGCCTGGTCTTGGACTTTTTTTGGTTGATAGGCTATTAATTATTGCCTCAATTTTAGAACCTTTTATTGGTCTATTCAGGGATTCAACTTCTTCCTGGTTTAGTCTTGGGAGGGTGTATGTGTCAAGGAATTTATCCATTTCTTCTAGATTTTCTAGTTTATTTGCGTATAGGTGTTTATAGCATTCTCTGATGGTAGTTAGTATTTCTGTGAGATCGGTGGTGATATCCCCTTTATCATTTTTTATTGCATCTATTTGATTCTTCTCTCTTTTCTTCTTTATTAGGCCATTAGCAAGCTAGAGGCCTATCAATTTTGTTGATCTTTTCAAAAAACCAGCTCCTGGATTCATTGATTTTTTGAAGGTTTTTTGTGTCTCTATTTCCTTCAGTTCTGCTCTGATCTTAGTTATTTCTTGCCTTCTGCTAGCTTTTGAATGTGTTTGCTCTTGCTTCTCTAGTTCTTTTAATTGTGATGTTAGGGTGTCAATTTTAGATCTTTCATACTTTCTCTTGTGGGCATTCAGTACTATAAATTTCCATCTACACACTGCTTTAAATGTGCCCCAGAGATTCTGGTATGTTGTGTCTTTGTTCTCATTGGTTTCAAAGAACATCTTTTTTCCTGCCTTCATTTCGTTATGTACCCAGTAGTCATTCAGGAGCAGGTTGTTCAGTTTCCATGTAGTTGAGTGGTTTTGATTGAGTTTCTTAATCCTGAGTTCTAGTTTGATTGCACTGTGGTCTGAGAGGCAGTTTGTTATAACTTCCGTTCTTTTACATTTGCTGAGGAGTGCTTTACTTCCAACTATGTGGTCAATTTTAGAATAAGTGTGATGTGGTGTTGAGAAGAATGTATATTCTGTTGATTTGGGGTGGAGAGTTCTGTAGATGTCTATTAGGTCCACTTGGTGCAGAGCTGAGTTCAATTCCTGGATATCCTTGTTAACTTTCTGTCTCGTTGATCTGTGTAATGTTGACAGTGGGGTGTTAAAGTCTCCCATTATTATTGTGTGAGAGTCTAAGTCACTTTGTCAGTCTCTAAGGACTTGCTTTATGAATCTGGGTGCTCCTGTATTGGGTGCATATATATTTAGGATAGTTAGCTCTTCTTGTTGAATTGATCCCTTTATCATTATGTAATGGCCTTCTTTGTCTCTTTTGATTTTTGTTGGTTTAAAGTCTGTTTTATCAGAGACTAGAATTGCAACCCCTGCCTTTGTTTTCCATTTGGTTGGTAGATCTTCCTCCATCCCTTTATTTTGAGCCTATACGTGTCTCTGCATGTGAGATGGGTCTCCTGAATACAGCACACTGATGGGTCTTGACTCGTTATCCAATTTGCCAGTCTGTGTCTTTTAATTGGAGAATTTAGCCCATTTACATTTAAGGTTAATATTGTTATGTGTGAATTTGATCCTGTCATTATGATGTTAGCTGGTTATTTTGCTTGTTAGTTGCTGCAGTTTCTTCCTAGCATTGATGGTCTTTACAATTTGGCATGTTTTTGCAGTGGCTGGTACCAGTTGTTCCTTTCCATGTTTAGTGATTCCTTCAGGAGCTCTTGTAAGGCAGGCCTAGTGGTGACAAAATCTCTCAGCATTTGTTTGTCTGTAAAGCATTTTATTTCTCCTTCACTTATGAAGCTTAGTTTGGCTGGATATGAAATTCTGGGTTGAAAATTCTTTTCTTTAAGAATGTTGAATATTGGCCCCCACTCTCTTCTGACTCATAGAGTTTCTGCTGAGAGATTCCCTGTTAGTCTGATGGGCTTCCCTTTGTGGGTAACCCGACCTTTCTCTCTGGCTGCCCTTAACATTTTTTCCTTCATTTCAACTTTGGTGAATCTGACAATTATGTGTCTTGGAGTTGCTCTTCTCGAGGAGTATCTTTGTGGCGTTCTCTGTATTTCCTAAATTTGAATGTTGGCCTGCCTTGCTAGGTTGGGGAAGTTCTCCTGGATAATATCCTGAAGAGTGTTTTCCAACTTGGTTCCATTCTCCCTGTCACTTTCAAGTACACCAATCAGACGTAGATTTGGTCTTTTCACATAGTCTCATAATTCTTGGAGGCTTTGTTCATTTCCTTTTACTCTTTTTTCTCTAAACGTCTCTTCTTGCTTCATTTCATTCATTTGATCTTCAATCACTGATACCCTTTCTTCCACTTGATCAAACCGGCTACTGAAGCTTTTGCATGTGTCACGTAGTTCTCGTGCCATGGTTTTCAGCTCCATCAGGTCATTTAAGGACTTCTCTGCGTTGGTTATTCTAGTTAGCCATTCATCTAATCTTTTTTCAATGTTTTTAGCTTCTTTGCAATGGGTTTGAACATCCTCTTTTAGCTTGGAGAAGTTTATTATTACTGATCGTCTGAAGCCTTCTTCTCTCTACCCGTCAAAGTCTTCCTCCATCCAGCTTTGTTCCATTGCTGGCGAGGAGCTGCGTTCCTTTGGAGGAGAAGAGGTGCTCTGATTTTTAGAATTTTCAGCTTTTCTGCTCTGGTTTCTACCCATCTTTGTGATTTTATCTACCTTTGGTCTTTGATGGTGGTGACGTACAGATGGGATTTTGGTGTGGATGTCCTTTCTGTTTGTTAGTTTTCCTTCTAACAGTCAGGACCCTCAGCTGCAGGTCCGTTGGAGTTTACTGGAGGTCCACTCCAGACCCTGTTTGCCTGGGTATCACCAGCGGAGGCAGCAGAACAGTAAATTTTGCAGAACAGCAGATGTTGCCTGATCATTCCTCTGGAAGCTTCATCTCAGAGGTGCACCCGGCTGTATGAGGTGTCAGTCAGCCCCTGCTGGGAGGTGTCTCCCAGTTAGGCTACTCAGGGGTCAGGGACCCACTTGAGGAGGCAGTCTGTCCGTTCTCAGATCTCAAACTCCAAGCAGGGAGAACCACTACTCTCTTCAAAGCTGTCAGATCAGGACATTTTTTTGCTGATGCGTAACTTCTAAAACTCCCCAAGTTAGGCAGTGCAGCTGAGCCAGGATCTGACATTCATGCTCTGTTCTCAGGCAAGCTTACAAAGCTACATTTTTACCAGTGAGAGCCACAAATATGTGGTCTATTCCACAAATGTTCTTTGCCCAGTCTGAAGGAAAAGACTAGTATGAAGATGATAGTTCCTCCCAGGGTTGATGATCAAAGAACCAGATTCTGTCTACACTGGATCTGGTTGCACTGGCTGACTTGAACTCATCTTGTTCAAGAACAGAGTGAGGCCCAGTTAATGCTGCTGGGAGAAACTGAGTAGTTTGTCTCCAGGTCAAGATGTACAGGAGGTGGTCATTGAGGAAAACAAGTGCCCAACTCATCCAAAAGCTGACCATTGAGAAGACCAAACACCTAAACTGCTTCTGTGGAATTTGAGGATTTGGCCAGGCTATTTCCAATGCAGTGAAAAATTTCCATTTGATTCTGAATAACTGCTTGTAAAACACAAATAAATGCAGCACAGTTTTATAAGTTTTCTTCAATTCTGGCAATAAAGTAAGTGAATTCATTGGAACAATCCCTATGCTAACCTGCTAACCAGCTGACAAACCAGATCAATAGGATACTGTCTACTCCTCTGACAGCTACATTTGTGTCTTACCACCTCTAATTGGTATTTGATTTTAAATCTATTTCCAAAAAAAGTTTTTTAGAAGTTTAAGAAATTTACTATTAATATTAATTTGAAATAATAAATTATAAAATTATAATAATGTGGTATAAACATTTAAAAATGCAATTGAACACATTATAAAGTTGAGAAATAGATCCATATACATACGGAAATTTAGTATAGGCTAAGGTTAGCATTTCAATCAGTAGAAGAAAAATAGTTTATTCAACAAATGGTTAGGGGACAATTATCAAGAAAACAATTTGCAGCCCGGGCAACATAGGGAGACCCCATCTCTACAAAAAAAATTTTTTTTAATTAGCCAGGCATGGTGGCACATGCCTATAGTTCCAGCTACTCAGGAGGCAGAGATGGGAGGATTGCTCGAGCCCAGGAGCTCAATGCTACAGTCAACTATGATAACACCACTGTATTCCAGCCTGTGCAACAGAGCAAGACCCTGTCTCAAAAAAAAAAAGAAAGAAAGAAAGAAAGAAAAAAAGAAAACGATTTGAATCTATAATCACACTTTTATGTTGGAAAAAAATTGAATCATTCAGGTACTAGAGGAAATCATGGGGTAATTTGTTTTTATAATAATCTTAGAAAAGGAAGTGCTTTCTATGTATGAAACAAAATCCAGAATCTGTATCCTGAGTAATAAAGAATTTATTGGGCTTTGTCCCTGGTTCCTGGTTCCTGTGAGTTAATCTCTAACTTCTTGGAATTTCCTGGGTGATAGGAATGTCTTTGTTATTCATGGTATGCCCTCATAGTTTATTCTAATAAGGTGACTCATAGGAGGCTCTTCGACAGTTTCTAAGAGATGACTCGAGACAGAGGCTGGCCACTGAGAGAGAGACCAATTATGTCATTAGAGGGTTGGAATTTGAGCCAAGTGATATCAGCCTGATCTCCAGGGAGGGAAGAGGGGTGACTGGAGACTGAGTTCAGAGGGTGACTAGTGTTTCAATCAATCATGCACACATAATGAAACCCAAAAAAACTCTGAACTTGAAGCTCAAGTGTGTATCCTAGTTGACAGTACTCTGCATATTGTACACACCGATGTGCTCGGAGGATGATGCATCCCATCTCTGCAGGGAGAGGACACCAGAAACTTCCCATCTAGGACCCTCCCAGACCTCTACCTATCTGTCTCTTCTTTTGATTGGTTCTTATTCGTAATCTTTTTGTGATAATAAAACTGTAATTTTTTAAATCATATAGCTCTTCCCTGAATTCTGTTAGTCATTCTAGTGAATTATCAAACTTGAGAGGATCGTGGGAACCCCGAACTTGTAACCAGTTGGTCAGGAGTGAAGGTGGCCTGGGGACCCCTGAACTTGCAGCTGATGCCTGAAGTGAGCCTCATTTCAGACATCAGCTGCAAGCAAGTTCAGGGGTCCCGAGGTCCCCAGGAAGTTTATCCTCACTCTGGGTGCTTATTGTCAGAGGCCATTGCACTGTTTTAAAAAGGACTGATAAAGTTGATAATATTAAACTCAAAATTTTCTACACAGCCTCCTCAGAAGTAATGTAAAAAGACCAGTACAAACTGGGGGAAATGTTTGCAACTCATATCACTGAAAATGACTAATTTTTCTAACAAATAAAGAACATCAGTACTTTGGGAGGCCAAGGCAGGAGGATCACTTGAGCCGAGGAGTTCAAAACTAACGTGGGCAACATTGTGAGACCTCATCCCTACAAAGAATTGTTTTAAAATTGGCCAGGCATAATGGCGTGCACCTGTAGTTCTAGCTACTCAGGAGGCTGAGATGGGAGGATTGCTTGAGCCAGGGAGGTCAAGGCTGCAGTGAGCTATGATCACCTCACTGCACTCCAGGCTGGGTGACAGAGCAAGACCCTGTTTCAAAATAAAAATAAAAGAAAAAAAAAAAAGAACATCTACAATACAAAAAGATGAAAAGCCCAGTGGAAAAAGAAGCTTAATCAAAAAATGAGATATAAATGTCTTTTAAACTTACAAAAAGATGTTCAACATCACCACAATGAGAAAACTGCAAAATGATACTTCCTGACATGCAAAATTTTTACCAGATTAGTAAAAATCAAAAAGTTCAATAACAAACTGTGTGTGGAAGATGTAGGAAGTAGGCACTCTCATTCTTTCTGGTGTAAGTATAAGTCTGTATGTCCTCCAGGAAGGGCAATTTGGCAATAACTATCAAAATATTACTGCAAGCCAGATGCAGTGGTTCATGCCTGCAATCCCAGCACTTTGGGAGGCGGAGGTGGGCGGATCACCAGAGTCAGGAGTTCGAGACCAACCTGTCTAACATAATGAAACCTCGTCTCTACTAAAAATACAAAAATATATATATATATATATGACCAAGCGTGGTTGCGGGCGCCTGTAATCCCAGCTGCTTGGGAGGCTGAGGCAGGAGAATCGCTTGAACCTGGTAGGCAGAGGTTGCTGTGAGCTGAGATTGCACCACTGCACTCCAGCCAGGGCAACAGAATGAGATTCTGTCTCAAAAAATAAAAAATTAAAAAAAATTTTTTTAAACCCAAAATATTACTGCAGATGTCCTTATACGCAGTGGTGTTAGTTTTAGAAACTGATTCTACGGGTATGCTTGCTCGTGTGTAAAATTATTCATATACAAATTATTTATGACAGTATTGTTTCTAGTAGTAAAATATCGGAAATATTCTAAATGTTCATCAGTAGGAGAATGGTCAAATAGTTATGCTACAACCATATAATAAAAATAATTCATATATCCATAACAATAAATGAAGAGGGAAGCTTTTATGTACTTCGTGAAAAATATAGTAAGTGAAAAAGAGGGGTCCAGCAAAGTGGGCATTGTATGCTACTAGTTTGTAAAAATTAAAAATTAAAAAAAAATAGCAGAGGCATATTAGTCTGCTAGGGCTGCCATAACAAATATTACAGACTGGGTGGCTTAAACAACAGAAATTTTCTCTCAACTCTGAAAGCTAGAAATCCAAGATCAGGGTGTCAGCAAGTTTGGTTTTTCCTGGAGCCCCTTGTCTTGGCTTGCAGACGGCCATCTTCTCTTTGTATCTTCATGTGGTTTTCCCTCTGCATGTGTTTGTCTTCATCTCCTCCTCTTATAAGGACACCATATTGGCCTAGGGCCCACCCAAATGACTTCACTTTACCTTAAGTATCTCTTTAAAGGCCCTATCTCCAAATGCAGGACATACTGGGGATTACGGCTTCAGCATAAGAATTTGGGGAATACAAATTCAGTCCATAACAGGGGGCAATAAGGAAGATAGATATACAGATCTATGTCTATATATGCACAAAATATCTCAGATATACACAAGAAACCATTAACATCATTTGACTTCAAGGTGGGGCCCTGTGTGGCTGGAGGAGAGGAGGGAAGGGGGACGTTTCATTATATGCCTTTTTGAAGTGTCTGAATTTTGGATCATTGTTTATATTTTAAAATATACAAATTTAAAAGTGTTTAAATGAAGAGGTTGGATTGGAGTCCAGGACTTCAGACCATATATGGCATCTAGTAGGAAGACTCTTTATGTGCTGATGAAATAACAAGTCCTCACACTCTTCCAGGATAATAATTGCCTGCCTGGCACTTATGTAATGGAGATAAAGCTACTGGAAGCCAATACTATCACAAGATGAATGCTTGCTATTTTAAAAATAAGCACCTGAGCATTTATCTACTTTCACAATCCAATTTTCTGTGACAGCAGCATTTTTCCATCATTAACTTCAATGTGTAGGATAATGCATTTGTAGCTGACAACTATTTTACAAATAGTAAAGAATGTAGCATAATAATGTATGTTCACTCGGGCTAAGACATGAGTAACTGAACATTTTTATAAGTTAGCTATAGCTGAAATAATATGTCCTTTATTGCCACAAGAAGGGGGAATAATAGCTGTGCCTTAATAATCTCAGTGTTAAGAATAAATTTCCCAACACCTCTTAGAAAGGTGAAAGAAGTATAGACAACAGGACTAGAAATACTACATATTTTGAGGAATAGTAATAATAGCTAGTGGTGCAGTTGTTTTGTGCTATATATTTTCAAAGTGCTTTTCACTTGCTCATTTATTCCAACTATTATTTTAAGATAAATTTTAACTCATATTTTATAGATGAAAAAAAATGTGGGGCAGTATAGCAGAAAAATGGTCAGCATTGATTCTGTGTTCATGGAATTCAAAGACTGCGTGGTATGTGTTATATCTAGAGATATTGCCAATTGAGAGAAATTGGATCATTCTTAAATTGGCTGATGGGTCCTCCTAAGTAGCAAGAAAATGTGATTCAGGGTTCAAACCTGAAGTTAAAAAACATGCAAGAGAGGACAAGAACTCCTACACAGTACATGTTTATTTATTTTTTGAGTAATAATTGCAGTGTATTGAGAGTTTTTATCTCACTTTATCTTTACCATGGGAAATACACAGCAAAATTCTCACTTTTACAAATTCTCAAAGAAGCATGATATTAATAATACAATGTATTTAATAATATGAAGACTGTGTTACTTTCTGCCTATGCTATTGAATACTTCAATACATATCTGCAGATGACCCTAAAAACCCACAAAGCCCAAAACTGAAGTCTGTGATAGAATTCCAGTGACAGATAGTAACTGAACATGAAAGCGTTCTTCTTTCCACTCCAAAATTAGCAATTCAGCCATCATCTTGTAGAGCTGAATGGGACAGCCACTCTCCAAGGTTCTGAGGACCTGACAGGGTCCCGGTCTACCCTCCTCATCACAGTATAACGAATGTATTTGCAGACTGAGAACATTCACTCCCTGATATGGTTTGGATTTGTCTCCCCACCCAAATCTCATGTTGAAATGTAATCCCCAGTGTTGGAGGAGGGGCCTGGTGGGAGGTGACTGGATCATGGAGGTACATTTCCCCCTTGCTGGTCTTGTAATAGCAAGTAAGTTCTCAGAAGATCTGGTTGTTTAAAATTGTATAGCACCTCCCCCCTTTTCTCTCTTCCTCCTCCAGCCATGTAAGATGCACCTACTTCACCTTTGCCTTCCGCCATGATTGTAAGTTTCCTGAGGCCTCTCCAGCCATGCTTCCTATGCAGCCTGCAGAACCATGAGCCAATTAAACCTTTCTTTATAAATTATCCAGTTTCAGGTATTTATTTATAGCAGTGCAAGGACAGACTAATACACTCCCTCACTTTGGTTCCAAGTTAAAGATCTGTTTGCAATTATACCATCAGGAATTCACTTGAGTTGCCCATGGACTAGACAGAGATGAGGAGACTGTTCAGGGAATACTTAAACTAATCAAAGCAACTTTACTAACAGGCTTAGCTGAGATACAAGCTCTGAAATATTTGGTGATGGATTCAAAGAATGAGGAGGCCAGGTTCAGTGGCTCACTCCTGTAATCCCAGCAGTTTGGGAGGCCAAGACAGGCAGATCATGAGGTCAAGAGATTGACATCATCCTGGCCAACATGGTGAAACCCCGTCTGTACTAAAAATACAAAAATTAGCTGGGCATGGTGGTGCACACCTGTAGTCCCAGCTACTCGGAAGGCTGAGGCAGGAGAATCACTTGAACCCTGGAGGCGGAGGTTGCAGTGAACTGAGATTGCACCACTGCACTCCAGCCTGGCAACACATCAAGACTCAGTCTCAAAAAAAAAAAAAAATGAAGAATACTATTTTCAAGTTTAATTACATATAGCTACCCTACAAAGATGACCTCCAGGGAACCACACTTTCTGATATTCATGCCTTGGAGAGTCCTCTCCCACACTGAATCCCAGCTGGCCTGTGACTCACATCAACCAAGAGAATGTGGTAGAAATCTTACCATGCCAATTCCAGGCCCAACCTTAAGAGGCTTGGCAGCATCTGCTTCTCATTTCTTGGATCACATGCCTTTAGGAGCTTTTAACTACCATGTGAAAAGTCATATGGAGAAGTCCCAAGACTGGAGGGAGAGAGAGTGGGAGAGAAAGAGAGACAGGGAGGGAGAAGAGGCCCGGTGGAGCTCCAGCTGTTCCCTCCAAGGCTGCATGTGGGTTAATCCTCTTGGACCTCTTCAGCCCAAGCAAGCCCCTGGCCTCACATGAAACAGAAGAACCACACAGCTGAGCTCAGTCAGAATCATGAGAGATAATAAGACATTGTTTGCTTTAGACCACTGAGTTGTGAGGTGGTTTGTTACCCAGAAATAGACAACTGAGACACAGATCCAGACCAATTTCATCAGAAATGTACTAGGCATGTCTGTCTTGTTGCCCACTAGCATCACAAATTCCGCTTGCCCACATTGGAAATAATCATTTCCCCCATGCCCTCTCCACTCCTGTGGTCCTCATAACAATGACTGTACCACCATCCACAGAGTTGCCCAGTGGCCCCCTGGAGGAAAAGGGAGAAACTCATTAAGTTTAAAGCTGAGATGACTGGGATAATCCATCCCCAGGCCTAGCAATGATGGCTTTCTGGAAAAAAAACTTGTTAAATAAATGAATGAACAGATGTCATTCCACAAATTGTCCTGTACTCTCATATTTCTATTTCTCATGCTGCCTCCTTTACTCCCAACACTATCCCACTCATAATTAATTAGCTTAACTCCTTACCTATAAGACCAAGCTAGGGCTGGGTGTGGTGGCTCAAACCTGTAATCCCAGCACTTTGGGAGGCTGAAGTGGAAAGATTGCTTCAGGCCAGGAGTTTAAGATCAGTCCAGGCAGCACAGTGAAACCCCCATCTCTACACACACACAAAAAAATCTTTTTTTTAATTAGCTGGGCACGGTGGCATACACCTTTCTCAGCTACTGGAGAGGCTGAGGTGGGATTATCACTGTGCCAGGAGTTTGAGGTTACAGTGAGTTATGATGGCAACGCTGCACTGCAGCCTGGGTGACAGAGCGAGAGCCTGTCTCAAGAAAAGAAAAAGTCAGAGTTAGAAGTTCCCTTTTCCTGGTGTCTCCCTGCTCACCACCCCACGTCTCCTCTGTGTTCCCAGAACAGCCATGCATACTGAGAGGGCTATGGCATGGTGAATAGCACATACACACAAATGGCACAGCAGCTTCTGCTGCATGCCACGGGATAGCCGTGTCTTAGATGTGTCTCCTGATGTTTCTATCATCACTCACCACTTTGCTTTACACCACTGAAGAAGCTCAGCCGTGAGGGATTTCACTCAAATAAAAAGAATGAGCAGGTACTGCCTAGAACAGTCCTTGATCTGTTTTGAACCAGAAAGTCAAGGCTGACTTTCTGGAGCCTGTCGTGAGACAGCAATCAAGTAATTCAGACTTTGGGATATAAAAAGGGTTTTTTAAACTACTCTTACAGGCTGACTTGAACTAGACAGTTTGGGGTCCAGATAGTCTTACTGACTTTTGGGGGCGCCTCACAGATTGCTGAGGAGCCTGCCATGGGGCTCATGCATAAGGGTGAGCTGACTAGGAGCAAGGCAGTCCCCACCACTAGGGTCAGATGGAGGTCAGGGCTGAGGCTGGGAAGACCTGCAGCTCCCCAAGAGCTGAGGTGGGGTAGAGTCAGACAGGTGAGTTATAAAAGCCCCAGACTCTGTGCTGAGAAACCAGATCCCAAATTATTATAGATCAGCTTCAGATATATCAGTGCCCAGGGCCTGCACGGCTACCAAAAGAATCACGTGGGGGCCAGGTGCGATGACTCACACCTGTAATCCCAGCACTTTGGTAAGCCAAGGCAGGAAGATTGCTTGAGTCCAGGAGTTCAAGAACAGCCTGAGCAGCATATCAAGACCTTGTCTCTACAAAAAATACTAAGAAATTAGCCAGATGTGGTGGCGTGCACCTATATAGTCCCAGCTACTTAGGAGGCTGAGGCAAGGGAATTGCTTGAGTCCTGAAATTCAAGGCTGCAGTCAGCAATGATTGCACCACTGCATACCAACCTGGGTGACAGAGCAGACCCTGTCTCAAAACAACAACAAAAACAACAACAACAACACACAAAAAAAATCAGGTGAGGCCACCCATATAAGAGCAGAGACCACAGACCATCACTTCAGTACCAGGGTCAGTTGGAGCCAAAAGAGAAAAACATGTCAGGAGGAAGTGTAAGTTCTTCCTTAAACTCAGATGCATCTTTGGAAGGAGGAGAAAGATGGAGGAAAGAGGCTAGGTAGGGAGTTGCATTTCAAATTGACTGTTTTAAACTGCAAAAGGCTGGAAGAAGTAGAGATACATTTAAAGGACACATTTAAGTTTGTCCCATCAGCAAGAATCTCACCCAGATCCAGATGAGCTCTGACAGAAATAATAGAGGTGTGTTGGTGTTGCACATCTAAGTGTGCTGCATAAATTTCAACTCCCACTACAATCATTCAGGCTGGGTGACCTTGATCAGGCCATTAATCCCCCCAGGTTGCCGCTTCCCCATCCATAAAGTGAGGATATTAGTACCTACATCAGAGCCACGTGGTGAGGACTCAATGACATAAGATCTCCCAAGAACAGTGCTGGAAGTAGAGTCAGCCCTAAATGTGGCAGGAGTGCCCATTCCGTCTATGATAATTCCACGCAATTTGTATCACTGACTGTCTTCACTATCTTGCGGTCTAGGCATCGCGTTCACTAGATTGTGAGCAACTCAAAGACAGACTATTGTTTTGGTTTTGTGTCTTTGGCGCTGAGCATAGGGTTCGGCGTGTGGTAGGTGCTCATATATGTTTGTTGACTCAATTTCTCTTGACAGGTAAAGATGAGACAGGCTCAAGGCTGGGAGGCCTCCAGAAGGAAGGCTGGCAGCATAGAGAACAAGACTCTCAGAAACTTGAATTGGCCCTGCCACCGGGGGAGCCCTCTCCCTCCCCAGGAGGACCCATCCATCATGCAGGAGTTGACATGGAGCCCTGGGTTTGATGCTTTGGGCCTTACTGGTCAAGGCAGGCCTTGGCCACTGCGGTTCACAAAGGCTGTCAGATGCTAATGACATGAAGATGCTGGCCATCTGCCACTGGAACCTGAACAGCTGCTTGGCAGGGAGAGGCGTGCCATTTCTCCACCAAGAGTCTGAAGAGGAAGCCTCAGGTCTAAGAAATCATGAGCAAAAGCCAGGCAGGAAGGAGTGATGAGGAATTTGCTTGATTGATGGGAATAACTGATCTACTGCATATTTACTCCACGCCAAGCAGTGTGCCCAGACTTTCTGTGTCACCTCATCAAATTTCCAAAACTACTCTCCAGAGAAGATTCAGGATTATGAATCCCAATTTACAAGTGAGAAAATGTCAAGTAATTTTCCCAGGGACACAGAGCTAGCGAGAGATGCAATGGAGACTTGGACCTAGGCAGTCTGACCCCACACTGGGGCAGACCAGAACATGCCACCCCAAAGTATGAAGGATTGCTGAGCTGAAGGCAGTTAGGAAGAAGCAGTTACAGGAAAGCTTCCTGCTCTCCCTCTATTTGCCTAAAATCAAAACATAGATTTACAAAGACAAAAGGTGTACTGGCCACCAACCACTTCTACTGCAGAGAACAAAATTTAACCACTGAAGACAATTTTGGACTCTTATTGGCCTGGAGATGATATATGAAGAATGCTTTACTAACCAACCTTTGGCTGCCATTTATTTGTCTTCTTCCAAGCTCCTACCCCTAGAAAATCAAAGTCTTTTTCCTTGCCTGTAACTTCTCTAAAAGTTTACTGTTCTTATGTTGGTTAAAGTTAAATGGGTATTACTTAGTTTTTACATAAATTGAACATTGAAATAAAAGCACAACAGGGTTATCATAAAACACTAATCTGCTCTTTCACAGAAAATTGTAAAGGGTTATAAAAGGTTTGTGAGAATCTTGCCTTATGGTCAAACTGATTAAAATTAGACAGATTTGTGGAACAGACAAAACAGCATGTGGAGACTCACACTGTGGACTTTTGCTGCAAGAATCACTGCAGGAACATACTAGGAAAACTGAAAGAATTCACAGATCCTTTGAAATAAATAGCTCACTGCTGCAAATTCTGAAAGACACATAAAAAACTGTGAGTCCTCAAAGCATGAGAGGGGGAAAACCTGCCTCTGAACACACATCCCCACTGGGGAATCCGAAAATCCAGATTACAGGAGAAAGATTTAACCTTACCTAGAGCTGAAGCAGATTTAGTGTGAAACATAAATGTAGAAGCAGTCGCAGGAGGAGCCTTCTAGGCACTCCCACTCTCCAGCTCTAGCCCAGGGAAGCCATCCCTGACTCTATGTCATAGGGGCCCTTGGGGAAGGCAGCCAGCAGAATCTGGGAGGGGTCACAGGATGAAAAAAGCTCCCAACTGAACTTTGTAATAATTTTGACCAGGGCAAACTTGCTTGAGCACAATCCGGGGGGTGAATGGGAACCACTACAGAAAGGAGCGCAGGAACCACAGCTGACAGTATGGGTAGACAGGGAGGAAAGAACCCTGAAAGCAATGCTTGCTTTCTCAGCAGGGAAGCTTATAGCCAGGAGCAAGGTCTGAGTCCTGCAAGCAGGCTGCCTGGAGATAAACTTGGTGCTGTTAGTGGGGCATAGCAGGAGCAAGACTGACCTTGCCAGCTGTGTAGGAGCTGGGTGAAGCCTATTGCTACCAGCTTTCCCCCATTCCCTGGAGAGGGAGGCAGCCATAATCCCCCTTGGGAACATAACTCCATTGGCTCAAGAACCACCCCCCATCCACCACAGTGGCCATGGCAAGCCCTGCCCAAGGAGAGTCTGAGCTCAGAACCCCCAACCCTGCCCCATCTGATGGTATTTCTCTACCTGCCCCCATAGCCCAATCATAAAAAAATAAACTCTTAGGAGATTTATGGCCCCACCCATCACCTGGGAAACCAGAGCACTTCCTGTGGTCAATTCAGGGCAAGCTTATATCCTCTACTATTACTGCAGCTGGTGCTCTCTTAAAAGCGCCACCTCCTGACTGGAGGTGAACCAACTCAGGCCATTACAGCAACTCATGACAGAATAACGCTGCTCCAAGGAAGGAGAAAACAACAGCTAATACTACTGCCTGCAACATCTTGGCTAACCAGGGGTCCTGAGTCTGTCCACATGACAACTTCACTGCTAGCCTACATTCAAGAAAGCCAGCACACTAAGCATATCTACAACCAAGGACTTTCACAGAGTCTACTTCACTCCCCTGCCACCTCCACCAGAGCAGATGCTGGTATCCATGGCAGGAAGACCTAAAGAAGGATCACATCACAGGACTCTTTGCAGCACCTCAGCACCAGCCCAGAGCCTGGAGCCCCACTGGGTGGCTAGATACTGAAGAGCAATAACAATCATTGCAGTCTGGCTCTCAGGAAGCCCCATCCCTAGGGGAAGGTGGTGTGGAATACCCTGTGGACAAACGAATCTGAACAGCAGCCCTTGGGTTCCAGATTTTTCCACTGAAATAGTCTACACAAATGAGAAGAAATCAGAAAATTCATTCTGGTAATATGACAAAACAAGGTTCTACAACATCCCCTAAAGACCACACTGGCTCCCCAGCAAGGGATCCAAACCAAGAAGTCTCTGAATTGCCAGATAAAGAATTCAGAAGATTGATCATTAAGCTACTGAAGGAGAGGCCAGAGAAAGGTGAAAACCAACTTAAGGAAATTTTAAAACATACAGTATAATGGATTAAAAATTCTCCAGAGAAACAGATATCATAAAGAAAAAACAATTACAACTTCTGGAAATGAAAGACACACTTAGAGAAATACAAAATGCACTGGAAAGTGTCAATAATAGCCTGGAACAAGTAAAAGAAAGAGCTTCAGAATTCGAAGACAAGACTTTTGAATTAACCCAATTAGACGAAGACAAAGAAAAAAATTTTTTTAATAAACAAAGCCTCCAAGAAATTTGGGATTATTTTAAGTGGCCAAACCTAAGAATAATTGGTAATCCTGAGGAAGAAAAGGAATCTAAAAGTTTGGAAAATTTATTTGAGGAAATAATCAAGAAAAACTTCCCTGGTCTCACTAGAGATCTAGACATCCAAATAGAAGAAGCTCAAAGAACAACTGGGAAATTCATCACAAAAAGATCATCACCTAGGCACATAGTCATTAGGTTATCTAAAGTCAAGACAAAGAAAACAATCTTAAGAGCTGTGAGACAAAAGCATCAGGTAAACTATAAAGGAAAACTTATCAGATTAACAGCAGATTTCTCAGCAGAAATCCTACAAGCCAGAAGGGATGGGGTCCTATCTTTAGCCTCCTCAAACAAAACAATTGCCAGCCAGAATTTTGTATCCAGCAAAACTAAACTTCATAATGGAAGGAGAGATAAAGTCTTTTTCAGACAAACAAATGCTAAGAGAATTTGCCACTACCAAGCCAGCACTATGAGAAATGCTAAAGGAGTTCTAAATCTTGAAACAAAACCTCAAAATAGAACCTCCTTAAAGCATAAATCTCACAGGGCCTGTAAAACAATAACACAATGGAAAAAAAGCAGGTATTCAGGCAACAACTAGCATGATGAATAAAACAGTACCTCGTATCTCAATACTAACATTGAATGTAAATGACCTAAATTCTCCACTTAAAAGATACAGAATGGCAGAATGGATAGAAATCCACCAACCAAGTATCTACTGTCTTCAAGAGACTCACCTAATGCATAAGGAGACACATATACTTAAGGTAAAGGGGTGGGAAAAGATATTCCATGCAAATGGAAGCCAAAAGCGAGCAGTAGTTGCTATTCTTGTATCAGACAAAACAGACTTTAAAGCAACAATAGTTAAAAAGGCAAAGAGGGACATTATGTAATGATAAAAGGATCAGACCAACAGGAAAATATCACAATCCTAAAACATATGCAGCTAACTCTGAAGCTCCCAAATTTATAAAACAATTATTACTAGACCTAAGAAATAAGATAGATGACAACACAATAATAGTGGGGGACTTCAATACTCCACTGAGAGCACTAGACAGGTTGTCAAGACATAAAATGAACAGAGAGCAAATGGACTTAAGCTATACCCTAGAACAAATGGGCTTAACAGATATTTACAGAACATTCTACCCAACAACTACAGAATATACATTCCTTTCATCAGCACATGGGACATTCTCCAAGATAGACCATATGATGAGCCACAAAACAAGTCTCAATAAATTTAAGAAAACTGAAATTATATCAAGTACTCTCTCAGACCCCAGTGGAACAAAACTTGAAATTAATTCCAAAGGAACCCTCAAAACTATACTAATACATGGAAATTAAATAATCTGCTTCTGAATAATCTTTGGGTCAACAATAAAATCAAGATGGGAATTTTAAAATTCTTTGAAGTGAACAATAATAGTGACACAACTTATCAAAACCTCTGGGATACAGCAAAAGCGGTGCTAAGAGGAAAGTTCTCAGCATTAAATGTCTACATCAAAAAGTCTGAAAGAGCACAAATAGATAACCTAATGTCACACCTCAAGGAACTAGAGAAACAAGAACAAACCAAACCCAAACCCAACAAAAGGAAAGAAACAGCAAAGATCAGAGCAGAACTAAATAAAGCTGAAACAAAAATAATACAAAAGATAAATGAAACAAAAGCAGGTTATTTGAAAAGATAAACAAAATTGATAGACCATTAGTGAGATTAACCAAGAAAAGAAAAGAGAAGATCCAAATAAACTCAATTAGAAACAAAATGGGAGATATTACAACCGATACCACAGAAATACAAAAGATCATTCAAAGCTATGAACACCTTTATACACACAAACTAGAAAATCTAGAGGAGATGGATAAATTCTTGGAAATATACAACCCTCCTAGATTAAATCAGGAAGAAATAGAAACTCTGAACAGACCAATAACAAGTAACAAGATTGAAACAGTAATTTAAAAATTGCCAACAAAAAAAAGTCCAGGGCACAAATGAATTCACAGCTGAACTCTGTCAGGCATTCAAAGAAGAATTCGTACTAGTCTTACTGAAACTATTCCAAAAGATACAGAAAGAAGGAATCCTCCCTAAATCATTCTGTGAAGCCAGTATCACCCTAATACCAAAACTGGGAAAGGACATAACAAAAAAAGAAAACTACAGATCAATACTCTTGGTGAACATAGGTGCTAAAATCCTCAACAAAATGCTAGCTAACCAAATGCAATGGAATCTCAAAAAGATAATATATCATGATCAACTGGGTTTCACACCAGACATGCAGGGATGGTTTAACATATGCAAGTCAATAAATGAGATACATCACATAAACAGAATTAAAAACAAAAATCATATGAAAGTTTCAATAGATGCAGAAAAAGCATTTGACAAAATTCTAGTATCCCTTTATGATTAAAACCTTCAGCAAAATCAGCATAGAGGGACATACCTCAAGGTAATTAAAGCCATCTATGACAAACCCACAACCAATATGATACTGAACAGGTAAAAGTTGAAAGCATTTCCCATGAGAACTGGAACAAGACAAAGATGCCCACTTTCACCCCAGCTATTCAACATTGTACTGAAAGTCCTAGCCAGAGAAATCCAACAAGAGAAAAAAATAAAGGGCATCCAAATCAGTAAAGAGGAAGTCAAACTGTCACTCTTTGCTGATGATATGATTGTATACCTAGAAAACCCTAAAGACTCATACAAACTGATAAATGAAGTCAGCAAAGTCTCATGATACAAAATCAATGTACACAAATCAGTGACACCAATATACACTAACAATGACCAAGCTGAGAATCAAATCCAGAACTCAACCCCTTTTACAGGTGCAAAAAAAAAAAAAAAAAACTTAAGAATATACATAATCAAGGAGGTGAAAGATCTTTACAAGGAAAACTAGAAAACACTGCTGGAAGAGGTCATAGGTGACACAAACAAATGGAAACACATCCCATGCTCATGGGATGGGTAGAATCAATATTATGAAAATGACCATACTGACAAAAGTAATCTACAAATTCAATGCAATTCCCATAAAAATACCATAATCGGAACTAGAAAAAACAATCCTAAAATTCACAGGGAACCAAAAAAGAGCCCACATAGCCAAAGCAAGACTAAGCAAAAAGAACAAATCAAGGCAACACATTACCTGACTTCAAACAATACTAAAAGGTTATAGTAACTAAAACAGCATGGTACTGGTATAAAAATAGAGACATCGACCTATGGAAGAGAATAGAGAACCCAGAAATAAAGCCAAATATTTACAGCCAACTAATCTTCAATAAAGCAAACAAAAACCTGAAGTAGGGAAAGGAGCCCTATTCATCAAATGGTGCTGAGTAATTGGCAAGCCACATGTAGAAGAATGAAGCTGGATTCTCATCTCTCACCTTACACAAAAATCAATGCAACATGGATCAAAGACTAAAATCTAGGCCGGGCGCGGTGGCTCACGCCTGTAATCCCAGCACTTTGGGAGGCCGAGGCGGGCGGATCACGAGGTCAGGAGATCGAGACCATCCCGGCTAAAACGGTGAAACCCCGTCTCTACTAAAAATACAAAAAATTAGCCGGGCGTAGTGGCGGGCGCCTGTAGTCCCAGCTACTTGGGAGGCTGAGGCAGGAGAATGGCGTGAACCCGGGAGGCGGAGCTTGCAGTGAGCCGAGATCCCGCCACTGCACTCCAGCCTGGGCGACAGAGCGAGACTCCGTCTCAAAAAAAAAAAAAAAAAAAAAAAAGACTAAAATCTAAGACCTGAAACCATAAAAATTCTAGATGATAACGCTGGAAAAACTCTTCTAGACATCGGCTTAGGCAAAGAGCTCATGACCAAGAACTCAAAAACAAATGCAACAAAAACAAAGATAAATAGTTCAGACCTAATTAAACTGAAAAGCTTCTTTACAGCAAAATAAATAATCAGTGAAGAGATAACCCACAGAGTGGGAGAAAATATTCACAAACTATGCATCTAACAAAGGACTAATATTCAGAATCTACAGGGAACTCAAACAAATCCAAAAGAAAAAGCAAATAATCCATCAAAATGAGCAAAAGACATGAATAGACAATTCTCAAAAGAAGATACACAAACGGCCAACAAACATATGAAAAAATGTGAGGCTGGGTGCGGTGACTCATGCCTGTAATCCCAGCACTTTGAGAGGCCGAGGTGGGAGGATCACCTGAGGACAGGAGTTTGAGACCAGCCTGACCAATATGGTGAAACCCCATCTCTACTAATAATACAAAAATTAGCCGGGCATGGTGGTATGCACCTGTAATCCCAGCTACTCAGGAGGCTGAGGCAGGAGAATTGCTTGAACCCAGGAGGAAGCAGAGGTTGCAGTGAGTGGAGGTTGCACCACTGCACTCCAGCCTGGGAGAAAGAATGAGACTCTGTCTAAAAAAAAAAGAAAAAGAAAAAATGCTCAATATCACTAATTATCAGGAAAATGTAAATCAAAACAACAGTGAGATACCACCTTACCCTGGCAAGAATGGCCATAATTTAAAAATAAAAAAAATAACAGATGTTAGCATGGATGTGGTGAAAAGGGAACACTTATACACTGCTGGTGGGAATGTAATCTAGTACAACCACTATGGAAAACAGTATGGAAATTCCTTAAAGAACTAAAAGTAGAACTACCATTTGACCCAGCAACCCCACAACTGGGTATCTACTGAGAGTAAAAGAAGTCATTATATGAAAAAGACACTTGTACATGCATGTTTATAGCAGCACAATTCACAATTGCAAAAGTATGGAACCAGCCTAAACGTCCATCAACCAACAAGAGGATAAAGAAACGAGTGGTATATATATGAATACTAATCAGCCATATACCACATTATATATATATGGTGTGTGTATATATATATACACACACACACACACACCATTATACATATAATGGTATATATATTATTTTATATATATGGTGTATCTATATATTCCATACATATGGTGTATATATATATATATATTCCATATATATAATATATATGGAATGGAATACTACTCAGCCATAAAAAGAAGTGAAATAATGCTATTTTCAGTAACCTGGATAGAGTTGGAGATGATTATTCTAAGTGAACTCAGGAATAGAAAACCAAACATCATATGTTCTTACTTATAAGTGAGAGCTAAGCTATGAGGACACAAAGGCATAAGAATGATATAATGGACTTTGGGGACTCAAGGGTAAGGGTGGGAGTGGGGGAGGGATAAAAGGCTACACACATTGGGTACAGTGTACACTTCTCAGGTGACAAGTGCACCAGAATCTCAGAAATCACCACTAAAAAATTTTTCCATGCAACCAAACACCACCAGTTCCCAAAAACTTTTGAAATACATTTTTAAAGTAATTTAAAAAAATTAGATAGATTTTTCTATAAGATTTTATTAAGAACTAGGTTTGACATCAATAGTACACTAATGCAAAGGTGAATTTTGGCTTTCTCTGTTGAATAAGATTCTTTGTAATATGAGGAAAATAATGAAAGATTTTTGTTTCCTCTTTGAATAAACTACATGAAAAAGAGTGGAAAGCAAAAAGACAGATTGTTTGGAAAGCTCAGTCTTCCTTCTATCAATGAGTAAATGTTTTTGCCTTTTTAAAATCTTTAAATTATCATTTTAGCAAAATAAATGACTTACAGTGACCTGGGATTCTATTTTATAATATCAAGCGTTTTGAACCTTTGATATTTGACAAACTTCCCAAAATCAAATTATAAATTATGTCTTTTTCTGATCTAATTGATCTTTTAGATATTGGGTTGCCTAAAGTCCAAAGATGACATATATTTGACTTATTTGGTATATTAAAATCATACAGGAAGCATTGTTGGGTATGAAATGGTGTTTGGCTTTCTTTGGGCTGTATTTGTATAGATGTGTTATTGGTATGTGTTCCAAAATTATGGGAAGCTCCTATAATTCTGATATGACTTAGTATATATTGTCAGGAATAATTATGATTGTTTTGTTGATTATTGTGTGCCACAGAGGTAACCAAATTTCCTTGTCAATTGTGTCTTTGAGTATGGCTGTCCTAAGTCTTTTTGTCATCCACAGACAATATTTGTCTTGTTTTGATCCTCTTTAAAAGGAGGTGTAGGCCGGGCATGGTGGCTCACACTTATAATCCCAGCACTTTGGAAGGCTGAGGTGGGCTGATCACAAGGTCAGGAGATTGAGACCTTCCTGGCTAACATGGTGAAACCCTGTCTCTACTAAAAATACAAAAAAATTAGCCAGGCATGGTGGTGGGTGCCTGTAGTCCAGCTACTTGGGAGGCTGAGGCAGGAGCATGGCATGGACTCAGGAGGTGGAGCTTGCAGTGAGTCAAGATCATGCCACTGCACTCCAGCCGGGGTGAGAGAGCAAGACTCTGTCTCAAAAAAAAAAAAAAAAAATGGTGGTGTATAATCAGTTATAGGACTCTGACAAGTGCCTTTGAATGTAGATCTCTGATGACTTTGGAAAGTGTGCCATGAAAATAGAGAAGAAATAACTTCCAAGACTCTCTTGGAAAACTACTGTGTTCATGAATGTCAAACAGAAGAGGAATTAATTGCATAGACTGAACTAGTAAAAGATTGAAATAGTTTTTTCATGACTTCCTGCTTGAAATACTGTTGATCCTTTCTGTTTTGTTTTTCAGAGTCAAGAAAACTTTTTGGGGGTTGCTATTTACAGCTTTTGGCAATTGAGTGGAGTATATGCCTATGAGCAAAATTTGGAGCATATCTCCTTCTACCTGATTTCTCCAGAATTTGAAAACTATTCATGAGTATTCTTAACTTATGGCAATATAGTTATTTACGTAAGTGCAATAATAATCTGTTTTCTTTGTAACAGGACACAATTGGAGAAACTGGTTATTTTACCAGGGCCTTGGCTGGAATGGTATTCTTTTAAATATAAACAGACTGCTTTAAGGAATCAAAGTTGACTTATAGAGCCAATGAAAGCCCCTAGGGAAAGCTAGCCTCATTCCTTGTCTACACAGTCTCTGTCCAAGGTTCCTGACCTGCGGTAGATGAAGAATAAAGAATGTCACTTTCTGACAGGCCCAGGAGCTGCAAGTTATCTTGGGACCTCAAGAGGTGAGGAATTTACCCCTCAGGCAGTTATTTGCAAGTACAAACCCATGGCTGGGCTCAAGGCTTTGAGAGGTCTAATCTGAGATTCCTTGTAGAACAAAGTTCCATCAAAGCCAATTTTAAAAAGGCCTGTATGGTGAATAATTATTCTTGATGCACTTTATACAAATAATCAGGCCAAATGTAGTCAGGTTAAAACTTATCTTGCAAACAAATCAGTCTACCATGATTTGTTTTTAATAAAAATGGGGGTTGGAGAGAGAAAATTTGTTTAAAAAGACTATGGTACACCTGTTGTTACATTCTGGTCTTGTCCATTGTTTTTTATTTTTTTCCTGCAATTTAGGCTGACCCACTTTGTTTCTGTGAACCAACCAGTGATCTCCAGCTGTTGCTGAAAAGAAATAAGGGAGATGTGTAACACAAAAATCTGGATCAGTATTCTAATTCTGGCCGTGTATTGGAATCAGCTAGCAACCTCATATCAGCTTGGTTCCAACAACTACCCAGTTAATGGAAAGCCTTCTTATTTAGTTCACTTGGGATCATCTTACTTATTTTGCTTACTGTTGTGGACTATATTGCTGTTATACTCTTTGTTTAGAAATGCAAGATAAGCTTACTCAATGTTTTCTTAAATTGAACACATTGATCTTCCAGATATCACCTTTTGTCAGAACTCAGAGTTATGAATGGCCCTCAGCATACCAACACTTTCTGACTGAGCTCCTCTCTACCCTGGATATAAGAGACCCCAATAGTTAGGCGGGAATATCATTGCCCCATTCAGCCTGAAGAAGTTACAGAAGATGGATCTTCATCCCTCTGCAACCCTTAGGATTGAGAGTCCCCTTTTAAAAGGGAGGGGGGAAGTATGTTAGAGGTGTTCAAACCAGAGGAACTCCATCTTGAGTAGAAGCTGGTTAAAATAAAGCTAAGACTCGTTGCACCGTATTCATAGGAGGTTAAGCATTCTTAGTCACAGGATGAGATAGGAGGTTGGCAGGACTGGTATCACAAGATACAGGTCATACAGATTCTGCTGACAAAACAGAATGCAGAAAAGAAGCAGGCCAAATTGCACCAAAATGAAGAGGGTGACAAAAGTGACCTCTGGTCATCCTCACTGCTCATTATACACTACCTATAACACATTAGCATGCTAAAAGCACCATGATAGTTTACAGATGCCATGGCAATGTTCAGAAGTTGCCCTATATAGTCTAAAAGGGGGAGGAACGCTCAGCTCTGGGAATTCCCTACTCCTTTCCTGGAAAACCCATGAATTGCCCACCCCTTATTTAGCATATAATAAAAACAAAAACCATAAGTATATTCAGTCAGGCAGTTCATACTGCTGTTCTATTGAGGAGGCATTCTTCTGTTTCTTTACTTCTCTAACAAACTTGCTTTCACTTTTAAACGAATTTAGTGTTCTTTGTTGAGGATGCTATATAAGCTGAAATCAAAGCCACTTCTTTGAGAACTACTCAATTTCTGAGTGACTCCAAGTGTATCTGAAACAAACATGTGAATAAACTTTTGGGTTTTTTTTCTTGTTACTCTGTCTTTTGTAATTGAAGTCTGTTCCAACTAAGAACCTATGGCTGTTACTATTTTTCTTCAGCATGATACAGGGGACCCACCAAGGAGAGGGCCACATGACACCACATGTGCTTCTCATCAGCCTTAGAATACTCTCCAGCTGGGACATATTCCTGTGTCTCATCTTTCCTACTAGACCAGAATTTGCCACATCTATTTTCTTTTTAGTCCACCCGACACACCTACCCTCCACCCCTCCACACATACACTACACATGTGCAAACATCTCTAATTAAATTAGACTATAGAGGGCTTTGGGATGGAGGGAGGTGCTAGGACCCCAAGCCCTGCTCTGCCTGTAAGCAGCAGTTCACTGACCCATTTGCTTTTCTGACAAATGTGACTTGATAACCCCTGAGAGCATCCAGCTCTAACAGTCTATAATCCAGTAAATTGCTACCCAAAATGATTCTGTTTCACAGGACTGTGTCCAGCCTATGTGCAGATTATCAACCCCCAGGTAGGCTCTGGGAAAGAAAAACTGACAGCCACCTACTTTGCAAACCCTGAGGCTGTGGTTTATATAAATAGGGACTGGTGTGACTTGAAAGCCTATATTCCTAAGGCCAGGCACAATGGCTCATGCTTGTAATCCCAGCAGTTTTGGAGGCCAAGGTGGGAGGATTGTTTGAGGCCAGGAGTTTGAGACCAGCCTGGGCAACATAGCCAGACCCCAGCTCTACAAAAATTAATTAAAATAAAGCATTAGCCAGGTGTGATGGTGTACACCTGAAATCCCAGCTACTTAGGAGGCGGAGGTAGGAGGATCACTTAGGCCCTTCAGTTTGAGGCTGCAGTAGGCTGTGATTGTATGACTGCACTCCAGGCTAGGTGACAGGATGAGACCTTGTCTCTAGAAAAAAAAAAAAAGAAGAAAATGTGTGTTTCCTGTCAGCAGCCTTTACCCAGAAATGTCATGAGATCGCCTCACTGGGCAGCAGACAAATTATATCAACTCTATCCATTACACAAATACTCCAGACCACAGGGTAGCAAAATATAAGAAAGATTTATTAAGGGAATAAAATATCCAAAAACTTAGACTTATGCCATGGCAAATCAAACCCTTTTCCTAAGTGCAGCTCACGTTTTTTCCAAAGCACTTTTTTGTGCCACCTCCATACTTCCTGGTGCCTTGACAGAGAAGCTACGTCCTAAACAGTTTCCTCAATTTGCAGTCCCTGGGGACTCCAGAGAGACGGCATTGACAACAGCATGTAATATTGATGCTCAAATCAATGTTTTAAACATTGAGCTCCAAAATGAATAAGACTAAGGAAAATAAGCAGCCCAATTTCTATTTCTTCAATCTTTGAGCAGGAGCAAACCAGACTTTTTGGCCAAATTCTTAGATTTTTAGCAGAGCAACAAGAATGTTGACACCTAACAACTTCTGAAGGACCTACGGAAATTGCTCAACAAGAGGGGACAAATGTGTGGGCTGTTCAGGTAACTTGAAGCCCTAGGGAGCACTTCCTCCTGCCACACCGGCAGGTTAAGAGCCTGTTTGTCACAGGCCAGGCCTCATTCATCATTACCCGGGTGCCGTCTCCTGACATCAGTGAGTTTTCGGCCCCTTGACAGCACCTGTCTGGCAGCCTGGGCTATCAGCTGCTCTCCTGTCGCTCTGGCTGAGCACAGGGGACAGCCTTGGCCCAGCCCTGTGGAATCTTCCAGTCCACGCCCTCCTCCTCCTGGCAGCCCGGCACACACACACAACCTCGAGGGGACAAATGAGCAGTCAGTTTAGTTTCTCTGCATTCAATGGGAGGGCACCAGATGGAAGGCCACAGAATGCACCAAGCCAGGGTCTTTGCGGGGAGGTGGGCTGTTGGGGGGCTGTCACCATAACAACAGGAAAAGCACTGCTGAAGTTTCTATTTTGGTGCTGCCACTAATTACTACGAATATTTCATTCGGCCCTGTGATCAGCCATCCCCAGAGCCGCCTGTTACCGGCAGATGGCTTGTTTTCTTCTCTCTAGAAAGTTAGCCAAAGACCACAGTTGTGTTTGGTTGTTTCATTCTTTTTTAAAACACTGAGTGGCTTAAGAATGCTTTGTTTTTGCATTTTATTGTAAAAGTCAGATACCTCTAGATTTTCTCCAAACAAACACTATTCTGGGAAATAAAAGGCAGGCCTAGTAGCATTGACTAATTTAGTGTTTAAATATATGTATGAGTGAGAAAAAGGATAGTTACGCCCTTATGAGTAGAAATACTTAGCAGATCTGACAAGTATATCCATATGGGGTTATTTTTAGAAGTTCAACTTTCCCCATTCTTTTTTTTTATTTTTTAAGAGTTAAGGTCTCGTTCTGTTTCCCAGACTAGAATGCAGTGCCACAATCGTAGCTCATTGCAGCCTTGAACTCCTGGGCTCAAGTGATCTTCCTTCCTTAGCCTCCCTAGTAGCTGGGACTACAGGTGTGAGCCACTACATCCAGCTAAATTTTTTTATTGAGATGAGTTCCAGCTATTTTGCCTAGGGTAGTCTCGAACTCTTGGTTTCAAGAGATCCTCCAGCCTTGGTCTCCCCAAATGCTAGGATTATAGGCATCAGCCACCACACTCAGCCTTCCTATTTATACACTAAAAATTTTAAGTGAAACCCTGTCTCTACTAGAAATGCAAAAATTAGCTGGGCATGGTGGTGCATGCCTGTAATCCCAGCTACTCAGAATAAGGGAGGAGACCACCCCTCATATTGTCTTATCCCCAATTTCTGCCTCCAAAGAAAGAAGAAGTAAAGACTAAAAGGCAGAAATGAAATCCACAAGCAGATAGCCCGGCGCCACACCCTGGGCCTGGTAGTTAAAGATAGACCCCTGACCTAATCGGTTATGTTATCTATAGATTACAGACATTGTATAGAAAAGCACTGTGAAAATCCCTATCCTGTTCTGTTCTGTTCTAATTATTGGTGCATGCAGCCCCCAGTCACGTACCCCATGCTTGCTCAATCAATCATGACCCTCCCACACGGACCCCCTTAGAGTTGTGAGCCCTTAAAAGGGACAGGAATTTCTCACTCAGGGAGCTCGGTTGTTGGAAACGTGAGTCTTGCCGAAGCTCCCAGCTGAATAAAGCCCTTCCTTCTTTAACTCGGTGTCTGAGGGATTTTGTCTGTGGCTTCTCCTGCTACATTTCTTGGTTCCCTGACCAGGAAGCGAGGTGATTAACAGATGGTCAAGGCAGCCCCTTAGGCAGCTTAGGCCTGCCCTGTGGAGCATCCCTGAGGGGGACTCTGGCCAGCTTGAGCAACATGGATCCTGAGAGCGCTCCTGGGTAGGCAATTGCCCCAGTGGAACACCTTGCCAGAGGAGCACGTGGCAGGCCCCCATGGAGGATCAACGCAGTGGCTGAACACCGGGAAGGAACTGGCACTTGGAGTCCAGACATCTAAAACTTGGTAAGACTAGTCTTTGGAACTTGCCCACTCCATTTGGGTGGAAAGGTGACCTGATCACCTACGGCGTGCCTGTACCAGCACTTTGGTTTTTGTTTTTGACTTGACTTGGATTACTTGATACTTTGGTTTTGGTTTTGACCTGGCTTGGATTTCTTGATACTCCGATTTTGGTTTTGATTCTGGTTTGGTGTAAACTGTAAAAGTGTGTGTGCCCTTTTCACCCGTTCTTTGTTTTGTGGTGTGTGTGTGGTGTGAGTGTGTTGTTTTGTCTCAAAGAAGCATAGGTCAGACACAAAGTCAGCCCATCCCACTATGAACTATGTTGAAAAATTTCAAGAAAGGATTTAAGGGAGACTATGGAGTACTATGACACCAGGAAAACTTAAAACTTTGTGTAAGATAGACTGGCATGTGCATTAGAGGTGGGTTGGCCATCAGAAGGAAGCCTGGACAGGTCCCTTGTTTCAAGGGTGTGGCACAAGGTAACCTGTAAGCCAGGGCACCCAGACCAGTTCCCATACATAGACATTTCATTACAGCTGGTTTTAGCCCCCCCACCAAAGTGGTTGAGAGAACAGCAGGATAAGCAGCTGGCAGAGGCAAGGAAAGACCAGCAGAGAGGGAAAGAGGAAGAGACAGAGAGACAGAGAGAGAGTCAAGGAAAGAGAGAGAGAAAGAGAGAGGCAGAGAGAGAGAAAAGGACAGAGGCAAAAGGAAAGTCAAAGAGAGAAAGAGACAGAAAATCAAAGAGAGAAAGAAAGAGAGAGATATACAAGTATTTAAGAAAAAAAAACAGTGTACCCTATTCCTTTAAAAGCCAAGGTAAATTTAAAACTTATAATTGATAGCAGAAGGTATTCTCCATAACCCTATAACACCCCAATACCACTTTGTTGTCAGTGTAAACAAGGGCATATCCTGAAAGCACTGAGGCCTTCCTATCAAAAATCCTTAACCCAGTAACCCGCGGATGGCCCAAATGCATTCAGTCTGTAGCGGCAACTGCTTTGCTAACAGAAAAAAGTAAAAAAATAACTTTTAGAGGAACTTTCATTGTGAGCACACCTCACCAGTTCAGAAGTATCCAAAGGAAAAAAAAAAAAAAAAAAAAAGGATGACTTAACATTAACCACTGAAAATTCCCTTAACCCAGCAGCTTTCCTAATAGGGGATCCAAATCATAATTACCATACAAAAGTCTGACCAGACCTAGGAGGAACTCCCTTCAGGACAGGACGATTGATGTTTCCTCCCAGGTAATTGAAAGAAAAAAAAAAAAATGCCATCTGTACCAATTCTAAGTTAATTTGGACAAAACAAGGTCATACTAATAGCAAAGGATAATTAAAATCCCAAACTTACAAGGTGTTCAACAAAAGTAAAGTTTGCTAAAAGTTAACAGTGTAACATGTACTATAGTAACTTCTAATCTTGTGGCCTTAGACAGTCAAGTCCACAGGCATAAAAGAAGTTCACTTTGGAAAAGAATGGTTATCATCTTCGAAAAAAAAAGGGAAAAAAAGGCTGGGGAAGAATTTATGTAAAAAGAGTTTTATATGGTAAATTCTTGTCCTGAAATAAATTAACTGGTTGTTTAAAGAAAGAAATGTTTGTAATAAGTCAGAAAGTTGAGACATGTCAAAGAATTGTCTGTGACAGTCACGAAAGAGAAAAATGTTATAAAAAAAGAATTTATGCAAGAAATGTTGTATAATTTAAAAGTAGTAGGCCTCCTGAATGTAAAACTATTGAAAAAAAAAACAGTTTATGTGCAAGGTGTATAAGAAAAGTAAAATATACCTTTGGTAAAAGGATTATAAGAAGGCATAAGAATGTAAATTTTACCTACATTAAAAGGTTAAAAAAATTTTTTTGTTTTGAAAGTTTAAGCAAGTTTTAAAACGTTAATTATAAAAGAATTCTGTGTTATTATTAGCTAAAGTTAAAGAGCTATCATCAGTTTTTATGTGAACTGGACATTAAAGTAAAAACACAATGGGTTTTTCTTAAAGCACTAACCTGCTCTTTAACAAAGATTATAAAAGGTGAAAAAGAGTCTATAAAAATCTTACCTTATGGTTTGACATTAAATATTGAATAAATATGTATACAAAATTTTATTAAAACTAAGTTTAACATTAATAGCACACTAATATAAAGATGAAATTTAGCTTATCTGGTATAAAAGTCATACAAGAAGCATTATTAAATATAAAATGGTGTTTGGCTTTCTTTGGTCTAAAAACAAATAAAAATAGGTGCTAAAGGAAATTTCTCAGTAAGAAGGCACCAAAGACTATAAAGTCCACTGTTGATGTCCCCACATTTAAAACAAAAAGTCAGTTTCTTAGAAATTGTATACTTGGTGTATCTTCCACTTTCCTTTCCCTCAAAACTGAAAGTCTTTTTGCACAGGTACCACCCCTAGAATTTCCAGTAAACCAGCACCAGCCTGAAGATCACCTTCTAATCAGAGGGTGGAAAGAAGAAAAACTCATGCCAGCCTAGGAAGGACCCTACCTTGTGCTGCTAACCACCAAGACTGCTGTTCATACAGTGGAAAAAGGATGGACTCACCACACTTAAGTCAAAGCGCCACCCCCTCCAGAGTCATGGGCCACAGTCCCAGGGGAAAACCCTACCAAACTAAAGCTAAGAAAAATCTCTCTCTTTCACCTATTCTATTACTCTTTCTTCTTTCCTCGCTCTATTGCTGACCATCTGGTTATTAACATAACCAAGTCAATTTCGCCTCAAACTATTGCATTTAATACTTGCCTTGTTATACCCTGTGGGGACCTGCCAAGTCGAAGACAGCTCTCTACTTCAGAAAAGTACCTCTGTCCCTCCTGACTCTCCTCAGACTGGGCATTAGTAAATTAGGACCATTTAATCCAGGGAAATTTTGATAAAGACTCCAGTGTCAACCAGGAGTCTTGTTGCCCAATGTAGAGCTTTTATGCCATAGTTGGTCCAACATTCTGTGGACTGCTAAAGAGCAAGGATGGACTGCCCCAACCAGTTTCTGTAATTTCCCAAACATACATTCATTTTACTAGAGGATCATAGAAGTTAAAAACTTAAAACAAACTTTGGCAATTAAGACAGCATACCAAGATGCAAACGCCTGGTTGGAATGGATCAAATATGCCATCCGCACGTTAAACAAAAGCAGTTGTTATGCTTGTGCACATGGCAGGCCAGAGGCCCAGATTGTCCCCTTTCCACTAAGGTGGTCCTCCAGTCTACCAGGTGTGGGCTGCATGGTAGCTCTTTTCCAGGATTCTACAGCCTGGAGTAATAAGTCGTGCCAAGCTATCTCTGCTATATCCCAAAGTCAGGCACCCTGCGGGTCATGACAGGGAGGAAACTTTGCATTTCTTGGAGCCCTGAAAGGATGCAGTCAGCTTAAAAATTTTCAAGAGCTTATCAATCAGTCAGCCCTTGTTTATTCCCTAGCGGATGTGAGGTCGTATTGTGGTGGACCTTTACTGGGCACTCTGCTGAATAACTGGAGTGGCACTTGTACTTTAGTCCAATTGGCTATCCCTTTCACCCTGGCATTTCATCAACCAGAGGGAGGGAAAATAAGACATTGGAAAGAGAGAGAAGCCCCTTATAGGTCTTTCGACTATACGTCCATTTAGACGTAATTGGAGTCCCACGGGGAATACCAGATCAATTTAAAGCTTGAAATCAAATAGCTGCAAGATTTGAGTCAATATTTTGGTGGGTGACAGTTAACAAAAATGTAAAGTAGATGAACTACATCTATTACAACCAACAGCAACGAGCTTTTCATGAGTTAAAAGAAAAACTCATGTTGGCCCCAGCCCTGGGGATACCCGACCTGACAAAACCCCTTACACCCTGTGTGTCAGAAAGAGAAAAAATGGCAGTTGGAGTTTTAACCCAGACTGTAGGTCCCTGGCCAAGGCCAGTGGTCTATCTCTGAAAACAACTAGACAGTGTTTCCCAAGGCTGGCCCCCATGTCTAAGGGCCCTGGCAACAATGGCCCTGTTAGCACAAGAAGCAGATAAACTAACCCTTGGGCAAAACCTGAATATAAAGGCCCCCCATGCTGTGGTAACTTTAATGACTACCAAAGGGCATCATTGGTTAACAAATGCTAGATTAACCAAGTACCAAAGCTTGCTATGTGAAAATCCCCGCATAACCACTGAAGTTTGCAACACCCTAAACCCTACCACCTTGCTCCCGGTATCAGAGAGCCCAGTTGAACATAACTGTGTAGAAGTGTTGGACTCAGTTTATTCTAGCAGGCCAACCTCTGAAACCATCCTTGAACATCAGTAGACTGTGAGCAGTACGTGGATGGGAGTAGCTGCGCCAGCCCCTGCAAAGTGACTCTGAAGAAGACAACAAGCTCTGCTCCAGTCACGCTTGGAAGCTGACTGGTCCACACACGGCCGAAGCATGAGAAAACTCATCGTGGGACTCATTTTCCTTAAAATTTAGACTTGTACAGTAAGGACTTTAACTGACTTTCCTAAGACTGAGGACTGTTCCCAGTGTATGCATCAAGTCACAGAGGTAGGACAAAAAGTTGCTACAGTCCTATTATTTTATGATTATTGTAAGTGTACTGGGACTCTTTAAAAAAAAAACTTGTTTGTATAATGCTATTCTATGCAAGGTATGTAGCCCAGGAAATGACCAACCTGATGTGTGTTATGACCCATCTGAGCCTCCCATGACCACAGTTTTTGAAATAAGATTAAGGACTGAGGACTAGTGGGGGCTCATAAATGATACAAGTAAAGTGTTAGCCAAAACAAAAGAAAAAAGGGTGCCCAAACAAGTCACCTTGAAGTTTGATGCCTGTGCTGTCATTAACAGTAATAAATTACAAATAGAATGTGGTTCTCTTAATTAGGAAAGAGGCTATATGGCAGAAAATAAGTACATTTGTCATGAATTAGGACTGTGTGGAAATGAATGTGGATACTGGTCTTGTGTCACTTAGGCTACTTGGAAAAAAAATAAAAAGATCCTGTCCACCTTCAGAAAAGAAGAAGTGGCCCTTCCTGTACCAGTGGTCAGTGTAACCCCTTAGAACTTGTAATAACCAACCCCCTTGATCCTCGCTGGAAAAAAGGGGAGCATGTAACCCTAGGAATCAAAAGGGCTAGACTAGATCCTCGAGTAAATATTGTGGTTTGAGGAGAAGTTTATAAATGCTCTCCTGAGCCAGTATTTCAAACCTTCTATGATAAACTGAACGTGCCAGTACCAGAAATTCCAGGAAAAACAAGACATTTGTTTTTGCAATTAGCTGAGCACGTAACCCAGTCTCTCAATGTCACTTCATGTTATGTGCATAGAAGAACTGTAATAGGAGATCAATGGCCATGGGAAGCCCAAGAATTAGTACCTACAGACCCAGTTCCTGATGAATTCCTGGCTCAAAAGAGTCACCCTGATAACTTCTAGGTCCTAAAAGCCTCAATCATTAGACAATATTGTATAGCAAGAGTAGGGAAGGACTTCACCCTTCCTGTGGGAAGACTCAGTTGCCTTGGGCAAAAACTGTATAATAATACTACAAAAATAGCCACCTAGCGGAGTTCAAACCACACTGAGAAAAATCCGTTTAGTAAATTCTTGAAGTTGCAAACCGTGTGAACCCACCTGGAGTCCCACTGGGACTGGACAGCCCCCACTGGATTATACTGGATATGTGGGCATAGAGCTTACACCAAATTACCTGACCAGTGGGCAGGTAGTTGTGTTATTGGCACTATTAAACCATCTTTCTTCCTACTGCCCATAAAGACAGGCGAACTCCTGAGCTTCCCTGTCTGTGCTTCCCGCAAAAAGAGAAGCGTAGCTATAAAAAATTAAAAAGATGATGAATGGCCCCCGAGAGAATCATACAATATTATAGGCCTGGTACTTGGGCACAAGATGGCTCATGGGGATACCAGACCCCCATTTACGTGCTTAACTGAATCATATGGTTACAAGCTGTCTTAGAAATAATCACTAGTAAGACCAGCAGAGCCTTGACTATTCTGGCCTAGCAAGAAACTCAGATGAGAAATGCTATCTATCAAAATAGATTGGCTCTCGACTACTTGCTAGCAGCTGAAGGAGAGGTCTGTAGAAAATTTAACCTTACTAATGGCTGTCTACACATAGATGATCAAGGGCAAGTAGTTGAAGACACAGTTAGAAATATGACAAAACTGGCACATGTGCCCGTGCAAGTGTGGCACGGATTTGATCCTGGGGCCATGTTTGGAAAATGGTTCCCAGCGCTAAAAAGATTTAAAACTCTTATAATAGGAGTTATAATGGTAATAGAAACCTGCTTACTGCTCCCTTGTTTGCTACCTGTACTTCTTCAAATGATAAGAAGCTTCATCGCTACCTTAGTTCACCAAAATGCTTCAGCACAAGTGTACTATATGAATCATTATAGATCTGTCTTGCAAGAAGACATAGGCAGTGAGAATGAAATTGAGAACTCCCACTATTGAGTGAGAGTCTCAAAGGGGGGGAATAAGGGAGGAGACCACCCCTCATATTGTCTTATGCCCAATTTCTCCCTCCAAAGAAAGAAGAAGTAAAAACTAAAAGGCAGAAATGAAATCCACAAGCAGACAGCCCAGCGCCACACCCTGGGCCTGGTAGTTAAAGATAGACCCCTGACCTAATTGGTTATGTTATCTATAGATTACAGACATTGTATAGAAAAGCACTGTGAAAATCCCTGTCCTGTTCTGTTCCATTCTAATTACTGGTGCATGCAGCCCCCAGTCACATACCCCCTGCTTGCTCAATCGATCATGGCCCTCTCACGCAGACCCCCTTAGAGTTGTGAGCTCTTAAAAGGGACAGGAATTTCTCACTCAGGGAGCTTGGTTGTTGGAGACGTGAGTCTTGCCGAAGCTCCCAGCTGAATAAAGCCCTTCCTTCTTTAACTCAGCGTCTGAGGGGTTTTGTCTGTGGCTTGTCCTGCTACAGGGAGACTGAAGCAGGAGAACTGCTTGAACCTGAGAGGTGAAGGTTGCAGTGAGCCAAGATCATGCCACTGTATCCCAGCCTGGGCAACGGAGTGAGACCCAGTCTCAAAAATAATAATAATAATTTTTTTTTACTCACCAGGAATCACCCAGGAAAAGCTTAGGGTTAACATATAGCCAGCTTTCAAATCAACACAGGATTGAACAGGTTTGATGTGGCCCTAGAGGGCAGAAGTGAGACCAAGTTTCAACAGTGATGACAACTCAATGTATGTTTTAGAATCTATTCATATAAACTATTTTAACAGCAAAGGAAAAACTTTGTTTCCACCTTCTGAAGTTTGGTGCTGAAATGAACTGACAGTAGACAGATTAACAGGAGAAAAGGCATAGAAATTTATTCATGTGAATAAGCACAGAATCATAAAAAATATGAGACTCAAAGAAGGCCCAGGTGACTGAGGCTTAAGTGGCACGTCTTCACAGGGGAGAGAGAGACAGGGGTGTAGGCAATTTAGAGGGGTAGTAAATGATTTTTAGGGGAAATAAATGAGCCCCAATAATAGACAATTGGCCTACAATTGGCCTGGGACAGAGTTTTTCTGAGCGTTGTGGGAGGTGGTGGTGAATTACAGGAAGGTATGGGGCAGAACTACCATGGAACAAAGGTTGTCTCATTATGCAGCTAAAGTCTCCAGGTAATCTCTCAAAGCTGTCCTCAGAAGAATAGATGAAAAGTCTGTCTGGGCATGGTTATGACTTTAAGTCTTCTCTCTGGTGGTTAATTGTTTCTGGATATTTGATGTGATTTCTAGAGAAGGAGTTTTAAGATCGTTGCCTTTCTTCTGGAAGAACTTCCCTTAATCAGAAGTTCTTTGAAGGGAACTTCAGAGAAAGCCCCTCCTAGTGCTTTGGTAAAGAAAGATCAGGAGACAGGTGGGCAGAGGAAGCTCAGAGAGAGACCTTGGTTCACCATGCCAAAGCACCATATTTTAGGGTATTGTTTTCTGAGCCCCAACACTGTGGCCCATAAAGGTTTGAGTCAGCTTACTAAAAAAAAATGTAATATTTAAAGATAAATAAATATTTGAGAGAGTTGATGTCAGAAAAGCAATACGTAAGAAAAGAATAAAACTACAGTGAGGGCTGGGTATGGTGGTTCACATCTGTAATCCTAACACTTTGGGAGGCCACGGTGGGGGCATCATTTGAGGCCAGAAATTCAAGACAAGCCTGGGCAACATAGCAAGACCCTGTCTCTAAACAAACAAACAAAAAAAAAACTTAGCTGGGTGTGGTGGCATGAGCCTGTAGTCCCAGGTACTGGGGAGGCTAAGGTGGGAAGATCACTTGAGCTCATGAATTTGAGGCTGCAGTGAGCAAAGATCATGCTATAGCACTCCAGCCTGGATGACAGTGAAACTGCCTCAAAAAGAAAAAAAAAAGCTGTGTTGAAAATAACACAAGTAAATGCATGTCAGATAGTTCTGCACACGTGGTACAGGGGGGAAAAAATGCCATACTGCAAGATAGTTATTTCTTCCAGAGGCTAAAGCAAACCAGCTATTCACAAGAAGCACAACCTTGCCTGTTGCTGGGACCCGAGGGAAAGGCCTCAAGGCAGCTTTCCTCTTGGTACGGTCTCTGGCCAGCCTACATCTGGGCAGAGAATCACTGTATCACTGAGTCAGAACCAAAGAGGAATCATTTTAAAAGCCTATTCATTATTATAATATAGTTTTCTATTTAAAAATCAGAAAAATATTTTCAAAATAGGTTTTTTAAAAAATCCACAAAACCTGGCCATCAGAGAAATGCAAATCAAAACCACAATGAGATACCATCTCACACCAGTTAGAATGGCAATCATTAAAAAGTCAGGAAACAACAGGTGCTGGAGAGGATGTGGAGAAATAGGAACACTTTTACACTGTTGGTGGGACTGTAAACTAGTTCAACCATTGTGGAAGACAGGGTGGCAATTCCTCAGGGATCTAGAACTAGAAATACCATTTGACCCAGCCATCCCATTACTGGGTATATACCCAAAGGACTATAAATCATGCTGCTATAAAGACTCATGCACACGTATGTTTATTGCGGCATTATTCACAATAGCAAAGACTTGGAACCAACCCAAATGTCCAACAACGATAGACTGGATTAAGAAAATGTGGCACATATACACCATGGAATACTATGCAGCCATAAAAAAGGATGAGTTCATGTCCTTTGTAGGGACATGGATGAAATTGGAAATCATCATTCTCAGTAAACTATCACAAGGACAAAAAACCAAACACCGCATGTTCTCACTCATAGGTGGGAATTGAACAATGAGAACACATGGACACAGGAAGGGGAATATCACACTCTGGGGACTGTTGTGGGGTGGAGGGAGCGGGGAGGGATAGCATTAGGAGATATACCTAATGCTAAATGACGAGTTCATGGGTGCAGCACACCAGCATGGCACATGTATACATATGTAACTAACCTGCACATTGTGCACATGTACCCTAAAACTTAAAGTATAATAATAATAAAATTAAAAAAATTCAAAAAAGAGGCATCTTTAAATGAGGTCTCTTATTTATACCTTTGACTACTTAAACCATTAATACTGAGAAGTATTAGAACATAAAGTAAAATTTTTTTATCAGTATAATTAATTCATTCTTAGTATGTTGAAAACAGAATCCTTGGAGTTTGATGACCAAGTAAAGTTTCCATACAAGCATCATTTTTATTATCTTCTTTACATTTAAAAATATCTACTTTTAATAAGAAGTAGCATCATTTTAATAGTATGCTTGCCTTTTTGCAAAAGCTCTATTTTTATTTATTTTTAAATTTTTTTTTATTGAGACAGTGTCTCACTCTTGTCGCCCAGGCTGGAGTGCAGTGGTGGAATCGCGGCACACGGCAGGCTCAACCTCCCAGGCTCAAGCTGTCCTCCTGCCTCAGCCTCCTGAGTGGCTGGGACTGCGGGTATGCGCCACCATGCCTGTCTAATTATTGCATTTTCATTTGTCGTAGAGGCGGGGTTTTTTCATGTTGTCCAGGCTGGTCTTGAACTCCTGGGCTTCAAGCAGTCTGTGTCCCCCGGCCTCCCAGGGTGCTGGGATTGCAGGGATGAGCCACCATGCCTGACCCCAAATGTCTATTTTTAAACAGTTTTATCAAAATGTAAAGTGTATAAACACACATATTTAAAGGGTACAATATGGTATGTTTGTGACATGTAAATATTAACGCAACCTCACTTATGTTGAAGTTAGTGCATGTATTTGTAGAAGTTTCCTAGAGCTCCTTTGTAATTAATTCCTACCTCTCACTTCACTCCTCTTCCATGCCTTCACTATCCCTGAGGCAGTCGTGATCGTTAAACATTAGTTTGAGTTAATTTTTGTGTGAGGTATGAGTTGAGTTCCCTTTTTTTCATATGGATATCCAGTTGTTCTAGCATAATTAGTTGAAAAGACTATGCTTTCTCCACAGAATTGCCTTTGCATCATTGATGAAATCTGTTGTTCTTATGTGTGTATGTCTATTTCTGAACTTTATTATGTTCTATTAATTAGTTTATCTTTATGCCAATACTAAACTGTCTTGAATACTATAGTTTATAGTAAATCTTTGAATCAGATCATATGAATTTCATATGGAAATGTACAGAACCCAGAACAGTCAAAACAACTTTGAAGAATAAAATTAAAATTTGGAGTACTAACATAATCTGATTGACTTATGATATTTCTTCAAAAATAGAAATTAAACTTACTTGTTTCTTTAAAAACACAGGCTAGGATCTTGATTGGAATTAACTTGAATCTTGAGATTAGTTTGAAAAAACTGGCCGGGCATGGTGGCTCACACCTGTAATCCCAGTACTTTGGGAGGCCAAGGTGGGTGGATCTCAAGGTCAGGAGTTTGAGACCAGCCTGGCCAATATGGTGAAACGCCGTCTCTACTGAAAACAGAAAAAAATTGGCCAGGCGTGGTGGCGCATGCCTGTGGTCCTGGCTGCTTGGGAGGCTGAGGCAGGTGAATTGTTTGGACCCTGGAGGCGGAGGTTGCAGTGAGCCGGGATCATGCTATTGCACTCCAGCTTGGGCGACAGAGTGAGACTCTGTCTTAAACAAAAAAAAGAAAAAATTGACATCTTACCAATAGCGAGTCTTGTGACCCATGAACACAACATGTCTCAATTTATTTAGAATTTCTGTCACTAATGTTTTATAGTTTTTAGTGTATCGATTTTTCAAATGGTTATCAGATTTATCTCTATTTCATATTTTTGTTGCTATTGTAAATAATGTTTTCAACTGTCAATTTCTGCTTGTTTTATGTTAGTAAATAGAAATAAATTGATTTTTAAATTGAAAAAAAAAATCCACAAAACCCTTCTAGGCACTGGAGATACAGAGAAGACAATGACTCTTTGTCAGGAGGGTATACTATAATCTTTGGGGTATATAAAATTTCTTTGTTAATCAAAAGGATGAGAAATCAAAGCAAAGAAGTCTACTTCTAGTTAGACAATGTAGAGGAGGAGAAAAACTAAGATCTGTTCCTCACCCATTGCAAGGATCATGGCTGACACCCCTATAGCAAAGTATAGACTAATAAGAGAAAAGGTAACAAATTTATTTAACAGAGTTTTACATGACATGGGAGCCTTCAGAAAGGAAGACCCAAAGAACCAGGGAAAAGTGTATTTTTATGCTTGGATGTTATGAAGGACGGACAGTCATATAGAAATGTGATTGTACAAAAAGCAGGTATGACCTAATGGTACTAAACTGGAGGGAACTCAGCAAGGCCTGTCTGTTCAGGTGCTTCTTGGCCTCACTGACTTTTCCTCCAGGTATAGGGCAGGCCACCTGCACATAAGGGTCTTATGACCTCCTTCCAGGGAAGATAGATCAGAGAATTTCTTTATGTCCAGCTGTCACACAGAAAGGTTGGGGAAGTTCAGAGTAACCTTCTTGCTTCTGAGACCCACCCCATCATCTTCAGTTCAAAGAAGTTTGGGGTTGCGTTTTCTGAGCCCTGACAATGATTTAGTAGAGAGAACTCAAAGCATCAAACGAGAGCTGAACTTTTGAATACTAGAAAGTACCCTAGGAATTACATCATTAAAACCAGCAGTGGCACTCATCCCCAAATTCATATGGAATCTCAGAGACCCCGAGTAGCCAAAACAATCTTGAAAAAGCAGAACAAAGTTAGAGAAGTCACACTTCCTAATTTCAAAACTTACTACAAAGCTACAATAATCAAAACGGTATGGTACTGGCAAGAAGACAGATACATAGACCAACAGAATAGAATAGATAGCCCAAAAATAAACCCATGCATATATGGTCAATTGATTTTTGACAAGGGTGCCAGGATCATTAAATGGGCAAAGGACAGTGTTTTCAACAAATGGTGTTGGAAAAGCTGGACACTAAAGGGCACTAGGTTTTAGTGTGGCACTATGCCACCACAAATATGCCTTTTTGGCAGATGGATTGTCTCAAGCTAAGGCCAGTGAGAACACACAGACACAGGAAAAGCTCTAAAAACAGTGTGCAAGTTTTTCTTTTATTTTTTAAAGGAAACTTCCACTTGCAGAGATGATTTCCAAGCCCCTGTACCTGGAAGAAAAGGACATTTACTCTAATCAATGGAGATGGCACCAACTTAATTAAATCTGTATAACATACCTTACTAAACAATGATAATTTCACTGGTCTTGTTTCTATAACTTGCCTCTCCCACTCAGAAGCCCAAAGCCCCTTTTGTTTTAGCCTAAGAAGATATATGAACCCACGACCTAACCTCTCTTCTGAGTGATTCATCTCTGGGGACTTCCATGTGTACATGTGCAATGCACATGTTAATGAACTTCTGTTTGGTCCTCTGTCAATCTGCCATTGTCCAGTCTTATTTGCAGGACCCCAGCTGCAGAACCTAAGATGGGTAGAGAAAAATACATTTTTCCTCCCCTACAATATCCATATGCAAAAGAATGAACTTGGACCTTGCAACGTAAACAGAAATTAACTAAAAATGGATTAAAGGTCTAAATGTACGACCTAAAACTATAGAACACTGGAGAAAAGCTTCATGACATTAGATTTGGCAATGATTTCACAGGTATGACACCAAAAGCACAGTCTATGAAAAATAAATAGGCCGGGTGCAGTGGTTCACACCTGTAATCCCAGCATTTTGGGAGGCTGAGGCAGGCAGATCACTTGAGGTCAGGAGTTCAAGACCAGCCTAGCCAACATGGTGAAACCCTGTCTCTACTAAAAATACAAATAAAAAATAAAAAATTAGTGGGCATGGTGGCAGCTGTCTGTAGTCCCAGCTACTCAGGAGGTTGAGGCAGGAGAATTACTTGAACCTGGGAGGCAGAGGTTGCAGTGAGCCAAGATCGCACTACTGCACTCCAGCCTGGGCAACAAGAGTGAAACTCCTTCTCAATAAATAAATAAATAAATAAATAGGACTACATCAAAATTTAAAACTTTTGTGGTTCAAAGGATACTATCGAAAGCATAAAAAACCCCACAGAATGAGGAAAAATATTTGCAAATCATCTGTCTGATAAGGGATTAATATCCAGAAAATATAAAGCACTCCTATAACTCAACAAAAAATAAGCAACCCCATTAAAAAATAGGCAAAGGACTTGAATAGACATCAATAAGCACATGAAAAGATGTTCAACATCGCTAGTCATTAGGGAAATGTAAATTAAAACTATGATGAGATATCAGTTCATACCCATAAGATTGGCTATTATTTTTAAAAATAGAAAATAAATATTGGACAGGATGTAAAGAAATTGGAACGCAAGTGCATTACTGGTGGGAATACAAAACAATGCAGCTGCTGAGGAAAGCAGTTTGGTGGTTACTAAAAAAAAGATAAACATAGAATTAATATATAACCTAGAAATTCAACTCTTGGATATACACTCAAAGAACTGAAAGCAGGGATTTACACAAAGACTTATGCATCAATGTTTATTGCAGCATTATTCACAATAGCACCCCATCTCACCACAACCAGCTTTGAGTTATACAACTTACACATAAAATGGAAGAGGATAGGAAATAGACTCTTAAATGGCAAAAATCTGAAAAAGCTAAAGCCTAGTTTTATTTTTTTTTTTATTCTTTGTTTTTTTCTTTTTTGAGACAGAGTCTCGTCCTGTTTCCCAGGCTGGAGTACAGTGGCACCATCTCGGCTCACTGCAACCTCCGCCTCCCAGGTTCAAGCAAATTTCCTGCCTCAGCCTCCTGAGTAGCTGGGATTACAGACACATGCCACCACACCCAGCTAATTTTTGTAGTTTTAGTAGAGATGGGGTTTCACCATGTTGGCCAGGCTGGTCTCAAACTCCTGACCTCAGGTGATCTACCTGCATTGGCCTCCCAAAGTGCTGGGGTTACAGGCATGAGCCGCCATACCTGGCCTACAGCCTAGTTTTAAATTCACAGTGCAGGGTCCTTGAGCCCATGAAGATGCCTCATAAATGTTTGATGAATGAGCACTCATGTTTCAAGGCCCAATTCAAATGTCATCTCCTTCAAGAAGCTCTCCTCTCTTAGCCTGCATGCTCTCTGCTCTGGTGGAATGATTGTGTGTCTATTACAGCACTTAGCATAGGGTGGAGTGGGGGAAGGAGTGTTATTTAGCAGAGTGGACCAAGCACAGCTTGCATTCCAGTCCCCACTGTGTCCTAAGCTGTGTGATTTTGGACAAGTTACTTAGCCCTCCTGAATTTCCTCATGTGGAAAGCAGAGCAATCATTCCTATTTCTTAGAATTATGCTGAGCATTATTAAAGGGCCATACACAATGAGCACAGAGCATTCAATAAATGCTATAATCATTGCTGTGATGACCACATCCCTATTCTTCTAGCAGTAGACTGAATCCTCCCTAGAGGGAACATATATCTGCCTCTCTACCCCTTTTGTAATCGTGTGATGGTGCTTCCCGGCTGCTGCACAGATGAAACCAATTCACTGAGACTGTGGTATTGCAGTAAAGAAATAGTTTAATTTACATGAGGCTGGCTACATGACAGAACTGGAGTTATCACTCAAATGAGTCTCCCCGAAGGCTCAAAGAGAAAAGTTTTTCAAGGATAGTTGGTGGGCAGGGGACTAGGGAATGGGTGCTGCTGATTGGTTGGGGATGTAATCATAAGGGTGTGGAAAACAGCCCTCATGTGCTGAGTCCACTTCTGCATGAGGCCACAGGACCAGTTGAGTCATGAGTCATGGGTCTCAGTGAGCTCAGTCTGAAAAACATCTCAAAAAACCAATCTTAGGTTTTATAATAGTGAAGTTATCTACAGGAGCAATTGGGGAAGTGCCACATGACTCTTGAGCAGTAAGGGATTAGGATTATAGAAACTATGCCTACAAGCCAGGTGTGGTGGCTCACCCCTGTAATCCCAAGCAATTTGAGAGGCCAAAGTGAGCAGATTGCTTGAGCCCAGGAGTTCGAGACCAGCCTGGACAACATGGCAAAAACCCATCTCTACTGAAAATAGAAAAATTAACCAGGCATGGTGGCCCATGTGTGTAGTCCCAGGTACTCTGGAGGCTGAGGTGGGAGGATCAGCTGAAACCAGGAGGCAGAGGTTTCAGCGAGCTAAGATCATACCACTGCACTCCAGCTTGAGCCACAGTGTGGCCCAGGAGTGGTGGCACATGCCTATAATCCCAGCCACTCTGGCGGCTGAGGCCCAAGAATCACTTGAACCCAGGAAGCAAAGGTTGCAGTGAGTAGAGATAATGCCACTGCACTCCAGCCTGGGTGATAGAGCGAGACTGAAAAAAAAAAAGAAAAAGAAAAAAGGGAAGAAAGAAAAAAGAGAGAAAGAGAAGGAGGGAGGAAGGGAGGGAGGAAGGAAGAAACTATGCCTACATTTTGGCAGATTCAGGTCCCTCCCAGAATCCTAATCTTGTGGCCTTTTGCTGGTTTTACAAAGATGGTTTCAGTCCCTGAACAAGGAGGGAGTTAGTTTTATAGAGAGGCTATTATCATCCCCACTTCAAAGTTAAAATATAAACTAAATTTCTCCCATGGTTAGCTGACCCACACCCAGGAATGAGCAAGGATAGACTGTGAGGCCAGCAGCAAGATGGAGTCAGCCATGCTAGACATCTGTCACTGTCATAATATTCGCAAAGGTGATTTCACTTTTCCCCTCACTCAGACACACAGCTCCTGGTCCCTGGTGAAGTGTCAGTTGATGAATGAGTGAGCAAATGAGTGAATGAATGAATGAATGTACGTTAAATCAACCTATTGTCCTGGGGGGTCTCCTGGGGTAGGAACGGCTGGAGACAGGGAAGCTCAGGTATATCACCCACAGGACCAACCTCAGGCATACAGCCTCTTTCATTCCATTTAAGCCCAAAGCAAACACTTACCTTCATGTGGCAACCAATGGCCTCCCCCAGCCAGTTCCTCAGGACCTGAGGGTGCTACAATCTCCCAAACTGCCCTTATGCCAAGGACTTCTGCCAAAAGGTGGCATCACTTGGCTTGTGTTTTGGATTTCAGTATTATTTGTTTTTACCCCTGCTCATGACCTTTCATAATGTCTGAAACATGATATTCCCAGAAGATTTGCTCATTCCTCTATTTTTAGGAAAATATTATAGGGGCAGAAGGAAAACTTCTGAAGATTCACTGAAAAATCAACTTACAAAAGTCAGATGAATTGGAGGAAAGGCATACAAAATGTAACAACGTGTATATGGGGAGCATCACTGAGTGATTACCCAACCCACCAATGGGGTGCAGAAGCTTCTATGTGAGCTCAGAGCATGGTCAAAATAAGGCTACGGTGATGAATCCAGTTATGGGAGGGAGGGGAATGAGAGTTGGCTAGCAAAGAGAGTCTTGTTATGTAAATAAAACCTCATAGGTAGAAACCCTCAGAAAGAATAGATGCTAAATGTTTCTTTAGACCTTTAAAAGTGACAAATTCTAAGTTTGTCTTTCCTGAATTCTGACAAGGGAGAGCCTGGCTTCCTCTATGCAGATTCTCTGTAGATGCAAATTTTCCCCACAAAAGACAGCTTTGCAGGGCTACTTCTGCAGGCTGGCTCTCTGGCAGCCATCTCAACATACGTCAAACAAATGTATTTTAGGGTACAATATTTTTATTTCCTTCAATATCAAAAAATAATGTGCTATTTCTGTAACTGCATTTTGTCTGTTAGTTCAATAGTGGTGTCACGTGTTGTCTTGTTTATTAACTATAAACCAGTGGTTCTAACCTGGGGAGTGGGTGGGTAATTTTGCCCTTGAGGGGATATTTAACAATATCTGAATAATTTGGTGGGAGGCAGTGCTAGGAGCATCTAGTGGGTAGAGGCCAGGGAAGCTGCTAACATCCTGCAATGCAGAGGATAGCCCTCACCATAAAGAATTATCTGTCTCAAAACATCAGTGGTGTTGAGGTAGAGGCACCGCTCTATAACCTAAGAGAAGAAAGGTAGTCATCACTGTTAAATGGTAATTTTCAAAAAAGGCAAATTCATGACTCTCATACAGATATAAAAATGAACCCGTGATAAAGATTTTCTTTTACTCATGAGGGAAGCAGACAAATACTATAGCCCGTTTAAAAGAAACTCCAAAGAGCAAATTTATGGATCAGTTGTATGAAAATTGATATGCCAATTGAGGCAAACTGATTTTCCCACAGTGGGAGGGAAGTTAATTGAACCTCCAGCAGACGGGACATGATTTGCATCCTACACTGCGGAGTGGGTGGGTGATTTACAGTGATTTACAGAACTGTAAAATAGATCCCATGGAACCGGAATCATACAGAATGGTGTTCTGCGAACTACATCAGGGCAAAACACTGAGGCTTGTCAGAATTAAATGTTTGCTCCATCAAGGTCAGTTTAAAGTCACTTGAGAATGAAGAACTAACTCAAAGAAAAGTTTCAACATCAGAGTATTATTTTTATTTTTATTTTCTTAGTAGAGTCTCATTCTTTTGCCCAGGCTGGAGTGCAGTGGCACGATCTTGGCTCACTGCAACCTCCAGCTCCCATATTAAAGCGATTCTCCTGCTCAGCCTCCCAAGTAGCTGGGATTACAGGCATCTGCCACCATGCCCAGATAACTTTTGTGTTTTTTTGTGGCAATGGGGTTTCACCATGCTGGCCAGGATGGTCTCAAACTCCTGACCTTGGGTGGTCTGCCCGCCCTGGCCTCCCAAAGTGCTGTAATTACAGGCGTGAGCCACGATCCCTGGCCTCATCTGGTTGTTCAGAGTAGACTTTCTGAAGCTTCAATGTGCATATGATCACCTGGGATCTTCATGTCTAGGATGAAGTTTGAGTCTTGGTGTTTGTAACAAGCTCCCAGGTCAGGCCAGCCAATACTACCAGTTGATGGACACACTTTGAGTAGCTAAGGTTGGAGAAAAGAAATTTCTTTGTTACAAAGTAAGGAAACCAAAGACAGAAACACTACAAATAGGTTATAGATCTCATCAGTCTCTTGAGCTAAGAAATAAGCCTTTGAAATCCTTAAAACACCCAAGGCATCAGAATTTGCAGGACATGGACCAGACCAGGATACTGGGACTTCTCTTTGGTGTGGAAGACCAGTACAAACAAAAAAGATGTAGTCACCCAACAGGTTCTTCCTGCTACTGCACAGACAAAGCCAGTTCACTGAGTCCATGGTATTGCAGCAAAGAAAGAGTTTAACTTGAGGCCAGCCACATGGGAGAACTCAAGTCAGTCTCCCCACAGATTCAGAAGCTAGAGTTTTTCAAGGATAGTTTGGTAGCATTGGAGTAGGGAATGGGTGCTGCAGATTGGTTGGGGATGCAATCATTGTGAGGCAGGAGAATAGGGTCTGGAGGCAAGGAACACAAGGCTGATTCATGCTGACTTCCTAGAACTAAATCAAATGGAAACACTTCAGCTATGACAGGAAATATCCTCTCCATTTACATAGGGCATACACCAAGTAACCAAAAGGAACCTCTAGAAGGTATTTAAACCCAAGAAAATTCCGTAACCAGGCTCTTGAGCTCCTATGCTCAGGCCCGCTCCCACCCTGTGGAGTGTATTTTTCATTTTCAATAAATCTCTGCTTTTGTTGCTTCATTCTTTCCTTGCTTTGTTTGTGTGTTTTGTCCAATTCTTTGTTCAAGATGCCAAGAACCTGGACACCCTCCACCAGTAATAATAGAGATGTGCAAAACAGTCTTTGGGTGCTGAATCCACCTCTGGGTAGGAGGCCACAGAACCGGCTGAATCATGAGTCCTGGGTCCAGGTGGGGTCAATCTGAAAAACATCTCAAAAGACCATTCTTAGGTTCCACAATAGTGATGTTATCTATAGGAGCAATTGGGGAAGTCACAGATCTTATGACCCCTGGCCACATGACTCCTGAACAGTAAGGGATTATAGAAACTATGCTTACACTTCAGCAGAATTCAGGCTGCTCCCATAATCTTAATCCTGTGGCCTTTCATTAGTTTTACAAAAGTGGTTTCAGTCCCTGAACAAAGAGCAAGTTAGTTTTAGGGAGAAGCTATTAACATCCTTGCTTCAAAGTTAGACTATAAACTAAATTACTCTGATTACTTTGGCCTATGTCCAGGAATGAGCGAAGACAGCCAGCCTGTGAGGCCAGCAGCAAGATGGAGTCAGCCATGCCAGGCTTCTGTGAGTCATAATCTTTGCAAAGGTGGCTTCAAAGATGGGAGGGGTTGCCTTTGGAGTCCAGGATGAGGTAAAAATAATAAACAAATAAAATAAAAAAGAAAACAAAGATGGGAGAGGTGAATGCTGGATGAAAGATAAGGCTTTAAAGTGTCAACTTTAAATAATGAGGTTCAGAAAATGTGATTAAGTATGGTGTTTATTCAAGCCCAAAAGTGGAAGATGGCCACCTAGGAGACATCAACTCCGAAAGAGGCGGTGTTATGTTTCCAAAATGGAAAAGTTCAGGTTTCACTTGTGTAGGCAGAGACAGAGAAGTTTTAGCAGGATTACAACATTTTCCATAGCAGACCAGTGCACATGTTGAAGCGGCCGCATTGTCTGGGATAAATACCCCAGTTCGTCATCTCGTGCCAAGAAAATTTAGAACATGAACACAGATGAGGAGTTTAGGAGCACAGGTTTAATAGGCAAAAGAAAGAAAGAGAAAGTGTGCCCGGAATTGGTGGGTTCTTGGTCTCACTGACTTCAAGAATGAAGCCGTGGACCCTCGCGGTGAGTGTTACAGCTCTTAAGGTGGCGTGTCTGGAGTCTGTCCCTTCTGGTGTTCAGAGTTTCTTCCTTCTGGTGGGTTCGTGGTCTCTCTGGCTCAGGAGTGAAGCTGCAGACCTTCGCGGTGAGTGTTACAGCTCTTAAGGCAGCACGTCTGGAGTTGTTCGTTCCTCCTGGTGGGCTCGTGGTCTCGCTGGGCTCAGAAGTGAAGCGGCAGATTTTCGCTGTGAGTGTTACAGCTCATAAAAGCAGCGTGGACCGAAAGAGTGAGCAGTAGCAAGATTTACTGCAAAGAGAGAAAGAACAAAGCTTCCACAGAGTGGAAGAGGACCAGAGCAGGTTGCCAATGCTGACTTGGGCAGCCTGCTTTTATTCTCTGATCTGGCCCCACCCACATCCTGCTGATTGGTAGAGCCGAGAGGCCTGTTTTGTCAGGGCACTGATTGGTGCGTTTACAATCCCTGAGCTAGATACAAAGGTTCTCCACGTCCCCATCAGATTAGTTAGATACAGAGTGCCGATTGGTGTATTTGCAATCCCTGAGCTAGACATAAAGGTTCTCCAAGGCCCCACCAGAGCAGCTAGATACAGAGTGTCGATTGGTGCACTCACAAACCTTGAGCTAAACACAGGGTGCTGATTGGTGTATTTACAATCCCTGAGCTAGATATAAAGACTCTCCACGTCCCCACCAGACTCAGGAGCCCAGCTGGCTTCACCTAGTGGATCCCGCACCAGGGCTGCAGGTGGAGCTGCCTGCCAGTCCTGCGCCCTGCACTTGCATTCCTCAGCCCTTGGGTGGTCGATGGGACTGGGCGCCGTGGAGCGGGGGTGGCGCTCGTCGAGGAGGCTCGGGCGGCACAGGACCCCACGGAGGTGGTGGGAGGTTCAGGCATGGCGGGCTGCAGGTCCCAAGCCCTGCCCCGCGGGAAGGCAGCTAAGGCCCGGCGAGAAATCAAGCACAGTGCCGGTGGGCCGGCACTGCTGGGGGACTCAGTACACCCTCCGCAGCCACTGGCCAGGGTGCTAAGTCCCCCATAGCCCGGGGCTAGCAGGGCTGGCCGGCTGCTCCGAGTGTGGGGCCCACCAAGCCCACGCCCACCCGGAACTCCAGCTGGCCCACAAGCGCGGCGCGCAGCCCCGGTTCCCGCTCGTGCCTCTCCCTCCACACCTCCCTGCAAGCTGAGGGAGTGGGCTCCGGCCTTGGCCAGCCCAGAAAGGGGCTCCCACAGTGCAGTGGGGGGCTGAAGGGCTCCTCAAATGCCACCAAAGTGGGAGCCCAGGCAGGGGAGGTGCCGAGAGCAAGCGAGGGCTCTGAGGACTGCCAGCACGCTGTCACCTCTCAAAAGGAAAACAGATCTCTCTAATGAGAGAGAGGGGCTCCTGAGAGGAAAAAGGCTGGCTGGTGGGGGAGTCCGTTAGATTTTACAGGCAGGCTTGAGGAGGCAGTGTCTGATTTACGTAGAACCCACAGATTGGTTCCATCAGATGTGATATATAAACAGCGCATGGGGAAGGCTGGCCACTCCACCCTGATCTTATTATTGCAAATGGGCTTTCCAGTTGACTGGCACCATCTTGTCTGCTTCTTACTGTACAAGTGGCTGGTAAAGGGCGAAGGGAAGATGGAGCCGCCATTTTGAACATGCCTAATCCCAAGTAGCTTTTCCTGCCAGCATTCACCCGTGCAAGCTTCCAGTTTGGTTGTCTATGTCTGCAGCTCAATTTTACCGGCTGCTCTTTGTTAGAAGAGGATTTAGGGGCTACTTTTCATTAAAAAGGAAAACCTTACTGAGGACTCCAGTAACCTCACTATCTGTCTAAGTAATTTCCTCTTAACTCCTATATCAATGTTACAGCAATTTGGTTACAGATTGCTACTATTAACAGAAAAGTCAAACTCTAAATTATTTTAAAGAGTTTCATTCTGAGCCTATATGAATGACTGAGGCTTAGAGAAACACAATCTCATGAGGTCCTGAGAAAGTGCGCCCAAGGAAGTCCGGTTACAGTTTTGTTTTGTACACTTTAGGGAGGCCGGAATTACAGGCAAACACATAAATCAGTGAAGGTACACATTGGTTTGGCCTGAAAAGGTGGGATATCTTGAAGTGGAGGCTTCCAGGTTATAGGTAGATTCAGAGATTCTTTATTTTGCAATTGGTTGAAGGAGTAAGGCTCTGTCTAAAACTTGGAGTCAGCAGAAAGTAATGTTTTAAGATAAGAATGCTACCTAGCAAGATTCATGGCTTGCAGATATGATTTAACCCTTGCCTTGCATGGCCTTAGTCTTGTTTATGATTTGGTATCTTATTGCCACAGAGTCTGTTCTGTCAGTTGTATGGTCTCTATTTTAACACTAATACTGGTCAGTTATTGTGCCTAAACTCCAGAAGGAGGGGGTATAAGAAAAGGTGTCCAACCTCCCTTCCCACTGTGGCTGGGAATTCAGTTTTTAAGGTTTTTCTGGGGTCCCCTTTGTCAAGAAGGCATCTGTTCAGTTGGTGGGGGACTTAGGATTTTATTTTTAGTTTACACTACATTCCAAGGAAGATTAATGTATTACTCCATGAGGAGGGGCAGTGATCTAAGAGGGTCTTGTGTTTTACAGGGAAGAAAAAGGCAGATGTTGCAGCTGCATGCCACGTGACTCGGGCCACATAGCCACATTCCTCTCAAGGCTCAGAAGAATCTAAAGTTCCAACAGCTCTAAGTTTGAATCATTTCATTTCACAAAGGGCAAGGACTTCAGAGAGTAAGACGGGGGAAGGAGGATACAGTGTTCTCCTGGAGAGAGGTGCGGTCTGCAGGCGCAGCCTGGGAGCATGGGGACGTGGAGGCAGACTGGAGCAGGGTGCGGCTTTGGGACAATCACCTAGTGAAGGAATCCAAACTATGTCACCCCAAAATATATTTCTTTGACATATTTCAATATGGCTATTCAGAAGGGCTAGAAATACAAGAATAGCTGAAAAGCTGTTTTTCGTGGGTGAGGTTTGCATCTGTAGAGAAAATCTGCATTTATGCAGCCAGGCTTTCTCTTTTTCTTCCTTGTTCAGATCCAGGAAGGATTAACTGAGAGTCTGACACCTTTGAAAACCTGAGAGAAACATTTACCATCTATCCTCTCTGGGGTCTGCTACCTGTGAGGTTTCATCTACAAAACAAGACCCTCTTTATTAGCCAGGCCTCCTTTTCTCTCCCTCACGTAAACTTGTTTTACCACCATAACCTGTTTTGCCACAATCCAAGCCACTGTTCTTTCTGTAACCTCAAGATGGTGAGAAAAGAAAAGAACTCATCTGAGGAATGCAAGTCCTTTTAATTATCACACCTGGAGAGACATTAAAATGAGACCTCAGTCACACCCTACTCCCTGCCTGAGCTATGTAATCATCTCTTGAAACTGCTTGCTACTGCCATAAGTAGCTATAAATTAACCTAATAACATCGTACCAGACACTAAAACCCACATCCTATAGCTTAACCATGTATAGCCAATCACTAATCAGTGTTACTTCTGTAAATCAATGAGAATTCCTGACAACAACTTTGCATCTGCCCACTGCCTGTTCCCCTTTTTTTTGCCTATAAAAATCCACCTGTGGCCAGGCATGGTGGCTCATGCCTGTAATCCCAGCACTTTGGGAGGTCAAGGCAGACAGATTACCTGAGGTCAGGAGTTCCAGACCAGCCTGGCCAACATGGTAAAACCTCGTCTCTACTAAAAAATACAAAAATTAGCCGGGAGTGGTAGTGCATGCCTGTAATCCCAGCTATTCAGGAGGCCGAGGCAGGAGAATCGTTTGAACCTGGGAGATGGAGGTTGCAGTGAGCTAAGATCACACCACTGCACCCCAGCCTGGGTAACAGAGTGAGACTTCATCTCAAAAATAAATAAATAAAATATAATAAAATAAAAATCCACTTGTAACTGCTGCTCATCAGAGAGTATATTCGGGTCAACTTGAATCTATGCTTCCAGGTTGGAATCCTCAAGCCTGGCCCCAATAAACTCTCTACTTATATTAATTCTGCCTCAGCTTCTTCCCTTTAGGTCGACAATGGTGTGAAAGCATCAACCATTTGGCCATTGCTTTGAGATTGTTGTAAGACTAAATCTGGCTTTTGTCAGTTGATTTTTCGGTGACCCTTCAGAGGGTGATACAGTTTAGATCTGTGTCCCACCAAATCTCACGTTGAATTATAATCCCCAGTTTTGGACGTGGGGCCTGGTGGGAGGTGATTGGATCCTGGGGTTGGAGTTCTCAGGAATGGGCTAGCACCATCCCCTCGGTGCTATTCTCATGATAGTGAGAGAGTGACTTATCGTGAGATCTGGTTGCTTAAAAGCGTGTGTCATCTCCCCCATCTCTCTTCGTCCTGCTCTGATCATATAAGACAGCTGCTTCCTCTTGGCCTTACCCCAGGACTGTGAGCATCCTGAGGCCTCCCCAGAAGCAGAAGCTGCTATACTTCCTATGCAGCCTGCAGAACTGTGAGCCACTGAACCTCTCATAAACTACCCAGTCTCAGGTATTTCCTTAGAGCTGTGCAAGAACGGACTAATATAGAGGGTGAAGGAATAGTTTTCCCTTGGCCCCCACACTAGCCTCCTCAAGAAACAAGGGTGTGGAACTTCTTTGGGGGAACTGTGCTGTGAGAGTATAAAGATGTTGACGAAAAGAGCCAAGCTCTAATATATTTTGAAGAGATTTATTCTGAGCCAAATATGAGTTGCCAATGGCCCATGACACAGCCCTCAGGAGATCCTGAGAATATATGCCCAACACGGCCTGGCTACAGCTTACTTTCATACATTTTAGGGAGACATACGACATCAATCAACACATGTGAGATACACATTTGTTTGGTCTGAAAGGTGGGACAACTTGAAGCAGAGGCTTCCAGGTTGTAGGTAGATTCGGAGATTTTCTGATTGGCAATTGGTTGAAAAAGTTCAGTTATTGTTTAAAGACCTAGAATCAATAGAAAGGAATGTCTGGGCTGGGCGCAGTGGCTCATGCCTGTAATCCCAGCACTTTGGGAGAATGAGGCGGGCGGATAACTTGAAGTCAGGAGTTCAAGACCAGCCAGGCCAACATGGTGAAACCCCGCCTCTGGAAAAAATAGCTGGGCGTGGTGGCGTGCACCTATAAGCCCAGCTACCTGGGAGGCTGAGGCAGGAGAATTGCTTGAACCTGAGAGGCGGAGGTTGCAGTGAGACAAGATCACACCACTGCACTCCAGCCTGGGTGTCAGAGCAAGACTCCGTCTCAAGAAAAAAAAAAAAAAAAACAAGGAATGTTTGGATTAAGGTAAGAGGTTGGGAAGATCAAGGTTCCCATTATGCAGAGGAAGTCTCCAAGTAGCAGGCTTCAGAGGGAATAGCTTGTAAATGTTTCTTATCAGAGTTGATTCTCTCCTGGATTAGGAAAAAGGCCTGGAAAAGAAAGGGGATTCTCTTCAGAATGTACCTTTTCCCCACGAGAGTCAACTTTGCACGACTACTTCAAGATATGGCAAAGTCGGTGAAACCCCGTCTCTACTAACAATACAAAAAATTAACGGGGCATGGTGGCGGGCACCTTTAGTCCCAGATACTCTGGAGGCTGAGGCAGGAGAATGGTGTGAACCCAGGAGGCGGAGCTTGCAGTGAGTCAAGATCGCGCCACTGCACTCCAGCCTGGGCGACAGAGGGAGACTCCGTCTCAAAAAAAAAAAAAAAAAAAAAGAAAGATATGGCAAAAAAAAAAAAAACACTGGGGGTTAAAATACTTCAGTTTCCTTCTTTATCTGTCATGTGATGTTACACCAGAGTCAGGTTGGAAAATGGGCCACATGATATAGGGTGAAAAAAAAAAACCCCTCCAATGACACTTCATGGTTTACAGCGTGTGACTCTCCAGGCTCCTTGGATAAAAATTTGGGAAAGAAAAGAAAAAGGTCAGAGTTTAGCCCTCAAAGAGAAAGAAACCTTTTTTTCTTCTTTGGATATAATCATAATTTTAAGCAATTAACCTGTTGCCACAGAATTTCCACAGAAGCAGGAAGGCCACTCTGACTTTCTTCTCCCTCCTGTCTCCACTGAATCAGGTCATAAAGGAATTCTCGGCCCTACCTCCACGTGAAAGCAGGTCGTGAGACCCTCATTCCAGAGGGGCCTCCCCTGTACTCTGAGGCCAAGAAGAGTCAGAACAAACATGGCTTGCCGGTCTCCCTCCAGTTTGTCACCATCAGACCCTGCCCTCCTGTCCTCCAATCACACTTTTGCATGATTGTCCATAGAAACAGTTTTCCCTGGGTCTTTGGGTCTTCGTTTCGGAAGCCTCCTGTGTCATGTAAAACTTATATTAAAACATTTGTTATGCTTTTCTCTTGTTAATCTGTCTTTCATGATAGGAGTCTCAGCCATGAGCCTTGCAATGGATAAGGAAAAGATATTACCTTTTCCCCACTACAGGGACTTCTGCTGGAAAAATCCACTTTGCTAGAGCAGGCACGGGGACCGCTGATAGGAGACATTGCTGGAAGATGCCAAGTGGGCGTTTCCAGATCACTTTTCATTTTAATCAGTTGTCAGAGTTTATATTCAGGAGCCCTCCCCTCAATATCTGGATTTTCAGCTTCTCTGGAAGACCGAGAAGACCTGGGCACGTGGGGCCAGCGTTTCTGAAGGCTGTGGTAGTAGACATGGACGTGGGCACAGATATTTCCAAGAGGACGCCTCTGCTCCACCACAGCAGGGACGGTCCACCCACCCAAGTGATCAGTTCTCATCTTCGTGCTTCTTAACTATCAGCAGCATTATCAGGAAAATAAGATAATTCTTGCATCCTCATCTTACTCAAAACCAAAAATAGGCCAGGTGCGGTGGCTCACGCCTATAATCCCAGCACTTTGGGAGGTCAAGGCAGTGGATCACCTGAGGTCAGGAGTTCGAGACCAGCTTGGCCAACATGGTGAAACCCCATCTCTACTAAAAATTTAAAAATTAGCCTGGCATGGTGGCATGCATCTGTAGTCCCAGCTACTCGGGAGGCTGAGACAGGAGAATTGCTTGAACCCGGGGGAGGGGGGTGGGGGGTTGGTTGCAGTGAGCCGAGATTGTGACACTGCACTCCAGCCTGGGTGACAGAGCAAGACTCTGTCTCAAAAAAAAAGAAAAAGAAAAAAGAATAGACCAAGACATGAAATGGGGAGTTTGGAAGTGAAGTGTATTCCTAGATGTTTAATATGCAAAGCATGCCTGTAATTAGACTATTTTTTTATAACTCACTTCACTCATTTACAGTTACTGTCTGACTCTCAGAGATATTTGAGTTTCCATCCTTGGTATCAACCTAATATAAGAAAATGTTTTCCTCAGATTTCTTTGGAAGTGAAATGTATTCCTAGGTGTTTAATAGGCAAAGCATGCCTGTAATTAAAGACTTTTTTAAAAACTAACTTCACTCATTTACAGTTACTGCCTGACTCTCAGAGGTATTTGAGTTTCATCCTCGGTGTCAATCTAATGTAAGAAAACGTTTTCCTTGGCTCAAAAGGGCCTACTGACACATTAACTAAATGCAACACATGGATCTTGTTTGGTGCATGATTCAAACAAACTAACCCTGATAAAACAGTTTTGAGACAATCTGTAGAGTATAAACATTGCCTGAGGTTTAGATGGTATTAAGAAATTATTGTTGATTTTTTTTTTAGTGTGACAATGGTATTTTTGTTACCTTTTAGAAGTATTCATCTGTTAAAAAGATAGGCAGTGAAATATTTATAGGTGAAAAGACATGATTTACAGGATTTGCTCTAAAACATTCTGAAGAATGTGCACTTTTGAAAATTTTCCATAATAGATGGTTTAAGAAAAACAGTGTCTACCCCCACGTGTCTAAGCGTCTGGCCCATTATCATGCAAAGCAGCATTTGGCTTCTTTTATCTTTTGTTCTCTTTGTTACTCGGGCTAAAACTACACATCAACGCTCCTGCAATATTGCTAACTTCTTTCCTTATGCTAGAAAACTTCTTTTTGATAGCATAATTCATTTAAATATGTTTAGATTAGCTGATAGTATTTTTATTTAAAATATTTATTTTAAAATTGTATATTTGTGTATGTTTGTATTTATATATTTGTATATAATAAATTAAATTATAATTTAAAATAAAATTTAAAAGAATATTTACTTTAAAATGAGAATATTAATAGTTCTGGAGGTGTTTTGTCTCCACTGGGCCTTAGTGCAAGCCAGACCAGGTTGATGTTGCCATGTTGCCAGCAGAGGCCTGGCTGTGTCCTGGGCACACCCTTGAGGGTCCTGCAGGGCCTCCTCCCTCGACGCCTTCACTGCTCCCCACTGAGCTCCATAACACAGCCCGAGGATGGGCCAGTGATGTGGTTTATACAGGGGACGCCTACGCCACAGGGGCTACCGAGGAGATACTCGTACTCTGATGATAATCACAGGGACTCAGATTTCCAATACACTCATCTTTCGGTCAGCCTACATTCCAGACAAGAGCTTCCTTGAGAAATTCCCTGAAGCTAAAAATGATCCTTCCCAGGTCTAAAAATTATAGTTCTCTATTCCCATGTCTGGCACAATTACCTTCCAGAGGGGCGTACGTGCCCAGCAGGCCCCGCGTGTCAGCTAGCTTGAGTCTCACATGCTTAAAGAAAGGGAAGCAGGGCACTGGAATGAGTGGGCCGCACCCTCTCACCACACCAGGGAAAGGGGAAGGCTAACTCACTTGTCAAGGGAACATGTGAAGCTTTTCGTAAGAGTAGGACCACATTATCAACCTTTAAGATTCTTATTTTACAGTTTATCCACAATTTTTTTTTTCTTGAGGTGGAGTTTCACTCTTGTTACCCAGGCTGGAGTGCAATGGCACAAACTCGGCTCACTGCAACCTCCGCCTCCCGGGTTCAACGGATTCTCCTGTCTCAGCCTCCCAAGTAGCTAGGATTACAAGCGCCCACCACCACGCCTGGCTAATTTTTGTATTTTTAGTAGAGACAAAATCTGCACCATGTTGCTTAGTCTGGTCTCAAACTCATGACCTCAAGGGATCTACCCGCCTCGGCCTCTCAAAGTTAATTACAGGCGTGAGCCATGGTGCCCGGCCAATTTTAAGGGTACTGTAAAAGACTCTCGGTCCTTGGTTCAGAGGTTGCAGGACAGAAATTGGTCATTTGCATCCTAGGCACAGATTGCCTTCAGGTGAGTGGGAAGAGGTGGCAGGATAAGGTGTACATTACTAGACAGAGGTCCCAGACTCATTCTTAGCAAGCTGTGTGAACTTGGACAAGTCTGTTAACATCCTTGCTGTATCCTCTTTCCTGTGTATATGAGTGAGAGAGTGAACAGAAAAATGGACAACAGCCAGACCACATATAAAAATAGAACTCTGACCCACAATCTGCAGTGACCAGCTCAGGAAGCCAACCTACTATCTACCAGTCACCCTTAGAGGAAGTCGGATCACTCTGTCTAGCAAACAACCCAAGCTGGACAATCACCCTGTAACAATTGGCCCCAAATGTTCAAGACTTAATACTTAACTGGCAGCTTCCCTACTTTTTGTCCCTGCTTCCAACTTAGGAACAATCAGAGAAAGTAAAATATGCACCCCTAACCAATCGCATGGGATGACCTACTCCTACTGAGCCACTTACAGCTTCCCCGTGATGACAGCTTCCAATCTGAAGCCATCCTTTTACATGTTGCCTAGGCTGCAGTGCAATGCGCAGTCTTGGCTCATTGCAACCTCCGCCTCCCAGCCTCAAGCAATTCTTGTGTCTCAGCCTCCCAAGTAACTGGGATTACAGGCACACTCCATCACACTTAGCTAATTTTTATACTTTTAGGAGAGACAGGGTTTTGCCATGTTGGACAGGCTGGTCTCGAACTCCTGGCCTCAAGTGATCCACCTGTATCAGCCTCCCAAAGTGTTGGAATTATAGGCGGGAACCACTGCGCCTGGCCGAGCCTTCCTTTTTCTACTAGAAAGCTTTTCCACCTCTCTGCCTGCCTTTGAATCTCTGCCTGCCTTTGAATCTCTGCCAAAGTGCAAGTGATGGTGGCCGACTCCCTTGCGAGCTCTGACTAAAGAGCCTTTGCTCATTCTCATTTGGGTGGTCTTCATTCATCTCCACATGAGACAGGGGTAGACTAAATGATTGATCTAGTGTCCTAATGCTTTTGGATTCTACAAGAATTTACATTTGGTCAACAAGTATTTACTGTGAATCTAGTTCAATGCCAGTCACTGTGCTAGAGGCTAGAGGTATTTGGTGAGTTTCCAGCCTAGCGAGGGAGACACTGGTACATTAAATAATTACACAAACGAATGTAAAATTGCAGCTGTGATGAGGCGCCGCGCACCGTGCATGAGTGCCTAAAGCAGTTGGCCTAGTCAGGGAGCACAGAGAGGATATCCTGAGGAAGTGGCACTTAAACTGAGATTTGAAGAGTGTTGAGAGTTTACCAGGTGAAGAAGAGGAAAGAGAAGGAAAATCCAGGCCAAGGTCATGGGGTGTATGAGGGCGTGGAAGAAGATGAGCCCAGATGGGGCACACAGAGCATGGGGGACAATGACAGGTGAAGTCTGAGGGAGAGGAAGGGACCAGGCCACACAGGGTCTCATAGGCACCCTTAAGGAATTTTGTCTCTATCCAGACACTAGCAACAACTGCAACATAATGACACTGTCCTCACAGGTTCACAAGGATTGCACGCTGGGTTCTAGACAGAAATATAATTGTAATTAAGCATTAATCAGGCTGCACTCTGGCCCACTTCCTTGCTGCTGAAAGTCACTCGGCACTAGGTACTGACCACTGGCATCCCCATTGCTCCCACAGACAGGATTGCTGACATTAATGTCCTAAGACTGCCTAGGAATTGATTTGCATCCCCATTGTTCCTATAGACAGGATCACTGACATTAGAATCATAAAGTCTTCGTTTAAGGATTGCTTAAGATGTTTCTCAGAGCCCAAATTCCAGTGAAACAGCTGACACCAACCAGTGTGAAGACCCCACGGAGGAATGGAATCAGCAAGAGAACACAGCTTCTTCCTCTCCTTGTCCCATGACTTCACCCTGCACTCTTCAGCCAATCAATAATCTCCACATTTTGTCCCACTCCAAACCCTTAAAAACCCTAGTCCAAAACTCTTCATGGAGTTGGATTTAAGGTTCCTTCCCATCTCCTTAGTAGGTGGCTCTGTAATTAAACCTCTTCCTCTGCTGCAAACTGATGTCTTGGCATATTGACTTGCTGTGCGCATCAGGCAACAAACCTATTATGGTTACAATAATAGCTCATTATTGAATTATTGAACAACACTTACTGGAAACTATGTATCCTGAATATACAAAGAACTTTTGCAACTCAGAAATAGAAAGACAAAAATCCATTCAAAAATAGGGTGAAAGCCTTGAATAGACATTTCTCCAAAGAAGCTACACAAATGGTCAGCAAGCACATGAGAAGATGCTTATGTTATTACTCACTAGAGAAAGGCACATTAAAACCACAGTGAGATACCACTTCACTACCACAGTGAGATGCCACTAGGATGACTGTAATTTTTTTTAAAGGAAAATAATAAATGTTGGCAAGAATGTAGAGAAATGGAACCCTCATACATTGCTGGGAAGAATGTAAAATGATGCAACCACTGTTAAAAACAGTTTAAGCAGTTTGGCAGTTCCTCAAAAAGTTGAACATGAAGTTACCATAGCACCCAGCAATTCAATTCCTACATATATACTCAAAAAAATTGAAAATGTATGTTCACACGAATATCTGCACATGAATGTTCATAGCCACATTATTCACAATAGCCAAAAATATAAACAACCCAAATAACCATCAACCGATGAATGAATCAACAAACTGTGGTACATCCATACAATGGAATATTATTCAGTTATAAAAAAGAAGGGAGTGCTGATTCATGCTGCAACAGGGATGAACCTTAAAAACATTATGCTAAGTGAAAGAGGCCAGAGAGTGAAGGTCACATAGCGAATGATTCCATTCAAGTGAAATGTCCAAAATAGGCAAACTCGAAGAGATGGAAAATAGATGAGTGGTTGCCAGGGAACAGGCAGAGGGGAAAAGTGACTGCTTACGGTTTCCATGGTTTCCTCTTGCAGTGATAGAAATGATTTGGAATTAGACAATGGTGACGGTTGCACGACATTGTGAATATACTAAAATCCATGGGATTGTACACTTTAAAATGATGCATTTTATGTTATGTGAGTTTTTGTCTCAATAAAAAAATTGCAAAAAAAAGAAAAAAAAAGGAATTAAGAAAGCAAAAACAGGCAGGGCACGATGACTCACACCTGTAATCCCAGCACTTTGGGAGGCTAAGGCGGGAGGATCACTTGAGGCCAGGAGCTCGAGACCAGCCTGGCCAACATGACAAAACCCCATCTGTACTAAAAATACAGAAATTAGCTGACTGTGGTGCTGGGCACCTGTAATCCCAGCTACTTGGGAGGCTAAGGCACAAGAATCCCTTGAACCCAGGAGGCAGAGGTTTCACTGAGCCAAGATTGCACCACTGCACTCCAGCCTGGGCGACAGAGTGAAACTCTGTCTCAAAAAAAAAGAAAGCAAAAACACAAAAAAGCAAAGAAATTTCTCCAACTGCAATCAGAAAAAAAGGCAGAAGGAGGCTGGGCGTGGTGGCTCACACCTGTAATCCCAGCACTTTGGGAGGCCGAGGCGGGCAGATCATGAGGTCAGGAGATCAAGACCATCCTGGCCAACATGGTGAAACCCTGTCTCTATTAAAAATACAAAAAATTAGCCAGGCGTGGTGGCAGGCACCTGTAGTCCCAGCTACTTGGGAGGCTGAAGCAGGAGAATGGCGTGAACCCAGGAGGCAGAGCTTGCTGTGAGCTGAGATTGCGCCACTGCACTCCAGCCTGGGAAGACTCCGTTTCAAAAAAAAAAGGCAGAAGGTGAAGCCAGAGAGATTCATAGCATGAGAAAGACTCAATACACCATCGGTGGTTTGAAGAAGGAAAGGGCAACGTGACAAGGAATGCAGATGGCCTTAAGGAGCTGTGAAAGGCCCTGGCTGACAGCCAGTAAAGAAACAGGGACCTCAGTCCTTCAGCCACAAAGAACCAAATGCTACCAACAACCTGAGTGAGCTTGGCAGAGATTCACCCGCAGAGCCTCGAATGGAATGCTCCCCTGCTGACAGCTTGATTTCAGCTTTGTGAGACTCTAGGCAGAGGACCCAGCTGAGCCCCACTGCACCCACCCTTTGAACCTACAAAACTGTGAGATAACGATGGATATCGTTTTAAACTACTAAATTAGTGGCAATTTGTTAGGGCAGCAATAGAAAACCAATACATTGGTTTCTTAAACACTTAGTTTCTACCAGTGTATTAGTTTTCCATTGCTGCCCTAACAAATTGCCACAAATTGAGTGGCCTACAGAAAGGTGGTTTGGCTGGACGTAGCATCCCTGCATCATTTTATCTAGTGCTGACTGCAGCATGAATATGGATAGGAATGTCGAGCGTAGGAGAAAAGACAAGAAGACAAGGAAGGAGGTGAGGACGGGGCCATGAGGACTGCTTCAATACATGGCCAGACGGAAAGCCACCAATAGGAGGAGGAGCCATGAGGCTCAAGAAGAGGAAGGTAGTGCTGTGTTACGGTCATTGCTTTGATCAATGCTGTCTCAGACAACAGAATACACTCTAGCTAATTTAAATAAAAGACATGTATTTAAAGTCACTAGCAATTCATAGAATTGTTGGGAAAAGCAAGGACACAGAGGCTAGGCTGAGCTTCCAGGAATAAGTGTCAGAGGAGCTGCTGCCTCTGCCATCATCAGGGAGTCATCGATCTGGAAGCTACATCCCTGCTCTTGGCTGGAGAACCTTCCTGCCCTGCTGCGATGCACAGCAGCAAAAAGTGATGCCTCCAGCCCTGCCTCCCTGCCCAGCATCTCAGTTTCAAATGACAGTCCCAGAGAGGGCGCCTGATGGGTGGAATTGAAACCTCAACTGGAAACAGTGGAGAGGGAATATGGAAAATGTCATTTTTAGCTTTCTCTCCACTGCCAGGAAGGTATGCAAAGCAGGAATAGAATGAATGCTGAATGAGTCAGCCCACAGTATCTTCCTCAGAAGGCAAGGAAGGCCAGTGTTTGAAAGAGGGAGTGGTTAGGCTGGCAGTGTCAGATGAGGCTGAAAGAGACAACGAACCTTTCCGGAATTTAGTAATGACAGGACACCTAAACAAAGCTGAACCAATGCATCACAGAAGTGGAGTCCTTGAAGAATGAATATAAAGTGAGAAAACGAAGACAGTGCCTATTATCAAGTGTTTCCAGAAACTTGGCTGTGTAGAGGTGGAAAGAGACAGGGCGGAGCTGCAGGGGTGAGGGGTGTGGAGGGACAACTCAGAGTCAATTTCCCTTCCTCTCCTTTGACTCTGATTGGTTTGGTTTCCAGATGTCTAAAAACCGATGAGAAAGTCCTTTGCGGGGGGAGGGGGTAGATATAAAGATAAAATAGATCATTCAAAGGGGAAAAGGGCTAATCCATACAGTGAGATTTCCGAGAAGGCAGCAGGGGTGGGGCAGGGAGGCCCAGAGCGCAGGTGGAGAGTGAGCCTGGTGTGGAGTTAGCCACTTCTCCCCAGAGGAAGGCAAGGATGTGGAGGGTGAAAGCGGGCTCGCAGACACGGTAGGAGAAAGACAGGCACAGCCATCTGGTAGCTTCTATTTTCTCTGTGAAGTGGGATGCTCAGTCATCGGCTGAGAGGGAGGAGGAGGAGCGGGCAGCTGAGAGCCAGGAGAGGGACAGCGCGATGGGTCCTCTGGAGAGTGAGAGGGCGAGGGGGGCCACAGACACAGCGAGGGGGGAATATCACACCCCCTGAGCATGGCAGGACCTGCGCGCTGGGGTGTGGCTCTCCTGGAGCAGAGAGAAAGTATGCACACACACACACACACACACACACACAGACACAGACACACAGAAACACAGACACACAAACACACATACACACAGAAACACAGACACAGACCCCCACACACGGACACACAGACACACATATATGATACTTCTTGTCTCATCTGGGATGGGGTTTTTGCCAGATGGGTACAACACTAAGAAAAAATGAGCTTGGGAGTTGGTTCTGTGAACACCTAGCTGGTTTGAGAAGAAAACAGAAAGGTGAGGGCTGAGGGAGTGGGAGAAACAGAGGCCGCGGCACCACTCCCAACCAGGTGGCACCAAGAGCCAGCGTGGCAGAGGAGGGGGGAGGTGCGGGAAGCAAACTGCGGGAGAAGAGGTCGCACTGAGAGAGTGCCGCTGCTGACTTAGGGATGTGCAGTCTTTTGAATGATTGCTATTTTCCAGATCCTGTAATAGACTAAATGATACCCCAGAGAAATTCGAATAATAGTGATGACACGTCCACAGGGGGCAGATTTACCAAGAAACCTAAGCTGTAAGGCCTGTCACCTGTAAGCCCTGGGAGGGGCCCTAGCAGTTTTTATGTTTGTTATTTTGCATATATGCACAAGCTTCAGGGACAAAACTTAGGTCCACCCACGGGCCCCTCCCCAGGCCTTGGAAAAGGACATGCACATAAGGAACACCACAGTCAAAGTTTCCTCAGCATCACGCCATCTCCATCCCGTCATGACATCTAACTGCACTGAAAGAAATGAGCATCTAGCTGAGGTTAAGTTTCTGCACATGTGCGTATGTGTATTGCATAGACTTTAAGGTGGCCCCATGACCCCTGTGACTTGCTCCTAACCAACAGAATATGACCAACGTGATGCAGTGTGACTCTCAGGATTATGTAGTTATATAAGACTTGGTCTGTTTGAAAGATTTGAAGAAGCCAGCTACCCTGAGGTCTACATCTTTCCACAGCCTTGGTGAGTTTGGATGGAGACCCTTACCCATGGGAGTCTCGAGATGAGAACGCAGCCCTGGTCAGGACCCTGATTGCAGTTTTGCTGAGGACCCAGCTAGGCTGTGCCCAGACACCTGCCCCACAGAAACATAATAAATGTGTGTTGTTTTAAGCCATTGAGTTTACGGTAATTTGTTATGCAGCATAAAAAAATGGATACAATAAGTAAACATAAGGATAATAGTCCTTGCTTTGCTGGGTTGATGTGAGGATTGTATGGGATATGTGAAGGTGGTGCTATGGTGTGAATGACTGTGTCCCTCCCTCCAAAATGCAGGTGTTGGAACCTAATCCTCAACGTGGTGGTAGGTTTACCACCTGAAGCAGAGAACAGCCCTCACCAGATACTGAACCAGCTGGTGCCTTAACATTGGACTTCCAGCCTCCAGAACTGTGAGATGTAAGTTTCTGTTCTTTATAAATGACCCAGCCTCAGGCATTTTGTTATAGCAGCAGGAACAGACTAAGATAGTGGCCAACACAATTCCAGGTGCCTGGTAATGCTTCCCTTCTGCCCCTTCAGGGACAGAAGTTCTAGAAAGAAGCAATAGGTCTAGTGAGAAGCAACTCATCCCAACTCTATTAGAGTTGACTTAGAGGCCCAGGCCAATTTAGTTGGTGGGACAGTAAGTGTTTTAGAAGTAGACTTGGGTTCAGATCATGGCTCCATTACACCCCAGCTGTATGATTCTGGGGAAGTGTTGTGCTGGACCCCTGTTGATTCCAATAGGGATGGTGCCCTGTCCGAGAGGCTGAAGAAGAGATCCAGAGCTAGTAGACCAGACTGTTGATTGAGGACCCACATACGGGGCAGTCCAGGAACGGGGGGCTAGACATGAGAACTGCTATTGTTTGAAAAAGCATGCAGTTTATATGGCAATTTTCACTTCCCACCCTCCATCTATCAACCTCTGTTTAAACCAAAACAAAGGCTTCAATCCCCTGTACACCTGTGTTCCAAGGAATGGACCAGGGGTTCGGATGTCCCTCATAGATAAGGAGTGAGTCTCTGGGTTGGCCACTCCCAGACACACATTCTTCTTAGACCACAGGGTCATTCTCAGGGTGTGCTTAAGTTACTGCTGTCAGTTGCATCTGCCATACAGGAAGTCACTTAACCACCTTGACTGGTGCAGTCTTCACCTGCAAAGGAAACATGTACTTAACTTCCCAGGGGACAGAGGAAACCAAAGCAGATAAAAATACATAGAAACCATTTTGTGTAGTCGCTGGCATGGAATAAGAGCTCAACAAAGGTCCTTTCCCTTAGTCTCTTGCATTTCAGGACCACAAACTCTCCACCTGGAAGCCCCTGTCCTATCCTGCTGCACCCCTGCACCGCCCTGCTCATCTGCCCTTCTCCACTCTTCTCTGGAAAACCCTCCTGCCTTGGCCCAGCTCCATTCTTTCCAGGGCTCCTTCTTAGAGGATGTGCTTTGGGAAGGAGCTCGTTAGTGCACTCAAACCAAGGGGTTCACAGTCCATGATTTAATATGAGGGGTTCCCTGGGGCACTTGGCTTTTCGCAGGGCTTAAGCTTTCAACCTGAGGATGAATCTTTAATGACAGTACTTCAACACTTGGGACAGAACCCTAGGGGATGGTGATGAGCAGTCGGTCTTCACTATGCACTTTGGACCCTGCACTGAGCCCCATGGCCTACTCTTCCTGGGCTAAGCATTGTGCTGGAGTGGACGGGACCATCAGCCTGAAACCATGAACACACCCAGTCACTGGGCAGAAATGAGAGGTGGCACACACTTCCGACCCAGCTGCTCAGAGGCGAAGTGATATTTCACGCCTGAAATGTTCATCTCATAAAACTCTTAAAATATGCTAATTAATGGTAAACTGGGCAGATACTTTTCTGTTAAAGAACAGATTACAGCACTAAGTGACCCAGGGAGATCACATTCTAAAATGGATGCTCCAGACTAAGGTAACTTGATACGCTGCCCTTTTGACCAGAATTTGCTGGGAAAGAAATAAACCATATCATCATATAGTTTGTGGTATGTGAAGGTGAAGTGCGTTAGTTTCAACAAAACACTGAGGCACAGGCTCTCAAAATGAATTTTTGTATTGCTTCCTAGAGTGAAAAGTTGTTGGATAGATGTAGTTTGTATACTAAAATATTGAAATTTCTGGGGCATTTTGCTGTATTACAGAGACAAGTAAAATAGTAAAAACTGGAATGGTTTCAGAAACACTAGAACATATGGTACCCATCCTAGCAAAATTCATTGCCAACGCAGAAACCAAAAATAATTGGAATTTTTGGTGAGGTGAATTTGGAGACACTGCCAAAAAATGGACTCTTCCCATCTCTATGCCTTCTGCTTGCGGTCTCTGGCCAAATGCTGTCCATGGATGAAAAACAAGGTTTCCCAGGAGGTTGCTAAAGTAGACGGCATCATGCAGTAGGACGGCCTTGCCCTGCTGAGGAGAAATGACAAGGCACATATGGTGCTCATTCCTGCAAACGTCAACTCCTTATTTCAAAACCAAAAAATGAAATAAAATGCTTTTCAAACATTTATGCACAGATCAATCGAGAATGTGGTTCCAAGGATGTGAGTAGGATGCCGTGAAGCGGTTGTCAGAGTGTCCTGCATATCCCCTTGATATCTGGACTTCTTCTAGCTGGTGGTGCAGCCAGGGAACTGACTCACGATCACTGCAGGGCAGCATGCCTTTCAGCTCACACCAGGAAGACTCTGCAGATTGAGTAACTTTCTTCCAAGGGGCTGTTAAACTTTAGATCCTTCGTGACTCACAGAGTGAAGTCTCACAATAACCAAAGTTTAGACAACAAAATATCCTCAAGAGCACTTATGATTTTTACAAAATATGCAGCCTCTTTGCCTTTACCTTTAAGTGGCCATTGGCTGTATTAGTCAGAACAGGCTAGGTTATGCTGCAGAACAAACAGGACCTGGAATCCTTCAACAAAGGTATAATTTTTGCTCATGATATTTCTCCAGCACAGGTGAGCAGGTATTGGGGAGTAGTCTGCTCCACATAGCCACTCAGGAACCCAGGCTAAATGAGGCTTTGTTGTCTGTAATGTGGCCAGTGGCCTAGGCAACAGAAGAGCCTGCACAGACAGCTCACATCTATAGTTCAGACCAACAGGGCCACATATTACTTCTTGTAGTCCATTGGCCAGGACTACTCAAATGACCCCATTTAATGGCAGGGAGGTTTGACATGTAGTCTTTCATGTGCCTGGTGGAGAGAAGCACTAGTAATATCTATTAGATTTTAGTATTTCATCCACTTACTTGAGCCTGTACTAAATTCTAGACCTTGTGGTGGATATAGATGCATATAAAGTACATTAATTGCCCTCAAAATCTGAAGACACTATATCTCAGGATGGAAAAAGTGAGGTTTGAGACTTTGACCACCCATACTCAAGCAATTACATCATTTGGAATATCTCTCTCCCAAAAGATGGAGAATGATTGCCCAGAGGAATGATTGCCCAGAGGAAGACAGACTGGACAATCCCTGACGCGCAAATCCAGAAATTTCATATGACCCCTACCATCAAAGGGCTCAGCAAGCACCCTCTTACTATACCTGCCAGAGCGCAACTACTGTGCCCTGGCAATCAAAGCGGGGTGGGTGATGCAGTGTTCAGAGAAGGATGAGAAAAAGAGGACTATGTGAAAAGCAAGAATATTCTGATTGATGACATATTTTAGGCTCTGAGGCAGGACTGGATCTGCTGTCTGTCAGGCCTCAGAGCCCAAGCTAAGCCATCATATCTCCTGTGACCTGCACATATACATCCAGATGGCCTGAAGTAACTGAAGAATCACAAAAGAAGTGAAAGTGGCCCGTTTCTGCCTTAACTGATGACATTACCTTGTGAAATTCCTTCTCCTGGCTCATCCTGGCTCAAAAGCTCCCCCACTGAGCTTGTGACCCCCATCACTGCCAGCCAGAGAACAACCCCTTTTGACTGTAATTTTCCTTTACCTATCCAAATCCTATAAAACGGCCCCACCCCTATCTCCCTTTGCTGACTCTCTTTTCGGACTCAGCCCGCCTGCACCCAGGTGAAATAAACAGCCTTGTTGCTCACACAAAACCTGTTTGGTGGTCTCTTCACATGGACGCAAGTGAAACTGTCATGATGGTTCCTCTGTTTTTGTAGGGGTTTTTTTTTTTTTCTTTTTTGAGATAGGGTCTGGCTCTGTTGCCCAGGCTGGAGTGATCATAGCTCTAGCCATGGCATGACCATAGCTCACTGCAGCCTCGAACTCTTGGGCTCAAGTGATCTTCCTGACTCAGTCTCCTGGGCAGCTAGGATCACAGGTGTGCACCATCATGCCTGACTAATTGTTTTTACATTTTTAAATTTTTGTTTTGTTTTGAGACAGAGTCTCGCTCTGTCACCCAGGCTGGAGTGCAGTGGCGAGATCTCCTCTCACTGCAAGCTCTGCCTCCCCGGTTCAGGCCATTCTCCCGACTCAGCCTCCCGAGTAGCTAGGACTACAGGCACCCACCACCACGCCTGGCTAATTTTTTTGTATTTTTAGTACAGATGGGGTTTCACCGTGTTAGCCAGGATGGTCTCGATCTCCTGACCTCGTGATGGGCCCGCCTCAGCCTCCCAAAGTGCTGGGATTACAGGTGTGAGCCACTGTGCCCAAATTTTTAAATTTTTATAGAGATGGGGTCTCTTTATGTTACTCAGGCTGGTCTTGAACTCCTGGCCTCAAGTAGACCTCCCATGTTGGCCTCCCAAAGTCCTAGAATTATAAGTGTGAACCATCACTCCTGGCCCATGATGGCTTCTCTGAATGCTGCCTTTTGAACTTTTTATCTTGTCTGAAATTCAACTGATTTGAGATTCATCTTGGTTATTGAGCACCTTTTTTTCAAAACATGCATATTTCCCAGAGGACTCTGAAGCTAATAGCTATTGAATGTGAACCCGTTCAATCAGATACCTTTCCTTTCTAACACCTAACTTTTGGGGATAGGGGTTTTACTGAGGATCAGGTGATGGCAAGGCTACTTGGGGTGCCCGAGTGAAGGGCTTGGGGTACCACTAATAGACTAGGGTCCTAAGGAAATAACATCCAGGGATGGCCAGGAAGCAGCCCTCACCAGATCCCAGATATTCCAACATCTTGATCTTGGGCTTTCCAGGCCACTTTTGGGTTTGCAATTGATGCCTTCTCATTGCATTTTCACAAGTGAAGAGCTGAGAGTGAGCAAGTTCTCATGTCTCTTCTTACAAGGGTGTTAATCTCATTTGTGAGGGCTCCACCTTCATGACCTACTTACCCCCAAATCCTCCTCCTAAGATCATCACGTTGGGGATTAGGATTTCAAGATATGAATTTCCAGAGGACACAAGCATCCAGTTCATAACAGGGCTGGTAAGGGTTACAGTTGGAATTGAGGGTTACTGTTGGAATTGAGGGTTCCATGCTCTTTCCCTAGTGACACCTTCCTTCTGGTCACTGACCTCACCCTCACTCTTGCAGTTGTGGCCTCCAGGTGTCCAGAGCCGACTCAGGACAGGCCTATGAGGACCAGCATTCTCTCTCTGACCTTGTAGTCAAATGGGTCTTGAGAGGCCCAGCTCTGAAATCTCGTTTCTACAGTTGTTACATTTCCTATGGCATCTGAAAGGAAAATAAAATCTCTGGACCCCAAACTCGCTAAGCCAAAGGGAAACATTAAGCTGGGAACTCGGTCAGGCAAACCTGCCTTCCACTTTGTTCCTAAATAGATAGCTACAAGATAAAAGGCTACATTCTTCCCTCACAATTTCCTCACAAGGAAATCTCTTGTGAGCCCCAATATCTTTACCCTAAGACAGTTCTGTTGAATTTCACCCTACAATGTATTAATAAATTAGAAGCTAATCTTCTACAGAAAGAGAACAAAAACCAAGAACTAAAAGCCATCATCCCTCTGTTCAACTGAGAGGAATGCATATCTAACTGCTTCCTCTACTTCCTATGTTTATTTTACCTTATGTAAAAATGGAGATTAACTGAGCACAAGATAAATGCATAATTGACTATTCCTCTCCTCCCTCCTTTCACGTGAAAAAAGTGGCTTCACTGATCAAAAGACTCAAAGGAATGCAACTGTTTGCCTCTTTTATCTACTCTTTCCCTTTCTTTTCCTCCTTCCTCTTTCACCTACTGCCTGCTCTTTTTCCCTTTGAATATTGAAGTACCCAGACCCTCTTTGGGAAAAAATCACGGAGCACAGATGTTTCCTGTGGTTTTCTGTACCTTTTTTTTCTCTCGGGCATGTCTTCAACCTTGGCAAAATAAACCTCTAAAAATGATTGAGACTTGCCTCAGTTATTTTTTTTGGTTTACAGTTAAAAGGCTCACCAAACTCCAAGGAGCTTGCTCACAATGAATCCAGGGAAGAAATTCAACTGCTCATGAAAGCCTGCTCATGTAGTTAATCTCTTAAAGATAGGCAAGGAGTGGTTTTTGTTGTTTGTGTGATCACTCTTCACTGCAGCCTCAACCTCCCAGGCTCAAGTGATCCTCCCACCTCAACCTCCTGAGTAGCTGAGACTGCAGGTGAACACCACCATGCTTGGCTAATTTTTAAATTTTTTGTAGAGAGGGAGTCTTGCTATGTTACCCAGGTTGGTCTCAAACTCCTGGGCTGGAGCAATCCTCCTGTCTCAGCCTCCCAAGGTGCTGGGATTACAGGCATGAGCCTCCACACCTGGCCTGTGAGGAATCTAAAGGTGTTGCTGTAACAGACAGTTCTGGGATACATGACTATAAAACATGTGAGTGTTCTCAACCAACTGTTTGGGGTGAAAAATTTGGAGTCTGACTTAGTGCATATTCAACACCCCCATTTCTGTGCTTGACAAATACTATCTATTTTTCTGCAACAGATTTAGCTTGTTCAAGTCTCCATGTTATCTGCTGAAATTGACTAGGAGTGGGTCATTGCTTCTGCAATGAAATGTCGCCATCCTAGGCTCTGAAATAACACAAAGTATATTATGAGTAGACATCACTTTTTTGGTCACAGTTTGCAGGTAGAACACCTGGATTCCCCTAGGTTTCTTCTAGAACTGGATCTGCCACTGGGTATTAATTGCTGGAGACATCATTTAACCTGTTTGGATTTCTGAAAGATGAATGCAATGAGCTGCAGGATATCTGTTTGCTCAGCACTCTAGGATTCTATGATCTCTAAAGAGTCAGCATAAGAAGACCATTCAGGATAAATGTGAAGTTTTAGACCATTTAAATTCAGAGATACAGTGTCCTGGCCAACTTTCTGCTGCTTGGGTTGACATCTGGCATGCTATTTTCCATTTGGCACCTGTTTGGGTGTGTGATCAAGTATTCTAGACAGAATAATTTCTCAGAGCAGCAGAAAGGCAGTCTTTGGTTTTCCAGTGCCTTGGAAGGCAACAAACACAGGTTCAGGGAGCAAATAAATCATTTAATGTTGTCCTGACCTGTTCTTCAGGAGGACCAGATCATCATGACATGGCCTCCTAAAACATCCTTTCGAGGGCAAAGGAGACAGAAGAAAGTGACCTCCTAGCAACTGCCTGTGCAAAGAAGAGACTCAACAAAAGAAAAGACTTCTCTCATGAAGACCCAAGAGCTTCAGGGTCAGAATGAGGATAAGAATTTGGTACTGCTGACATTTCTACACCTACTCTTCTGTGCTTTTGCCTTGAAATCTTGAGAACTTCCCTGCTCAAAGATAAAACCTCATACACTACATGAAATTTCTTTGTTTTTCGGTAACTCTTTCTCTTTGGTCAGATTCAAGCTGTTTTGAGATACCCAAACTACTGTTTGCTGAAGTCAACTCAATAATTAAAAACAACAACAAGTGATATCAATTATTTGACACTATACAGACAAAACAACCTACTGCATGAATTATAGGCTACTTCTACCACTGCCCAGATGAAATGGGATCAAAGTGGACACTTGCCTACTTCCAAACTTAGGTAAAAATGGAGACAGACAGGGTGACAAACAGGAAAGCATTTTGACCATCCATATATGTGGCTCTGTTTCAACAGTGTTTGCCATATACCACAGGCAGCTACAAGTGATGTTTCTCATTGTAAATATATTCTTCAGATTGCAAAAATATTTTGCTCTTTGGTTGTTTTTATTTGATGGATTCAGTGCCATGTGCCACAGGCAAAGCCCTGTGCTAGAAGATGAAGAGGCACAGATGATTATAAAGCAGAATCCCAGCTCCCAAAGAACAGATGAGGGAGGAACCGAAATATTTAGAGAATATTTGTATGTGTGAAGAACCTCATTACCATACCACTGGTTACAAAGGAAGTCCATGGGAATCCAGTGGGGGCAGGAGCTTGGACTGAGAACGGTGGGCCACCCATAAGCCGAGACACAGCAGGCTGAACACAGCAGGGAGGTGCTGCAGGGAGGGAGGTGAGAGGAGAAGGCACTCTCCCTGAGCACACCCCATCAGTTTTGAAGGTATGCTTACACAACCCTTGTGAAAATCATGATAAAAAGATGTTAACCAGGCTGGGCGTGATGGCTCACACTTGTAATCCTAGCACATTGGGAGGCCAAGGTGGGCAGATAGTTTGAGACCAGGAGTTCAAGACTACCCTGGCCAACATGGACAAACCCCATCTCTACTTAAAATACAAAAATTAGCCGGGCGGGGTGGCACATGCCTGTAATCCCAGCTACTCAGGAGGCTGAGGCACGAGGATAGCTTGAAACTGGGAGGTAGAGGTTGAGTTGAGATTGTGCCACTGCACTCCAGCCTGGGTGACAGAGTGAGACTGTCTCAATCTCAAAAAAAAAAAAAAAGATGTTAACTGAAAGTAAGAAAACAGGAGCATGAGACAAGTGGAGAAAGATCAAGAGTGATGCATTTTTATGTTAATTATCCCATCCCAACTGAAGCGCAGGATCCACCCCCTTCCCTGTCCTCACCTTATTGCAGGCTAGTTCTTCCTAAACACTTCACCTGACCGGGCCTCTCAGGGGAGGGAGGATGGTGCTGAAATATTGAAAGAGATAACGGAGGGCTAGGCCGAGCAATGCCAGCACCGCAGGGAGTACTGAGTAGCTCTTTGTGATTGGAATTTCTGGAGTGCACCGGAGAATAGCAGAAGATAAGGTTGGAAAGGTAAATAGAGATCTGACTTTAGAAAGCTGGACATTTCAGCTTAAGTGCTTTGGACTTTTCTCAGTAGTCAATGGAAAATTTTGATCAGGGAATCAAAAGCACAATCAAAATAGTGCTTTAATAATAGGAACGCCTTGAGTATATTTAAGCATATGTTTACTGATTAGCTACTTGGCAGAAAGCCTTGGGTCAGCAGGAAAGAGACAAATATTCAAAGCTCAAGGGTTAGCAATTAGCATTAAGACCCTTATTGACCGGCTACTCAGCTGGCACTGGTCACCTACTCTTTTGAACTACAATTACCATCTCATGTGCAATGAGGGCTAGGACCAGGTAACAACATTACAGACTCTCTGGGATGGAGTCAGCAGATAATGAATGGCAAATGCTCAGGACACGTTTCTTATTAGAAATGATGACAAGACTAGACATTTTTTTCTTTTTTTGAGACAGAGTCTCGCTCTGTCGCCCAAGCTGGAGTGCAATGGCGTGACCTCGGCTCACTTCAACCTCTGCCTCCCGGGCTCAAGCAATTCTCATGCCTCAGCCCCCCAAGTAGCTGGGATTACAGGTGCACACCACCACACCTTGCTAATTTTTGTATTTTTGGTAGAGACGGGGTTTCGCCATGTTGCCCAGGCTGGTCTTGAACTCCTGGCCTAAAGTGATCCTCTTGCCTCGGCCTCCCAAAGTGCTGGGATTACAGGCGTGAGCCACCATGCCTGGCCTGAGACTAGAAATTATAAAGGAAAGTAAGGGGAACAAAAACCAGATTTGTGAACCCTTGATTTGTACTCAATTTTTAGGGAGTATTTACAGAGCAGGGAGTAGAATTTGTGCATAATTTGCATATGTTTGTGCAGAATTTGTATTTGAGACAGGAACAGTATGTGGGAAAAGTTATTATGTCTGTTTTAACGCCTATTCCAGCATGAACATATTTTAAAACCCATAGAAATACATTTTAAAATCATAAATAACAGCAACAAATAAAGTCTTTTGATAGGTTTATTTCCTTCATTTGCCAGAGTAATTACGGTAATTCCCAAATGACCAATTTGAACAACGAAGCCTCTTGTTAGTAGGGTCAAAGTCTGGATCCGTTAACAGCGGCATTCCTGTCAAAATCTGATCTTTCCTCTAAGTGCCCAAATAGCCTAGGTGTACTAGATACCATTCTTCATGTCTCTAATACGTGCAAACAGACCTGACAACTATTTCAGAACCTAGAAAGGCCAGCCAAAAGTTAGTCATTAACTAAGCAGGATAAATCTTAATCAACTGAATAAATGCAAAGTATGTAACATTTTAAGTAAAACAAACAGGGTAGAGTTAACCAAGAGCCCTTACGGGAGGAAAAAAATCATTATTTCTTCCTTCGGGTGAGGCAAAAACCGTTTCTTTAAACTTGAAATGCAAAGAGCATTCATTTATATATTTCAGGATTAGATTCCGGTCTCAGACTGATATGCATTTCTTAAATGTGTCTTACATTTTCCCTGTTGAGAAAGTGGGTGAATCAGAACTGACTCAGGCCAGACACACCACAGGGAGAACAGGTCAGCACTAGAGTGAGAATGTCTAGTATGCTACCTTTATTCTGTATTACTATGATCCATGTCTATTTTGTGTTAATTATTGCTTGTCCAAAGGGACCACCAGAAAAATCTGTTGATCAAGCAAATCTAAGTATATTAGACCTACAGCAGTAAGGGACAATACTACAGTGTCAGTCTTAGAAGTGTCTCAAAACAGAGAAATTAGGAAAGGGTGTTGGAGGGTGTTATGGCCCAGATTATATGATTTTAAGGCATGTCTTGCAAGGCAAGAAACGAGATTGGGCAAAATTAAGATATAATAGTCTTGAAGAGGTGAACACAAGAGGGTGAGGGTCTTTTGTTTTGGTTTGTTTTGAAACAGAGTCTCACTCTCTCACCTAGGCTGGAATACAATGGTGCCATCATAGCCCACTGCAGCCTCGAACTCCTGGGCTCATGCTATCTTTCTGCCTCTGTCTACTGAGTAGCTAGGATTACAGGTGTGGCACCACAGCCAGCTAATTTTTTAGTTTTTATTTTTGTAGAGATGGGTTCTCACTATGTTGTCCAGGCTGGTCTTGAACTCCTGGCCTCAAATAGTCCTCCCATCCCAGCCTCCCAAAGTGCTGATACTACAGGCGTGAGTCACTGTGCCCCACTGAGATGAGGGTCTTGAAGTGAGCCTTTATGAGCAGGCTGTTCATTTTTGTAAGAAGCTGCTTTAATTGGTTCACAGCGTTATCTTCCAAGAGCAAGAATTTAATGGAGCAGGTAGCAAAGTATTGCTCCCAGCATTGTCTAACGCAGGAGCAGGTCTCACAATCAGACTCCATTCCTCCACCTTCTCTTCTAGCACTGAAAGTCTTTGCTAATACACATCCCTGAAGTCAGGAGGAAAGGAGGCATGGCTCCTCAGGGGGCACTTGCTGCCTTGGTGGGTGCGGGGAATCTGCAAGCATCTGCCAGCTTAGTGGGAACGCTAGGCCTTCCTAGGGAGGAGTGGGCCAGCTCCACAAGCCCATGGGATTGAGCAGGGTGTACAGTCCAGATCTTCAGAGGCATTCTGGTAGCCAGGACCTACACAGCCCTGTCCCATATTTAGGATCCTAGGTTTTCCCCACAGGGGCCCTGACCTTTGCGTAACAGACCTGCCTTGGCCAAGCATTTCAACCTCTCTGGAGCTCCATGATTCTAACAATCAGGTCCTCAGCCTGCCTCTCAGCTGTGTGTCTGTTCTTCCTCTGCAGGAGATGGAGGCCTCTTTGTCAGCTGTCACAGGGCCCTGCATAAACAGACCCTTGTCTCTCCTTCCTCTGTGTGCATCAAAACAGCTTAGTGAGATCCAGCCCACTCTGCCTTTTTTTGTAGGCATTTTTCCACCCGTATTGTTAAAATGCCTGCATCACGGCACACACCACATCGTCCCCTCCCGGAACATTTGCCAGGCCACTACGGTCAAATCGCTAGCCTTAGGCCGGGGACTCGAAATGACCCAGCTCCCAGCCAGGACACAACCTCTCCACCTGCTAGGGTGGGTGGGCCAGTTCCACATCCCAGCTCCGTGCCTGCTTTCTCAACCCATTCCTGTCCCCACTGTGTTATTCTGGGTCCTCCCAGAAGCAGATGCCATGACAGGATTGATTGTGCCAGAGATTCATTAGGGGAAAGGCCTGTGAGAGGCAGTGAGGAGGGAGCTGAGGAGACAGGAAGAGCCATCAGGCTGCAAGGCAAGCCTGGGCCATGAGTGAAGGAGAAGGGAGGGAGGAAGTTTAGACGGAAGCTCCAGGCTGCTCTGCAGTGCTCAGGAGCTCAACAAGGCTGTTGCCCAATCCTTGAGCCAAGGTTGCCCATCAGACTGCAAGGGAAGGCTGCCTTAGTGTCCTGCAGCCCTCCGTCCAGGAAGCAGGGTCTTGGCGCGAATGCAGCAATGCATCTCAGGGCGCAGCATCTGGGCTACCGGCTCAGTCACACTCCCTGCAGTTGGAGATCTGAGAGACACCTTCCCATAGCTGCCACACGCACACACAAACACTCACACACCCAATACACCACACACAGGAATGTACAGACACCAAACCCACATACAGCACACACACATCACATACACATACCCTTCACAGAGACAGACACACAAATATCAGACACATACCCCACACCAGACCACACACAGACACCACACATACCACACAAACAGACACCACACACACACCACACACACACACCACACACACACACCACACACCACACACACACACCATACACACACCACACACACACACCACACACCACACACACACACCATACACATACCACACACAAAGACATTGCACACATGCCCCGTCCCCACCCACACACACAGGAATTGCACACATGTCCACCACACACACACACACTGCACACACACCACACACACGCACACACATGCACGCACACACACGCACACGCACACACTCACACACACACACAGACTCACAATGGATAGATGAATACATAAGAAAGGTTTTTAAAAATTTCTTACTGTCATTTAAATATCATTTTTACCCAAGTAAAAAGCATCAGGCTTAAACTTTAATGACAATGTACTCTACAGTTGCTAAATTGTGTTTAAATATAAGTAAATCCCCTACTTTCCTATATAATTTGGAAATAAAAGGTGCAGGTTATTAATTTAAAATATTAAGATTTTCTTAGCTTCATGTTCAAAACTTTCCATGACCTAGTCCCAAACCACCTTGTTGGTTTTCTCATGATGTTGACCAGTGAATCCTACACTGGCCACACCATCTTTCTTGTGGTTACTGGCAGTGCTATTCACTTTTATGACTCTTTCCCTTTGCTTTGCTATTTCTTCTATGTGGAGTTCCTTTTTCCCTTATTCTCCACAAATCAACATCCTGCTCATTACTCAAAATCTGCTTCTGTGATTCCTGAGTTGGGATGAGCCTGGGAGACAGAGCAAGACTCCATTTCAAAAAAAAAAAGAAGAAGAAGAAGAAGAATTGAAAGCAGGAGCCTGGAATGGTGGCATGCACCTGTAGTCCCCGCTACTTGGGAGGCTGAGGCGGGAGGGTCATTTGAGCCCAGGAGTTCAAGGCTACAGTGAGCTATGATCCTACCACTGCACTCCAGCCTGGGCAACAGAGTGAGACCCTATCTCAAAAATAGTAATAAATAAATAAGTAATTTTTAAAAAAAGAAAGAGAGCAAAAACTCAAACAGATACTTGCAAACCAATGTTCATAGCAGCATTATTCACAATAATCAAAAGGTAGGAACAACCCAAATGCCCATTGATAGATACATGGATAAACAAAATGTGATTTAGCCATGCAACAGAATATTGTTCAGCCTCAGGAAGGAATGAAATTGTGACACATGCTATGACATAGATGAACTTTGAAGACTTTATATTAAATGAATTAAGCCAGACACCAAAGGACAACTATTATTTGATTTCACTTACAGGAGGTCCATCAAGTAGTCAGATACATAGAGACAGCCAGTAGAATGGTGGTTACCAGTGGGTAGCGGGAGAAAGGAATAGGAACTATTGTTTAATGAGCACAAAGTTTCAGTTTGGGATGATGAAGAAATTCTAGAAATGGCTAGTGGTGATGGTCACATGACAACGTAAATGTTCTTAATGCCGTTGAACTGTGCACTTAAAAATGGTCAAAATGGTAAATTTTATGTTATATATGTTTTATCGCCATAAAGAGTATTTTAAAAATTAGGATCCCAACTTCCTGTTAATGAACATGATTGATATTCCAGCTCCCTCTGGCACCATCATCAATTGCAGGCCTGTTTTCAGACCCAATCATAGAACTGCATGCAGCACTCAGGGGCTACACCTAGTACATGAGTGTGGGTTGCTAGGCAGGGGATTGCCCAGCCTATTTGGGTCTAACCCTTCCCAGAAACCTATAAAAATCTACCTGACTGAGCAGCAGGGCATGTGCACACTACAAGTACCCCGAGTGTTATGTATTAGGGAGGCACTGAATTAAGAAAACAAATCCGCAAACATTCGCCCAGGAAGGGTAAGTTACAACCTGTGGAAGAGAAGCTTTCTCTCCAGAGGGACCTGTACAGGCTGGGACACCACGGTCCGCTGACAGTGCAACAAGACTGCCTACTTGAACTCTCACCCCAACACCCTCCCAAGCTCCACCCATCAATGCTCTTCCATGAAACTTTGTGGCTGCAGCAGCAGTTACAATGTCCCCACCACCCTCAGATTGCCCGGCTCTGATCCCAGCCCCCTCGCCATGCAGTTTTCTCTGTGGCAGCATCTCAACGGTGTCCTCTCCTGCCCTTGCAGAGCGACTGCTTTTCTGAGCATCTGTCAACAACCCCTTATCCCATCAAGCGCTGCTAGCAGCACCCCACCTCAGGGGAAGAGGCTCAGGAAAGGACCGGGGCTTCAGTCCAGCCCCCACTTAACAGTTGAGCCATAGTTCTCACACTTCCAAGTGCACAAGAGTTACTGGGGCACCTGTGAAAATCTGAGGGGGTCCTGGTGCCCGATTTGTAATACACACTTCCCAAAGAATTCTGATGTAGGCGCTCATATTCTGAGAAACAGCAAACTTGAATCTCATTCTCCTCTCGTATAGATGAGAATAACCATCCTTTAATGCAAGAATTCCTTGAGGTAATATATACAGCAGCATCTAGCATAGTGCTTGGCTCAAAGTAGGCATTCAGCATATTCATTTAAATTTGAAATGAATGTAGAAAGGAATGGGTTGTGCAAATCATATACCCTTGCAGGAGGATTAAGGCCAGCATGAGCCTCCGAAACAGAGGGGTTGATACCATTGGTTCTACTGAAATATAAACATAAATGAATTTGATTTTCAAATTCATTTTCTGAGAATAGAGCATCTATCTTTTATCCGGAATCTACTGCATGAACGGCTGCCATGGCTCACACAATGACTAAGAAGGTTGTTCTAGCAAAGATGAAAACTGGAAGCTACAACCAGTCTAAAGTCTCAAGTGGATGCAAGGTGAGCCTCTCCAATGGGCAGCTGGGACTCCAGAGAGCCATGGCTTTCCTGACCTTAACTTCCCAGCTTTGCTCATGTCTCTAGAAATGTAGAAATATCACAGAATTTAAAAAGAAAAAACTCACTTCATATACATTGGGATGTTCATAATCAAAAAAACAGACGCTGGATGCAGTGGCTCACAGTTGTAATCCCAGCACTTTGGGAAGCTAAAGCAGGAGGATGGCTTGTGGCCAGGAGTTCGAGACCAGCATGAGCAACATAGCGAGGCCCTGTCTCTACAAAAAAATTAAAAATCAGCTGAGCATGGTGGTGTGTGCCTATAGTTCCACCTACTTGGGAGGCTGAAGTAGGAGGATTACTTAAGTCCAGGAGTTCGAGGCTGCAGTGAGCTATGATCACACCACTGTACTCCAGCCTGGGTGACAGAGGGAGATGCTGTCTCTAAAAATCAAGCAAACAGAAAATAACAAGTTTTGGTGAGAATATTAAGAAATGGGAGCCCTCATATATCATTGATAGGAATGTAAACTGGTCTAGCTGCTGTGGGAAACGGTATGGCAATTCCTTAAAAAATTAAACATAGAATTACCATATGATCCAGCAATCTGACTTCTGAGTACTTACCCAAGAGAACTGAAAGCAGGAACTCAAACAGATATTTGCACACTCATGTTCATAGCAGCTCTGTTCAAAGTAGCCAGAAGGCGGAAGCAGCTCAGGGGTCTATCAATGGGTGAATGGATGGATAAACAGAACACTATGTGTCCACAAAAGAGAATATGATTCGGCCTCAAAAAGGAAGGAAATTCAGACACAGGTTACAACATAGTTGAACCTTGAAGACATTATGCTAAGAGCAATAAGCCAGTTATAAAAAGAAAAATACTCTATGATTCCATTTATATCAGATCCTGAGAGTGTCGAATTCATAGGAATGGGAAGTAGATGATGGTGTTAGGACTGGGGGAGGGGGAATGGGGAGTTAGTGTTTAATGGATGCAGAGTTTGTGTTTGGGATGAAGAAAAATTTCTGGAGATGGATGATAGTGTTGGTTCTATGATAATCTGGATATACTTAATGCCACTGAACTGTGTACTTAAAATGATTAAAATGATAACTTTTATGGTATGTATACTTTACTGCAATTAAAAAAAAGAAAACTCACAAGGGCAGAAATTTAGATTTTTCCCTTAAATATCCTCTTTTATTTGTGAACACAAAGTATTTTTCTCACATGATGTTATTCTGCTAGGTGGTCACGAGATGATCTTTTGCAAGGCCGGCAGGTAGAAGAAACCAGCCTGAAGAAATAAATAGAAATTTTCTGAGGGCAGAACCAGGAAGTCTTAAGCTGGATTAGAAATCTACTAGTTCTACCTGCTAATTGTGTAGAGGTGGAAACTGAGAGCTCAAGTGGCCTGAGTGAGGCCACACAGTGGGGGAAGTCAGGCTTCAGTGGCTCATGATACCTAAACTTTGACTTGCCTACCTAGACTCATCCTCTACAATACACTTAAGAAACAGAATGAGCAGGATGAGGCTAGACTCATCCTCTATAACACACTTAAGAAACGGAGCGAGCAGGCTGGGTGCGGTGGCTCATACTGTAATCTCAACACTTTGGGAGGCCGAGGTGGGCAGATCTTTTGAGCCCAGGAATTGAAGACCAGCCCGGGCAATATAGTAAGACCCCATCTCTACAAAAAAAAAGAAAAGAAAGAAAAAATTAGCCAGGCATAGTGGTGCACAACTCTAGTCCCAGCTACTCAGGAGGCTGAGGTGACAGGATTGCTTGAGCCCAGGAGTTCAACGCTACGGTAAGCTGTGATTGCACCACTGCACTCAAGCCTGGGCAACAGAGCAAGACCCTGTCTCAAAAAGAAAATGGAGAGAGCAAAATGGATAGAACAGTATGTGCACATGTGCACTTAACCAAAGGTAAAGCATGGGAATCATTTATGCATGTGATTCCAGCACAATAAAATGATTTAAACCATTTTAGTTTGCCAGAAGATTCCAGAACCGGATGCTTACTTCTGGCTTATTGCTGCACATTGACCTTTTTTACCCTGTGTGTGCACAAGAAATGGGCCTATTTTCCAGATTCTATTAAAAGAAATTCCTACCAAACAGGGGGAAAAAGGATTCAACAGAAACAAAACTTATTCAATGTTTCATGCATCAAATATTTATTGAGTGTCTGTTATATGCCAGGGACTGGGACTATGTTAGCCCAGGGACTATGCTGAGAACAAGCCAAGGATAGTTCCTGCCTTCATGAAGTGCTGCCCTCAGACAAGTACATAGAATGTCATACTAAGGGAAGGCTGAAGAGCTTGGGGAACATTTGGGAATTACAGGAAATCAAAGCCTGGTGTTGTAAAGGTTAAAATGAGGAAAGCTTGGAGAGCTCAGGCGGCAATTAGGATGGTTCATTCAGGGAAGGAGAACTCCTGGGAGATAAGGAGATGGTGGGTAGGTGGGGTAGGTAGGTAGGTGGGTGGGTGGGTGAATGGATAGAGAAAGGGAAAGACAGACAAAGAGGTTTCAATAGAATTGTGACAGGGATTGGCCTTATGCGATCGCTGTAAGGCTGTTATCTTCACGTCTGAGGCTGCAGCCTAATGTCCATGGGGCAGGCAGTTGGGGAAGGAAAGACAGCTGCAGACTGGGGAGATGTAGAACATGCTGGAACCCACAGCACGAACTGGAGCCCACAAGGAGGGACTGGCGTCCACGTCCACCTTACTGCTTCTGTCCTTGATGTGGGTGTCAGGCATGAGCCAGCGCTCTTTGTCATGGACCAAAACACACACGCCTGGCCCCAGAGTCAGAGATGCTGAAGGAAGCCCCCGGCAGGGTGGAATGGCAGGCCCAGCCCAGGCCTCATGCCCAGGAGGAGAGCCCGCGGGTGCAAGACTGCCTGTGGCAGTCCCGGGAATGGCTGCTGCTCTGTCTCCGCTGCCTCCCTTTTGCAAGAATCTCTTCAGTGCTGACACTGACTGGAAATGTCGAGGGAAGGGAATTCTGGAAAATGCAGTTCTGCCTTGCCGCACTGACACATTGTAAAGCCAACACAGATGGCAAGCTAGCCAAGACTTGGAGTTGGGGCAGGTCTCCAAAGAGAAGGTGACATCTAAGCCAAGGCCCAAGGAAGGGCAGGAGGCAGCTGGATGGAGGAAAGAGAGAGACTCCCCAGAGTGCTGGGATCCCATGAAAACAAACGTTGTCTGGAAAAATCTTGTGTTTTGAAAAGGAAATGGAATTTTAAAAGGGAAAAGTGTGTCCCCAAAGAATAAACTTGTCCAAAAACAAAAACATAACACTTTTATTTAGCATCTAAGTGAATTGAAATCAATAAACTGGTTGAGAAACCACTTTCCAAACTCACCGGATGGGTCACAGCTTCCTCCCCCTTCCCTCCCTTCCACCTTTCTTTCTTCATTTTTTTTGAGATGGGGGTCTTGCTACATTGCCCAGGCTGGCCTCGAATTCTTAGGCTCAAGCAAACCTTCTTCCTCAGCCTCCCGAGTAGCTGGGACTACAGGTCCCACCACTCCTGGCCCTTTCATCTTTCTTACTTCCCTGCCATCCCCTTCCAACCCCTGCCCAATCCTCATTCTCCTCTACCCACCAACCTCCTTCTCCTCATTCCTCATTTCCCTCCTTGTTCCAGCCAAGGAAATTGCTGGGTGAGGTTCAGATCACACAGATATCTTAGCTTGTGTTTTTAGATGTTACTCAGGAGTAATACCAGTCATGCCATATAAATATCACAGCTTGGGGTTGCAGGTTAGTACTCACATCGTCCTGGTATGGGTTGCCAAAATGCCAGTGGTGTAAGAGCCTCTGAATCCTCTCTATGCCTGTACAGTCAGAGCCAGTTCTCCCCCCACAGCCTCTAACAAAGAGCAGGGAAATAAATACCATGTTTGCAATAAATACCTGGGTCAGAGTTTGACTCAACAATCAAATATATGTCCTCTAAATTCAATTTAGTCCATTTCCTGAGTGAAACCAGATATGCTGCAAGAAAGGCAGGCTTCCTGTCTTTCCTAGCCCTTTTGAAAAATGATGATTCTTAGGAAAGCCACCCTAGAGGGCTGCTTCTGGCCTGACACTGGGACAACCTAGGCCCGACAGGGAGGGGGAAGGGAGGGAGGAAGGGAGGAGCCCACTGCCGACGGAGGAGGCAGGTGGTCCCAAACCGAAATGCAGCATACAGATTCCAGAGCTTTTGTCCCCATCCTGAGGGGGCAGATCCTTCCTTCCCCACTTAGCCAGGTGTCCCCAAGACAAAGCTCAAATTCTGTGATCCACTGGAAGGACTCCTGGAACTCAGAAGAGCCACTGGGCTCGTGGTTATGGTTTGTTGCAGTAAAAGGATACAGACTGTTGTCAGAGGAAAAAGATGCACAGGCCGGAGCCCAGAGAATGGCTGAGCTCCCTGTTTTTACTCTCAGTGGAGTCATGCAGGCAGTGCTCAATTCCCCAGGAATCTTGTGGACAAGATGTACAAAGTATTGCCAACCAGGGAAGCTTCCATAAGCCTCCGTGTCCAGGGATTTTGCTGGGGTTAGGCTTTCAGGCATGAATGCGTCGTTACTGACCTTAGCTATTTGGATTTCAGCCTCTCCAGAGGCCGAACAGTGTGGCCCAAGGTCCCACCATAGATAACACTGTTAGGCTAGACTAGCCAGTGTGGCCCAAGGCCTGAGATGAGCAAAGACACCCCTATCAGGCAGAATATTCCAAGGGCTTAGAGGTTATCTCCCAGGAACCAGGCAAAGGCCAGACCTTTCTCTTAGATGTGCAGGGTTTGAATGACCCAAGCCTGCAGAGTCAACTCTACTGCCCGTCCACACTTGTCTGCTGCTGTTCCTCACCTCTCCAGTGAGCGTGGAGTTCCATGGTCTCAGGTGGGTGATGCTAGGTGAGAGGTTTCCTGCAACTAACTAGCTGTGTGCCCTCTGGTGAAGATCTGTGAGTTCTCATTGCTTGGGTCTCCTCATTGGCAGGTGACAGCCATCACACCCACTCTGAATTTCCTGACAGGCATAATAGAATTGAAGACACAGTGGATAACGACAGAGCCTCGTGTACTGCTAACAGGTACAGAAGCCAAATAGCCACTCTAGGGAGTTCTGGTTGTTGTTTTGGTTTTGTTTTGTTTTTAAGAGATGAGGTCTCACTCTGTGGCCCAGGCTGGAGTGCAGTGGCACAATCATAGCTCACGACAACCTGGAACTTCTAGGCTCAAGCGATCCTCCCACTTCAGCGTCCTGAGTAGCTGGGACTACAGGCGTGTGCCACCATACCCGGCTAATTTTATTTATTTATTTTTGTGGAGACAGGGGTCTTGCTATGCTACCCAGGCTGGTCTCGAACTCCTGGCCTCAAGAGATCCTGCCCCAGCTTCCCGAGTGGATTTCTGTTTTTTAATGGCTATTTCCTTTTCCCCCTGACATTTACAAAATGCTTACATATGCCAGGCACTATGTTTAGTGCTTACTTGGATTCTCTCATTTAACCCTCAAGTAATTCTCTAAGGAAAGTACTATCATGTCACCCCCATCTGAGAGGACTGAGGCTCAGTGAGGTCCCGTGAGGTCACAGAAACAGCTTTTAAACTGTGTCAAGATAGCCAGAGCTGGAACAGCAGAGCTACGCTGATTGCCCACTGGACACGGAAAAGCGGCTTCTCTCACACGAAGGTGTGTTCAGCAGGTTTCCCTAGGTTAAAGGAGAAAGGCTGGATGCAGGATAGAAAGAAAAATGCTTTGCTCCATGAAGGTGGATTCTGAAGGGTGTATTTGACTGAGGAGACAACTGTAAAGTCCCTTGGGAATTGGTCCTTGCTCTGATTTTTGCCACCAAAGTACTGCTGTCAAACAGATTCAAACGGGTTTCACAATTAATGTGAAGAGGCTCCGGTTACACCGCAAATGAGTGTGATTGCTCCTCAGGATTAAGGATGTTTTTCTGTGGCTGAACTGAAGCATCTGTCCTCAGGGCTGGAGGCTGGGTATCACCACAGCTGACCTCCTCTCCATGGTAAGTGTCTCCCACCTGCCCCTCACGGCCAAACAACTCGTCAGGGGCTCAGGGAATGTGGACTGGCCTTAGAATGAGAATGTGCATGTTGCCGGTTCTCAACATCATTGTCTTCGAGGAAAACCTCATTTGTGTTTGTGTGTGATTTTTTATTTAATTTTTAAAATTTTTGTGGGTACATAGTAGGTGTATATACTTATGGGTTATCTGAGATGTTTTGATACAGGCATGTGAGGTGAAATAAGCACATCATGGAGAATGGGGTATCCATCCACTCAAACATTTATCCTTTGAGTTACAAATAATCAAATTATACTCTTTAAGTTATTTTAAAATGTACAATTAAGTAATTATTGACTATAGTCACCCTATTTTTGCTATCAAATAGTAGGTCTTATTCATTCTTTCTATTTTTTTTTGTACCCATTAACCATCCCCACCTCCCCTCCACAACCTCCCCCACCTACCCTTCCTAGCCTCTGGTAACCATCCTTCTATTCTCTATTTCCATGACTTCAATTGTTTTTTTAGATCCCACAGATAAGTGAGAACATGTGATATTTGTCTTTCTGTGCCTGCCTTATTTCACTTAACGTAAAGACCTCCAGTTCTATCTATGTCGTTGCAAATGACAGGATCTCATTCTTTTTTATGGCTGAATAGTACTCTATTATGTTTATGTACCACATTTTCTTTATCTATTCATCTGTTGATGGACACTTAGGTTGCTTCCAAATCTTGGCTATTGTAAACAGTACTGTAACAAACATAGGAGTGCCAATATCTCTTTGATACACTGATTTTCTTTCTTTTGGGAATACACCCAGCAGTGGGATTGCTGGATCATATAGCAGCTCTATTTTTAGTTTTTTGAGGAACCTCCAAACTGTTCTCCACAGTAGCTGTACTAATTTACATTCCCACCCTTTTCTCCACATTCCGAAGAGCATTTGTTATTATCTGTCTTTTGGATATAAGCTATTTTAACTGAGATGAGATGCTATCTCATTGGAGTTTTGATTTGCATTTCTCTGATGATCAATGATGTTAAGCACATTTTCGTATGCCTGTTTGTCATTCATGTGTCTTCTTTTGCGAAATGTCTATTCAAGTCTTTTGCCCATTTTTGATCAGATTATTAGACATTTTCCTAGAGTTGTTTGAGACCCTTATATATTCAGGTTATTAGTCCCCTGTCAGATGGGTAGTTTGCAAATATTGCCTCCCATTCTGTGGGTTGTCGCTTCACTTTGTTGATTGTATCCTTCACTGTGCAGAAGCTTTTTAACTTGATGTGGTCCCATTTGTCCATTTTTGCTTTGGTTTCCTGTGCTTGTGGGGTATTACTCAAGAAATCTTTGCCCAGAACAATGCCCTGGAGATTTTCCCCAATGTTTTTTTATATTAGTTTCATAGTTTGAGGTCTTAGATTTAAGTCTTTAATCCATTTTTTGATTTTTATATATGGTGAGAGATAAGAGTCTAGTTTCATTCTTCTGCATATGGATATCCAGTTTTCCCAGCAACATTTATTGAAGACTGTCTCTTCCCTAGTGTATGTTCTTGGCACCTTTGTTGAAAATGAGTTTATTGTAGATGTGTGGATTTGTTTCTGGTTTCTCTATTCTGTTCCATTGGTCTATGTGTCAGTTTTTATGCCAGTACCATGCTGTTTTGGTTACTATAGCTCTGTAGTATAATTTGAAGTCAGGTAATGTCATTCCTCCAGTTTTGTTCCTTTTGCTTAGGATAGCTTTAGAGATTCTGGGTCTTTTGGGGTTCCATATAAATTTTAGAATTGTTTTTTCTATTTCTGCGAAGAATGTCATTGGTATTTTGTTAGAGATGGAAAACTTCATTTTTATTAGAGAACTGCAAAAGCAAACACCACCACTTGATAGAGGCTTCTTCCCTGCCTCCATAGGCTCTTGCTGCTGCTAATCCTCCAAGATGAATCTGAAAGAGAAAACAACTGCTTAGTTGCTACAAATCATAGGAAGACTCTGGTGAGAAAATCTCCATAAAAGACTTCGGAAAAGATATGTGTCTTAAGGCAGAACTTGAGGAAAAGCAGGAGACTTGGCACAGAAGCCGCAGAAGGCTTTTTCCATGTGTAGGAACTTGCAAGGATGGCAGGAGGCTACAGAGAGCAGACTTGAAACCCTGTGAAAAGAAGAAATAAGCAAAGCAAGAGGATAAGCCCTGGGAGAACAGCGTGCTTCCCAGTGTCTGCCTCGTCCTGCACAGTAAGAGCCAGGTCAACTTCAGGAAATAAGCAAGGCCTCTAAAAGGAAGCACGACCAGAAAATACAGCACAACTAGGAGCATATGGAAGGGATCCAAGAAGTGGAGACCATCATTCGGTAATAGAATCTGCTTTGGAGATGAGAGAGCCTAGAAGGATGCCCAATGCCCAGGTAAATATAGATTGTTCAAAATACATTCAATTTTCAAATAAGCCACCTTGGGAATTTTTAAATTATTATTATTAATATTATTTATATATGTTATATATAAATATTATTTATTATTAATAATATTATCCATAATGGGGTACTATTCAGCCGTAAAAAAGAGATCCTGTCATTTGCAAAACATGGATGGAACTGGAGGTCATTATGTTAAGTGAAACAAGCCAGGCACAGAAAAACAAACATCACATGTTCTCACTTATTTGTGGGATCTAAAAATCAAAACAATTGAACTTATGGACATAGAGGGTAGAAGATTGGTTACTAGAGGCTGGAACAGATAGTAGGAGGTAGATGAGAAGTGGGGATGGTTAATGGGTGCAAAAAACATAAAAAGAATGAAGAAGGCCTACTATTTGGTTGCACAACAGTGTGACTATAGTCAAAAACCTACTTATACATTTAAAAATAATGAAAAGAGTGTAATTGGATTGTTTGTAACACGAAAGATAAATGCTTGAGGTGATGGACACTCCATTCTCCATGATGTGATTATTACACATTGCATGCCTGCATCAAAACATCTCATGACTCCCACAAATATATATACCTATTATGTACTCACAAGAATTTTTTAAATTTTTTAAATAAGATAATAATATCATAGTGATTATTTTAATCCTAGAAAAAATTGCTGTGTCCTCAGAATATTACATTACTTTCAAATAAAAATGGGAAATTAAATTGGGATACAGTTCTAATATTGTTCCTTATCCCTGCTCTGTCCCACTCTCCCATCTCCACACCTAGAAACATCCAAGAAGAGACCCTCTTTCTTCATCCAAAGAAGACTGAGGACTAGATTCTGTGGAATTTGAGTTTCTGACTAAAACATGGCCTGTTTTTCCTCCCCCTACAATCTAGGACCTGGCCCTCTGGGGGGTGTTTCTTTTTCTGTAACCATCTAGTTTCTCTTGCCAGTCAGACATTGTCTCATCCAGTGATAGAAACCTGTACTACTGCCGTTCAAGTCTCACACTAATCACCTGGCGTTAGCACAGATGCCACAGACCGAGGGCACAGTCCCCGTCAAGACAGCCCTCACTGGCCGGGTGCAGTGGCTCATGCCTGCAATCCCAGCACTTTGGAAGGCTGGAGCAGGAGGATTGCTTGAGCCCAGGCGTCTGAGACCAGCCTCGGCAACATAGTGAGACCCCATCTCTGAAAAAAAAATTGTTTTAATTACCCAAGCATGGTGGCACATATCTGTGGTCCCAGCTACTCAGGAGGCTGAGGTAAGAGGATCACTTGAGCATAGGTGTTCAAGACCAGCCTGCGCAACATAGCGAGACCCTATCTCTACAAAAATAAAAATTAAAAAATTAGCTGGGTTTGGTGGCTCACACCTGTAGTCTCAGCAGCCCAGGAGGCTGCAGCAGGGGGATTGCCTGAGCCTAGGAGTTGGAAGCTGCAGTGACTATGATCTTGTCACTGCACTCCAGCCTGGGCAACAGAGCAGAGATCCTGTCAAAAAAAAAAAAAAAAAAGTCACCCCTTACTGCAGAATCAGTCTCAAGTTTGGGGGTCCCAAAGCTACCTGCACTTCTGACCAACTGGCCACAAATTCGGGGTTTGCATGACTCCTTCAGTTTCAATAATTCACTAGAATGACTCAAAGTGCTGTACTTAGGATTACAGTTTTATTATAAAGGATACGAGTCAGGACCAGCATATAAATAGATGCCCAGGATGAGGTCTGGAGGGTCCTGAATGCACAGCTGCCATGCCCTCTTCCCACAGCATCAGAGCACATTACCCTCCTGGCACACTGATGTGTTTACCAACACCCAGGGGGATCATCAGGTGTCTGGAGCTTTGAATGGGTTTCATTTGGTAGGTGTGACTGACTGAATCATTGACCATGTTATAGAACTCCATCTCTAGCATCCCTCTCCAGGGGTCAGGAGGTTGGGCCTGTATTAAGTGACTCAAAGCCCCAACTCTCTAATCACAGGACTGGCTTTTCCACAAGACTGGCCCCATCCTGAGTCACCTTGTTAGCATAAACTCTGCTGTGGTCCAAGGGCCCACCATGAATAACAGATACTCTTATCACTCGGATTCAGACGCCATGTTCCCGGAACCTAAAACAAAAACTAGACACATTCTTTATTATACAACACAATGACAACAGTGGATATTCATTGTTGGTTTTCTAGATGTTAAACTCTGTGCTGAGCACTTTATATACATCTCATTTGATCCTCAGGAGATCCTGAGAACATGTGCCCAAGGTGGCCGGGTGTGGCCAACTGCTTGGTTTTACACATTTTAGGGAGGTATAAGATATCAATCAATATATGTAAGATGTACATTGGTTCAACCCAAAAAGGTGGGACAACTCAAAGGTGGGGGCATCCAGGTCTTAGGTAGATTCCTTATTTTCTTATTGGCAATTGGTTGAGTTTATCTAAAGACCTGTAATCAACAGAAGGGAGGGTCTGGGTTAAGAGAAGTGTTGTGGAAACCAAGGTTCTTGTTATGTAGATGAAGCCTCCAGGTAGCAGGCTTCAGAGGGAGTAGGTTGTAAATGTTTATTGTCAGCCTTAAAAAGGTGCTGGACTCTTAGTGAATTCTCTCCTGGGTCAGGAAAAAGACTTAGAAAGGGAAAGAGATCCTCTACTGAATGTAGATTTTCCCCAGAGACAGCTTTGCAAGGCCATTTCAAAATATGTCAAAGAAATGTATTTTGGGGTAAAATACTTTGATTTCTATCAGGGCCTACTATCTGTCATGTTGGTATCTTATTGCTACAAAGAGTCTGTTTTGGCAGTCTCAATGTCTCTGTTAATGTTAATGCTGTTGGTCAGCTATGCCTGAATTCCAAAGGGAAGAAGGTGTAATGAGGAGTGTCTGACCCCCCTTCTCATCATGGCCTGTTTCAGGTTTACTTTAGAAAGCCTTTGGCCAAGAGGAGGGGTCCATTCATTTGGTTGGGGGGCACTTAGAATTTTACTTTTGGCTTGCAAATAATACTGTGTGTTGGACACATGATTATCCCCATTTTACAGGTGACAAAACTGAGGCACAGAGAAAGGAAATAACTTCCTTGAATTCTCACGGCTGCCACAGCTGGTTAGTGGCAGAGCAGAGATTTGAACTCATATCTGTAATGTGTACTACCAAGTCCCTCCAGCCCCTCTAGAACCTACTGTAAAAAAGGAGAAACCAAGAAGATAGCCATTTTTGCTATAGAAGAACAACACAGATCTAACATGAGGACCCAGGCTTACTTAGCATTCTTGGGGGACAAAACAATCTATGTCCTGCCCTAGAGTGAAAGTATTCAGCCTTTAGAGTCAGAGGGGCTGCTTTGAATACGGGCCTTTCTAATTAGTTGAGTGGTGTTGGAGGGAGAAAAAAGTACTAAACTCTTTATAAAAATGTATAAAGATATGCAAAATCTTTATAAATTAAACAGAGACTCTGCTAACATCTACTCACAAGTTTGGTCTGAGGAATAAAGGAGATAATTTATTTGAAAGTGAAAATCACTCTTCCCGTGTAAGGCTTTTTTGCCTCACTCAACCCGTCCCTGTCCTTTCACCATCAGAATGATCTGCTCTCCACCTGATCTACTATCTATTTATTCCTTACATCTCACATGATGCCCTTAAGCCTCTCTGATTGCCTTGGATCATATTTTTGTTCCTTAGCTTGATTGTTTTTATACCGTTCACATGGACCATTACTTCAGCTTCAGGAAACACCTGCTTTGCAAAGCATTTACTAAGCACCTGACGGTGCATGCCACTGCACAAGGAGCATGGCCGAGGGGCCATGAGGAGCTGCAGCAGTGTAGTGGGAAGGGCCTGGAGCCTGGCCTCTGCAGAACTGAGTTCTGGCCCCCGTTCTGCCTCTTCCTCGCATTGTTACCTTAGGAAATACACTTAACTCTCCTGCATCTCAGGCTATCATTTGTAAAATAGCTCAATAATTGTACCTGACCTGCCCAACCCCATGGGCGGTGGGAGAGTTGTATGGGAGACTATATGTGGAATTTTTTTGAAGCTAACTATATGAGTAGAGAACTCTATGACTAGAGGGAATAATTATGTAAGACAGCATTGAAGCAGACATAGACTCCCACATACAGAGAAAAATAATTCTAGAACAACCCTATAGAAGGCGCAGACAGAAAAATAGCACAGGACGTGCAGGCAGATAAATGTGTTCAAACCACAGAGTCAGGTTCATTTTGGAAGGCAGTTGGCAGGGAGGTCTGGAGAAGAGGTGAGAGATTGTTTACAAACGTGACTGGGACTGGGAGCAGAAGCATACATAAAGCCAGTGGCAGTGTGGAAAAATCCAGTGCTAAAAAGGAGAAATGCCCATAAGTGGGTCTTGAAAATTACAATGTGATTCCCTAGGTGGCACCAACGCATTCCACAGTGACACTCAAGAAGCTCAACTCTTCTTGTCTATGGGTTTTGCCACGTTGCCCAGGATGATCTTGAACTCCTGGGCTCAAGCGATCACCCTGCCTGGGACTCCCAAAGCACTGGGATTACAGGTATGAGCCACCTTGCTGGCCAAGCTTAACTCTTGTAATGAGTATGGTTATCTGTGGCCATAAGCAATGGAAAACACCTCCATGTAAGGTGGGTGGAAGGAAATCCAAAGCTGCTTGGTGACTTCATTCAGAGGAAGGCCACATGGGTTGCTTCAACTGCATAGAATCTCCAAACACTATTTTCTGACAGGATACAGAAGAAGTAAATTGAATATCTTTCTTTCTTTAAAAAAAGAAAGAAAGAGAGAGAGAGAAAGAAAAGAAAAATTGAGGGCTTTGAGGGCTTTTGGTGACAGCTTTGAAAATAAATAAAATGTAAAAGCTTTTAAAAAACTTTAAGCTTTGAGAGAGATACGACTGTGACCTGAGTCACATAGTATGTGCTTGCAATTTCTGTTTCTTAGATTATAGAGGAACTCTCTTCTTCATTGTTCTTGTTCTGTAAATGACTAAGAGAGAACAGAGACCAGACCTCCCCTGCTTCTAATCACTGTTCTTCATTATAGATTAACTGCCACCTTTATTATCTTGTACCCAACTCAGACCAAGTGGTGCAAAAGACCCCTGACTATTACATCTGCACTGTGGAATGTTAAATATACCTTTCCCAAAAAGAAAAAAAAATTACCTTGCCAAATCGGATTATTGTAACTATGCAATAAGCCTTACATAGAAAGATAGTGAAATTCTATTAAGCTTCCCTAAACTTTGACCATATAAATGATCCCAAACTTCTATACTTTGGAACACTCACTCCCATTCTTTGGAATCTGTGCTTCATGAGTGGCTGTCCTCAAACTCTGTGCTCAAAACTAGATTCTGACCCTTTTGATTATTTTAGGTTATTTTTACTTATTTTATCTAAGTTGGTGCTAAAGTGCAAAATCTTACCTTGGCTACTTTTGTTTATTCATTTAACAAATGTTTGTTCAGTGCCTACTGTGTGTGTAATCTATGCCTTTGAGATACCCCAGTGAGCCGACAAAAATCCCTGCCCCTGTAGAGCAGGTGGATTCTCGCTGGGGAACATGGAAGAGGCAGAGAGACTGACTGCATGCAATAAACTAATCAACAAGGAAGTTAAAGAAGAAAGGAGACGTGATCAATGCTACTCAGAAAAGAAGAGGATCACCTGAAGGGAATTAGAAGTTCAGGGTGGGACAGTTGGAATTTTCAATTCTGGAGTCATCTCGAGCACGATACTTAACCTCACTAGGCCTCCTTTCCTTTTCCATAATAGGAAATGAATACCCGCCTCAGGGCCACAGCCATAATGGGACAAAGTGCTCAGTACAGCACCTGATTCAGATGAACACCCACAGAGTCACCACCGTCACTGTTACTCACCCGAGTTTTGTCCATTGGACCACTGTACACAGAGAAAAAGAAAGTTGGTAATTGTGTGGTTTACGGAGTTTAAACAACCTCTTCCACCAGAGCCACTGAGCCTAAATCTACTTTAACAAGGAGCAAAGGATATTTTGATCCACAGCAAGAGAAAAGGTTTTCAAAGCAAATACCCTTGAGATAGAAAACAAAGATTCCACTCCAGTTCATTTACTTGCAACAACAGCGGTTGGAGGAGGGTAAAACCAGGCTGAGAAGAAGAAAGAGCACAGGAGGCCCCAGGGCAAGAGGAGGAGGTGAATCCCAGCAGGGGATGGAAAGATGGGAAGAAAAGGCCAAACCATTCGCTGGCTTTCTGACTTTATTTCCAAATGCCCTGCCGGAGATGTGCTCATTAATGGTTTGTTTGAACAGGCCACGTCTACCCAATGGACCCAGACTAAAAGGAACAGGACAGAACTGAGGGAACCTCAGTTAAGGTCAAGTGCCTGCTTAGTCTCATGGACTGTACAGAGAGTAGGAGAAACAGCTTGCCTTGGAGACAGCCTAGGAGCAGAAATAATAAGGAACTAATCATCCATGCTTCGTCGGCAGTAGTAGAAAGCAAACAATTCATCAGTGGCCCCAACTATCTCTTGCCCAGACCAGTTTATGCCTTACAGAACCCCCTCATACCCCCATCAATTCAGGCTAGCATTACTTTGTTTTTGTTTTTTGAGACAGAGTCTCACTCTGTCACCCAGACTGGAGTGCAGTTGGTGCGATTCGGCTCACTGTAACCTCTGCCACCCGGGTTCAAGCGATTCTTGTGCCTCAGCCTCTCGAGTAGCTGGGATTACAGGCATGCACCGCCACACCTGGTTAATTTTTGTATTTGTAGTAGAGACGGGGTTTCACCATGTTAGCCAGGGTGGTCTCGAACCCCTGGCCTCAAGTGATCCGCCTGCCTCAGCCTCCAAAAGTGCTGGGATTACAGGCGTGAGCCACCGCACCCAGGCAGGCTAGCATTGATTTTTGTTCCAATAGCTACTTAGGCTCACTGTTAATGTGGCTTTTGTTGCTTTTTACTGGCTGTTTGCTTCTCATAAGTACCATAGAGGACTTTCTATGTGCTTGTATAATAAATCTTATAAATCCAGTCTAAAAAAATTATGTTTTTTATAGTTTGCCTTGGTAATTCCTAGGCCTGGGAGGGGGACCAGATATATCAGGTGCCCCATGAGAAACCTCTCCTGGGGCAGTACCAGGTACTAGGGAACATGATAAACAGATGCAGACTCAAAGGGTAGCTTCCCTTGTCTGTACAGTAGCTTAATGATGAAGGTGGCTGAGTGGCAGTTCTACCTGGTTCCAGGAACCTCCTCAGCTAGACTTGTTTTTGTTTCTGTTTTGAGACAGAGTCTCATTCTGTCGTCCAGACTGTAGTGCAGTGGTGTGATCTCAGCCCACTGCAACTACCATCTCCTGGGTTCAAACGATTCTCCTGCCTCAGCCTCCTGAGTAGCTGGGATTACAGGTGCCCACCAGCAAACCTGGCTAATTTTTGTATTTTTAGTAGAGACGGGGTTTCGCCATGTTGGTCAGGCTGGTCTCGAACTCCTGATCTCAAGTAATCCACTTACCTTGACTTCCCAAAGTGCTGGATTACAGGCATGAGCCACTGCGCCCGGCCTCAGCTAGATCTTTAAGGCAACGGTTCCCCACCTTTTCAAGTATGAGATGCCATTGTAACATTAGAAAACTTCATAGGTCTCATTAACAGTGCCTGTATCATTCATTTTAAAAATCCTTATTGTCAAGTGACATTTTTTTTTCTTTTGAGTCAGAGTCTCACTCTGTTGCCCAGGCCGGAGTGTACTGATGTGATCGACAAGTGACATTTTAAAATGAATGTTGTGTTTTACAGATGGCAACAGCGCCCTCACATGCTATGTACAATTCAGCCTACGGACGTACTTGGTGGCATTTCAGCGTGATGAGCCTTACAGGGGTTTTCAGACACAGACTTTACTAAGAACAACATGTGGATGGTTTTAAAAGAACTATTGGAATGAGCAGACTACAATTTTCCAACAGTTACTTTCAACACAAATGCATGTGGAAAGCTGAAATCATATGCATCTGTGGTTAGATTCTGGCCTTAACCCTGTGCTGACCTTGAGCTTCCCCGTAATTGTTGGGCTCTTTCTTTGCCTCCAGGCTGAACCATCTGCTGCTTTCTCCCACTACCAGGAACGAAGGGACCTAAGCTCCAATGTGCTCATCCTGGAACACCCAGGCACTTTGCATTTCTCAAAGTTCAGTTCCCCAAGCGCAAGTTTTCTGCTCTGCTGGACAGAACGGCAGCATTTCAATCATTCTCAGGCTTGCTCTGCTCCTGTTCCTACTTGTCCAGGTCCATAAACCCAGGACTCACAGGAAGGGCCCTTCCCCTGGGAGCCGCGTTCAGAGGACAGTGCCTATGGCAGGAGGGAGTGGTCTATGAGCCCCTGGGGCTGGAAGATTCCCCTCCATTCTTCAGTGGCATTTCCCTTGGCACTTGTTTCCTGCTCTCACTACAGACACCTGAACCCTGAAGCTTAACCCCACCTTGAAGCTAGGGCATGGTTACCTAACGTAGGCCTCCCTCCTGTGAAGGCAGGTCTGAGAGGCCATCTGCAGAGAGGCAGGGTTATTCCTGAGGGGTGGGGAGACCATTGCAGAGACTCCAGCTGCTGCCTGACAGTTTCTGAGATGCCTGCCAAGGAAAAAGGAGAATTCTGGTTAGAAGGGAGCTAAAAACTCTGGGGAAGTATTTCAATATCTAATTGAGAGAGAGGCTGAGATGGCAGCTAGGACCACTGTGGAGACAATCTCAGACAATCTCAAGGAGCTTCAACCAAAGCAACCAATGACAGGGGGAGTTCAGATTTCTCTCTTAAATTCTGCAAGGGAGGCCAGTGTGGTGTCTCACACCTGTAATCCCAACACTTTGAGAGGCCAAGGCAGGAGGATCACTTGAGGCCAGGAGTTTAAGACCAGCCTGGGCAATGTAGCAAGTCCCTGTCTCTACAAAAAAAAAAAATTTAGCCAGCGTGGTGGCAAACACCTGTAGTCCCAGCTATTTGGGAGGCTGAGGCAGGAGGATCACTTGAGCCCAAGAGTTCTAGGCTGCAGTGAGCTATGTTCACACCACTGCACTTCAGCCGGGGTGACAGAGCAAGATCTTCTCTCTAAAAAATAAAATAAAAAATAAAAACAAAGCTGCAAGGGGAAGGGGAAGAAGCAGATACTGAGACTTCTCCCAACAAGAGGATAAGCCCCAAAGAAAGACATTTTCTTGAAGGCAAAGTTCAGCTCCTTCATCACGCATCTTTAGTGCTGTGAGCTTTTGTGCTGTTGGCCCTTAGGACCAAGGAGGCAACATGAGTCCAGATCCAGTAGAGCTACTAGTGATGGGCCTGAAGGGAGGGGAGTCTAGACCTGTCCTCCTTATTATTATAAAATTTTAGCCTAATCAGCTTCTGGGAAGCAGTCTAATTAAAAGTGGAAAGAAGCTGAAAGTGGCAGCTAGTCAGCTCCGTGTACAAATCCCAACTCCATGTCTTCTTAGTTGTTGGACCAGCCCAGGCAAGCCCCTGAATCTCCTTATGTCTCAATTTCCTCATCTGTAAAAATACTAGTCACAGCAGACCTCCTTTATAGGGTCGTTGTGGCCCAAGGGCTTGCAATAAATTTGGTATCTAATTTTGGAGTGATTTGGGGCTGCAGTTTAACAAGATTGATTCCAAATGTAGCACAAAGTCGGCTCTCAATCAACATTAATGGAATGAATTACTCTCAATAATAAATACTTCAAGAGAGGTAGCTGGAAAAAAATGTTCATGACTGATAAATTGTGTGCAGGGTGAGTTTTACAAGGGAATGCTGATACTTTATGAGTTGAGATGGCACTGAGTCTTAAATAGAGAAAACATTTCGGAAGAGAAATAAATACAATTGGCTTTCCAGAACTGCATTCCACATCTGTAGATTCAACCAACGGTGCATCAAAAATATTCTAAAAAAATAGATGGTTGTGATATATAGACTTTTTTCCTTATCGTTTTCCCCTAAACAATACAACAACTTTTTTTTTTTTTTTTTTTTTTTTTTGAGACGGAGTCTCGCTCTGTCACCCAGGCTGGAGTGCAGTAGCATGATCTCGGCTCACTGCAAGCTCCACCTCCCGGGTACACGCCATTCTCCTGCCTCAGCCACCTGAGTAGCTGGGACTACAGGCGCCCGCCACCATGCCCGGCTAATTTTTTGTATTTTTTTTTTAGTAGAGACGGGGTTTCACCGTGTTAGCCAGGATGGTCTCGATCTCCTGACCTCGTGATCCACCCGCCTCAGCCTCCCAAAGTGGTGGGATTACAGGCATGAGCCACCGTGCCCGGCCTACAACTATTTACATAGCATTTACATTGTATTTGGTATTGTAAGTAATCTAGAGATGATTTTGATTTAAGTACACTAAAGAATTGTATAGGTTACAGGCAAATACTGTGCTATTTTACATAGGGATTTTGTTATCCTCAGGCACCCTGGAACCAATCCCCCACAGATACCAGGGGACAACTGTATATGGTTCTGCAGAAGTGGCCTTGACATCAAGATACCTAAATTCTAATCCTGATTCTGCTATTAATTTGTTTTGTGGCATCAAACAAGCTGACTTCAGACTCACTGTTTTTTCATTTGAAAAGCGAAGTTAGGCCAGATTATATCCAAGGTTCATTTCTATTCAGACAGTGGATAATTCTGTAACAGTCTCTGGAACTTCTGCAAGAGATGCTACTTGTAAAGCAAGGCAAAAGTGGTTTTAAGGGGGAAAAAAAAGATCTACGTCTATTACAATACATGCCTCATTTTTACCAGGATAAAAACCACTACAAACATCATCCTCATCATTACTATTTACCTACTGTTGACTGTGTGCTAGACTCCACACTAGAGCATGTTAGACATATGATCTCATTCAGTCCTCTCAACAATTCTCAGCATTTCACAAGATTCATTCTGAAAAGAAAAGATTTGGCCATGTGCGGTAGCTCACACCTGTAATCCCAGCACTTTGGGAGACCAAAATGGGAGGATTGCTTGAGCCCAGGAGTTCAAGACCAGCCTGAGCAACATGGAGAAACCTCGTCTCTACTGAAAATACATAAATTAGCCAGGCATGGCAGTGCATGCTGTGGTCCCAGCTACTCGGGAAGCTGAGATGGGAGGATCACTTGAGCCAGGGAGGTAAAGGCTGCAGTGAGCCATGATCACGCCACTGCACTCCAGCCTGGGCGACAGTGCAAGACTCTGTCTCGAGAAAGAAAAAAAAGGAAGAAATTTACATTCCCTCTAAAAAAGGAATTGGATCATTATGGACTGCGTGACTTAAAGCTACCATTTATTAGTAGTCTTCTACGTGCCAGGTACTTTACATACTTTTTTCCTAATCTTCAAACAACTCTGCAAAGTAGGCAGTACAGGTCCTGTCTTAGCCTTCTATTGCTATGTAACAAATCATCACAAACCTGGTGGCTTAAAACAGGACCCGTTTATTATCTCACGGTTTCCATGGGTCAAGGAGTCCAGCATGGCTCAGCTGGGTCCCTTGCTCAGTGTCTCTTAAGGCTGAGACACCAGCAAGGTGTCAGCTGGGCTGTAATCTCATCTCATCTCATGTCACTGAAGTCTTCGTCCAAGCCCACTAGTGGCTGGCTCCAGAGATGGCTTGCCCCCGCTACAATGGCAGCCAACGTTCCCGACGGGTATAGGACTGAGGTTCCTGCTTTCTTGCTGGTTGTCAGCTGGGGCTGCTCTAAGCTCCTAGAGGCTGCCTATCATTCTCTGCTGTGTGGTTTTCTCCACAGCAAGGCAGTTTGCTTCTTCAGTCCTAGTACTTTGGGAGGCTGAGGGAGAAGGGTCGTTTGAGATCAGGAGTTTGAGAGCAGCCTGGGCAACATAGTGAGACCCCATCTCTAAATAAATAAATAAATAAGTGCCATCAGGAGAATATTCCTGACTCCCATTTGTCTGTGACTTCTGGACCCTCTTTCAAAGACTCACCTGACTAGGCCAGGTCCACCCAGGATAACCTCCCCTTCATTAACTCAGAACCAACTCATTGGATACTCTAATGGCAGAATCCCTTCACCTTGGCCATACAATGAAAGATAATCATGGCTGTGATGTCCCACCATATTCACAGGTCCCATCACCCTCACGGCAGGCGGTTATCCAGGGCGTGTATACCAGGTGAAAGGCCTAGGACTCTGTCCACCACAAGCCCTGCTTTATAAGTCATGAGTTACCTGTCTAAAGTCCCATGGGTGACAGATAGTGACACTGGACCTTCCCTCAAGCAAAGCGTCCTGAGCCCACCTTGGGGAGAAATAACCCTCTCTGGACAAGTCCAAGTTTATTCTTACACATCACAGCTCTGTTCTAACAGCAAACTTCACAATCTTAAAATGAACCCTTTCTGAGGTCTTCTGGAGCACCTGCATTTCCTGAGTACTTTACTACATGTCAAATTCACTGCGGCTCAATCCAGACCCAGATTCCCCTAGGAGTGCCCCCTCGGTGCACGTCAACCAACTCTGAGCCTGTGCCATCAATTACCCAGAAACCAGCTGACAAAAATGACTAATAACGGCATGCACACAAGGGAACAGTTCTCCTGACTCGATTCTATTTCCTCTCTCTCTGCCCCCACTCTGTCTTTGCCCAGGCATCACACCATTGCTCACAAAGCTTCGCCACCTGGACAGTTTCCCACTCAGCTTGTGATAATCCTTCTCTTGCCTGGCCTGGGCCTCACCCAGATTAAGCACTCAAGAAAAATCTTGGATTGAACTCTTCTTGCTTGGTAATAAGCACATTTTAGACTACCTTTATCTTTTCCCCCAAAGTTTCAAGTGCTCGGGGTGCTTAACTGATGTTTGATGTGTGCAGAGCTGTGTGCATTTAGTCCCTCAGTTTCTCCCCAGGTGAGCCTGCAGAGAGAGTGTCTCTACTCATTGGCTCAGACACTTCCCTCTTTTCTCTACCCAGGTAGCAACATGCTGAGCTTTTCCTACTCTAGAGAGCACAGTGCAAGAAACTCCAGTCTGTCAGGCACCTACTAAATGTCATATCCGTATACGTGCAATGATCTATCACCTTTTATAGTTGTAGAATCTGAGGCTCAGAGAGATCAGATAGCTTGTCTGAGGTCATACTGCTGTTGGTATTGCAGCTAGGAGTTGAACTCAAGACTGTGTTTTGGCAAAGCTGTCCTCTTTCCATACTTACTGTTAAACGTTTTGTTGTGTTTTCTTAAACCAAGTATAGTCCCAACAACTTTGAACAGCGTTTGGTAGGTAAAAGCTTTAAGGGGATCTTTTAGGGTGTTAATGAGACTTCTTAACAGATATGCATTTCTCAAACGTGACAACGTAACATTCATATTAAATGTAAAGCTTGGTATTTCTATAGAATTTTTCATACATTTCTGCATCTTAGTGCATGTATTTGCCTGAGATATATTAGTCTTTCAGGAAATATTTGAAGACAGAAAGGCAGGATGAGAGGAGAGGAAGGCGGTGGGGATATGTGGGGTGCTGGTGGGCTGTGTGTGGGGTGGGGGATGCCTGCTACCAGGAGCCTGAGAGCTGCAGGGCCGACTCAGGATTGGTACATCGTCGCTGCTTTAGCGTGCTTCTATCGCCACCTAGCCACCTTGGGGAGAAATGCCCTCTCCGAGCAAGTCTGTCCAGACTTCCCCTGAATGTAGTTTGCCCACTTACAGGTGGGTACCTTTAGACCATGAGACTTGGATAGTCCTTCCCACAATGGAAGCCTGTGTGCCCTACCTTTTTTTTAATTAGTGGCTTTCTTTAGCAGTTGATTCCAAGGCCTATTACATTTAAAGAGAAGTTTTTGAAAATTGGTACCACTAAGGATTGGCACCGTTAAGCCTCCTCAGCACAAAAGAAGGGGATTGTTACTCCTTTGAGAGCCCTTTCCTGTGGGAGTCCCTGATACTGCCATGGACCCTCCCTGTGCACATGTCCATATCCAGATCAAATGTGGTCTCCATGAAACTTGCGAAGCAACAGCTTCCATTTAATCCACACTTGCCGTGTGCTGGGGGCTTTATGAGTGTTTTCTCATGTAATTCTCACAGCAATCTTCTGAGGTAGGTATGATTACCTCCACTACGTGGTTAAGGGCACCGAGGCACAGTGAGGTCCTGGAGCTGGTCCATGGCAAAGCTGGGATTTGAACCCAATTGGCCTCTTCCCCAGGCCTATGACCCTCCTTTCATCCAGCATCCCTTGATTTCCCCAGCCAAAGTGTCATCTCCCTCCTCTTTGTTTCTGTCTCCTAATGCCATTTTCGACTCCTTCCTTCAGATTATATTTTCTGTTTCTCTAAACCACAGACTGCAACTCTACGAGGGGCATCGTCCTCTGCTGTGTTGTGTGTGCACACACAGATTCTCGCTTGAGGTGGTTACTCAATTCACTCATCCAGGTTGTGAAATTGCAACTGCTTCAATTTTTTGTTCTATTTCAGTCGTTCTGAGTTGGTGTCTCCCAAGGTATATCTAAGGATCCCCAGTGTCAGAGAATAGCCCAGGGAATTGTAGTTATTTGCATTCAAATCTGCTCTTATAGGAGGAGGACTGTCAACTAATGGTGCTGTATATAACAAAGGCAGAAATGGGATTGACCACTGAGAGAGGAAGAGGGGAAGAGAGAGCTGCAGCCAGACTGGTGGCAGGACCACCTGGGAACAGTGTCTTGGTTCACATATTTTGGGGAAAGTGATCAGCAGGCAGGGAGCAAAGAGTTCTGTTGGCTCCATCCTGGAGCAGGCTGAGTAGAGGCATCAAGGAAAAAAATGTCCCTGGTTTGCTGACTCTTCCTCTTTTTTTTTTTTTTTTTTTTGAGACGTAGTCTGGCTCTGTCGTCCATGCTGGAGTACAGTGGTGCAATCTCAGCTCACTGCACCCTCCACCTCCTAGGTTCAAGTGATTCTCCTGCCTCAGCCTCCCAGGATTACAGGTGCTAGGAGGCTGAGGATTACAGGCGTCCACCACCCACGCCCAGTACTGTAAAAGTGCTGGGATTACAGTCCTCCACCACCATGCCCTGCTAATTTTTGTATTTTTTTTTTAGTACAGACAGAGTTTCACCATGTTTACCAGACTGGTCTCGAACTCCCGACCTCAGGTGATCCGCCCACCTTGGCTTCCCAAAGGGCTGGGATTACAGGCATGAGTCACCGCACCAGGCCAGGTTTGCTGACTCTTGGGAGTCTGGCTGTGTTGTAAGTGACAGGCTGCCCTGGGTTCTCCACCTTCAGCTATGAGCACCATCCTGCATGAGGTTCCTCAGCAGGGGACTGAGCACTCGCAGGTCGCTGCCAGGACGTGCAGAGGAAAGCAAGACCATCGCGTCAGTGTGGGAAAAGTGAAGAGCGAGGCCCAGGACTCTGAGAGAAAGGAGTCCTGGCCCAGAGGTTGTGTGAGGAAAGCGTGGGATAAATGGGATGCCCGAAAGCAGAGTTTGGGGTGATTAGATAGGAAAATAAAGATTGGTGGGTGTAAAGAAAGGAAAGAAATAACAGGTGTAGACAGAAAAATTCACAATAAGAATGACCGTGGGCGTGGGACACAGGCCGGTCAGGCAGATGGTCAGACACCTGGAGAGGTGCCCAGCAGCTTGGAGCCCTCGGGAGCTCAGGGCACCAGCTACTGACCCGGACGGAGCAGCACAGGGTCTTCCCCACCGCTGCTCTCATGGGGCGCACACCGGCTGAATGTCTGCAAGGGGTATAGGAAAGAGGAGAGAGAAACATGAATATCCGAGGTCACCAAAGGACATGCAAGCCAGTCAGTGACAAAAGGGAACGTGGCACAGCATGGAGGAGCCGCCCTTAGGTCAGATCAGGCCTGTCATCGTCACTGGTGACCCTCCCTGCCGGGGGAGGTGGCCCTGGCAGCAAGCACCTGTCCTGCTGGCTGAGCGGCAGCCCACGTGTCCGGGGCAGGGTGGCCAGCTGGCCAGCTGGGCCAGAGCCCAGAGTGCTGAGGCTCGCAGCCCGATCTCGGCAGTCCTGTACCGTCGCATCAGGCCACAGGCCACAGGCCACAGGTGGCTCTTCCCGCATGCCGGAGGAAACACAAAATCCCTGCCAGCAGAGAAGGAGCGGCCCAGCCACTTGCCTGTGGGTTTCATGAAATGTGCGACTCTGATCTCATACCCCTTAGAATTTCTAGTAAAAGATCCAGAATGTCTGACTTCCCAAGAAGGAACCTTCATGGGAAAGAATAGGCAGGAATGTTTTCAGAGCCAGTTCCTCAATTTCTCCAGGTTCCAAAAAGCTGCAAGACCATACTCACCTCTTCAGGGTCTCCACATCCCCTGAATATCATATTCAGCTGTTGTTCTCATCACATCTTGAGTAAATTTTTGTGGCTGTTTCTAATTATTCCCTCTGCCTGGGGAGTTCATTTTGCATCACCGTGTTACTTTGGGCCATCTAAAACTATTCCCATCTTACCATATGTGTTCGGCTCTCACTAATTGGGGAAAGTTATTTTTAGTATTTCCTCTTCTTTCCATCTTTGCAGATCTGCCCTATTTAGGGAAAAAAAAAATCCTAAAGCAGTTTTGTGTTTTTTAGAGACATACCAGAGATGCTTTTAAAGTTCTACAAGCAACATTTTCATGTTCAATGTGGAGGTCAGTAAGAGACCAAAAATCCCAAATCCCAGATTGTACCTCCTACTCTCTGTGATGGATTAGAAAGAAAACAGGATCCTCTTCATCCTTCAAGACCCAGTCAGTTTTGTCGCCTCTGAGAAGTCTTCTCCTGTGTCTGCTTCCACCCCACCCTGCTTCAGGAAGACTCACGTTGCCTAGAATTCAACAACCACCCTGGAACTGTGCCTTCTGTTTTTTATGTTTCAGATACATACCCATACCCCAATAATTCTACCAAATTTAAGCTATCTTTATGAAACTAAATATGAAGATTCAAATTAGATTTAAAACTCATTTAGCTAATCTGTTCCAAAAGCAACTTCTGTCTGTTAATTGGTCGTTTGGTAAGCAGCTTTAGACTCATTTTAGTACCTTAACTTAAAATACCACTCTCGGCACACAAATACTTGTTTATTGATGTCGAAATTAAGAAATTGTATTTCTTTTTTTTAAGACAGAGTCTTGCTCTGTCACCCAGGCTGGAGTGCAGGCACAATCTATGCTCACTGCAACCTCAGCCTCCTGGGTTCAAGTGATTCTCCTGCCTCAGCCTCCCAAGTAGCTGGGATTACAGGCATGTGCCACCATGCCCCGTTAATTTTTGTATTTTTAGTAGAGATGGGGTTTTGCCATGTTGGCCAGGCTGGTCACGAACTCCTGACCTCAGGTGATCCACCCACCTCAGTCTCCCAAAGTGCTGGGATTACAGGGGTGAGCCACCACACCCAGCCAGAAATTGTATTTTCTTATCATCTGGTTTAATATTTTGCTTTTTTAACTGTTACTTCACCAAAATAATAAAAAAGCAGTTTTGAACCACATAGGAAAATGAATCTTTTCCTAATTTTGGCCAGGGTAGACCTGCTGGTAGTACTCAGAAATCGGTTACTATTAAAACAGTTTAATTTTTTCAGTTCTTCATTATTCAAAGACTCCAATTAGCACCTCTTTCAAATATGTGAGCAGAGAGCTTCATAAAAATTTAATTAGGCCGGGTACATTGGCTTATACTTGTAATCCCAGCACTTTGGGAGGCCAAGGCAGGAGAACAGCTTGAGCTCAGGAGTTTGAGGCCAACCTGGGCAACACAGAGAGACCTGTCTCTAAAAAAAGAAAAGAAAAAAGACTTAATAAAAAAGAATTAATCCACTGCACACCTATTAGAAAGGCTAAAATCCAAAACGCTGACAACACCAAATGCTGGTGAGGATGTGGAGCAACAGGAATTCTCATCCATGGCTGGTGGGGAATACAAAATGGTACCGCCACTTTAGAAGAGAGTTTGGCAGTTTCTTACAAATCTAAACATACTCAGCTGGGTGCAGTGGCTCATGCCTTTAATCCCAGCACTTTGGGAGGCCGAGACGGGTGGATCACCTGAAGTCAGGAGTTCAAGACCAGCCTGGGCAACATGGTGAAACCCATTTAAAATTTTTTATTCTACTAAAAATACAAAAATCAGCTGGCATGGTGGCACGTGCCTGTAGTCCCAGCTACTTCGGAGGCTGAGGCAGGAGAATCACTTGAACTCGGGAGGCGGAGGTTGCAGTGAGACGAGATCATGCCACTGCACTCCAGCCTGGGCAACAGAGTGAGACTCCATATCAAAAACAAACAAAGAAAAAAAAAAACTTAAACATACCCTCACCATAAAATCCAGCAATTGCACTCCTTGGTGTTTACCCAAAGGAGTTGACAACATAACCACACAAAAACCTGCATGCAGACATTTATAGCAGCTTTACTCATAATTGCCAAAACCTGGATGCAAACAGCATGTCCTTAGGTGAATGGATAAACTGTGTTACATCTAGACAATGGAATATTATTTATTGCTAAAAAGAAATGAGCTATCAAGCCATGAAAAGATATGGAGGAACTTTAAATGCATATTAGTATGTGAAGGAAGACAATCTGAACATCTACATACGCTATGGTTCCAACTATATGATATTCTGGAAAAGGCAAAACTGTGGAGACAGAAAAAGAATCAGAGGTTGCCAGGGGTTAGCAGGGAGGGAAGGATGAACAGGTGGGGCACAGAGGATGTTTAGGACAGTGAAAATATTCCCTATGAGACTGTAATGGTGGATACGTGTCATTATATAATTGTCCAAACCCATAGAATGTTTAACACCAAGAGTGAAGCGTAGTGTAAAGTATCAACTTTGAGTAATGATATCTCGATATAGTTTCATCAATTGTAGCAAATGTACCATTCTAGTAGGGTATGTTGACAAGTGGGGAGGCTGTGGGTGTGTGGGGTAGCAGTGTATGGGAAATCTCTGTACCATCCTCTCAATTTTGCTGCGAACCTAAAACTTCTCTATAAAATAAAGTCTATTAAAAATAAATGTATTTTTTTTAAATTAACCACCCTTTAATAAAAGACTTTGTAGGAAATTAAGCTTAAGAGAATAACTGTTACTACATTTTGGTTACTGCTCTCTTCCCAGTCTCTCTGTGTATTCTATAGGTCCAAGAAACTAACTTGGGAAAGGAGAGGGAAAGTTCTTATTTTCATATGCTGGTAAGACATTCTAGTACTACCATGTCAAAATATAAGCTTTAAAATTGTAGACCAGTGGTGGTGGGGGCTCTGCAAGCCAGCTATTGAAAAACAAGTGGATTCATGTCTGCACTTTAAATAAGAGGTGATAAGTAGAAAACACAAGTAGGTTCAGAATGGACTAACAGGGCTTTTCAAATTTGAATGTTGTATTAGTCCATTCTCACGCTGCTGTAATGACATACCTAAGACTGGGTAATTTATAAAGAAAAGAGGTTTAATTGGCTGAAAGTTCTGCAGGCTGTACAGGAAGCATGGCAGCATCTGCTCAGCATCAGGCGAGACCTCAGGAAACCTACAATTATGGCAGAAGGTGAAAGGGAAGCAGGCATGTTTTACGTGGCTGGAACAGGAGGAAGAGAGAGAGTGGGGAGGTGCCACACGCTTTTAAACAACCAGATCTTGTGAGAACTCACTCATTATTATGAGAACAGAAACAGCACTAAACAGAGATATCCACCCCTAAGATCCAATCACTTCCCACCAGGCCCCACCTCCAAGATTGGGGATTACATTTTGACATGAGATTTGGGTGGGACACAGATCCAAACTATAGCAAATGTGTATACAAATCACCTGGGATCTTATTAAAAATGAAGATTCTGATTCAGTATATTTGGAACAAGTCCAGTAATTCTGCATGTCTAGCAAGCTCCCATGTCCCAGGTGACATCCATGCTGCTGGTCCAGGAACCACACTTTGGTGGCAAGAATGTGAGTCATTGTGTGTGTTGCTATCATTAGTCTTCCTGGTATTGGACTTGAGACCTTCTTAGTCATCTTTGTATCTCCAACACTTATAAGGTGACCAACGTCAAGTTGAGTTAACACATAGTTACAGAATAAATACATCTTTACAGAATAAATACATCTTAGCCTTTCTTTCTCTAAAAAACGGTGAGAGCAACTCTCTCAGGTATGGATGGGATAATATCCAAAAGTATCCACGCTTCTTCAGGGTTGAAAGAAGACCTTCGAAAGAAAATCTAAAGAACAAAAGTGCTCACCATTCAGCCCATATCCACTTCCTTTTCATAGAAATGATAGAAGCAAAAATAAGAAAATAGCTTGGTGAGACTAGATGGTTAGATGAAAGGGTTCCAGGGAGTAAAGATGGTAAGGACTCGAGCTAGCACACTAGAAAAAGTCTCCTTTTCCTAGGTGCCAGTTTCCAGACTATGCTTTGCAAAGAGCACTACGATGAACATCCTTAAACACTGAATTAATGTGTGTCAGCAAAATAATTTCCCTAAAATTGTTTTATTATAAGGAAATTAATAGGGAGTGTGCATGTCCTTTCAACAACATGCTGGAGCATTGTCTAAAAAGCCCACTGAAGATTATTTAATTCTCTAACAGAGCGTCCCTGTGTTTGCCTTTAGTATTTACTATTTGAATATAACTCAGACACTATGGAGTTCTCTGTGGACTTACATATTTCCATCCAGTAGAAGATCTTATTACAAAGGTTATGGTCCCATTGTCCTGCACCATATGATGCAATTGTGTATATAACCTAGCAATGTTATTTAAACATCCTTTTTTAAAAAATTTTTCTTTATTTCTTTAAAGAAATAATTTTATAAATAGAGACAGGGTCTCGCCATGTTGCCCAAGCTAGTCTCGAACTCCTGAGCTCAAGTGATCCACCTTCTTTGGCCTCCCAAAGTGCGGGCATTACAGGCGTGAGCCACCACACCTGGCCTATTTGAACATTCTTTTAAAAATATTACTATAACCCAGCATTTTGGGAGGCCGAAGCAGGTGGATCACTTGAGCTCAGGAGTTCAAGACCAACCTGGGCAACATGATGAAACCCCGTCTCAGTTAAAAAAAAAAAAATTCCTATAAATGCCCAGTTCCTCAAAATGCTTTCCCAACCAGTTTTACCACCTTACTGAATCTCTCATTAATGAACAAATATTTGACATGTGCTAATTGTATATTTGTATGAGAGTCATGTTTTTAACTTTTTGAAAATTATGCTTTGACAGAATAAATTACCAGAAATAGAGCTTGGCTCGGTACATCACATGTCCTCAGACCAAGAACAACTATGCTGGAGAAGCTGTATTTCCTTCACCATCACTGAGGAGCCTCATCTGCACCTGGAATGAATTAAGATATCAATGTCCTATTTTGACTGCATGCTGTTTAGAAATGAGATTTTGAGAAGTCTTAGGATAGGGTGAGTGTATTTTTGTATGTGGAAGGGAATATAAATAATTTTGGGTCAGTGGGCAAACAGAGGGGTTTTCAATAATTCTTTGACACCCCTCCCTTCTGTGGAGCTAATTCCCCTCCGCTTGAGTGAGTCACCCGGTGACTCATTACTAAGGAATAGAATGTGGCATAAATGATAGAGCATGACTTCTTTCTTTCTTTCTTTCTTTCTTTCTTTCTTTCTTTCTTTTTTTGAGACAGGGTCTCACTCTGTGGCCCAGACTGGAGTGCCATGGTGCAAGCACAGCTCACTCGGCTTCAACCTCCTGGGCTCAAGCGATCCTCTCACCTCAGCCTCCCAAGCAGCTGGGATTACAGGCACACACCACCATATCCAGACAATTTTTGTATTTTCTGTAGAAACAGGAGTTTCACAGTGTTGACCAGGATGGTCTTGACTCCTGGACTCAAGTGATCCTGCCACTCCAGCCTCCCAAAGTCCTGGGATTACAGATATGAGCCACCAGGCCCAGCCTGACAGAACATGACTTCTGAGGGTAGGTCATAAAAGACATTGTGACTTCCAGTTTGCTCTTTGATCACTTGTCTAAAGGAAGTCAGCTGCCATGTCTCAATGACACTCAAGTGGCCCTATGGAGGGGCCCAAAACAGCATCCTCCCACCAATAGCCATCGAGGAACTGAGGAACTGAGGCCCTTTGCTAATAGCCATGAGTGCACCATCATGAAGTAGATCTCCTGCCCCTGTCAAGCCTTCAGATGACTGCAGCCCCAGCTGACTGCTCAACTGCAACCTCATGAGAAACCCTCAGCTAGGACAACCCAGCTAAGCTATTCTCAAATTCCACAGAAACTGTGAAATAATACATGCTTATGTTTTAAGCAATTAAGCTTTGGTTAATTTGTTACACAGTAATAGATAACTAATACAGCTGGCTTATCAGGCATGTGTAGTTTAAGACTTTTCATACAGATTGCAAAATTGCCTTCCTGAAATGTTATGCCAATTTACACTCCCACGAAGAGTTGCATAAGAGTGCTCATGTTCTCAGTCCTTCCTCTTGTTAAGTGCTACATTTTTAATTTATTCTTTCTGATATTCTTTATTCTTTCTGATAGAAAATGGTATCTTATTACTCTGATTTATATAGTTTTAAAGTTCAATGAGGTTGAACGTTTTTCATATATTTATTATCTGTTTTGTGACTCTCAATCAAATGCTGTGTGTGTGTGTATATATATATATTAAATTGTAGTGTTAATTTTTTTCATTCCTTGATTCCTAAGGTCTATTTGGCTTTTAACATCTTATATCTACCTGTTACTATGTTGCAAGTATTTCTCCTAGCTTGCCACATAGATATCCTTATGTGGGGGACATGAAGATGTACTGCCTGCAACCCTTTCAAGGAAGATTTGTGGCAGCTGTCTCTTGCCTCAGTTGCAGAGAGCTGCCTTGCCCAAGAGTATGCTCTTCCTGTGACCCATATCCATTGATCAATTGTTGTAGGGTATAAAGGTCCAGCCATTTCAGCCCACCATGGTCCTGCTCTGGCAAGCCATTGACACTCCCGAGCTCTCCACAGGGTAGCATTGCTGAGCTGCATTGTAGTTCGACCACTCCCCTAAAGAAACCCTGCTTCCTTCGTCTCCTTTCCATAGGTGTCGATCTCTAACAAACACGGTGCCCATCAAATTTCAACCTAGCATCTTTTTCTAGAATACTTAACCTGTGACATCCTGGAAATTAATTCCTCAACTTGTAATTGATATAATATCTATATACCTCTACACATAAATGTATTACTCTTAAAAATAATTTATTATGTTTTTTCATAGGGGAAACTGGTTCTTTTATAGAATGATTATTGGAATAAAAACACAAAAAGTTGAGTGTTATTTAAAAACACAAAGTCTTTCCCTATCAGCTACTATGCAAATCCATTATCTATATTACATTTCTTCAAATAAAATCACTTCCTTACCCTGCGATATCTCCCCTGTCACTTACTATCCCCTTTATCTTGTTTTTTTTTCTTCACAGCATTTTATTTGAGTATCTTTTACATCTGTATCTGCCTCCCCAGCACCTAGAATGGAACATGGCATATAATGTGTTCAATAAATATTGATTGAATGGATAGATGAGTAGATCAATAAAGGAGTAAGTGACATTTGGGTAAAGGTAGATAAAGTATATCCAGACCAATACCATATTTGTCCTCCTTCTTCCAGGAAAATGAAGCACAGTATTAATTTGTCTCATACAGAAGTTACCAAAAATATTTATTGTATGTGCACAAATGTATCCAGACCACTCTAGAAACCATCTCTTCTTTGATCTCTTCTTTCCCCCAGCCTTTCCTCTTTTTGCAGCCTGCAGGACTGCCTAGCTTCAAGGGAGCTGAGAGGAAGGTTGTGTTCAGGTGATCAGGAATGGTAACAGATGGTTGGATGCCCTCATTTTGCAGATGCCTCTATATTTGTGCTGCTTAAAAGCATTTTAACTAGTATAGAGCAAAACATGTATTATCTTTTAGTTGCAGCCCTAGTTTCTAGAATCCCGGATTAGTGACTAGCCCCCTAAACCTCACAGCCACTAATCCACTGGGATGGCTCCTCTGCCTCTGTTGACGTTGGGTGCTTTCAGCCCCCAGTGAATTCTGCCTCTTTAATCTTGTTTGGTGCTGATTTTTTTTTTTCTACCATTAGCGCTTTGGATTGGAATGTGGTTGCCTCATATTTTTTTGTCAGACTCTTTACAGACAAGCAAATAAACTTGGAGAGGGTAAGTAAGGTAACACAGGAGATCTGAGATAGAGCTAGGACTTTTGCCATCTATCCTTGTCATCAAAAGCACTCATTAATCTTATCGTCATTCTGTGGCAGGGTGGTGGAACAGCACAGGTCAATTTAGAGATTCAGGACAATGGGGAACACTCACTCTCTCCAGTTCTTTTGTGCAAACAGCTGACCTAAGAATAAAACTTAAGCATCCAGAATGTCATAAAAGCACAGTCTATGTTCATATTTAAGTTCATCTGCAGCATTTTTGTCACTTTTAGCTACGATTAGGATGCCTTTAAAGCAGTTATTGTCCAATAGATTTCCATTTGAAGGAAAGGATGTTTGTCATGGTAAGTAATTAAGTAATAGAACATTTCTTAGCTTCTAAGGGAAACCTTTCCAGGTTAAGTAATTTGCAGAGGGGGAAATGTCATCTTTTATTTTTTTTCTTCAGAAGGAATTGATTAGACAGAACAACTACAGGAAACCCCAAATGTTGAAATCAGCAGGAGACCTTTAAATTGCACAGAATCAAATTTCTAAAAACATAATTCTACCTGTATTGTTGAAAATAGAGAGGCCAGATGCGGTGACTCATGCCTGTAGTCCCAGCACTTTGGGAAGCCGAGGCAGGTGGATCACTTGAGGTCAGGAGTTTGAGAGTAGCCTGGCCAACATGGCGAAACCTCATCTCTACTAAAAATATAAAATTAGCCGGGCATGGTGGTGCATGCCTATAAGTCCCAGCTACTCGGGAGGCTGAGGCAGGAGAATCGCTTGAACCCGGGGGGCGGAGGTTGCCGTGAGCCAAGATCGCGCCATTGCACTCCAGCCTGGGCAACAAGAGCGAAACTCCGTCTCAAGGAAAAAAAAAAAAATAGAGCTCAAAAATCCATTAGCTCTTTGCATTTTCCCCCATTTTGTAATTATTGTTATTGCTTTATGCATTGTGAAGTCTCTATTATGCGAACCCCATCGGGGGCTGCTTTTCCATCACGATCAGCTCATTGGTGCTGTCAGCATAGAGCTCCCGGGAGGCCTCCCTGAGAATCTAGTGGAAAAGAAAGGAAATGTGAGCTTGAGGAGTCTTGCTAGCAGTGACTGTTGCCGTGCCCACTGGAGCTATGCTTAACCTAAAGATTTCAGGACTCTGACCTACAAAAACATCTCAGGCAGGACGCCCAGGTTTTGGTGTCTTTTTCACGCTTTTTTTCCCCAGGAACATGACCAGCCACATTTTAATGGCCATAGAGAAAACAAAATTTTTTCCCCTGGTGCCAGTTATTTTTGTTGAGTTTGTCGTTTTAAGATAATTGATGTAAAAAAAAAAAAAAAACATTTATCCAGGGAAGGCAAGAGCAGAAAAGAACCTGATAAATCCTCCAAGGAGGACTAGGGGATAGAAAGTAACATTATAGCCATGAAGAACCTAATTGTGCATCCAGCAATAATTTCTGCTGTATAAACTAAGATTTAAAGATGTCTCTCAGGAAGCAGGAAAATAGTGGGATGTCCCATAGAGGACATGAGCTTTGACACTGAAAGACTGCTGTCCGCCGCTGCCTGGGACCACTGAAGACAGACAAGCTTTCCAGCATGAATTTTGGTTAATATAGTGAATTATATAGACATGAAAGAGATTTACTGCCCTCTCACACCATCTTTCTCTAAACACATAAACATTCAAGATAAAATAGAACCCCCTAAAAATAGATTGAAATGCAGAGCCCAGCTTACAAGTTTTAGGAAACGGATCCAAAATAAAAAAGAGAGCAAAGCCAGAGAGGCAATTAAGAGCTGCAGCAGCATGGCCCACAGGGGACCATCCCCAGATGAAGGTCTTACTGGCTGGGAGTTGGAGTTTTAACACGTGGACTGAGACAGGAGAGTTAGGCTCAGGGCCATGGGAAGGGAGGCTCTTGCATAACGTTGAGTCTCAGATTCCATTCCTTTCATGAACCTATGAGTTGAAAAACTCTTCCCACTTGCCTGAGGAAGAACGAGAAGATTGCTGTCTACTCTGGTCCCTGGAAAAAAGAGCCACCCGCCATAAATCAAAATGGAGGTGTGAGATCTGAATTTATAAGTTGGGTATGGTGAGAAAACCCCCAAGATCAGAAATTAATATAAAATTCTTCTGGAATGGGTGAAACCACTAGAAACACAGCAGAGGCACATGCAAAACTGTCCTATAGAGATATTTCTTTACCCCTGTTATGAACTGATTTGTGTCCCCTCAAACTTCATATGTTGAAGCCTTAACCCCCAAGATGACTGTATTTAGAGGCAGGGCTTTTATGAAGGAAATTCAGGTTAAATGAGATCATAATGACTGGTGTCCTTATAAGGGAAGAAATACCAGGGATGTACGCACACAGAAGAAAAGCCATGTAAACACGTAGCAAAAAGGCAGCCCTCTGCAAGCCAAGGACAGAGGCCTCAGGAGAAAGCAACCAAGCACCTTGATCTTGGGCTTCCAATCCTCCATAACTGTGAGAAAATAAACGTCTTTTATTAATTATAATTACACCTGTAATCCCAGCACTTTGGGAGGACAAGGCAGGCAGATCACTTGAGCTCAGGAGTTCCAGACCAGCCTGGACAACATGGCGAAACCCCGTCTCTACTAAAAATACAAATAATTAGCTAGGTGGGGTGGTGTGTGCCTGTAGTTTCAGCTACTGGGTAGGCTGAGGTGGGAAAATCACTTGAGCCCTGGAGTTCGAGGTTGCAGTGAGCTATGATCACGCCACTGCACTCAGCCTGGGTGACAAAGTGAGACTCTTCCAAAAAAAGGAAAAGAAATGTCTTTTGCTTAAGCCACCATTCCATGGTATTTTGTTATAACAGCCCTAGCAAACTAAGACATCCTAGAATACATGGCAGCCTAGGTACCCTCACTGAAGGTAAATTCACAAGAAAAATTTCTAGACTTCACGAAGAAAGGGAAAGTCACAAGGAATAATGAACAGGGAAATTTGCACTCCCCAAAACTACAGGTAATAGAATAAGCTAAAACATATTATAAAATGTTTCTTTAAAATATTTAGACATGAAAGAAGGTATAGAAATTATAAGTACAGAGTAATATGAGAAAGGAATATGTTTTTTAAAGAAAATTGAATATAAATTGTGAAAATAAAAAATACAGTTACTGAAATTAAAAATGCAATGAATGGGAAAACAGTATACTAGACCCAGCTGAATAGAAACTTAGTGAATTGAAATACAAATCTAAAAAAGAGTCTGTAGCATCTAGATGAAAATACCAAAGAAAGGCAAAGATACATGAAAGATAGAATGAGAAATACCAAAATATGGATATTAACAATTACAAAAGGAAACACCAGAAGAACCTAGAAGGGGCAAGGAAGGGTTTTATATGTACAGGCTTGGCTGGGTGCGGCATCTCATGCCTATAATCCCACACTTTGAAGGCCAAGGCAGGAGGACTGTTTGAGACTGGGAGTTTGAGAACAGTCTGGACAACACAGCAAGACTTTACCTTTACTAAAATTTTTTTTTAAATTAGCCAGGCATGGTGACACGTGCTTGTAGAACCAGCTACTAGAGTGGCTGAGGTAGGAGGATCACTTGAGCCCAGGAGGTTGAGGGAAAAAAAAGAGAGCGCGAGGGAGATAAATGTAAAGCCTGAAAATTTTCCTGAATGGGAGAAGGAAATTGTCTTCAGATTAAAGAAACCTATCAGGACCTGAGCAAGAAAAATAAAAACAAAATCACATCTAAACACATTGTAATGAAAGAGCAAATCAACAAAAACAAACAAAAAAAAGCCTTAAAAACTACCAGGTTATTTTTCAAAGAATGGCAATTATACTAGAGAAGACTTTTCAACAACAGAAATCAAACAACAGTGAAATAATATTTCAAAGTTCTGAGAAAAACAATAACTGTCTCTCTAGAATTCTAGACCCAATTACACTGTCATTCAAGAGTGAAAGCAAAATAAAAGTGTTTTCAGACAAGCAAGTTTACTATTCCGACTTACCTGAAACAACTGATTTAAAATATACTATAGGAAGAATTAATTTGAGTGGTATACAAGAAGCATGTGGTAAATACACTGGTAAATCTAAATGAGTGTTTGCTATAAATAATAATAGTACTGAAAAATGAGGTGACGGTCAGGGGTAAAAACAAGAATTAAAGTACCAGAAAATGATAACACAGGAGATAGAAGGTCGATTTTGAAGAATTCTAAGGTCTTTCTATTGTTAAGGTGAAGAACGGAAATATTAAGTGACCTTAAAATCTAAGTAAATATCTGTGTTAAAAATTGAGAACATCAAATAGATAATTTGTTAATTTGATAATGTGGGCAGTGATATGGTTTGGCTGTGTCCTCAACCAAATCTCATCGTGAATTGTAGTTGCCATAATTCCTGTGTCATGGGAAGGACCAAGTGGGAGGTAACTGGATCATGGGGGCGGGTCTTTCCCATGCTGTTCTCATGGTAGTGAATAAGTCTCAGGAGATCTGATGGTTTTATAAAGGGGAGTTCCCCTGCACAAGCTCTCTTTGCCTGCCACCGTGTAAAACATCCCTTTGCTCTACCTTGGTCTTCTGCCATGATTGTGAGGTCCTCCAGAAGCCATGTGGAACTGTGAGTCCATTAAACCTCTTTCCTTTATAAATAACCCAGACTCAGGTATGTCTTTATTAGCAGTGTGAGAACAGACTAATACAGGTAGGTAAAGGAAAATAATGAAAAACCCAATCAAGTCAATGAAAGTCAGGGAGGGGTTGTGGGGAAACATGGTAAATGAGAAACCCAGAATAAATGATAGCAAAAAAACTCAACATATCAGTAAGCAATATAAATGTAAATGGATTATATTTGTCTACTAAAATACAGAGACTCTCAAATTCCATTTACAAAATCCGTTAGATGGTGCTCCAACTCTGGCTTGTAGTTTTTACGGATGAAAAACTAGTTGCCTGTCATTATTGTCTTTATTATTATGTATGTAATATGCCTTTTACCTCTCTCTGCTTATAAGATTTATTGTTATTATTATTGGTTTTAAGCAATTTGATTATGAAATTAAGTTGGCACATACCCGCTCATTGATTGATAGATTTAACACAATTGTATTATAATTACATCAATAAAGATATACACAAGGCATCATTATAAAAGCATAAAAGAACATAACTTTAGTAGAATTTTCCCGGTATATTAATTTAGATAAAGGCATAAATGATTGCAATAATAGAATTCATATAAAGAAAAGAGAAGCTCATGCCTATAATCCCAGCACTCTGGGCCAAGGCGGGTGGATCACTTGAGGTCAGGAGTTCAAGACCAGCCTGGCCAACATGGTGAGACCACCATCTCTATTAAAACTACAAAAATTAGACAGGCATGGTGGCACATGCCTGTAATTCCAACTACTCTGGAGGCTGAGGCAGGAGAATCACTTGAACCCAAGAGGCAGAGGTTGCAGTGAGCCAAGCTTACGCCACTGCACTCCAGCCTGGGCAACAGAGCAAGATTCTTTCTCAAAAAAAAAAAAAAAAAAAAAAAAAAAACAGAGAGAAAGAAAGAAAAAAAGAAGAATTAGGGCAAGAAATTCCCACTTTATAAACTATAAATATAAAGTACAGAAGGCATAGAAAGCTAAACACTTCATTGTCACCATTTTCACCATCCAAGTCTATCTTGATTTTACGTTATCTGTAGCTTAGGCCTAGGGCAACCTGGTGGCCAATCAGTAAGCTCCCAATTCTCACATGAGTACATATTTTGTATATTGGTCTATGCATCCCAAAACCCCTTGTGGATTCTGGGGAAGGTGGTACTGCCATCATGCTCCCGTGCACACCTCCAGAATGGGCCTCTTAGGTATAAGCAGTGGGCAAGAGAGATCTGGAGAACAGAGGAAAGGGTTGAAGGAAAATTTTTTCATTCTCAACTCCCTTAAAAATATAAATACAGAGATGGGGGAAAAATCACTACATCTATTTACTCCTTAAGCTCACGCCTTAGAAAGCAGCATTGCTTTTTGCTTTTTGTCAAGCACATGAGATCAAAACTAAACATAGTTAATTCCACATGGATGGAGGAAAATTTGCATGTTCTCTGCAGTGAGGTCGAATGTGACTCCATTCAGTGATCTCTTTTTTTTGAGACAGAGTCTCACTCTGTCACCCAGGCTGGAGTGCAGTGGCACCATCTTGGCTCACTGCAATTTCCACCTCCTGGATTCAAGCAATTCTCCTGCCTCAGTCTCTAGAGTAGCTGGGATTACAGGCACGCACCACCATGCCTGGCTAATTTTTGTAATTTTTCTTAATAGAGACAGGGTTTCACCATGTTGTCCAGGCTTGTCTCGAACTCCTGACCTCAAGTGATCCGCCTGCCTCAGCCTCCCAAAGTGCTGGGATTACAGGCATGAGCCACCATGCCCGCCAGTGATCCCTTTTTCTCCACTCTGGTTATGGAGAGCAGCCAGGGGTGCTGACTGTGCTTTCCATGGCACATTCAGGTGGAACAATGGGCCCATGAACCATCTATTCCCTGGCTATGGGCATTCAAGGCATATAAGGATTGGATCCCAGGAGACCTGGGGCTTCCAGGGCTGCAGGACAGAGATAAGAAGCAGTGAGTCATAGTCCGGATAGGGAAGATGCTCTCACACTTGCTTGGCAAATAAGAGTAGCTTAGAAGAAAATTCTCCTATTTCTGGAAGGGAGTAAGGAGTGAATCCCAGGAAAGGAGGGACCTGCTGCACTGCAGACCCCATGTGGGGGCAGTATCTCAGGGACTGGCCTGCATGCTACACCTAGGGGGCTGTGTCCTGGGTCTGGGTCCCACCTCAGCAAGCCTGTCTGGGCCAGCTTGTTATGGGAGTAGTGTTGTCCTCTATCTCTTAAAACCCACAATAAACCAGATCCATCCAGGCACACACCTATAATCCTAGAGCTTTGGGAGGCTGAGGCAGGAGGATTGCTTGAGGGCAGGAGCTCAAGACCAGCCTGGACAACATAGTGAGACCCCCGTCTCTACAACAGAATCTAAAAATTAACCAGGCATGATGGCATGGAGTCCCAGCTGCTCAGGAGGCTGAAGTGGGAGGACTGTTTGAACCCAGGAGTTCAAGGCTGCAGTGGGCTATGACCATGCCACTGCACTCCAGCATGGGCAACAGAGGGAGGCCCTGTCTCTTAAAAAGAAAAGAAATCAGATCCAAGAACTAAAGGCCATCCCCAAAATTCCAGGTTGCATGAGACCCTGTGACTGGTGCAGGACCCCAAGAAGGTGACAGGAAAGAACCACAATGCTGACCAATATTTTTTTAAATAATCTCTAGAGAGTGGGCACTTGGGGGTTAATTTACTTTGATTTTTAAAAATGAAATAACTCATTAACTCTTGGTCTGAAAGTTGTGATGGAACTAAATCCATATACACCACACATATTTACAGAACAAGGCTATTTAGATCAGTGGGTTTTTTGTTTCTTTTTGTTTTCAGTTTAATTTATTTAAAATTTTTATTTATTAATTATTTATTTTCAGAGATGGGTTCTCACTGTGTTGCCCAGGCTAGAGTGCAGTGGCTACTCACAGGAGTGATTATGGTGCACTATAGCCTCAAACTCCTGGGTTCAAGCAATCCTCCCACCTTAGCCTCCCAGTAGCAGCTGGGATTACAGGCACACACCACTGCACCTGGCTTAGACCAGGTATTTTTCAAGCTGTAGACTGAGATCCACTAGTAGGTCATGAAATTAATTTAGTGAGTCTTGACCAGCCATTTTTCATTAAATAGAATGGAAAAAAAAAAAAAAAGAGCTTCTGCACCACAAAAGAAACTATTATCAGAGTGAACAGGCAACCTACAGAATGGGAGAAAATTTTTACAATCTACCCATCTGACAAAGGGCTAATATCCAGCCAGAATCTACAAAGAACTTAAACAAATTTACAAGAAAAAATCAAACAACCCCGTCAAAAAGTGGGCAAATGATATGAATAGACACTTCTCAAAAGAAGACATTTATGCAGCCAAAAGACACATGAAAAAATGCTCATCATCACTGGCCATCAGAGAAATGCAAATCAAAACCACAATGAGATACCATCTCACACCTGTTAGAATGGCGATCATTAAAAAGTCAGGAAACAACAGGTGCTGGAGAGGATGTGGAGAAATAGCAACGCTTTTTTTTTTTTTTTTTTTTTTTTTTTTTTTGAGATGGAGTCTCACTCTGTCGCCCAGGCTGGAGCGCAGTGGTGCAGATCTTGGCTCACTGCAAGCTCCGGCTCCCAGGTTCAAGCCATTCTCCTGCCTCAGCCTTCTCAGTAGCTGGGACTACAGGCACCTGCAACCACATCTGGCTAATTTTTTGTATTTTTAGTAGAGACAGGGTTTCACTGTGTTAGCCAGGACGGTCTCGATCTCCTGACCTCGTGATCTGCCCGCCTTGGCCTCCCAAAGTGCTGGAATTACAGGCGTGAGCCACCGTGCCTGGCCAGAAATGCTTTTACACTGTTCGTGGGACTATAAACTAGTTCAACCATTGTGGAAGACAGTGTGGCGATTCCTCAAGGATCTAGAACTAGAAATACCATTTGACCCAGACATCTCATTACTGGGTATATACCCAAAGGATTATAAATCATGCTGGTATAAAGACACATGCACACGTACGTTTATTGCAGCACTATTCACAATAGCAAAGACTTGGAACCAACCCAAATGTCCATCAATGATAGACTGGATTAAGAAAATGTGGCACATATACACCATGGAATACTATGCAGCCATAAAAAAGGATGAGTTCATGTCCTTTGTAGGGACATGGATGAAGCTGGAAACCATCATTCTGGGCAAACTATCGCAAGGACAGAAAACCAAACACCACCATGTTCTCACTCATAGGTGGGAATTGAACAATGAGAACACTTGGACACAGGGTGGGGAACATCACACACCAGGGACTGTCATGGGGTGGGGGAAGGGGGAAGGGTAGCATTAGGAGAAATACCTAATGTAAATGACAAGTTAATGGGTGCAGCACACCAGCATGGCACATGTATACATATGCAACTAACCTGCACATTGTGCACTTGTACCCTAGAACTTAAAGTATAATAAAAAAAAACAACAAACAAACAAAAAGAATGGAAAAAAACTCTGTTTCAGGACTTTTTCTTTTCAGTTATAGGTAAGTATGTGTGTACAGGGTAGCAACGTAAATGCATTTCCTATTGTAGGTCATGGTCAAAAAACTTGAGAACTAAATTAGACCACATCACTATGAGTGAATAATTTCCTCTCCACCAGCTAGAAGTAGCTTGTCTGTACAGGAGGAAATACAGTCAGCCCTCCATGCCGGTGGGGTCCCCATTTGTGGATTCCACCAACCATAGACTGAAAGTATTTAAAAAAAAAAAAAAACTTGTTGGTTGTGTCTGTACTGAACACATGCAGGCGTTTTGTGCTCATCATTATCGCCTAAACAATAAAGTACAACAACTCTCTACAAAGCCTTTACATTATGCTAGGTATTATAAGTCATCCAAAGATAATTTAAAGTGCATGGAAGGTGTGCATAGGTTCCATGTAAATGCTATACTACTTTATATCAGGGACTTGAGCATCCTCAGATTCTCAGATTTTGATATTCACGGTGGGGGTTCTGTTACCAACAGAGCTGGTCCCCCACAAAAATGGGGTCTTTCCCTGTTTGGTGCAGTGAAACCAATACACAACACCGAAAGTGAGTGTCAAGTGGTGCAGGCTTTATTCGATGGCCATGGAATTGAGAAGCGGGAGCTTGGCTCACAAATCAACTTCTCAATTAGTGAGGGGTGAGGGGGTTATCATATAGGGTTTCCTTAATGATGGCTGGACATTAAAAGCAAGAGGAGGAATATCCATGTCTTTTCTGGAACTGGGCGGTACACTTCTTGGAATGAGGGGCTCCCTTGTTTTTGTCCTTTTATGGCTCCTTCTGGTCATTGTCACGGGGACTGGCAACCGTCATGACACTGGTGGAAGTGTCATTTAGCATGGAAATTAGATTATAATGAAGCCTGAGGTCTTTTTGAAGTCATCTGGTCGGATACCTGGGGTAGGCTTTGTAACTGGTCTCAGCTGGTCTGGTTACAAAGGGAACTTTTTATCGCCGGTGTCCTGTTTCTTAAAGATAAGCAGAGTTAGAGCAAAGGAGAAATTCAGCTATGTCACGTAGGCATTATACCAACAGTTCCTGGAACCAGTCCCCCACAGATAACAAGGCACGACTGCACATAGACTAATGGTCCCCAACCTTGGGTCCTAAAAAGAAGTAACGGGGGGCGGGGCATGGTGGCTCATGCCTGTAATCCCAGCACTTTGAGAGACCAAAGTGGGCAGATCACCTGAGGTCAGGTGTTCAAGACCAGCCTGACCAACAAGGCGAAACCCTGTCTCTACTAAGAAAATACAAAAAATTAGCTGGTGTGATAGCGCACGCCTGTAATCCCAGCTAGTCAAGAGGCTAAGGCAGGAGAATCGCTTGAACCTGGGAGGCAGAGGTTGCAGTGAGCCGAGATCGTGCCATTGCACTCCAACCTGGGCAACAAGAGTGAAACTCTGTCTAAAAAAAAAAAAGTAAGTAATGGGGATATTATAAACCATTTTCAGCAATAGCTAGCATTTATGAAGCATATCCTGGATAAGAGATATGTGGGTTACATCTTCATTTTCTAGATAAATTAAAGTCACTCATACTCATCTATCAAGTTGAAGAGCTAAATTTTAAATCCAGGTTCTTCAGACTCCAAAACAATGCCTTTTCTAAGAGACCACACTGCACCCCCCTACCCTTCAATAATTCATGAACCTTATTACAAATAATATGCATGCCTACAATAAAGCTGCCCAGCCAAAAAAAAAAAAAAAAAAAAAAAAAAAGGCTTGACAATATTTTGTAGTGTTGGCTACTTAAATGTGAAAAATCAAGTCTGTAATAAGAATATGTGTGAAACATTCTATAAACCATACAGTAAAATAAAAATATAGGGTGGTATTGAGGTCAGACAAGACCATTTTGGTGTCTTTTCCTCCAATCTTTCATATCCAGTAAGTCATCCCACTACCACAGCAGACCAACTAGGATTGGCCGAAATCGTGCCTGCTTGCGCCTTCTTTCTAGAAATTTCCATGTCCCCAGCGTGCATGTTCTGTCGCCTTCTGCCCCTTTCTGTCTTGCTGCCGTACTCTCCATTGGTCTTGCCTCTGCTGCCTTGTTTCCTTTCTGTACAAGTGCAAGGCAGAGCTCTTTCCTTTCCCCTGAGCATCTGTCCCTGTGCAAATTTATCAGGTTTCTCTCGTCTAGCAGAGAAAGAAAAATGAAGTATCAGCATTATGGCCTATCTGTGCACTTTTTAAAATTAACTGCAAGCTTCATTTAATATCTTCATTCTTGTTTTTCCTTTCCTTTTCTCTTCCACTTTAATTTTATTCCTCCTCGCTGTACTCTTGGATCTCAGTAAGCCACCTTAAGTTCTTTTTGACATAAGAAAGAGAGATAAATACATTTTTTCAACTTATAAATTGAGGTAGTTTCGTGTCCCAGGGTTTCGAAGTTAATACTGTCTTTCTTCCTGCGTTTAACACGGACTTGATGGAACAGGTCTCTGGCATGGAAAAATCACAGAGTCACCCTGGCTATTAACAGTCATGGATCCATTAAGAGTCTATTTTATTTTGACTACTTTGTATCTTTTTTCTTCTGGACCCAGGAATAATTACAGATCCAAGAATTGAACAGATACTCCCAACCTGAGAGCTAACGCTCACCTAACTGATTCCAAAATCCCCTCATTTGGTGGGGAGGGAGGGAGGGGGGCTACCTTGTACTTCCAGAACTCCTGGGAACACATTGAGATTCCTCCATCACGGTATTTTTATGTCTACTCTTTCCCTATTGGTGCTGAAGAGTTGCCTCCTGATCTCTGTCCTCAACTTTGAGCCAAAGGATATTTATTAAAGAAAGAAAGTCATAGCACGTTTAAAAAAGAAGAGTCCCCAGAAGTAAAATTTCTCTGCACTCGTTGTAAGCTCCACATGGCTTGCAGTGAAGAAAAGTGGACAACCCTGCCTCGCCTCCAGTAGATGCGCCCTCCACAAACCACCCAAGGCTGCCCCCGTGTTCTGTCCACACTAACCTAAGCCAACCTCATAAGTGACAGATGTTTATTGAGTGCCTGCTAGGGGCCAAATGATTTTTAAATTTATATTTTTGAATCAGGGGACTCTTTTTAAAAAATGAAATATTACACTGAATTTCAATATACAAATGATAAAGGTGGAGCCCATTGAGGTGAAGTGAGGGAGATGGCAGGGGGAGGATAGCGGGAGAGAAAGCCCCTCCCTCAGCTCCTGGGAGCACAGATTGAAAACCACTGTGCTATGGGGACCGAAGGAGAGTTAGCTACCTGTGAGGAACTCCCCATCGAGTGTGACAAATGCATAAACACGCACATACAGCTGGGAAGGCAGGGCTGTGGTGGGAGTGGGTGTTGGAGCTTCCAGAGGGTGTCACAGGAGCAAGAAACATTGCATGTTGGGAGAAATGACACGTGCCAGATGGAGGGAATGAAGAAGGCCGTGATGGGGGAGCAAGAGATGCAATGGAGAAGTAGAGAATGGTCAGATTATAAAAGACCTTGTGTGCCATTCTAGGGAGTCTGGATTTTGTCCAGGCTTTTCCTAAAGGCTACAGCAGACAGAGGGATCAAAGCAGAGGCAGGACAGGACCAGGTTCACAGATTATAGGAGATGGCAGTCAGGGGGTGGGGCAGGGATACAAAAGCACCAATTATTGATCCAGGGGAAAGACTGGATCAACAGTTGGCATATCAGTTCCTTTTTGTACACGCTGTGTCATTCTGTCCTAGGTTGGGTTTTGTTTTGTTTTGTTTTGTGTTTTGTTTTTTGTTTTTTGTGTTTTTTTTGAGACAGAGTCTCACTCTGTTGCCCAGGCTGGAGTGCAGTGGCGCAATCTCGGCTCACTGCAACCTCCACCTCCTAGGTTCAAGCAATTCTGCCTCAGCCTCCTGAGTAGCTGGGATTACAGGCACACACCACCACGCCTGGCTAATTTTTGTATTTTTAGTAGAGACAGGGTTTCACCACGTTGGTCAAGCTGGTCTCAAACTCCTGACCTCATGATCCGCCCGCCTCAGCCTCCCAAAGTGCTGGGATTACAGGCGTGAGCCACCGCACCTGGCCTGTTCTGGTTTTTTTAAGACCCTCATTAAGCTTCCTGTCCTGTCTCTGTCTATTGCCTCTGTCTCTATAACATTTCCAGAAAATTCATGTCTTCTGCCTCTCTCCAACCTAGAAAACTGATGGAAACGGGACCACCGATGGAGTACTTCCACTGTAATCTTATGAGTCTATTCTTTCTCTCATTGGCTAAGAAGAATTGCCTACATGATTTCCACATTATTTCTGTCATAAAAGCAATGAAAATCATATTTATTTACTTATCTAGAGAACAGAGTCTGGCACATAGTAGCAGAAATTCAGTAAATACTTGTCTTAGTCCATTTGTGTTGCTATTTAAAAAAATACCTGAAGCTGGGTAATTCATAAAGAAAAGAGGTTTATTTGTCTCATGGTCCTGCAGGCTGTACAGAAAACATAGTGCCAGCATCTGCTTCTAGTGAGGCTTCAGGCTGCTTCCACACATGGTGGAAGGCAAAGGCAAGCTGGCATGTACAGACGACATGGTGAGAGAAGAAGCGAGAGAAAGAGAGACAGACAGACAGAGAGGAGAAGGTGCCAGGCTCTTTTCAACAACCGATTATCTTGGGAATTAAGAGTGAGAGCTCGCTCACTCCCACCAGACAGGCACCAACCCATCCATGAGGGATCCTCCCCCACAATCCAAACACCTTCCACCAGGCCCCACCTCCACTGGGGATTAAATTTCAACATGAGATTTGGTGGGGCCAAACAAACCGTATCCAAACCATAGCACATATGAAGTGAATAAAGGAATGAAGGAATGAATGAATGAGTGAAAACTAGGGAATCTTGACAATCTGACATAATGATTGCTAAGATGGCCTTTAAGTAGGGAGATGACACTATAGAGATGATATGAATGATCCAGGGTAAGTGACTGAGCTTTTAGCTGTTTTATCAAGAGAAAAGTTGATTTAGTGTAACTCACACTACTTGAATTCAGATCAGAAGACCTGCCTTTTCTGATCTTGGCTACGATCACACACTTGCCAGATTAACATTTCTGGGCCTCAGTTTCCTCATGTGTAAAATCATGAAAAATGGCCAGGCACAGCGGCTCACGCCTGTAATCTTAGCACTTTGGGAGGCTGAGGCAAGTAAATTGCTTGAACTGAGAAATTCAAGACCAGAGTGGGAAACATGGCAAAACCTGTCTCTACAAAAAAAAAAATACATAAATTAGCCAACATGGTGGTGCACACCTGTAGTCCCAGCTACCTGGGAGGCTGAAGTGGGAGGATCACTTGAGTCCAGGAGGTCTAGGCTGCAGTGAGCTGTGATGGCTCCACTGCACTCCACCCTGGGTGACAGAGCAAGACCCTGTCTCACAAAAAAAAAAAAAAAAAACATGGAAAATAATACCTACACCGGGCGAGGTGGCTCACGACTGTAATCCCAGCAATTTGGGAGGCCGAGACAGGAGGATTACCTGAGGTCAGGAGTTAAAGACCAGCCTGGCCAACATGGTGAAACCTCATCTCTACAAAAATACAAAAATTAGCCAGGCATGATGGCAGACACCTGTAATCCCAGCTACTTGGGAGGCTGAGGCAGGAGAATCACTTGAACCTGGAAGGTGGAAGTTGCAGTGAGCCGAGATCGCACCACTGCACTCCAGCTTGGGTGACAGAGGGAGACCCTGTCTCAAGAACAAAAAAAACAAAACAAACAAAAAAAAAACATGAAAAATAAGGCCTACCACCTTGCCGCATTGTTGTCAAGTTTCATGCGTCCAGGGAACACTAGGAAACAATTCTTTACTTTGTTCTTGGGTGATAGAGAGGAATGAGAAAAAGAAGGCATCTCTGTGACTGGACTATTTTATTCATTCATTCATTATCTATTCCCACTTGGAGATTCACCTTCCAGAATTCTGGGGCAAACCTGAAGAGCTTTGTGTTCAGTTTCAACAAGTCAACTCTCCATTGAAATGTGAATGAACTTTGTGGAGAGACCTTTCTATGGCAGCCTACTCTTATACTGGGCCCATGAGGCCAGTTCAAGGCCATGGACAGTTGTACATTGTTGAATACTGCACAAGGACATTACACCTAAGGGGACTTTTCACATTGTAGGCATGTCATGTGTATTTATCGTGACAGTTTCCTGGCATATGGAAGCAACATATCTTGTACTACCAAAAATCAGTATATGGTAGTAATTTCCCAACAAATACAAATACAATTTCCTAAGGAAGATATCCCGTTGTCCATTAGCATAAAAGTACTGCACCATACCAGCAGGTGCACCTCTGAGATCTGCTTGTCCCCACCTGATGTCTGTGCCTCTGCTGCTTATTCCAGGAGCAGGTGCAGTTGCCACACCACCACCCAGCACTCAGCCTCCCCTGGCAGAGGAACATGACCACCATTACGTCCTCTGTAGCTACAGCCCCAGCACCCAGGTGGGAGTCAAGCAGACCCCCACGGGCTTTGACTGCCCCGGGGGGCTGCCCAGAGGAACACAGAGTAACACACTCAGAAACATGGGGGAGATAACACCCCAAGGAAGGAACATGGACCAGTGAGAGTTGGGAGATGGGAGAAGCTGACAGATAAATGGCTCATTCAAGCTTCCCATGGCTTCTTGCGCCATTCCAAGAGCAATGGCTCCATGCAGCCTCTCCAGAGGTTCATGTCCTTGTGAGATGGTCACCAGCTTTTTCTTACACCACCTCTTATCTGTGTTCCCTCCTTCCCACCTCACAGCCCTCGCCCCTCACCTTGGTGCTCTGGGATTGCCCACCTCCCGCCAGCCCAGTACATTAGTGCTGTGGGCTGGGGAGCCTGGGTCACCATACACTCCACTGGGCTGATGGCCTCCCTGGGCCAGTCTGTGTGTTACAGATGTGCATATAAACACAAGCCAGATTTGATCGGGCGCGGTGGCTCATGCCTGTAATCCCAGCACTTTGGGAGGCCAAGGTGGGAGGATCACTTAAGGGAAGGAGTTCGAGGCTGCAGTGAGCTGTGATCACGCCACCGCACTCCAGCCTGGGTGACAGATCAAGACCCCCATCTCTAAATAGATAAATAAATAACAGGCTGAGAGGGGTGGCTCATGCCTGTAAGCCCAGCACTTTGGGAGGCCAAGGTGGGAGGATCACTTAAGGGAAGGAGTTCGAGGCTGCAGTGAGCTGTGATCACGCCACCGCACTCCAGCCTGGGTGACAGATCAAGACCCCCATCTCTAAATAGATAAATAAACATCAGGCTGAGAGGGGTGGCTCATGCCTGTAATCCCAGCACTTTGGGAGGCCAAGGCAGGAAGATTGCTTGAGCCCAGGAGTTTGAGACCAGCCTGTACAACATAGTGAGATCTCATCTCTAAATTCTAAAAAGTATAAAAATAAATAAATAACACAAGCCAGATTCCAAGCAATTGGAAGTGTTTTTGAACCATGCAAAGAGAGAGGAATTTGCCCCACTAACCACATGGAAAACTTTCCTAAAACTCTCATTTTGATATGACTTTTCCCCAAAGCCCCACCCTCCAGTACAGCTGCTCAAATTTCCCTCTGGTCCCTCCAGTACCTCAAAACCCTCCCTTCGCATCCTTTCTCACACTAAACCAGAGCTGCTCACCTTTTAACTTTCGTTACCTGGCTCCAGCTCTGGCTCTCCCTTTATCATACACATTTCTCATTGGAATGACCCCTTCCCACCCACCTCCAAGAGAGGCTGGGTGTGTAACCCCGCAGAGAATCACATCTCCTTAGGAGGGGAGAAGGGAGAGTGGTTGGTAAGAATTATAATTTAACATAATTGTTTTGGGCCTGCAGGAGTTGATCACTAAACGCTACAATTACTTCTGTCGACTGAAGGAAAAAAGATCAAGCTTTTAAAGAATTAAAGTTAGTTTTATTCAGAAGTCTCACTGAGGCCTACAGCCCAGAAGCAGACCTCTAGAGAGGTTCCATGAGACTACACCGTGTTTCAGCTCTATGCTTATATACAGGTGTGGAGGTTTAGTATCTGCAAAATCTCATCAAACTTGCTCAGAAGTTACACTGGGCGTAAAGTGCACCTGGTTATAGATTACATAGGCATAATCACTAACTTGCCAAACATGATCTTATGTATAGGAAAAGGCAAGGACTGGGGCCGTTTATCTTTTTTTTTTTTTTTTTCTTTTTTTTTTTTTTTGAGACAGTCTTGCTCTGTTGCCCAGGCTGGAGTGCGGTGGCACAAACATATCTCACTGCAGCCTCAACCTCCTGGGCTCAAGCGATCCTCTTGCCTCAGCCTCCCGAGTAGCTGGAACCACAGGTATGGGCCACCGTGGCTGGCTAATTTTTCATAGAGATTGGAGCAGGGATCTCACTTTGTCACCCAGGCTGATTGGTCTTAAACTCGTGGGCTCAAGTAATCATCCGGCCTCGGAGTCCCAAAGTGCTGGGATTACAGGCGTGAGCCACTGCTCCTGGCCTCATTTATGTTTTAAGGAATATAGTGACTCAGGCAAGAGAGTTGGGGGTCGTGTGCTGTAGCCTGTTTTGTCCTCAAAGCGTCTTTCCCCAGAGCTGCAAGTTGCCAGGGGTCTGGGGCTTTGTGAAATTCTACTGCAGGCAGAAAGGAGGCACGTGGCTTCTTACATTTGCTACTTTGTCTTACATTTCTATTGTTATAATCCCTCCAGGCCCTCTCACCCGACTTGACCTTGAGACTAATGGGTGTGTTGGAAAGATGCTGGCAAGGTCTGAGGGCACAGCCTGTGGCGGAGGCGGGGCCAGGCAGGCCTAGCCCCTCAGCCAGGCCGTGAGGCCCAGGGCCCTGCCGGGTGGGCGCTCTCTGGGAACTGCACGCAGAGGTGCCTCGTACCCCCAACCACGCCCCACAGGGACACCTGAACCTCCAGAGGAAGGAAATGAGTCTGGAGGAGCCGTAGACGAAAGAGATGCCGCCTCCTGCGGCTGGGATCACTCACAGATGCCTCAGGGAGGCGGCCAGCCCTGAGTCACGCTGAGCTCTGAGCGGGCTGTGACTCAGCGCGACCGCGGCCCCTTGGCTGCGCCTGGGTTGATTTGCGCCCCGCTTGTTTTCTGCAGAAGACAAGGCCGTCTCGGATTAGACTGCTCCTCCTAAACAACCAGCAATTGTTTTTCTTCCTCAAAGTGCAGTTTCCCTCTGGCACAACCAAAAATAAACACAAACCAGGCTCCTGCCAAAGGAGGGGCAGTCCCTGGGGCGCCCACCGCACGCATGTGAGAGCTCGCAGGCCACCTGCCAATCATGAATCTGTTAAGGAAGCGGCCACGAAGGCAGAGAAACCTCTCCCATCGCAGGTTGCGCTGCGATGCACAGGGGCGCTGACTGTTGAGTTGGCGCTCTGTTTATTTCCCCAACTGCCTCCTCTCAGGTTCCGTCCCAACTGCTGGACTCACTGCCGCGTGGGCCTGAGCACATTTCCTTGGCACATTGTCCTCGGTGGAAGTTTTTTCTTCTCGATTTGGTGAGTCAGAGCTGGCTCACACACAAACACCAAGCAGCAGCCTCAGGGACTAAAGTGCTTTAAGGACACGAGGACCTATCCTCCCTCCCCCTATCTCAGTGAGGTGGGCGCAGAGTTCCTGAAACCTGGCCCAGTGCAGTTCATTTGACAGGGAGAGGCTGAAAATGCAAATCACCCCAGCGTAAGTGAGTGCACAGCAAAGACCACGACCTGGCTGCAGCTTATCCTAAAATCCTGAAGTCAGGGAACACCGTGCCCACAGGAAGAGCTGGGCAGCCTGAACCATACTAAGATGTCCCAGGGTGAACCGGAGCCACTGGTTAGTCACACTGACTTCACATTTCCTTCGTGAGAAGGAACTGAAGACAGATTCCAGAACTTGCTGTGTGTAGAATGTATAGTTCATTGCATGTAAGTAAACTCATGTGGTTCCGAATCTATAGGATCAATTCAGCCATTTTAGTGTTATGTCCATGACATCTGAATTTATAAAAATCTAAGTGTCCCTAGCTAGAGATACCTGAAACTAAACAGGCCCTACTTACTATTCATTTTATTTTTGAATAGATAATTCACTCATATATTCAGATATCAAATCCTCATAAAATGATATACATTAAGAATTCTCACTTCCATGCTGTTCTCATTCCTCTCTGCCCCCATAAGCAACCACTTTTACTGCTTTTTAATACATCCTTCCAGTGTATCATTATGCAAATATAAACAAAAATTAATATACTTCTGTGGTTGTCAGAATAATGGCCTCCCAAAAATGTCCATGTGCTAATCCCCAGAACCTATTAATTTGTTACTTTATGTGGAATAAGGACTTTGCAGATGTGATTGAACTGAGGATCTTGAGATTGGAGATTATTCTGGATGACCCCAGTGGGCCCAATGTAACCACAGGTGACCTTCTAAGGGGGAGGCAGAAGGGTCAGAGTCCGAAAAAAAGAGAGCTTGGAAGATGCTATACTGTTGGTTTTGAAGATGGAGGAAGGGGCCATGAACCAAGGAATGCATGCAGCCTCAAGAAGCTAACAAGGCAAGGAAATGGATTGTTTCCTAGAGCCTCCAGGAAGGCAGTGTTCCTTAGACTTCTGACCTCCAGAACTAGCAGTGAATAAATGTGTGCTATTTTAAACCACTAAATTAATAGTAGTTTGTTACAGAAACCACAGGAAATGAACACAACTATTTCCACCTTTTTCTTTTTTTAAAACTGTTATTTTAGGTTCAGGGATGCATGTGCAGGTTTGTTATATAGGTAAACTCATGATATGGGGGTTTGTTGTACAGATTATTTCATCACCCAGGTACTAAGCCTAATACCCAGTAGTTATTTTTTCTGATCCTTTCCCTCCTTCCACCCTCTGCCTTCAAGTAGGCCCCAGTGTGTGTTGTTCCCCTCTTTGTGTCCACGTGTTCTCATTATTTAGCTCCCACTTATACATGGGAATACATAGTATTTGGTTTTCTGTTTCTGCATTAGTTTGCTAAAGATAATGGCTTCCAGTTCCATCCATGTTCCCAAAAAGACACGATCTCTTTCTTTTTATGGCTGCATAGTACTCCACGGTGTGTATGTACCATATTTCCACTGTTCACAATAGCAAAGATATGGAATCCACTTTTTTCTTAAATGAAAGTTAGCATACCCTGTATAGGGTAACCCAAAAGCCTTGGCGGAACTTTAGGCATGAATAACTTCAGAATTATAAATGCTACAAACAACATCACTTGGAAGTTGTATTATATAAATCTCTTTTACACTTATTTAGTTTTGTGAATTTTAAATAGTACATTTTATTTTTTGTTTCAGTATCTCTGATCGAAGATAGAAAACAATAGTGAAACAAAAACATTAAGTTTAAAATTTATTATTCCAAGTTCACAAGACTAAATAAGTGAATAAGAAATGTATACAAGGCTGAGCATGTTGGCTCATGCCTGTAATCCCAGCCCTTTGGGGGACTGAGGTAGGTGGATTGTTTGAGCTCAGGAGTTTGAGACCAGCCTAGCAACATGACAAAAACCTGTCTCTACCCAAAAAAAAGAAAATTAGCCAGGTGTGGTAGTACATGCCTGTGGTCCCAGCTACTTCAGAGACTGAGGTAGGAGGGTCGCTTCAGCCCAGGAAGTTGAGGCTGCAGTGAGCGGTGGTGGCACTACTGCACTCCAGCCTGGGAAACAGAGTGAGACCCTGTCTCAAAAAACAATAAAATAAAATAAAATAAAAAGCTCTTTCCATGCCTAATGCTGTCATGGTTGTGGTCCCAAGAAGCATCTGAAATGGGCAGCAGCTCCATAGCATTTGATGCTGGATAAATTGACCCGCGTGTTTGCTCCTCATCGATCCACCCATCCCCACAAGCTAAGAGAGTGTCTCTCCCTCATCTTTTCATAAAGAACAGACTTAAGAATGTCGGACATGAGATGAAGTAAAGAAGATTTGCATGCACAGTTTCATTAAGATCAATGGCAAGGTCTGAACTAATGTAACCTACCCTGCTGGATTCATGGACGTCATGAGCACTGACAAGACGGGAGAGAATTTCCATCTGATCTGTGACACCAAGGCTCCCTTTGCTGTACATCGTATTGCACCTGAGGAGGCCAAGTACAGGTTGTGCAAAGTGAGAAAAATATTTGTGGACACAAAAGGAATCCCTCATCTGCTGACTCATGATGCTCATACCATCTGCTACCCTGATCCCCTCATCAAGGTGAATGACACCATTCAGGTTGATTTGGAGAATGGCAAGATTACTGGTTTCATCAAGTTCAACACTGAGAACCTGTGTATGGTGACTGGAGGTGCTAACCTGGGAAGAATTGGTGTGATCACCAACAGAGAGAGGCACCCTGGTTCTTTTGATGTGGTTCATGGGAAAGATGCCAACAGCAACATCAACAAACCCTGGATTTCTCTTCCCCAAGGAAAGGTAATGCGCCTCACCATTGCTGAAGAGACAGACAAGAGACTGGTGGCCAAACAGACCAGTGGATGAAATGGTCTCTGGGTGACATGTTAGATCTTTGTAAGTAAGTAAATATAATATGGGCCAGGCGCGGTGGCTCAAGCCTGTAATCCCAACACTTCGGGAGGCCAAGGCAGGGTGGATCACCTGAGGTCAGGAGTTTGAGACCAGCCTGGCCAACATGGCAAAACCCCTTCTCTACTAAAAATACAAAAATTAGCCAGGCATGGTGGCTCGTGCCTCTAATCCCAGCTACTCGGGAGGCTGAGGCAGGAGAATCACTTGAACCCGGCAGGCGGAGGTTGCAGTGAGCCAAGATTGCACCACTGCACTCCACCCTGGGTGTCAGAGTGAGACTCCGTCTCAAAAATTAATTAAAATAATAATCATATGGCATGATTAATCTAAAAAAGAAAGAAATGTATACAATTAAGTTTTCAAATCATGTTTCTTCTGTGTTTATAGTACTTGTACTTCTAACGTTATAAAAGTTTCGAACTGCAGTAAGACTTTTGGGATACAGTGGATATTGCTCAGCACTTTGATTTTTGTCAGTGAACAATATATCCTAGGGTTTTTGTGTCAATACGCAAGGGCCTCTTTTTTTCTTTTATAGTTGTACAATGTCCTCTCCTGTTGGTGTACCACAGTTTATTTAGGCAGCCCTCTATTAATGGATACGTGGGTTGTTTTTAATTATGAAGTGTGCTACAGTGGGTAATCTTGTACATATATCATTTTGTGTTGTGCAGGTAGATCTGTAAGTAAATTATCAGAAGTAAGGATGTTGGGTCAAAACCCTACTCTTTAGAAGCAAGATTTGCATGAGCTTATTTGCAGGAAAGAAAAAAGAAGCAATAATAGGATGTTATAGATTGTTGGTAGATTGTGGTGGAGAGTGGTAGACTCTGGCAAAGATGGCTACAGTCCCGTCTCTGTGTGTGCTCCGGTTCACTGTGACTTTGTCGCTCCTATCATCAAGAGGTCAAGTTTATTTATTTACACATTTATTTTTATTGACACATGTTAGATGTACATATTTTCAGAGTACATGTGATAATTTGATACATTCATATAATCAAATCAGGTAATTGGGATATCCATCACTTTTTTTTTTTTTTGAAACAGGGTCTCTCTCTGTCGCCCAGGCTGGAGTGTGGTGGCATGCTTAGGCTCATTGCAGCCTGGACCTCTCAGGCTCAAGCGACCCTCCCACTTCAGCCTCCCCAGTAGCTGGGACTACAGGCTTGCACCACCACACCTGGCTAATTTTTTGTATTTCTTGTAGAGAAAGGGTTTCACCATGTTGCCCAGGCTGGTCTCAAACTCCTAGGCTCAAGCAATCCACCTGCCTTGGCCTCCCAGAGTGCTGGGATTATGGATGTGAGCCACTGCGCCCGGCCAATATCCATCACTCTAAATAATTTTCTTTTCTTGACGCTAAGAACATTCAAATTATTCTCTTCAAGCTATTTGGAAATATATAATCAATTAATGTTAACTATAGTCACCCTACTGATCTATCAAACATCAGGTCTTATATCTTCTCTCTCGTATATATTTGTACCCATTAATCAAAGGTTAAGTTGACTTCCTGACTCCTGGAATCTGGGCTGGCTAGTGACTGGCTTTGGCTAATAGAATGTGGAGAAAGTGATATTATAGGACCTCCATGCTGGAGCCTCGAGAAAAGGCCTTGCGGCTCCCTCTGTCTCCTTCTGAACCCTGAGTCCTCCATGAGAAGCCTGGGTGCCTCCACCAGGATGACAGAGCCAGAGAGTCAGAGAGCCAGCAGCCAGCACAAGTGGGAAGGCCGTCATGGACCATCCAGCCCCACTGGAGCCTGTGGATGACATGGAAGTGACCCCAGGCCAGACAGCAGGAACCCCGAGCCAAGCCCAGCCCAGTCATCAACCCAGAGGCCTGCTGTTGTTGAAAGTTTTGAGGTGCTTTATTATGCAGCAATAGAAAACCCATGCCTCAGGGAAGTAGTTTCTCTTCACAAAACTTATTTGAAAAGATATACAGTATGTTAGTCACAGCAGGTAAATAACTTTCAGAGTAGCCTGTGGACTGTCAGAAATTTTCTGAGCAAGTCCAATTCAGCTCATCTTGTTTAGCAGGGAGTGTAGGAACTATGGATCCATACCTCAACCCTGAGCACGCCCAAAACCTGGCTGACTTACCAAACTATCTCACTTTCACAAAGAGACAACGGAAGGCTGAGTGTGTGTCAGAGGGTGGCTAGGTGAAGGGGTCCCCACCCCCGCCCCCACCCACTGTGAGGCATTGCGTTTCACTGCTGGGCAGCTTCCAAAAGGGAAGGAAATCCACTCCTACAGCATCCCTTCTGACACACATTAAGGCTCTTCTGAGTTCAAAAAATCAGGAAAATGAAGAGTCTGAAAGTGGCCTGTTTAGCTTAATCAGGCTCAAAGGAAAAAATATGTTTGATTTCCATTTTTGAACTAGTATACCAGAGTTTTCAACATCAAGAAAATCAATTTAATGTGTTGCAACTAGTATTTTTATTTTTTTATTTTATTTTTTCTTTTTGTTGTTGTTGTTGTTGTAGCATTTATTTATTTATTTATTTATTTATTTAGAGATGGAACCTCACTCTGTCACCCAGGCTGGAGTGCAGTGGGGTGATCTTAGCTCACTGCAACCTCCACCTCCCAGCTTCAAGCAATTCTCGTGCTTCAGCCTCCGGAGTAGCTGGGAATATAGGTGTGCGCCATACTCAGCCAGTTTTTTTTGTATTTTTAGTAAAGACAGGGTTTCACCATGTTGGCCAGGCTGGTCTCGAACTCCTGACCTCAGGTGATCCGCCCACCTCAGTCCTCCAAAGTGCTGGGATTACAGGCATGAGCCACTGCACCTGGCCTGAATTTTTTTTTTTTTTTTTTTATTGTTCATTCTTGGGTGTTTCTCGCAGAGGGGGATTTGGCAGGATCATAGGACAATAGTGGAGGGAAGGTCAGCAGATAAACAAGTGAACAAAGGTCTCTGGTTTTCCTAGGCAGAGGACCCTGCAGCCTTCCGCAGTGTTTGTGTCCCTGGGTACTTGAGATTAGGGAGTGGTGATGACTCTTAACGAGCATGCTGCCTTCAAGCATCTGTTTAACAAAGCACATCTTGCACCGCCCTTAATCCATTTAACCCTGAGTGGACACAGCACATGTTTCAGAGAGCACAGGGTTGGGGGTAAGGTCACAGATCAACAGGATAAGAATTTTTCTTAGTACAGAGCAAAATGAAAAGTCTCCCATGTCTACCTCTCTCTACACAGACACGGCAACCATCCGATTTCTCAATCTTTTCCCCACCTTTCCCCCCTTTCTACTCCACAAAACCGCCATTGTCATCATGGCCCGTTCTCAATGAGCTGCTGGGTACACCTCCCAGACGGGGTGGTGGCCGGGCAGACGGGCTCCTCACTTCCCAGTAGGGGCGGCCCGGCAGAGGCGCCCCTCACCTCCCGGACGGGTCGGCTGGCCGGGCTGGGGGCTGATCCCCCCACCTCCCTCCCGGACGGGGCGGCTGGTATTTTTAAAAATCATATTTGTACACTCATGTTCATAGCAACATTATTCATAATAGCCAGAAAGTGGAAGCAATGCAATGTCCATCGATGAATGAAAGGATAAACAAAATGTTATTATCTATCTATCTATCTAGATTATGTGTGCATCCAGTGGAATATTACTCAGCCTTAAAAAGGAAAGAAATTTGGACACATGCTATAACATGGAGAACCTTGAGGACATTATGCCAAATGAAAGAAGCCAGTCACTAAAGGACAAATATGATTCCTCTTATATGAGGTACCTAGAGTAGTTAAGCTCAGATGCAGAAGTAGAATGGAGGTTACCAGAGGCAAAGGAGGGGAGATAGGGAATTACTGTTTAATAGGTATGGAGTTTTGGATTAGGAAGATAAAAAATGTGCTGGAGATGGATAGTGGTGATGGCTGCACAGCAGTGTGAGTGTAATTAATGCACAGAAGCATACACTTAAAAATTAACATGGTTCTTTTTATGATATAAATATTTTACAATAAAAAATAAAAAGAAGTGGAATAAAATATAGGTTGCATAGATGTGTTTATTGTGTGAAAATTTATCAAGATCTACACTTATAATCATGTACTTTTCTGCCTATTTGCTATGCTTCAATAACAGAATTAATTATTAAAAACCCAAATATAATAGAAGATGTCAGAATGCATTGCCCATAATAAGGGTAAGTGTTGTTTTGTGAAACTTTTGTTATAGTTAGAAGTGTGTGTATGTGCACACACACGCGTGCTGCATCATGATATTAAGTGTATTTTGGATTGTGGTTTTTAAAAAATTGAAGAAACGTTATGCTGGGGCTAGTCACCATTTCTTAGTGTGCAGTTCCTTCCATCTTGAATTTGATATGCTTTTCCCAGTGGAAGTAATTTAATTTTAACATTGATCTATTCAAGCAGAAAAATCCTTTCCCTGGGGTCTTTTCATCATAATCATTTTTCTTCATCTGACTGCCCACACTAACTAGATTGCATATGCTAGATTAACCAGTAAATTCATGAACAGACTTTATCATTTTGCTCCATGGACTGTTCATGAAAGCATTAGCAGCGTACATCATGATGAGAGATTATGATATGAGCTTTATGCTTCAATTCACAAAAACTACAGTTCCTTTAAACCATAGGGTGTTGGAATTTTAAAATTCGTTGGTGGTTATGGTTCTAAAGCTCTTGTGCTCATAGGAATCTCCTTTGTAACATCTAAAACAGTGGGTTGTTCATCCAGTGCTTGAACACTTCTGATGACAATAAGGCATCTCAGCCCATTGATTCATTGCTGGGTAGCCTCCAACTCTAGAAAGCTTATAAGGGTAGTTTTATGGCAGAATTAGGTGGTGAATCACCCTGGAGCCCGAAGAGGCATCTGTGATCAGCTAAGCCTTGGTCAAACAAACAGGTGCCTGGAACCATTTGTCATCCACATTTCAAAGACATCCTTCATGGGGCATGTGTATTGGTTTAAAAGGGTGCACTTTAATTTTCTGTGTCTTTTAATAGAATGGAGCACTTAATGCCAGGTACTTCTAAAACAGGAGAGGAGGCATTTCTTTAGGTATTGTGAACAAAGGATCAGTGACTGCACACTGATGAGTCCTTTCTATCTTTATGGTCCTGGGGAGAAGACTCTCATGACCATGGGGCATCTTTCTCTTGGATCCATGTGGCCCCTGCTCCCCACACCCTCCCTGTTACAGAGGGGGAGTGGGGAGTGGGGGCCCTGAGGTGCCCCAGCAATGCCTATGGCTGATGGGTGAGTCTAATTCTAGGGATCAGTATTTGGAAGTCCACTTGATTATATAAGCCACATCTTCAACTATCAGTTTTATCCATAATGAAGGTAGTATTTTGGCCTTCCTTTGCCTTATTTTTTTGACTTTAAGCATGTTACTCATTAGGCCACTGGAATGCAACAACATAGACTTCTATATCCAACTGGCTAAAGAAAGCTGCACAACTGGGCAGATTTGTGAAACTCCAAGTTAGACCCCAACCCTCTATGGCTATTTCTCAGCCCTTTTACCTGGCTTTGGCCAATTTCCTTTCCCATCCTCCTCACCACTTATTCCAAATCTTCCCCAATCATCAAGTCCCTAGTCCCTGTGCTTACTGCCAGCACACAACATCATCCCTCCGCCCTCAAAGAGAAAAGCGAGATGCCAGTGAAATAGATCTGCTCCCTCTTTCCCTTTTATGAAAGCTTCTCTTGGGAAAATAGAGAAAATGACAAGTCATAGACATTCTAAAATTATTAGACTTACAGGCAGGAGGAAAAAAATCTTTCTGTGGTTATCTTCAGTTACCAGTACACTGTGCAAGAAAAATTAAATGAAACAGTAGACAAAGTAAAAACTAGAATAGAGGAAGAAAAGAATACAAGAAAAAGAAGTAGACGAGCCCTCCCCCAAAAAGATACAATTATTTCACAGCTTTCTTGTCATATATTCACAGCATATCTATTTCCACCTGAACTTCCCCTGAGTCTTGGAGGATGAAGTGTCCTTCCTCAATAAAGGCAATTTCCTAAACTCAGGCACTAGTCTATTTTTCCAACCCCTCCAAGATGTTTTTCCAACAACTGTTCCCTTGCTCTCAGATTGTCAACTCTCCTTGACCACTAATTTATCTATTCAGCTTGTAAACAAGTTCCCTTGTCCCAGAAATATCCCTTAATCCTGTGCCCTGGGCCGGGCTGGTGGCTCACCCCTGTAATCCCAGCACTTTGAGAGACCAAGGCGGGCGGATCACCTGAGGTCAGGAGTTTGAGACCAGCCTGAGCAACATGGCGAAACCCCAACTGTACTAAAAATACAAAAATTAGCCAGGCATTAGGTGGCAGATGCCTGTAATCCCAACTACTTGAGAGGCTGAGGCAGGGAGAATCGCTTGAACCCAGGAGGCTGAGGTTGCAGTAAGCCAAGATCATGCCACTGCACTCCAACCTGGGTGACAGAGCGAGACTCTGTCTCAAAAAAAAAAAAAAAAAAAAAAATCCTGTGCCCTGTCCATCTGTACCCCATCTCTCTTAATATTTAATCCAGATTTTTCAAACACTTTAATCTACATCCTCCCTCACATTTATCCCTCCATAATATTCCTCATGCTTCCACCAGTGCCCCTTATGCTTGCAAAGATCAGTAATATTTCAATTCCCAGATCTCCTGATCATGGTCCACACAGAGTACTTGGCTGCACTACTCTCTTCTCCTTGAATGCTTTTCTCTCTTGATAGGGTCCATATTTTAAGCATATTTCCATATTAACTTCTGGCACGGCCTATCATGTTTAGTCATCAATACATTTCCAGCTTTAGATGTGTGAGTTAAAACTGAGGCTCTAGGGCATGGTGGCTCATGCCTATAATCCCAAAACTTTGGGAGGCCAAGACTGGAAGATGGCTTGAGTCCAGGAATTCAGGATCAGCCTGGGCAACATAGTGTGATCCCATCTCTACAAAAAATACACACACACACACACACACACACACACACACACACAAAACTGAGGCTCTGAAGAGAGAAATGGTGACCTTCTGACCAGCACTGGATTGCTGCTTTTATAAAGTCAATTTTATAAGGCAAACTTGAGAATTTCTGTGAAATTTGTACATGTTTTTTTCTAATTCTTCAGAGATCAAGAACTGTTCCTTGAGTACCTAGACCTCTGCTAAAGGGTAACTGTACTAGACCATGGCCATTTCCCATTCTATAAAAATTAGGACCCTCTGTTTATTGATAACATATTAATTTTCAATGAAGTGGTTTAAGATTTTAATGAAATTTTTTCTTCATATGGGGCATTCTTCATATGATTGGAGGATGAATTTGTCTTGCATAAATGAAAATCATAATACCAGGCTAAAGACACTAGAGTTTAAGACACTTGTCCATTAATCATTCAACTGCAGAAGTCCCAAGTGCTCTAAGTACAGTGAACTACTTTGAAAAAGGGGGAACCTGTGGAGCAATGGACCTATTATTTGCCTCCCATCTTCAGGACAGCAAGAGAGAGTTGTCAATCTTTGCGATAGGAGACAAAGTGAGAGTGGGTATGGACTTGTAAGAAAAAACTATTTTTCTCCTCATACCAAATGTGGATAAGTATGTGTATGGTTTTTCTACACCAAGCAGTTCTTCGATTATCTGCAGACACCCACTGGGTGTCCTACAATTCAATCAAATTCTGATACTATATACCCGGAGTTAGCATCAGATCTCACAAGTTAAAGGGCTCAGTCCCATAAGACTTTCCCCACATCAGACACCAATTGCAAGTCCCACACTGCATCTGTATTTCTGACTGCTAGCTACAAATCAGGAGTTCCCATGACCTCCTCCAAGGTTCAGTAATTTCCTAGAAAAGTTCATAGAACTTAGGAACATTTCACTCAAAAATGAATAATAATGGTGAAAAACTGAAAGTTTTCTCCTAAGATTAGGAACAAGACAAAGATGCCCACTTTTGCCACTTCTATTCAACACTATTGAATTATAGTCTGGAAATTATAGCCACTGCAATTAGGTGAGACAATCTTCCTTTCCAGATTGGAAAGGAAGAAGTAAATGATCTCTATTTGCAGATGAAATGATTTTATATATTGAAAATCCTAAAAATTATTTTAAAACAGTATTATAAGTAATAAATTCAGCAAAATGGCAGGATATGAGATCAACATACAAAAATGTTATATTTGCATATGCTAGCAATGAACAACATGAAAGGCAATTAAGAAAACAATTCCATTTACAATAACATCAAGAAGAATAAAATATTCAGATATCAATTTACCATAGAGATGTAAGATTTGTACTCTGAAAACTACAAAACATTGATTAAAGAAATTAATGAAGGCCTAAGCACTTGTAAAGATAACCCATATTAATGGATTGGAAAATATTTCTTTTCTCTTTTTTTGGAAACAAAGCCTTGCTCTATCACCCAGGCTGTCATAGCTCACTGCAACCTCCAACTTTCAGGCTCAAGTGATCCTCCCACCTCCCAACTAGCAATAACCACAGGCATGCAACACCACACCCTGCTAATTTTTTACTTTTTGTAGAGATGGATTCTCTCACTGTATTGTTCAGTCTCGTCTTAAACTTCTGACATCAAGCGATTCTCTTGCCTAGGCCTCCCAAAGTGCTAGGATTGCAGGCACAAGCCACCACAGCCAACCAGAAGACTTATTAATAAGATGGCAATACTCCTAAAATGATCTAGATTCATTGCAATCTGTAACTTTCCCTACTACACAGCAGCTAGATGACATAACAACCTCCACCACCCGGGTTCAAGCGATTTTCCTGCCTCAGCCTCCCAAGTAGCTGGGATTACAGGTGCCTGCCACCAAGCCTGGCTAATTTTTGTATTTTTAGTAGGGACGGGGTTTCGCCATGTTGGCCAGGCTGGTCTCGAACTCCTGACCTCATGATCTGCCCACCTTGGCCTCCCAAAGTGCTGGGATTACAGGTGTGAGCCACCACGCCCAGCCTGACTGAATGTTTTCTGAATGAGAAGAATCACTTTCAACTACTGTTATTGAAGCAGGATATTTCCCTGACCCCTTCGTGGGCGGGAACTGGAATGCATGGGTGCTAGAACTAGCTGGTCACTTTGGTGCCGGCAAGGGTGGACTCCACTCACTGGGTCCCGCTGTGTTCCACTGCTCACTGGAGGGGGAGTGCAGGTGAGTGGCTGCAGGAGCCGGGGTGAGTACTTTGGGTGCCAGCAGGAGCAGAGCAGCACTCCTTGTGGGCCCTGTGGGAGCATCTACCCCGCGACCCCTGAAGCCCCAGAAGGAGTACTACGGTGCCCTTTCAGTTTTGCCATGTGAGGACAGCTTAACTGTTTACAGCTCAGTGGAGGGTCAATGTGACAACCTTTTGTACCCGAGTTCTTGTCTGGCATCAAGGAGGAAGAGGTCGTGTGAACGAATTGGAGATAGTAAATGTGGGGGATTTTATTGCCCATGAAAGTGACTCTCAGTGGGAAGGGGAGCTGAAAAGGGGACAAAACTGGAAGGCGGATTTCCCCTGGAGTCCAGCCATCCCTGGCCAGACTCCTCTCTGAAGCTACGCTGTCAAACTGTCCCTCTGAAGTCAAGACACTTCTCTCTGATGTCCAACTGTAGTCTCTGACGTCCAGCTGCTTCTCCTCTCTGCTGGCTGAGTTCTCAGGTTTTTATGGGCACAGGATAGGGGATGGGGTGACCCAAGGGTGGTTTTGGAAAAGGCAACATTAGAGCGGGAAAACAGGGATGAAAGTCCTCGTTTTGGGCCACAGTTTTAGGCTCTTCGCCTTGAGGGTGGGGCCCTAGCAAGGGCCCAGAATTTCCCTGCCTCCTGTTGCTATCATTATTCTGCCCAGAATTCTGCCCAGAATTTCCCTGCCTCCTGTCCCTATCATTATTATATACTGAATGGATTTAGAAATTACTTTTTGTTGGCCAGGTGCAGTGGCTCATGCCTGTAATCCCAGCACTTTGGGAGGCTGACGCAGGTGGATTGCTTGAGCTCAGGAGTTAGAGAGACCAGCCTGGGCAACATGGCAAAACCCTGTCTCTACAAAAAATATATATAGATAGATATAGATATAGATACATAAAAATTAGCCAGGCATGGTTGCATGGTGGCATTTGCCTGTATTCCCAGCTATTTGTGGGGCTGAGGCAGGAGGATCACTTGAGCGAGGGAGATCAAGGCTGCAGTGAACCAGGTTTGTGCAACTGCACCCCAGCCAGGGTGACAGAGTGAGACTCTGTCTCAAAACAAGAAAATTAGTTTTTGCTGCAGATTTGACGATGTGTCTTCATTAAGTTAAGCTAAAATTACAAGGCAAAACAGCACTTCAATGCAAATGTTACACTATGGTAAAGTCATTTTAATGGTTAATTTTAGTTGTCAACCTTTTAAGTGGGTTAAGGAATACCCAGATAGCTTATAAAGCATTTTTTCTGGGTATGTCTGTGAAGGTGTTTCCAGAAGAGGTTGGCATTTGAATCAGTGGACTGAATAAGGAAGATCTGCTCTCATCCAATATGACCAGGCAACATCCAATCGGCTGAGGGCCTAGATAGAACAAAAAGGCAGAGGAAAAGGAAATTTGTGCACTCTCTTGTGCTCTCTCTCTCTCTCTCTCTGTCTCTCTATTCTGGAGCTAGGACACACTTCTGCCCTTGGACATCAGAACTCCAGGTTCTCCAGCCTTTGGATTCCAGGACTTGCATCAGCAGCGCCCCTGCTTCTCAGGCCTTTGGATTTGGACTGAGAATTACACATCAGCTTCCTTAGTCCTGAGGCCTTCTGACCTGGATTGGGCCATGCTACCAGCTTCCTTGGTTCTCCAGGTTGCATGTTGCCTATCGTTCGACTTCTCAGCCTCCATAATCTCATAAGCCAATTCCCCCAATAAATCTCCTTTTATATATTTGTATCTACATCTATATCCTATTGGTTCTGGTCTCTGGAGAACCCTAACGAATGCAGATTTTAGTGCTGAAAATGAGGTGGTGCTATAACAAACACCTAAAAATGTGGAAGCAGTTTTGGATCTGGGTAATGGGTAGAGGCTGGATCAGTTTTGAGCTGCATGCTAGAAACACCCTAGATGGCCATGAATGGAGCATTAAAGGCAGTTCTGGCGAGGGCTCAGAAGAAGAGGAACGCTGTAGAGAGCCTCGGTCTTCTTAGAGATTATCTAAGTGGTTGCAATCAGAATGCTGGTAGAGATGTGAACAGTAAAGTCCGTTCTAATGAGAACTTAAATGAAAATAAGGAAGATCTTTTTGGAAGCTGGAGGAAAGGCCATCTTTGCTACAAACTAGCAAAGGAACTTGGCGGAAATCCTTTGCTAGTTTGTAGCAAAGATGGCCTTTCCTCCAGCTTCCAATAAGATCTTGTGTCCGTGTTGTGAATTGTGTCCGTGTTAGTACTTTGTGGAAATCAGAACTTAGGAGTGATGAACTAGGATATTCGATAGAAAAAATCTCTAAGCAAAGTGTTTCAGGGTGCTGCATGGCTTCTCTTGACTGTTTATAATGAAATTCAGAAAGAGAAAAATGAATTAAAGATGGAATTTATATCAAAAGGGGAGCAAAGGGCTGGGTGCAGTGGCTCATGTCTATAATCCCAGCACTTTGGGAGGCCAAGGCAGAAGGATCACTCAAGCCCAGGAGTTTGAGACCGGCTTAGGCAACATAATGAGACCTCATCTCTACAAAAAATAGACAAAAATTAGCTGGGCATGGTGGTGCATACATGTAGTCCCAGCTACTTGGGAGACTGAGGTGGGAGGATCACTCAAGACTGGGAGATCAAGGCTGCAGTTGAACCGAGATTGTGCCACTGCACTCAAGCCTGGTTGAAGATAAGGAAAATTCTCAGCCTAGCCGTGTTGTTAAAAATGAAAAAGTGTGTTTGAGCAAGAACGTCAAGGGTGTGACCGAACACCCTTGCTAAGGAGATTAGTATGGACAGAAGGAAGCCAGATGCTACTCATCAAGACAATGGGAGAATGACTCCAAAGGCACTTCAGAGATCTTTGAGGCTGCCACTCTCGTCACAGGCCCGGAGTGCTAGGGCCTTGAGGGAAGAACGTTTCAAAGGAGATCCCAGGGCACCCATGGGACTTTGGGGCTCACTGCCCAGGGGCACCCCAAGCTTCGGTTCCCTGAATTCTGGTGCAGTACTCCTTGACCACCCCAGCTGTGGCTCAGGGGGCCAAGATGCAACTTGGGTCAACAATCCGGAAGGCACAGTATGTAAACCTTGGTGGCATACATGTGGGGCTAACTCTCCAGGCATGCAGAATGCAAGAACAGTGGAAGCATGGCTACCTCCACCTAGATTTCAAAGGGTGCCTCACAACCTCAGTCTCAAAGCTCTGAACTGCCACAAGGCAGGGTGTGGCAGAGAGTCCCCACTACGGCCATGCCCAGCAGAGCTACAGGGTCAAGACCACTGCAGGGAGCCCCCAATAGGGCAATGCTTAGTGAGGCCATGCAAGACAGCCACCCCTAAAAGCCCCAAACCTGTAGAGCCTGCAGTGCCAGCCAGCGGGCAGTGCCAGCCAGGAAGAGCCATAAGTATCCAACTCCAATTCCTGAGAGCTGCAGTGTGGGCTTCATCCAGCAAAGCCATGGTAGTGGGGTCTCCTGGGGGAATGGGGACCCAATCCCCACTCCAGTGCGTCTGGAAGCTAAGATGTGGAGTCAGAGATTATTCTCGAGCCTCAAGATATAATGTTGTTTGCCTCACTGGGTTCCGGACTAACTTGGGATTTATTACCCCTTGTTTCTTGCCTTTTTCTCCCCTTTAAGAATGGGAATGTCTACGCCATGCCTGTCCCATTATTCTATTTTGGAAGTATATAACTTGTTTGATTTCACAAGCTCACAGTTAGAGATAAATTTTTCTCAAAATGAGTCATATTTTGAGTTTCACCCTGAGTCTTATCCATATCTGATTTAGATGATATTTAGATGAGACTTTTGACTTAGATTTTAAAGTAGATACTAGAATGATTAAGACTTTTGGGGGCTATTGGGGTGGAATGAATATATTTTGAATATGAGAAAAACACGAATTTAAAGGGCCCGGGGTGGACTGCTACTGTTTGAACGTTTGTGTCTCCTCCCAAATTCATATTGAAATGCAATCCCCATTATAATGTTATTAAGAGGTGGGGCCTTTGGGAAAGTGATTAAGTCATGAGGGCTCCACCATCATAAATAGAGTATTGCCTTATAAAAGGGCTGAGGGAATCAGCTTAATCCCTTTTTGCCCTTCCACCAGGTGAGAGCACAGCAACAAGGCACCATCTTGGAGGCAGACAGCAGGCCTCACCAGGCACCAAATGCTGGTTCCTTAATTTTGGACTTAGCCTTCAGAAGCGTAAGAAATAAATTTATCTTTTTTTTTTTTTTTTTTTTTTTTTGAGACAGAGTTTCGCTCGCATCACCCAGGCTGGAGTGCAGTGGTGCAATCTTGGCTCAGTGCAACCTCTGCCTCCCGGGTTCAAGCGATTCTCCTGCCTCAGCCTCCTGAATAGCTAGGATTACAGGCACCCACCACCATGCCTGGCTAATTTTTGTATTTTTAGTAGAGATGGGGTTTCACCATGTTAGCCAGGCTGGTCTTGACTCCTGACCTCAGGTAATCCACCTGCCTCAGCCTCCCAAGGTGCTGAGATTACAGGCGTGAGCCACTGCACCCAGTCAAATTTCTCTTCTTTATACATTACCCACTCTATGATATTTTGTTATGGCAGCACAAATAGACTAAGACAGTCATTTTGACCACAACTAATGTTTGAATCATAAGTAATGTCAGTCTGCTTTATCTACTTCTAGTGCTAACAAAAGCTAAAATAAGAAGTGAGATCTTCATCCTGACACAATTTTGTACTGGATATATTATTCAAGTTCAAACTACAGTCCCAGCAGTATGTGGTAGACCTCAATGCAAGTATAAAGGAAATTTACATCTTTCAAAAACCTTTTAACTGTGCAACTGAGCTTCCACGTAAGACATTTGAAGGGACTGTCTACAATGTAATGACTTGCTAAAAAGCAAATATCAAGAGGAGAATCTCATAGAATTTGTAATGCCTTCCAAGTGATTAATATGCTCAATCACATGCTCATCTAAGACCAGGAATAAGGCAAAGATGCCCACTATCATCGCTACTATTCAAGATAGTACTGGAAGTTCTAGCCAGAGAAATTAGACAAGAAAAAGAAATAGAGCAGTAGAGGTTTGAGATGTTGGCCAGTTACATATGAGGAATAAGTTCAAGAGCTCTATTGTACAACATGGTGACTCTAACTAATAACAGTGTATTTTATTCTTGAAAAGTGCTAAAAGAGTAGATTTCAAGTTTTCTCACCACAAAAAGGATAAGTAGGTGAGGTAATACATGTTAATTAGCTTGATTTACCTATTCTGCAATATATACATAATTCAAAAATCATGTTGCACATGATAAATATGTACAATTTTAATTTGTCAATTAAAATAAGTTTAATTTAAAAAATAAAAGGCATAGAAACTGGAAAATGATAAAATTATCCCTGTCTGCTGATGACATATGTAGAAAACCCTAAAATGTCTAAAAAGTCCAGGTGCAGTGGCTTACACCTATAATCTCAGCACTTTAGGAGGCCAAGGTGGGAAGTTCACTTGAGCCCAGGAGTTTGAGACCAGCCTGGGAAATATAGAAAGACCTCATTTCTATATATTTTTTTAAAAATTAGCTGGCCATGGTGGCATGTGCCTACAGTCTCAACTACTTGGGAGGCTGAGGTGGGAGGATCACTTGAGCCTGGGAGCTCAAGGCTGCAGTGAGCTATGATCTTGCCATTATACTCCAGCCTGGGCAACAGAGTGAGACCCTGTTCAAAAAAAAAAAATCTAAAAAAAACTCTGTTAGAACTAATAAACAAATTTACTGAAGCTGTAGAATACAAAATCAACACTCAAAAATCAGTTGCATTTTAATACACTAAAAGTAGATGCACATATATATATGTGTGTATATATATATATATATATATATATGTGTGTGTGTGTGTGATTAATTGAACTTTTTTAAAGGTGCCAAGGTAATTTAACGGGGAAAGAATAGACTTTTAAACAAATGTTCTTTAAACAACTGGGAATATATTAGGATAAAAATGAACCTTGATTTTTACCTCATACCATACAGTCTAATGAACCTGACATGAATGAAACTTCTAGGAAAAAAAGATGAGAAAATCTTTGCAATCTTGGGGTAGGGAAAGATTTTTTTTTTTTTTTTTTTTTTTTTTTTTTTTTTTTTGAGACGGAGTCTCGCTCTGTCGCCCAGGCTGGAGTGCAGTGGCGGGATCTCGGCTCACTGCAAGCTCCGCCTCCCGGGTTCACGCCATTCTCCTGCCTCAGCCTCCCGAGTAGCTGGGACTACAGGCGCCCGCCACTACGCCCGGCTAATTTTTTGTATTTTTAGTAGAGACGGGGTTTCACCGTTTTAGCCGGGATGGTCTCGATCTCCTGACCTCGTGATCCGCCCGCCTCGGCCTCCCAAAGGGAAAGATTTTTTAAGATACCGGCCAGGAGCAGTGGCTCACGCCTGTAATTCCAACACTTTGGGAGGCCGAGGTGGGTGGTGGATCACTTGAGCCCAGAAGATTGAGACCAGCCTGGTCAATGTCTCTACAAAAAATATAAAAATTAGCCTGGCATGGTGGCATGCACCTGTAGTTCCAGCTACTTGGGAGGCTGAGATGGGAGAATGGCTTGAGCCCAGGAAGTCAAGGCTGCAGTAAGCAGTGATTGCACCACTGCACTCCAGCCTGACCGACAGAGTGAGATTCTGTCCCTGCAATAAACAAAAAGACACCAAAACATAGATCATTAAAGAAAAAAATGACAAATAGACTTCAAAATTAAACTTTTCTGCTCTTTAAGAAACACAAATAAGAAAATGCAAAAGCCAGCCATAGACTGAGAGGAAATATTTGCAGTATCTGACAGACTAATATTGAAAATATATGAATAATTCTTACAACTTAATAATAAAATAATAAATAACCCAATTTAAAATGGGTAAAAAAAAACATTTCAACAAAGAAGCTATACAAATATCAAATAAGCACAGGCAGTGGTGCACAAAGTCATTAATCCTTAGGGAAAGCAAATTGAAACCACAGGAGATACCTCTATACACCCACTGGAATGTCTAAAATTAGAAGCTTGAGGGCCGGGCGCGGTAGCTTATACCTGTAATTCCAGCACTTTGGGAGGTCAAGGCGGGCAGATCACTTGAGGTCAGGAGTTTGAGACCAACCTGGCCAAAATGGTGAAACCCTGTCTCTACTAAAAATACAAAAATTAGCCAGGCGTGGTGGTGCGCACCTGTAGTCCCAGCTACTTGGGAGGCTGAGGCAGGAGAATCGCTTAAACCCAGGAGGCGGAGGTTGCAGTGAGCCAAGATCACGACACTGCCCTCCAGCCTGGGCAGCAGAGCGAGACTCCCTCTCACAAAACAAGAACAATAAAAAGAAGCTTGAAAATACCAAGTATTGAAGAGGCTTTAAGGCAATCAAAACTTTTATACATTGCTGGGGAGTATGCAAAGCAGTATAACCACTCAGGAAAATAGCTTGGCAATTTCTTATAAAGTCAAACATACACTTACCATGTAACCTAGCTATTGCAGTATTGTTTTGTTTTGTTTTTTTGAGATGGAGTTTCACTCTTATTACCCAGGCTGGAGAGCAGTGGCGCAATCTCAGCTCACTGCAACCTCCGCCTCCCTGGTTCAAGCAATTCTCCTGCCTCAGCCTACCAAGTAGCTGGCACTACAGGCGCCCACCACCATGCCTGGGTAATTTTTTGTATTTTTAGTAGAGACGGGGTTTCATCTTGTTGGACAGACTGGTCTTGAACTCCTGACCTCAGGTGATCACCCGCCTCAGCCTCCTAAAGTGCTGAGATTACAGGCGTGAGCCACCACGCCCAGCCCTATTGCAGTTTTAAGTATTTTCTTTAAGAGAAATAAAAATTGATGTCCAAGAATCTGTATACTAATGATCATAGCGTTAGCCATAATAGTCCCAAACAGAAAACAACTCAAATGTTTATCAGTAGATGAATAGATAAACAAGTTGTATATATCCCTGCAATAAACACATCAGCAATGAAAAGGACCAAATTACTGATACACAGATGAATCTCAAAAATATTACAATGAGCAAAAGAAGCCACAAAATAGTACATACTGTGTGATTCTATTAATATGAAATGAGAAAAGACAAATCTAACCTTTAGTGACAGAAAGAAGACTGGGCAGAAGGGAACTTTTGTGAAGTGACAGAAATGCTCATCTTAGTCACAGTAGTAATTACATAGCTGTATACTGTCAACAGACAAAATTATAACAAATTTGGTTATAAAGCTGTTTAGCTTTGTTCAAAACTTGTGAATTGGGACAGCCTCCGTTCTACAAAATAGGATGAGAGCTCCCACCGAGCTAAGGAAGAACACTGGGGTTTGTAAGATGAAAACAAGGAAACAGAACAATAGCACTGATTAATATCACATTACTTTTTTTCTAAAGGTTAAAGCAGAGAGACTGCCTTATTATGCTGACTCAGGTAGACTGGAATCTCCTGTTCTCAGGAAAAACTGGTCTGTTTGGGGATCTATCTGCTTGCTTCCTTGAAGTTTCAGTTTGATTATGTGGCATTTAGCATAAGTGACTCTATTTTGGTTTGGTCTGGTCTGTTGGGGCCTAGCACAGGAGTTCAGACTAAAATAGTGGCCTCCCATGATTTTAACAGTACGATTGTCAAAACTCATCAGATAGTACATTTATAATGGGTGCATTCCACTGTATGTAAACTTAAAGAAATTCTCCACCAGGAGCAGTGGCTCATGCCTGTAATCCCAGCACTTTCAGAGGCCAAGGCGGGTGAATGTTTGAGCCCAGGAGTTTGAGACCAGCCTGGGCAACATGACGAAACCCTGTCCTATAAAAATGCAAAAATTAGCCGGGCCTAGTGGCCTGCGCCTGTAATCCCAGGTACTCAGGAGGCTGAGGTGGAAGGATCACTTGAGCCCAGAAGGCGGAGGTTGCAATGAGCCAAGATCATGCCACTGCACTCCAGCTTGGGCAACAGAGCAAGCCCCTGTCTTTAAAAAAAAAAAAGAAAAGAAAAGAAAAGAAAAAGAAAAAAAGTCCTTTCTTCCCTATACTTTTCCATCTCTCCAAATCAGCTTCATTTGGTTTGGTTTCTTTTTTTATTCCTCCTTTCATCTGTTCAGAACCGGTCCTCTCTGAGGAATATTGTATTTGTTTCTTTCAAATGTAAATTGTTTTGGCATTTTCAGCTCCATCCAACTCTCTCAACTTCATCCTTTCAGGGATATGCATAATACAACTCCAGTCTGTACAAAGCACCCTTCCTCCTTGGAAGGTGGAGGCTGAGAACTGCAGATACTTATAAATTGCCCCCCCGCCCCGCCACACACACACACACACACACACACACAAATACATTGCTATGCCAATGGCAGTGCCAAAGCCAGGACTATAATCCAGATTACCCAATTTTCTGATAGAATGAATGTGTTTCTTATGCCAGCTGCAGCTTAACATGCAAAATTCCTTTTTTGTCTTCCAGTTCAATATACACTATTTGAAGAGATGTTAGGTAAATCCCGTATTTTCTTCAGAGACAGAAGCTGAGGAGGCTGGGTTGGGAGTGAGGGTTTAATTTGCAACCACGTTAGATGTCATGGCCCCCAGGCTCACTGCTTTGCAGAAGAACTTAGGTAATTATCATAAGGAACAAGTGCACACAAATCAAAGGTCAACTGAGCTGAAGTTATTTGATTTAGGATTTTGGTGATGTTCTTTGTCCTTGTTAATGCTGCTGCCACTTTTTGTTTGTTTTTGTTAAAAAATAGCAACCAAGTGCCCACATTTAAGGTATTTTCATCACAAGTTTACTGAAGAGCAACTCAATATTGTCTTTCTAAGAATTCAAGCTACATTCATTCCTCTCCTAGCCTGTCCCCATGGCAACAGTACCCAGGTGCCATTTTAGCAGGTTTTACTTAGTAACTTTCAGCATCAGTACGATTTTTTGCATTGTTCTTCTTGTATATACTAAATTAGAAAGGTTAACAACAAAATGATGGACAATAGAAAACACTTCCAAACTCATTTTATGAAGCCAGCATTATCTTGATGCCAAAATGAGACAGACACCACAGTAAAAGAAAAAACTGGCCAGGCGTGGTAGCTCACGCCTGTAATCCCAGCACTTTGGGAGGCTGAGGTGGGTGGATCACGAGGTCAAGAGATCGAGATCATCCTGGCCAACATGGTGAAACCCCATCTCTACTAAAAATACAAAAATTAGCTGGGCGTGGTGTTGGGTGCCTGTAGTCCCAGCTACTTGGGAGGCTGCGGCAGAATCACTTGAACCCGGGAGGCAGAGGTTGCAGTGAGCCAAGATCGCGCCACTGCACTCCAGCCTGGCGACAGAGCGAGACTCTGTCTCAAAAAAAGAAAAAAAAACTATTAAAATGGCAGCTCTCATATTAGGTGTTCTTACCACAGTAAAATAAACATAATTTTTTTTAAACGACAGAGACAGAAAACAGAGTAGGATACACTTCGAAGTACTTGGAAACAACATTTGTGTACATCCAAATGTTCTAGACTTTTTATTCCAAATTCAATAGGAAAAGTCTCAATAGTGAATGCTGAGTAGTGAAACACTCAGAAAAAAATATATAACTTATTCTATGTAGGAGCTAAATCAGATAGGACAGCTATTAATTGTATTAATAAAATCGAATAATGCATGTTCCTAAATTTTTTTTAATGGTTATTTTTTTCTCTTAATCAAGTAGAATTGTAGACTCCTCAAGTTTGTATATTTAAAAGCTTTTTCACTATCTGGGGGTTTTGTTTTCAGATATTCTGTTTAAGAATTATTCTTCCGGGCACAGAGGCTAACGCCTGTAATCCCAGCACTTTGGAAGGCCGAGGCGGGTGGAACACTTGAGGTCAAGAGTTCAAGACCAGCCTAGCCAACATGGTGAAACCCCCTCTCTAACAAAAATACAAAAATTAGCTGGGCAAGGTGGCAAGTGTCTGTAATCCCAGCTGCTCGGGGGGCTGAGGCAGGAGAATCGCCTAAACCCGGGAGGTGGAGTTTGCAGTGAGCCAAGATCGCGCCACTGCACTCCAGCCTGGGCAACAGAGCAAGACTCCGTCTGAAAAAAACAACAAAAAAAGTATTATTCTAAATATTGAGACTAATTAACAGGTACTAACAATCTCCCCCTCAGTGCTTCTCTCAGGTATGACGTGAAAGAAGAAAACAACTTAGGCCTAATTGTCTCTTAAAGTAGGGCTGGAGAACTTTTTTTAAAATCAACAATTATTAATCCACAGGAAGAGAAAGAGAAAAAGTTACAAGCCACCTGGTTTTGTTTTTCTGCTTCTTTTTAAAAAGAAGTTTTATTTTTAAAAGAAAAAGTTTAAAATCTTCTACTTGCCTGCCTTTTATATTAATAGCAAGAAATATACATAGTAAATGATTATATAAATTAAAATATGTTTTGTTTTTATATTAAGACCAGTTATAGAGGGGCTGGGTGCGGTGGCTCACGTCTGTAATCCCAGCACTTTGGGAGGCCAAGGTGGGTGGATCACCCGAGGTCAGGTGTTCGAGACCAACCTGGCCAACATGGTGAAACGCTGTCTCTGGTAAAAATACAGAAATTAGCCAGGCGTGGTGGCACACGCCTGTAATCCCAGCTACTTGGGAGGCTGAGGCAGAAGAATCACTTGAACCCGGGAGGCAGAGGTTGGCAGTGAGCCGAGATTGCGCCACTGCACTCCAGCCTGGGCGACAGAGCAAGACTCCGTCTCAAAAACAAAAAAACAAACAAACAAACAACAAAGACCAGTTATAGAGAAACATCACAGGGAAGAAAAGTAACACAAACAGAGAAAGGGGCAAGGATTCAAATACATCTATCGGGAAAGGGCAGACAACACGCATACAGAAAATCATGCCTGGCAAATAGCACAGCTTAGACTGTCTTGGAACAACAGCTGTTTTTACCTCCCTATCCGGATATTTCACCTGAGACTTTTTTTTTTTTTTTGAGACAAGATCTCACTGTCACCCAGGCTGGAGTGCAGTAGTATGATTATGGCCCACTGCCGCTTCAACCTCCCAGGTGCAAGCAATCCTCCCACCTCAGCCTTCTGAGTAGCTGGGACCACAGGCAATGCACCACCTTGCCCAGCAAATTTTTGTATGTTTCATAGACACGGGGTTTTGTCCCCTTGCCCAGGCTGGTCTCAAACTCCGGGACTCAAGTGATCCACCTGCCTCGGACTCCCAAAGTGCTTGAATTGCAGGTGTGAGCCACTGTGCTCAACCTCACCTGAGACTTTAAAAATCTTTGTTGCATTGGTGCAGACCTCAGCACAAATATCAATATCACCAGGACCAAAAGGAACTTCAGCATGAAGATGGTTCTACTCACTAGAGCTCTGAAATTTCAAGTCTATGAAGCTACTCACTCCATTCACCTGGGGATTTAATTTATCTTTAATCCTCACCTTTTGATATTTGGTAAATCAGGAAATCCAAAGGCTGCCACAACCTCAGATCAAGTCCCAGGCAAAACTGGGAGAGGAAGCAAAAAAGTTTCAGGTCCTTTCCTCCTCCTTTTGGACACCTATCCCAGGAGCAATATGAGCGTCCCAGTGTCCTAAGGGACAGCATCCCTTGGGGTAAGAGCAGGAACTCTAGCCACCATCACAGAGACTTCATGGAGGTGAAGACAAGTGCCACAACTTATTAGTGACTTTTGGAAACAGCTTCTGCTGTAAAATCCAGACAATAATCGTAGTACTGGACTTACTGGTAAGATTTTGTTGCATTAGAAGAAAAAACTATTTAAAATGCATAGCACGGTGCTTAGCATTAATAAGCACTCATTAGGTACTAGCTGTTGTCCTCACTAAGCCTACCTTCCCTTGCCCTGGTCTGTGTTGTCTAGACAATCGAACATGGCTTATAGGGAGACACAGTTTCAGCTCCACAAAAAGTCCCCAGCCTCTCAAAAGGAAGCACATGTTTGTGAAAAGTGTCACATGGAAATAATATGGATGGGGTGATTCCTAAGGTTGCCTGCCACTAAACACCCCCAAGATTCTGTGAAATCTGAGATCCTTAGTAAGAGACCTGGGGAGGCGGCCATTCTGCCCCCTCATGGAATCACAACTGCCTCCCACCCTCTCTTCTTCCTTCCTCTAGCACAGGGGTCCCTAACCCCAGGCCACGAACTAGTAGTGGTCCGTGGCCTGTTAGGAACTGGGCTGCACAGCAGGAGATGAGCAGAGGGCAAAACGAGTGAGTGAGGCTTCATCTGTATTTCCAGCCACTCCCCATTGCTTGCATTACCACCTGAGCCCAGCCTCCAGTCATAAGATCAGTGGCAGCATTAGATTCTCATAGAAGCACAAACCCTATTGTGAACTGTGCATTTGAGGGATCTAGGTTGCATGCTCCTTATGAGAATCTAATGCTTGATGATCTGTCACTGCCTCCCATCACCCCCAGATGGGACTGCCTAATTGCAGGAAAACAAGCTCAGGACTCCCACTGATTCTACATTATGGTGAGTTGTATAATTATTTCATTATGTACTACAATGTAATAATAATACAAATAAAATGCACAATAAATGTAATGCACTTGAATCATTCTGAAACCATCCCCCAACCCCCATCCATGGAAAAAATTGTCTTCCATAAAACCAGTCCCTGGTGCCAAAAAGGTTGGGGACCACTGCTCTAGCACACAGCTGGAGGAATCCTATTAAAGTTCCTCTTTAATGAAGGACTTAAAACAAAAGTTATGCTTTGCTCTGGAATGGGAAGACTCACTCCTGTGTAGCAAGGTGCTGACACAGCCAATTTTACAAATGATGCTAGTTGTATCTCATTTATTTATCTATTTATTTATTTTTATTTTTTTATTATTATTATTTTTTTTTTGAGATGGAGTCTCACTCTGTTGCCAGGCTGGAGGGCAATCTTGGCTCACTGCAACCTCTGCCTCCCAGGTTCAAGCGATTCTCCTGCCTCAGCCTCCCGAATAGCTGGGACTACAGGCGCGCACCCCCATGCCCACCTAATTTTTGTATTTTTAGTACAGACGGGGTTTCACCATGTTGGCCAGGACGGTCTCGATCCCTTGACCTCGTGATCCACCTGCCTTCGCCTCCTGAAGTACTGGGATTACGGGCGTAAGCCACCACACCCAGCCTGTATCTCCTCTTAGAGGTGAAGGCTGTAAGTCACTCTAGAGAAAATGTTTACTATTATAGACAAAATCACTTTGGTGACTTCTATACCTTTTCATTAGACCAACTTATCTAACAAGTTGGACACTGGGGTGGCAGTGGATACATTTGCATAGAGACTATGGAGTCTCCTGGGAGGAAAGGTTCTGGGCCTTTCTCTTTTGAGTTCAATGTTAGAACAGCTCTAATAGGTTGAAGGCATTCCAAATGATGAATGTCAGCAAGAAAGAACATAAAGGACTCTTTCTTGAAGGTCCTGAGGGAGGTGACTTAGGCTTGGGTGCTGTATTTGCAGAATGACCGTAGCACATGAGTGTGAATTAAAAGAACAGTATCCTTGTGGCTCTGGCAAAGAGCTCTCTTAATCAAATTGGACCAGTAGAAATGTCACTGCAGGGGAAAATAAGAATACATCAAACTCATATGATATGCAAGGGACCCCAACTAGCCAAAACAACCTTGAAGAAGAACAAAGTTGGAAGACACACTTCCTGATTTCAAAACTTACTACAAAGCAATGATAACCAAGATGGTGTGGTACTGGCACAAAGATAGACATATAGACCAATGAAATAGAATAGAGAGTTCAGAAGTAAACCCATACATCAGTGGTCAATTGAATTTTAACAAAGGTGCCAAGATTATTCAGTGGGGGAAAGAATTGTATGTCAACAAATAATCTTGGGAATAACTGGATATCTATATGCAAAAGAATGAAGTTGGACCCTTACCTCATGTCATATAGAAAAATTAATTCAAAATGGACTCAAGACCTAAATTTAAGACCTAAAACTGTAAAATTCTTAGAAGAAAACATAGGGAAAATTTTCATGACATTGGATTTGACAATACTTTCCTGCCAAAAACATAGACAAGAGCAACAACAACAACAAAAATAGATATATTAAACTACATCAAAATTTAAAACTTCTGTGCATCCAAGGACACAACAGACTGAAGAGACAACGCATGGAAAGAGAGAAAACACTGGTAAATTATCTATCTTATGAGGAGTTAGTATCCAGAATATATCAGAACTCCTACAACTCAACTGCAAAACAAAACAAAACAAAAATCCTGATTTAAAAATGTGCAAAGCCCATGAAAAGATGTTCAACATCATTTGCCATAAGAGAAATGCAAATCAAAACCATGAGATGCCACTTCACACCAACTAGGATGGCTAGAATTTAAAAACGGAAAATGACAAATGTTGGCCAGGCATGGTGTCTCACGCCTGTAATCCCAACACTTTGGGAGGCCGAGGCAGGCGGATCACAAGGTCAGGAGATCGAGACCATCCTGGCTAACACAGAGAAACCCTGTCTCTACTAAAAATACAAAAAAGTTAGCTAGGCGTGGTGGCAGGTGCCTGTAGTCGCAGCTACTTGGGAGGCTGAGGCAGGAGAATGGCGTGAACCCAGGAGGCGGAGCTTGCAGTGAGCCAAGATCGCGCTACTGCACTCCAGCCTGGGCAACAGAGTGAGACTCCGTCTCAAAAAAAAAAAAAAAAGAAAGAAAAAGGAAATAACAAATGTTGGCAAGGATATAGAGAAATTAGAACCCTCACATGTTGCTGGTGAAAATGTAAAATGGTGCAGCCATTGTGGAAGACAGTTTGGCAGTTCCTCAAAAAATTAAAGAGCCAGGCGTGGTGGCTCCCACCTGTAATCCTAGAACTCTAGGAGGCTGAGCCCGGTGGATCCCTTGACCCCAGGATTTTGAGACCAGCCTGGGCAACATGGTAAGACCCCATCTCTACAAAAAATACAAAAATTAGCTGGGCGTGGTGGCACACACCTTTAGTACCAGCTACTTAGGAGGCTGAGGTGAGAGGATCACTTGAGCCTAGGGGGTGGAGGCTTCAGTGAACTGAGATCCTCCCACTGCCCTCCAGTATGGGCAACAGAGTAGGGCTCTGTCTCAAAAAGAAAAAAAAAAATTAAAGATAGAGTTAGCATATGATCCAGCAAGTCCACTCCTAGATAGATACCCAAGACAAATGAAAACATACGTCTACACAAGCACTGGTACATAAATGTTTTTAAAAACACTATTCAGCCAAAAGATTGAAACCCAAATGTCCAACGACAGACAAATGAATAAACAAAATGTAGTATAGCCATAACTGTCTGCCATAAAAAAGGATGAAATGTTGATACACTATGACATGGACCAACCTTGAAAACATTATGCTAAGTGAAGAAAGCCAGACACAAAATAGCACATATTGTATAATTCCATTTATATAAATGTCCAGATTCAGCAAATCTATAGGGACGGAAAGTAGATTCGTGGTTACTTCTGGCTGGGGCTGGATGGGCCATCAGGAGGGTGAGAGCTAAAAGGTTTAGGGTAAAGCACCATCCTGAGATTGTATGCCCCATGCCTGGAACTCTGGGTGCTAAATAAATGTCTGCTGACTTGTATTCACTTTAAATTCTAGTTCAAAGAAATGAGCATCTCACATACCTATAGTTAGAGAGAAACATCAATCTGAACCCTAAATACATCCACCCTCTTCAAAGATCTGTTGCTTAAAATGTCAAACCTCTGTAGGTTGCTTCCTCACCAGAGAAAATGAAAACAAATGCAGCTCTGATCATAAACTAGGTAGATATTGTGTTACATAAACGTTTTCACATCACCCTAGCGAAGATGCTGTATCTGCTATATTTGCATGTGTAAAATGGAAATTTAACACCAACCTAATAAAGTTAAATTGAGGATTAAACTAAATTTTTATATAAAAGTACTTAGCAAAGTACCTGAAACAGAGTAAGTCCTCAGTGAATGGTAATTACTGCATTACTACTATTGTCCGCTACTAGAAAAGTTAAAGGCACCTTCACTATGGATCTGCCTATCCAAACAAGACCCAGATAGCAAATTGCATTGATGTAGCATCATTTCAATTTCTCCCACTTTCTGACTTGAGATAATTTATTCAAGCAAAATAGTTAGCTAAAAAAATTTATTGAAAAAGTATTAATAATGAGGGGAGAAATAAGATATGTAACACTGTAATAAACAAATTGATGTCTTTTCATTGAAGTCCCAATAGAAATCCAATTTCACAATTGTGCCAGCAGTTAAGCAGCTTTTCAATATTTGTGACAAAGTAATGTTCACCTAATTATTTGGCCACAGCTACATAAAGCCCTCTTTTAAAAATTCTATGCAAATTGCAAGTATTGAAGTATTGGTTTTACATATGTAGAAAGGATACAAGAAAGGGCTTTAAGGCTACCAGCCCTGAATATTTTACTTCAAAAGCTTATTTCAAAACACTATGTTAAGGCCGGGCATAGTGGCTCACACCTGTAATCCTAGCACTGTGGGAGACCGAGGCAGGCAGAACACTTGAAGTCAGGAGTTCGAGACCAGCCTGGCCAACATGGTTGGCCATCTCTACTAAAAATACAAAAAAAGGTAGCCAGACTCGGTGGCACGTGCCTGTAATCCCAGCTACTCAGGAGGCCAAGGCAGGATAATCACTTGAATCTGAGAGGCGGAGGTTTCAGTGAGCCGAGATTGCGCCACTGCATTCCAGCCTGGGCAACAAAGCGAGATTCTGTCTCAAAAAACAAAACAAAACACTATGTTAAAAATGAAATGCATGAGATTCAGAGGAGTGTGTTGTTATTTGGAGTCTGCTGTGAAGGGCTACCCCTGCTGGCATAGCTACATGATCGCTAGATGGCTCTCAAGGGAAGATCAGCCACCCGCTGTGAAGGAGAGCAGCCGCATGGTTATTTTGCCCTCGTTGGCATCTCCCTCATTAAAGTTGCATCCAAAATGCTTCTAAAACATTGATTTCAATTTCATGAAACTTCAGTATGACTTCCTCTCTGTTCCTCTCTATCCACAACCAACTCTTTACTCAACAAAGTTGAAAATTTAGCTCAGTTCTCCTCCCCATTCTGCCATGTAGAAGATAGTGATTTATCAGGCAATGAGCCAATGACTAATAATGCCAGGCCTTTTGTGTCTTAAAATATAATCCTGGGCAGAGATTCCTTCAAGTTTGTAATCTGAAGGTATTGTTCCCCAGTTATTGAAACTAAGGCCAGTATTTGGAGAATGGAAGCAGTAAAGAACGATGGGTAGGAGCTTAGACACTGCAGTTATGCACCTGATGCTAAAGGTCCAGTTTCCTCTGATCTCTCATCTCACCACTCCTACAACCTCGCAACCCCTCCCACCCTCCTCTGCTGAAGCCACATCCTGAGGCTGAGATTTTTACGTTGGAGGTTGTTGGAGAACACCATTTGTAAGAAGGAAGAGGAAGCAGGATTGGGCAGACAGAGAAGTCCAGTTACAATTTATTTGCGATAGAGGCCTCAGTTGACCCCACAGGAAATTATGGAGCTCTTCTGACTCTTCAGGGTTAGTCTCCCTTTGATTCTCCTTGCAAGAAATTTGAATTGGCAAAATCGGTCAGTCACAGAGACTTGTAGCTCAAAGAGGTCACTAGGATTGTAGGACCTCAAAAGTCTGCAGGTTTCCCAACACCTTTTACCTGGTAGATGCACAAACCGTATGGTCTATCTGAGTGCACGGGGACACTGAAAAGAATTCAGCTCAAATTGGATCCAACAACAGTACACTGACTTGGTACAAAGTGCACCATCCACAAGTTCCTGTTAGGTTTCTTTTTCCAGTGAGAAGCCTGCCCAAACCCCATCAGGTGAATACTTATGCCCCTCCCCCTACAGAACTGGATATGATAATCACCTTGGTATCTGTATTCAACACGGCCGTAAAAGTTTGACTAACTACCCTCCACCCCATCACCTAAGTTCCCCAGTGCACTTAGAAAGGTGTATGTGACCCAGCACTTCCTCCTGCCTGGAGGAGAGTGAGCAACAACTAAAGCACCATTTGGAAGGTACTTGTTTCAATTCTTGCCATATAGCCTCTAAACCATTCATTAAGAGCTAAGAAGTGGGAGATCTTACTGCCTACCCACTACCACTTGGGCAAGAGCATTCACAATCAAATCCCAGGAATTATTCTCATGTCACCTATCCTAACCAGGGACCTTTTTCATTCCCCTTCCAGAAAGCCATGACTCTTTCTGAATCATATTTTCATCACCAGAACTGCAAGAAGTGGGAAGAGTCTGAGATTTTGCACTGATTGTACAAGTTAACAAGTTAGCCTGTTACTATTTCATGGGTGCCAGCAGAAGACACGAGACTCCTGAGTCAGAGAAAAAGGACTTTATTACTCATAGCATAACAGGAAGCTGGAGCTTCAGGTTTGTGTCAGTTCCCCTTGCCCACCAAGTCCCACAGGGGCAACTTGCATGGACCCAAATAGATGTTATGCCCACAGTGGGTTTACATCACATCTGAGGAACCCTAAACTGCAAGCAAAGCTATTTGACCTTTGCCCCAGGGTGAGGCATTATCTTTATTATACTGGACAGCAAACAACCCTGCCCTCTGTGCTATCTTCCAAGATCCTTGAAAAGATAATCCAGAAGAAAAGCCACCAATACTTATGCTCACAAGACATTCAGAAATGTGAGGGACCCATGGAGAATTGTCTTCCAGTAGTGACACATTCCACCTCTTGATGAGGAAATGGCAAGTTTCCAGAAGAGCATTTATGATAAGTGATATCGTTGGGCTGTGTCCCCACCCAAATCTCATCTTGAATTGTAGCTCCCATAATTCCCAAGTGTTTGGAAGGGACGTGGTGGGAGATAATTAAATCATGGGGGCAGTTTCCTTCATACTGTTCTCTTGGTGGTGAATAAGTCTCACGAGATCTGATGTTTATATAAAGGGTTTCCCCTTTTGCTTGGCTCTCATTTGCTTTCATTGGCAACCATGTAAGATGTGCCCTTTGCCTTCCACCATGATTGTGAGGCCTCCCAGCCATGTGGAACTCTTCTGAGTCCATTAAAATTCTTTTTCTTTATAAATTACCCATCTTGGGTATGTCTTTACCAGCAGCGTGAACATGGAGTAATACAGTAAATTAGTACCAGTAGAGTGGGGCGCTGCTATAAAGGTACCCAAAAATGTGGAAGCAATTTTGGAACTGGATAACAGACAGAAGTTGGAACAGTTTGAAGGGCTCAGAAGAAGACAAAAAAATGTGGGAAAGTTTGGAACTTCCTAGAGACTGGCTGAATGGCTTTGACCAAAATTCTGATAATGATATGGACAATGAAATCCAGGCTGAGGTGGTCTCAGATAGAGATGAGGAACTTGTTGGGAACTGGAGTAAAGCTGACTCTTGCTATGTTTTAGCAAAGAGACTGGCAGCATTTTGCCCCTGCTCTAGAGATTTGTGGAACTTTGAACTTGAGGGAGATGATTTATGGTATCTAGCAGAGGAAATTTCTAAGCAGCAAAGCATTCAAGAGGTGATGTGGGTGCTGCTAAAAGCATTCAGTTTTAAAAGGGAAACAGAGCATAAAAGTTTGAAAATTGCACCCTGATGATGCAAATTCCTATTTTCTGAGGAAAAATTCAAGCCAGCTGCAGAAATTTGCATAAGTAACAAGAAGCCAAATGTTAATCTCCAGGATAATGGGGAAAATATCTCCAGGGCATGTCAGAGACCTTTGAGGCAGTGCCCCCATCACAGACCCAGAGGCCTAGGAGGAAAAAATGTTTTCTGGGGCCAGGTTCAGGGCCTCCCTGCTGTGTGCAGCCTAGGGACTTTGTGCCCTGCATCCCAGCTGCTCTGACCTTGGCTAAAAGAGGCCAATGTACAGCTTGGGCCATGGCTTCAGAGGGTATAATCCCCAAGCCTTGGCAGCTTCCATGTGGTGTTGAGCCTGCAGGTGCGTAGAAGTCAAGAATGGAGGTTTGGGAACCTCTGCCTAGATTTCAGAGGATTTATGGAAATGCCTGGATGTCCAGGCAGAAGTTTGCTGCAGGGGTGGGGCTCTCAAGGAGAACCTCTGTTAGGGCAGTGCAGAAGGGAAAAGTGGGGTTGAAGCCCCCACACAGAGTCCCCACTGAAGCACTGCCTAATGGAGCTGTGAGGAGAGGGCCACCATCCTCCAGACCCCAGAATAATAGATCCACCAATAACTTGCACTATGTGCCTGGAAAAGCCACAGACACTCAACACCAGCCTGTGAAAGCAGCTGGGAGGGAGGCCGTACCCTGCATAACTGCAGAGATGGAGCTGCCTAAGACTATGGAAACCCACCTCTTGCATCAGTGTGACCTGGATGTGAGCCATGAATTCAAAGGAGATCATTTTAGAGCTTTAAGATTTGACTGCCCCACTGGATTTCAGACTTGCATGGGGCCTTTAGCACCTTCATTTTGGCCAATTTCTCCCATTCAGTATGGGTGTATTTATCGATGCCTGCACTCCCATTGTATCTAGGAAGTAACTAACTTGCTTTTGATTTTACAGGTTCATGGGCAGAAGGGACTTGCCTTGTCTCAGATGAGATTTTGGACTGTGGACTTTTGAATTAATGCTAAAATGAGTTAAGACTTTGGGGGAGGCCGGGCGCGGTGGCTCACGCCTGTAATCCTAGCACTTTGGGAGGCCGAGACGGGCGGATCACGAGGTCAGGAGATCGAGACCATCTTGGCTAACACGGTGAAACCCCGTTTCTACTAAAAATACAAAAAATTAGCCGGGCGTGTTGGCGGGCGCCTGTAGTCCCAGCTACTTGGGAGGCTGAGGCAGGAGAATGGCATGAACCTGGGAGGCGGAGCTTGCAGTGAGCCGAGATCGCGCCACTGCACTCCAACCTGGGAGACACAGCGAGACTCCGTCTCAAAAAAAAAAAAAAAAAAAAAAAGACTTTGGGGGACTGTTGGGAAGGCATGATTGGTTTTCAGATGTGAGGACATGAGATTTGGGAGGGGCCAGGGATGGAATGATATGGTATGGCTGTGTCCCCACCCAAATATCTTGAATTGTAGCTCCCATAATTCCCACATGTTGTGGGAGGGACCCAGTGGGAGAGAATTGAATCATGAGGGCAATTCCCCCCATACTGTTCTCGTGGTAGTGAGTAAGTCTCACAATATCTGATTTTTTTTTTGAGATGGAGTTTTGCTCTCGTTAAATATGAATATTTAGACCTGCTATATAATATGTAAACCAGGCTATATGAATATTTAGACCTACTATATAAATATTAAAACCTACTTAAGTGCCTAAGTGTCAAATTTAAATATGAATTGCAAATTTCACAACTCTGGTGTCTATTGGCTCTTAAAACCACCCAAGCTACCTATTGTGGGGAAAACTATTCTATAAGATGGGTGATGAGGTTTTAAAAGTGGTTTACTAACTTCTTAACCATAAAAACAATGGGAGGAAAGACTGAGAAAATAACTCAGTACATTTGACTAAGTAACATTTTTCAATTTTTTTAATGCTAAAAGGCAAATGGCAGGCTAGGATGATTTTACAGTGGAATAGGAAGTCCAGCAAACACTTTGGAAAGTGTAAGACAGGAGGTTGACAACAAGGGGAAGCACAGCAGTAGGGGCTGGGAGAAGGAGGGACTGGAAGACCAGGAAAATTGGGATTTTGGATGGCAGTGGCAGAATATGGTGAAACATGGTGGGCTTCATATCCACAAGTTAGTAATAAAAGGGGTAGAGCGATGACCTGTGACTATGCAAACTAGGGCCCCAGTGAATGTTTTGGGTCTAAATGACCTTGAAAGTCTACCACCTTCACTAGCTTTAGCTCAGGGTTGGGAATGGAATATGGAACAATGCCATATTATCTTATACCTGAGAAGCTCATTCCCTGGCTGTAAGGGAAGGAGAATTCATTCACTCTGAAAGCCTTCACCTTTTAATGGAACTAATAACTGCCATGGCAAAATGGAGAGCTGAGGCTTCTGAAGAATACTAAATGTCCCTACAATGTCTTAATGAACAAAGAGAAATATCCACGGTAACTCACAGCCACAGGATGGAAGATCTCCTAGTACTGGGATTCCCAACAGTTCTGACATAATTCTTTGCTGCCCTCACCATTTTTAGATACATTCTTGTTTGTCCACTCCCCCTTTTTCTCTGCTGAGTTAACATCTCAACAGTAAAGGTCCCTCATATTCTCCAAACATCAGGAGAAAAAAACATCCTTTCAATGTACTTTTCCTCTTCTTTTTCAGCAGGGAAACTGGTGCTATAGCTGCCCAACAGGTTCTTCTCACTTGCTGCCCAGATAAAACCAATGTATCAAGACAAGGGAATTGCAATAGAGAAAGGGTTCAAGATACATAGGGCCAGCTAAACAGGAGAGCAGAATTTTATTATTATTCAAATCAGCCTCTCCAAACATTCAGAGGCTAGGGTTTTTTCAAGATAGTTTGGTGGGCAGGGGGCTAGGGAATGGGTGCTGCTGATGGTTGGGGATGCAATCATAGGGATGTGGAAAATGGTCCTCATGCCCTGAGTCTGCTTCTGGGTGGGGGCCACAGGACCCATTGAGTCATAAGTCCAAATGGAGTCATCTTGGTCATCAGAAAAGCTAAAGTCTGAAAAGATATCTCCAAAGGCCAATATTAGGTTCTACAATAGTAGAGGTTATTTATAGGAGTAATTGGAGAAGTTACAAATCTTGTGACCACCAGAACAATGACTGGTTATTCTTTAACTATACCTACATCTTTGCAGAACTCAGATTCTTCTCATAACCCTAACCTTGTGGCCTTTCATTAGTTTTACTAAGGCAGTTTAATTTGGGGAGGGATATTATCATCCTTGCTTTAAGGATAGATTTCTCCCAAAGTTAGCTTGGCCCACACCCAGGAATGGAGGTTACAGGCAAGATGGAGTTGGTTAAGTCAGATCTCTTTCACTGCCATAGTATTCTCACTATTATAACTTTTGCAAAGGTGGTTTCAGAGATGTGCAATGGCATAATGGTTATGAACCCAGACTCCAGAGGCAGTCTGCTTGGATTTGAATCCTAGGATTTTCATCTAGCTGTGTGACCTCAGACAAGTGACTTAACGGCTCTGTGACTCCAAGTCTCCTGCTGTAAAATAGGGATGATAGCATCTTTTCTTGGTGATGCTGCGAGGAAAAGGAGTTAATATGTGTAAAGACATTTAGAAAGGCCCTGGCACACAGTAAATGTTAGTTACTGCTATAGAAGTTGCTGAATGAATGATTTCAACAATAGTCCATGTGGAACATGTAAACCAATTAAATATTTGTTCCTAAAGGAACAGAATATTTATAGACATATAGCCTATTTATTTTCTTCTATTGAGCAGCTGACAGTAATAGTGGATGTACATGTTTGTCTTCTTAATAGGAAAGAAGTAGGCTTAGGTTGACTGAGTGCCTACTGTTTGCTAGGCACAGTATAGATATCTTTTCACCTTATTCTCAAAACAAGCCTGAGAATTAGATATTTTATCCTCGTTTTTCTTAGGCAGAAACTTGCCCAAAGTTGCACATCTCGCTCCAAATCACAGTGCCTAGCAAGGTCTAGGCAGGAATTCAAGCCCATCTGACTACAACATACAATGTGTCAACACAGATGTCCACAACTTTGCTTTGTATGTAGCCACCTGAAAGAGAATGAATTAGAATAATTATTTTTGAGGGAGTTCAGTGCCATCAGGTGCCAAATTATTTATTTGCAATGCCAAATTGTATGGTTTTCTATTTAAACAGAGCTTTGGTCTAGGTGTAACTGTAATATTCTAGATAGAATATTACTTGTCTAGTGGCCTATCTCACAAGAAAATAAATAAATAAAATAAAAATATTGCTGGAATTTGAAGGATAAATCAATATAGATGCCTCAGAAAAGATGGGGTAGGGTGAGTGGAGTAATAATTTTGGGAAATGTAATGACCAGAAAATAAACTATCACTATTGCTGCATTTTGCTTTTGTCCAATATTCTCTTGGCATGTATGGACATGAACTACCATTCAGTGAAACTGACATGTTCTCTCTCCTTTGAGAAGGATCATGGAGGTTTCTGGTGCCATCGTTTTAAATGTTCCAAATAGAAGCAAACATCTACTGTTAGAAAAGTAAACCAAGTGAAGAAAAGAAAAGAAAATGACTTGCATTCTTTTGCATAGATATGGCTATATCAAGTAATTAGGGTTGTACTAAAGAGGTTGGGAATATATTTTATTTATTTGCTTATGTGACTTTTACTCATTATTTTCATTTTGTGGTGAGTAAAGGGAAAAATGTAGTAAGAACAAAATGACCTTTCCATTTTGTCCTAAAACCAAACAGGAAGAGGGAGTACTGCCATCTTTTGGTTACACAATATAATAATTTTAAATCGTTACACTTAACAACAGCCAGATGAATGCCAATATTAGTCATCACCAAATGAACAGAAACACTGACTTACCTGGCATGAGTTAGTTCCTTAGACTATTTCTTCATAATAGCTTTCTTCTGCAAAGTAATCACAGAGACTCCAAAATCTCATTTTTCTTTCAATTGTAGACAGAAAGAGAAAGTACTGGTGGGCTAAGTAGATTATCTTAAAGAGCACTGACAGTTCTAATATTTGTATTTAATGATTCTAAAGCATTCAGAGTAAACAAAGATAAAAGAGAACTTTTAATTACTAAAGTCAATTTCACAATTGCCCCAGGGGTGAAGAACTTGAGTGCAAGGCTGAACTTCCTTAGACCAAGGAAACACTATGGCAAAGCCTGCCAGGTATCCACTACAGGGCTTCATCTACACCAAGCAAGACAAAAAGTACAGCAAAAACACAATTGGAGCATTCCTGGAATGTTCTTTCTTTTTCTTTTCTTTTTTTTTTTTTTTTTCTTGTGAGAACAGAGTCTTGCTGTGTCACCTAGACTGGAGTGCGGTGGCACAATCTCAGCTCACTGCAACCTCCCCTTCCTGGGATCAAGCAATTCTCCTGCCTCAGCCTCCTGAGTAGCTGGGTGTACAGTCACCCGCCACCACGCCCGGCTAATTTTCGTATTTTTGGTAGAGATAGGGTTTTGCCATGTTGGCCAGGCTGGTCTCGAACTCCTGACCTCAGGTCATCTGCCCGCCTCGGCCTCTCAAAGTGCTGGGATTACAGGCGTGAGCCTCTGCGCCCGGCTGATTTTTTTTTAAGGAAATATGGTACTACAATAGAAGGAAACTAAAGAAGTTTATCAGAGTGTACTATAGAGGGCCGCCTCTCAGTGAGCTGAGTTGGCTGCAGGGAGGCCATAGACACTGTTGTTACAAGACACGTTTTATTAACAGCCATCCTGAAGAAAAGACTTTGAATAGGTTGAGGGTATATATTTTAAAGAGGAAACATTAATTTGAAAAGGAGAAGAATCTGGAAAGGAAATATAATCCCCTCAAATCCTGTCTAGATCCAGAGAAGCAGCTATCCAAATGAGGTTTTTTTAAGGCTCATCAGGGTGGCAGAAAATAGAATATAAAGCCCCGAAGGGGATCTTAAGATATTTGGAATAAAAGGGAAATATGGAAGTGTCATGGCAGTTGAGTGAAAGGAAGTGAACTGAACTTGACATTTATTTGGATAATATCACTTTTCTATATGCGCAGTACTGATATGTTTTTAAAAATAAAAGCACGAAATTTTTGTTATTTGTTATTCTTATTAAGAAGATAAATAAGTAAACATTTTCATAGGGTACCAGAGAGGAGAGCGGGCGAAGGGAGGACCTGGTTTCTAGTCGTAGGTCTCCACTGACTAGCAGGCTGCCCTTATGCCACTTAGACTCCCTGAGTCTTGGTTTCCTCATCTACAAAGTAAGTTCGCTGGATGCCACCATAGCTTCTCAAGCTGAGTTCTGAGGACTCCTCCCCATCTATGAATTATTTTCAGAAGCTGATAGGTTCTCTGCTTTGAGAAGTATCAGACTCAGTCATTTCTAATGGCTTTGCTAGCTCGAAAATTCTAAGATATAAGATATATTTTTCTTCTCTAATTCCCTCAGGACCCAGAAGAGGAAGAAAAGTCAGCATACTTATTTTTTTCTTGTTTTCCTTCTCCCTGACATGCAATTATTCTATTGTTCTGAATTTCTAGAGCAGTGCTTTCCCACAGAAATACATTTAACTTAAAATTTTCCAGGCCAGGCGCAGTGGCTCATGCCTGTAACCCCAGCACTTTGGGAGGCCAGGGCAGGGGGATCACTCGAGGTCAGGAGTTCAAGACCAGCCTGGCCAACATGGCGAAACCCTGTCTCCACTAAAAATACAAAACTTAGCCAGCCGTGAGGGTGAGCATCTGTAGTCCCAGCTACTCAGGAAGCCAAGGCAGGAGAATCGCTCAAATCCAGGAGGTGGAGGTTGCAATGAACTGAGATTGTGCCACTGCACTCCTGGGCAACAGAGTGAGACTGTCCCCCCAAAAAAATAAAAAATTATAGTAGCCACAGTTTTAAAAGCAAAAAGACATGGGTGAAGCTCATTTTAATTATATATTTTATTTAGCCAAATATATCCAAAATATTCTGATTTCAACATGTAATCAATGTAAAAATTAATGAGATGGTTTATATATATTTTTTGTACTAAGTCTTAGAAATCCAAAATGTATTTTACATTTACAACACATTCCAATTCAAAGTAGCCATATTTCAGGTTCCATAGTCACATTATAGCACCAGACCCATCTGATTCATCTTTTATGTAACAAAGTTGTGGGTTGTTTTTCAGTTGCCCTGGACCCTTGGGTCACGTGACCTGGGCATGCCCAGATGAACCAAGAATCACAGGGGGAACCTAAGTGCTCAGGCTGAGGGCAGGGGACTGGATTAAGAAGTGGACACCACATGGCAGGATCCAGGATCCAATCAGATCTAGCTGTGGCGTCACCCCATGGCAGGATCCAGGATCCAATCAAATCTAGCTGTGGCGTTACCCCATGGCAGGATCCAGGATCCAATCAGATCTAGCTGTGGCGTCACCCCATGGCAGGATCCAGTGAGATCATGCCTCATTACCCTTTGCTTATAAAAACTAGATCCAGCTCCCAGTCCCGGGAGGTACTGCTTTGGGACCAGGTGTTCTTATCTGTTGCAAGTAAGAAAATCCCCTTGTTAACAATCCTCTTTGGTTCTGGTCATTGGACTGTCATTCACCAAGCTACCAAACCCACCCATTGTATGGGAAACAACACATGGCTGATGTGGGAAGTTCCTATGTCCTGTAGTGGACAGCACAGTGACAACCCTATAGTTGGAGAGCTGATACGTGGCTGTTCGGGTACCCTGAAAAATAGGCCTGTTTGGTTACCCAGTATCACAACCTAGGGATGGTCTGGAATGCATAGAAAAAGCTCAGGACCTAGAGGAAACATTTCTCTACTCAAAAACCTGCAGTGTACATGCCTCCTTCTCAGACCATCAGTCCCTCCCTTCCAGAACACATGATAATCGGTATTTCTTTCTTTCTTTTTTTTTTCCAGCCCTAATGCTGCTTCTCAGCAACAAAGCTGGAAGTGTTTTTCTCAACAGACCATTCCCCGGAGAAGAATGTAATTATATCTCTGTCTTTGGACTCAGGCAGATAATGATTACCCACAAAAATCCCTGCTGTAGAAACAATGAATTTGTACTAGTGCTCTTCGTTTTTTAAATGATGCGGAAACTTCCATTAATTCACCAACCCTATTGCAGGAGCCTGATTCAGAGACTGTCTGCAATTAATGCATTTTTTGTTGTAAGACATGAGAGCAGAAGAGGATAGAAATAATGAGAATCTAATTTGGAAGTCAGTGATGTAGACTTCAGTTTGAGATATCATGTTTGTCCTTTTATAGAAATGCTTGGAACAGTGAGTAAGAGGAGTAATAAGAAATTTTGCACATTAAAATAAGACAGGCTATTTTGTATGGGGGAAGATAAAGATTTTTAAAAATTCAGCCAATACACTCTGTGAAATAAGAGTATTATATATGTATAGAAGTACAGAGCTTCCTACTTCTTATCAAAATGGCTTCTGGCATCTTTCAATTTCATCATCTTTCCATTTTCTTATCTTTTCCTATTGGGGATGGCAGTGTAGTTCAAAGGGATAAAAAATATTGGAATTAAGTATTTCCTACTTTCTTTTTGAGACAGGTTCTTGCTCTGTTACCCAGGCTGGAGTACAGTGGCATGATCAGGGCTTACTGCAGCCTCAACCTCCTGTCTCAAGCAATCCTCCCACTTCAGCCTCTCAAGGAGCTGGGACCACAGGCGTGCACCACCATGCCAGGCCAGGCTAATTTTTTTTTTTTTCCGCAGATGGGATCTTACTTTGTTGCCCAGGTCTCAAACTCCCAGGCGTAAGTGATCTTCTCACCTCAGCATCCCAAAGTGCTGGGATTACAGGCATGAGCCACAGGGACCCTTCTACTTTCTTAAGGGGGCAAGGGAAAGACAGAGTATGTCTATCAACATCAGGTACTTATGTAACATTTGTCACAGTGTGTCAAACTAACCCTCTCCTCATCCCTCTAGGAACAGACTTGGCAAGCCAGAGGGCTGAAGAAGCTAGAGGGGCCACAGGATAAACCACTGATGAAATCACTGGTGGGAAAATGAGATTTCCCTGTATCTCACTCAAGCCTATTGCTGCAGTATTGATTAATCCGTGTGCTTTTTGTGTCAATGGTTCCAGACAAGCGCCATCATGCACTCTCTCCCTTTTTCATCATTGATATCAACTCAAAAAAGATGGGCTCCAATAGAAGGAAGAAGGATTACACCGCATATAGTATAAACAATAAATTTGGGGCCAGGTGTGGTGGCTCACACCTGTAATCCCAGCACTTTGGGAGGCCGAGGCGAGCAGATTGCTTGAGCTGAGGAGTTCGAGACCAGCCTGACCAAGACAGTGAAACCCTATCTCTGCTAAAAATACAAAAATTAGCCAGGTGTGATGGCACGTGCCTGTGATCTCAGCTACTCGGGAGGCTGAGGCAGGAGAATCCCTTGAACCTGGGAGGCAGAAGTTGCAGTGAGCCGAGATTGCACCACTGCACTCCAGCCTGGGCAACAGAGCAAGACTCTGTCTCAAAATAATAATAATAATGATAATGATAATAATAATAAATTTGCAGATCTTCAGGTATTTAGCACGTTTCTAAATTAGAACTGTCCTTTTTTTTTTCTTTTTTTGAGACGGAGTCTTGCTCAGCCACCCAGGCTGGAGTGCAGTGGTGCGATCTCCGCTCACTGCAAGCTCCGCCTCCCGGGTTCGCGCCATTCTCCTGCCTCAGCCTGCTGAGTAGCTGGGACCACAGGCACCCACCACCAAGCCCGGCTAATTTGTGAGTGTGTGTGTGTGTGTGTGTGTGTGTGTGTGTGTGTGTGTGTGTGTGTTTTTAGTAGATACAGGGTTTCACGGTTTTAGCCAGGATGGTCTCGATCTCCTGACCTCGTGATCCACCCGCCTCGGCCTCCCAAAGTGCTGGGATTACAGGCCTGAGCCACCGCGCCCAGCCAGTACTGTCCATTTTTAAAAGGTGATGCTTACTGAAATGATATCTCCTTCTGGTGTTCCCATAGACAATAAATAAACTCTTCTAGGCCTTGTACTTCCCCCAGCACTTCCATAGGCATCTGCTGGATGGTCCCTCACTGGGCATCAGCACCACACAGAAGGGAGGTGGTCTCCATAGTAATTAATGTGAATGAGGAGAGTCAGCACACCAGTGGTCTAGCCAGGCTAAAATTTCTTAAAAGGAAATGGCGAACTGATTTTCTTTGTAAAAATTCAGGCCCTGCTCTTTTTCTTTCTTTCTTTCTTTCTTTTTTTTTTTTTTTTTTTTTTTTTTGTGGCCTGGCCAACTGTCCCTCCCTAGGCAAAAGTGGACTTGGATTTCTTTTGTTTCAGCAATCATTATCTGCTACCTTTACTCTAAAAATGCACTTTCCACCTGTCCCCATCTTCTACTTAAGCCTAAGGGATTACAAAAGGACTCATGTTTACCACTATATGTTGAATCAAGGAGTATCAACAAATTGGAAATTAGCCTAATCCCTTAAACTTCATATAATCTGTTTCCTTCATTTTGCTCCCATCTCCAAATATTTCATTCAGTACCAAAGTCCCCAAGAGAAAATGGATTCCTTCCTAGCTGGACCTGGGGCATCTGGCCAGATCCCCATCATGTTTCACCCCAAGCTACCCCTTAATCCCAGATGGAGCTTTAGACTCCTTTGAGAGAGATGAGGCCTGTCAAGAACTGTAAAAGCTCTGGAACTTTCTCCAACTTACACTGTTAACTGTTTCATTGATGCTGGCAGAAGACATAAGACTCTTGGGTCAGAGACAAAGGATTTTATTACTAACAGCACAGCACAGCAAACAACATGAGCATATTTGCACTAGTTCCCTTCCCCATACACAACACAGGGATGACATGATAGTCCTAGATGATACCTGCGCATGCAGTGGGTTGCATTACAGGAGAGGAACCCAGGGCTAAGGGCCCAGCCCTTGAGCAAGCAGCAAATAAGCCAGTCTTTCTCCACTTTGACCTGCTTAATTGCCTGTGTGACTAACCAGAGAAACCATTCAGTATCAGGAGACAGATCAGTCTTAAAATCCAGTACACTCGGCTGGACGCAGTGGCTCACACCTGTAATGCCAGCACTTTGGGAGGCCAACGAGGGCGGATCACCTGAGGTCAGGGTTTCAAAACTAGCCTGGCCAACATGTCTCCACTAAAAATACAAAAATTAGTCAGGCGTGGTGGTGGATGCCTGTAATCCCAGCTACTCGGGAGGCTGAGGCAAGAGAATAGCTTGAACCCAGAAAACGGAGGTTGCAGTGAGTTGAGATCACGCCACTGCACTCCAGCCTGAGCGACAGAGTGAGTGAGACTCCGTCTCAAAAAAAAAAAAAAAAAAAAATCCAGCACACTCAGCAAGAACAGGCAGGGACCTTCAGGGTCCATGGTGGGCTGCCTTTCCCAATAGGACCCACATACTTCTCATTATTCTGATCTTTCCTTCAGAATTACCTAGTCCAAGGGAGTACAACACTGAGAGCTAGTGGCCCTGGCTAGCTGTTAAAGACTGCGAGAAAAGTACTACTAGTTGCTGAAGGAAAACGGATTGTGGGATGTAAATTTGTCTCCTTATATTTAAACAAAAACACTCAAAACCCTCTTCCCCAACCCTTCTACTGTTTCAGTTCCTACTGGTCTGTTCTGTAAGTTCTCAGTTCCTGTTAGATTGTAATACTGAAAAAGAAACCCTGTCTACCCTCTAAGTTGGATGGAGAATTCAACATAAATAAGAAAGATATATCTACTAAGCAACTGAAACTTAATATGTCCAAAACCAAACTTCTGGACTTCTTCACACACCATGCTGTCTTCTCCCATACCTTCCCCTCCATAGAGAAGGTAACCATCATCCTTCCAGGCGCTCCTGCCAGCAGTCTCGGAATCAGGCTTGATTCCTCTTTTTCTCTCCCATTTCATGGCTTGCTCAACCTCCCAGGCTATCCAGAACCTGAGTGGCTCCCTTCCTCCATGATGAAGCCACCATCACTTCTTGCCTGGATTGTTGCAGTAGCCTCCAAACTGTTTTTCTGCTTCAGTCTTTACTTTCTCACACCATTCTCAATTCAGCAGCCACAGGGTCCTTTCCAAATGGAAAACCACATCATATCTCTTCCTACTCAAAACCTCCCATTGACTCCTAACTCATTCAGAATAGAAGGCCAGCCAGGTGTGGTGGTGAACACTTGTAGTCCCAGCTACTCAAGAGGCTGAGGGGAGGACAGCTTTAGCCAAAGAAAGAAGAAGGAGGAGGAGGAGGAGGAGGAGGAAGAAGAGAAGAAAGCTAACTCCTTGTAGTGACGTGCAAGGTCCTACATCTCTTTGATCTGATTACTGTCCTCTCACGGCCTCCCCATGCCCCACCCCCCAATACCTGGAACACAAATGCCCATGCCTGGCCCTTGGCATATGCACAACCCCTCCCTCCGCCCGGATGCCCCCTCCACCAGCTGTCCACGGGGCTTATTCCTGCTGCTTCTTCAGGGCTCCCCTACCCCAGCATTCCCCATTGCTTTATTTGTTTGTTTGTTTTGAGACAGAGTCTCACTCTGTCGCCCAGGCTGGAGTACAATGATGCAATCTTGGCTCACTACAACCTCCACCTCCCGGGTTCAAGCGATTCTCCCACCTCAGGCTTCTTAGTAGCTGGGATTACAAGCGCCCACCACCGTGCCTGGCTAATTTTTGTATTTTTAGTAGAGATGGGGTTTCGCCATGTTGCCCAGGCTGGTCTCGAACTCCTGAGCTCAAGTAATCTTCCCACCTAGGCCTCCCAAAGTGCTGGGATTACAGGCGTGAGCCACCATGCCCAGCCCCCTGTGTTATTTTTATCCATAGCACTTATCACTATCTGAGGTAGTGAAGATGTCTATTTCCTTGTTATGATCTGTTTCCTCTGACTACAATAAAAACTCCATGAAGTCAGGGATTCTATTTGCCACTGTGCTCCAAACCCCAATGCCTAAAAGCTGTCTGTCATACACTAGGTATCTAATAAATTGTTGTTGAATTCATTAATTCTACTCATATTTATCATTTACTTTTTTCAATTGCAGTTCAAGGGGGAGAGAGAGACAAATCAACAGGTACTTATAATACAGTGGGTAAGTGCTGTATTTGGAGAAGTATAGGGCATTACAGAGTAACAAAGGAGAACCAGATGCGAATAAAGAAATAAGGAAATATAAGTGCCCTCAGAGAAGTCGTCTGACATCCTGCATGCTCCAATTTGGCATACCCAGCATCCTATCTGACCTGGGGAGTTCTGGTGCTTTTGTTTTAATTTGTGATTATAAATGTGTCAGATGTGTCAGTCATTGCCTTCCTAGGCAAATGCAAAATCACAAAACATTTTCTTATCAAAAATAATAGCCTCGGGCCAGGCGCTGTGGCTCACACCTGTAATCCCAGCACTTTGGGAGGCCGAGATGGGCAGATAACCTGAGGTCGGCAGCTCAAGACTAGCCTGGCAAACATGGTGAAACCCTGTCTCTACTGAAAACACAAAAATTAGCCAGGCGTAGTGGCGGGTGCCTGTAACTCCAGCTATTCGGAAGGCTGAGACAGGAGAATTCCTTGAACCCGGGAGGCAGAGGTTGCTGTGAGCTGAGATTGTGCCACTGCACTCCAGCCTCTGACAGTAAAACTCTGTATCCTAAATAAATAAGTAAATAAAATAAAATTGTAAAAAAAGTTATAGCCTGGGACTCAACAAAAACAACGTTCCTATGGGAACACAGTTTTGTCTTTTTTTGTTTAAACAGTTGTTGTTGTTGTTGTTGTTTTTGAGACAGGGTCTTGCTCTGTTGCCCAGGCTGGAGTGCAGTGGCACAACCACAGCTCACTGTAGTCTCAACCTCCTGGGCTCAAGCGATCCTCCCACCTCAGTTTCCTGAGTAGCTGGGATCACAGGCACGCCACCACACCTGACTAATTTTCTGTATTTTTTTTTCTAGGGATTCGGTTTTGCCATGTTGCCCAGGCAGGTATCAAACTCCTGAACTCAAACAATCCACCTTCTTCGGCCTCCCAAAGTGCTGGGATTATAGGCTGTTTTATACTTTTTAGGTGATTAAGTATCTTTAAATATTTACCGAACAATTTATTTTAATTATTCTAAATTTTCTTCTAATTATTATGAATGTAGATACATGTTTCACAAAATTACAATTATACTCACATAAAATCTATACAGGCGGTGGCTCGCGCCTGTAATCCCAGCACCTTGGGAGCCCAAGGTGGGTGGATCACCTGAGGTCAGGAGTTCGAGACCAGCCTGAACAACATGATGAAACGCTGTCTCTACTAAAAAGACAAAATTAGCCAGGTGTGGTGGCACACGCCTATAATCCCAGCACTTTTGGGAGGCTGAGGTGGGTAGATCTCCTGAGGTCAGGAGTTTGGGACCAGCCTGGCTAACATGGTGAAGCCCTGTCTCTACTAAAAATACAAAAATTAGCCAGTCATGGTGGTGGGTGCCTGTAATCCTACCTACTCAGGAGGCTGACACAGGAGAATCGCTTGAACCTGGGAGGTGGAGGTTGCAGTGAGCTGAGATCATGCCATGGCACTCCAGCCTGGGCAACAAGAGTGAAACTCCCTAAAGAAAAAAAAAAAAAAAAAAGCTATAGCTTTTCATGGAATATCTGCATTTGCACATACCTCTCCTCTGCATGACATTCTTCTTTCATTCACCCAGTTGTTTTCTGCTCTTTCTGGTGCCTTCTTTTTCTTTAAGCAACATTTATTCAAAGAAGTCATCACCATGGAGGCTTTTCCTATATGCTCAGGGCTACAAAATCAGCTTTTCACATCATTTTCCCCTTGGTATCTTCCTCCTCCTCCTCCTTCCTCCTTTTGTCTTCTATTCCTAGAAGTCTGTGGCTTTTCATAGTTTGGGGATTTTGTTGTTGTTGTTTTGACAGAAGAATTAAGGTCACACATGTATTTAATGCCCTGAGCCAAGTAGTGTCTTTTCCCAAAGGCCACAGAGCTTTGCCTAGGTGCCTCTGCACCGTCATCACGCTCTCATTGACCTTCCTTTCTCTTCCTCCAGGTCCAGGGGAAGTAAAAATCCCAAATCAAAAATCCCCTTAAAGCTTTATTAAAATGAGAGCTAGAAAGAAAAAAAAGATTAAAATAAATAAATGAATAAATAAAGTAAGAGCTAACAGCTAATATTTATGACGTGCTCACCATGTGCTGAGCATTCTACATAAATTCTGTCACTCCCACTTCACAGTACCTCCACGAAGTAGGTACAAATGCAAAAATCTCAGCCTCAGTGAGGGTAAGTGACTTGTCTGAGGTGCTCTGAGTACTGAATGATGGAACATTCATGTGTACCTAAACAGTCTGACCATGCAGCCATGCTCCAGCCACAGTGCAACGTGCAACACTGGTCGGGGGAGCTAACAAGGAGTTAACAAGGCAGTGAGTAACACTGCAGCTGTTACAAGAACCACTAGAAATCGTGGATTTGCAGAATATCAACAATATTTTGTCCTTGTCTTGAAGGAAAGGTACTAGGGCTAGGATTACTTTTTTTTTTTTTTTTTTTGAGACAAGGTATCGCTCTATCTCCCAAGCTCACTGGCTCACTGCAGCCTTGAACTCCTGGGCTCAAGCAACCCTCCCGCCTCGGCCTCCCTAAGTGTTGGGATTATGAGCATAAGCCATGGCGCCTGGCCTACGGTTACTTTTAGAATGTCTTCTTTCAGGATTCTCTAGGTTTTACTCTAGGATTTGGCTGGAATAGAATGCTGGTAAAGCTACCTAAGGTTTAGGCCCCCAGGTGATTCCCGGTAGTGAGATTCTTAGCAACTTTCAGAACCCACATCCGTGCTTGCTCCCTTTTTACTACATCAGCCGCTGACTCAGGACCAAGCTTTATTTGGTCTCAGCAGCCACCTGAGAACAGCAGTTGCTCAGAATTCTGCCCTGGTTGCTGGGGTTTCTACCTAAGGCCCTACCCTGTCTGGTCCCAAAGGTTCCTCTTCTTGGATTCAAGCTAACCTTGGCCTGCATTGATTTGGATGTTACCTTTTCCCTATACCAGCTCCACCCTGGAAGTTTCTTTGGCTCAGACTCCTAGAAAACCAGAAGCTGCCCTTGCCTTTGCCTTCTGTCCTTCTCAGTTTGTCCAAAATATTCCTCACCAAGCCATATAGGCTGGCTTGACCTTAAATGAATTTCAGCCCCTCTTCACTATGCTGTTCAGTTGGCACCTGGCCTGTTCTCAGTGGGGCCTGGTGACCGCGATGGCAGGTGCCTCTCTTGGGGAACCCAACCGCCTTTCATGGGATCTTCCAACCCAACTGTTACTTCCTATTTGAAAGCTTTAGACCCAAGTAGGTCCACTACAAACTCTGTTTCCAGCCAGGGGGACTTTTCTAATTCTCAGTTCATTTGCACAACAGAAATGACACCAAACCCAGTGGGTGTTCATGTCCCTCCCAGATCAGGTGACCAGCTCTGCAACCCCACTCTCTTCCCCTGGTTCTTTCTGATGATTCACCTATGAGTTACACACCTTCCCCTGTGCTAGGGCTGTCCTCTAGCCTAGACCCTACCGAGATATTCTGACAGTGTTGAGCCGTGCTTTTCACATTTCAGTCTTTCATTTATAGTGGTCACAATTTTTGTCATAGATAAATAAGTATCATCCGTACTATTAGTTATTTAATGTATTTTTCTTTAAATCACTTAGTTTTTAACTTTAAACCCAATATTCTTCAGTGTTGCCCTAAATAATATTACCTTCAAGATCAGTGGTTGGATATGCTAGTTATATATTTACTTTTTTTTTTATTTTTTGTTTAGTTTTTTATTTTATTTGAATCATCCACCTCAAAATGTCACTAGTTATATATTTTCTTTTCTTTCTTTCTTTCCTTTTTTTTTTTTTTTTTTTGAGACAGAGTCTCACTCTGTTGCCTAGGCTGGAGTGCAAACCTCCGCCTCCTGGGTTCAAGTGATTCTTGTGCCTCAGTCTCCCAAGTAGCTGGGATTACAGGCGTGCACCACCACACATGGATAATTTTTGTATTTTTGGTAGAGACGAGGTTTCACCATGTTGGCCAGGCTGGTCTTGGAACTCCAGACCTCAGGTGATCTGCCCACCTTGGCCTCCCAAAGTGCTGGGATTACAGGTGTGAGCCACCTTACCCGGCCTAGTTATATATTTTCAAACACACATTAACTAAACAAATAATTATAAGCACTGAGTCCATCAATGTCAATATGACACAGCTTTTTTTCCAGGAAACACTCGCCCAGGAAAATAAGACTGTAAGCCAATATGTAACTTGGCAATTTGCTTCAGAAAATTCCTGCAAATCAATGTATTTGGGCAGGCAGTTTGCTTACCTGGGCAAAGAGCTCGTTTATTAGACAAGTTTACTCCTAAGGACCTTTGCCTCACATGCCTTCCAATCCTGAACGATTATGTCAGAAACTGAGCCCAACCCAACCCCAATCTGTTCTCATGGTTTTGCCGCCTTGCCCAGACCGGTCTCAAACTCCTCAACTCAAGCAATCCACCTGCCTCGGCCTCCCAAAGTGCTGGGATTACAGGTGTGAGCCACCACGCATGACCTGACATTTTATTTCTTTTTTAAATTTATTTTATTTTCATCTTTTTTCATTTTTTGTTCTGAAATTTCATATGTTCAACTGTTTACCACCTAAAATCATCTCATCCATTAGGAGTGGTAGGCACAGCAGCCTTTGATGAAACATTTCCCCTAAAAACACAATAAGAAAGTTCCTCTTCCAGCTCTCCACTGTCTCTCCCACGCCTTGCCTTTCTCCTCCAGTCTCTTATGTCCCTCCTCCTCCCACACCTTTACCATCAATGCCTTTTGCACCTGAGGTCTGCCTGCCTTCTATGACTCAGAAGGACATAAACTAAGGGAGAAGGTGATTTCCAGCAGATGAGCAGACAGTATTCCAGTGAGACTCATAAAGTGGTAAGCAACCTCTGTGCTTTGAAAACATTGTTAACTTAAAATGGAATACTAGACCATCATGGAGCTCATCGTGACACTGGCCACTGTGAAGCCAAATTTCAAGTACGGAAAGTCACCCAATACAGTGCAATGTCACTGCAATTTACACGATGTGATATGAGAGTCTGTACCAAGAAGGCTCCTCTGCCCCAAATTTCTTGCCTTTCATCCATTTGCCCCACAACTCACGGGTGTTAAAGGGCATAACATTTTAACTATAACTTAAGGGAAACTAACTTTTTTTGTTTTGTTTTGTTTTGTTTTGAGATGGAGTTTTGTTCTTGTTGCCCAGGCTGGAGTACGGTGGCACTATCTCAGCCCACTGCAACCTCCGCCTCCCGGGTTCAAGCTATTATCCTGATTCAGCCTCCTGAGTAGCTGAGATTACAGGCGTGTGCCACCACACCTGGCTATTTTTTGTATTTTTAGTAGAGACAGGGTTTCACCATGTTAGCTAGGTTGGTCCCAAACTCCTGACCTCAGGAGATCTACCCACCTCAGCCTCCCAAAGTGCTGGGATTACAGGCGTGAGCCACCACACCCGGCCAACTTCAACTTTTTAACTTTAACTTGAGCACCACTTTTCTGGTCCTTCGAAGGCAAAAAAATCTGAGGAGATATGAGTATAGCAACCTTTGGGACCGGCACGGTGACTTGTGCCTATAATCCTAGCGCTTTGTGAGGCCGAGGCGGAGGGATGGCTTGAGGCAGGAGTTCGAGGCTGTAGTGAACTATGATCACACCACAGCACTCTAGCCTGAGGGACAGAGCAAGACCTTCCCTAAAAAAAATAAATAAAATAATTTAAAAATTTTTTAAACTCAACCATTGGTATTTATGGATCACTTATAGTAGGTAGGATGTTTTCAAGGTCTCCACTACAGTGCCTGTGTGCTTTGATTCTTAAAGAACGCTGTGAATGGTAGGTATTATTTTCCAGTTTACAAATGAATTAACCCAGGCTTCAAAAGGTTTGATGATTTGCCTGAGGCCACACAGCTGGTAAGGGGCAGGCCATGGTTGCCTCACCAAGTCCCTGCCCCTAATGTTACTGGAAGTGGATCCATAACATAAAAACAGCCTCTGGTGTTTCTGTAGCCCTCGTTGGTCTTATAGACTGCTCGTTCATTTTCTCATTTCCTCACGGGACACCCCCTTGAGGAGGCAAGCTGGGGGTATTTTTAGCAATGGTTTGTCAGTTCCACTTCCTCTGGGATAAGCTGCAGCAGGTGGGCGAAGGAAGGAGGAAGCAGAGAGGGACGACTGAGGAGAGAGACCGCGTGGAAGGGAAGGCCGTCACTCCTCTCCAGGCCCGTCCCACTCACGCAGAACACTGTCCTGATATTTGGGCAGCAGGAGGGTGCCCTGCTTCGAGAAGGAAAATTACCAGGGACCCGTGTGCTCTGTGAAATATGTAAGGCTCTACACAAGGAAGGAAAGCAGTTCCACTGAGATTGGTAATAAATAACATAGTTGTAAACAGAGTAAGAGAATAGAGTTAAGGGTCTCGCCAGACTGCCCCAAAAACAAAAAAAGTCCTTGTTGGGGTTCAGGCTCAGCTGTAGGCTTTAAATTGTTTAGGGATATTTACAGTTCTAAGATATAGAAATCTAGGGCAATGAAGGCTCCTGCAACTATTTAAATGGTATCTGTGAATTAGTGATTTATATTATTTCTTTCTGTTTGTTTTTTTTTGAGACAGGATCTCACTCTGTGGCCCAGGCCGGAGTGCAGTGGTGCAATCATCAGTCACTGCAGCCTTGACGTCCCACCTCAGCCTCCTGAGTAGCTGGGACTACAGGCGTGAGCCACTGTGCCCGGCTAATTTTTATTTTTTGTAGAGACAGCGTCTCCCTATGTTGTGCAGGCTGGTGTCAAACTCCTGGGCTCAAGTGATTCTCCCACCTCAGCCTCCCAAAGTGCTGAGATGACAGGCATGAGCCGTGGCACCTGGCAACTCGTGCTATTTCTAATAGCTACTTATGTTGAGCACCTACCATGAGGTGGGCACATCACCTATTGGCTTCTCATTTTCAGATTAGGATGCTGAAGCTCAGCTAGCAAGTTTCTGCATTGAAATTCAAAACTAGGATTGTCTTGCTTGAATGGCTTTGCGTCATCATGATGGAACTTCCAGAGATCAGTCATATGTTACCCCAGCATCAAAGAGAAAAGAATAGACTGGACTGGCGAGCATAGAGTTCCCATTTATGTGCCTCAAATTCCATCCCATTTACTACCTTGGGCATTTTAACAGCCTTTTAAAGAAATATGGGCAGGCGCGGTGGCTCACACCTGTAATCCCAGCACTTTGGGAGGCCACGGTGGGTGGATCACCTGAGGTCGGGAGTTCAAGTCCAGCCTGACCAACATGGAGAAACCCCGTCTCTACTAAAAATACAAAAATTAGCCAGGTGTGGTTATGCATGCCTGTAATCCCAGCTACTCAGGAGGCTGAGGCAGGAGAATTGCTTGAACCTGGGAGGCGGAGGTTGCAGTGAGCTGAGATCACACCATTGCACTCCAGCCTGGGCAACAAGAGCAAAACTCCATCTCAAAAAAAAAAAAGAAAGGAAAGAAATATTTAGAAACTGGCCAGGCATGGTGGCTCGCTGTAATCCCAGCACTTTGGGAGGCCGAGGCGGGTGGATCACCCGAGGTCAGGAGTTCGAGACCAGCCTGACCAACACTCAAAATACAAAAATTAGCCAGGCGTGGTGGCGGGCACCTGTAGTCCCAGCTACTCAGGAGGTTGAGGCAGGAGAATCACTTAAACCTGGGAGGCAGAAGCTTCAGTGAACTGAGATAGTGCCACTGCACTCCAGCCTGGGTGAGAGAGCAGTACTCTGTCTCAAAAAAAAAAAAAAAAAAGGAAATATATATATATGATATATTCTATATCTAGAATATATATATAGAATATATCATTCTATATATAAAAACCTGTTTATATACAAGAAAACCTAATTCATTTGAAATACAAGGAGGATTTTAGCTTTAGTTTGATTTTTTAGAACAATAGAACAGAAGCTTCTAAACATTTTTGAACTTGACCTACAGAAAGAAAAGCCCTTTACATCATGCCTCAGTATACACAAATACACATGTGTGCAACAGAAGTTTCACAGAGCAACACTTACTCTACCTGTGAGAAGCACTCTGACATTTTGTTCTATTTTATTTTATTTTATTTATTTTTGAGACGGAGTCTCACTCTGTCACCCAGCTGGAGTGCAGTGGTGCAATCTTGTCTCACTGCAGCCTCCGCCTCCTAGGTTCAAGTGATCCTCCCACCTCAACCTCCCTAGTAGCTGAATTACAGACATGCACTACCACACCCAGCTAATTTTTGTATTTTTAGTAGAGACAGGGTTTCAGCAAGTTGGCCAGGTTGGTCTCGAACTGCTGATTTCAAGTGATCCACCCACCTTAGCCTCTCAAAGTGCTGGGATTACAGGCATGAGCCACCATGCCCAGCCCCTTCTGACATTTTAGATTCTAGTCTAATCTTTCTCTTTTTTTATTTTTGTTCATAGTCTTCCTTAATTATCTTTAAAAAAAAAAAAGTGGTAAAAACGTAACATGAGCTCCATCCTCTTCACAGGTTAAGTGTACAATACAATGTTGTAAACTATAGGCACAATGTTGCACAGCAGATCTCTAGAACTTATTCATCTTTAATAACTGAAATTGTATCCCCTTGAACAACTCCCCATTCCCCCTTCCCCAGCCTTCCCCAGTAGCAATCACCATTGTACTCCTGGCTTCCATGAGTTTGACTATTTTAGATATCTCCGGTAAGTGGGACCATACAGTGGAAAACAGTAAAGAGGTTCTTCAAATCATTTTTTATTTAATTAATTAATTAATTTATTTGTTGAGACACGGTCTCACTCAGTCACCCAGGCTGGAGTGCCATGGTGTGATCTGGGCTCACTGCACCCTCCATCTCCCAAGTTCAAGCGATTCTCCTGCCTCAGCCTCCCAAGGAGCTGGGATTCCAGGCATACACCACCACGCCCAGCTAATTTTTCTATTTTTACTAGAGACAGGGTTTCGACATGTTGGCCAGGCTGGTCTCGAACCCCTGACCTCAGGTGGTCCACCCGCCTCGGCCTCCCAAAGTGATGGGATTACAGGTGTGAGCCATCACGCCTGGCCTCTTCAAATCATTTCAAATAGATCTGGCCGGGTGTGGTGACTCACACCTGTAATCCCAGCACTTCGGGAGGCCGAGGCGGGCGGATCACCTGAGGTCAAGAGTTTGAGACCAGCCTGGCCAACATGGCAAAACCCTGTCTCTACTGAAAATACAAAAATTAGGCTGGGCTCAGTGGCCCACGCCTGTAATCCCAACACTTTGGGAGGCCAAGGTGGGCGGATCACGAGGTCAGGAGATCGAGACCAGCCTGGCCAACATGCTGAAACCCCGTCTCTACTGCAAATACAAAAATTAGCCAGGTGTGGTGGTGCGTGCCTGTAGTCTCAGCTACTCAGGAGGCTGAGACAGGATAATCACTTGAACTCAGGAAGCGGAGTTTGCAGTGAGCCGAGATCGAGCCACTGCACTCCAGCCTGAGTGACAGAGCAAGACTGCGTCTCAAATAAATAAATAAACAAATAAAATAGATCTTTCCTTTTTTTGATGCTGCTCATATTGATATCAGGATCCACTAATACGTTGTTTCTACAACAATGGAACCTGAAGCCTGGGTCTAGCATTGTTTTGCCTGAAATGACACAGTATAGTAATTAAAGGTTCAAAAGTAAATAGGAAAGACAGAGAAGGAGAAAAAGAGAAATTTAAAAACTTAATTACTGACGGCTACTCAGTGGAAATATTACCACCTTTATGCATTTTTAATTCTTGAAGAGATGCCATTTATAAATGCTGCTTATTTTTTCCTACAGGCTGATCGAAGATGATGAAATGCCACATTCGCTTCAGTAAACAGACATCTCAAAGTCCAAAGGAAACAAACTCAAAGGTTAGTTCATTTGTGTCTCAAATAATATTCATCAGCTGGTTTGCTAACTAGGGCAAGTCTCTCTGAAGCAAATGCACGAAGGAACGCGGGTATCATTATCCACTAGGTGGCAATATAGAACAGGAGTAGCCTTAGCCTTAGCCTGTTTACTGACACGTGGGTGGTGTGAACCGCAAAAGAATTTCGAAATCCAGGACTCCCCAGTAATTCACATGGATTCAGACTGAAAGTTTACTCAGCGCTCCTGGCATGTTTCTGCCCTTTCTTGGAACAGCCCTGAATTTCAGCTTCATTCTTGCTGACGGGCTGGTATTTAAAATTAGTAATATCCCTGGCTACTTCCTTGTGGCAATGTAGATGAACTGTTGCTGTGTAAAGTCAGAGCCATAGTGTTGCCTGTATTTATTAATGATCTACAAGGTAAGCATATGCCGTGAAGGTTTTATCTCTCGCCCCCTACCATCTAACAGCTTAAAAATACTGAGTTCCTCACATCATTCCCATTACTAACGATTTTCATATTTCTTTTATTTTTATTTTTATTTTTATTTTGAGACAGAGTCTCACTCTGTCGCCCAAGCTGGAGTGCAGTGGCACGATCTTGGCTCACTGCAACCTCTGCCTCCCGGGTTCAAGTGATCCTCCTTCCTCAGCCTCCCAAGTAGCTGGGACTACAGGCACGTGCCACCACACCCAGCTAATTTTTGTATTTTTAGTAGAGATGGGATTTCACCATGTTGGCCAGGATGGTCTCAATCTCTTGACCTCGTGATCTGCCCGCTTCGGCCTCCCAAAGTGCTGGGATTACAGGCGTGAGCCACCATGCCCAGCCCAATTTCTATATTTCTCAGTTGCTCTGCAAATTGTAAAGTCACTGGACATATTTGATTAACATTTTGGTTCTTGTTGTTCAACTGAAAAGGATGGTCTTCTCAAGTACATATTGGCAAGACATTTTCCCTGCAAGAACTAATAGTTGATAAGTTAGAAATGTATCATAAACAAAAATGTACATTTTATGCAATGTGATCATATTCTTTTGAAATAACCACATGTATGAGAGATTAAAATCCCCACAGGTAACGCTTGTTCATAAAATTTCTTTATATTAACTTAGAAGTTTTACTTATTTTATAATATTTTTTGAAGTAGCTAAAGAGAAGACATTTATAAATGATTTTCTCTTGCTAATTTATGACATTTTTATATCATCTGAATCTTTATGAATACATATTACTTTTACAAACAGAAAAATAAAAGTGTTTTGTTATAGAATAATACATAACTATGAGAGAAAAACATGAATTTTAGTATGGCACAACCTAGAAAGTTATTACTAATGAGTCACATAATTTAAGTGCTAAGTTCATCTTGACCATGAATTGCTGATTTTGGAAATATTTTTGAATTTAGGTCACTTCTACCTATTCTTATCTATAATTAAGCATTCTTCTCAAAGTAGAAAGATCAAGTTGCTCATTATTCTTACTGTGAATACAATTAGTAAGACACCTAATAGTAGCACTTTCAGTTGTTAAAAACAGCAAAACCAGTATATCTAATATTTTTTGTTATTCTTTACACCACACAGTAACTCACATCCATGTGGTGGTTCACAGGTTTATAGCATAAGAAGCATTCTCACTTACCTCTGCACCTTTCGTATTCCTAATAGATGTATGAAATGGGTGGGGCATCTATAGAGACTCTAAGATACAAACTTCTCCATGTAAGACCATACATCTACGCAGTCACAGAGCCGGGGAAGAACTAATCATTGATTCCGACTCAAGCTATTTGCCTTTCATTTCTGTGGGCCTGAAGCCTGTACCCATGAATGCTCCATACATGTTGATGAGGAAGAGGATGCCTTTTTACCAGGCATTCAATGTACTAGATGCTCTTTGTTGCTTTTTCTTCATCTGCACGTGGGGAATGAGCTGGAGGGCGTGAAGAGGAGCACAGAAGGACAAGAGTAACCCAGAACAGACTGTGAGCACCCGTAATGCTCTCACTCCCAATGTGGAATGGGTTCTTCATAACAGCTCTGGGAGCATGGCAATATAGGTCTTATTCATGCTGAATCTTTTTTTTTTTTTTTTTTTTTTTTTTGAGACTGGCTTTCACTCTGTTGCCCAGGCTAGAGTGCAGTTGCACAATCATGTTTCACTGCAGCCTGGACCTCCAAGGCTCAAGCAAGCCTCTCACCTCAGCCTCCCAGGTAGCACCACCACGCCCAGCTAATTTTTGTGTATTTTTTGTAGAGACTGGGTTTCACCATATTGCCCAAGCTGGTCTCGAACTCCTGGGCTCAAGTGATCTGCCCGCCTCAGCCTCCCAAAGTGCTGGGATTATAGGTTTGAGCCTCTGCTTCCAGCCCATGCTAAATCCTAATGCCATATTCATTTATCACATTGTCCATTACCTTTCAAATTCTATGACAGCATAGCCATGTGTTCATTCAATTGTGAAGTATTTGTTGAGCATCTTCTAAGCACCAGGGACTATGTTCGATGCTGAGTCCAAAGTTGAGAGCAGCAGACAGGCTCCCTGCCTACGTGGAGTTTGGAGTCTAGCAGGAGAGAGACATTACATAAAAAAGCACAAAGACACATAATTACTAATTCTACGGGGAAACAAAAGAAGAGGCTTTATGAGAGACACTAGCAGGAAAGAGACATAATTAGGATGGAGGAGGGGTGTGTCAGGAAGTTTTTCTCAAAAAGTATCATTTAGGCTCGTCTCGTGGCTTACACCTATAATCTCAGCACTTTGGGAGGCTGAGGCAGGTGGATTGCCTGAGGTCAGCAGTTTGAAGCCAGCCTGGCCAACATGGTGAAACCCCATCTCTACTAAAAATACAAAAATTAGCCAGGCGTAGTGGTGCACGCCTGTAATCCCAGCTACTTGGGAGGCTGAAGCAGGAGAATCTCTTGAACCCGGGAGGCGGAGGTTGCAGTGAGCCGAGATGACGCCACTGCGACAGCCTGGGTGACAGAGTGAGATTTCATCTAAAAATAATAATAATAAAAATATTATTTAAGCTGAGACCAAATGATGAGTAGGGATTTACAAGGAAAGATTTCAGGAACGGTTTCAAGAACAGGAACTCCTCTATACCAAGGCCCTGAGGTAGGAAAATGCTTAGTTTGTTGGAAGAATTGAAAGAAAGCTCATGTGGGCAGAGCAGACGATGCAAAGGAGTGTGTGGCCAGAGACCAGGCAAGAGAGGCCTTGCTCCCCATCTTAAGTACTCTGTGGTTATCCTAAGATCAGTGGCAAGCCATTGCTGAGTTATAAGTAGGGAAGAGACATAATCAGACCTATTTTTTTAAAAGATGGCATTGGCAGTTTCTATTGGGTTAGAATGGAGTGGGAGTCCGCGTGGGAAATCAGTGCAGAGGCCCCTGCCATGCTCTAGGGACAGATGGTGGTGACGGCACTAGGGCAGTGGCTGAGGCGGTGACAGGAAAGGGAAACATCTAGACTTGGTGTTGGATGGGGTGAGGGGAGTGAGGGAGAAGGACATGCCTCCAAGGTGTGGCTTGATAAAGAGCGCGTGGGTTTGTCACTCATGAAGATGCAGAACAGGAGGGGAACAGCTTTGGTGACTGGGGAGGTGGCATCATCAGGAGCTTAGACGTAGACTTATTAGGGGCAAGCCGCCTAGGAGACATTCAAGTGGAGATGTCAGGGAGGCACTTGAATGTAAGAGTGTTGTTGAAAAGAGAGCCTTATGCTGGAGCTGATTGCTTTGGGAGGTGGTACTAAAATTCATGAAAACTGATGAGACCATCTCGGGAAAAAGAGTACAATGAAAAGAAAGGAAGACCCAGAACCAAGCCCAGAGAAACTTCTACTCTTAAAAATAGATAAAGGCTGCTGGCACCATGGTCATACCTGTAATCCCAGCACTTTGGGAGGCCAAGGTGGGAAGATCGCTTGAGCCCAGGAGTTCAAGATTAGCCTGGGCAACATGGTGAAACCTTATCTCTACTAAAAATACAAAAATTAGCCAAGCATCATGGCACACACATGTAGCCCCAGCTACTCGAGAGGCTGATGTGGGAGGATCACCTGAGCCAGGGGAGGACGAGGCTGCAGTGAGCTGTGATCACGCCACTGCACTTCAGCCTGGGCAACAAAGTGAGACCCTATCTGACAAAAAAAAAAAAAAAAAAAAAAAAAGGCAAAGGAGAAGGAAGTAGTTAAAGAGCTGGGGCAGGACCTACCGGAGAGGTAGGAGAAGAACCAGGAGAGTGTGGTGTCTAACGAGTCAAGAGAAGAGAAAGTTCCATAAGGGGGAAGTGGCCAGCAGTGCCCAATGTAGCTGGGACCACTACTCATGAGTAAAGCATGCAAAGCACTCAACAGCAGTTCAAAGAGGAGAGCACTGCACATGAGAAAGGAAAAGATACCTTTATAGAAATTTCAACCGTGAGTAGCTGGTTTATTTTCAAGAGGACCTTTTACCCACATTTTGTGGCAGCCAGATAAGTAGGAACTATCAGTACCATTTTTATTTTCCTAATATTTATTTATTTATTATTTATTTTGAGACAGAGTCTCGCTCTGTTGCCCAGGTTGGAGTGCAGTGGTGCCATCTTGGCTCACTGCAACTTCCGCCTCCCAGTTTCAAGCAATTCCCCTGACTCGGCCTCCCGAGAAGCTGGGATTACAGGTATGTGCCACCAAACCTGGCTAATTTTGTATTTTTAGTAAAGATGGGGTTTCTCCATGTTGGTCAGGCTGGTCTTGAACTCCCGACCTCAGGTGATCCACCCGCTGTGGCCTCCCAAAATGCTGGGATTACAGGCATGAGCCACTGCACCCGGCCGCCCAGCTGGTTTTTTTTGTATTTTTAGTAGAGACGGGGTTTCACCATGTTAGTCAGGCTGGTCTCCAACTCCTGACCTCAGGCAATCCACCCGCTTCGGCTTCCCAAAGTGCTGAGATTACAGGCATGAGCCACCACACCCAGCCTATTTTCCTAATATTTAATTAGGAAATTTTTCAAACATAAAAGTTGAATGCATTACACAATAAGCACCCAGGTGTCTATCACCTGGATTCCACAAGCAATGTTTTATTATACCTGCTTGATCACGTTTCTATCCATCTAACCATCCCTCTCACCGTCCATCAATCCATCTTAATTTTTGGATGCATTTCAAAGTTAGTTTTAAACATAATATTTCACAATGAAACACTTCAGCATCCATATAATTAACTAGAATTCAATATCTGTTTATGGTTCTTTTTCTTTTTCTTTTAGGAGATGTGGTCTCACTATGTTGCCCAGGCTGGACTTGAACTACTCCCCAAGCAATCCTCCTGTCTCAGGCTCAGTAGCTGGAACTACAGGCACTGCCACTGCCCTCAGCTGATAGTTCTTTTTCCTTTAGGGTAAAATTTAAAAAGAGCAAACTGCACAAATCTTAACTGTGCCGTTTGATGCTCTTTCTTTTTTTTTTTTTTTTTTTTTTTTTTTTTTGAGACAGAGTCTCACTCTGTCATCAGGCTGGAGTGCAGTGGTGTGATCTCAGCTCACTGCAACCTCCTCCTCCCGGGTTCAAGCAATTCTTCTGCCTCAGCCTCCTGAGTAGCTGGGACTACAGGCGCGCGCCACCACGCTAGGCTAATTTTTGTATTTTCAGTAGAGATGGGGTTTCACCATATAGGCCAGGATGGTCTCGATTACTTGACCTCATAATCTGCCTGCCTCAGCCTCCCAAAGTGCTGGGATTATAGGTGTGAGCCACCATGTCCGGCCCTTTCTTTCTTTCTACAGGCAGGGTCTCACCCTGTCACCCAGGCATAGTGGTGCCTCATGGTTCACTGCAGCCTTGACCTCCTAGGCTCAAGTGATCCTCCTACCTCAGCATCCCAAGTAGCTGGGACTACTGGCACATGCCACCACGCCCAGCTAATTTTTTTATTTTTTGTAGAAACAGATTCTCCCTATGTTGCCCAAGCTGGTCTCAAACTCCTGGGCTGAAGTGATCCTCCCACCTCCGCCTACTAAAGCTAGGATTTCAGGGGTGAGCCACTGCACCCTGCCTGATGCTTTTTGACAAATGCGTATCTTGCACGTGTCCTATTAAGTTATAGAATATTACATCGACCCAGAGTTTGTCACTGCTGCTTTATCTTTCAGAAAGTGCAGAGAGCGTAAGGAAAGAGCTCTGGTCCCGGGCTCACGGTAAGAACACAGCCAGTGTTCATTCCCTTCTCCCTTCTGCAAGGGGACTCTACCACCACTCACACAGATTCACCCACATTTTCACCAAGATAGAAATAGACATTGAACTCCTCCTAAAAGTGCTTTTGTAAACGTTTCACAATAAACCCTTTGTAGAGGACAATGGTGTCCAGTGAACCAAGCCCAGCCTAGGAAATCATAATTCCTCACTCAGAATCCTGCTCTGGGCATGCTGAGCAAGCTTATGTTAAAGTTCTCTTACTTGTAAAACAGGAACAATAACCATCTGCATCAGAGAAGTGTAACAATTACCCTGGCATTTTCATGTATTAACTAAAATAGCCCCAGAGAAAAAGGTGAAAAGATTTCAATACCAGGTTATGAACATTTTTACCAACCTGCCACATTGTCACAGTTTAACCCTTTGGTGCCCTAACCTGGCCATGCTACTGAGGAAAGGCCTGTTGGGCACCAGTTTGAATCAGGGACGTTCTGTGTGGAGTGCTGGGCCTGCTCAGATTTGGCACTGGAATCAGGACTGTGGTTGCTTGTGATGTCTTCCCAGGTCAAATATCCATCGCTAACAACCCCTGAAAGAGGATGTGGGCTTTGTTTATTTGTTCATTTTATTGCTTTTGTTTGTTTTGTAACTCTGGGCTTTAAGAAGATAGTATTAGAAACTTATCGGTTGGAAGGAAGAGAGGGTTTCCAAATTACTTGCCCTAAATCTGGATTTAAGGAACTCTGAGACATAAATTGAGATAAGAGCAACCTTTTTTTTTTTTTTGAGACAAAGTCTCGCTCTGTCCCCCAGCCTGCAGTGTGATGGCATGATCTCAGCTCACTGCAACCTCCGCCTCCTGGGTTCAAGCGATTCTCCAGTCTCAGCCTCCCGAGTAGCTGGGATTACAGGCGCCTGCCACCACGCCTGGCTAATTTTTGTATTTTTAGTAGAGACGGGGTTTCACCATGTTGACCAGGCTGGTCTCGAACTCCTGCCCTCAGGTGATCCACACGCCTCGGCCTCCCAAAGTGCTGGGATTACAGGTGTGAGCCACTGTGCCCGGCCGATAAGAGTACCTTTTAAGATTTAATTAAAATTTGCTTGAGGCTTCTTCCCAAGCTCTGTGAGGGGTCTAATTATTTCCCTGGGTTTATGTTAATTCCTGAGGTTTTGCAGACACATGTTCACTTCCAGTTCCACAATCCTGCTCTTGCTGAATGCACGCCTCTCTTGGTGTCTACTTCTGCTGTTGTCATCCTTTTCTGCTCTGGGACAATCTCGTTCTGGAACTCAACCTCTTTTCTTTGATTTATCCCAAACCACTTTCCCAAGGCAAAGGCTTGTACAATCCCATATCTGTATCTTTAATTTTTCTCCCCTCTCCTCTCTTTTTTTTTAATTAATTTTTTTAATTTAATTTTTTTTTTGAGACCAGTTTCTGGAAGTTACACTCTTTGACCCAGGCTGGAGTGCAGTGGTGCGAGCTAGGCTCACTGCAGCCTCCACCTCCTGGGTTCAAGCAATTCTCCTGCCTCAGTCTCCTGAGTAGCTGGGATTACAGGCATGTGCCACCATGCCCAGCTAATTTTTTAAATATTTTTAGTAGAGACGGGATTTCGCCATGGTGGCCAGGCTGGTTTCGAACTCCTGACCTCAAGTGATCCGCCTGCCTTGGCCTCCCAAAGTGCTGGGATAACAGGCATGAGCCACCGCGCCCGGCTCCCTCTCTTCTCTTGACTGTTCTACTCCCACTCACAAATTATTGTTGATGTTTAGATGTGGAGTGGTTTAGCTATAACTTTGCTATCTTATATTCTTTCATCCAGTGGCCCCAGGGTCTTTCCACCCACAAGTGGCTAATCAAGGCATTTTTCCAGACAAAGACAGTTCTCTAAGAGGAACTTTGGTATAAATTCTTTAAAGTATATATATGTGTGTGTGTGTGTGTGTGTGTGTGTGTGTATGCACATATACACATCTATACACACAAACACGTACATATATACACATATATAATATATATGCATATACATACATCATATATCATGCATTGTAGATATGTATATAATATATAAAGTATACAGATAATTACATGAATACATATTTATTTATTTATTTTATTCATTTATTTTTGAGACAGGGTCTCAACTCTGTCACCCAGGCTGGAGTGCAGTGATGCAATCTTGGCTCACTGCAACCACCACCTCTTGGGTTCAAGCAATCCTCCCACCTCAGCCTTCCGAGTAACTGGGACCACAGGCACGTGTCACTATGACTGGCTAATTTGTATTTTTGGTAGAGACATGTTGCCCATGCTGGCGCATAAATACATACGTATTTAAATCTATATACATATTATATGTATACACACACACACATATATATATACTCCACTGCATAGATTCAGTCATCTACACATCTAAACCACCTTTACTGTGGAATTAGTGAACTCTTTAGCTCCTCCCTTAGTCTGTTTCTTATTCTCATCTTTATTTCTCATTAAACTGATTATAATATATAAATATATTTCTTATATTTATCTCATCTTTATTTCTTATTCTCACCATCATTTTATTTCTGCATTGCCATACACCTTTCTTTCTGATTAAAATTAATCCCATCCAGTTTGCACTGTTGAGTTTATAAAATGGGAGACTGGAAATATCTGTTCAGTCACACACTGATTCAATCATACATTCATTCAACATACAATAATTGAGCACCTACAATAGAATACCATATTGGGTCCTATAGAAGAGACGGATAAAAGGGAGGGGGTCCATGCCTTCAGAAACTTAAAATCCAGCTGGATGTGCAACACTTAACACACACGAAACAAAGCATCCTCAAATGCACAATTCTCATCAGAGGAACAGCAAATTAGAGCAGAAAGCTAAAGCTTTGCCATGCACACCAATGCTGCTATATCAGCAGAATGAGCAGGAGGGGGAGAAAAGCCACTGTGGTTAAAAGAAACTGCTGGCCTATGGATTTTTTTAAATTACAATTTGCATGCTCTTCTAACAGTGTTAGTTCTGCTTAGGTGGCAGAGTGGCTTTCCTGAAAGTATGAGCTCAGCCTTGTCTTATGCCTGTTTAAAGAAAGAGGTCAGGTAAAGTGATTGTAGTAATAGCACCAAGCTGGTTGAAAACCACAGTATCTCTCAGATGGCACCAAAAACACCCACACGATGGAAAATTTTTGCCTGCTAAAAGCCGCTTGAAGTTGTTTCAGAAACACATATGAGCAGTATTTGCTCTTCTCCTTGGGAGTGTTCTCGAGGAAAACAGCTTTCCAAACTTAACATGTTAAGGTAGTAGAACAGTCTAGTGGCCTGAGTGAATTTTGGATTGAGCAGCAAGTGGGCCTTGAGTATTCAGGTAGCAAGTGGTCAAGGAGAATTTGGAGCTGGTCAGTGCCTGGCTAAACTGCATGTGCCTTGAAGAGAAGTCCTTCAGATCCACCTGTGTCTACACAAATTCATGAGTGACTGGTGCCGTGAATTCAGTCCCACTAACGCACCAGCTGTGCTTTTTGGTAGTTGTTTCCTTTTCTTGGCAATTTGGTTTTAGGTTGTGTCAAAAGGGGAAGACACAGAACTGAGACAAGGCAAAATTATAAGACATGTATCTTATTTTTTAGCTTCTCTATATCACTATATTTGAGGTGAAGGATTTAATCCTTATATAGCTCTTCCAAATCTCTTCATACAGTACCACAATTTATAACTGAACTCTATACTGAATAATCATTTAAAGCATTTTAAACTACCTTGGAAGAGAAATGAGTAATGACTCAATATATTTGCAAAAACCCATACTGTATCTATTGTAGGATGTCTACATAAAAACTGAATAACCCCATCAGTGTTCATTTGACATCAAAGTGGACCTAGGGGCAGAAAACAAAAGGACTCTCATCTTAAGGGCTGATAAATGTAGTCTATGTGTGGTATTGATAATTTTTTTAATTCACAGATCAAATATATTTTAATGTACACATGGAAGAATTTAACTATGAAGTTCATGAAGAATGGCAAGTATTAACATACTGAAAGATGGTATTCATGTGCAGGAGAAAGATAATCATCTGTTTCTCAATGATGGCAACATGCAATAAATGACTTCCTTCCGTAGAACCTCCAAATTAGAGTAATTCGTGTATTTCCCGTTTCACATTCTAGGAAAGTAAGTTATATCATGCTTTTCTAAGAACTGGTTGTTTTTCCTTGCATACTTCTATGACAAAATTTAAAATAATTTATTTGTAAGAGGATATACTGATGGTCTTAATTTGAAAACATTTAGTGAGATGTACCTGGCATACTAGATGTGATACTAAAAGAACTTGTGGGGCCGGGCACAGTGGCTCATGCCTGTAATCCCAGCACTTTGGGAGGCCGAGGCTGGCAGATCACCTGAGGTTGGGAGTTCGAGACCAGCCTGACTGACATGCAGAAACCCCGTCTCTAGTAAAAATACAAAAATTAGCCAGGCATGGTGGTGCATGCCTGTAATCCCAGCTACTCAGGAAGCTGAAGCAGGATAATTGCTTGAACCCTGGAGGCAGAGGTTGCGGTGAGCCAAGATCGTGCCACTGCACTCCAGCCTGGGCAACAAGAGCGAGACTCCGTCTCAAAAAAAAAAAAAAAGAAAAGAAAAGAAAGAAAGAAAACTTGTGGCCAGGAGAGGTGGCTCACGCCTGTAATTCCGGGTGTCTCTGGCTCTGGCTCTGTCTCTCTTGCCCAGGCTGGAGTGCAGTGGCGTGATCTCAGCTCACTGCAACCTCCACTTCCCGGGTTCAAGTGATTCTCTTGCCTCAGCCTCCTGAGTAGCTGGGACTACAGGCACGTGCCACCATGCCCGGCTAATTTTTTTGTATTTTTAGTAGAGATGGGGTTTCACAGTGTTAGCCAGGATCTTCTCGATCTCCTGACCTCGTAATCTGCCTGCCTTGGCCTCCCAAAGTGTGCTGGGATTACAGGCGTGAGCCACCATGCCTGGCCTCCGGTGATTTTTAATATATTTCTCTCTCTCTCTCTCTCTACATACATACATATATATATATATATATATATATATATATATATATATGTATGTATGTATGTATATATGTGCGTGTGTGTGTGTGTGCGTGTCTGTGTGTGTGTGTGTGTGTGTGTGTGTGTGTGTGTGTGTGTGTGTGTATATATTTTTTTTTCTGAGACAGAGTCTTGCTCTGTTGCCCAGGCTGAAGTGCAGTGGTGTGATCTCAGCTCACTGCAACCTCCACCTCCTGGGTTTAAGCGATTCTCCTGCTTCAGCCTCCTGAGTAGCTGGAACTACAGGCATGCACAGCCACGCCCTGCTAATTTTTGTATTTTTAGTAGAGACAGGGTTTTGCAATGTTGGCCAGGTTGGTCTCAAACTCCTGAGCTCAAGCAATCCATCAGCCTCGGCCTCCCAAAGTGCTGGGATTACAGGTGTGTGCCACCATGCCCATCCAATTATTATTTGAATTTTAACAATGATCATTACTTCTATCATCAGAAAGACCCATTAAAGATATTTCCATTGTAAAAATAACTGCATAGAAAAAATTGGCTTCCTATACTTAAATAAATAATATTAGATCCATAACGGACACTATTCACAGGTAAGTTACAGATAGAACTGTAGAAAATATATAAAACGAACACTTTATATTATTATAAGATTATCTTCATGACCTTGAATGAAGCAAAACGTCTTCTTTTAAGACAAGGTGTCACTCTGTCACTGAGGCTAGATTGCAGAGGCACAATCACAGCTCACTGCAGCCGCTACCTCATGGGCCCACGCAATCCTTCCACCTTACTTTCTGGAGTAGCTGGGACTAGGCGTGTGGTGAGCTACCAGGCCTGGGTATTTTATTATTACTATTTTTTGTTGAAACAGGGTGTCCCTATGTTGCCCAGGGTGGTCTCGAATTCCTGGACTCAAGCGATCTCCCCACCTCTGCCTCCAAAGTGCTGGGATTACAGGTGTGAGCCACCACACCCAGCCAATTTCAAATTTTATTTTAGATTAAGGGGTACATGTGCAGGTTCATTATATGAGTGTATTGCATGATAGTATGAATCATCGCATTACCCGGGTAGTGAGCATAGTACCAAATAGGTAGCTTTTGAGCCCTCGACCCCCCTCCCTCTCTCCCATATCAAGTAGTCCTCAGTGTCTACTGTTCCTTCCCATCTTTATGTTCATGTGTACCCAATGTTTAGCTCCTATTTGTGAGAACATGTGGTATCTTGTTTTCTGTTCCTGCATGAATTCACTTAGGATAATGACCAGCTGTATCCATGTTGCTTCAAATAACGAGATTTCATTCTTTTTTATGGCTGCATAGTATTCCATGGTATATATGTACCATATTTTCTTTACACAATACACTGTTGATAGGTATGTCAGTTGATTCCATGTCTTTGTTATTGTGACTAGTTTAAGCAAATTTTCTTAACACAGAAAAGACATGAATCATAAAGGAAAAGTTCTTTTTTGAGACAGGGTCTCACAGTGTGTCAGCTCACTGCAACCTCTGCTACCTGGGCTCAAGTGATCCTCTTGCCTCAGCCTCCCAAGCAGCTGGAACCACAGACATGCACCACCATGCCTGGCTTTTTTTTTTTTTTGTATTTTTGGTAGAGACAGGGTTTTACCATGGTGCTCAGGGTGGTCTCAAATCCTGAGCTCAAGTGATTTGCCCTCCTTGGCCTCCCAAAGTGCTGGGATTATAGGCCTGATCCACCACACCTGGCCTATAAAGGGAAAGATTTATAAATTTGCTTGTATTTTAGAGATGACACTAAAATTAAAAACTTAATTTAAAATTGAAGTTACAATACAAGCCACAGAACCAAGAAAAGGTATAACATGTATAACAAAGTATTAGTTACAAGGGAAACATTAATAAGCAAAAAAATTTTGTTTAATAAGCAAAAAAAATTTTGTTTAATGGGCAAAAATGTGAACAGGAAGCGGAAAAGGAAAACAAAATCACCAAAATCACAAAAGTGTGCTCAGCCTCACTGTAATTAGAGAAAAAAATTAAAATGAGATACCATGGTATGTACATCTGATTATCTACAATATTTATCCAGACAATATGAGATGTTGAAAAGGATGTAGAAAATAGGAACTTACATATTCTAGTAGTGGGAGTGAAAACTAGTACAGCCATTTTGATATTGAATTACTGATACCTAACAAAAATGTATGTTATGACCCAGAAAATCTTTTTCTATAGAAACTTGCAAATATTTGCACAGATGACATCTATAGAAAGTTGGAAACAATCTACAAGTCTATCAATAGGGAAATGAAAAATAAAGTGAAAATTCCCAAGAACATTGAATCAGCAGTTGATGCTGGATGTGGTGGTGTGCACCTGTAGCCCCAGCTACTTGGGAGGCTGAGGTGGGAGGATCCCTTGGGCGCAGGAGTTCAAGGCAGCGGTGAGCTATGATTGTGCCACTGTACTCCAGCCTGGGCAACAGAGCAAGAAAAAGCAAACAAAAAATCCCCAGCAGTTTAAAACATGAACCAGGTCTCTAGGTACTGATGTTATTAACAAAGATCACCAAAAAAATCATTGAGAAGAAAAAAAAGCAGGTTGCAAAAATATTTCCATAGTGTGATAAAATTGTTTTAATTGTAAAAACACCATATATATTGATAATGGATACATAGAAAATAATAAAGAGAATCATATACTAAAGGAAACTATTAGTTATTGTCTCTAGGGAGAAAAGTGGAGGAAAGTAATTTAAAAAGGTAGCAAAATGGACCTGATCTGAATATTATGTCACTTTTATTTAAAAAAAATAAAAGCAGCTGGGGATGGTGATTCACGCCTGTAATCCCAGCACTTTGGGAGGCCGAGGCAGGTGGATCACCTGAGGTCAGGAGTTCAAGACCAGCCTGGCCAACATGGTGAAACCCCATCTCTACTAAAAATACAATAATTAGCTGGGAGTGGTGGTGCGTGCCTGTAATCCCAGCTACTAGGGAGGCCGAGGCAGGAGAATCACTTGAACCTGTGAGGTAGAGGTTGCAGTGAGCCAAGACTGTGCCACTGCATTCCAGCCTGGGCAACAGAGTAAGACTCTGTCTCAAAAATAAATAAATAAATAAGTGAAAGCATATTGCAAAAAATAACAGTGGTGTGTTTAGACTCTTGCTGCTGTTCCCCATAGATCCTGACAAGCCTCCTCTCTGCCCTCTGACCACCGAGCTGCAGAGCTCCGGAGCTGCAGGAGGAGGACCTGCAGGGCCTGTGGGTGCAACTGTACACTAGTAAGCATGGGGATAGAGCAGGGCTCTAACTTCAATTTCCATTTACAGTCATGACATGCAAAAAACATTACTTGATGCCCAGCATGAAGCTCACTCACAGACACCCTGAAAATAGTCACTGATCGCACTGGAGCAAAAAAACAGCTTTCAGCCTGAGGAAGATCACATTGAGAGAAGTTGAAAGCATTTTGAAGAAAAACTCAGATTGGACACAGATTAGTCAAGTTGGTCTGAAAGTATCCCCTTGTCTTAGTCTGTTCCTGCTGCTGTAACAAAATACCACAGACTGGGTAATTCGTAAAGAACAGAAACTTACTCTCATAGTCCTGGAGGCTGGGAAGTTCGAGATCAAGGTGCCAACATATTCAGTGTCTGCTGAAGGTCCAGTCTCCACTTCCACAATGGCGCCTTGTTGCTGCATCCTCCAGAGTGGACAAACACTGTGTCCTCACATAACGGAATGGATAGGAGGCAAAAGGGCCTAAGCTAGTACCTTCCACCCCTTTTATAAGGCATGAATCTATATCTTGATGGGGAAGCCCTCATGACTTTATCACATCTCACATCCAAAAACCCTGAGTCTTAATACAACCATAATCTGAATTATGTTTCAAGATGAATTTTGGAAGGGTAACATTCAAACCATAGCACTTCCCAGAAGATAACTTCTTTAAACAAACATACAAAGCACACAGCATCTCTCAGCGTGAACAACACGTGTTATGATGAAAGGGTGTTTCTTTCTTTCTTTCTTTTTCTTTCTTTCTTTCTTTCTTTCTTTCTTTCTCTCTCTCTCTCTTCTTTTCTTCTTTCCTTCCTTCCTTCCTTCCTTCCTTCCTTCCTTCCTTCCTTCCTTCCTTCCTTCTTTCTTTCTTTCTTTCTTTCAGACAGGGCCTCCCTCTGTCATCCAGGCTAGAGTGCAGTGGCATGATCATGGATCACTGCAACCTCCACCTCCCAGGCTCAAGCAATCCTCCCGCCCCAGCCTCCCAAGTAGCTGGGACCACAGGCATGCACCACTGTGGCTGGCTACCTTTTTTTTTTTTTTTTTTGTAGAGACAGGATCTCGCTATGTTGCCCAGGATGGTCTTGAACCCCTGGGCTCAAGTGATCCCCCCACCTCAGCCTCCCAAAATGCTGGGATTACAGGCACTGCACCTGGCCAAAAGGGTGTATTTTCTAAAAAGAATTTTTGAAGGTGTTTCTTCCATCTCTGCTTCTGTCTCACCTGCTGGCCCTTGGATTGGGGATCTACGTCAGGGAAAGCGTCTGACGACATCAATCAGTACCTTCAGATGAAGAATTGAAATCTGACTTGGTTCACACAGTGGAGGCTATCTACTGAAAACTGCACCTAACTCTGCTTTTTATTATTTTTTAAGCAGAAACTAGGAAACCAAGGTACAACTCCACAGTCGAATTTATGCACTAAAATGTGTTTGCTGATTTGTGTGCTCTTAGAATCAGCTTTCTTTTACGCAAGGCTGTGTCTGTCAAGAGACTGGAAATAGAAAAAAATAAATCTTTGCTAAATTCTTCAGAGATTACAATATTTGCATATAGTTTAAAACAAAACCTTATAAAAGGCTTTTTGATTAAACCAGAAAAAAAAAGTTGTTTACTTAAAAATAAACACTTGCACTTCCCCAGTGTTACTAGGCCCCTTGCAGGCTTGGTTTGAGTGGCTAGAGCTGGAGCCAGTTGCAGCAGTAAAAGTGACCCATATTTTTTGACTTTTCTTTTTTTTTTTTTGAGACGGAGTCTCGCTCTGTCGCCCAGGCTGGAGTGCAGTGGCGCGATCTCGGCTCACTGCAAGCTCCACCTCCCGGGTTCACGCCATTCTCCTGCCTCAGCCTCCCGAGTATCTGGGACTATAGGCGCCCGCCACCACACCTGGCTAATTTTTTGTATTTTTAGTAGAGATGGGGTTTCACCATGTTGGCTTTTGCCATTTAAGAGCTGGGAGGGTTTAGGAGGTTAAGAGGCCACAACAAAACCATAGTCACTTCCTTGGGACTTCACTGGACCTTGCCTGACAGAAATGGGGCTTGTGGAATGACTTAAGCCTTCCTCCAGCTTTGCCGAAGGAAATCGAGCTCTGTGTTGATTTATAGTTGTTAGCCACTCTTTTATTTGTCAGTATTCTAAAAACTGTTGGGAAGCCTACATCATTAAAAAATATTATCTGTCAGACCAAAGATATGGAAAGTCGTTTTTGTTTTGTTTTATTTGTTTGTTTGTTTGAGAAATGTACAGCTTAAGAATTTTGTCTCCTAGATTTCTTGGTCAGTTTAAGGACATTTGATGCAAGTGTTGTGATTTAAATAGCCACATTTCCCAGAAAGCTCCTGTGTTTTTTGTAACCTCCTCTCTTTTCTAACAGGCCTAATACAAAGTTAGCCTCATACGTGTGAGTCCTGGAAATAGAACATTCAGCAGATTCTATGTAGCAATTACTATCTGGGACACCAACAGATATGTACTCCTGGTGCTATCTGGCAGACCCCTGGAGTCAGGGCTGAAAACACTGGCATACTGGCCAGCATCCGTCTTAACTTGTTAGCACCCGAACCTTACCAGGAGTTCAGCATTGTGAATATTACTCTGGCCCAGGAGGTCATTATTGCCCCAGGTGCATGGGTCTTGGCATGTTTAGTGCCTCAGCACTGAAATCTGGCTTTGGACCCTTTCTACTCCACAGCTTTTCCAGCCTTTCTCTTCTCATTGTCAGGCTATTTTCTTCGTCCTCACCCTTTAACTCACACCGTCTCTAGGACCCATCAAACCTTAGGCAGGAATTATTTGAACCTCTCTTCTCATCACCCTGGATGTAATGCCAATTCTCCAGGAGGGAAAACATGACCTGACACCCTGAAGACCTCTCCATCCCACCCCCTGCACCCCACCTCTCTGGAACACATGCATGCACACACACTCACGTACACTCCATGGCTCTTGCAATGGGCCAGCCTGCTTAACATCCCTGGTGATGATGCCTAAGTCACACAGTTTTCTCTGACTTCTGTCTGAAAAGCATCATCTTCAGCAAAAGTGGTCGGCTGGTAAGAGGAAGTAACGTAAGAAAGGATATGATAGGGTTCTTTGATCAATCATGTTTCTGAGAACATCATTATCTTCTATCTGTATTCAAAGCAAGTTCTGATTCTAGTGGAAAGCGTGGCCTCTCAGAGCTATCCTTGCTTACTCAGACATAGAAGTGATACACTGACCTCATGTGCTCTCTTCATATTTACATCATTAAAATTCTACCACAACCCATCTTATAAGTCTGCCTATCATGTGTTCTTACCGCCTGGCTATAATAGGTGCTGAATAATATTTGTTATTTTGAATGCGTATTATTCCCAAGACAACAAAACAAGTTGAAAGATTGCTCTGTAGCAACACAAATATCAGATTTCAGAGGGGGCAGACCATGAATAGGAGAGTTTGGGGTTATAAATTTCTTTTTTTTTTTTTTTTTTTTTTTTTTTTGAGACGGAGTCTCTCTTTGTCACCCAGGCTGGAGTGCAGTGGTGCGATCTCAGCTCACTGCAAGCTCCACCTCCTGGGTTCATGCCATTCTCCCGCCTCAGCCTCCCGAGTAGCTGAGACTACAGGTGCCCACCACCACACCCGGCTAATTTTGTTTTTTTTTTTTTTGTATTTTTAGTAGAGACAGGGTTTCACCATGTTAGCCAGGATGGTCTTGATCTCCTGACCTTGTGATCCACCCACCTCTGCCTCCCAAAGTCTTGGGATTACAGGTGTGAGCCACTGTGCCTCGTTATAAATTTCATATTCTTTAGCAGACAAGTCCACTATGAACCCAGTCATGTACTAATAACTAGACTGTGAGCTCCGTGAGGGCAAGACTATATCCAATATCTTGACATCTTCAATACTCAGTGTACCCTTCCCTGACACATGAAAGAAACTTGGAAAACATTAAAGGGATTGAGGAATGGTCTAGTGAATGACAAAATCTATCCCTCTTATCCCATGTCCCAGGGTACACGTTTAACAAAATATTATGAAATTTAGAAAGTGGTCATAAAAAGAGGAAATTTACTATTGCAAGATTTTTTTTTTTTTTTTCAGATAGAGTCACCCTCTGTCGCCCAGGCTGGAGTGCAGTGGCATGATCTTGGCTCACTGCAACCTCCACCTCCCAGGTTCAAGCGATTCTCCTGCCTCAGCCTCCTGAGTAGCTGGGATTATAGATGTGTGCCACCACACCTGGCTAATTTTTGTATTTTTAGTAGAGACGGGGTCTCACCCTATTGGCCAGGCTGGTGTCGATCTCCTGACCTTGTGATCCACCCGCCTTGGCCTCCCAAAGTGCTGGGATTACAAGCGTGAGCCACCGCGCCCAGCCTATTTCAGGAATACTTGATTAAATGAATGTCAACAAGGCTTTCCCCCTGTTGGCCCTGCCTATCTTCATTTTTCAATAATACTTTTCAAAATGCAAATCTGAGAAAACCTATAATGTGGACAAACAGAAACTGTATCCAGTAAAATCTGCACTTGCCAGGACGGTCGGATGAGCCTTTAGAGCCCAGACATTGTGCAAATAGAATGTGAATCTAGGTTTATCTAGTGAGGTCAACCAGCAGGCATTTAGGAACTGCATATGCTCTGGGGAGTAGTGTCCACAGAGATTCAGAGTCAAAGTTCAGCAGAAGAGGAAATTCCTCTGAAAATTTGTGTAAAATTGTCCTCACTACACAAGGACAGCTATAAAATTTTGTAAGCTCCTACAAGTCTGGGACTGCAGTGGGTTTAAGAATGTGTCCATTGTTTTAGCATTTACCTCAGATGAAATGCTGGTTAGAACAGGAAGTTCACTAGTTCAACCATTGTGGAAGACAGTGTGGCGATTCCTCAAGGATCTAGAACTAGAAATACCATTTGACCCAGCCATCCCATTACTGGGTATATACCCAAAGGATTATAAATCATGCTGCTATAAAGACACATGCACTTGTATGTTTATTGCAGCACTATTCACATTAGCAAAGACTTGGAACCAACCCAAATGTCCAACAATGATAGACTGGATTAAGAAAATGTGGCACATATACACCATGGAATACTATGCAGCCATAAAAATGGATGAGTTCATGTCCTTTGTAAGGACGTGGATGAAGCTGGAAACCATCATTCTGGGCAAACTATCGCAAGGACAGAAAACCAAACACCTCATGTTCTCACTCATAGGTGGAAATTGAACAATGAGAACACTTGGACACAGGGTGGGGAACATCACACACCGGGGCCTGTTGTGAGATGGGGGGAGGGGGGAGGGATAGCATTAGGAGAAATACCTAATGTAAATGACGAGTTAATGGGTGCAGCACACCAACATGGCACATGTATACATATGTAACAAACCTGCACGTTGTGCACATGTACCCTAGAGCTTAAAGTATTAAAAAAAAAGTATAATTGACAAAAAAAAAAGTGAAGGAAAAAAATAAATATTTTTAAACATGCAAAATTGTTTAAAAAAAAAGAAAAGGAAGTTCATTTATTAAGAGAAATTACTCCTTGGTTTCAAACTAAAATACTTACCCTCATTCATTCTTTCTCTTCTTCCTTCTTTTCCTCTCTCTTTCTCTCCTTCTTCTTCTTTCTCCTCCTTCCCACCTCTCTTTCTTTCTCCTTCTCTCTTTCGTTTCCAGCTTTCTTTCAGTACATATATGTACTGTTTTCCTGGGAAATTCCATAAAAATGACAAAGATTTTCTGAGTGGTTCTCTTATTTTTAAGCAAAATCAATATTCACAAAGATAGCCTACTTGCATAACCCGATTAAGCCTCAGTTGGAGTAAACTGATTTTTTTTTTTTTTTGACACAGGCTTTCATTTCTGTTGCCCAAGATGGAGAGCAGTGGCATGATCATAGCTCACTGCAGCCTCAAACTCCTGGGATCAAGCAATCCTCCCACCTCAGCCTCCCAAGTAGCTGGGACTACAGGCATATGCCATCATGCCTGGATAATTTTTAAATTTTTTGTAGAGACGGAGTCTCACAATGTTGCCTAGGCTGATGGTAAATTCCTGGCCTCAAGTGATCCTCCCACTTCAGCTTCCCAAAATACTGGGATTACAGGCACGAGCCACCATGCCTGGCCAATATTTTTAATAGATAATTTCATATTGCGTTTCATGACTCTTCTTATTTAGATACACCATGACACTTGTTGCTGGAGGCCTTTAGCTAAACTTGGAATTTCTGTAACCACTGTACATGTTTATTAAATGATGCTAGCCCTACCACTTTCCATTCCCCTGCGTCACATGCTTACACAAAGTCAAATTGGCCTGCTATGGTTATCTTAGAAGCCAGCCTTTCACACCCTGCTGTAGGTATGGTCCCTGAGAAAGTAAGGGCAGACTCTCTTTCCTTTGATAAATTTGTCTATCATCTCTGTCTTAGGAGGAGTGATTTCCTGATTCTATACATGTAAGATATTTGTGGAAAGTCACAAACATTACTGGCCAATTCAACATTCTTATTCCGTTTTGGGTGACTTAAACCATACATATTAACACTAGCATTCCTTAGATGTTGATAGATGAGTAAGAATCAGATTGTGCACTTCATAAGTACAATGGGGTGGTAGTGGTGGGGTGCGGGGGGAGGTTACCAAGAACTACGGATACTGCAAAACAAATCCCTTAAGTAAATAGTGGAAAATGATAGTTTATTTTAAGCCCTTTGAAAAGTTGAAAAATGATGCAAAAGGAAAGAACTCGTCTGTTCTTAGTCAGCTTTTGACCTTTGACTATATAAACATAAGAAACACATGAGCTAGAGCTAGGTAACTAAGCAGGACTTCTCTGCCAGCCAGATGAGCAAAATGAATCTTCCCATTAAGGTTTATAGAGCACCACTACACAAAACTATCACACTCAATAATTTATTCATGAAGAAGGTGGTTGCTAAGATCTTGGCATTCTCAGTAACTTTTTATTTTTTAACCTATAAAATGAGGAGATTGGACAAGATGTTTTCTAGTCTTTCCTTCTCTAAAATGTTGATACCAGGACCCACCAAGTCAGGCTATCTCAGAATCCACACAATAGTTCCTGTCATTCCACTGCTCTCATAGCAAAGCCCCTTATTATCTGGCTTGAAAGTTCTGTCGTATGTCATCTTGCCATTAGCACGCAACAATTCACACACATAGTATGCAAGGCCCTGCCAAAAGCATCCACGAAGGACGATGAAAGCCTCCGCACCAACATCATGTGCCTCTGTTACTATGCACTGAAATGACCTGGCAGGAAGTGGGCCCCAGAGGAAGAAGGGGAACAACGACTCCTCTAACCTTTATTATCAGAATCTGTTTAGGTTTGTTATGTGCCACCTTGACCTTCTAACTGCTCTATAGCAATGCTTATCTTTCATTTCTTTCAGGTGAAAACATACCTCCAAGAAACCCTATTTATGGCAAATTCCTGTGTAACCTTCAAGTGTTACACGCCCTGTGACATCTGACATCCCCAGTAAGACTTTGGGATTCCTTCCTCTCTAAGTTCCCAATTCATGTTGCACATACACTCGTATTATAATCTTTTCCCTGCCAGCATGTAAGGTCTTCCCAGGAAGGGCTATGTCTTTTGCCTTTGTATCTCCAGTGCCCTAGTGCCTGGCATATAAGAGGAGCTGAACATATATTTGCATAGTAAATGAATAAATGAAAGTCTTTTCTGACCAGTTTCATCCTGCTCCGACCACTCTTTCATTATACAGCTTAGACTATTTACATCTCACCACACAAGCATACACAGCAAATGAACCACTGAGATGCAATATGATTTTTCTTAGTCAAGGAATATTTTAACGTGCAAGAAAATTGACTATTTAAAGAAACTTTACATGAATATTTTTGTAACTGGTCAAGGAAGACATGAATTCAAATATTTACAGGGATTTTAAGAAGCAGCCTGAGGGAGGGAGTCCAGAGCTATTTCTTCTGTCTAGAATGAAAACTGCCCGAAGAGTCTAAGAACTGGCCCATTTCCCTCTTCTCAGCCCACACTCCTCAATACCCTAAATTCAAACCCGAATAAAAATTAATAGCAATCAAAAGAAGTATACTCTAAAGAGGTTTATATCCACTAAAAAGAAATGAATATAAAAGAGAATTATTCAATTTTTCACTTTTATTTTTCCTTTATTAGACTATTTCTCAAAATGAACATAGCTTTGTTTTTTCTTACCATAAAGTAGCATGTGTTAATTGAAATAAAATCAGGCAATACAAAAAGCATAAAGAAAAAAATGAAAATTACCTTTAATGCCATCACTCAGAGAGAACTCTCATTAACATTTTACCTTTCCATATTTTTTCCTATGCATATACAGAAAATGTAGTAATGTTATATGTGATGTTTTGTAATCTTTTTTTTATTAAGTTGCCACACATTATGGGCATCTTTTCTTTACAATAAATATTTTCATTATTATTTTTAAATCTGCAGAGCAATATCCCATTGTATGGCTGTACTGTTATTTAATAAATTCTCTACCGATGTCATTTATATAGCTTCCAGGTTTTCAGTATTACAAATAACACCATGATAAACATTTTTGTATACTTTTTCAGTTACTTCCTTAGGATAAATTCATATTAAGAAACCGAACACATATTGCCAAATTACCCTCTCCAGAGGCTGATCTTATCACACTCCTACCATCACCAATGAGAGCATGTAGCTCCACACATTACCAACAACAGTGATCAGCAATTTGCAAATCTATCAGGCAAGAATTACATTCATTGTTGTTTAATTACTTTGACTACTTGCTAGGGAAGCATGGATCAAATTCTGATAGAAAATTTCACTTCAGCTGCAGAAGCTGCTAGGATCAGTCCCATGTTGGGGAAGTAACGAGCGATGTGAATCTGATAATGGCTTAGGTGACGTTCTGCTTATATTATTTTTTTAAAACAATCTGTTCTTGAAGTCTATGTAATTAAGTTACTGGCTGTTTTGATTTTCATTTTCCCTTTTGGTCTCGAATATGCAAGAATAACTTGAGAAGAATCTGAAAGAATCATGCAGAACTCACTCGCTAACCTCACGTCCCCCCTCACCTCAATGTGAAATGGGTCTAACACTTCAGTTTACCAATGTGACCGGATCATTCTTCTTTACATGCTCCAATTTCCTGCTGGAAATACTTCTCTCTCTCTCTGTCTCTCACCCAGCAGTAACCTTATCCCATTTTTCCCTTCCATTGAGTTTTGACTTTATACCAACTGGCTCCCTTTCCCTGCAAAGCAGGACTGGGCCTGCAGCTCACATTTTTCATTAGAAAACCCAGCAAGGCAGGCACGTCAGTATTGTTATGTGAGGGCATGCTGAGAGCCAGAGTGCACGATCTACCTGTGGCTGCTTTAATAAGTAGGATGTGACTTAGGAGTTAATCACAATTTAGAAAGCCTGACTAAAGTGTTCCATAGATGGAGCAGACAAGTTGTTAGATACTGAAAAAAAAACAAAAAACAAAAACAAAAACCCAAAGCTTTTCTGAACTCTTACTGTGTACCAGGCACCATGTTCATCATTTTCCATAAACTGAATGATTTAATGTTCTAATTATACTTTCAGAAACTGAGAACCAAAGCTTCACAAAGGCGAGTAAGTGACGAGGTCAGAATTCAAATCCAATTACAAAGCTCATGATTTTCATTACACCACGTCCTTGATAGTGCCTATGTGTGATGGTTTAAATGGCTAAGAAATCAAGAATGAGAGAGTCAAAGTTCCCACATTTGGTCATCCCTGTAGACTTTATTCTAGCTCCCCCAGCCTCCAGTCCCTCACTCCCCACCCCCAACACCCACACATTCTTTATTTAATGGCTTGACCACTATAGTTAGGGCCAATTTCCCTGGGCTTATGGTACTAGTGCCAACTTAGAATAGTGGAATATATCAAACCAGGCAGCCATGATGTTCACTATGGGTTCATTACATAATCAAGCCAATTTCAATCAAGCTTGTAGGGTTAGGTCAGTAACTTGAAATCATCGATGTCCATGCTGGTCTGTGTCCAGAAATAATGACTTTGATAGTGGGAGGAAGAAGAGGAATTTTCCAAACAGCCCCCACAATTCTATCCTAAGGACTCTGAGAATAGTTGATTGCACATGAGGCTACTTTATAAGTGGAGTGGCTCCAGAAATTAACTTACGTTACTGGGTGTAAAAGATATCCATTCTGACATTCTCACTTAATAAATATTTGGGCTAAGGATAAGCCAAAGTCATGCTGGACATTAACAAGTCTTTTGACTTGGTGAACAGTGTGGTGCCACACTTACTGGCAGTTGAATTGAAATAAAGTTGAATTGAACTAAAAGCATCTTACTTTCTGTAACATCTTCAAGAAGGTGTTAACAGGTTAGACACTCCCTTAGCACACATCCTTAATGTTTTAAACATTACTCTTTGCACTTTTTGGTTCTGTTCCTAGGTAATAGAAATTGGGGGCACCTGGTAAGTCCTTGATTAGTGTCAGGCACCAGTGGGATATACACTTTCTCTATAGGTCATGAACTCAAAAAGACGGTGGTCTACTGTGGATGATCCCGTTAGTTGCCTACCTAGATTTACTTCTTCAGCCCCTTCCTTGCTGGCAGAGCTATTTTGTTCAGGAGCTAATGGGCCCCAAACTAGCCCTTCCATTCTCCTTTCTGATTAGTGGCTTAATTATCTTAATATTGTAATGTTCTATTCTGATGATGGTGATGATGATGATGAAGGCTAACACTTACTAAGCATTTACTCTGTGCTAGGTACTTTTTAAAGAACTTTAAAAGGTATCAACTCATTTCGATACAGGAGTTAAGAAGAAATTGCTTAGGCAGATAGTGAGGGTATGGGAGTCCTCAGTAAGGTTTCCCTTTTAATAAAAAGCAGCCGCCAATCATTTTCTTTTCTAACAAAGAGCAGCCTGTAAAATCGAGCTGCAGACAGACAAGCAAACTAGGAGCTTGCACAGGTGAATTCTGGCAGTTGTGCCCATAGGAATATACTACCTGGGATGAGGCATGTTCAAAGTGGCGGCCCCATCTTCTCTTTTTGCCAGCAACGTGTACAGTAAGGAGCAGACTAGATGGCACTGCCCAAGTGGAAAGCCCATTTGTATAATAAGATTAGGGTTGGGAGACCAGCCTTCCCCTTGCTACATAAACGTTACACCTGGTCAAACCAATCTGTGAGCCCTACATAAATCAGACACTGCCTCCTCAAACCTGCTTATAAAATCTGCTGTGGTCCGCCCATGTCCCTTTTTTCAGACGTCTTACAAGGAGCTGCTCTCCTCTCCCCTTTCTTCTGGCTATTAAACTTTCCGCTCCTTAACCCACCCACATGTGTCCCTTTCCTTAATCCTCTTGGCAGGAGATGCTGAACCCTGGATATTTACTCCAGACGGTGATGCCACTTCAATTTCATTCTTGTAAACCAAAAGAGATAGTTCTCAATCAATTTAGAAAGTTTATTTTGCCAAGCTTAAGGACGCACCCTGACATAGCCTCAGGAGGTCCTGCCGACCTGTGCCCAAGGTGGTTGGGGTACATCTTGCTTTTATACATTTTAGGGAGACATGAGACATCAATCAATATGTGTAAGATGTACATCTGTTCACTTCGGTAAGGCGAGACAACTTGAGGGAGAGCTTCCAAATCCTAAGTAGATAAGAGACAGAAGGTTGCATTCTTTTGAGTCCTTGATCAGCCCTCCACTGAATACAAAATTTAGTCTGGCTCAGTGCATTTGCATTTTTACATGAACAATAGGGCAGAGAAAGCAATCAGATATGCTCTTGTCTCACGCAAGCCTCAGAGGGATGACATCGAGATCTGTCTGTACTTTGTCCGTAAGGAATTTTCTTGTGGGCAAATTGTGAGGGAGGTATGTAGCTTTTTATCTTTGTAGCTATCTTATTTAGGAAAAAAATGGGAGGTAGGTTTACCTGACATAGTTCCCAGCTTGTCTTTTCCCTTGGCTTAGTGATTTGGGGGTCCCGAGATTTATTTTCCTTTCACATTCTCCTAATAAAGCCATGAGGAAGGTACCATTATTAAACCAAAGCCCAGAGAGACTAACTTGCCTAAAGTCACGCAGCTAGAAAGCAGCAGCTGAACCCCCGTAGTCTGATTCTAGAGTATTCCCTCTTAACCACTATGTCTTGTAAGCCAATGAGACAAGAAGGCTGCTGGAGGAACATCTGGGACACTTTAGAGGTAAGAGTTCTTTTTCTTCTTTGGAATGTTGTCATTTGTACATGATACTTGGAACTGCTGCAGATATCTTGTGTCTATAATAGGAGTCACGGCTGAGTATGTTGGAGTAAAAAGATGGAAGCCACTAAACATTTTGAAGACATCCTTGAGCAAGGTTGAATTAACTAACCTTGGAGCTACTCTACCTCTGGAATTGTTTTTCATGTGAGAAAATGAACCCAGTATCCTTTAATCTACTTGTTAGAACTCCTGTTACTTGTAGCGAAAAGCACTCTCACCGATACACATAGAAACAAGCATAATTCTGACCTAAGACAAATAGAAATGAGCATAATTCTAACCCTTTTAGGTAGGCAGAATATTTGCACTATGGGCAAGATTTTCATTCAGACAACAAATATTTATTGAATGCCTTCTACTTGCCAAGTATAGTGCAAGTTGCTGAACCAAACAATATAGGAAGGGCAGGTTTCTCCATCCATGGAGGTTATAATCTGGTCGTAAATGTAGTAGTGAAAGTGCGGGCAGGCATATTTTGGGACGGTATCTTGAGGACTAATCTGGATTGGGAGTCAGAGAATGCCCTAATAAAATCCAGTAAAAGCATGCATTACAGATTCAAAAAGAATCCATATAATGTCTATCTCATCCATCAAGTATTTGTGACATGTTTTGGCTTTAGTTGTATAAGAACAGTAAGTATGTGCACAATAGTGTTAGGTGTATAAGTATTTTTATTTTTTATTTTTTATTTTTGAGACGGAGTCTCGCTCCGTCGCCCAGGCTGGAGTGCAGTGGCGCGATCTCGGCTCACTGCAAGCTCCGCCTCCCGGGTTCACGCCATTCCCCTGCCTCAGCCTCCCGAGTAGCTGGGACTACAGGCGCCTGCCACCATGCCCGGCTAATGTCTTGTATTTTCAGTAGAGACGGGGTTTCACCGTATTAGCCAGGATGGTCTCGATCTCCTGACCTCGTGATCTGCCCACCTCAGCCTCCCAAAGTGCTGGGATTACAGGCGTGAGCCACGCGCCCGGCCAGGTGTATAAGTATTTAGGTAACTTTATAACAAAATACATTTACATTAAGGGCCAGACTGTCTTTTCCTTTTAAAGGGAAATACTGAAGCTAATTTAGGAGAGGCAAACTAACATAAAATATAAGGCAAAGGAGTGGGAACCAAGGCATTTGGTATCTATTTCTAGCTCACTGGGCAGCAGTCCTCTGTGTCTTGAATTCTGTGATTTGCGAAATATGATTCATAGGGGTTGCAATGGAATATTTCTGAGTTTTTAAACTAATGAGGGATAAATTTTTAAAATCCCTGTGCTGCTGTGAATGTTCTAGAAATTATTCACAAGTTTATTATAGCAAAGAAAATGGGCAAAAGGAAGGGGGTGGGTACAGGACGTGACACTCCAGAAAAGAAGGCAGTGACGTAAAAAATCAAGAGGAAGTCCACACCAGGAAATAGTGCTGTGCACATTAGAGCTGTTACTGAATAAATACTTGTTGGAATTTCCAGAGATAACCAAACAAACATGAAGAAGGAAGTGGGTTTTTTTTTCAGCTTTATTATGGAAAATATCTAATATGTACAAAAGTACCGAGAATAGTAAATAAGAACGACCATGCAGCTTCTATGGCCTTACTTAACGGCCAACTTGCTTTATTTTTCACCTCCCGCTCCCCACTATTCTCAAGCAAATTCCAGACATCATACCATTTAACCCCTAAATATGTCGCACATATCTCTAATGCAAAAGATTGGGAACCAAGACATTTGGTGTCTATGGCTAGCACACTGGATAGCAGCCCTCTGTGTCTTGAATTCGTAACATGTAGAATAAGATTTATAGTGGGTTGCAACCCGACTTTATTTTTAACTAACAGCAATATAAGAGGAGGTGGCTAATCCTCACAAGGCTCTCCATGAGGGAAGCTCACCCCTATAAATCCAGGCGGGCGCTTCGTTACCCAGGAGCCCAAGGTGCAGCTCCGGGACGCTTCTTTTCAAGGCCGGGACCCCTGCAGCGGCCCGTAGGACACCTCCCTTTCCGAGCACGGACTGGTCCCCGCCCCTCCCCCGGGAAGTCTCCGCCCACAGGGCCCCAGCAGCCCCCGCGCGCCCTCGCTCCCTCCCGTCAGCCCCCGCCCCTCGGCGAAGGGAGCGGCGTGCCGTCCGGGTCGCCTAGGCCTGGGGTCGGGAGCGCGCACGCTGTGCGCCCTGGGCGCGCTCGGGATTCTCGCCTGGCGCGGCTGGGGAAGGTGAACAGTGTGGCCCGCCATGTTCTTCTCCGCGGCGCTCCGGGCCCGGGCGGCTGGCCTCACCGCCCACTGGGTAAGGAGGCTCAAGCTGAGCCCGGCGCTGCCGCCGCCCTTCTCTTGCTCTCCGTGTCTCCCTTAGTTTTGGGCGCAGGAGAGCCCTGGGCTCTGCACGGGCCTGCAGGCGGCGGCAAGGACACTGCGGCCTTAGCCCTCTTAGGGAGGCCGCTGCAGCCCCACCGTGAGAAGCCCCGAGGGAGGGTTGCCATACTGGGAAGTGTACTCCTAGTTTGGTCGAGGAGGACAGAAAAGAGGGGCTGCTTGGTGATATATATATATATGTTTGTTTGTTTTTGCTGTTTTGCTGTAGCGCAGAATCTAGGCCTGCTCTGGCCAGATCAGTTTCGAAGACCGTCGCTCCGAAGGAGGCACCTCTCGTTTCAAGCCTAGTGACCTCGATGCTTTTAGGTTGCAGCATACTGGAGAGCTCTGGCTTGCTTCGTGAAGGCTTAGGGAGAACTTCATTAGGGCTGGAAAAGGGTGGCCAATGTTTGATTTACTGCAGTTGTGCTTTGCATATCGGAAATGCTGGCTAAATAAACGGTATCAAACTAACTCTGAAAGAACGGCGCCGCAAATAACAGCACCCAATTAAAGAACCACAGGATTTTAGAGATTAAATGATCTTTTTGAGATCCAAGTACATCTCATGGTAGGCAAGGAAATTGAATTGCAGAGAAGTTGAAACACTCCTTCACGTTAATCTAAAAATGCAGATTTCCAGAAATGTCGATTATAACAACAGGGCCTGTTACACAAGTAATACTGGAAAGAAGCCTTAGTTTTGTTTGTTTTCTAAGAGTGAAATAGGTTAAGTCAGTTCTCAGCAAGAGGGAGCTAGTGTATATTCATTGAGAATGAATTCAGGGCTTTAGAGTTAGACTCGAGTTTGGATGTTAGCTTAACTGCCTTTTGTGGCTCTATGACTTTGTGCTGTTAATCTTCCTCAGTTTCTTCAGTTGTAAAATGGGAATATTCCTTTTTGCAGAGTTCAGTCTTTCAATAAACATTTGAAGTCTTACTGTACGTCATGCACTGCTGAGCTCTAGTTAACAGTGTGGATAATAATGATAGTCATTTGATAACTGTTTTCTGTATGCCAAGCACCGAGTTAAATATCTACATTCCACATCTCATTTTTGAGGCTGGTATTACTTTTTCCTCATATTACAGATAAGGAAAAGATTTAGACAGTTCCCGTTCTTTTGGAATTGATAGTCTCATGTAAGAGGAACTTTAAGGTTGAGACAATGTAAAAGTACAGTGTTAGAGAGATGAATAGGGTCATCCAATGTGGTTTCAAGGTGCATAAGATTTTTCCTGAAGGTAATACTAACAGATTGGGCATGGGGTCCGAGGGTATTCTAGGTGGAAAGGACAACTTAAAGTCTTGTTGGCAAGAAAAAGATCGGTATGTATGAGAAGCCACCCTCTGCTGTTGGAGGTAAGGTGTGTTCCCAAATGAAATAAGGGAGAGACAGGGGCCAGATATTGGAGCTCCTGGCGTGCCATACTAAAGAATTTGATTTTAGAGGCCGTCAGGAGTCAGTGAAAGGTTTTAAAGTAGAGGAATAAGATGTGGTTTCTGTTTTGGATAGGTCACTGGATAGGACTGAGGGTGGAATGGGTTTGATTTGGACCCAGAAACAGGGAGACTAAGTAGATAAGAGGCTCTTGCAGAATGCTAGGTGAAAGATGATGAGGATCAGACATGGTAGAAAGAAAAGAAATTAGAGTGCTTGTAGATTTTGTTTCTTTTGTTTTTGAGGCAAAGGGGCTAGAAGTATAAATTGAAAAGCAGTTTTAATGAAAAAGAACAACTTGAGGTAGTGGAGGACCATTGTAATCCAGGTTTAATGTTTCTGGAACTCTCTTTCTCTCCCTCCCTCCTTCCTTCCTTCTCTCTCTCCATCCGTCTCCCCTTCTCCCTCCCCCTTCCACCCTCCCCCCTTTTTTAAACAAATAGTACCTGATATGCACTATGTACACAATAAATATTTGAGTTGATGAATAAGTTTAATTTTTATTACACACGTCATACGTGTGTAGAAAAAACAATACTGAGACTAGCAAGTAGAGTAAGCTCAAAAAATAAAAATCATCCATTGTCTTGTCAACCTGGAAATTACCATTGTTAACATTTTGATGTCTACACATAACAGACCTTACAGACAATTTGTTTCTACAAAAATGGAAAGGTATTTATACTGTTTGGTAGCCTGCTCTTTTGTAATGTATTCTGAACAGCTTTCCTTATCAGTAGACATTTCTATACTGTCATTTTAATGCTACATAGCATTCCATTGTGAGGATGTTCTATTACTTATACAACCAGGCCCTTCTAACCTTTCACAAGTAGTGAGATTTCACATTAAACCTAGCAAGTATCAAGAAAAGTACAAGAAAAGTCTACCTAAGTTCCTTTCCTAAATGAGAAACCTTTAAAGATTATTTACGCTTTCAAAGAAATTGCCTAATCTAATTTCTGCTTTGCTAGCTGCCATTCTCTTGACGAGGCTTTTCAGCTCATCATTGCTTAAAATATGGCTAGAATTAAGTATTAGTTTGTGTGATCTTGAGCCATCTTAATCTCTTTGAGCCTCATTTTTCTTTTCTGTAAACTGAGATAATACCTCATAGGTGATTGTAGTAATTGACTAAAAGTTATAAATTATGGAGTAATAGATAATCAGAATAAGTTTATTCCCTTCTTCAGTAATTGCCCATGGTTTTTCTGTAATGTTGATGCCACTTTAGAACTTATCACTGCCTCATTCCCAAGCTGCTATTGTAGTTTCGAAGGTGAGAGGGTTGTGGTGGCATTTTCAATTACAGATGCTCCTTTACTTACAATGAGATGACATCCTGATTAAACCCATTGTAAATTGAAAGTATGTAAATTTCAGTTTACAGTGGGGTTATCTGGACTTAATCGAGGAGCATGCTGAATACTTATCATTTTCATACAGTTGTAAAGTTGGGAATTTGCAAGACAGGCAATTGTAAGTCAGCGACCCATCTGTATTGTGTATTTTTTCATTCATCGAGGATATTTTCCTTTATGTCTTTAGGCATGATTATAGCTGTCCTGAAGTTTGTGTCTGGTAATCTTAGTTGATTTTTTTCTTGAAAATGTGTTTTCCTTTTTTGTTTGTTTCCCATATGTTGAACAATTTTGGATTGTATGCTGAATTTTGTGAATGATACGTTGTAGAGGCTCTAGATCCTGTTTTATTCCTCCAAATAGTGTGTTTTGTTGTTGCTATCCATATCCCTTGTGGGCAGCAGATCAAATATTGGTTCCGTTCTTTTAGCTAGGCTCCTTGGAGTCTGCAGCATGTACATGCATGGTTCAGGGTTCAGCCAGAGATTTCCGTAGAATTTATATACAGAATGTATAGGGCTCCCTCCCCCTTTCTGGCTCTTCCTTTTCTAGGATTTCCCACTTTACCATGTCTGTTGTTCCAAACTCTCACTGAGGCCTGCCTTCAGGCTAAAAGATGTGAAGAAAAAACAAAAACCTCATTGGTTTTTTATGAATGTAGACTCCCCTTCTGTGTCTGCCTGTTTGGTTGTTCCCCAGTGCCTTCAGAAAGCTTTTGTTTTTATAAAATATTTTGTCCAGAGTTTATAGTTATTATTCAGTGGTTTGCCCTGACAGTGTCTACTTAGCCATACTAGAAGTATGCCATCTTGTGTGGTGGTACTTTTCCTTCCAAATTTTAAGTTTTGTACAATGAAATGTTTTCCCCATTCCATTAGAGATTCTTAAACTTGATTTTGTAATGTCCCAGTGTATCTCCATTGTGACTCAAAGGACTCTAAAGAAGTTAATGTAGGAAAAACACCCCAAAACATTTAGTTTTTTATTCCTGCTGTAACAAATTTCCACAAAACTTTGTGGCATAAAACATTATATTTTTAACCTTACAGTTCTGTAGGTTAAAAGTGACACAGGTCTCAGTGGGCTAAAATTAAAGTGTAGCCCGAGCTTCATTCCTTTTTGGAGGCTCTAGAGGTGAATGTCTTTTCTTGGCTTTTCCAGCTTCTAGAGGCTGCTCTTGGCCCCTTCTTTCATCTCCAAAGCCAGCAAAGGCAAGTCTAGTTCTTATATCACATCACTTCGACCCTCCTGGCATTCATCACATATCCTTCCTTGCCTCTTGGTAAGAACCCTGTGATTGATGACATTGGGCCCACCTAGATAATCCAGGATAATCTCCCTATTTTAAGGTCGGCTGATTAGCAGCCTTAATTCTCTTTTGTTGTGTAAACTAATACTCACAGGTTTCCAGGATTAGGATGTGGTTATCTTTGAGAGACCATTATTCTGCCTGCCATAGCCATAAATTAGCAGTTTAAGGAGAGAGAGAATGAACAAACTTTAGTTTATGCAGTGAGGTTCAGTAGGCCACTATTGCAAACTGCAGACTCGGATCTTTTTATTAGAGACTTGAACTCAGTTTCCATTTCAAAGTAATAAAAAGTTGACTTTCCTTTCTCTTTGGGCACTGTTTAGTACCTTAGTGCTCAGAACATTGAGTAATAAATTACAGGTCTGTTGCCCATGCTGTATAACCTATTGAGTGACAGTCAGTCTGATTTTCCAATGAGGAACCTTGTCACTAGTTTTTGAATCAGTTCAGGAAGCATGTTATAAATCAGTTGTAGGAAATGTCTTTCATTACAAAACATCAAAGACAGTTTACACACATTTTGGTTAGGGGGAAGGTGGCTTTATCTGTCGGATATTTTGCTAGGTGTTACCCCATTTTATGTGTGAGATATATGAAGATTGCTGGACAAATAAATGCCCAAGATCACACAGTAGTAAGGGCTGGGTTTATTCGCAAGTCCTGTTTTGTTTTGTTTTTAATCTACCTTTCTGAAGTTGCTCAAACAATTGAAGTTGCTAAGGGAAATCACTATGTATGGTGAAGATTTAAATTTAATAGGCACTCTAATAATAAAAGGTGTACCAGTGTAAGCAGACTAGGGAAATGATTTCACTTTGCTTAGGGAAAAGAGATGGAGGTTTAGGGGCTTTAAAGGGGTAGGAGATGGAGGTTTAGGGGCTTTAAAGGGGTAAGAGGAGGAGGTTAACCTTGGTCATGATGGATGAGTGGAAGGTGTAAGTTGAGATAATGCTGTAGGTATAGCTAGCTACATATACAAAGACACTGAAGTGCATGAGGTGAGACTGAACCCCGGGTCCACTGGATGGGCATTTCATTTCTATAAATTATTCTTGTCCTTAGAACAATTGGTTGTTGCTTATATCCATGTGGGATTTTAGATATCTAAAGAATGTTTTCTTTAATATATGGTCAAGATGGCTGGAATCATTAATGCTGTTATCTTAATCTGTAATGCACAGTGCCTGTAATACCTGGGCTCTTCATGCAGCTTTTCTATAATATAAAATTTAGCCAAATTACATTTGTTAATTCTCTCATAGTATGGTAAAAATTACTTACATTTTAACCTGAATTAACATTTTTAGGTAAATTACTGATGGAACTTTATTTGGAGGATGTTTGTAAAAGTCCTCCTATTTCTATCTGAAAATACAGCAAAACTTAAATTTTAGTGGTTAAGGCATGTACTGAAGTCAGGAAAATCTGTATGTGGCATTTCATTTATTTAGCTGTGTGAGCTAGGGAAAGTTTTTCCCCCTTCTTTGAGCCTTAATTTTCTCACCTGTAAAACAAGATAATAATACCTACTTGGTAGGCTTGCTGAGAGGAATAAATGGATTATAGTGTAGATTTGTAGTTTATAGCATGAGATCTGACATAGAGTAAGCATTTGTATTTATGATTATCCTTGAAATAGATTTCACAATTATTAACCCAGCATCAACTTTGTTAAAATAAAATGCACTGAAAAACTTTTGTTTTTCATGGAATTTTTTTTTTTTTTTTTTTGAGACAGAGTCTTACTCTGTTGCCCAGGCTGGAGTTCAGTGGCGTGATTTTGGCTCACTGCAACCTCTGCCTCCCGGGTTCAAGCGATTCTCCTGCCTCAGCCTCCCAAGTAGCTGGGATTAAAGGTGCGTGCCACCACACCCGGCTAATTTTTGTACTTTTAGTAGAGATGGGGTTTCACCATGTTGGCTAGGCTGGTCTCAAACTCCTGACCTCCAGTGATCCACCTGCCTCGGCTCTCAAAGTGCTGGGATTACAGGCATGAGCCACTGCACCCAGCCTCAAGGATTTTTTTTAAATGTAAAATTACCTAGTCTGAATGAATGTATTGCAGACCCTGACTTTTTTAGGAGGTTTCAGTTTTCTTGCTTGAGCTGGCAATAGGGGAGGCTGTAGGTAACAAGTCAGCAGATGTTGTGAACAGTGAGAGGAAGGCACGGAGGGACCTCAGACCACTTTGGATTCACTAGAGATGTTTCATGTGTGCACTGTGACTCTTGCACAGGCAAATAGATATCTTGGTGGATTTAATCTGTAAATATTAGGGATCATCTAAAAGGTATATTCCTTGCCTTAGTTGGCCTCTAATAAAGGAAAAAAGAAGGGTTTTTGAATTGCCTGACCTTAGTCTTGTCTTTCTGACTAATTAGATTACTGCTTCTGTCAGTTTTGTCTTACAGCTTCTTAGTCTCTTATTAACTTCTCTTAGCTGGATGCATTTATAATGCAAATGTCTGATAGAACTGAAAAGTGAGCTTCGTTGGATGGTAGTATTGTTTGAACAACAGAAGAAATTCAGAAAAAGAGTAGAGCCCATGAAAAGACAATTAAGGAATCCTATTGGGGAGAATATAAAACTTTAATTTTTGTCATTTTGAGCTATTGGTATTGCCAGTGACAGTAAAAGGGAAAGGCTGGTAGAAAGAGCACAGGGCCCTTAGATTGAAAGAGCCTGGGCTCAAAATCCAGGTCTGTCACTAATTGTGCGGTATGGGGCAAGTTACTGTCTTTGAGCCTGAGTTTCTCTAAATGTAAAATGGAAATAATGACTCACTACAGATTTTTTAGGAATCGACGAAAAAAAGTATGTAGAAGAGCTTAACACAGAGGCACTCAAGTTTACTTGACTCCAACGAAAAGGCAGTCACTGTTTTGGCCTGCTTAAATCTTTTCTTTTCCTTCTGAAACACTGAAAAAAAAATAAGCTAGAATTCAAACCCACTGTTAATTTTGAGCTGTATATTAGGTTATGATCTTATTTACTTAAAAAAGTTACTTGGTTGCATGCTTTTCTTCTTAAAAAAAGGAAGTTACTTGGATTTTCAATTGGACTCAATTGGAATTTCTTGAGGTATAGACATTTCAGAGTCTAATGAGAAGCTAGATTCTAGAGAAAAGACTAGACTGTACTCAAAGAAGGGGGTGGGTGGGAACTCAGCTTATTCTTTGAATCATTCCAGCCTAGCTAGGTTGTTTTTTCCAGTTTTAAGCCTGGTCCTGGAATGCCTCTTTATTTCAAAGTGAAACAAAATTGAAATGGCCCAGTAAGTAGTGTAAAGATGTTAATGAGAACTTTTAATGTTTTATTCCTTTATTGAAAGTGTCTGACGTAGACATTACAATGAATGTAAAATAGGTGATATTCTTTAAACACACCAAAAAAACAATTTTCAAAGCCATTTTCAGGCCACCTGTAACTTGATAGGGATGAATAACAGTTTATGCCAGTTGAAAAAAACCGAGAGCTAAGATTTATCAGTTTATCTTCACTATTTAGTTTGTTTCTTTCTTTATTGTTTGTTTACTTACTACTTTTTTGAGACAGGGTCTCACTCTGTCTCCCAGGCTTGGGTGCAGTGCATGATCATGGCTCGCTGCAACCTCAACCTCTTGGGCGCAAGCGATGCTCCCACCTCAGCCTCTCAAGTGGCTGGGACTACAGGCATGTGCCACCATGCCTGGCTAACTTTTGTATTTTTTGTAGAGACAGGGTTTCACCATGTTGCCCACGCTGATATCAAACCCCTGGCTTCAAGCGATCTATGGGGCTTGGCTTTCCAAAGTTCTGGGATTATGGGTGTGAGCCACCGTGTCTGGCCAGCTTCTTTTATTTTATAAACATTATCTCAGCCCTTCTTATACAACTTTGAAGAGGTCGACTTCGGACTTTGAAATTAAGTTGCTCAAATGTTATGCTAGTGTGTATACGTTCAGGTTTTTTGCAGGAATAGAAGAGAAGGGTGGCAAGGATTAAAAAAAGATTAAATAACTTGCATCTTTCTCTCTTAACAGGAGCATTGTAAGCCAAGGAGGCAGGGCTTTTCATTTCTTATCTGCCTGCCTGTATATATGGAGGCCTGATTTTCTTCCTTAAACTCCTTGGTTTCTTAGACCTACTATGTTCTTTTAAAGCTTTGATGTCATCAAACAGTCAGGTGGCTAATAATAAGGTCATGGCCTTTGTAATCATCTGGCCCTAGGATCTAACATAATTTCTGCCAATAATTAGTGATGTGACCTAACCTTGAGAAGTTTTCATAACTCATTTAAATTTCTGGGAATAATACCCACCTTGCAGGAAACTTTAAGAATTAAATAATGTGTAAAAAGCTTAGTGCCTGACACATAGTACTTCTAATAATAATAGCTAATGATAGCCAACACTAATACAGTACTTACCATCTGCCAAGCAGAATATTAAGCACTTTACATGAAGTACATCTTTTTTTTTTCCCCCCGAGACAGAGTCTCACTCTGTTGCCCAGGCTGGAGTGCTGTGGCACGAGCTGGGCTCACTGCAACCTCTGCATCCTGAGTTCAAGCGATTCTCCTGCCTCAGCCTCCTGGTTAGCTGGGATTACAGGCACGTGCCACCACGCCCAGCTAATTTTTGTATTTTTAGTAGGGATGGGGTCTCATCATGTTGGCTAGGCTGGTCTCGAACTCATGACCTCAGGTGATCCGTCCGCCTCAGCCTCCTAAAGTGATGGGATTACAGGCATGAGCTACTGTGCCCGGCCTGAAGTACATCTTTTAATGCTCTCAAGAACCCTATGAAGTACATGCCGTTATTTTTCTGTTTTTATAAATGAGGAAACAGGCTCTAGAGCTGAGCTTTTAGCCATTTTGCTATATTGTCTCTCCATACATAGGATATTTATGGAATATTAGATAACAGTGATACATCCCACCTTCAGAGGTGCTAGAATGTGGAAAATGTGTTTATTAGAAATGATGAAATTGACATTTCATATACTAGAACGTGTTTGGTGTTGGTCATCTTTTACACCACACTCAGCATCAGAAGGGTTTTTTTTTTTTTTTTTTTGATAGAGAATCTCGCTCTGTCGCCCAGGCAGGAATGCAGTGGCTCGATCTCAGCTCACTGCAACCTCCACCTCCTGGGTTCAAGCAATTCTCCTGTCTCAGCCTCCCAAGTAGCTGGGACTACAGGTGTGCGCCACCACACGCGGTGAATTTTTGTATTTTTAGTAGAGATGGGGTTTCACCATATTGGCCAGGCTGATCTCGAACTCCTGACTTTGTGATCTGCCCACCTTGGCCTCCCAAAGTGCTGGGTTTACAGACGTGAGCCACTGCGCCTGGCCAGAAGGATGGTACTTTTAAAATTAGTTTGGTGATATTAGACAGGATGTTTTGGATTGAGAAAAAGGGATCAGCCAGAAGACTTACAGTAATGCACAGACATGAAATAATGTCTGAAATAGTGGTGATAGTAAGACAGGGAAAGAACTAAAGACTTCATTGGGTTTTTTTGTTTGTTTTTGTTTTGAGACAGGGTCTCACTTTGTCACCCAGACTGGAGTGCAGTGGTGTGATCTCAGCTCACTGCAACCTTCACCTCCCAGGTTCAGGCGATTCTCCCACCTCAGCCTCCTGAGTAGCTGGGACTACAGGTGTGCGCCACCACACCCGGCCAATTTTTGTATTTTTTGGTAGAGATGCAGTTTCACCACGTTGGCCAGGCTGGTCTTGAACTCCTGACCTCAAGTGATACGCTTGCCTTGGCCTCCCAAAGTGCTGGGATTACAGGCATGAGCCACTGTACCCGGCCCTTCATTGGTTTTTAAAAGTTTAAATGTAATACATATAATGGCAAAAAATTCAAACAGTAAGCAAGGCTACATATTATAGTATATATACATAACAGTACAGAGTAGGGATACAAGAATATGTATTATGATAAAAAATATATGTTGCATATATTATATATGTTAACCCATGATACATCCCACCTTCTAACTTTCCACATTCTAACACCTCTGAAAGTGGGATGTATCACTGTTATCTAATATTCCATAAATACTCTACATATGGAGAGACAATACAACAAAACAGTTAAAAGCTCAGCTCCAGAGCCTGTTTCCTCATTTGTAAAAACAGAATAATAACAGTATGTACTTCATAGGTACATAGGTACTTGATAGGTATTTAATGCTTCTTGAGAGCATTAAGAGATGTATTTCATGGAAAGTGTTTAATATTCTGCCTGGCAGTAAAGACTAAATTTTCTTCCCACTCCAGATCTTGATTCCTCTCCTTAGAGACAGCAGCTGTTACTGGTTTCTTTTATGATGTCTCTGTTGAGATATTTTGATAGAAAAAGCAGTAAAAAATGGAAACTGGCACATTTCTAGATTTTATTGACTTTCTTAAGAACTTTGACAGATCTGAAATTTTACCCCATTTGTAAGCTAACAAGTTAACCTGCCTCAGTTTCATGGATGCTGGCAGGAGGCAGCATCCTGGGTCAGTAGGCAGCATGAACTTCATGTCAGTTCCCTTTGACATTCATATCTCACGGTAAGGGAGGAGACCACCCCTCATATTGTCTTATGCCCAATTTCTGCCTCCAAAAAAAGAAGAAGTAAAAACTAAAAGGCAGAAATGAAATCCACAAGCAGATAGCCCGGTGCCACACCCTGGGCCTGGTAAAGATCAACCCCTGACCTAATTGGTTATTTATAGATTACAGACATTGTATAGAAAAGCACTGTGAAAATCCCTGTCCTGTTCTGTTCCATTCTACCCCCTGCTTGCTCAATCGATCACGACCCTCCCAAACAGACCCCCTTAGAGTTGTGAGCCCCTAAAAGGGACAGGAATTGCTCACTTGGGGAGCTCGGTTGTTGGAGACAAGAGTCTTGCCGAAGCTCCCGGCTGAATAAAGCCCTTCCTTCTCAGTGTCTGAGGGGTTTTGTCTGTGGCTTGTCCTGCTACAATGGGAGTGACATGGAACAGCCTAGGTGAGTGCTGTGCATCACTGCTAAGGGACCTTGAGCTTGGGAAACCCTGTCTGTAAGAAAACTCACTCAACTTTTGCCCCAGGAGAAGGTATTTTATACAAAAATAATAGAAAAGATGGTCTTAAACAAAAGCTGTTCAGTGCTGCTGCTCACCAAATGCACAAACCTAAGACCCATGGAAATCTTTCTACCAGCCTATTTCTTCCTCCTTCCCCACTTTCTTTAACTAAAAGAGAAATTTATGAATTAATTTCAGTGGAGAAGTAGATGGTTTTTTAACCATCAAATACATTATAATTTTACTAGAAAAAGTATAAGCATTATACATATGGATATAAAGAAAAAATAATTATGTGCAAATGCAAGAATATTGGCAGTATGTTGTGTTTGACAGTAACTCTTTGATAAAGTCAACTAACAGCACAATTTTTTAAAAATAGGTGTAGTTTTAAAATGCAGTTGTTTGGATCTTTTTTTTTTTTTTTTTTTTAGTTATTAAATGTTTTATCCTTGTGTCAGTTAAGCAGGTGATAATGCTTTACAGGTTATATAGTACTTTCAGAGAAACTTTACTTAAATCTCAAAATAGTCCAATAAGAAGATAACCCTGTTTTATAGGTACAGAAATTGAGGCTTAAAAAAAAATTAAGTGAGTTGTTCTAGGTCAGATGTTAGTAAGTGGCAGAATGGTAATCTAAACCCAAGGCCTCAACAACTACAAAAAATCTGAAAGTCTGTTTTTTTCCTAGAGTTTAGCTACTTTATCCTGACCCTTCTCAATCAGTAGTCTGTCTTCAACGATTTGGACTTCAAACCACTTTTAGAAATATGTCTGTGAACTCATGTGCGTATCCAGAGCTTTACAAGTCAGCAAGAGAATGCCTCAGAATAGATTTTCCAATATGTAGCAACATAAGCCTAAAGAATAATTTTCAAGATTATCTCTATATTTTTATTTTAAGTAAAAGTACATGACAGATCCTGGATTAATGAGAAAGGGATCAAATATTAATCCAAAATGGAAGCTATTTTAATTTAGACATTTGGTGGTATTTAATTTGATATACAAGGAGGTTAGAAGGAGAAATAGGTTTTACAATAGAGATAAGTTTTTCTTATACCTGCTGAGTGTTTTATTTTAAGTAGGATTTTTTTGGCCAGTTAATCCATGCTAATAGGAAATTTGGAAAATAGAGAAAAATATAAAAAATGTAAAATAAGAGTCCCTTATTTCATTAACATCGTAATAAGAGATAAGCACTTTTAATTATTTATGGCCTTCTAGTCTTTTAATCAGTGTCTGTATTTAATGTAATTGGGATGATAATTTATGCATTTTTGTTTTTTTTGTTTTGTTTAACCCTGATTCCAGTTTCTACATGATTATTTTTACGACATATTTTTGTTAGCTACATAACGTTCTAGTGTCAGAATTATTAGTATTTAGTTAAAACCTGCTCAGATTGGGTTTTTAGGTTGTGTTTTTGCTGCAATAAACATAATAGGAACAACATGTTTTCATGTAAAGCTTTATCCTCATTTTGTACTGCAGGAAAAATACCTAGGTTAGAATTACTAAATTAAAAAATGGACACTTGGGGCCAGGCGCAGTGGCTTACGCCTGTAATTCCACCACTTTGGGGAGCTGAGGCGGGCAGATCACTTGACATCGAGAGTTCAAGACCAGCCTGACCAACATGGAGAAACCCCGTCTCTACTAAAAATACAAAAAATTATCCAGACGTAGTGGCACATGCCTGTAATCTCAGCTACTTGGGAGGCTGAGGTAGGAGAATCGCTTGAACCCGGGAGGCAGAGGTTGTGGTGAGCCGAGATCATGCCATTGAACTCCAGCCTGGGCAACAAGAGCGAAACTCCGTCTCCAAAAAAAAAAAAAGACACTTATTTAGGCTTTCCATATATCATGGTAATTTGCTTTCTAAAAGGCTATATGAATTTTTAAGTGTGCTTGTTTCTCTATATGCTCAACAGAATGGAATGCTATCTTAAAAGAAAAAAGATACTTGGTAGTTTGATAACTAGTAATGTTATTTTAAGTTGTATGTTTTTAGTTACTAGTAAGCAGTTTGAATTCTGTGAAACTTTTGTTCATGATCTTTACTCATTTTTTAAGTGCATTTATGATCTCTTCAGGCTATTAGCCTCTTGTCATCAAATGTGTGTAAGATTTAAGACTCATCACTGTCAAGTTAATGGATGAGTTCTCAGAGGCAAAGGCTTTATAGAGAAAAGAAGATAGGAGTGTGAACTGAGCCCTGAGGACAGCCTGCAAGGAGTGGATAAAAAGCCAATAAACAGAAAATGTTAGTGTTCAGAAATTAGGAGAAGACTGAATACTTTCCCTACTCTTAAAATTAATCCTTTTATTATAAGTATACAGTCTTTTCTCTCAGAATTTAGTTAAGTAACTCACTGATGTTACTCAAAAATTGTTACTCGATTAAAAAAATTTTCTGAGCTAAGATGACAGTGACTGTCTTCTAAATTTTAGTTTCAGTTAATTTTTCAAAACAAAACCAACACAATCAAAGCCCCCTTGTGCACCTCTGACTGTATCCCTCCCTGCCTTCCAATTATCCTGAAATTGATATTTATCACTCCCATCTTTTGTACGTGTGTCTCACATCCTGTACCTTAGTCTTTTCTTGTTAATTAAAGCAGATGTTCCATGTAAACTTATTTATTAATATTTCTTCAACTGAAATATCATTTGGACCTAGGGTAAAGTTAAATATACTATTGTGTTATATTACTCCGTTTACTTTCTTCTATGTTTGCCTTTGAATTGTCCAACTCTTTGCTAGTTCCATGCTTGGTTTAACCCAGCCAGTGTTCTGCCGTCTGTGGTTAGTAGAACTCAGAAATTGGAGGAATCCAGAACAGTAGTTGAAATACTTGGGGGCGGGGGACAGGGTAGGAGTGGAGGGTAGGAGCAAGAGGGCAAAGAGAAATGAAATGCAGCTGAGAGAATAATCAGATTCCTTCCAAAGCAACTGAACATTGTCAGTCCGCATAGCATCATAAATAGCTTTCTGAAACTACTTTTTTTTTTTTTTTTGAGACGGAGCCTTGCTCTGCTGCTCAGGCTGGAGTGCGGTGGCGCGATCTCGGCTCACTGCAACCTCTGCCTCCCAGGTTCAGGCGATTCTCCTGCCTAAGCCTCCCGAGTAGCTGGGACTACCAGCGTGCGCCACCACGCCCAGCTAATTTTTGTGTTCTTAGTAGAGATGGGGTTTTACCATGTTGGCCAGGATGGTCTCGATCTCTTGACCTCGTGATCTCCTTGCCTTAGCCTCCCAAAGTGCTGGGATTACAGGCATGAACCACCACACCCGGCCAGAAACTACTTTTTACGGCTGGAGTTTCAGAACTAATTTAGTAAAGGATTGAAAAGGAAGGAGGATACAGTTGACTCATTTGTACAGAGTATATGACTCATTTGTACAGAATGAAAACATGTTTATGAAGGTTCACACTAAGTGAAAGCTGGCATCCAAGTTGATTCAGACAAAAGTGAAAGTCAAGAAGTTAATAGTACATTAATTCTCCAAATGCATGCCAGCAGAGCGTGGCAGGAAGGTACACAAGTCAGCAGATCTGGGTTGTCCTGGTTCTCCTATTGACTCGTGTGTGTGATGTTAGGTGGGTGAATCTTGGCTTTGAATCTCCATTTGTAAAATAACTCTCCTGAAATAGAGATGGATAGGGTAGAATACCATATTTCTTAAGATCTTTTATAAGTTGATTCCATTGTTGTAAATTATGAATCCTAAAGTATTTCTTTATGAAAAATTTTTTAAGGCTATGATTTACTAAACTTTCTTAAAATTTTAAATTTTAGGGAAGACATGTAAGGAATTTGCATAAGACAGTTATGCAAAATGGAGCTGGAGGAGCTTTATTTGTGGTAAGTAATTACTTAGATTTCTTTGGAAAGAAAAGACTTGGAAATTGGGGTAAATCCATTGTAAAAATCCAAAATATCTTAAATACCATTGTCTTTGATATATGATGGTCATCGTGAGAATTTACATACAGCTAATTGAATTTACTACATTTCAAAAGATGTTGGTTCCAGTTGAACCTCATGAGTTTAAATTAGTATCAGGAAAACTCTGGGAATAAGAATTTATTTCCAGTGAAATTACTGTGTGAGCCCTAACCTGATTCTCATCACACTTTGGGTTCTCAGTCATGTTGGCTTACTGAGAGTTTGGAGATTGTAACTTGTTGAATCCCAAAATGACACTAGTTTGAAACTCATGGATTTTAGTAATGTAGTAACTAGATTAGCAGCTGGTCTTTATATTTTTAGTTTCCGGAGTTTTAACTATAAATAGAAGTCTGTGAACTCCCCAGATTAGTTGCACAATTTGGAAAGGATAAGATATTATATCTCCCTTTTCTGACAAGGTGCTGTTTTCAGGGATTAATCTAGTATAAAGGCAATATAGTGGACTTGTGTGATGATTTAGAGTTAGTGGTGTAAGAAGTAGCTTCCTGCTATATATCAAGCATCAAATTGGCCACATATTTGAGATCATTGTCCAGAGTGTCTGTTTTCTTTCCTCTTTTGGCTTATGTCCTTTAAAAAGCAGAACTCCGAGAGTTAACATATCAAGAGATTCATTTCTGTATTCACCACACATACATAACATTAATTGATCGTAAGTGTTAATCTCAGTGTGACTCATTTGATTTCCTGTTGACATGCCATTTCTTGTCAGTTTTTGAAGAGGGCCTGCTTCTGCTCTTTTAAGAAGAGATAAAGCTTCTTGCTGTTGGCTATTATGGAAAACGTGGGAAAGAGATGGTGCTGTTTTTTTTTTTTTTTTTTTTTTTTTAAGATGGTCCTTTTGTACCCTCCTAAAGTAATGGGTCTTAACCCTTTTGGATCCCAGATCCCTTTGACAATCTGATAACCTTGCTTTTGGGAAAATACACATATGTTCACATTTAAAATTTTGTGTTTTAATTTCATAAAGGCTTCCAATAATTGGTAATGTTTTGGTAATTCTATCAGAAGATCTTACTCTCTAATGAAGCTGGATAACACTTTTTGTTGTTTGGGTTTTTTTGGTCCTAAAGGTACTTCTCTTATTCTTTAAATGGTCCTTTGTAAATTTTTAAATTCTGCTAACTTTACTTTGGTAATCATACTTATCAAATGTGTGTTTAGACATTCTTTTTGATGGAAGGATAGGGTGGTATATATCATGTTGGAATTAAAATGGAGAGATTAAACAATAAGTAATAGTATAGTAATGTACAGTGTCATTCACACTTGAGAGAATTTGGATAAGTCTGAAAAACTGTTTTTGTTGTGTAGCACAGAGATACTCCTGAGAATAACCCTGATACTCCATTTGATTTCACACCAGAAAACTATAAGGTATGGCTAAATTAACATTATAATTAATTTACCAAATAGGTAATATTTTCTAGATGTATAAAATGATGTTCTTTCTTTTATACAGAGGATAGAGGCAATTGTAAAAAACTATCCAGAAGGCCATAAAGCAGCAGCTGTTCTTCCAGTCCTGGATTTAGCCCAAAGGCAGAATGGGTGGTTGCCCATCTCTGCTATGAACAAGGTACTGGATTCATTTTTGCCTTAGTTCTAAAAGAGAAGAGATTGTGTATGATAATTTCCTTTTATAGAAATTACTCTGATCATCTCCAGTGTCAGAATCTAGGATTTTGGAGCCCTTTAGCCATTTGTATGTTTCCTTGAATTGTCTTTGTGTTTTTGTTCATTCCCTTAATGCATAGAGGTGATTTCTAACCTTGCAGGAAATAAGGAAGGCATTATGGTGAAAGAGGGTATGTGTTTTTTTTTTTCCTTTTGAAGGAAATGGTCAAAGATAAAAGATTCCAAATGTGTATAACTTAGTGTCAAGATATTCTGAAAATTAATGTAATATTTAAACACTAGAATTACAGAAAAGAAGATCTGCTCACTAGTATGAAAATTTTTAATATTTTACATCTTTGGCTGTAGGCTGTAAGAAAAATCTGTATAATAGGTGATATTTATACAATTTGATTATGCTACTTTGGAATCAACGACCTATAGAAATGCTATGGATGACCCATTTTATTCAAAGTTACTCTATTCATATAATATTCATTTTTCCTAATAGTTTTGAGCAGTAATACAAATTTCAAGTTTATTCGTATCCTGTTAATACAAATAACTACATTTGTGTGGTGATGTATTACAGCATATCATTTATAAAGTGCCATACACAAACCACATACTATTTGATTCTGATGAGAATCACATAACCATTAAGCTGTGTTATATAATGGAAAATATTTTTGACTTAGAACTAAGACACCTGATTTTTCTCTGAACTTCCTCATTGGCAATGAAAGTTTTGAACCAGGTAGACCTCTTCTAATTATTAAGTTATGATTTCTGAGCGGTAGTGCTAGGACTGAATTCATTTCTAAATCAGTGCATTTTCTACTTGACTGACTATAACAGAGATTTTGTTGTACTTCATTCTTACCACTTTCTAAACTTAATTTGGTTATAACTCTTAGGCTAGACAATCATCTTTCTGAGAGAATAGGAATGTCCTCAATTTATCTAATAGAATCCTAAATGCAAATTTTAGATTTAGTTTATTGATATTTTATTTTATTTGCATTGTATAGTACTATAACACTGGTTTTTCCCTATGAAAAATATTATAAAGCAAGTTTAGTGAGTTACTATCCTGAGTAAACATAGGTGGTTATTTCTTCGATAAATTATGTATTTCTTGGGAAGTTACTTAACATTTTTTTAAATTAAAATAGCCAACTTTATAATGATTTAGGTATATGTTTCTAATTATAATGTTATTATTTTGAAAAAATCATATTTTTAGTAATGGTAAGCCTGTTGGAAATCTTGCTGAGTGGCACGTTAGCAGAGCAAAATAAAAATAAATAAGAAACTGAAAGTGAAAACATTTAAAAAATAAGACAGGCATGGTGGTGCATGCCTGTAGACCCAGGTACTCAGGATGTTGATGTGGGAGGATTGCTTGAGCTTAAGACCAGCCTGGGCAAGATGGTGAGACCCTATCTCTTAAAAAATATGTATTTATATATTGTCCTATTATATTTAGGGTTGGATTTGTGTGGGGGAAAGGCAGGAAGTGTAGGGTATAGGGAATAGACTCAAGATTCTTTGCACTTTACATTTGGGACTTTTATTTTAATGTTACTGCCCCTCCCCCCAACCCATGAAACACCTAACCTTACAACAAAAAATATCCAGAAGCTTAATAATTATTTATTTAACCGTCACTAAGGTGTAGGGAGATGTGCAGAATTCCAGGAAGGAGTCTTTTCCTAATTAGACAGTCAGAGCCTCATTCCAGATTTATTATTCCTTTGGTAGGGTTCCAGCATGTATATTTTGATAGAGAGCTCCCCAGATTCAGGGATACGTCCTTGATTCAGAACTGCCGAATGAAATAGCACAATTACTTTATCTGTCACAAGTGAGCCATGATTAGATGTCTTTTGAGAATATATTTCCTTTAGAATTCCTAATATGAGAAAGTTAACATACTTGTCTGAAATGCCCGCTCTTCTTTTATATTAGAATATGGATATATCTATAATTTTTAAGAATGCCAGATAGTAAGTCTTAATGATAATAGGTCACCTAGAAAGTTGTAGACAGAATTATAAATCACGATAGACAAGGACCAGCCCTGGCAAACAGCTAGAAATCCTCGTTTTCCCTAACAGACTTGCCCTAAGAAAAGATGCTGAGTTAGTGATCCCCTTAGTCCTGAACACCAGAATGTCAAAACAATTGTTTTCTATTAATGTCTTGACGTGAAGGGTTAGAAAGTACTAGACTATATGATTCAACTTTCAAAAGAGTATTGTGATATGAAATAGAAGTAGTGTGCTGGATTCTGGGAGAGGAGTGTGTGATTGTGTATGATAATATGTGTATACATATATGTAGAGATATAAAATTTTGAGTTTACATATTTAAAATATGGGCCAATAGTGAGCTTTGATTTTCAACCTTTTTTTCTGTTGCTGTACCATTTGTATGTAGGCTGTTTGGAAAAAATTGGTGAGAGTTTAAAAAATCTAATTGCTTCTTTTATTGGGGTTTGGCCATCAATTTTTTGCCATTTAGACAGATTATAAAATGTGAGTTGACATGATCAAAGTAGAAATTCTTAATAGTGAAATACTTAAAGATTTAGAGAAAAAGAATATCCTTTTACAGAGGTGAGAAGTAGGGTAGAAGGAGGAAGTGCTGTTAACTCCATTAACTTTCGGGCTCTGTATGGTTTAAGTGTAAGTACATTGTCTGCAAAAATTGAAGAGTTTATATCTCCCAGTTATCCAAGACAAGTATGTTTTCTGCTCTTGAAGAACTTTTCTGTTTTTACCAAATTGAGACAATATTGAAATTATACTTTGTACAACATAATTAAAGCTCCATTACTAACACTGTAATTATCTTATTTTTAAATGTCCTAATATTTTAGGTTGCAGAAGTTTTACAAGTACCTCCAATGAGAGTATATGAAGTAGCAACTTTTTATACAATGTATAATCGAAAGCCAGTTGGAAAGTATCACATTCAGGTCTGCACTACTACACCCTGCATGCTTCGAAACTCTGACAGCATACTGGAGGCCATTCAGAAAAAGCTTGGTAGGGAATACATGATATTTGTAACACTGATAAAAAGTAGAATTGTCTCTCTAGATTTGGTACATTTCTATCTAAAATTTCCAACTTCTGCCATCTTATTGGATCTGTACTTACCTAGTAATATTTTGTGTTACTGTGTTTCCACATCTTTATTTCTTCCTATTTGGTATTCTTCCTCAGTTCTTAGTGTTAAAGCTGAGTTTTTAATTTTTTCTTTTTTAATCAGTATGTTTGAAATGCTTGTAGAAGTTATAAAATATTCGTTGTTTAGAAGATTGTTTCACTTAGAAAATTGTTTCACTTACTATTCTATGACAGCATGTGGTATATTAAAAAGTGACCCATTATTGTCTTTATATTCTTCTAAAGAAGTCATGGAACAAATAAGATACAAGCATAGTAAGAATGCTTTGGGAAGGGAAATTTGAAACAGATGTTATTACAGTAGCATTTGAAAAGTAAATTAGCATTTTAAAAGTAAATGGGCATTTTCCCCTACAAAACTGCCATTGCTACACTTCTAACTATATATGTCAAATGAAGTAATATTTTGTTATTGAATATAATATGTGCATGTTGTAAAAATAGCTGGGTGGTATTGAAATATATAAAACAGCTGAAGTTGGCTCAAACCCCCCCACCCCCAACACCATCAAGGTATAAATCCTGATAACAATTGGATATATTAGTTGTAGATTTTATATCATTTTAATTATTAAATATATAAATGTACTACATGTATGCTTGCTTTTTAGACTTTATTTTGGCTGTATTTCTACAGCACAATATATATGTCTGCCTCATTTTTTTTTTCTGTTTTTTTGAGTTGAGGTCTCACTTTGTCACCAGGCTGGAATGCAGTGGCTGGATCATGGCTCACTGCAGCCTCCAATTCCTGGGCTCAAGTGATCTTCTGCCTCACCCTTCCAAGTAGCTGTAGCTATGGGTGCATGCTGCCAAGCCCAGCTAATTGATTTTTGTTTGTTTTTGTAGAGAGGGGTCTTGCTATGTTGCCCAGGCTGGTGGTTGTGAAATCCTGGCCTCAAGCAATCCTCCTACCTTGGCCTCCCAAGTGCTGGGATCACAGGTGTGAGCCACCATGCTTGGCCTGCCTCATTTTTCTTTTACAAACAGTTACTTTGATGTACACACACATCTTTGCGTACTTGTCCTGTTGTATGCTGAGATAGTTTACAAGAAGTAGAATTGTAGGGTCAGACTTTACCGTATTTTTCCCAAATGCCTTCCCTAAATGTATGAGACTACCCATTTTCTTCACATCCCTTGATAATCTTTGACGTTAGGAGTTTTCTGAGTCTTTGCCAAATCTGATAATGTGACTGTGATTTTAGTAGTTTAATTATTACAATCAAAATGAAAATAATACAGCCTGATGCACTGCTGTATAACAGTAAACACTGGTGATAAGTCCTCTGAAATTTGATTGCTTTTAAAGGAACAAGTCCACTAAAAACTTCCTTGAATGTTAAAATTACATAGAGTTTTTTTTTTGTTTTTTTTTTTTGAGAGAGTCTTGCTCTGTCACCCAGGCTGGAGTACAGTAGCACAATCATGACTACTGTAAAAAATTTTTACTACTGTAAAAAAATTTTTAATTTTTTTGTAGAGCTGTGTCTCCCTATGTTGCCCAGACTGGTCTCAAATTCCTGGGCTCAAGCCATCCTCGCACCACGGCCTCCCAAGGTGCTGGGATTATAGGACGGAGCCACTCCACCTGGCCTAGGATTTTTTTCTTTTTAAAAAACTTTTTTTTTTTTTTTTTTGGAGATGGAGTCTTGCTCTGTTGCCCAGGCTGGAGTGCAGTGGCGCAATCTCGGCTCACTGCAAGCTCCGCCTCCTGGGTTCACGCCACTCTCCTGCCTCAGCCTCCCGAGTAGGTGGCACTACAGGTGCCCGCCACCACACCTGGCTAATTTTTTGTATTTTTAGTAGAGACGGGGTTTCACCATGTTAGCCAGGATGGTCTAGATCTCCTGACCTCGTGATCTGCCCACCCCAGCCTCCCAAAGTGCTGGGATTACAGGCGTGAGCCACCGCGCCTGGCCTCTTTTTAAAAAACTTAATAGTCTTAAACTTTTAATATACCTCTATAAAAATTCTTTTTTTTTTTTTTAAACCAAATGACTATTAAAATATAACCTGGTCCTTAGAGTGTTTATTTGTATTTTTAGGAATAAAGGTTGGGGAGACTACACCTGACAAACTTTTCACTCTTATAGAAGTGGAATGTTTAGGGGCCTGTGTGAACGCACCAATGGTTCAAATAAATGACAATTACTATGTGAGTATTTCAGGTAATACAAGTTAAAGTTGTATGATGTCATATTTAAAACATTTTAAATATTTGATTTTGTGTCCTTAGATGTTGGTTTCTGAATTACTCATTTAGAAGAAATGGTTACCATAAATATCCAGGTTTTAAAAAATTCTTTAAACATTTTTGCATTTAACTTCAGAAGACAAATTTTAAAACTTTAGATTATGAAAAATTTAATAATTTGGATATTAATACAGAAAATAATCCTAGTGTAGCCAACTATCAGGACTTAACTGAGAGTAATATTTTGCCACATTTTACTTCAGATACTATCATCATCATCATCATTTGTAGAAATAAGCTACAGATACAGGTGAAATACTCCATCCCAAATCTTTTTCTCTTCCTTTTATCCCCAGAGATAACCATTATCATAAATTGTGTCTATATATGTATGCAGCTATACTAATATGTTGTATGGCTTTTTAAAAAAATTTTATAGAGATGGTATCATACCTCTAAGTACTGCAGCTGGATCTCACAAGTTTTGCAGTCTTTTTTGTTTTTGATTGAGCGTTTCTGTTTTTTTTTTGTTTTTCATTTTGATTTCTTTGACCTGTAAGTTTCTAAAAATGTTCTTAATATCCATATATATGGCGTTTTCTAGTTATTTCTTTAAAAATTGCTTGCTACCCTAATTATATCACCGTTTTCATTCAAGATACCTTGTTAGCTCATATTTCTTAGAAATTTGTTTATGGAAATTTTGGAGGGACTGTACTTAAGGTAGATTTTCTTTTAAGAAGGGATTTGCTTTGTTTCTCTCCTGCTCCTGGCAGTACTGCTGGCCCCAGAAAAGCCCCTCTCCTTATACCCTAGGCCTCTGTTCCTCCGGTGTGAAAGGTTCCAGACTAGCAGTTTTCTTTGAGGGACAGTTTACTCTTATAATGAGGTTAAAGCTTTTGGGGACCTTAACTTTGTGTAGCTTACATGGTCTCTTGTTAGACTCTCTGGGGCTGGCTGGGTCCCTTGCCCCTCTAAGCTTTGAAACTCTGAAGCAAAGTTTGCTTGATGTTCCACTTTCTTTCTTTGGTTTTCCTTGAGAATTTGGCGTCTGGGTACTTATTTCTTGATTTAAATAGGAATTAGACAGTCAAGGCTTTGTGTGAAGCATTGTTAAGTCTAAATATAGTAGCCTGTAGATGGGTTTGTTTGAGATAGGTATTCTTTCAGTTAGCAGTAGTTAGATCTTTAGGGATAGATACTAGGCATCTACTTAACAAGTTACTACAGCTACTTTGTACCTTACTGTTTCTTCAGTAATACAGCATTTATTTAGTATGTACGTTGACACTGTTCTACTTTATATATTTTCTCATTAATCCTCAAAAACGTGCTGAATTAGGTTTACAAATAAACAAACAAACTTGGGGAGGCTGGGTAACTTGTCCAAGATTACTAGCTAGTAAGTGATAGAGCCAGAACTCAAATGCAAATATGTTTCAATTCAGAGCAATATTCTGTATTGCCTCTTCAGCTGCAGGCTCTTGTTGCATATTATATTTAGCAGTGTGTACTATATATAGGAGTTACTTAATTGTTGATGCCTTGGTAACTATCTTGTGAGCTGAGACAGACAATAAAATCACTGGCATTAGGGATTTACAGATTTCAGCCGTAGAAAGTAATTTTGTGCCATGCGTGGTGGTTCATACCTGTAATCCCAGCACTTTGGGAGGCTGAGGTAGGAGGATTGCTTAAGCCCAGGAGTTGGAGACCAGCCTGGGCAACATAGTGAGACCTTGTCTCTATAAATATATCGATATAAAAGAAAGTAATTTAAATATGACTATTGTTAATTTTTTTTCCAGGAGGATTTGACAGCTAAGGATATTGAAGAAATTATTGATGAGCTCAAGGCTGGCAAAATCCCAAAACCAGGGCCAAGGTATGCTTTATTTATATATAGGAAGTTTTAGTGGCTCACCTAAATTAATCTTTCAGATAAACTTGATTTAAAAAATTTTATACCTTAAGTTCATAGGAATTGGTAGGAGCTTTGGATAGTATTATCTATATGAATCTCATCTAGAGCAAGAATAATTTTTTTTCTAAAACCCTGTCTGATAATCATCCGATACCTGAATATTTATAGAGAAGGAAATTTTACTACAAATAGAAATCTATTCCATTATTTAAAAGTTCATACTGATAGAAGATTGACCCAAAGACCATCTCCCTCTAATTTCTACCTAAAAATCCAATTCTGCCCTTTGAATCAACAAAAGATAATTTTAGTACCTCTTCCAAATGACAGCTCTTCAATTACTTGAAATAGCTACCCTGTCTTCCCCTTATCTTTTTCTCAGATGGAATATCCACAATTGTTTCATTGTTTTTCTCATATGACATAGCTTTGGTCTCCCTCTGTGGGTTTTCTAGTTGGCTAGTGACTATTTAATGCTTTAATGTGATGCTTAAACTAATCATGGTTTTTTGTCTTTTTTATTTATTTATATTTTGAGACGGAGTCTCACTCCGTCACCCAGTCTGGAGTACAGTGGCGCAGTGGCACAATCTCAGCTCAGTGCAAGCTCCACCTCCCAGGTAGAAGTGATTCCCCTGTCTCAGCCTCCCGAGTAGCTGGGATTACAGGTGCCAGCCACCACGCCCGGCTAATTTTTTGTATTTTTAGTAGTGACGGGGTTTCACTGTATTAGCCAGGATGGTCTCCGATCTCCTGACCTCGTGATCTGCCCGCTTCAGACTCCCAAAGTGCTGGGATTACAGGCATGAGCCACTGTGCCCGGCCTAATCATGGTATTTTGAGATACATACTGAGCAGCACAGAGCATTGTGGGACTGCCTCCTTTGTTCCAGACATTATGCTTGTAATAATTGTGCCTAATTATATCAACTCCTACTTCAGAGACATTACACAATTAACTGCACTTCATAATACCTAGATCTTTTTCTGTTCACTATTTATCCAGGTTGCTCCCGTCCCATACCTGTGTTACATTAATTACTTTCCTTTCAGTTATGAACTTGGATTTTCACTTTTAAACAAACCCTTATTCCATGTATGTGTTCAATCACTCAAAATTCTCTCTTAATACTAGCAAATGTTCTCATGGTTTTAGTCATAATCCCTCAAATTTTTTGTTTATGTATATAAATTTTTTCTTCCCTCAGCACATTTGGAGTTTTTGATGTCCATACGGTATTCTAATGTTTTAAAACAGCTGTGATGTGCTCTTACTCCCGTTTTAAAATATTTTTCTTAAGCTTTATTATAAATAACAATTCCCTGAAGTAGAATTACTAAGAGGGTATGAGTGGTTCTAGAGTTTGCTCTCTAAAACTACTAATAATACCCTACTTAATGAGAAAATGAGGTCAGTTCAGGATAACTTAAGTTTAGTAAATGCTAGCTGGCCCCTGTTGACCATTACTTTCTTTTCTAAGAAACGTATACTGTTCTTAACAACCTGAGCCTATAGAATTGAATTTGCTTAAAGAGTGTTGGCATTTTCTTCCTAATTCCTCACTTTCTTGGGTATACCCCTTTTTTTAGGAGGTAAATCATTTCCCTGGTGAAAAATCATTCTCCTTTATGGAGGCAACTGAAGTAAAACCTTTAGTCATCTATCATTACAGTATCTTTCTTAGCTAGTGCTCCTATCCCTTACTTATTCTTGCTTTAAATAGACACTGTCCCCCCAAAAAGTACAAATTTCATAATATTTTCCACAAGCTTCATCTGCTTTTTAGGATTCAGGTATTTTAAAATAAATTCATGCTATTCTTAGGTTTGTACTTCAGCCCATAACTTCTTTCACCTTTTGGGTACTCTAAAGAATATCTCAAGTGCAGATTTCCTTGTGAAATCCACTTGGGTTCTTTAGATGGCCCCTCTCTTCTGATTAGATGTTTTGAATTCTATAGTCATAACTTTGGTGTTGGGCTTCCTCCCCCCCACTCCTCCCCTCACCCGAGATGGAGTCTTGCTCTGTCACTTAGGCTATAGTGCAGTGGTGTGATCTCGACTCACTGCAACTTCTGCCTCCCAGGCTCAAGCGATTCTCCTGCCTCAGTCTCCCGAGCAGCTGGGACTATAAGAACGTGCCACCACCATGCCCAGCTAATTTTTGTATTTTTAGTAGAGACGGGGTTTTACCATGTTGGCCAGGGTGGTCTCGAACTCCTGACCTCAAGTGATCTGCCTGCCTTGGCCTCCCAAAGTGCTGGGATTACAGGCTTGAGCCACCACGCCCGGCCACTTTGGCGTTTAGAATCTTCTGCTTTGCTTCTTGTGAACTGTGGGATCTATGGTTCATATTAATCTAGTATTACTCTCCTGCCACACAAATTGATACCTGCTTTGTCTACTTTGTTATGTCACATTACATTAAATACTCAACAGTAATTTTTTTCACAAATTTTTTTGAGTGCCTGCTGTGTGTCAGGCATTATTTTAGGTTATGAATACAATTATGAACAAGATAAAGTTCTCATATATCTTCTAGTGATGGAGACAGATGACTAGTGTAATATGTGAGTGATAAAAAGGCTACACAATAAAATGTAGCAGGTGTTAGGGGATAGATAGGGAGTAAATTTAGTGAGGAGAGGCCGCTTAGAGGTGGTAACATTTGAGCCATGACCTGAATGAAGAGCTAGAGGGAACCATGTAAAGAGCTGAAGGAACAATGTTCCAGGGAGGGGAAAGAGGATGTATCAGGGTCCTGGAAGAAAAGTAAGGTAACAGTATGGCTGCAGTGAGGTGCTCAAGCAAGAAAGCAGTGGAAGGGGTCAGAGGAGATAAGGGCCCAGATAAGTAATCTGGGCTGAATCTTAAATATAATAAAAACTGTTGGAATGTTTTCAGTAGGGAATGGAATGAGCAATCTTAAAATACTGCCATAGTTGCTATGTGGAGATTAGAATTTAGTAGATATGTGGGACTAAGGATTTATGAGTGATTTTCAGCTTTTTGGCTTGAGCATCTCTGAGGTTCCTTTACCGAAAATAGAGAAGATTTGTGGTAGGGCAAGTTTGGGGAAGAAAAGTCAAATTTTGTTTTAGACATAGTAAGTTTGAGATGCCTGTTAAGACATCCATGGTATGATGCTGATAGGTAGATACGAACCTGGAATATAGGGAATAGGTTAGGGCTGGAAACACAAATTGGGGATTCATCAGTTACTAAGGGTAGTATTTAAAGTTATAAATCTGGATGACATTATCGGGGTGAAATTAAAATCTGTTATTTGTAATATGAGGTACTATAACATTGTATTTTAACAATAAGCAGGAACTAAGTACTCAGTTAAGCATTTTCAACAACATCTGATAATAATAGGGATGTTACTTATCAGTAATCATGAATAGTTTTTCGCTGAGATTTTCTTGACAGTGTTCTGGATTTGAGCCAAATACTTCAAAATTATTCGTGTCCGAATCTCTTTTTTTACTTACTACCTCTTATTTAAAAAGCAGACAAAAGTCTACTTAGGTTTCAATAATTGCAAGCATCCACCAATGCTGTATTATATAAAGCTTGTATTTGGACATAGCAATACTAGAATGTCTTGTCAGCATATGAAAACAAGAACTTTTCACTTTACTTACCCAATATCTTGGATATATAGGATAATGACAGAGACTGGGATAGCAATAACCATAATATAGTTATAGTTATTCTAAATTAACCAAAGCTGTCTAATTCTTTTTTATTGGTATTTTAATAATAAATATCTCTGCTCTTTGAAAGAGGTACTAATTGTGCGTCTCTGTAATGAAAAACCGAGAGGAATTAAACTGGTTCAATAGTAACTGATTCCTGAGTACCACTGCCAGGTCTTACCCTGGCCAAAATTAGTAAAAGACTGATGTCTATATGTGGTTCAAAACTGCTTTTGTATTATCGTTGGTGAATGACCACTGAAAATATTAAAGCAGTGGTAAGATAATACAGTTGACTCTTGAACACCATGGGCGTTAGGGACATTGATTGCTCATGCAGTTGAAGATCTGTGTGTAACTTTTGACTCCTCCAAAACTTTACTCATAGCCTGCAGTTGTCTGAAGGCCTTAACAAATAACATAGTCAGCACATATTTTGCATGTTGTCTGTATTATATACTGACTGTATTCTTACCATAATCTAGAGAAAAGAAAATGTTATTAAAATCATAATGAAAATATATTTACTCTTCATTAAGTGGATCATAGTACAAGTCTTATCATTTTCATGTTGTATAGGCTGAGGAAGAGGAGGGGTTGGCCTTGCTGTCTCAGAGGTGGCAGAGGCTGAAGAAAATCCATGTACAAGTGAACCCATGCAGTTCAAACCTGTGTTGTTCAGGGTCAGCTGTAGTCTCTTAATCTTGACATTACTAAATATTTTTGTGCTGAGATTGTTCTTATTTTCAGTGAATTTAAAGTACTGAAAAATTCTAAACTTGTTTTCAGGTTACTAATAGGTAGAAATTTTTTAGTATGGATTAGTTTATAACTCATTTTAAATCCAACTTTAATTCTTCATATTTAGAGCTAGGCTACAGTTCCAATGCGGTTGGTAGATGACTCTAGACAATAACATCACTTTTGGTTTTTTATACTAAAAGTAGGGACAGTGCTGGATATATCTCAGCAATAGTAAAAAGCACTAAACTTTTATAAAGTAATTTGTCTATGTAAAGTACTTTAAGCCATGAAAGTTTACAGAAAGGCCAAGTTTTCTAGAAAGCAAATAAGTTAAAATGGTACACATACGTATAGTGTTGGAATGACTGACGAACCATACTTTTTAAATTTTAGTGAAGATGTAATTATTAGATGGCATTTTAAGCATGAGATATCAGGAAAATCATTTTTTGTTTAGTAAGTGAAAAACACTAGTGTAAATTGTGGCTGTCAGGTGAGTGGATAGGGCTAGCTCACTGCCTCTTGAGTGTTCTGAGGCATGTTTACAGATGAAAGGGGGGGTTACATTTTTAGTAGATTAAACAAAATTATAGGCTTTATTGGAGGATTTTTGTAGCCTTTGTAGTATTTTAAGGTACACTGTGTGAATGGCGAGGAAGGGAGGTTTACAGCCAGACATACTGGATCACTGGGACTCCCGTTTTTCTATACAATGCCATGGGATTGTAATTTTATGGAACAAACTTTAGGAAACTCTAGACCAGATTATTTTTAAAATTACTTCCATATATAAAATTCTATAATCCTGTGAAGAACTCAGGAAGTACTTACGATTAATTCTCCCATTTATTGTTCCGGAAACTTCAGTTTTTATAATCTTCCTAAATTGATCCTTTATGTTGATAAACAGTGTCGATATTAAGGAGCTCATTAATTTTGGAAGATCCATATCTATCCAAACTGGTAAGAGGCTTTAAGATAACAAATGCTCAGCTTTCAGGAGACGTCTAAAATGAAACTTTTAAATCATATTCCATTCTGATATTTGATCAAGAGAAAAGTTTTAGGCAGAAAAGAAGAGGTAGCTGAGCTTAAACCGTAAGAAGAAACCTAGTAAAGGTGAAGAAAGTTTCTCCAAAATAATTTCATTGACATTTAAAGAGCAGCAGTGGTGCCTATCAATAGGCAACATAAAAAATTACAGGCCGGGCACAGTGGCTCACCTGTAATCCCAGCACTTTGGGAGGTTGAGGCGGACAGATTGTTTGAGCCCACAAATTCAAGACCAGCCAGGGCAACATGGTGAGGTCTTGTCTCTACGAAAAATACAAAAATTAGCCAGGCATGGTGACGCACACCTGTAGTCCCAGCTACGTGGGAGGCTGAGGTGACAGAAGCACCTGAGCCTGGGAGGTTAAGACTGCAGTGAGCCATTATTGCATCACTGCATCCCAGCCTGGGTGACAAAGTGGGACCCTGTCTCAAAAATAATAAATAAATTTAAAAATTGCAAAATATAATACTGTTGTCTTTTTTTTAAAGTTAAGTATCATTTTGCTGCTTACTCTACAAGTTTCAGGCTCTTACAGTATACAATGACTGCTTTTTTATCTGTTTTTGTAGTGAACAAGACCTATAATCCAAAGATATTAACTAAGTTCTGACTTTGTAGATAATTGTTCATTACTTAGTAACTTGTATTATATGCTGTGACATCTTGAAAGATCTTATATTATGTGGTGTCACTTTCCTGGCTCCAATAAAAAATGATTCCCTAGGGCTCTAAAGAACAGACTTAAAGGATTGATGACACAATGTGAAGGGCAAAGCCAGAGGGGGTTGAAAAGATATAAACTGAACAAGTTCTTTCTTTAGGTAAATCTGTGGCAGGAACAGGTAAATTAGCAAAGCCAGGGAATAGTGGTGGAGGGGTGACATACAGTAAGTCTGAGCTGGGCTCTAGAAACAGAGGTCAGACAGGGCAGAGGTGAGCAATTACCTGGGAAAGCGTGTGTGGGGTTGACAGACAGGTTCTTCTCCCTCTATGCTGCCTGTCTTCATAAATTGCTCCATCAGGACTTGTTCTTGTTTGCTTCCTTTTGTGGCTGCTATGGCCATCCTGGTTTGGAAACTTTTTTCAGAAAATTACTACTACTAATATAGTCTTTATAATACATAAATACAAACTGATTTTGACTTCGCTGCTTCTAAGGGACATTGTCCCAAATCATATTTCCTCAAGGAATCCAGTTTCTATTTCCAAATACAATGTATAAGTGTGTGTATTCCCTCTATTCACTGTGACTGTGGATCTTGATCTAAATAAAATTCAACTCTAAAAAGAAATACAGTGCTCTAGTTTATTAAAACATGGTTTTTAAAAATGTTCTCTGGGGTTGGGTATTTTTGCCGTAGTTCTTTGCTTTGATTCTTGGGTAGATGCTGAATCTCCCAAATTTGGTTTCTCTAACTGTAAAATAAAGCCAGTATCACTTGTCTTGTGGCATCGTAAGGATTCAATGAGCTAGTGTATGCATACTGCTCAGTAAATAGGAACTATTATTAGGGCTACTTTTGTATTTTTTATGTTTATGGTGAAGTCTGATGTTTTTCCATATTTAAATTTAGGAAGAGAAAATCTTGCATCAGTTGAAATGTTTGAATTAAATAATCTATGCTAGTTCTTAGGGTAAAAATAGTTACTTAACTGGGCTCTTGTGAGGTAACCATTACAATTTAAGTAAAAATTTACAAATGTTAATCATTAATAGTTTAATATTACTTTTCATTTCAGGAGTGGACGCTTCTCTTGTGAGCCAGCTGGAGGTCTTACCTCTTTGACTGAACCACCCAAGGGACCTGGATTTGGTGTACAAGCAGGCCTTTAATTTATATTGAACTGTAAATATGTCACTAGAGAAATAAAATATGGACTTCCAATCTACGTAAACTTATTTGTTTATTCTGCTCTGTGTACATCCTCATGCTAACCGTAGCAACTTGCAGCTCTAAGTATTATGTCATAATGACAGAGGACCATTTTAAAGTCTTCTATCTATGGCTGTGAAGACATCATTATATAATCTAGTTAACAGTTACTCTAGTGTCACCCATTTTCAATTTCCAGATCGCTTTTATCAAGATCAGGTTACTGTGAAGTAAAAATTTGGTTAAATTACAAATGTTTTGCTTTCCCATCTTTAGCCACAGCCAAGTTTTAAGTTAACATGATCTTTCTATAAACTTTGTCAGTGCTCCCTTTAAACATTATTTAAAACACATAATTGTTACTGTATTTCCAACTGGTAAGACCTCAAGCACACTGTAGGTTTAAGGAGGATATGGTAGTTGTCTCTAGAAGCCTTTTTTTTTTTTTTTTTTTTTTTGAGACGGAGTCTCGCTGTCTCCCAAGCTGGAGTGCAGTGGTGGGATCTCGGCTCACTGCAAGCATTACAGGCGTGAGCCACCACGCCCGGCTTAAGCATTACCATTTTTAAAAAAGAAAGGTCCAAAACACTTGACATTATCCTTAGCTATTCTGACACTGCAAGTATACAAAAAATAATTGGGTGAAGGGATTGGAAGTATGATTATGTACTCTGCAGTGGTATGGATATTACAACTTAGAAAAAAGGATAAACCCTTTTGTGTATTTAAGAAATTAGCTGTAGTACATTAGTTTTGCATTAGCCAGCTTTAATGCATGAATAATTTATATTAATCTAATCCTCGATTTCTCAAAGTCACCTGTACTTGAAACAGACTATTCACTAGTAATTATGCTTTTTTTTTTTGAGACAGGCTGTGTCCCCAGGCTGGAGTGCAGTGGTGTGATCTTGGTTCACTGCAATACCCTGGCCTCAGCCTCCTGAGCAGCTGGGAGCACAGGCAGGCGCCACCAGCCTGGTTAATTTTCATATATTTTTTTAGAGACAGGGTCTTACTATGTTGCCTGGCTGGTCTCAAACTCCTGGGCTCAAGCCATCTGCCCGCCTGAGCCTCCCAAATTGCTGGGATTACAGGCGTGAGCCACTGCGCTCGGCTATAACGATTATTTTTAAGTATGTCTTTAAGATTTTTTTTTTAATTGAGAGAAGGTAAACAACAGTTAATTTTCCAAGTGGCACAAAAAAGTAACAATGAAAATGTCCTACCCTGGAGCTCTCCTGACTTTCTCATAGGCGACTGTTTTTTTCTTTGTATTTCACATCATAAATAACCAAGTTAAATGTAACACTATTCCACCTCTAGCCATAAGGTGCTCTTTTTCTAGTCTTGTTGACCCTAAAGATTTGTAGGTGGGAGAAATCAGGAACCCAGGAAAGGAAAAACTCCTGATCTTTAATGCAGGTTTATGCTTTACATAGTAATTTGATGGGACCTCGCCGTCCCTGTCAGGTCTGAATGTCACTTCATCTGCTGTGATCACACCTGAACCCTCAGTTCATCAAGACGTTAAAGGACAGTGTAACATAAACTTGTAACTGCATGCACTAAGTCATAAACAGACGCTGTTGTTGCAGATTAACCTCTACGTAAATAACGCGCCCAGAAGGGAGTGAGTACACGCTGCTGCCACGCTGCGACGGTCAATTTTCCTCCGGCACCCTTCCTAGTACCTGAGCAGCTCCCTCTCAAATCCCCAACACTACGTGTGGGAGGGTGCACTGAATTCCTCTTTAAAAAGGCCACTGGAAGGCGTGGCTGGGAGGGGACGCGCTCTAGACCCCCTGGTGCCAGGGCAGGTGCACGCTACCGCGCTTTCGGGGCGGGGCCCAGGGCCCCACCTGAGGCGGGGGGCCGCGGGCTCTGGGCGTAGGTGCAGCTTCTCCGGCCTGGTGCGGGGCCAGACGGCCGCCGCCGGCTTAGCGGGGGAACTTCGCCTAGTCCTCGGGCTGCGGTCGCAGCGTCATTTTGCCTGAGTTGGATCACGCTCGTCCACCCACCCCGTGTAAAAATAACAGGTGAATACCCTATGTGGGGGTCCTCATCGCCGCCATTTCCAGAAGCTTCCAGTCACAGCCACTGCCACGGTCGCCACAAATGCTACTGCAGAGCCCGCTTGCCCAGCAGCGTCACCGGCGCCTGCCCTGCCTCTTCGCCCAGCCTTTGATTCCCCCTCCTTTGTCGGATAGTGTCTGCGGCGGGGAGGCGGTGACACTAGTCCGAGTGGGGCGTGGAGACCGACCAGCACGAAGGGCGGAGTTCCGGCCCGCACCCCTCCGCCGCCTGCCGCTTGGTACGTCCCGCTTCCCCGCCCTGCGGCTCGCGGAGCCTGGCTGAGCAGCAGGAGGGGCGGGCGCCGGGGGGCGGGGCGGTCACGCCGCCCGTCCCGTGCCCGCGGTAGTCACGTGTCCGCGGGTGTCACGTGCTCGCGTCGCAGCCAATCGCGGGGCGACGCTGTCCTGGGAGCGAGGAGGCTGTGGTGAGAGACGGACCGAGACCGGAGATGTTTTCAAGCCCGGCTCCGGCGGCTTTACAGGCGGCTGCAGCGGCGACGAAGACAACGACAGCGACGGCTACGCCGAAGCACTCGTTCCGGGGGTGAAGCCTCCTGCGCCGGCCTTGCCTCGGGTCCGTACGGGTGAGGGGGGCGTGGCGACAGGAAAGGAGGAAGGAGGGGCGCGGTTTCGAGCTTGTCCCCGGCGCCAGGGAGGAGATCCCCTCAGTTCTGCGCTGCTCCCGTTCCCCCTCCCCAGAGCAAGGTAGGGGACGCGCCCTGCCCGCCCCCCCCGGTCCCGACGCGCCGCCCGCCCAGCCTGGCCCGAGCCGTAGCTCGCCTGACAGTGACAGGCCGTTAGTGCCCCCCGGCGCGGGTCCGCCGGGGCCCCGCCCGCCGCCGCCCCTCCCGGCGTCGCGAGGAGCCGCGGCGCAGGTGGGAGCCGCCAACTGGGCGGGGGCGCTGCGCGGGGCGGGGCGGGGGCCGGGCGGAGGGCCGCGAGCTGGCCTCGTCGCGGGCGCCCCTCACCGCGGCTGGCGGGGCTGGGCTGCCGCCGCCTCCCGGAACATGGCGGGGCCGGAGGAGCGTGTGCGTGCGAGTGTGAGTGTGCGCGGCCGAGAGGGCGCCGCTGGCGTGCGGCGGTCGGACCCGCGGGGGCGGGGGCGCGCCCGGCCCGCCGCGCGTTCCCGCCGCCAGCCGCCGAGCGTGCGCCGACGCCGGGGAGTCTGCCGCGGCCGCTCGGGCCGGGAGCGTCGGAGGTACCCGGGTCCTGGGAGAGGTGGATGAAATCAAGAAGGGGAAATTGCTGCTTTAGTAGTGTCCGGGGAAAGAGCAGCCACTCTACAGTTCTGTCTTAAATGCCAGTGTAAAATAACCTTGCCGCATTGGACAGGCAGTTCCCGTCATCGTTTTTCAAGTACCCACTTGTGATGCTTCAAGACCCCTGGAGCACGTCAGGTTCTTAGATCTCGTTTTGAGGAGTGATGTGGAGTGACGCATCCTTACAGATCCCAAAGCGTTGAATAAACGGTTGTACAAAGAGGTATGCGAAGCTTAGCTGACAGCTGTTTTAGTAATAACAGTAAGACGCTGTCTGGGATAGGAAGTTACTGTTGCACTCGTTGAAACCTTAGGAAACATTTAAAGCAGTGTAGTCACCGGGATTGTAATTTCCACTGGACACCCGTGGTTAAACTGCGAACTAAGGTGAAGTGTGTTGCAGATCCAGTGCTGTGTATGTAATGGTTCGGAATTACCTCTAATCCTAAAGTTGAAATGAGCCTGCATCTGCAGTCATGTATTTCGTTTTCATTTTAGAATGGTTTATGTAAATTATAAAGAAAGGCTAGTGAAATAGCTATTTTATCGTAAATTAACTGTGTATTAAAAACATATGCACAGCCGGGCGCGGTGGCTCATGCCTATAATCCCAGCACTTTGGGAGGCCGACGTGGGTAGATCACCTGAGGTCAGGAGTTCGAGACCAGCCTGACCAATATAGTGAAACCCCCGTCTCTACTAAATATACAAAATTAGCCAGGCGTGGTGGCGCATGTCTGTAATCCCAGCTACTTGGGAAGCCGAGGCAGGGGAATCGCTTGAACCCGGGCGGCAGAGGTTGCAGTGAGCCGAGATCGTGCCACTGCACTCCAGCCTGGGCCACAAGAGCGAAACTCCGTCGCAAAAACATACCAAAACAAACAAACAAACAAACAAAAAAACATATGCTCAAGTAGGCCGTTAAAAATCTTGGGCACTGATCTGAGTTTCTTTAATCGTTATACAAAGCCTTTCCTGGAGATTAGCTCAGAACTGGCAGAACATATGCTCTATTGGTGCCAAGTGGCTTAAAAGCAAAATGAGGATAGTGTCCACCGTGTAAGATGAAGTCGTTATATTAACAGTCTTGTTGAGAAAAATCTTTAATTTGGGTTAAAAGCAGGAGCCTTTAAAAATTTGAAATGTTTACCCCTGGAGATTATAGACAAGGGGAGAAAAGTTTTACTACTTAAGGATCTTTTATATTTGATACAGGCACTGAATAAATTTCTGAAGCTCTACAGGCATCTTGGCTAAGGTCAAGTTTAACTCGTTATGTGTTTTAGAGACAGATGAGGTGTTAAAATGGAAGGAAAATGAGTGTTAAGTGTACTTATGTAGGATACTTTTAATGTTCTTAATCTTGTATAGTTTTCATAATCTCATAATTTTCATAGTAGTTGGTAAGAATTAGTTATCGGAATAGTTTTATGAACTACGCAGAACTGGGAAAGTGGAAATCTCTGGGTGTGTATTCCATGAAGAATATTTGAGGAGGAGTGAAGAGAACAAAAATATTCAGACGAGGAAAGAATTTAGCTGAAAATACATTGTGCAGACTTACACTGGTTTGTTAATACCCAAGGGGGAAAAAAGCCTGAATTTTATTTGCAGACTAGTGTCCAGCTGGTAGAATGAGTTTAAAAGGAAGATGCTTTTATCAAGCTGTCGATATTACTTTTTCCCCTATAGAAGTTGAAAACCATGACTGATACTCTTTTGAAGTAGATTGGAGAAATGGTAGGATATTTGGAAAACACTTCGTTGGAGAAGAGATTTTTATTCTTAAAAAAAAATAAGTGATTTTTAAAATATCATTTTGATTTCTTGCTATTAGCTGACACGTAAACTTTTCTTTAAACCATTCTTACGTTTTAGGAGCATTATTTCAGTCCAAAAAGAGGATGGTTAATGCAATCATTTCCATCATAGTTCATAAGAGGTTTCTACTGCTCTCTGTATATAGACTTAGTTATGTTAAAGTAACGTGTATCAGATGGGCGTGAAGAATTTGTCTAATAATTGCTGTAGGTTGCTTAAGAGCTATTGACACTGCTTTCTGACTTGGAATTTGTTGCTAAAAACATGTATTTGTAAGATGCCTGTGCCTTGTAAAGGGTGCAGTGTTGAGATTTATCCTTGGGACAGGAAGGGACCTCTGATTTTCTTTATTCATTTCCTTTATTTTTACACATGAGAAAATAAGGTGAAAAGACTTAAAGCTAGTCTGCAGCTAGTTAAAAACTAGTCTGTGGTTTGGCCGAGAGGTTTCTTTCTGTGAAGATGCTAATTTGCCTCTTTCTTTAGAAGTTTTACGGAGTTGTGGAAAGAACATTGAAATATAAGTGAGAAGGCCTGGGTTTAAATTCTTGATTTATCACTTCCTCACTTCCTAACAGTGGTTTTTGACATATCGCATTAACTTTCAGAACCTTGCCTTCTATCAGCTGCAACTTTAAAAATACAAAAATAATAGCCTTGTCTTCTTAACCTGCAAAAGTAATTTTCCTGCATAATTTAATGTTTTCATGTGGAACAAATGAGAATGCTTTAGAAAGCACATTGTACACTGTAAACTTCTATACAACGTGGTGATGTTATTTTTAAAGAAAATACAATTCTTAAAGTGTAACAAGGTGTTTAGATCCCTGGATTTTTGCGTAGCCCTACCTTTATTGTTTTCATCTTCTGCTGTTTTACAGATAACTCCTGTAGATACATTTTCTGATCCCCACTTAGTTCTAACCTTAGTTAAGCTGCTTATGAACATTTTAAATATTGCAGTTATTAGTCTGACTTTCCCTGGAGAATATGAAGTTTCTTTAGCCTTTGAAAATATTCTCATGTATACTCATGCATTCATAATCTGTTTCTGTAACAGACAGTGGCTTTTTAAAAGTAATAGTGAAAGTAATCTTAGTAGCAATGTTAATTTATTTGACTCTTGCTAGTTTTCAGGTACGCAAAAGGAGGAGATGATTTCCTTTAAAAACTCAGCTTTGAATAGTTCGTGTTATCTGGTATATCTGAAATATTCAGAAATGTTAAAACAGTTTTTGTTTGCCTTTGCTGTTAAGTTTGAAACCTCTTAGTGCTTTCAATTGATAATCCTGGAAACCAACCTCAGTATTGTAGTATTACATAGATTATCGGAGTTTTTATAGTCTTGAAAATAAAGGTACTAATAATCATAGATAATATTTGCTGAACACTTAGAATATGCAAATTTGTGTTTTAAGTGAAACATTTCAGGTAATTTTCATAATAACCTTGTAAAACGGAGAGGAAACTGAGGCTGTGAAGAGTTATGTGATGGATAGATTTTACATACTAAATAATAGATTTCATTATCCTGTTTTATTAACCATTGCTCTGCCTCTAATTAAGAGTGTTGGTTTTCGAAGAGTTTGAAGGCGGGGATTCTTAAATTTCAGATTTCATGAAAAATGTTTGGGGGCCAGCTATTCTACCTTCTGGGTGGTCAAAAAAGAAAAGAAGTACCTTATGGGAATCATAGAACATAGGCCAGCAACCCTTTTTATGAGATGCTGATATACTTGTTGCTGTGGTGGTGGTGGTGGTGGTTTTATATTAGTTGTCAGAGCACATTATTCTTACCAGATACAGAAAGGGCCATGGTTGTTCATATAATATGAGGCTATCCTAGCAAATTCCACTTTGCTATTGATATCATGCTTCTAAAGAGACATTCTTTCATCACAGTGACTGAAGAAAAAGCTAACCAAACTCATTTAGGATTTTCATAAGGGAATAGAGCCAGCAATAGAAAATCTGCTGAGTTTGTCCAGCTTAGAAAACAGTATCCAAGACCAGGTTTTCTGATTAGTGCGATCCTCCAAAATTGTAAGAAACTTAAATTCAAACATAAGTCCTTAGAAAATTCAGTTGTAACATGGAGATGCTTCCAACTTAAAGGAGGTAGATTATGAAGCTGAAAGTTACAGGGTGGAAGTCATTTCTTTTTCTTTGGCTTTAAAAAAAATTCTAAAAATTTAAAAATTGTGTCATCTTTGGCCAATTCCTTAACATCTGTTTATTGGGCTAAAATTGTTTCAAAATATGTAATAGTTTACCTTTCTGGTTTTCAGTGTGTACTCAGGCCATAACTGGGAAAAAATAACACAAATGTTAGCAATAAGTACATTTTTAACTACCTTATGTCTGTTAACTATCTTATTTTGACAATTAAGATTAATCTCTAATAATATGCATAGATTGGGGAATTGTTAACCTTTTAAAATAAATAGTGGGTTTTTTGTTTGTTTGTTTTTGTTTTGTTTCACTATGTTGCTCAGACTGGTCTTGGTCTTGAACTCCTGACCTCAAACAGTCCTCCTGCTTCACCCTCCCTAGTAGCTGGGATTACAGGTCTTAGCCACCTTACCTTGCTATATAGTCTCTTATTGTAACAATAGCAAAGAGTTACAATAGAACTCTATAGCTTCTCAGATTTCAGATTGTTACTCCTACATAGGAGTTTTGTCAGCATTCTGACTTCTAATAGAGAACAAAAACCATTTGTGGCTCTCTTTTCTGCCTAGAAATAGCTATATTGACTCTCAAAAGAAAAATAGTAACTTAAAAATTACAGTGCTTTGTAGTTCACACAGTGCTTTTTACATCTGATTCTCTTTTGAACCTCACAGCTCAGTAGCAGAACAAGGATTGTCAGCTAATCTGATGATACTGAGCCATGGATTGAATCCAGGTTAAAAGTATCTGGAGTAATGTTAGATTCCTTTGAAACTCACTTATGAAAGAGAAGCATTAGCAAACCTAAAGGAAGAGAAAGGAGAGACATGCACTTCTATTTTCTCCCACCAAATTCATATTGTACACAACTTTCTATTCTGTTTACCCGTTCTGAAACAGAGTAGAGGTAAACATTAAAAACATTCCTTATACAGCTTTAATAATTAGTAGTAATGGGCCAGGTGCAGTAGGTCACTCCTGTAATCTCTGCTCTTTGGGAGGCTGAGGCTGGCAGATCACCTGAGGTCAGGAGTTTGAGACCAGCCTGACTAACATGGTGAAACCCCCTCTCTACTAAAGAATACAAAAAATTAGCTGGGCGTGGTGGCGCACCCCTGTAATCCCAGCTACTTGGGAGGCTGAGGCAGGAGAATTGCTTGAACCCAGGAGGTGGAGGTTGCAGTGAGCCAAAATTGAGCCACTGCACTCCAGCCTGGGAGACAGAGTGATACTGCCTCCAAAAAAAAAAATTAGTTGTAATGGTTAATGATGATAAAGACAATTAGATAAGAAAATTAAAATTTCATAACACATTTCCTACCATAATTTGCACAAGAATATTGTAACTAGGAATAAAGCCTTGGCTTGCATTCCAGTGTTCTATAGTAGTCTTGGAACCTCTGAGTTAAAATAAATCCTTTCTACCAGAGTTTAATTCTCACTACTTGGAAGTTACTTGGTAATCAAGGAAAAGAACTTCTATTGAGCTTCTGTACGCTAGATACTATTAGATACTTTCATGTATGTTACATGTAAGTGTAGATATCTTAAATATCGAGTTAAGAAAACACTTCAAAAAGTTGTTGCCAGAATATCTCTAACTGGGTCTTTTTTACTCAAGAACTTAAGTTGAAATTTATAAGTTATAAAAATGTTAAGTCTGTTACTTTGAGAAATTTTTTCTTGATTAAGATCAGTCCAATTCACTAATATATTTATAGTTGACGTGATCATCCAGTAGTGGTTATTGAGCCTTCAGAAATTACGCTTATCTTCCAGGATTTGTAAAAACATCTCAGGAGTGAAGAGCATTCTTTTTGTTTTGTTTTGTTTTTAAGACGGAGTTTCACACTGTTGCCCAGGCTGGAGTGTAAAGGCATGATCTTGGCGTACTGCAACCTCCGCCTCCTGGTTTCAAGCGATTCTCCTGCCCCAGCTCCCCGAGGAGCTGGGATTACAGGCGCTTGCCACCACGCCTGGCTAATTTTTTGCATTTTTAGTAGAGATGGGGTTTCACTATGTTGGCTAAGCTGGTTTTGAACTCCTGACCTCGTGATCCACCCACCTTGGCCTCCCAAAGTGCTGGGATTACAGGCGTGAGCCACCACTCTCTGCGGAGCATTCTCTTTAAGCTGCAGTTGAATATGACCAAACACCACCACCACCACCGCCCTCTTTAGTGTGTTTCTATTTGTCCTCATGTTATTGAAAGTAAGCAAGAATGGTTGACAGCAGATTGGCTTACTCATTCTTTCCTTTGTCCTTTTTCACCCTTTGAAGCTCTTCCTCTTCCTTCAGGCACTAGTGCTCTTTCTTGGAAAGCCCCATTGAAAATTAATCTATACTTACATAGATACTTACATACCTATATTTGTGTTATTAAACTTAAAAATTATATTACCACTTTCATTTTACATTAGCTAATGCATGAGGAAATAATCATTTGCATTTTCTCTACTGTGACTTGACACATCATATCCTGTGGCCATTTTTCTCTTTTTTTCTTACTCAAAACTTCCAGGAGTAGCAATCAATAATTTAAATAATATTTTAACATTTTTGTTAGGGTTTTACAGCATGCAATTATTGTATGCTATTGTTTAAAGATTATAATAAAAAGGTTATTAATTCTCCAACCTCCTTTTGCATAATCTTTATATATTAGTGATTATTAATCTTCTATATGTTACAAATATTATTTTATAGCACCATTGTCCCTTCAAAAACCCCAGAAGAATAGGCTCTGTCCAAAGTACTACTACCTTATTGGGGTGATTACTCTTTATGCTCTTTTATTATTCCATTCACACTCCTAGTCTAAGAATTTCCCCTCCCTATAGCTTTTGTATACTCAGATGTTAGGGTGGGAGTAGCAGAAAACAGAATCTTTTGAGCATAAGGGGAAACATGTAGTCTCACACTTGAGTCGTATTCATTATGAAGTGCTAATAGACTGGCAGAGGTATAATTACAACTACTCCATAGTTGATTATAGGTTCTCCACATATACTTGCAAAAATCTTAACGAGGTTTATCTTATTCCCATTTTGCACCTAAGGTTCAAGTTAAATCATTTAAAGTTATACATATCTAGTAAGTGATGGTGACTATATTGCTTCCTTTCAAAACTGCACCTTCAAAGATGATGATATTAAAAGAAAAGATAAAATGATAAATTTAGAAACTTTAGGGGAAAATATGTAATTTGCATATCATATTAATTATGTATGTATTTGTATGTATGTAATACATACATTATGTAATAAATATGTATACATATTAATATGTGTATCATACTAATATATCAATAATTATGATTATGGACTTTTACAAGGAGTAAAAAGTGAAAAGTCATGAAGTATTCAGTCTGAAAATGTAATGGGTTCTTGAATTTGAAAGTATTTGAAATTTTTATCTTTTTATTTCTGAATTTTCCAGTTTTACCACAATGAACAAGTATCATAGATATAATGAAGTTTTTGTTAGTTTTATTTTTAGGTATGGGTTCTTGCTCTGTTGCCCAGGCTGGAGTGCAGTGGTGTCATCCTAGCTCACTACAGCCTCAAACTTCTGGGCTCAAGGAATCCTCCTGTCCCAGCCTGTCTTGTAGCTGGGATTGCAGGCATATGCCACCATGCCAGACTCTGGATGTAGTGAAGTTTTAAACATTTACATAATTAACAGTTTTTAGAGGAATGTCTCTAGGTACAGCATTACATCTAGCATTGTTGAGGCAGGGATTCGGGAAGATACAAGTGAAGGCAATATTATAGTATGTGTCTTTTTAAGAATTCACACTCAGGAAACAAAATACACACATAATCACATAGGAGGATAGTATTATTCCTTAATCATCCAAATTGCTTTCTAGTTGCTGTGGAAAGGAACATGGTAAGCCATGTAAAGACACGAATCATTCTGTCTTGTTCTCTATTCCATCACGTTGTAAATGGTTAGCATATGTTTATTGAATGAATGAGAATCACCTCAGTGCCAGTGGCAAGAGGGTGGTCTGACTGGCATAAGAGGATGAACTGGGACTAAAAGTGGGTAGCAGTTGAGAACAGCCACAATTACTAGGATGAGGGGCTTAATAAAAATTAATTTCCAAGGTGGGAAATGATATAATACACATTTTCTTAGAAAGTAATTCTAGAAGTATAGAATTTAAATAGGAGGTAACTATTTAGAAAGGTTCTTAAGGGTTTAGACCCCAATTGTAAGCACATATCTGAAGAAGGCATTCTCTGTTTATGGGCAACTTAAAATCTAGCAAGAAGAGGTAATTACCTAAAACCAAGATGCATAATTAGGAAGAGGTTCTGTGTATATTTTGAAGTTGTAGATTTTTTGGTGAATATGAGTTCAGGGAAAAGGACCTGTGTGTTTTAGGCACTGAAATAGGTCTCTTCAAAAAGGCCAAGAATCACTGAAATGTAGGTTCAGTTTTTGCTGTAGAACTCTTAGATTCTTAGAGTCCTTAATTTCTTTTTTAGGGGTTATTTTTTATAATGTAATTCCTTTAGTAAACCTGCTTAACATTTGCACCATCAGTGACATTTGCCTTTTTTTCCCCCGATTCAAAAACATTTGTGTGGTTATATGTCAGAAAGTGTTCTATTTTAAAAATAAAACCAAGCCTGGCACAGTGGCACATGCCTGTAATTCCAGCTACTCCAGGAGGTTGAGGTGGGAGGAACATGAGTTTGAGCCCAGCCTGGGCCAAAATAGTGAGACTCCATCTACAAAAGAGTTTTGGCTGGGCACAGTGGCACACACCTGCAATCCCATCACTGTGGGAGGCAGAGGTGAGAGGATTGCTTGAGGCCAGGAGTTTGAAAGTAGCCTGGCCAACATAGTGAGACTCCATCTCCATAAAAATAAAAAAAAATTAAAAACCAACCAAATACACGCTTATTCTTTTGCATTGATGTTGGAGTTTTCAGAGTACCAGCCTTTTCACATTACTTTCTTTCAGCTATTAGAATACAGTGAAATTACTCTGTTCTGGTCCCTCATTACCATATTTCTCCTTCTCATCAACATGCTTTGGCAGGGAAAACAGTTTATAATTCTAAGTGACTTTGGTCAGAAGAGCTACCAGTGACATATACTGCTACATTAAACCAGTTTAAAGTGTGTTTTCCTTTGAATGCCCTGGAATATACAGTTGTTCTGAAATCTAGTGTATATTATAAGAGGTAGGTTTGTGTTGGAGAGTGAGCAGGATAAAGAAAAACGTAGCAGTTCAAGACTAAAAGGCCTAAACAATTCAGTCCTGGTATAGTCATGGAAGTGACAATTTTAATCTGTAATTTGAGCAGTGTTATTACCCGTCATATTATTGGATCAGGGTGGAAATGATGTTGTATGTAAGTTAGAAATACTTTATTTATTACTTGGATTGCTGTCTTGTAGGGACACAACTTGCAGCTCTCCACAACTGCATCAAGAATTTGGACGTAGTTTTTTTTTAGGATCTCAGGCTTATATTGCAGAAGCAGTGATTATTGTAAACTATTCTGGTTTCTTAATGACCTATCCCAATCTCACTTATCTTATGTACCACTGTTAAAACTATATCGATTATTTAAGTAGTTAAAAATCCTTTCATTTAAGGCTAAAGTACGTGCCTGTCATTTTTATAGAAAGCAGTAAAAGTGAGATAGGGCACTTTTGGGGGTTAAGCTGTGAGCAATACTTAAGATTAGCACCAGCCTTATTTATAATTGTTATAATATGTTGCAAAGATTGGCTGCAATAGCCTATCTTTTGTGGGGGGCTGCAGAGGGGGCAAAAATAAAATACAAAAAAATTTATTTAGAATATTTTAGATAATTTAAAAGGTACAAAAAATAGCATGATGAACTTTCCTTTTTCTCTAGACCTATTTAAATCCTTTTATTTATTCATTGTTCATCTCAACTGTGACCTATTCAGTGAAGCCTGACCTCTTCCATCTTAAGTCTGTTGCACATCGTATATAGTAGTGAGAGCAGTGTGACTAGAGGAGTTGAAAATAAGATTTATGTATGTAGTAGAAATGTACCTAGAAATCTAGTGAAAGCTAAACTTCAACATTTCACTGTATGCAGAACAAAACTAATAAAGTATAGATTTGAGAGGAACCAAACAAAATAATTATTTTAGGAAGATCAGTTGTGTGGAGCAATAGGTCTAAAAGGAAGTGGTGAATTGCCAACTCATTTTGATTGGCTTTTTCACTGTACTTACTCTGTGAAATTTTACTTGGCCTTCAAACAGTTTACCATTTTGCTAGAAGAGAAAGGAGATGGCAGAATTCTTAATTATGAATTTTTCTAGTTTTCAGGGTTTTAGAATCCTTTTAGAACCTGTAAACTTTTTCCCTATTGACAGTGAAGTGAATACAGTGGCTATTAGATTCTACTTTTCAACATTGGTAGTATTTTCTGCTCCCAGTGCCAGAAATGCAAGTAAAGCTGGCTAACCATTTTCTCTGAGCTGTTGCAGCCCTCTACTGGTTTATGGAAGTTGCAGCAATTTAGAACCTGTTAGGGCCAGAAGGTCAGTAAACTCAGCAACTCATTTAAAAAATCTCAGACCTTTAGAAGTCATCTGTGCCAACCCTCTCAATTGCAGATGAATATTTTATATACCTACCTTAACAATTCTGGAGGGAGGGAAAAATATATATATATACACACACACGTATGTATGTATGTATAAGATACCCTAGGCAAATAGATAATTGTAAATATAACTGCCCATATTTATTTACAAACTCTAAATGTATTGTTAGAATGTGATCCTTTACAATCAGATGTTTCATGTTGTCAAAAACATCTCTTTAAAGTCTTGTAAATATTTAATGAAGTAATGAAAATTTTATTTTTTAAAAATTTGAGGTGTTTATTTATTACTATTAGAAGATAAATACAACAGATAAATGCTAATTGCTTAAATTATTTCCAAAGCAATTTTACTTATTTATTGCTGGAGCCAGAACTTAGGTTTCATTCTAGGCTTCTTGTTCTTGTTTACTCTTCCACCCCTGTCCCCTGTGATCCTCCCCCCGCCACAATCTGGTCATTGTGCTTTAAGTGGTCTCCTTGTGTCTTAGGTAATTCCTCTTAAGTCCATCTTCCAGAGTTTCACCAAGGGCACCTTTCTGAACACACTACTCGAATTATGTCACTACTTTTTTAGAAGCCTTTTTTGTTACCATAAAGAACAGACTACACAATGACAAGGGGCTTCATGATGAGATCCCTTCCTGCTTCAGCCTCATTTTCTGTCCCACTCTGCTTCAGTTTTTTGCTGTTCCTTCATTGTGGTCTGCTTTTGTGTGTGGGCATGTGTGTACACCTGTGCATATGCTTATCCTCCTCCCACACCAGCCCCATCTATATCTACCTGCCTCAGAGTCATCCTCAACACTCTATTTTAGTGTTCCCTCTTCTTGAAATTCCCTACCCCTACCTCCGTACGCATGCACCCAAATTGGGTGCTTGCTTACATAGCATTTATTATTCTGCATGGTAACTAAATTGTCTTTTTTCTGTTAAAAACTGTCAGTTCCCTTCAGGCTAGGATTGTGTTTTGTTCATCTTAGTTCCATTATGTGACATGTAAGTGTTTAATAAATGCTAAGTGATAGAATAATTGCATGAGCAAACTAGGATATGATAGCTAAAGGAAATACCCACACTTAAATAAGTTAACATCACAGACTTAATTCATTTTTCTTGACATTTTAAGGAGAATTAGTTCATTTAGACTAGTGTTTATTGAACATACTTTTCATGATATCTATATTAAGGAAAGCGATGGTTGGGGGAGATAAAGAATAGTAGAATTTTAGAATTGGAATGAACATCATTTTAAAATGAGGAAACTGAAAGCCAAAGAGTTTACTAGAAATTTCAAGTTACAATTAGAACCCAAGTTTTATAGTGCTTATTTTTTACTTTCCTAATTTCCTTCTAATGTATTTTACCTAGATTTGGCTAGGATTAGTAGATACCGGTTGTTTATTATTTCAGGCAATTGGACTATCTAAATAGAACTCTATCCTGTAGGTTTACCTTTGTGGAATTTTGAAAGTAATAATAGACATATAGCTAAAGCAAACCGACTATTTGTAATGATTTATTTATTTATTTATTAAATTTTATTTTTTTTTTTTTTTGAGACGGAGTCTCACTCTGTCACCCAGGCTGGAGTATAGTGGTGCAATCTGGACTCACTGCAACCTCCACCTCCTGGGTTCAAGCCATTCTGCTGCTTCAGCCTCCTGAGTAGCTGGGACTACAGGCATGCGCCCACCACGCCCGGCTAATTTTTGTATTTTTGGTAGAGACGGGGTTTCACCATGTTGGCCAGGCTGGTCTCGACCTCCTGACCTCAGGTGATCTCGCCTCGGCCTCACAAAGTGCTGGGAATACAGGAGTGAACCATCGTGCCTGGCCTGTAATGTATTTATTTTGTATAGTCTTCTGAATTCTTTGTCAGGCTCAGTTTCCCGAAAGGTATAATATTTAGCAGCACCAATAAAAAATGAATCCTTTGTTTACTGGATTGAGCTTGTGTCCTAAATCTTTTGCTTCTTTCCCTATTCTGGATTTAGAGTTAGAAAATATGTAAGTACCTTTTATCTCGTTTCGTCTACCACTGTCTGAAGCACTCCGTTACCTGCCATCTCATGTATTACTTCCTCTTGAGTTCTACCCAGAACGCTGTAGGACTCCAGAGGAAACCAAGTAGAAATGGATCTATGTTATTATTTTAAAAGAATTTTTTTTGCTGATAAAAGCAGTACATTTCCATTCTAAAGTTAAAACTTTAGAGAACTTTATAAAATAGACCATAAAAATTCCTTAAGGACTTTTAAGAACATTGTTTTAAGGACATTGTTGAGGACAGTTTATTGTAAAAGATTGTAGATGCCTGTACTTTTTTCTTCATCTTTTGCATGCTGTTGGTGGTTAAATTTTGTGATTTTGTGATTTTTTTTAAAATTTATTTTTATTTTTTATTATTATTTTTTGAGACGGAGTCTCGCCCTGTTGCCCAGGCTAGAGTGCAGTGGTGTGATTTCGGCTCACTGCAAGGTCCGCCTCCCAGGTTCAGGCCATTCTCCTGCCTCAGCCTCCCGAGTAGCTGGGACTACAGGCACCTGCCACCACACCTGGCTAATTTTTTGTATTTTCAGTAGAGACAGGGTTTCACCATATTAGCCAGGATGGTCTCGATCTCTTGACCTCGTGATCCACCTGCCTTGGCCTCCCAAAGTGCTGGGATTACAGGTGTAAGCCATCGCGCCCAGCCAATTTTGTGATTAAAAAAAAAATGATGCTAATTTCTTGATCTGGAATGCAACCATGAGCTTTTTGTGGGAAAATGTTATGGAATAACTGCCAGAAAACATTGTGGTGAAAATTAACTATTACTTTAGGAAAATATGATAAAGAGAGCATGTTCCCTTTTTATAGACTGAATTCTCACTTGAATGGCTTAAATAGCTAAGGCAGGGAGGGAAGTCCAGTTAATATCTCAGAAGCACAACTATTTGTTTCGAGGCTTTTTCCAGTATTTTTTTCAAAACCACTTTAAAAATGTGAGGGAATTAAGCTGCTTGTTCGGTTTAAGTAGGAATTACTTAGTGTTTATGTCTAATGGTTTATTTTTTGCATGTGAGGAAAACAGCAGAAAACATCTAATAATTTATCATTTTGCATTCATAGAAAAAATACTAGAATTTGGAGTGAAATCATTCTAAACCTCTTATTTAAGAAGCAGAATTTTGGAACGAGAGGATCTTAAATGTCATCTAATTTAATTTTACTTTCAAGAAGAAACAGAAATACTGAGAACTGATGAAGGTCAACCAAAAAGTCTTTGGTAGATCTCAGAATAGAATCTTGGACCTCACGCTCCCAGATCACACTACATAAAAAGTGATGGTCACTTTCCTAACTGAATGACCCTTAAGGACCATTCAAAATTGTGTACTGTGATATGGTCCTTTGCTAGTTGTCTTTTTTTCTCAAATCAATTTCGAAGAAAGCGTTTTTGCCCTGAAAGCGGCTGCAGCTCAGTGGAAGCTGGAACTGAAATAAAGTTAGGAACTTGCATTCCTTGCTCAGAGTTCTCTCTTTACTTTCTCTAGATAGAATACAAAGTGGGTGGTAAATTTGAATATTTTATATGCACTGGGGTCTGTGCTAAGGTATAATTTTAGTTACTTCTCATAGCCTTTTTATTGAACTTTATCATTTCATAATATAGATGATGAAATTAAGTAATTTAGGCCAGGTGCATTGGTTCATGCCTGTCATCCCAGCACTTTTGAGAGGCCGAAGCAGGAGGATTACTTGAGGCCATGAGTTTGTGGCTAGCCTAGGCAACAAAGCAAGACCTGGTCTCAATACTTAAAAAACAAAAAGAAAAAAATAATTTGGACTTTGCTCTCAGTTGTATTTAATCTAAAGTACATGTTTTAGGGACTTCTGGACAAAAGGGTAGACTGGAGATGCCCCCTTCTTTTTCAAATATGGAAAAGCTAGATAAAAATAAAACACTTAAAGAAAGGGGAATCTGCAGGTGCCTGAAATGAAAAAGAACACAGTCATAACAGAGAACAGAAGTTGAAGCTTTATCCTATAGGGAAAATAAAAAGATACCTTTAGTGTGTGAGCTTTAATGTAGTAGTGGAATCCATTGGCCCAGGAATGGCAGAAAGCCAAGACTGGGCTCTTTGAGTAAAAGTCCAGACCAGGAGGACTCTCAATTATTCATAAATAGGTCCTTAAAAAACAGGCCATCTACCAGCCTGGGTTTATATTTCCAGGTATATCTTCTTCCTGTCTTTTTATTTTCACCGTTTTTGGTCTTCTTTAGTGGTCTGCTTTTTTTTTTAAAGTATATTGCTGGATTCTGTTTATCCACTTTTACAGACTCTTGATTAGTGAGTTTCATTTATTGTAGTAATATATATATATTGGAAGTTATCTACATTCTATTTACCACACTTAAAAAAATTTTTTTCTGCCTTCTGTCACATAGATTGAATGTTCATTTGTTTTCAAAGGCATCCATTTGATTTATTGAGACCTATATTTCTATTCATTTTCTACAGTTTTTTAATTTTAATGTATATTTTCCCTCTAAGCCAGATAAGTCCTTTAAATGCTTTCTCACTTTCCTGTGGGCTTTTTCCCTCTCCTTGACCCCTACCCTTTCCCAAAAGCCTTGTTGATTGATAGGGGTATTCTTTTACATATTTGTCCTTTTTCTTTTTGTATGAAATAGACTTATTAGATTATAAACTCACTCTTACTCCCATATGTTACATAATGTCCTCATGTATTTCTTTTTTAAAAAATTTTTCTGTAGAGACGGGTCTCACTATGTTGCCCAGGCTGGTCTCCAACTCCTGACCTCAAGCAGTCCTCCTACCTCAGCCTTCCAAAGTGTTGGAATTACAGGCGTGAGCCACTGTACCCAGCCCATAGATTTATTTCTATTATTTGAGTGCCTACTCAAAAGCAGATTTTCAAACAGGGTATTTACATGTCCTTCTAAAGCCATTTGATGTCTGAAAATATTTTTCGTTAACCCTCAGGTATAGCTGATAGCTTAGTATCACCAATAGCTTAGTTTGAGTAATGATTTTGGTTTTAAATAGTTTCCCCTTAACATTTTGAGAATATTACTACATTGTTTTCTTATCTCTGATGTTACTTTGGGGGAAGTTCTGTTGGCAGTTTGATTTCTTTTCCTCTCTAGAACATTTTGAAATCCTTTGTCTTTTTCAGTTTCGTTGTAATGTGTCTGTGTATAGTTCATTTTCCTGGTTTGGCCCTTGGATTCATGTTTACTTACTCATTTATCAAATATTGAATTTGTCAGGAGCCTACTGTGTGTCCCAGGATGTATTCCAGACAATTTAATCTGAGTTCTTTCACCTTTTCTTATTTGGGGGAAATTACTGGTCATTTTTTCAAATATTTTGTTTTCTCCATTTTCTTCTCTTTATGGAAAAATTATTGGTCATTTTTTTCAAGTACTTTGTTTTCTTCATTTTCTTTTCTTTACAGGAATTCTGTTGTATGGATTTTGTCACTTCTAGTTTCTGTATGTCTCTTAACTTTTAATATTTTGTTTTTTTCTAATCCCTTCCTGATGTCTTCTGGGACTGTCTTCTCTACTTGTTCTTCTAGCTCACTAATTCATTCTTTGGCTTATCTATTATATACCTAATCTGAAGAGTTCTTTATTTCAACCCATGTATGTTCATACTCTGTATTGGTTCTTTTTTGTAACTACTTAGTTCTGCATGTTATCAGTCTTCTAGCTCTAAGAGGATTTTAAATGTTTTGAAAATTCTTCATGTGTCTTTTCCATTAATTCTGCTTTGTATACACATAGCTTAGTTTGAATGGGAAACCAATGAAAAAGTTCAAGCAGGGCGGTGATATAATTTGATTTTTAGTTTTAAAAGATTACTCTGCGGCTGGGCACAGTGATTCAAGCCTGTAATCCCCCAGCACTTTGGGAGGCCGAGGCAGGAGGATGACTTGAGCCCAGCAGTTCAAGACCAGTCTTGGCAACATGGCAAAACCCTGTCTCTACAAAAAATACAAAAATTAGATGGATGTGGTAACATGTGCCTGCAGTCTCAGCTACTTGGGAGGCTCAGGTGGGAGGATTGATCACTTGAGACTGCAGTGCACCATGATCATGCCACTGCACTCCAGTCTGAGCTACAGAACGAGATCCTGTCTCAATAAATGAATGAATGAATGATTACTCCAAGTCAGGTGCAGAAGCACACACCTGTACTCCTAGCTGCTTGGGCGACCGAGGTGGGCAGATCGCTTGAGCCCAGGAGCTTAAGGCCAGCCTGGGCAACATAGTGAAACTCGTCTCTTAAAAAACAACAACAACACACACTCTGGCTACTGCCTGTAGAAGATGGGGGTGTGTATAAGGTGGAGGTGGTGACAAGAATGTAAGCAGGAAGATATTTGGGAAGTGTTTGCAATAGTCTATTCAAGAGATGATGGTGGCTTGGATTAGGATGGTAGCAAGTGAGATGGGAAGACATGAATTTAATTTGTGGTATATTTTAGAGATGGAATCAGCATTTCTGAATTTCTGGCTTAAGTGATGGATGGATGTTGGTGGCATTTATTGGAATAGAGAAGATTAACAGAAAAGAGTTCTCTGTAGTCCTTTTTGGTTTGGTTATGCCTATTAGATATCCATGTGAAGATGTCAAGTGGGTATTTACATACACAAATCTGGAGTTTTAGAGAAGGTCTAGGACTAGAAATACAGAGTTGGAAATCAGTGGCTTATTAGTGGTATTCAAAGCCATGAGACTGGATTAGGTTTTCTAACTTCACACATTTAGGTACCATGGCTTAGTGAATAAAAATAGACCTAGCCTAAAATGCTGAGGCACCCCTAATATTTACAAGTTCTTCAGAAAAGAAGAGATTAAAAAATAAGAAAGTTGCTTCTTGGAGAAGTGGGGAGGGTTAATGGGTACAAAAAGTAGAAAGAATCAATAAGACCTAGTATTTGCTGTCACAGCAGAGTGACTATAGTCAAAAATAATTTAATTGTACATTTTTAAGTAACTAAAAGAGTATAATTGGGTTGTTTGTAACACAAAGGATAAATGCTTGAAGATAATTTTCAGGATAAAAATGCGCCATAATTTGTTTAACCAGGTATAAATGGATATGTAGATTTCCCCTCCAGTGTTTTGGGCATACTAGTAACACTTCCTTGAATGTCTTTTTATATTATCTTTACATATTTGTGTAAGTACACCTGTAGGATAATCCCAGAAGTAGAATTACTAGAAGAGAAGACTGTGCGTTTAAATTTTTATGGTTTCTGCCAAATACCTCTCCAAGGAGAATATATCCCAATTTTTATCCCCATCAGCAGTGGATTAAAATGCTGGTTTTCCCAAACCCTTGCCAACAGTTTTAATCTTGGTCAGACTTTTAAGTGAGAAGTCATGTCATTATTTTATAGTTTCAAAACTGTGAATGAGTTTGCATACTTCTGTATGTTTACTTTTGTGTTTTTTGTTCTTTGTTCATGTCTTCTGATTTTTTTTGTAATTTTTCTGTTTTTCACTGATTTGTTATACCTCTTGGATTATTCTTTTTCATATGTGTTGCAAATGTTTTCACTTGTTTTCTGATTTCTGTTTATGATGTTTACATTGTAGAAATTTTAAATTTTTATTTAGGCTGAGGTGGGCGGATCGCTTGAGGCCAGGAATTCCAAAGCAGCCTGGCCAACATGATGAAACCGAATCTCTACTAAAAATGCAAAAATTAGCTGTGCATGGTATTGCATGCTTGTAATCCCAGCTACTTGAGAGGCTAAGGCAGGAGAATCGCCGCTTGAACTGGGGAGGTGGAGGTTGTGGTGAGTCAAGATCACGCCACTGCACTCCAGCCTGGGCAACAGAGTGAGACTCTGTCTCAAAAAAAAAAAAAAAAAAGAAAAAGACTTTTGACTTTTATGTCACATTTTGGAAAGGCTTTCTCTATCCAAGGATTTTTCCCCTAATACTTATATGGTTTAATTTTTATATTTTTTTTGTCCCAGATGCCAACATTTTTACCTTGTCATAATTAATTCTGAAATTCATTTGGTGAGAATTAAGATAATTTTGAAAAAGAAAAACGGTGAGGAGGGAGTAAAATTAGTATTAGAAAGCTGTACAATAAAAACAGTACAGTATTGATACAAGAATGGAAAGACAGAGTATTGGTGGAACAGACTAGAAAGCCTGAAAAGAGATTTAGTTATTAACATATAAAGGAGTAAGAGTGTGGTTTAAAAATAAAAATTGGCATTATAGGTAAGTGGATGAAAAGAGTTAAACATCAAAAGTAGTTGAAATAAGATTGAATGTATTCTGATCTTTGGCTAGAGAAGCTTTATATCTAAAAGCAAAGGAAGGATTTATCAAGAAAACTACAGGCATCAAAAATATATTTGCATTGTTTACCCATGTTTATAGCAGCATTATTCACAATAGCCAGAAGGTAGAAACAGCCCAATATCCACTCAGCAAAATGTGGTATATACGTAAATGGAATATTACTCAGCTTTAAAAAGGAAAGTATTGGCTGTGTAGAGAGCATTGAAAAAAAATTGTGACACATGCTACAGCATGTGTCAGAACTTTGAAGTCAGTATGCTAAGTGAAATAATCTAGTCACACAAAAGGAAAAATATCATATGATTGCACTTGCACGAAGTGCCTAGAGTAGGTTCATGGAGATAGAAAGAATGGTGATTACCAGGAGCTGGGAAAAGTGGGAAATGAGTTTTCTTGTTAAATGGGTTTCAGTTACAGAAGATGATCAAGTTCTAGAGATAGATGGTAGTGATGATTGCATGACAGTGTGGATGTTACTCAGTGCCACAGAACTCTGAACCGTGCTTCTAGAATTAGGATGGCGTTACATCCCAACTAAACAATAGTTGAAAATACTATTAAGTTAAAAATGCATTAATACACCTAGTCTACTGAACATCATAGCTTAGACTAGCCTCTGTAAATGTACTCAGCATACTTACAGTAGCCTACGGTTGAACAAAATAACATGAAGCCTATTTTATAATAAAGTGTTGATCATCTCGTGGTTGTTTACCCCTGTCATCGTGTGGCTGACTGGGAGCTGCCCAGCATCACAAGAGAGTATACTACCACATACCAATAGCCTAGGAAAAGATAAAAATTCAAAAATCAAAGTACTGTTTCTAGTGAGTACGTATGACTTTTGCACCATTTATAAAGTCCAAATATTGTAAGTCGAACCATTGTAAGCTGAGGACCATCTGTATTTAAATATAGTTAAAATGGTAAATTTTATGGTGTGTGTGGGTGTGTGTGTGTGTGTGTGTGTGTGTGTGTGTGTGTATATATATATATATGTATTTTTTTTTTTTTTTTTGAGATGGAGTCTTGCTCTGTCTCCCAGGCTGGAGTGCAGTGGCATGATCTCGACTCACTGCAACCTCTGCCTCCCTGGTTCAAGCGATTCTTTTGCCTCAGTATGTTATGTATATTTAATCACAGTTCTAAAAAATATGCAACAAAAATGACAGCATCGGTTTTCCTCTTACAAATCGATAGGAAAATGATTGCCACAGCAGAAAAATGACCAAAGATATTAACAAAAATTCTGAAAAACAAAAATAAAGTAAGTGGCTTAAGTGGAGTAGAAAAGGTTTTTAATCATGAGAAGTCAAAGAACTTAAGTGGTCAAACTGAGATGGGATATAGACGTGAAACCAGGATGGGGGCAGGATTTGAGGTAGAGATAAAGGCTGTGAGTGACACAAAGTCAATATGAGGTAAAGTAACTAGAGATGTAGATGTTTTCTCTGAAGAGGATGGAGTCGTTGCTTAATGGCTTCCAAACCATCAGAGTTACCTGAGAAACTTTTTAAAATAAACTTCTTGCTTTAGTAGAGTGGTTTTAGATGTACAGAAAAACTGTGAAGATAGTACAGAGGTTTCCTGTGTACCTTTATACCAGTTGCCTCTATTAACATCTTACATTGGGATGATACATATGTCCCAAATAAAAAACCAATATTAATAAATGATTGTTAACTAAAGTTCATACTTTATTCAGATTGCCCTAGTTTTTTGAATGTCCTTTTTCTGTTCCAAGGTCCCATCCAGGATACCGCATTACATTTAGTTATCATGTCTCCTTAGCCTTCTCTTGGCATGACAGTTTCTGAGACTTCCCTTGTTTTTGATGAACTTGACAGTGTTAAGGAGTACAGTGAGGTAAGTGTAGGATGCTCCACTATTAGAATTTGTCTTAAGTTTTTCTCATGATTAGGCTGGGGTTATGGCTTTGAGGAAGAGGATCACAGAGGTAAAATGTCATTTTTATCACATCTTATCAAGGGTACATACTATCAACATGACTTAGCACTATTAGCATTAACCTTGATCACCTGGCTGATAATAGTATTTGTCAGGTTTCTCTACAGCACAGTTACTCTTTTTTTCTCCTCTTTCCATGCTGTATTCTTTGGAAGAAAGTCACTCTACCCAGGCCACACTTACATGCTCTTCCTCCTAGAGAGGAGATGTCTGCATAAACTATCTGCAGTTCTTCATGGAAGACTTACTCATTCTCTCTCATTTAGTTCTTAATGGAAGACTTACTCAATGTCTCTCATTTATTCACTTTACTAATCAGTGTGGACTTGTAGATGTTGATACCTTGGGTTATAATCCAATACTACTATATTCTGTTTTTCAATTTTTTTCTGGCATTGTCTGTTGGGACCCCTTTCACTTTGCACCTGTATGCCTTTGACATATCACTATTATTTATGTATACTTATTGAGTACTTCCTTTCTGGGAGTGCAAGATTATCCAGACTCATCTTTTGTTTCCTGCCTTGGCCTAGGATCAGCCATTTCTCCTTTTACTGAGAAAGGTTAATAACCAAGATCTGCATTTTAGGTGTGCTTCTTGCTACTGGGCTGTTGCGGCTTGTGGATTCTCTCCAGCTGACATAGTAAGGAAATATATGTGTATATTACTAATTCTATATACATATCTATAATTCTATATGTAAGTTTGTGTCTGTATTAAAGTAAACAAGAGTTTATATTCATATTTCCAGCTGTAATCCATTACCACATTCTAGCCACCTTCTGACTTGTCTGTCTGTAACCTACCACCCCAACAGCAAGAAATCTGGCTTCTATTCGCCATCCATTTATTTTTTTACTTTTTTATTTTCATTTTTTGAGATGGAGTCTTGCTCTGTCGCCCAGGCTGGGGTGCAGTGGCGCAATCTCGGCTCACTGGAATCTCTGCCTCCCGGGTTCCTGCCATTCTCCTGCCTCAGCCTCCCGAGTAGCTGGGACTACAGGCGCCTGCCACCACGCCTGGCTAAATTTTTTTTTTTTTGTATTTTTAGTAGAGACAGGGTTTCGCCGTGTTAGCCAGGATGGTCTCGATCTCCTGACCTCGTGATCCACCCGCCTCGGCCTCCCAAAGTGCTGGGATTACAGGCGTGAGCCACTGCGCCTGGCCCTTCACCATCCATTTATTAATATTTAATTGTTCATTTTCTTTATACATGTATAGTAGTTTCAGATTTTTTTTTTTTAATTATTTGAGACAGAGTCTTGCTCTGTCACCCAGGCTAGGGTACAATGTCATGACCATAGCTTACCACAGCCTCAAACTCCTGGGCTCAAGTGATCCTCCTGCCTCAGCCTCCCAAGTAGCTGGGACTACAGATGTCCACCACCACACGCAGCTCATTTTAAAATATTTGTTACTCTTGCCCGGTGGCTCATGCCTGTAATCCCCGCACTTTGGGAGTCCGAGGTGGGCAGATCACTTGAGCTCAGGAGTTTGAGACCAGCCTGGGCAACATGGTAAAACCGTGTCTCTACCAAAAATACAAAATATTAGCTGGGTGTGGTGGCATGGGTCTGTGGTCCCAGCTACTTGGGAGGCTGAGGTGTGATCACAGCTCAGTGCAACCTCAGCTACGTGGACTCAGGTGATCCTCCCACTTCAGCCTTCTGAGTAGCTGGGACCACAGACTGTGCTGAGGCACCTGGCTAATTAAAAAACAATTTTTTTAGAGATGGGTTCTCACCAGCTCAGTCTGGTCTCAAACTCCTGGCCTCAAGTGATCCTCCTACCTTGGGCTTCCAAAGTGCTAGGATTATAGGCATGAACTCCTGTGCCCAGCTTAAACTATTTTAAGTATATAATCCAGTGGTTTTTTTAGTATATTCACAGTGATGTGCAGCTATTGCCACTGCCTGATTCCAGAACACTTGTCATCGCCCAAAGGAAACCCTTGTAACCATTAAGCAGTCACTCCATATTTTCCCAGTCCCCTGGCAAGCACTGATGGAGCTTTCTAAAAAGTGTTTTTTTATCACTCTACTCAGATACTCCGATTCAGTAGCTCTGAAAATGAAGCTAGGGATCTGTATCTTTTTTAAAAAGTATTCTTCTTGCTTCTGGTAACCAGGGAAGTTTGCGTTATCAAGTGTTATGAGCCTAAAAGAACAGCTTATTAAATTTGAGAGTAAATTGTAATGTTCTAGAAGCAGTTAATATGAATCAAGGAGCACCTAATCAAAGCTAAAAACAGTGCCAACACAATTTGATCGTCTTTAAAAGTCAGTTTAGATAGGGTTGAAATGAAAGAAATCATTTTATAAACTGTCAGCCTGTTGCATTTGTGTTTAGATTTCAGGTAAATTTAATCTGTAGTCAGTATTCATCCATCACTCAGTTTTGGTGTATTTTGTTCTCCTTGGTTTCCCCTAGTTTTTGTTTTTTGTTTTTGTAGAGATGAGGTCTCACTATGTTGCTTAGGCTAGTTTTGAACTCCTGGGCTCAAGCAATCCTCTTGCCTTGGCCTGTGTGTGTGTGTGTTGTTGTTGTTGTTGTTTTCCTTAAATTTTTTAAAAACTCCTGCTTACCTTAGTTCAGTCAGAGGGAAGCTATCCTTCTCCATGACCTCCAATACCTTAGTAAAACTGAGCTCTTAAAGAGTGAGTACTTATTGCCCAGTATGTAGCCATGGTAAAACTAAGTATATCTGAAAACTTAGTTGTGAAAGATTTGTAGACAGACTTTAACTTTGATCCCTTTTTGTCCTTTTTTTTCTCTATTTCTGTTTTTATTTTATTTTATTTATTTATTTTTATTATTTTTTTGAGACAGAGTCTCGCTCTGTCACCCAGGCTGGAGTGCAGTGGCGCGATCTCGGCTCACTGCAAGCTCCGCCTCCCAGGTTCACACCATTCTCCTGCCTCAGCCTCCTGAGTAGCTGGGACCACAGGCGCCCGCCACCACGCCTGGCTAATTTTTTGTATTTTTAGTAGAGACGGGGTTTCACCGAGTTAGACCAGGATGGTCTCGATCTGCTGACCTTGTGATCCGCCCGCCTCGGCCTTCCAAAGTGCTGGGATTACAGGTGTGAGCCACTGCACCTGACCTCTTTTTATTTTTAATAGAAAAAAGAATTGTGTATAGTTACGGGGTACTATGTGATATGTTGATGTGTGTGTGTGTGTATATATATATAAAATATATATATATGGAATGATTATACCAAGCTAATTAACACATTCATTATCTCTCATATATTTTGTTGCAGTGAGAACATTTACCTACATTATTTATTTATTTATAACGTTTTTTAGAGACAGGGTCTCACTCTGTTGCCAGGCTGGAGTGCAGTGACACAATCATAGCTCACTGCAGCTTTAAACTCCTGGGTGCAAGCCATCCTCCTGCTCTAGCCTCCTGAGTAGCTGTGACTACAGGGGCATGCCACCACACCCAGCCAATTTTTTTTCCTTCAGCTTTTAAGTTATGGGGTACATGTGCAGTATGTGCAGGTTTGTTACCTAGGTAAACATATGCCGTGGTGGTTTGCTGCACAGATCAACCCATCACCTTGGTATTAAGCCTAGCATCCATTAGCTATTCTTCCTGATGCTATCCCTCCCCCAACCCCTCCCTCCTAAAGGCCCCAGTGTGTTTGTCCCCCCCCACCCCAATATGTCCATGTGTTCTCATCGTTGAGCTCACACTTATAAGTGAGAACATGTGGTGTTTGGTTTTCTTTTCCTGTGTTAGTTTGCTGAGGATGATAACAGCTTCCAGCTCCATCCATGTCTCTGCAAAGGACATGATCTCTTTCCTTTTTATGGCTGCATAGTATTCTGTGGTGTATGTTTACCACATTTTCTTTATCCAGTCTATCATTGATGGGCATTGGGGTTGATTCCATGTCTTTGCTATTGTGAAGAGTGGTGCAGTGAAGATACACATGCATGTATCTTTGTAATAGAATGATTTATATTCCTTTGGGTATATACCTAGTAATGAGATGGCTGGGTCAAATGGTATTTCTGCCTCTAGATCTTTGAGGAATCGCCACGCTGTCTTCCACAATAGTTGAACTAATTCCTAACACTCCCACTAACAGTGTAAAAGCATTTCTTTTTCTCCACAACCTCGCCAGCGTCTGTTTCTGGACTTTTTAATAATCGCCATTCTGACTGGCATGAGATGGTATCTCATTGTGGTTTTGATTTGCATTTCTCTAATCAGTGATATTGAGTTTTTTTTCATGTTTGTTGGCTGCATGAATTCTTTTCTCGAAAAGTGTCTGTTCATGTTCTTTGCCCACTTTTTAATGGGGTTGGTTGTTTTTTTCTTATAAATTTAAGTTCCTTGTAGACTCTGGATATTAAATGTTTGTCAGATGCACAGATTGCAAAAATTTTCTCCAATTCTGTAGGTTGTCTGTTCACTCTGATGATAGTTTCTTTTGCTGTGCAGAAGCTCCTTAGTTTAATTAGATCCCATTTGTCAATTTTTGCTTTTGTTGCAATTGTTTTTGGCGTTTTCATTGTGAAATCTTTGCCTGTGCCTGTGTCTGGAATGGTATTGCCTAGATTTTCTTCTAGGATTTTTATAGTTTTGGGTTTTACATTGAAGTCTTTAATCCATCTTGAGATAATTTTTGTATAAATTGTAAGGAAGGGATCCAGTTTCAATTTTTTTGCATATGGCTACCCAGCTCTCCTAACACCATTTATTAAATAGGGAATCCTTTCTTCATTGCTTGTTTTCGTCAGGTTTGTCAAAGGTCAGATGATTGTGGGTGTGCCATCTTATTTCTGAGTTCTCTGTTTTGTTCCATTGGTCTGTGTGTCTGTTTTTGTACCAGTACCTTGCTGTTTTGGTTGCTGTAGCCCTGTAGTCTGGTAACATGATGCCTCTAGCTTTGTTCTTTTTCCTTAGGATTGTCTTGGCTATACGGGCTCTTTTTTGGTACCATATGAATTTTAAAGTAGTTTTTTTTCTAATTCTGTGAAGAACGTCAATGGTAGTTTAATGGGAATAGCATTGAATCTATAAATTACTTTGGGCAGTATAGCCATTTTCACAATATTGATTCTTCCTGTCCATGAGCATGGAATGTTTTTCCGTTTGTTTGTGTCCTCTCTTATTTCCTTGACCAGTGATTTGTACTTCTCCTTGAAGAGGTCCTTCACCTCCCTTGTTGTATTCCTAGGTATTTTATTCTCTTTGTAGCAATTATGAATGGGAATTCATTCATGATTTGCGCTCTGCTTGCCTGTTGTTGCTGTATAGGAATGGTAGTGATTATTGCACATTGATTTTGTATCCTGAGATTTTGCTGAAGTTGCTTATCAGCTTAAGACGCTTTCGGGCCGAGACAATGTGATTTTCTAGATATAGGATCATGTCTTCTGCAAACAAAGGTAATTTGACTTTCTCTCTTCCTATTGGAATGCCTTTATTTCTTTCTCTTGCCTGATTACCCTGGCCAGAACTTCCAATACTGTGAGAAATGGTGAGACAGTGCATCTTTGTCTTGTGCTGGTTTTCAAGGGAAATGCTTCCAGCTTTTGCCATTTAATATGATAATAGCTGTGGGTTTGTCATATATGGCTGTTATTATTTTGTGGTATGTTCCTTCAGTCCCTAGTTTATTGAGAGTTTTTAACATGAAGGGATGTTGAATTTTCTGAAGGCCTTTTCTGCATCTGTTGAGATAATCATGTGGTGTCTGTCTTTAGTTCTGTGTATGTGATGAATTACATTTATTGATTTGTGTATGTTGAACCAACCTTGCATGCCAGGGGTGAAACCAACTTGATTTTTTTGTGTGTCTGTCTCCTTCAGTTCAGCTCTGATCTTGGTTATTTCTTGTCTTCTGCTAGCTTTGGTGTTTGTTTGCTCTTGGTTCTCTAATTCTTTTAGTTGTGACATTAGGTTGTTAATTTGGTATCTTCCTAGCTTTTTGATGTGGGCATTTAGTGCTATAGATTTCCTTCTTAACACCGTTTTAGCTGCATCCCAGAGATTCTAGTACGTTGTCTCTTTGCATTCGTTTCCAAGAACTTCTTGATTTCTGCCTTAATTTTATTCACCCAGGAGTCATTCAGGAGCAGGTTGTTCAGTTTACATGTAGTTATGTGGTTTTGAGTGAATTTCTTCGTCTTGAGTTCTGATTTGATTGTGCTGTGTTCTAAGAGAGTTTGTTGTAATTTCAGTCGTTTTGCATTTGCTCAGGAGTGTTTTATTAATAATTGTGATTATGTAATCAAATTTAGAGTAAGTGCCATGTGGCAATGAGAAGAATATATAATCTGTTGTTTTTGAGTGGAGCGTTCTGTAGATATCTGTCAGGTCTGCTTGATCCAGAGCTGAATTTAGGTCCTGAGTATCTTTGTTAATTTTCTGTCTCTATGATTTGTCTAATATTGTCAGTGGGGTGTTAAAGTCTCCCACTATTATTATGTGTGAGTCTAAGTCTCTTTGTAGGTCTTTAAGAACTTGCTTTATGAATCTAGGTGCTCCTGTATTGGTTGCATATGTACTTAGGATAGTTAGCTCTTCTCGTTGAACTGAACCTTTTACCATTACGTGATGTCGTTTGTCTTTTTTTGATCTTTGTTGTTTTCAAGTCTGTTTTGTCAGAAACTAGGATTGCGACTCCTGCTTTTTTCTGTTTTCCATTGCTTGGTAAGTTTTCCACCATCCCTTTATTTTGAGCCTATGTGTGTCTTTGCATGTGAAATGGATTTCTTTTTTTGGCGGGGGGCAATGCCTTTTTTATTGTGGTAAAATATACATAACATAGAATTTGGCACTTTAGCTGTGTTTGAGTGTACAGTTCAGTAGCATTAAGTACATTCACATTGTCATGCAACCATCACCACTGTTCTTCATCAGAATGTTTTCGTCATCCCAAGCTGAAACTTCATACCAATTGAACACTGACTCTGCATTCCCTCTCCCTGAGCCCCTGGCAACCACCATCCTAATTTATATCTATGAATTTGGCTATTCTAAGTACTTCACACAAGTGGAATCATATAGTATTTGTCCTTTTGTGACTGGGTTATTTCACTTGGCATAATGTCTTCAGTGTTCTTCCATGCTGTACATGACATGTGTCAGAATTTCCCTCCTTTTTTTATTTATTTTTATTTTTTTATTTTATTATTATTCTACTTTAAGTTTTAGGGTACATGTGGACAACATGCAGGTTTTTTACGTATGTATACATGTGCCATGTTGGTGTGCTGCATCCATTAACTCATCATTTAGCATTAGGTATATCTCCTAATGCTATCCCTCCCCCCCTCCCCCCACCCCACAACAGTCCCTGGTGTGTGATGTTCCCCTTCCTGTGTCCAAGTGTTCTCATTGTTCAATTACCACCTATGAGTGAGAACATGCACTGTTTGGTTTTTTGTCCTTGCGATAGTTTGCTGAGAATGATGGTTTCCAGTTTCATCCATGTCCCTACAAAGGACATGAACTCATCATTTTTTATGGCTGCATAGTATTCCATGGTGTATATGTGCCACATTTTCTTAATCCAGTCTATCATTGTTGGACATTTAGGTTGGTTCCAAGTCTTTGCTGTTGTGAATAGTGCCGCAATAAACATACGTGTGCATGTGTCTTTATAGCAGCATGATTTGTAATCCTTTGGGTATATACCCAGTAATGGGATGGCTGGGTCAAATGGTATTTCTAATTCTAGATCCCTGAGGAATCGCCACACTGACTTCCACAATGGTTGAACTAGTTTACAGTCCCACCAACAGTGTAAAAGTGTTCCTGTTTCTCCACATTCTCTCCAGCACCTGTTGTTTCCTGACTTTTTAATGATTGCCATTCTGACTGGTGTGAGATGGTATCTCATTGTGGTTTTGATTTGCATTTCTCTGATGGCCAGTGATGATGAGCATTTTTTCATGTGTTTTTTGGCTGCATAAATGTCTTCTTTTGAGAAGTGTCTGTTCATATCCTTCACCCACTTGTTGATGGGGTTGTTTTTTTCTTGTAAATTTGTTTGAGTTCATTGTAGATTCTGGATATTAGCCCTTTGTCAGATGAGTAGGTTGCAAAAATTTTCTCCCATTCTGTAGGTTGCCTGTTCACTCTGATGGTAGTTTCTTTTGCTGTGCAGAAGCTCTTTAGTTTAATTAGATCCCATTTGTCAATTTTGGCTTTTGTTGCCATTGCTTTTGGTGTTTTAGTCATGAAGTCCTTGCCCATGCCTGTGTCCTGAATGGTATTGCCTAGCTTTTCTTCTAGGGTTTTTATGGTTTTAGGTCTAACATGTAAGTCTTTAATCCATCTTGAATTAATTTTTGTATAGGTGTAAGGAAGGGATCCAGTTTCAGCTTCCTACATATGGCTAGCCAGTTTTCCCAGCACCATTTATTAAATAGGGAATCCTTTCCCCATTGCTTGTTTTTCTCAGGTTTGTCAAAGATCAGATAGTTGTAAATATGCGGCATTATTTCTGAGGGCTCTGTTCTGTTCCATTGGTCTATATCTCTGTTTTGGTACCAGTACCATGCTGTTTTGGTTACTGTAGCCTTGTAGTATAGTTTGAAGTCAGGCAGTGTGATACCTCCAGCTTTGTTCTTTAGGCTTAGGATTGACTTGGCAATGCGGGCTCTTTTTTGGTTCCATATGAACTTTAAAGTAGTTTTTTCCAATTCTGTGAAGAAAGTCATTGGTAGCTTGATGGGGATGGCATTGAATCTATAAATTACCTTGGGCAGTATGGCCGTTGTCATGATATTGATTCTTCCTACCCATGAGCATGGAATGTTCTTCCATTTGTTTGTATCCTCTTTTATTTCATTGAGCAGTGGTTTGTAGTTCTCCTTGAAGAAGTCCTTCACATCCCTTGTAAGTTGGATTCCTAGGTATTTTATTCTCTTTGAAGCAATTGTGAATGGGAGTTCACTCATGATTTGGCTCTCTGTTTGTTTGTTATTGGTGTTTAAGAATGCTTGTGATTTTTGTACATTGATTTTGTATCCTGAGACTTTGCTGAAGTTGCTTATCAGCTTGAGGAGATTTTGGGCTGAGACGATGGGGTTTTCTAGATACACAATCATGTCATCTGCAAACAGGGACAATTTGACTTCCTCTTTTCCTAATTGAATACCCTTTATTTCCTTCTCCTGCCTGATTGTCCTGGCCACAACTTCCAACACTGTGTTGAATAGGAGTGGTGAGGGAGGGCATCTCTGTCTTGTGCCAGTTTCCAAAGGGAATGCTTCCAGTTTTTGCCCATTCAGTATGATATTGGCTGTGGGTTTGTCATACATAGCTCTTATTGTTTTGAGATACGTCCCATCAATACCTAATTTATTGAGAGTTTTTAGCATGAAGGGTTGTTGAATTTTGTCAAAGGCCTTTTCTGCCTCTATTGAGATAATCATGTGGTTTTTGTCTTTGGTTCTGTTTATATGCTGGCTTACATTTATTGATTTGCATATGTTGAACCAGCCTTGCATCCCAGGGATGAAGCCCACTTGATCATGGTGGATAAGCTTCTTGATGTGCTGCTGGATTCGGTTTGCCAGTAATTTATCGAGGATTTTTGCATCAGTGTTCATCAAAGATATTGGTCTAAAATTCTCTTTTTTTTGTTGTGTCTCTGCCAGGCTTTGGTATCAGGATGATGCTGGCCTCATAAAATGAGTTAGGGAGGATTCCCTCTTTTTCTATTGATTGGAATAATTTCAGAAGGATTGGTATCAGCTCCTCCTTGTACCTCTGGTAGAATTCGGCTGTGAATCCATCTGGTCCTGGACTTTTTTTCATTGGTAAGCTATTGATTATTGCCTCAATTTCAGAGCCTGTTATTGGTCTATTCAGAGATTCAACTTCTTCCTGATTTAGTCTTGGGAGGATGTATGTGTCGAGGAATTCATCCATTTCTTCTTGATTTTCTAGTTTATTTGTATAGTGGTGTTTATAGTATTCTCTGATAGTAGTTTGTATTTCTGTGGGATCGGTGGTGGTATCCCCTTTGTCATTTTTTATTGCGTCTATTTGATTCTTTTCTCTTTTCTTCTTTATTAGTCTTGCTAGTGGTCTATCAATTTTGTTGATCTTTTCAGAAAACCAGCTCCTGGATTCATTAATTTTTTGAAGGGTTTTTTGTGTCTCTATTTCCTTCAGTTCTGCTCTGATCTTAGTTATTTCTTGCCTTCTGCTACCTTTTGAATGTGTTTGCTCTTGCTTCTCTAGTTCTTTTAATTGTGATGTTAGGGTGTCAATTTTAGATCTTTCCTGCTTTCTCTTGTGGGCATTTAGTGCTATAGATTTCCCTCTACACACTGCTTTGAATGTGTCCCAGAGATTCTGGTATGTTGTGTCTTTGTTCTCGTTGGTTTCAAAGAACATCGTTATTTCTGCCTTCGTTTCATTATTTACCCAGTAGTCATTCAGGAGCAGGTTGTTCAGTTTCCATGTAGCTGAGTGGTTTTGAGTGAGTTTCTTAATCCTGAGTTCTAGTTTGATTGCACTGTGGTCTGAGAGACAGTTTGTTATAATTTCTGTTCTTTTACATTTGCTGAGGAGTGCTTTACTTCCAACTATGTGGTCAATTTTGGAGTAGGTGTGGTGCTGAAAAGAATGTATATGCTGTTGATTTGGGGTGGAGAGTTCTGTAGATGTCTATGAGGTCCACTTGGTGCAGAGCTGAGTTCAGTTCCTGGGTATCCTTGTTAACTTTCTGTCTCGTTGATCTGTCTAATGTTGAAAGTGGGGTGTTAAAGTCTCCCATTATTGTGTGGGAGTTTAAGTCTCTTTGTAGGTCACTAAGGACTTGCTTTATGAATCTGGGTTCTTCTGTATTGGGTGCATATATATTTAGGATAGTTATCTCTTCTTGTTGAATTGATCGCTTTACCATTCTGTAATGGCCTTCTTTGTCTCTTTTGATCTTTGTTGGTTTCAAGTCTGTTTTATCCGAGACTAGGATTGCAACCCCTGCCTTTTTTTGTTTTCCATTTGCTTGGTAGATCTTCCTCCATCCCTTTATTTTGAGCCTATGTGTTTCTCTGCATGTGAGATGGGTTTCCTGAATACAGCACACTGATAGGTCTTGACTCTTTATCCAATTTGCCAGTCTGTGTCTTTTAATTGGAGCATTTGGCCCATTTACATTTAAAGTTAATATTGTTACGTATGAATTTGATCCTGTCATTATGATGTTAGCTGGTTATTTTGCTCGTTAGTTGATGCAGTTTCTTCCTAGCATTGATGGTCTTTACAATTTGGCATGTTTTTGCAGTGGCTGGTACCAGTTGTTCCTTTCCATGTTTAGTGCTTCCTTCAGGAGCTCTTTTAGGGCAGGCCTGGTAGTGACAAAATCTCTCAGCATTTGCTTGTCTGTAAAGTATTTTATTTCTCCTTCACTTATGAAGCTTAGTTTGGCCGGATATGAAATTCTGGGTTGAAAATTATTTTCTTTAAGAATGTTGAATATTGGTCCCCACTCTCTTCCGGCTTGTAGAGTTTCTGCCGAGAGATCAGCTGTTAGTCTGATGGGCTTGCCTTTGTGGGTAACCCCACCTTTCTCTCTGGCTGCCCTTAACATTTTTTCCTTCATTTCAACTTTGGTGATTCTGACAATTATGTGTCTTGGAGTTGCTCTTCTCGAGGAGTATCTTTGTGGCATTCTCTGTATTTCCTGAATTTGAATGTTGGCCTGCCTTGCTAGATTGGGGAAGTTCTCCTGGATAATATCCTGCAGAGTGTTTTCCAACTTGGTTCCATTCTCCCCGTCACTTTCAGGTAAACCAGTCAGATGTAGATTTGGTCTTTTCACAAAGTCCCATATTTCTTGGAGGTTTTGTTTGTTTCTTTTTATTCTTTTTTCTCTAAACTTCTTGCTTCATTTCATTCATTTGATCTTCCGTCACTTATACCCTTTCTTCCAGTTGATCGCATCGGCTGCTGAGACTTCTGCATTCGTCATGTAGCTCTGGTGCCTTGGTTTTCAGCTCCATCAGGTCCTTTAAGGACTTCTCTGCATTGGTTATTCTAGTTATCCATTCGTCAATTTTTTTTTCAAAGCTTTTAACTTCTTTGCCATTGGTTTGAATTTCCTCTTGTAGCTCGGAGTAGTTTGATCTTCTGAAGCCTTCTCTCAACTTTTCAAAGTCATTCTCCCTCCAGCTTTGTTCCATTGCTGGTGAGGAGCTGCGTTCCTTTGGAGGAGGAGAGGCGCTCTGATTTTTAGAGTTTCCAGTTTTTCTGCTCTGTTTTTTTCCCATCTTTGTGGTTTTATCTACCTTTGGTCTTTGATGATGGTGACGTACAGATGGGTTTTTGGTGTGGATGTCCTTTCTGTTTGTTAGTTTTCCTTCTAACAGACAGGACCCTCAGCTGCAGGTCTGTTGGAGTTTGCTAGAGGTCCACTCCAGACCCTGTTTGCCTGGGTTTCAGTAGCAGTGGCTGCAGAAGCGCAGATGTTGGTGAACCGCAAATGCTGCTGCCTGATTGTTCCTCTGGAAGTTTGGTCTCAGAGGAGTACCCGGCCGTGTGAGGTGTCAGTCCGCCCCTACTGGGGGTGCCTCCCAGTTAGGCTACTCGGGGGTCAAGGACCCACTTGAGGAGGCAGTCTGCCCGTTGTCAGATCTCAAGCTGTGTGCTGGGAGAACCACTACTGTCTTCAAAGCTCAGTTGGAAATGCAGAAATCACCCGTCTTCTGCGTCGCTGATGCTGGGAGCTGTAGACTGGAGCTGTTCCTATTCGGCCATCTTGGCTCCTCCAAGCATGAAATGGATTTCTTGAAGACAGCGTACTGATGGGTCTTGACTCTATACATTTTGCCATTCTGTGTCTTTTAATTGGGGCATTTAGCTCATTTACATTTAAGGTGAATATTGTTATGTGTGAATTTGATCCTGTCATCATGATGCTAGCTGGTTATTTGTTAGACTTGTTTATGTGGTTGCTTTATAGTGTCACTCGTCTGTGTACTTCAGTGTGTTTTGTAGTGGCTGGCAGCGGAAAGGAAAGTTTTTCCTTTCCATATTTAGTGCTTCTTTTGGGAGCTCTTTCAAGACAATGATGAATACCCTCAGCATTTGCTTGTTTGAAAAGAATCTTATTTCTCCTTTGCTTATTAAGCTTAGTTTGGCTGGATATGAAATTCTGGGTTGGAAATTCTTTAAGAATGTTGAGGCCAGGTGCGGTGGCTCACGTCTGTAATCCCATCACTTTTGGAGGCTGAGGTGGGTAGATACCTGAAGTCAGGAGTTCGAGACCAGCCTAGCCAACATGGCAAAACCCCATCTCTACTAAAAATACAAAAATCGGCTGGGTGTGGTGGCATACACCTGTAATCCTGGCTACTTGGGAGGCTGAGGCAGGAGAATCACTTGAACCCGGGAGGTGGAGGTTGCAATGAGCTGGGATCGCACCATTGTACTCTATCCTGGGCAGGAAGAGTGAAATGAAGCTCCACCTCAAAAAAAAAAAAAAACGAATGTTGAATATTGGTCCCCAATCTTTTTTGGCTAGTAGGGTTTCCACTGAGAGGTCTGCTGTTAGTCTGATGTGTTTCCCTTTGTAGGTGGCCTGGCCTTTCTCTCTGGCTGCCCTTAACATTTTTTCTTTCATTTTGATCTTGGAGAATCTGATGATTATGTTTCTTGGGATTGATCATCTTACTGGGGTTCTCTGGATTTCCTGAATTTGAATGTTGGCCCTTCTTGCTAGGTTGGAGAAGTTCTCCTGGATGATATCCTGAAGTATGTTTTCTAATTTGATTCCATTCTTCTCCTGTCTTTCAGGCACCCCAATCAGTCATAGGTTTGGTCTTTTTACATAGTCCCATATTTCTCGAGGTTTTGATCATTCCTTTTCATTCTTTTTTCTCTATTCTTGTTTGCCTATCTTATTTCAGAAAGACAGTTTTCAAGCCCTGAGATTCTTTTCTCTGCTTGGTCTATTCTGCTATTGATACTTGTGGTTGCATTGTGAATTTCTCATCTTGTGTTTCTCAGCTCCATCAGGTCAGTTATGCTCCTCTCTAAACTGGCTATACTGCTTAGAAGCTCCTCCATTTTATCATGATTCTTAGCTTCTTTGCATTGGGTTGCAACATGCTCCTTTAGCTCAGCCAAGTTCATTATCACCCACCTTCTGAAGCCTACTTCTATCAGTTCAGCCATCTCAGCCTCAGCCCAGTTCTGTCCCCTTGCTGAAGAGGTGTTGTGGTAATTTAGAGAAGAGGCACTCTGGCTTTTTGAGTTTTCAGCGTTTTTTGCATTATTTCTCATCTTTGTGGGCTTATCTACCTTTGATTTTTGAGGTTGCTGATCTTTTTTTTTTGTTTTTTGTTTTTTTGTTTTTGTTTTTTGAGACAGAGTCTCGCCCTGTTGCCCAGGCTAGAGTACAGTGGCACAATCCCAGCTTACTGCAACCTCAACCTCGTGATCTGCCCATTTCAGTCTCCTAAAGTGCTGGGATTATAGGCGTGAGCCACTCTGCCCAGCTGAGGTTGCTGATTTTTTTTTTTTTTTTTTTTGAGACTGAGTTTAGCTCTATCACCCAGGCTGGAGTGCAGTGGCACAATCTTGGCTCACTGCAACCTCCGCCTCCCGGGTTCAAGCCATTCTCATGCCTCAGCCTCCAGAGTAGCTGGGATTACAGGCGCCTGCCACCATGCCTGGCTAATTTTTGTATTTTTAGTAGAGATGGGGCTTCACAATGTTGGCCAGGCTGGTCTCAAACTTCTGATCTCAGGTGATCCGCCCTCCTCGGCCTCCCAAAGTCTGAGATTACAGGCATGAGCCACCACGCCTGGCCAGTTGCTGACCTTTAAATGGGGTTTTTGTGGTGTCTTTTTTGTTGATACTCTTGTTGTTGTTTTCTGTTTTTCTTTTAACAGTCAGTGCACTTTTCCATAGGGCTGCTGTAGTTTGCTGGGGGATTGCTGCAGACCCTAGTTGTCTTGGTCTTTCCTTTACCTGTAGGTATATCACCAGTGAAGGCTGTGAAACAGCTAAGATGGCAGTCTGCTCCTTCCCTTGGGAGCTCCATCCCGGTGGGGTGGTGGGGGGGGGGTAGGGGGGGCAGTACTGACCTGTTGCCAGCCTGGATGCTGCTGTAGAAGGTGTCTGGAGATCCCCGTTAGGAGGTCTCACCCAATCAGGAGGGACAGGATCAGGGACCTGCTTAAAGATGCAGTCTGGTTGCTTTTTGGTAGATCAGGTGTGCTGAATTGGGGGTAACCGTTCCTTGCCCAGACTGCCTGGACTCTCCAGAGCCAGCCCGCTTAGAAAGGCTGAGTCATTCGTGTACCCTAAAACTTAAAGTATAAAAAAATAATAAGAAGAAGAAAGGCTTAGTCAACTGAACCGCAGAGACATTGGGCACTCCTCCCCCTAGGGGCTTGTCCCAGGGAGAGATCAGAGTACTGTTCATATAACCTTGGCTGGAGTTGCTGAAATTCCCTCAGGGAGGCCCCACCCAGTGAGGAGGGATGGATTGGGGTCCCACTTAAAAGAGCAGTCTGGCCACGATCTGGCACAGCAGCTGTGCTGCCCTGTGAGGGACTCCTCCTCATCAGGACCACCTGGATTCTTGGGAGCAGGCTAGAACAGCTGGGTCAACTGAACTGCAGAAATGGCAGCCGCCCCTCCCCCTGAAAACTCATCCATTTTAGGCAGTCTCTAGCCTGTTGCACTGGCTGGCTAGAATTCAAAGCCAGTGGGTTGAGGTGCCATGGAAGTGAGGCCCGCAGAATGACACTGCTTGGTTCCCAGGATTCAGCCCTCTTCCTAGGGGAGGATACGGATGGATTTCTCACCTTGTTGGGATTCCCAAGGGTGGAGTCTGTAAAACTCCTGGGTTTACGTGTGAGCCTGAGCAACTGCTCTGCCAAGACTCCGCACAGCTCTGTATGTTGGACCTAAGTAAGGCCCTGGTGGCCTGGGTTCATGAGGGGATCTCCTGATCCATGGTTGCAAAGATCCGTAGGAGAAGTGTGGTTTCCTGAGTGGGGTTACACAATCACTCACTGCTTCCCTTGGCTGGGGGTGGGGGTTCCTTTGGCTCCCCAGTGCTCCTGGGTGGGCCATTGCCACACCCTGCTTTTTTTGTTGTCTGTGGGTCATGCCATCCTCCTAATCAGTCCCAGTGTGAGAACCTGGACATTTCATTTGAAGGTGCTGAATTCACTTGCTGTTGTCATTCTTCTCTATGAGAGCCATCTTGTTTCTAATCGGCTATCTTGGCCCCTCCTGCCCCCTTCTTGTCTTACAGGTGGAAACTGAGGAATAATCCCAGTGCTTTGTGAAACTGCTATGAAGAATATTCAAGTCAGACTTAAGTTGGAAGATAGTGACTAGAGCAAACAGACCAAAGCATTTATTTATTTATTTATTTATTTATTTAATTTGTTCATTCCTGAGACAGAGTCTTGCTTTGTTGCCCGGGCTGGAGTGCAGTGGTGTGATCTCGACTCACTGCAACCTCCACCACCCAGATTCAAGCAACTCTCCTGCCTAAGCCTCCAGAGTAGCTGGGAATACAGGCGTGCGTCACCACTCCTGCCTAATTTTTTGTATGACCAAAGCATTTAAAGCATTGATTCTGAGGGCCTGGAACTCACTAAATGCTGCCAGACTCTAAAGTGATCTCAAAATAGACTTTCTGTAGTTGGAATACTTCTGTAGATATTCACTTGTATTATACATGTGCAGTCTCCATGTTTGTAGCATTCAGATATGCAAATTCTATTATTTCTGTTCCCCATAGTCCTCTAGGCCACATTGGCAACTAGAGGTGTTTTTTTCTCTCAGCCCTATCTTCTAAATAGTCTGAGTTGTCTTTCTCTGTTATTGGATTTTCTCCCTGATTCTCCCTCCTTTTGTCAGTGTTCAGTAGTTTTTCGTCCACAGAAATGGTCCCAAGGCTTCTTTCCTTCTTGATCACTTGATCAGTTTTTCAAAGGCTCCTCTTTTTTTTTTTTTTTTTTTTTTTTTTTTGAGACAGTCTCTGTCATGCAGGCTGGAGTGCAGTGGCACTATCTCGGCTCACTGCAAATTCTGCCTTGCTGGTTCAAGCAGTTCTCAAGCCTTAGCCTCTTGAGTAGCTGGGATTATAGGCAGGTGCCACCATGCCCAGCTAATTTTTTGTATTTTAGTAGAGATGGGGTTTCACCATGTTGCCCAGGCTGGTCTTGAACTCCTGAGCTCAGGCAGTCTGCCTGCCTTGGCCTCCCAAAGTGCTAGAATTACAGGTGTGAGCCACCACATTCAGCCAAAACCTCTTTTTGACAAAGTTCAGCCTCATCCTATAGGTGATTTTGTACTCTCTGCTAAGATAAAATTTTCTCCAAATTGTTAGCCTTAGGATAAAGGACAATTTATGAACCAAAAAAAACTCTTTGTTTCCTGAACAGTCAATTTAGTTATTGTACTAAGAAGTCTGTCAGACAAGACTTGTTGTATTGCAGTCACCTCAGCTTTCAAGAAGGATGTTTATCTGTGTATCATTGCTGTTGTCTTGAGTTGTGTTTTTTGATTCTGCTGGTCTTGTTACTATAACTTAGCGTTAGTTTAGTGACATTGCTAAGATAATGACATTGATTATCTGTGAGGAGTCACAGATAGGTGAACATTTTTGTTTGCCTAATATCTTTGAATGATAGAAAATTTTAGTTTTGGTTATAATTTTGAATGAGTTGGAAAACAGACAAAACACTGTTCTATTTTTTTTTTGAGACTGGGTCTGGCTCTGTCACTCAGGTTGGAGTAGCTCTGTTGCCCAGGCCAGAGTGCAGTGTGCGACCTCACCTTACTGCAACCTCTGCTTCCCAGGCTCAAGGAGTCTTCCCACCTCAGCCTCCCCAGTAGCTGGGACTACAGGCACATACCACCATGGCCAGCTAATTTTTTAATTTTTTGTAGAGGCGGGGTTTCACCATGTTGCCCAGACTGCTCTTAAACTCCTGAGCTCAAGCAGTCTGTCTGCCTCAGCCTCCCAAAGTGCTGGGATTACCAGTGTGAACCTCTGTGCCCAGCCCAAACTCGGTTCTTAAGGTGCTTATACTTAAAAAAAAAGAAAGAAAAAAGGCATCTGTACATCTTCTTTACCCAAATGATGTTTAGTTTACACTAGAGTTTTTGATGTACGTATCTTGGTACCTCAGAATAGCAACTAGAATGTTTTGCCTTCATTATAAATAAAATTATTTAGAAATAGCAGTGGTGTTAAACAATATATTTTTAGTATCCCTTGAGTGATCCCAAGTAGTTATGCCATTTAAAAAAAAAGACACCAAGAGAATACTGGGTTATTTTGTTTTAGAAGAAGATATATTTTACTGCTGTAAATTAGAGTGGAAAACTGTCTTATAGCATACATTTAGAGAATGTTAATCCTGGAAGTCAGTTGCTGTTCGATACATAGACTGTTTGGTCTGTAAGGAGCAAGAACATACTAATTTTAAGGGAAGAAACATCTTCGAAGGCAGAATAGAATCTATAAACTGCATCATTTAGCCATTGGATAACAAAGTCTACAGTAGAGCTTGCAGCTGGTTGGCTTAAACAGGAAAGTAGCCCTGAACAAGTATTAATATACTCTGTGCAGCCCTTAGGGCATGGAAATTGAAGTGCAAGCAGTGTAATAGCCACCAAGATTGTTACACGGAGAATGGAGGAATGTGAAGGACTCTTCTTAGCCGTATGAAGATAACACCAAGTATTCTCATTCAGCAAGTGGCCGTACCGCTATGCATCATTGCCCGTCCCCTCTCTCCCTCCAGCCACATATGAGAGTTCCAGTTTCTCACCAACATTTAGTCTTCTTAGTCTTTAATTTTAACCATTCTGGTGGGTGACATCTCATTTTTTTATTTTAAAATTAATCGTTTAATTGACCCATAATATTTGTACATATTTAGGGGATACATCTGATGTTTTGTTCTGTGCATAGAACATGTAATGATCGAGTCAGATTATTTAGGATATTCATCACTGAGTATTTGTCAATTCTGCTTTGGGAACATTTCAGAATGTTCCCAAATAGCTGTCTACTAGCTATTTTGAAATATATGACCTATTGTTGTTAATTATAGTCACCCTACTGTGCTGTCAAACATTAGAACTTATTTCTTCTATTTATGTTTCTACCCTTTAATCAACCTCCCTTCATCCCCCACCCTCCACACGTACCCTTCCTAGCCTCTGGTATCTGTCATTCTCTCTACCTTCGTGAGATCAACTTTTTTTAGCTCTCACATATGAGTGAGAACATCTCATTATTAATTTTCCTGGTGACTAATGAGGTTGCGCATCTTTTCCTGTGCTTATTTGCCATTCATTATATGTTATTTGCTGAACTGTTAAAATCTTTTACTCACTTTTAAATTGGGTTGTTTATCTTATTGATTCATAAGAGTTATTTATATGTTCTGGATATAAGTCCTTTAGAATTATATAATCTGGATAGAAGTCCTTTATAAAGATGTGATTTGCAAGTATTTTCTGCCAGCATGGCTGGCTTTTCATTTTCTTAACACCTTAACAGGGTAATTTAAAGAGCAGAAGTTTTTGTGAAGTCTAATTTATCCATTTTTTGCTTTCATAATTTCTGCTTTTCATTACCTATTTAAGAAATCTTTGTCTAATCCAAGGCCACTAAAATACTCTTGTTTTCTGCTAGAAGTGGTGTAGTTTTAGCTCATAAATTTAGGTTTATGATGCATTTTGAGGCTAATTTTTCTCTGTGGAGTGAGGTAAGGATCAAGATTCTCTCTCTCTCTCTCTCTCTCGTTTTTTGCATTTGGATATACAGTTTTTCCAAGACCGTTTATTGAAAGGAATATATCCTTTTCCCAGTGAATTACATTGACAGATTTGTTGAAAATCGGTTGGATTGGATGTATATGTGTAGATCTGTTTCTGGACTTTCCGTTCTGTTCCGTTAATCTATAAGTCTGTCTTTACATTAGTAAACACTGTCTTGCTTACTGTATCTTTGTTAGTAACTATGGAAGTCAGGTAATGTGAGTCTACCAATTAATTTTTTCCCAACATTATTTGGACTTTTCTAGGTTCTTAACATTTTCATATACATTATAGAAACAATTTGTCAGTTTCCATAAAAAACAAAAAAATAGATCCTGGAAATTTGACTAGGATTGCCTTGAATTTATAGAGCAATTTGGAGAGACTGACATTTTAACGACATTGCATCTTCTGATTCATGAGCATGGCATATCTTTCCATATATTTAGATCTTTTTTCACTTCTTTCCAAAGTGTTTTTGTATTTGTCATTGTACAGTCTTATATACTTTTGTTATATTTATCCCTGAGAATTTAGTGGTTTTGATGCTATCATAGGTTATATTTTAAATTTTAATTTCTGATTGCTTATTGCTAGTATGTAGAAAAATTTTTTCACATATTCACCATGTATTCTTACACATATTTTGTTATATTATCCCTAAGAATTTAGTACTTCTGATGTTGTTGTAGGTTGTATTTTTAATTTTAATTTCTAATTGCTTATTGCTAATATGTAGAAATAATTTTTATATATTGACCATGTATTCTATGTCCTTCCTATACACATGTATTAGTTCTAATAGCTTCTTTGTAGATATCTTTGCTTGTCTACATAGATTATCATGGTATCTGGAAATAAGGCCTGTTTTACCACTTTCCAAGTTGTATGCCTTTTTTTTCTTGCCTTATTGAACTTACGTAGGACCACCAGTAAGTAGTACAGTGTTGAATAGGAATGGTAAAAGAGAACCCAACATCCACGCCTCATTGTTGATCTTAGAAGAGAAAGCATTCACGTTCCCTTCTAATTCTGGTTTGCTGAGAGTTGTTTATTATTAATGGGTATTGAATGTTAGCTAACACATTTTATCTTACCTGTTGAGATGGTCATATATTTTTATGGTTTGAATTAATACACTAAATTACATAGTTTGATTTTTTTGAGGGGGGCAGGGGCAGGGCCTCATTCTGTCACCCAGACTGGAGTGCAGTGGCGTGATCATGGCTCACTGCAGCCTCGACCTCCTGGGCTCAAGCAATCCTCCCACCTCAGCCTCCTGAGTAGCTGGGACCACCTGCACGGACCACCATGCCCAGCTAATTTTTGTATTTTTAGTAGAAGTGGTGTTTCGCCATGTTGTCCTCAGGCTGGTCTTGAACTTTTAGGCTCAAGCTGTCTGCCCACCTTGGCCTCCCAAAGTGCTGGGATTACAGGTGTGAGCTCCCATACTTGGCCTGGTTTAATTTCTTTATTGTCTACGAGCAAACTTTGTATGGTTTTAATTAAATTTGTTAAAGTTTGTTTTATGACACAGAATGTGGCCTATCTTGGGGAGTATTCTGTGTGCTCTTGAAAGAGTATTCTGTTGTTGAGCAGATATTTCTGTAAACATCAATTAGAACCAACTGATTAACGGCGTTTTTCTGTTCTTATATAATCCTTGCTGATGTTATGTCAATAAAAAGTATAATAGTTGAAGCCTCCAGCTGTAGTTATGAATTTATCTATTTTGTCTATCAGTTGGCCGTTTTTGTTTCATGTATTTTGAAGCTCTGTTGTTGGTTGCATACATATGTCAGATTGGTGTGTTGTCTTAGTGTATTGACCCCTTTATCAATATGTAGTATATAATGTCCCTCTTCGTTCTGAAGTCTGTTTTGTCGATGTTGTTAATATAGCCACTCAAGCTTGCTTTCTTTCTAAGCACTTGGAAACTCAAGTACTTCCATGGGTTCTTTTTCCATTCTTTTATTTTAACCTACCTATTATTATATTTGAAGCAAACTTCTTGTTGGTTTTTTTCCCACTTTCTGGCATTCTCTGTCTTTTGGTGTGTTTAAGCCATTTGTGTTTTATATTATTATTAATATTTGGGCTTAGGTCTATATCATTTTATAATTTTGTTCTTTCTGTTTTTCATTGTTCAATTTTTCTTTTCCTGCCTTTCATTGGATTATTTGTACATTTTTTAATATTCCATTTTAATTTACCTAGTGTGATTTGTGTTACTTTTTGTATAGTTATTATATAGTGATTGCTTTAGGGATTACAGTATACATCTTGCACCCAGAAGCTAACTCAGTATTAAATGCTTAATATTAGTTGATTGAAGGAATATTTTTGGAATCCAATTGTGATTTTTATTGTTACTGCTGGCATTTTTCTAAATAGTTATTGAAAAATGGTGTAAGCTTTTCCTTACATAGAATCTATTTAATATAATATTGCCCTGTAGAATTTTCTCAAAAAATATTTGACACTCCTTTAGTTCACTAACAACTTGCTTTGCTTCATCTACAAAGGAGACATTGTTTTATCTTCATAGTCTCACTTAGGCTGATGTTTATATGTATTGTATAGCTCAGTTTTGCTTTTGAGCCAGTCTTTTTGTTTTTATGTGGCTCATAACTTTAACTCCATAAGCTTTACCAGTGGCTAGCTTTGAGGACAGTGCTATGTTTAAATTATTGTTTATACGTTAATGAAATGGTTGAATGGCCCCAAGGTAAGTTCTGCTTCTTGAGTGTAATGTCAAAAAAGTTTCTTAATTTCTTCAAATTTGTTTCCTCCTCTATAAAATGAAAGATTTGAACCATTTTTCTTTGGTAGTTTTTTGTGTTGTAATGTATTCTGATTTAATTATTTCCAGATTAATATGGTTTTGATAATTTACAAATTAGCTCAGTTTATTTAAGGGATTTTTGGTTTCGTTTCTATCAAAACAAAAGAAATTTTAAAGCACCAACGGGACAGCAGATTTTACTAATACTCTGTTCAAGGTGTCTGAGTTTTAATAATTTACATAGATACTAGAATGACAGCTAACTTAGATCTATGATATCCATCTGTAGGAGATTTATAGCATGAAAGAGTTCAAAGTAATCTTGTCGGTCATTCTGCTTCTTGTTGTAGCCCAAGTAATACTCCCCTTGGCCAGCAGCCTCAATCTAGCCCAGTGCTGTGCAGTAGACCTTTCTGTTATTACTTAAATGTGTATCTGTGCTGTATAGTACAGTGGCTAGTTTAATTTCATTTTAATTAATTTTAAATTGCCACATGTAGGTAATAGATTATCTGACAGCAACATAGGTGTAGCCTCATAGGTTCCTCTTTAACATGTAAAACCCCTTGGAATTTTTTCTGGATCGTTCAGGCATAAACTTGTCATAATCATAAGCTCTTAGGAGAATGTTTGACCTATTATGCTTGTAGAATAGGAAAGAGAAGGCTGAACAAATTGGAAATAAAATAATGTATACAGTGGTGATTACAGTACAATAGAAGTATATCAGTGAGTAGTTTGATAAAGTGACTAAATGGCTGAGGATGTTCAGTAAAGAAAATAAACTACTCTAGGGATTTTAAATGGGAAGGATTTAATGTAGGGAATTAGGTGTTGTAAAATTACTGATCAAACCTAACAGGTTCTTGGTTGGGTCTTCAGAAATGACTTCCAAACCAACACAAAACTACAAGGGCATCGATTAGGAGCTCCCATTATGGATTCCTACTGAAAAGAGAAACGTTTTGTCACTGCTTCCACTTTCACTGCTTCTGGATACCCAAAACTGGAGATGTTACTTGTCTCGAGAATACAGGAAGAAATTTATTAAAGTAATTCTCTTTTCTTTTAGAGAACCAGAAGCTAAAATAAGGTGAAAACTTACTTTAGCTTAGGATAGCCTCTTTGAGAAAATAAGGTATCTTATGAAAACAGAGAGAAAACAAATTGGACTAATTGTGGTGCGTAACCTATTGTATATATATTCAAATAACCCTTATATATCTATTCTTTACAGATCCAGGATGAGAAGACTGATAAAAGAAGAAGCTAGCTGAACAGCTGTAAAATGCCCAAATCTGGGTTCACAAAACCAATTCAGAGTGAAAATTCTGACAGTGACAGCAATATGGTAGAGAAACCATATGGAAGAAAGGTATATGATTATACTAAAGATTTGTTGACTTTTTGAACTGGGAAAAAGACTCCCAATTAAGTATTTTTAGTGATTTCTCGTAAGATAAAAACCAATATGGATGCCAGATAAATCCAAACCATTTATGCCCTTTAGAAATAAATTGGATTCCTGGGGAAGTGATTGTTTATCATTCCTTAAGGTGAACACACAACTACTAAGTAAAACACAATTACTAAGATTGTGCAATTAAGAAATATTGAGAGAGGGAAAAATTTTTATTATTAGTCATTGTCAATGACCTGTAATTCTGTCTTTTTATATCTATCCTTTTTCATTCCTACTTAATTTAGACCCTCAGAACCTTCGTTTGGACTCCTGCAATTGTCTCCTAACTGGTCTTGCTATCCCTAGTCTCTCCTTATCTCTGGTTTTATACATTGTCTTTGAATTTTTTTTCTGTTTACTTTTTAAAGTCTTTTTAAAAGCCATTTTCTTACGGAAAGATGTCTGAGGTGTTTCCAGACATTTTTAACTAACGGAGTTGCGCAACCATCATCACAATAAGGTTTTAGAACATTGCCATCATTGTGGAAAGGTCTTTGTTGCCCATTTGTAGTCAGTCTCCACTGCAACCCTAAACCCTCCAGGCAACCCCATATCTGCTTTCAAAATCAGGAAGTGTAAGTTTTCAAACTGTATTCTTTTCAGAATCGTTTTGAGTCCTTCATGATTTCATATAAATTTTAGGATCAGCTTGTCAGTTTCTACAAAAGTACCTGCTAGGATTTTGAGGGAATTTTATTGAATTTTTTCATTGAATGTGTAGATCACTTTGAGTTGTATTGCCATCTTAATATTGTCTTCCAATCCATGAACATGGAATAGCTCTTCATTTACTTAGATCTTCAATTTGTCTCAGTAGTGCTTTGTAGTTTTCAGTGTAAAAGTGTTGCATTCTATTGTTAAATTATTTGTAAGTATCTTATTCTCTCAGTGCTACTATGGATAATTTTATTTTGGGCTCTTTATTGCTAGTACAGAAATATAATTGATTTTTGATGTAGTTATCTTTGTATCCTGTGATCTTACTCAATTATTAGTTCTAACAATTTGTAATTCCTTAGGACTTTCTACATATGGAATCATATTATCTGTGAATAAAGATAATTTTACTTCTTTTCCAGTCCGGATATTTCTTTTTTTGTTTGATTACCTTTACTTCTCGCCCCCCTTTTTTCCCCGATTACACTGGCAAACTCTTCTTGATTACAGTACTTAGTCCACTTACATTTAATGTAATTATTGCTATGACTTATATCTGATGATAATTTATATGTGCAGTTTTGCTCTTTATTGTATATTTCATGTCTTTTTTGTTACCTCTTTTATGTTGCCATTTTTGGTTTTAAATATTTTTCAGTGTACAATTTTAATTTCTCTAATTTTTTTAAACTGTTTTTTGATGTATTATCTTAGATGTTGATCCTGGAGATTGTAATACACATCCTAATTGATCACAGTCTACTTACAGGTTGATATTGACACAATTCCAGTAAAATATAGCAGCTTTGCTTCAATATAGCTCCATTTTCTTCCTTTGTGTTATTTATATAACATCGATTACATCTAGATATGTGATTAACCCAACAAAAGAATGTTATAATTGTTTGATACAAAATGTTATCTTTTAAAGAAATAAGAGAAATCAATGTTTATGTAGTTTCAGATTTCCCTACAAATTTACTGATTTTGGTGTTCTTAATTTCTTCCTATGGATTTAAGTTACTATCTGGTGTAAGAATTTTCCTTAGTACTTACTATAAGGCAAGTCTTCAGCCATGGTTTCTGTCAGTCTTTTTTTGATCTAGGTAGGAATATCTTGATATGGCCATTTTTTTTTCCTTTTTGAGACAGAATTTTGCTCTCTTACCCAGGCTGGAGAGTGCAGTGGTGTGATCTCAGCTCACTGCAGCCTTGACCTCCCAGGCTCAAGCAATCCTTCCACCTCAGCCTCCTGAGTAGCTGAGACCGCAGGTGCACACCACTATGCCCAGAGATAGGGTTTCATCATGTCGCCCAGTCTAGTCTGAAACTCCTGGCCTCAAGTGAGCCACCTGCCTCAGCCTCCCAAAGTGCTGGGATTACAAGTGTGAGCCACCACACCCTGGCCGATGTTGCCATTTTTAATAAGTAGCTTTATTGAGATATAATTCGCATGCCATACATTTAAAGTATACAATTCAGTTGTTTTTATATTTACAGAGTTGTATGGTCACAACCACAATCAATTTTAGAAGTTTCACCCCAATATATACTCTTGAGAGAATGAGAAAGATAAAAATAACATCTTAAATGTTATTATGAAGATACTGACGTTGCAGATCTCCTCAGTTGATCTCACGGACTATAATTTGAGAACTGCTATACCAGTGTAATAAGCTCATTAATGAAACTACTGAGTGATGGGAGGAAAAAAGGAGAGAATGCTACTTAACAGGTTCAGCGATAGCCTAATAGTAGAATTAGGTACTTAATCTGGGTTCTCAAGGATGAATCCGTATTTGACCAGAAGGAAAGTGAAAGTAAAGGGTAGTATAAGCGAAAGAAACAGCAAATGAAAAACAAACTTCAGTTGGGATGTAGCCTATGAAGGATGGAGGATAGGAGGTGAGTCTAGCACTAGACAAGGAGCAGTTCATTATAGCCTTGTGTGCCTTGCAAAGGATCTTGGAACTTATTCTGTAGTCAGTGAGTCAGGAGGGAAGGGTCATAGAAAGAACCAGTCAGAATGCTATTTGATAAAATATAAGTAGGAGGCAGTGTGGGCAGTGGCTTTTGGGATGAAGAGAAGTTGGCAGATCGAAAAGCTGTTGAATGAATTAAACTTGTGTGTGAAGAAAAAATAGTCTGGGTCCATTCTGAGGTTTGTTTCCATTACTAGGTTAATGATTGGGCCATTTCCTGAAAGGAAATTCAAGAGAAAGAACAGGTTGTTTTGAATAAGTTTGCTTTGTACTTGCTGAACTGAGTTGGCCCTGGGAACATTCAAGTAGAAATGTTTAGTAGGCAGTTGCATATGAGTGTAAGAACTCAAAACAAGTCTGGATTGGAAATAAATATATGAGGATATGTAGAAAGTATGGAGAAGAGTGTACAAAGAGTGTATAAAGTGGCACAAGAATGGAGGAGGATAGACCCTGAGGAATTCAAATATTTTAGGAGGAGTAAAGAGACAAGGAAAGAGGAGGACAGAGAGAGAACCAAGGGAGGTTCCACAGAGAATGGCTAAAGGGAAGAGAGAGTCTGCACTGCCAAATGCAACAGAGGTTAAGAGGAAAGATGAGGCCATTGAAACATTTTAAATGACCTTGATGAAAGTAGTTTGCGTGGAGATGTGGGGACAGAATGCAATGTTAGATTTGAAGAAAGCATTATAACTTTTATTTCTGCATGTTTAAGTATAGTGAAGATTATATTTGTGGAAATTCATCTGGGCTGCTTGATGCCACTTTTTGGATTTGAATTTATGAGGCTAAACTGAATGAAGCTTTAATTGTTCCTATGTACTTTTCATGTATCTTTTGAAAGTTGTCACGAAATAAGTAGTGCCTGAATATTGCCCTCCTAAAAGTGTGATTTTTTTTTTTTTTTTTTTTTGAGACGGAGTCTCGCTCTGTCGCCCAGGCTGGAGTGCAGTGGCGCGAAAAAGTGTGATTTCTTAAAAGTGTAGCAACAATAGCAAAAACCAAATACTTCACTAACATATTTCTGTTTAAAACATTCCCTAGGTAAGTTAAGAATACTTGTTAATCATTGGATTTATAAAATAAATGGCAAGAATGAATACAAACTATTACATTCCTCTAGTTAACAAATTTTTGGCTTACATAAAGGGATGTATTTATTCTCAGTCTCTGTTTAACTGTATGTTTTTCAAGATCAGTAGTTTGGGTAAGGATCAGAAGCTCATCTAAGGCAACATGCGCTGTACTTAAATTGCCATGCTTTGGGATTTCAGAGCAGTTTGATGTCAAAAGCTGTTGTTAGAAGTATTTTCCTCAGTCTTTCAGTGAATATTTAACCCCTTATTTTACCTTGAGAGGAAGGGCTGTAGTTTTTATTCCAAAGATGCTAGGTATAGACCATGTTGCTGCTCCTTTTTAAGACAAAGTGAAGAAGTTGGGGTAGGGGGTAGAAGGCATGACCATCATTCATGTGTATATTTGCAATGTGTATTTCTTTGATTGTCTTTTTTTTTTTTTTTTTTTTGACGGAGTCTCGCTCTTTTTCCCCGGGCCGGAGTGGAGTGGCGCGATCTCAGCTCACTGCAAGCTCCACCTCCTGGGTTCACGCCATTCTCCTGCCTCAGCCTCCCGAGTAGCTGGGACTACAGGTGCCCGCCACCGCACCTGGCTAATTTTTTGTATTTTTAGTAGAGACGGGGTTTCACCGTGTTAGCCAGGATGGTCTCGAATGGTCTCAATCTCCTGACCTCGTGATCCGCCCACCTCAGCCTCCCAAAGTGCTGGGATTACAGGCGTGAGCCACTGCGCCTGGCCGATTGTCTTTTCATAGTGAGTGGCATTGAAGTCAACTTCTGGGTTCTGCTAAGTTGTTTTTCCCCATAACATTTTTAGAAATGAGGCTGGGCATGGTGGCTCATGCCTATAATGTGTGCTTTGGGGAGACCAAGGCAGGAGAATTGCTTGAGGCCAGGAGTTCAAGACCAGCCTGGGCAAGACCCCCGTCTCTACCAAAAAAAAAAAATTAGCTGGATGTGTTGATACACAGCTGTATTCCTAGCTACTGGGGAGGCTGAAGTAGAAGGATTGCTTTAAGCTACAGTGAGCTATGCTTGTGCCACTGCGTTCCAGCCTGGCAAGAGAGCAGGACCCTGCTGTCTCTATTCATTTTTAATTTTTTTTTAACAGTTCTCTTACGTAAGTAGAGACCCCATTTACAGTTTAATATGACAGAATATTGCTGTTATGAGGTCCTAAATTAATAAAATAACCTAAACCAAAATTTCACTCCTTAAATTCATTTAAGTAGAGCATAACTTAAGTAATTGTATTTTATAGCAATTTAATTTTTATGTAAAGTCCTCTCATTAAATATTAAAATAGTTAGGATTTTGACAAGAATGTTCACACCTTTCACTGCTCATCTGTGGTCTTTTCCCCCCATTGATTCTAGTTTAGTTTAGAAATGTCTCCACTACTCTTTTAGCTATAAATCAGTATTTAAAATTTGCAAAGCAGAATCTTTTATAAACTCTGTTAAGATAGTCTAAAACCTGGTTAAATTCATAAAATGTGAGAGAGGGGATATTAATTATTTTAACCATCTGAATAGTTCTGTTATATCCTTTTCGTCATCAGTGTAGTTCAGACATTCATTATTTCCTCTCCAAGTGACTATTGAGAATTTTTTCTTTTATTATCCAAGTATTATAATACATGTTTGTTGTAAAAAATTAGAAAATACATATAAGAATAATGAAAATAGAAATTACCTATTACCTTGTCAACAACTGTGAAGGTTCTGAGATTTTACCCTACTTGTAAGCTAATTAGCTTCATGGATGCTGGCAGAAGACACAATTCCTAGGTCAGTGATGAAGGAATATTTGCTATTCAGCAATAGCAGTAGCCAGAGTATCATTGTTTGTGCCTGTTCCCTGAGCCTCGCTTCTCACAAGGGGGATGCAGTGATGGGCAGATGACAACTGCATATGCAGTGGGTTGTATTACAGGGTAGGAACCCCAAATCTTTTATGATGGGCAGTAAGTCTGCCTGAACTTTTCCCTAGAAGGAGACATTATTACACTGGACAGCAAACAGGTATGTCCTTAGCTTTAGAGGGAGACACTACCTCTGTCTTTCGAGGCTGTTTATCATACAAATACCCATGAAAAGATAGTCCAGGACAAAGGAAATTAGTGTGTCTGCTCGCAACATGTGCAAAAATGCAAGAGAGACATGGAGAATTATGTCCCAACACAGCTGTAATGGCACCACCTACAGATAGCTATTAACATTTTGGTTTACAGGCATACCTCATTTTATTGCACTTCACTTTATTGTGCTTTGCAGATAATTGTGCTTTTTACAAATTGAAGGTTAGTGGCAACCCTGTGTTGAGCAAGTTCATTGGCAACATTTTTCCAACAGCATGTACTCACTTGTCTCTATGTCACATCTTGATAATTTTCATATTTCCAACTTTTTCATTATCATGATGATGATTAGTGATCTTTGTTACTGTTGTAGTTGTTTTGTGGGCACCACACTGTATGCAGAAAAGATGGCAAGCTTAATGTTGTATGTGTTCTACTGCTCCACTTACTGGCTTCTCTCCCAACTCCGCCCCTCCTTGGGCCTTCCTATTTCCTAAAACAACAATTTTGAAATTGTTGTGTTTCAGTGGTCTCTAAGTATTCAAGTGAAGAGTGGAATGTCTCTCATTTTAAGTCAAAAGCTCTAAATGATTAAGCTTAGTGAGGAAGGTATGTCAAAGGCTGAGAGAGGTCAAAAGCTAGGCCTCTTGTGCCAGTTAACCAAGAGAGGAATGCCAAGGAAAAGTTCTTGAAGAACACTAAAAGTGCTGTTAAAGTGAACACACCATAAGAAAGCAAAACAGTCTTATTGCTGATATGGAGGAAGTTTGGAGTGGTCTGGATAGAAGATCAAACCAGCTACAACATCCCCTTAAACCAAAGTTCAATCCAGATCAAGGCCCTCTCCTCAATTCTGTGAAGGCTGAGAGAGGTTTGGAAGCTGCAGAAGAAAAGTCTGAAGCTAGCATAAGTTGGTTCATGAGGTTTAAGGAAAGAAGCTGTCTCCATAACATAAAAGTGCAAGGTGAAGCACCAAGTGCTAATGTGGAAGCTACAGCAAGTTATCCAGAAGATCTAGCTATGATCTTTGATGAAGATGGCTACACTAAACTACAGATTTCAGTATAGATGAAATAGCCTTCTATTGGAAAAAGATACCATGTAGGACTTTGAAAGCTAGAGAGGAGAAGTCAATCCCTGGCTTCAAAGCTTCAGAGGACAGGCTCACTGTCTTGTTAGGGACAAATGCAGCTGACAACTATTAAGTTAAAGCCAGTGCTCTTTTTCCATTGCAAAAACGCCAAGACCCATAAGAATTACGTGAAATTTACTCTGCCTGTACCTTATCAATGGAAAAACAGTGCCTAATGACAGCACATCTGTTCACAGCATGGTTTCCTGAATAGATTAAGCCTACTGTTGAGACTTACTAAGAAAAAAGGATTATTTTCAAAATATTACTGCTCATTGACAACATGTCAGTGAGCTGTCACCCAAGAGCTCTGACAGAGACATACAAAGAGAATAATGTTGTTTTCATGGCTGCTGACATGCAGTCCATTCTGCAGCCCATAGGTCAAGGAATAATTTTAACTTTTTAAACAAGTCTTATTAAAGAAGTATGCTTTGTAAGGCTGTAGCTGCCATAGAGAGTGATTCCTCTGATGGATTTGGGCAAAAAAATTGAAAACCATCTTGAAAGGATTCACCATTTTAGATGCCATTAAAAACATTTGTGATTCATGAGAGGAAGTCAAAATACCAATATTAACCAGAGTTTGGAAAAGTTGATTCTAACACTCATGGATGACTGAGAGGGTCAAGACTTTAGTGGAGGAACTAACTGTAGATGGGATTGGAAAACGCAAGAGAATGAGAATCAAGTGGAGCCTGAAGATGTGACTGAATTGCTGAAATCTCATGATCAAACTTGAAACCTACTTTTAAAACAACCTTATAAGCAAAACACTTGGTTTGAAGCTCCATTTCATTGGCAGAAGAGAAAAATAGCTCATCTTTCTTATGGATGAGCAAATAAAGTATTTCTTGAGATGGAATCTACTCTTGGTGAAGATGCTAGAAACATTGTTGAAATGACAGCAAATAATTTAGTATATTACATAAACTTCGTTGATAAAACAGCAGCAGAGTTAAATAAGATTGACTCCAATTTGAAAAGAAGTTCTGTGGGTAAGTGCTATCAACAGCATTGCATGCTCCAGAGAGATCTCTTGTGAGAGAAAGTCAATTCACATGGCAAACTTCATTGTTGTCTTAAGAAATTGTAATAGCCACCCCAACCATCAAAAATTGTCCTGATCAGCAAACAGCCATCAACCTAAGGCAAGACCCTCCACCAGCAAAGAGATTACAACTCACCGATGGCCCATGCAATCTTTAGCATATTTTAGTATATTTAGTACTTTAAAATTAAAGTAGGTATATATGTATTTTAGACATGATAGTATTGCACACTTACTAGACTACATCATAGTGTAAACATGATTTTTGTACTGGGAAACCAAAAAATTTGTGTGACTTGTTTTGTCATTATAATTGCTTTATCGTGGTGGTCTGGAACTGAATCTGCCATATCTCCAAGGTATGCCTTGATATTGTTCCCGAGTTTTCTGTTTATATATTTGCACGTGTGTATATATATTCTTGTTTTCTGGATACTTCTTTTACCATTTTTTCTATCTTACTGAGATGACAAAGGCTATCAATACATTGTTTAATAGCAGAATTAATAGAAGATCATTCTTACCATTGATGCTTTCATTATTACGTGTGATGGCTGTTGCCAGTTATTGGGAAAATAATGTTAAATGAAAAAGACTCTAGAAATATTTTAAGATAATAAACCTAACAGAGTTATGGGCCTAGGATGTGCTAATGAGCCTCTCGTGAATTTGATAGAGTATTTCTACTCTTTGGTAATACAGAAATTTCAAGTCTATCAAAAACATTTCTTTTGAAAGAAAAGAAACCCTTTGTTCAAATACGCCTTGAAGGACAGTTTTATAGATGACATAACAAGTAGTTAGCAGTTATGATAGTTACACATCACCGTATTGCACAGGAGAACATATTCCATATACTCTTTTGCTGTTTTCTTTCAACTTAATATCACATAGGTTTTTTTTTTAACTCATTTTGTGGCACAGACCTGTATCTTATGTAGCTGCAAGGGAGAAGGGATTTTTAAATGATTCTTAAATCTTTTATTCGTAACAATGATTCATTTTCTGAGGCAAGTTACTGGAGTTTTGTTGGTTAACCTGTGTATTAGCTGTGCCTTTTTGTTTTCTGTATTTCTGTTGCTTTGACTTCTGAGGCCTTGCTGAGCATTGAGAGACTGTATCTTCCAGGGCTAGCCAGTTCCTAGAGATAATAAACTCACTGTGAGCAAATCTTTCACTCTCAGACCGACCTATCTAGACCCCACATCCAAACCCCCAACTTTGTTGGGCTCTCACACTCTGGGCCACTGGCCATCTGTCCTAATCACCCCAGAACCAGGCACCAATTAGAGAAACAGCTCCCATACCCCAGAACCCACTGAAATTATTCAAGGTAGCCAATCCCAAGCCTGCTTACCCTGCTTCACACTTTTTTTCCTGTAGAAACTACAGTAAAGGCTCTTGCTCACATTTCACCTTTCTTCTTTTACCTCTTGACCAACCACCCTGGTACTTCCCTGTGTGGTCTGGAGTGGCATGATGTGGCATGGCATGCTCCCCACCCCTTGGAACTGTGAGTAACAATCTTTTCCATAGCAGTAATATCCTGATTTGTTGGTCTCACCATATAATAAAACCTACATTTTAAGTAACCTTATAAGCAAAACACCTTGTTTTTGAAGCTCCATTGGCAGAAGTGAAAAAATAGCTCGAGGATGTTAGTTGAAAGCTTGGAAATTGATCAAGAATGAATGTAGATGTTATTCTTGTCACTTTGTTCTTGCCATCATAGGGTTTTCTTTAATCTTTTGATACAATGAATTAAGAGGTTTTCTATCAGTGAACTGTCCTTGCATTCTCTAGATGAGCCCTGCTTGATTATAATATATTCTAAGAATTGAATTTGGCTTGATAGTCTGTTTAGGACTTTTGCATTTAAGTTCATAAGTGGATTTTTGTCTATAATTTTGTATCTTGTGCTGTTTTTTGGTATCAATTTCATTTTAGACTTCTAAAATGAATTGGGTAACTTCTAATCTTTCTGTGCTCTGGTATTTATAAGACATGGGAAATACCTGCTTCTTGAATTTTTGTTTTTTTGGTTAAAACTCTATTGTAAAATCTTGTGGAGTAGGTGCCTTTTTAAACATACATTTCACTATGGATTTATCTTTTTTTTTCCTCCTTTTTTTTTAGAGACAGGGTCTTGCTCTGCTCTGTCACCCAGCCTGGAATGCAGTGGCATGATTATAGGTCACTGCAGCCTTCTGCCTCAGCCTCCCGAGTAGCTGGGACTACAGGTGTGTGCCATTGCGCCCAGCTAGTTTTTAAAAATTTTTTATGGCGATGAGGTCTCACCACGTTGCCCAGGATGGTTTCAAACTCCTGTCCTCAAGTGATCCATCCGCCTCAGCCTCCCAGAGCATTGGGATTACAGATTTTAGCCACTGCACCCAGCCTGATTTACTGTTTTCTGTGGTAATTGGTCTGTTCTGGTTTTCCCTTCCTGTCATCCTGTCATGAGCTAGTTTTTAGTAATCCATATATTCCAAGGAAATTACCCATTTTTACAGGCTGTAAGTTTTTTAATAGTATAAAATTGAGTACAGCATTTTTTTTTTTTTTTTTTTGGATACAGGATCTCACTCTGTTGTCCAGCCTGGAGCACAGTGGCGAAGAACATGGCTCACTATAGCCTCAATCCTCCCAGCTCAAGCAGTCCTCCTGCCTCAGCCTCCCAAGTAGCTAGGAACACAGGCGCATGCCACCATGCCTGGCTAATTTTTAAATTTTTTTACAGAAACAAGGTCAGGGTCCCCCTGTGTGGCCCAGGCTGGTCTCAAACTCCTAGGCTTAAGTGATCCACCCACCTCTGCCTCCCAAAGTGCTAGGATTACAGGCATGAGCCACCATGCCCAGCCAACAGCATTCTTTCATAACTTTTTAATATTCCCTCTCTAGTTGTATTCAGGCTCAATCTCAGTGGTTTTTTTTTGTTTGTTTGGTTGTTTTTATCTTTTCTCTGTTTTTCATTATTAAGTTCACCAAAGGTTTGTTAATTTATTTGCTCTTTTAGAGTCATCTTTTGGTTTTATTGCTACTTTAAAAAAAATGACATTAATTTGTTATGCCCCTTTTTCCTCCTCATCCCTCCTTTATTTTTCATCTTGGGTTGAAAACTGGTATCTTTTATAGTCTGAATCTACTTTTCATTTGCTTTTGAGAGTTTCTACAATCATGATAAATTATCACTTATTATCATAGCTTGGGGAATGTTCTTTTAAGATCTCCTGCTAAGGCAGTGTGGCTTAGTTCTCAGTATGAAGCACATTTCTCACAAAGGAGTTGTCATACCCCAGTTTTAGATGTGCTGTATCAATTTGGATGTTTTGATTATAGGAGTGAACTTTATAATACCTATAGGTCACTTCACCTGATTGGGCGAGTACTTAGTATTTTTGTTTGGTATGTCATTCTTTTTCTAAAATGAATTATAAATCCATTTCTGGTTTTCTGATTTAAGAAATAGGGTTGTAATCTACTGGCCTGGATAGATTATTCTTTGGTTCCTGTGATCCTTACATATTTTCTTCTTTATTGGTAAATAATAGTGGTTCTCAAACTTTACTATGCATCAAAATTATGTGGCAGGACTATTAAAACAGATCATTAAGCCCTAGCCCCAGAGATTCTGATTCAGTAGGTCTGAGATGATGCCTGAGATTTTGCATTTCTAGTAAGTTTCTAGGTGATGCTGATACTGCTAGTCAGGAAGCCATTTGAGAACTACTGATATAGATAATTTTATTTATTTATTTATTTATTTATTTATTTATTTATTTATTTATTGAGACAGAGTTTTGCTCTTGTTGCCCAGGCTGGAGTGCAACGGTATGATCTCAGCTCACTGAAGCCCCTGCCTCCCAGATTCAAGTGATTCTCCTGCCTCAGCCTCCTGAGTAGTTAGGATTATAGGCACCTGCCACCACACCTGGCTAATTTTTTGTATTTTTGTAGAGACAGGATTTCACCATATTGGCCAGGCTGGTCTCAAACTCCTGACCTCAGGTGATACCCATGCTGTGGCCTCCCACAGTGCCGGGATTAACAGGCATGAGCCACCACACCCAGCCAATTTTATTTTTTAAATAAAATACCATCAGTTTGATTCAATTCAGAATTGCTTTTTAAAATTTACATATTCATTGGCGCTACATCTAGATATAATGGTTCTATTCAAAATATTTTGTTTTACTGTTGTTTTAAAATTGTTATTAGAAGTACCATTCAACCCAGCAATCCCATTTTTGTTTACCCAAAAGAATATAAATTGTCCTATTAAAAAGACACATACATGCCTATGTTCATTGCAGCACTACTCACAGTAGCAAATACATGGAATTAACCTAAATGCGCATCAACAGTAGACTGGATAAAGAAAATGTGGTATATACACACCATGGAACACTATGCAGCCATTAAAAAGAATGAGATCATGTTTTTTGCACAGCAACATGGATGGAGCTGGAGGCCATAATCCTAAGTGAACTAATGCAGGAATAGAAAACCACCAAATACCACATGATCTCATAAGTGGGAGCTAAACATTGAGTACACATGGACATGAAGGGAACAGCAGACACTGGGGCTTACTTGAGGGTGGAGGGTGGGAGGAGGGAGAGGATCAAAAAACTGCCTATCAGGTACTATGCTTATTACCTGGGTAATGAAATAATCTTTACACCAAACCCCAGTGATATGCAATTTACTTACATAACAAACCTGCACAGGTACCCCTGAACGTAAAATATTTAAAAATAAATATAAAATTATGTTATTAAATAAGAGTAGGGAAATATGAAACAGGAAAAAATGTACTTGTTGAAGCTGGGTCTTGAGTACATTGAATACAGTGATAGGTAATACTATCTCTTTTTGTGTATGTTTGAAATTTTCCTTAGGGGTTTCTATACTGTATTGCTTAGCTAATATTGATATAACTTTACTCTATTTGACTTTTTAATAGAGTAAAGACAAGATTGCATCCTACAGCAAAACTCCAAAAATTGAACGAAGTGATGTGAGCAAGGAGATGAAAGAGAAATCATCCATGAAACGTAAACTTCCTTTTACTATTAGCCCATCAAGAAATGAAGAACGAGATTCAGACACAGGTAGAATAATTTGCTGTTCTCTGGTAAAATCTTGCCCATTCTTTAATTCTGATTTTTGTTTCTTGTACACCACTCCTCTTGACACCCCAGTTTATAGAGAAATATTTGTATTTCACTATTTCAGATTTATCATTTTGGGGTAGGAATTCCATCTATCATGCCAAGTGTGATTTCTAACCAGAGATAAAAACAATTTTCTTTATTCCTTACTCTTTGAATGTTTATTGTGAATTTCTTTATCAAGAAATTAATTTTGGGAGGAGCATTCAAATGAATAAAAATTACTCAGTGATAAGGAAGCATTGGGATATGCAGATTTGAGAAAAAGTTGTTGAGCTTTTGTGAACATATGGTCACACCCCAAAGAAGTTTAGGCACTTTAGATTCAGAAATAAATTAGAAACATGCAAACACACACACACACACACACACACACACACACACACACACACATTGAGGCTAACTGCCTCAGTGCTTTTCATAGAATTTTTACACACACACACACACACACACACACACACACACTGAGGCTAACTGCCTCAGTGCTTTTCATAGAATTTTTGTTTCCCAAAACTCCTATATACCAGAAATTGATACTTGAAATCAGCCAATCCCAGTTATTCATAACGGATGAGATTCTTTTTATTGCTATCTAATAAATTACTAGGTTGTGTTTTAGCCCTGAACTAACCGATTTTTGAAACTAATATAAACTTGAATGTATGTATTTACTGTAGTTTTAGTCATTGCATGAAATATTAATAATGAACTGTTCTTAAAAATGTTTTAGCCTCAGAGAAAGTATTCCATTCTGAGTTTACGTACATAGATTATATTCTGCCTATATCTTTCTAGTCATTTTAATTGTCAGTTCAGAAATGATCTTGACTCTGGAAACTGAAAATACTCATAAAGATTTTTGAAACATTCTATGCTAACATAGCTTTAGAAAATCATGTAGTGTATGCTTTTGGTAGCCAGGTCTCCTTTTGTGTATTTTGCCACTGCTGTTGTGTGAATTAAAAATTGTTCTTAAACACTCATGACATTTTTAAACTTTGAAGATTGCTCTGTCTTGCAGTGATTACGAAATCATGTGCTTTTTCATTTTAAGCTACACTGGTTTCTTTGAGAGATTCAGAATCTTTTTTTTTTCCCCCCGAAGCATCCTAAGTGATACTCTCAAGCTAATTACTGGATCGCTTACCTGAGAAGAGGGTGCTTATGTGCCTTTGGGATAGCTATTTCAGATTGAACTCTTCTCGCATATTGTTAAAAGTTTCTTTGCTAGTCATTTTTAAATTACATTACTCGGGTTTTGTTTTCCAATGAGAGTATATTTCTGATAGCTGTTCGAAAAATGGATTTTGATAAATTCAAAAAATATTAATATTTTTAAGGAATAAAGTTTCAAGATAATCTTTTCATGAGAGCCTTTGTCATTAGATCAGATGGATTATTTTTCTTTTATTTAGAATAAAATTAAGGAGAAAATGTTACTTAGGAAGGTAAGAAATTTAGGCATTGAATAAATGTAACCTAATTCATATGTCTAAAATTGGGTTATATACACTTTTCCCCCTTAGATTTTTTCTACCGTTGGACTTTAGTTGGGATATCGCAGCTCTCTATAAGACTGTTTCATAACACTTATTCTTCCTTTTGAAAAGTTAACATGTTGTCACCAAACAAAATTTTGATGGATTTAAAACACAATTGACCCTCGAATGGTGTGGGGACTAGGGGCGCCAACCCCCTTTTTCCCCCTTCACACAGTCAAATCTGTGTATCTTTTGACTTCCCAAGTACTTAACTACTAATAGCCTGCTTTTGACCAAAGCCTTACCAATAACATAAACAGTCAATTAACACATCTTTTGTGTGTTACGTTATTTTTTTCTTTACTGTTACCTGAGATGACGTGTTATATTATTATATACTGTACTCTTTAAGCTAGAGAAAAAAATGTTACTTAAGAAAATCATAAAGAACAGAAAATATATTTACTATTCATTAAATGGAAATGTATCATTATAAAGATCTTCATCCTCATTGTCTTCACATTGAGTAGACTGAGGAAGAGGAGGGGTTGATTTTGCTGTCTCAGGGATGCAGGGAGGCAGAAGAAAATTCCTGTGTAAGTGGATCTGTGCAGTTCAAAATCAGGTGGTTCAAGGTCAATTGTATTTATATTTTTGGTAGGCTTTATTTATAAATTTTAGTAATAGATGACGTCTTTGGTTTAACATATCACAACACAGTGAAAACATTAAGGAGGATTTCCCTAGTCCCAGTACAAAATGTGTTATTTACGATTCAAGTGTCTTTTATATAATTTTTTTTTAAAAAGTAGAATTCAGTACCATTAAGTGATATTTCCCATATGAAAGATACAGCATCAGACTTCATATCTGACATTGATCTTTTTTATGTAGTATTCTGTATTTTAAACTATTAGCTGAAACTGTGAAGATAAAGATACAGAGGGGAGAAACATTTACAGCATATATCAAAACCCTTAATATATGTAGTATTTAAAGATCTTCTAAGTGTGAAAAGGAAACTCAAAAATGGGAAAATGGACCAGAAAATACAAGTGGTTCAGAACAATTATAGTTTGGAAAGAAATACATGAAAAAAATACATCAATAGTAATCAAGAAATACAATTTATGGTGAATGACAAAATTGTTTTTGGTCTGAATCACCCAGTGGTTATGGGTTGGACATAGGAATTTGCTTTAGTGGGTCTAAATTATAGAAATACTTTGTTTAAGGTAAATAGGACAGTGTATATAAAAAGTTGTTTCTTAACATCTGACTAATTTTTTCTTTGGGCATTTATTATAATAATGATAACTATTATTATTTTGAGACAGAGTCACTCTGTCGCCCAGGCTGGAGTGCAGTGGTGCCATCTCAGCTCACTGCAACCTCTGCTTCCTGGGTTCAAGTGATTCTCCCGCCTCAGCCTTCCGAGTAGCTGGGATTACAGGCGCCTGCCACGATGCCTGGCTAATTTTCATATTTTTAGTAGAGACGGAGTTTCACCATGTTGGCCAGGCTGTTAACTCCCGACCTCAAGTGATCTGCCAGCCTCAGCCTCCCAAAGTGCTGGGATTACAGGAGTGAGCCAACATGCCTGGCCTCTAATAATTACTGATGAGAGCATTTATCTTTAAGAATGTTTATCTCAGCTTTCTTTATAATAGCAAAAAAATCAGGAAAATTGTGTTGAGTAATATAGGATTTGTTAAATTATGATAAATTCAATGAAGAAATAGATTTTTCACCCTTAAAAATAATGTAGTAAGGCTGGGCATGGTGGCTCACACCTGAAATCCCAGCACTTTGGAAGGCCAAGGCAGGAGGATCACTTGAGGCCAGGAGTTTGAGACCAGATTGGCCAGCAGAGTGAGACCCTATATCTATAAGAAAATTAAAAAATGAGTCAGGCTTAGTGGTGTGTGCCTGTAATCCCAGCTACTCGGGATGCTGATGCATGAGTATTGCTTGGCCTGGTAGGTCGAGGCTACAGTGAGCTGTGATCATGCCACTGTACTCCAGCTGTAGAATAATACGTAATATGGGAAGGTGATCATGATATTGGAAGTAAAAAATTAGATTATGAAACAGTATGTGCTATTTGCATTAAAATTGTAATTTGTGTATTTACATTTACTGTGTGTATATACGTGCACACATGATGTATATTAACACATGGAAAGATTAAGACTAAGACTTTTTTCACTGTAGGAACTGTACCTGTTGGATGTGTTTTGGGTACAGAACAAAATATAAATGTTATAAACCTTGACGTAAGGAAATAACAGAAAAAAGGGTAGGGAATAAGGAGAAAGCATATCATCTTATCTCTAGCAAGGGATTAACTGATATTATCTAAACAAGTATATAGTTTCTTAAAATGATTATATAAACTTTTTAATGTTCCTGTATTTAAAATTCCTTTATATTTTTGTTTATATTTTATAGTAGACAGTGTCTTTTATAAAGAAGCAATGCCTTTAGTTTTTTTTAATGTTGGATTAAAATAATCTTTAAGCCTTTTATTTCAAAACAGCATATGTATGTTATTTTCTTGTTCTTACATAAATTTATTACTGTCTCTGCTAGTTCCTTTGTTGTTTTATGTGTTTAGAGGGATGCTGGGAATGATGCTTGCCAGAGGTTAACACTTTATTTCTTGGATGTGGGGTATTTATTACTTCCTTCTTGGTCCTTTTTGTATGGCTTGAATTCTTGAGATAATGGTCATATGTTACTTTTATAAAGTCACTACTTTTTAAAAGAGGTATTCATAGCATTGTCCAAGGAAAGCCTACTGGCACCCCAAATCAGCAGTAATGCTGTCTACTGAATGAGAGATTCCTAGCCTTCATTTTGCGAGATATCGTAGTGTGTCTTAAACTTTCTAAATTCTCAATTATTTAATACTTACTAATTTTTTTAAAAAAGAAAACACTTTCTAGAAAAGTAATTGCTTGGCTAGACAGGAGAAATTAGGGAATGAATTACAACATAATTTGAAATCAGGCCAGTGGGTCCTTGTAGCTCTATCGTAGTACTATATTTATTCTGAATTAATTTATTTAAACAAATCACCAACATATTATTTTACTCTGTCAAAGAATTCCCATAAATTTTGTCCTGTGGAATATTAAGCCAATGTATACAGTGACCCATTGAACCTATGGAAGCAAAAAGCAACTGCTTATCTAAAAGATATTTCTTACACCTACATCAGCTTGCTTTATCACTAATTTTTACCTTTTCCTTTTATTCTCTCCTACTCTAGAATTGACAGGATAAATTTTATAGTTGTAACAGAGGTAAATCATGGCAGTGTTTACTGTTGAAGATTTTGGAATCTGACTAGTGTTGACCCTAAGCCCCCTACGAGCACTGGCCCAGTAATTAGACTTCTTTGTAAGTCCCAGCTTCCTTATCTGTAAAAGTACATATAATAGTATCAGTTTCAGAGAATTGTGACCTTCAAGTGACATAGCATGTAAATTTAGCTTTTAAAACTAAATTAAACATAACCAAAAACTAACACTGGTTTAAATACATAGGAATTTTACAATTTAATGCAGTAAGAAGGCCAGGTATAGGCAGTACAGGGTTGGCATAGCAGTTCAGTAATGCCATCAGGCACTGATCTCTTTTCATCTTAATGCTCTGCCACTCTTAGCTCATACATGGGCTTTGTCTTTAATCATTTTGCCTTATAATCACAAGATTATTGCTTCTTCCTGGGTAGAAAGTAGGAGGGAAAAGACCAAGGACAAAAGTGTCTTTTTCCTGGTGAGATTTGGCCTTTTTGTTTCTGCATCTGATTAGTTAGCCTATTCTAGTTGCAGCGGAGTCTGAAAAATCATACTTTTAGCCGGGCATATTGTTTCCCTGATCAAAACTGGGGTATTCCTGGTAAGAAAAGGAGAATGAATATTGTATAGGTATCGTATAATATCTGCCCCCATATATAAAGTGTAATCAGTAACTGATAACTTTTGTTATCTTTAATAATTAATAAAGTTTCCACCTAAGTGAACTTTATTCCTGCATTATCAGTCACAAAATCATACTTAATTTCTTTCCTAGTCTTAACGGTGTCCAAGGGAAAGCCAAAATCTCTTAATGTGAAAGTGTTAAACAGCTGTCTTGAGGCTACATGTGAGAGAGTCTCTTCTTGGCCCTCAAACTTAATTTACAATTCTTTTGTTATGAAAAATGCCATTAAGACATCTTTGCAGATTGTGATGTTTGTCATACCCTGAGTTATTTCTTTATTCGTTCCCAAGAGTAGGGTTACAGTGTTATAAGGGTTAAACATTTCTGTGATTCTTCATGTTTCTCCAAAATAATTATACCTAGTTAGAAAGCCTCCAGCAGTATATGAATGTTCTTTAAGTTCAAATAGCATTGGGGGACATGTTTTTCTTTAGGTTGATAAATCTGATGTTCTGTAGAGATAAACCAGTAGTCCTTTGTCATTTTAGTTTGCATGTTTAAATAATCAGAAAGATTGAATATCTTTCACTTTTTTTCTTTGAATAATTGTTTCCTCTTAGCATTATTAGTAAGCAAATAGTTTACTAGTTTTTTTCGCTTTTTTTTTTTTTAAGGTGATACAGAGTGTCGCTCTTTCACCCAGGCTGGAGTGCAGTGGCACAGTCTCGGCTCACTGCAACCTCTGCCTCCTGGGTTCAAGCAGTTCTCCTGTCTCAGCCTCCTCAATAGCTGGGATTACAGGCGTGTGCCACCACACCCAGCTAATTTTTGTATTTTTAGTAGAGATGGGGTTTCACCATGTAGGCCAAGCTGGTCTCAAACTCCTGACCTCAATTGATCCACCCACCTCAGCCTCCCAGTGCTGGGATTACAGGCGTGAGCAACCGCGCCCAGCCTTTTTTGGCATTTTAAAAAGATAATGTGTTATGAGAAAATTCAGAGAACACAGTATGATGTGTTCACAAAGTCTACAGAGGCAGCTGTAGAATATGTTGAAATTTTATTAACAAAATCTCTGCCAGCCAGCCTTAGTTCTATTTTCCTAAGACTTTAGATGCCATTTAAGGGTTTACCATATTATAATGTGACTCAGTCAAATTTGAGGAGAGGAGCTTCTTTTAAAAACAAAACAGATAGATATAATTTTTCTGGGAACTATATTAAAATAGATAAAATTAGTGCTTTGCTTAGTAAGAATAATCACCTTTGGTGATTTTTTCATGGCAGTTATTCATGATAGATTTACTTCTGCCCCCTTCCTGATATTTCATTATAAAAATTTCAAACATACAGTACAGGCTTTTAAAATTATTTTTGGTATTTTTCTCTTATTTCCTTGCAACCCAAGCAAAGTATTAACTTAAAAAGATTGGTTTTAAAATACAAGTGTCACTTGTTTTGCCTCGCTACAAGGAACATATGTGGGAGAGAGAATGGCTCTGCTTAGCACTCAGTGTTTTGCATCAATCTCAATCTCATAAACAGTGGTAGTCTCATACAGCCTAGTCTCAGTACAGCATAAAAGGAAGTAGTTGAGGAAGGGGACAGGGAAATGTTAATAGAAGCTTTAATTTTCCAGTTCCTGAGTTAAAGCTTTATAGACTATTCAGATGCCCCCAATAGAAACATACCTGTTTGAGTAAAAGCCAAAGAGTGTGTGGGGTCAGAGTGGTTGCTTACTTCCAAAGGATGATTTGGATAAACTGGTAAACTACATTAATATAATTGAAAGCTTAGTTTATTCACTGTGGTTTAATCTATTAAAATAATATCTGCTTTCAATAATTCATTTAATCCAATTGGCACAATTTAATGTTTGCTGGTTTGCTTTGCAATCTATGGTGGTTATTTAAATTTTTTTGTTTGTCTTTGTCAAATATTATTTTTCATGAAATTTTTGTGGTTGCTAATTTAATGTATTCCATTTTGAAATATGTGTTCATTGAAAGTTTTACCATTCAGCCCATTTACCTGTTTACTTTAGAGTTGGTCTAAATGTTATTGATGATTCCTCTTTCAGTTGAGTGAACCTTCTCGTCACTAAACTTTTAGGCTTATCTGTAAAATTTTCAAATACGATGCTTAGGGGTTACTTGTTCTCTAAGTTGTTTTTTTTGAACACTTGGTTACTTATACCTAAATGAAATCATGAATACTGTGTAACAGTGATCCTGGAAAAAAGTTTGACAGTTAAGGATATGAAGAACACAATAATATTGTGAGTTGAAATGGCATTTATAAGTCAAAATATATTTATAAGTAAAAATGTCTGCTCTGGCCATATTGCCAAAGTCAATTGTCCATATTCATATTTCTCTGTCATGAATTGTTAGGCAGAATTCCATATATATATATGTGTGTGTGTGTATATATATTATTATTATTATTTTTTAAATGCAGAGTCTCACTCTGTCACCCAGGCTGGAGTACAATGGCATGATCTCAGCTTACCGCAACCCCGGCCACCTGGGTTCAAGTGATTCTCTGGCCTCAGCCTCCCAAGTAGGTGGGATTACAGGCATATGCCACCACACCTGTCTAATTTTTGTATTTTTAGTAGGGATGGGGTTTCATCATGTTGGCCAGACTGGTCTTGAACTTCTGACCTCAGGTAATCCACCCACCTTGGCCTCCCGAAGTGCTGGGATTACAGGCGTGAGCCACTGTGCCCGGCCAGAATTCCATGTTCTTAACTGATAAACTTTGTTTTGATTTAGGTTACTTTCTTTCCAGACGGTCTTCAGTAGTAATCACTGTAGTAATTTATACCATTTGAAGTGTATATAATTTGTGGAAAGGTCTGTGGTGTAGGATGATGTTGCAGTCCAAAGTGTTTTACTGTCTCCAGAGTCGAGTTGGCACTCATAGAACAAAAAGTGTAAGACAAGTTCTAAACAGAAAACCAGCGATAGAGTACTGGCTCTTTTACTGTTATTCAGAAGTTGAAAAAATATATAGCCTCAAAAAAGATAGTGTGTTTTAATATATAACATCAGTAATACCTGTTATTGAAACTGCATGGTTGAATTTCCCAACTTTAAGATATTTTTGTTGAAAAATTTGAAATATTAGGTGTTGACCAAACCTGTGTTTTAAATATAATTTTGGCTTTACTTTAAAAATAATCTTTTGGCAAAACAATAATAGCTTATTAACTGGTGGTCTTTTGAAAAATGTTGGTTTGTTGAATTCTGCATTTCCCTCCGTGTGCTTTTTTCTCTTCTCCTGTCTCTTCTCATTCTGTAGATTCAGATCCAGGACATACAAGTGAAAATTGGGGGGAGAGACTTATATCTTCTTACAGGACATACTCAGGTAATTAGATTATCAGGTGTTCCTGTTTAGCCAGTGGTTTCTGTCACATTTACAATTAATTATTGTACTATAAGTAACTTACTTTCAAACCAGCATATAGATATCTTTGGTTAAATAAATGAACTACGTGGGTGACACCACATTTTCCCATTTTTGCTCCTAGGTACTCAGTGTATCATATCTAACACAAGCTATGTGTGAACCTTGTAGCAGGACTGCCATATACCTCCACTCCAGTTTTTTACAGCACAATGTGGGGAACACCATTCACGCAGAAAACAATGTGAAAGTCAACCCCTGGTGGTGCATAGTGTAGTGACTCCTATGGGAAGATCCCCAAGTGTTTCGTTGTATACCCTTCACAAGGTATACCAAGTGTACTGATTTCAATAGACAGTGTCATCTTACCGTTTAGTCATGTGATGTTTTTTAAAAAACACATTTAATACAATTTTTTTCCATTGAATTCATTAGCCGTTATTGACTTTGTTGCCTAGGTTAAATTTAACTATAACTGAATTAAAATACCAGGTTACCTAGAGAAATGCCATTACCACTGTGTTGCAACCTCTCTATTAAGCTATGGCACCTGTTATTTTATGTTAATGGTCAGTAATTGCTCCAGATAGAATACAAGAGGATATACAAGTACTGTGTCCTCTTAAAATAAAGAGTAAATGTGTTCTCTAGTATGTGACAGCTAATTAGTTAAATGTTTTTGATTGTCTTTTTTTAAATTGGCTAACATTGTTATCTCTGAGCTTAAATAAAAATATGATTTTTTTTTAGTCCCTGGGTGTCTAAGTGTCTAGTTTTCAGCATATGACATTTAGTTATAAAAACTAAAGTAAACCTGTTTTATACACTTTTTATTTATTTTATACATTTGTGGGGTTGGGTTAGGGGCAGTGGAAGAACCAAATAATAATTCTTAAAATTATCCCAAAAGTTTTAATTGAGCTGATAAGTCAGTAGTGCCTGGTTACCAAAATTGAGGGGGTGGGGCATATTTACAGTCAGTTACTGTGGAATTAGGCATGCTTTTCTAAAAGGTGACTTCTAAGTACCCAAAGTGCCCCTGAAAGAGCTGTATGTATATGAAGCCATCCATAATCTGAGTATCATTGCCGGAAATCAAAAGATGCAGACATTCAATTGGAGATTCACGTAGATATTTTAGAACCAGAGAGTAATGGCAAATTTTTTTTTCAGAATTGAAGTATGTACATTGCAAACAGGATTGACTTAATTATGTTCATCTATATTTGAGTTGTGATTCCATTGTTTGATTCTTATAGTGACTACTTTGTGGGAAGATGTTGTATTCTTTAATTTTTGAGACACTAATAGGTTTATGAACCAAGTTCCCTAAGAAAAACAATTTTGTCTCTTCTCCTTAATAAGTACTTAACACTTAATTGGGATGTGAAGATGTTGAGCTTTCTATTTATTCTGGCAAGACCTAAAAAGAAAGCATTAATTTTCAGCATTATAAAACTGGAACATCTTTGTATATCTGAAGATCCTCTAAACCTTGAAAGAATGTTGGAGCGTTGAAAAGTCCATTTCTCTGTTTGCTTTGAATAGTCTTTAAGTGAATCTCTTGTATATTTTCTTAAAAAATCCCTAGGCTGTCTGAATGGAACTTAAGTTTATAGTAGACTATGCTAAATGAACACATTTGTCAGTATACTTACATTTAAACTTCAAAGTTCTTGTCTATTATTAGGGCAAGTAAATACATTTTGCAGGTACTGAATCTTGAGAAGTAGCTAACTTTTTAAGTATTATTTAATCACCTTCCTGACAAGAGAAGTAGCTAACTCTTTATAAGATATATAATATATTATCATTTTTTTACTTATGATGGGTCAGAGGAAACAAATTCTTTACAGGACAAATCCCAGATAGTCTTGTTGACTGCTTTTAACTTGAAAACGCATACTTTGGGACATACTAGTCTAACACAGTTTTAACACACAGTGTAGTTGTCTCTATCCTAGCTGCCTTACACCGGCTGCTGTTTTCTTACTTTGCTGTCTCATGCAGAATATGAACTCAGACATATGACTATGGTAACTGAAAGAAAATAGAGTTTATATTGGATGCTAGCATCTGATTCGAATTTTGTTTTAAATATTTGGAATATATCCAATTTGTTTCTTTCTTTCCAAAATAATTACATCTTTATTTGGCAGCATGGCATTCTAATGATGCATATATAAGTATCTTTTTACTGTTGCCTGAGTATGTATTACTTTATCATGTTAGACTGGCTTTTTTAAAACCTTGTGTTAAAATGCAGTCAAAACAAAAAAGGCAGTTGTTTTACAAACAAAAATGCAAAATTTTCCCCAATATTTAGAAAATATTTTGAGGATAGATGCTAAGTATTTTTTGTTTCCTCTAATTACTAGATTTTATTTCTTGTCTTTGAAACATCTTTTCTATTTTCTATAAAATTTTCACAATGTTAAATATATTTATTTTAGGAGAGAAATACATTCATTATAGTTAAAGATTTGTTATTCAAATGGAAAACTATTAAAACAACAACACTTGTAGTTGCTTATTAAATACTAGAGAACCAAGATATGCAGAAAATTAGGAGAAAAAATCCATATATGCTTCAGGAAAAAATTGGCTTCTCCAAAAATCTGTTTAGGGCTTTATAATGCAGCGTAAGTTAGGAAAAGTACTGTGCTAAGATTGGATTTATGCTAAATTGGATCATTAATGATAATGAAATAATAAATATGAAAAGATTATACTGGAAAAAAATAAAGTTGATTTAAATAAGTCTTGAAATTTTGTTTTTATGCAAAACCAAATATTCAAGAAAATGGACTTTTTAGGAAATGTTTAATTTTGAAAGATTTGTGGACAGCAGAGTTTTTAAAATTAGGAGCTCTGATTTTTCTCAGCCATAAAGGTGACAGAGTATCCTGATTAAGTGGCACACTGGAAGAATTATTAATTTCTTATGCCTGCTAATAATATCAGGTTTTAATTAGTTTTCTAAACTTGCTAGATTAAAACATGCTTTTCTTTTAGAGTATTTTAGCTGCTCTTCATATCTGCTTGAAAAAAGACACTATTTTGACTACTAAGCCTTTCCTTTTCCCATTTTTGCTATTTTTGAATATTCTTTATTTTACTTATTTATTTTTGCAGCTCCTCTTTGCAGGTACCCTCAAACCTGGATCAGTACATTCCAGATATTTGTATAGGGTTTCCCAAGAAATAGATGGACAGGTAATAGCCAGACCTCTGCATTTGGTTGCACAGAGCACCTGCCTTAACTCCCAGAGAAGTCTTACAGAAAAGACAAACATCTGTATCTCTTGCTTATAGAATTCAGTTCAGTCTGAATTTGCTGACACTTAATGGGGAACGCAGGCTGCGTTGCTAATGGGTTTCCCAGATAGTTAAATCTGAAAGCTAACTTGATGATGGGTCAGATCTCTTTGAAAAGGTCCTTGAAAATTTTTGGATCTTTGCAAGATCTGTTAACCCATAGCCACACAGAATCTTTAATTTGCGCATTCTTGGCTTTGACTAATGTCATTTCATGTTCAGCTATCCTATGACTGGAATAAAATGATTTGGTACTTTTTTTCGATAGTTGTTCTGTGTGATAAGACTTGTCTTAAATATTTAGCTCGTTGGAAGTTTGTATAAATCATTGCTGGAATTAAGGAAGTAATTTGAAGGAGCATTGCTATATAGGCTTATCAGCAATTACAAATAAAATTATAGTGAATAAAAGAGGTTTCAAAGATGTAATACTAAAGAATGTCTGCACTGTTATCAAGGAATTAAATTTTACTAGAACAAGTCATTAAGGTAAAATTTTACTAGTAATAAATTTCCCAAGTATTACTAATTTTCTGAAAACAGTGGAATTAAGAATATATTTTTTTCAAAGCAGTCAGGAAGAAAATTGTTTATATAATATAAAACCCATTGTGCTTTTGTCTGGCTACTACTAGTTCATATATTGTACACATTTCTCATATATATGTACAGCATCTATCAAAAAATTCATCTTAAACTTGCTTTTGAGTACTTGGATTTGTTTCAAATTCTTACATATTTGTTAATAATTCCAGAGAAAGAAGGTCCAGAAAAGAAGAAGACAAAAAAGGAAGCTGGAAATAAGAAATCCACACCAGTTAGCATTCTTTTTGGTTATCCACTCTCTGAGCGAAAACAGATGGCACTTCTTATGCAGATGACAGCAAGAGACAACAGTCCAGGTGATACCTACCATCATTGAGTTAATGTGTATCCCTAGTTTTCCTCAGGCAACTGTAGTCTCGTCTTAACAATTATTTTAACTACTTTTAATTTTTATTCTTTCTTGGATTTAATCAGAATTACTTGTAAGTCAGTGGTAATTTTATGATTATTTGTGTGACAGTTTATCATCTGTATCCTCTGCTAAAGTAGAAGCTATACAAGAGTAGGGCTCTTTACACCATGTGTAATCCATGTTTTATTAAGATCTAAATTTTTTTATAAGGAAAAATGTCAGCAGTATATTAACAGTCATTTTATATTTCATGTCACATTTCCAGCTAAGGTGTTGTGCCACATGTATGTATGTTTATTTATATACTGTGTTCTCCAAAAATAATTGATGATGACTTACCAGCAGGACAAAAACAAAAAGGGAACAAACCAAACAACATGGTAATTTATAAAAGGGAGCTAAAAAGGTAGATAAAATCCAGGCAACTGGCCTGAGATAGTTATTACTATTCACATCCTGGCAGCTAAAAGTACAAAAGAAAATTTTTGAGTTACATAGTTCTCATTGACTGATTCAAGAAAGTAAATCACTTTTGTCTGGAGAAAATTTCTTTTGGCCCTGAATTCAAAGCAATTTTATGTAAGACTCTGGGTTACGTAACAGTCCATGTTGAAATGCATTGAAAAAGATAATTTTTCAGTGAGTTTTTCCTGTATTGCCTCTTTTTAAAAAACGGGATGACATGGTTAAATTCTTAAGAGTTTCTAAATATTATAATTTCAAAGCATGAGCGTATCTAATATCTGTCACTGCTAAAAAAATGTTTTAGGGCTTCCTGCTTTTAAAAATAGAGTACGTTGTGGTTACTCACTCCTACCTTTTCCACCTCCAACATGGGAAAGTCTGTGACCAAATTAAAGTCATTTTGCCATGTAAAAACTTTGACTGTTTCTGTAAAATTTTGACTTTGACTTTAAGTCTGATTTAATATTTTAAATGGAAAGACATTTATTAAAACTGATTTTTTAAAATAGCGTGAACCTTTGTCCTTAAAGTAAATTAAAAGACCAACAGACAAAAAGTAAAAGTCTTTCATCTCCAATCACCTCCCCTCAAGAGGTGACCACTGTTAACAGTTTCTTATCTTTATTTATGTAGCTTTTCTAGGCATAAACTTACAAATACGTATCTTTTGTTATGGGTTAATTTTTTTTTCTTTTTTAGTATAAATAGGAGTACACTATAATACTGTTCTGCAGTTGGTCTTTTTAAGGGTGATTCTTAGTCAACTCTCTATTAATATGTATAGAATTAGAATGGAAAACTTTTGAAATATCAAGCAGTTTGCCATCATACAGATATACTTGGAGTTTGTGGTTGTTTTATTCATTAGATAAGTCTTTAGATTTTAAGAAATTCAGCAAGCAAATTCTCTTCACAAATAATTTGACTATAAGGATTACATTAAAATTTATTCATTCAACAAATATTTCTTGAATACCGCTGTGGTATATGAGAAGTCTTCTAAGCAGTGATGAGTAAGATAGATAAGGCCCTTTTCTTTGGGAGTGTAAATTTCTAGAAAAACTTCTGTAGGAAACTATTACCGAGACAATGTACTTTAAAATCCAAAAGGTAGGGCCGGGCATGGTAGCTCGAGCCTGTAATCCCAGCACTTTGGGAGGCTGAGGCAGGCAGATCACTTGAGGCCAGGAGTTTGAGACCAGCCTGGCCAACATGGTGAAACCCTGTCTCTACTAAAAAATACAAAAATCAGCCGGGCATGGTGGCACACGCCCGTAATCCAGCCACTCGGGAGGCTGAGGTGGAAGAATTTCATTTCTTGAACCCGGGAGGTAGAGGTTGCAGTGAGCCTAGATCAAACTACCACGCTCCAGCCTGGGCAACAGAGTGAGACTCTGTCTCAAAAAAAAAAAAAATCCAAAAGATGAACCTTACACTTTTTTTTTTTATTGAGGAAAGGATGGTATTGCCTTAGAGCTCTAATCGTGTCAGGTTTTAAACTGGTAAAAATTATTTTCCATATATTTCTTTTCTCTTAGAGCAGTTCCTTTTATATAGTTGTAAATTTTCAGAATTAATTAACACTGTATATATGTCTTGAATCCTTAATTAAGAAACCAGTTTTTGTTTTTTTGTAGTTTTGAAATTGGAGAGGAGACTTTGGGCATCATCTAATTTAACTTTTTTTTTTTAAATATAGAAACTAGAACAAATATCAAAATATGAGAATCAAGGCAAAGCAGTTTTTAAAGGCCCTTTTCCAGACTACCCTTATTTTTTGTAGCTCTTCTCTTTCATTTTCATAGTAAAATCGTTATGACCTTGATTTGCACATAATATAAGAACAGAAGAACTCCAATGCTTTGTCTGAGTCAGAAGTGTGGACTCCAGCCTTCAATTTCACTTCCTCTAGGTCTTAGAATAATAGCATAACATACCTAGGAAAAATGTTTCATAGTTCATCACATCATTCATTAAGGAAACATTTTAGAGTACGTATTTGATACTTTATCATTTTAAACCAATTTTATGAATTGACAAAACATTTTTTTTAATTGGCTAATGATATTTGATAACCCTGAAGGGAAGATCTCTGTGTATTTGGGTCATTAACGGATCATCCAAGTCAAGGTTTAGGTTGTTAGGGTGAGAAGGCATTCCTTGTGTTTCAGGAGATTAGCATATTACCAATAAAAACATTTAAATAAGTATACAGAATATTTAGCCTAGAACTTCTGCTAACTTTCTTCTTTCTTACAGATTCCACACCAAATCATCCATCACAAACAACGCCTGCCCAAAAGAAAACTCCCAGTTCTTCATCTCGACAGAAAGATAAAGTTAATAAAAGAAATGAACGTGGTGAAACTCCTTTACACATGGCTGCTATTCGAGGAGATGTGAAACAAGTTAAAGAATTAATAAGTTTAGGGGCAAATGTGAATGTGAAAGATTTTGCAGGTAAGACTAGTAATTCAATACCTACTATTCAGGCACTAAAATTTAAACAGATCCTGGTTACAATTTAATCTACATTCTTTTATTCATTTTGCTGAAATGAAAGAGTTCTAAAAATACTCTTTATTACAAAACTTTTGGAGTTCGTACATAAAACCCCTGATTTCTACTACAATTCCATGTCAATAATTACTCATATTTTTATATACTAAACTTATACTTTAGTTGACATATTACTTGCTGTATAGTTCTTTATCCAAGTTAGGTTTTGCCCTAGATGAATTTGAGTTATATGTTTTCAAAGTAGTTGATTCATTCATAAGTATTTTAAGAACATTTATTAACTTGAACCATGAGGACTGTAAGAGTGTGGTGTTATTACTTTCATTTTCATTATTCAAGTAGCATACCAGTACATTCTTGCTGTAAATAATTCAACAGTAAAAGTATGTAGGGAACAATTCAAAAATTTTCTTTAATTTCACATACTGCACAACCCTACCCTCCCTCCCACACAGGTTCTTTCTCTTCCATAGAACTATGGTTAACGCTTAGGAGGTTACTCATTCAGTTCATTTTTATTATATATGTATAAAGCAAATACTTACTTATATATTGGCTTTTTAAAGTGAAATCATTCCATCTGTATCAATCTGTAGTTCTGCAACCTGCCTTAATGTCTTACAGATATTTCTATATATTCTTACAGTATATATAGGTAGGCCTACTCCATTAATTTTTAATAGCTGCATAATATTTTCTGGTATAGCATTCCGTAGGCAACACTGTAGTAAATACCTATATAGAAACATCTTTGTGTATATTTATGGAAGTATTTCAGTAGAAGTGAAATTGCTAAATCAATGGAGATACATGTTTTAGATTTTTGAAATAATGGAAATTGCCCCCCCCAAAATTCTGTATCAATTCATACTACCATCAAGAGTATATAAAAGAGCCATTTTCCTCATATCTTCAGTAAAACTGGATATTATCAACTTTTAATTATTAACAATCTGAAGAATGAAAAAAATCTTAATTTGGATTTTCATGATCAGTAGTGATGGTAAACATTTCTTATGTTTATTATAAACTTATGTGTATTTTATGAATTGTTAGATCCACTCCTTTGCTCATTTTCTTTTGGTTTAGTCCTGTTTTTAATCTACAAGAGCCTTTATTTAGTCTAGATTTTCTCTATCAAATATGTAAAGATTTTCACAGTCTGTGGCTTAGGTTGAATACACTCTCATTACAGTGTTTATTGTACTACAGTTTTCATCTTTTATGTATCATATCAATTGAGCTTTATGGGTTCTTGGTTTGGTATTTTATTTAAGAAGGCCTTGTCTTTCTCTGTATCATAAAACTATTCCTATATTTTCTGTTTTTCAAATTTGGTTTCTGTTTTGTTTTTACATGTAGCCCTATTATAATACACCTGGAATTTATGTCTTTATTTGCTGTGAGTGGGGAATGGTGTGATATACAGTATCTACCTTAAAGAGTGAGACTTAAAATGCATGGCATTTATTCTAGAGGAAAACTTGACATTATTTATCAGAAACCTAAAAAATATTTCTTTCATCTGACAATTCCACTCTCAAGGATTTATTTTAAATAGTTAATCATGGATGTACATGAAGATTTAGTTGTAAGGATACTTGTTACAGCATTGTTTCTAATTAAAAACTAGCAACAATCTGTATCCTTAGTAATAGGAACTCGTTGAAGGAAATTATGGTATATTTGATTAGTACAATACTATGTTGTAGAAAAGTATAATGACATAGGGAATTATTTTCACTTTAGTAAGTAGAGGAAGCAGGTTGTTATTCATCTAAGTTTTATAAATATGTGGGAGAGCTAGTAGATATTATGTTGGATTCTTCAAATTATTATTTCTGGGTGGTGAGATTATGGACAGTGTTTATTTTCTTTGTATTTTTAAGTTATCTAATATTTCTTTTGTGAACATGTAACTTTTTAATTACAAAAGTAATTAAGTTTATTTTAGTTAAAATAAGTATTAAGTCCAGAAAATATTGTATCAACAGAATAAAGCCCTTAAGACATCAGGATTTTTGTTTACTGAAAGACTCTAATCAAGCTTACTAATATTTTGCCTCTTTAAAATTCTTTTTCATAGTTTAAATGATTATTAAAAATTATATCAAGCTTATATTTATTGGAAAGCTTAAATATTTAATACTTTTGTCAAATAATTTAGCACAGTGGAAATACTGTTGACCCTTGAACTGTGTAGGTCTACTTATATGTGGATTTTTTTCAGTAAATATATTTGAAATTTTTTTTGAGATTTGGAACAATTTGGAAAAACTCATAGATGAACTGCATAGCCTAGAAATAGTGAAAATAGGAAAAAATTAAATACATTATAAGTGCATAAAAGATACCTACATACTAGTCTGTTCTATCACTTACTACCATAAAATATACACAAATCTGTTCTAAAAAGTTAAAACATATGCATACAGACATAGGCTATACATAGCACCATTCAGAATCAGGAGAAATGTAAACAAACATAAAGATGCAGTATTAAATCATAGCTGCATAAAATTTACTGTAGTACATATTATACTCCTGTAATAATTGCATAGCTACCTCCTGTTACCATTGTGGTGAGCTCAAATATTGGGACTATCTGCTTAAAACACCATGTGACTGACACAAATCATCTCCACATAAGCAGTTCGTCTCTCCAGTAAGTTGCATGCCACAGTGAAATGTGTGATTCTTGCATATTTTTCATCGTGTTTAGTAGAATACTGTAAGCCTTGAATAATACCAGGGGACCCATTTTAAGTGCTCCTAGTGATACTAGAAGTGCTCCTAAGAAACAGAAGAGTTACGACATTAAAAGAAAAAATTGAATTGCTTGATAATGTACTATAAATTGAGGTCTGCAGCTGTGGTTACCTGCCATTTGAAGATGAACGAATCCAGCATAAGGACCAGTGGAAAAAAGGAAAGGAAATTTGTGAAGCCATTGATGGAGCTATGCTAGTGGGTTTGAAAACGTTGCACTTTTTTGTAAAACATTCTTTTATCTCATGCAGCTTTTATGCGAATGCAAGATTGCTATAAAAAAGGCGTACCTATAGATTAGATTGAAGAAAACATGAAGTCATTATACAACAATTTTAAGGAAGATCAGGGATCTAAAGCTGGGGAATTTAACGCCAGCAAAGGATGGTTTAATAATTTTAGAACAAGGTTTCGTTTAAAAAAATGTCAAGATAACAGGAGAAGTGGCTTCAGTCCACTGATAGGCAGCAAATAAATTCCCAGATACCATTAAGAAAATCAGTGAGGAAAAAAGAAAATCTGCCTGAACAGTTTTTTAATGTGGACAAAAGTACCCTATTCTGGGAAAAAGAAAAATCCACAAAGGACATTTATTAGTAAGGAAGAGAAGCAAGCACCAAGATTTAGGGCAGGAAGGGATTAGCTAACTCTCCTGTTTTATGTAAATACAGTTGGGTTTATGATCAGGACTGCCCCCTGAACCCTGAAGGGAAAAGGTAAACCCAGCTGCCAGTCTTTTGGTTGTATAACAAGAAGGCCTGGACAATGAGAACTCTTTTCTGGATTGATGTCATCAATTTCTTCCTGAAGTCAGGAAGTACTTTGCCAGGAAGGAGGCTGTCTTTTAGTGTCCTCTGGCCTCCCAGAACCAATTGATTTCGACACCAAAGGCATTAAAGTGGTGTACAAACATGGTGTTTCTAAACCAGCCTCTAATTAGAGGGTCATAAGGAACTTTAAAGCTCATTACACACGGTACTCCAGGGAAAGGATTGTCAACGCTGTAGAAGAGAACTCCGATAGAATGTCATGAAAGTCTGGAAGGATTACACCATTGAAGATGCTGTCATTGTTAAAGAAAAAGCTGTGAAAGCTCTCTCCTCCTGGAGAAAACTGTGTCCAGATGTTGTCATGACGTCACAGGATTTACCACAGAACCAGTCAAGGAAATCATGAAAGAGATTGTGGATATGTCAAAAAAGGTAGCGGGTGAAAAGTTTCAAAATATGGATCTTGGAGAAATTGAGGAGCTAGTAGATACCACATCAGAGGTATTAATAGGTGACTTGATGGAGTTGAATGCTTCCAAAACAGTTTCAAGTGATGAGGAAGAAGACAGAAGAAGCCATGCCAGAAAACAGATTGACCTTAGAGGGTTCCAATAATTTAAGGCTGCTTTTACTTTTTTTTTTTTTTTTTAAACACCAATCCTTGTATGATCCAGGCACTGAAACTAAAGCAAACAGTGGAAGAAGGAGGGTGGCACTGTATTAAAACATTTTTAGAGAAATGAAAAAGCAAAAAAGTGAGACACAAATTTACAATGTATTTTTGTGAAGTTACACCAAATATGCCTGCCTCTCCCACCTTTACTTTTACCTCTTCTCCCTCTGCCACCTCTGAGACAGCAAGACCAACCCCTTCTCCCTTCTCTTCAGCCTACTCACCGTGAAGATGATGATGACCTTTTTGATGATCCACTTCTACTTAATGAATAATAGATTTTTCTTACGATTTTGTTAAATAACAATTTTTCTCTAGCTTTATTGTAAGAGTACAGTATATAATACATACACAAAGTATGTGTTAGTCAAACTGTTCATGTTACTGGTAAGGCTTCCAGTTAACAGTAGGCTATTAGTAAAGTTTTGGGGAGTCAAAAGTTATATGTGGATTTTTGACTGCATGGGGGTTAACACCCCTAACCTTCACCTTGTTCAAGGGTCAACTGTAATATTATCTTGAATGAACCTTCAGTAAATTGATATTGTTCTTATTTATTTTTAGTAGCTTCTTCATCACTCCTTTTTTTTTGCACGATGTGCAGTTTTAGAATTTATATGTCACACATTGGTATGTATATGAAAAGCATATATTTTGAAGTAGCGCAAGTGAATCATGTTAAATTAATAATCTAACTTTAGGTTGGACACCACTGCATGAAGCTTGCAATGTTGGATATTACGATGTTGCTAAGATACTTATAGCAGCTGGAGCAGATGTTAACACACAAGGATTAGATGATGACACTCCACTCCATGATTCTGCTAGTAGTGGGCACAGAGATGTAAGTATGATAGAAAAAAATCAATAATACACATTTGCAAAATATAAATTCAACCCAAAGTAATTTCATTCACTTCTTAGTCATATGATCTGTGTCATATTCCACTCATTGCTTGAACAACTCATCTATATTTTGTTTTCCCTTTTTTCTACTAAGTATTAGTTCATAGTCAGATTTAGCATTTTCTTTTCATAAAACCCTTTTAATTTGACAGTTGATTAAATAATTTGGCAAAATTTTTATTTCAAGGCATTCTTTATAAGACAATTGGATGTGTTAAAGCAGTCTTTATATATAGTAAAAATTGTACAGTGTTGAATTGCCTATCTTTTGAAGGGCATTTTACTTTAGTTGAGACAAAAATAGAATTTGGAGTAAAGATAGATACAAGTGCAGTTCTGGCCTGGCCAGTTTACTAGCTGTGTAATCTTGAACAGGTTACTTCCCTCCTCGGAACCTCCGTTTCCTCATCTTTAAATTATATGATAAATAATACCTATCTAAAATTGATATTTCAAAGGAAAAAAAGACACTACATGTAAATGCACATTGAAATTTAAGATGGTCTAGAAGTATCAGGGGTAAAAGATTAAAAAGCTGCCTTTGTGGGTGCAGTCAAATACACCTAAAATTCAGAAATTAAAAATGCTATTTTTCTCAATTACATTTCTATAAGGCATTTTTCCATGTTTCTCAGCAAAGAAGTCTTATTTTGAATGAAGAAAAATGTAGCCTATAATTTTTTAAAACTGATTCTTGCCTACCAGTGGTCTACTCTTTTCTCTGTGCTCCTTTGGCAATTTGTACAAACCTATATCATAGCATTTTACTACCTTATTTTTTACTGATATTCTTGTCTAGTGTCATGTTTCCTGCACTAGACTGCAAGTACTACCATGCATACTGGCATTTTATGTTGTTTTCTGTTATTTACTCTGGAACTGCTTGTCACCTAGAAATGTTCAGTATATCCATCATGGATGCACTTGTAGATAGATGGATAGGTAGATGAATGGATAACTGACTGAGGATAGGCAGAATGACAAAAACTTAATCCATCAGGCCTGACAACATGTAGGGTACATTGCCCTTTCCTTTGAATTTATCGGAAACTGACTTACTTTCTGGCTTTGATATTTTAAATAGTGCCCTTTTAAAAAATATTATTGATAGTTTACCAAGAATGAATGATTTTCCTTTGAATATGATAATAAAGGTTTCCCGATTTCTAAGTGTAATTTTAAAGAATTATGCCTGTGACTAAGACATGGTTTCTGTGAACACAAGTTTCTAAATATGCACATAGCTGCAGAATATTTCCAGAAGCTGACCTTTTGAGCTCATGTACTTACAAGGACTCACACTATTTCCAGTCTCTTCCCAGAGGGAGGGACCTTTGCTTTTCCTCCTACCAACATGCCTAGGATAGTAGGAGTCACCATTGAAGAGCTATTGAGAGCTATTTTCTCCTTGTTCCTTTTACTTGTGCGTTAGGAGGAAGAATGAGAGCCACCAAAAATTCATTTCTGTATATCCCTAATGTGTATTCTGAGCCACTCCCAAATAATTAGATTTCTTTCTTTCAGTAATAGTCATGACAACTTCAGCCATCCATAAAGCATTTTTTTAAGATGGGAAAAGCAGAAATATAACGGTTCTGTAGCCAGATCTAAATTATTATAGAGAGGATTAACATAGCTTACTAAGAACCTAATTTTTGACTTGTTTGTAAATGTATAGTAATTCCTAAAACACTTCTTTTTTCTTTTTTTTTTTTTCTTTTTTTTGAGACAGCATCTTGCTGTATCACCCACACTAGAGTGTAGTGGTGCAATCACAGATTACTGCAGCCTCAACCTCGTGGGCTCAAGTGATCCTCCTGCTTTAGCTTCCCAAGTAGCTGGACTACAGGCACGCACACCATGCTAGGCTAATTTTTAATTTTTTTTGTAGAGACCCTGTGTTGTTCAGGCTGGTCTTGAACTCATGAGCTCAAGCGATCCTCCTGCCTCAGGCTCCCAAAGCGTTGGGATTATGGGCATTAGCCACCGGTGGCACCTCACCATAATACACATTTTAATACTAGCCTTATTTCTAGTTCTATTTTAGATACGTATCATCTTTTGTCATCATTTTTACCTACTTCTAATTTATTGACTGTTATGTTTTAAGCAACTTTAAGAACAATTATTTGCATTTGAGGATGAGCTGTAAAATCTTGATTATTTGATTTAGGGTGTTTGTAATATGTGAATGAACCAGCTGTACCTGATTCTGTATAGTCATGTAATAAGTATTTATTGATGTATTCCTGATGGGGATAGAAAGCTTTCAGCAATATCAAAATTCTTTATTCTGTTTTCTCATTCTAGGGCTCTAGTCTAAGGAAATAAGCCTAAAATTGGAAAAATTTCAGCTCATAAAGATATCCACTACAGTATTATTTATAATGACTAGAAGATTTTTATTTCAGTTACTTTCTCAAATCCCTAAAATGACAGTAAGGGGCAGTTTCAAAGGATAGACCCACAAGGGCAAAGAACAGAAGAAACAAATATTTTGGAAGATAGAAATTGGAGAAATGAGCAGTTACTGATGTAGAACAGGGTTTGACAATTTTTTTCAATAAAGGGCCAAATAGTAAATATTTTAGGCTTTGCAGGCCACATACTCCCTCCTTCACCTCCTCTTGCCTCCTCCCTCTCCTCTTCTCCTTCAACAGTCCTTTAAAAATATAAAAACTATTCTTAGCTGGCAGACCAGGTTGGCCCGTAGGTCATAATTTGCCCACCTCTGATTTAAAAGAGACAAGAAAATTGAAACCAGAGCCATACAACACAGAATCCTAGAAAGAAAAGAAAAAAAAAAAAAAGCTTAGGAATCGATAGTACCAATGACCTCTGGAAGTGCTTCTTAAGATATGGAAACGACTATTAGATCAAAGGTTTTTTAGCTCTCACATCCTCTCCCCAGTCTTACACAGCCCAGTAATTGCTCCTCTCTCACCCTGGGTAGATTACTGGAATATGGAGATAAGTATCAGGGACAACTGTTCTTCACCAGCAGACTTGGAAACCTAGTTGATCTTTTAAAATCGTAAGCATGTGTAATTTGATAAAAATTAAACAGTTAATAGTTGGTATCATGAGTAAGTTGTTTTCTTTATACATTATTACATTTCAGATTTTCTGCAGTAATCTAGAAAAGTTTTTTTCTTTATTCATTGTGAATCATTCTTAAATAATTTGTTACAAATTTCTAATTTCAGCATCTTGTTTTAAATTGTTCCTTTGATGGTAAATGCAGTTAATATTCATCTGTTTCATGTTATTCATTTAAGTATTTTTTAAGGTGTGATATGTTTTCTAAGTACCAGAAAACACCATAGTTATGTCCTCGAAATACAGAGATGAATAGAGACTTGATTTTATATGAAGCTTATAGTCCAAGGGGGGAAATGTGTTAATGAATGTGGTATAGGCTTATGTATGATAGAACACACCAGTGTTAATGGAAATGCACAAAATATCAAAACAAGAAGAGATGGTAAGGAGGCAGAATCAATAACACCTGGCTGCCTCTTTGATGTGTGTGAGTGAAAAAGAATTAACGATGACTCCCAAATTCTGGCTTCAAGGCTTCAGTGACTGGGAAAATTTTGGTGCCAGTTACTGAGAATGGAAATAGATAAAAGATAATAGTACAGGTTTAGTGAACTCCATTTGGGTCCTGTTGGTTTTATGCTTTTGTATTAAAATACACATAGAATCAGTTGGATGTGTCCAGTGAGTATTTGAATGTTTGGGTTTGGAGCTCAAAAGGGCTGAGAGAGAAAGCAGACAAGAGAATGAATGGATGGATCGCATAATTGTCATCACATTCAGAGTGGATAAGTTCTCCAAAGAGATGATATATATTAGAACATGAGAGAGTATATCAAGGACAGAGTCATAGGGAAACCATCATTGGTTTAGATCTTTTCAGGTCTTAAAAGGGCCATTCCATAAGATTGATGGTAGCAGAGTTGTAGGTGAAAGAGTGAAGGGCCAATAAGTAACAGCTGCAAGGGCAGATGTCTTTTCAGGAGATGGACAGTGAAGAAGAAAGGTTAGCTAGGGTAGGACGATATAGGTTTCAGCAAAGTTTCCTTGTTTTGTCCGTGTTTCATTTCTTTAATACCATTATTTTTTTAAGGTGCAAGAAATATGAACTGTGGAAAGATTGGCTTCTAAAAAGGAGCCAACCAAAAAGAGGTTAAAACTATGAAAGGAAGAGGATATGAAGAAAAAACAAGTAATAACTAACAGAGCAGAACCTGGTTATGTGGAACTTGAAGCTTACGTAATTCGTTAGAGAAGGAGAGAAGGCCTTTCAAAGTGATGACTACAACATTAGATACAGCATCCTTCTGTAAAGGACCCATGAAAGTGAAGGGTCTTGAAGTTTAAGCTTTGGAGTTAATGATACTTAAAATTCCTGGGCTATGGGAAATGGAGTAAGATTAAGAGCATTGACAGTGATATTAGCCTAAAGCAGAAGGGAAATACTTCTTTGAAACTTTTTCTAAGACACACATTTCAAGAGGCCAGGGAACTTGTTATTCTTGTTCATGGGTTTATTAGCAGAACTCGGAAGTGTAGATATTATAGGTTCTCAATAAATATTTGACTTTATGATGGAACAGGATGAAAAAATGATGAGATTAATTGCTAAAATAACCCAGTTTAAATTTTAAGGAGGAAATTTTTTTGTAGTAGTTGAGGTTATCAGATAGGGGAGTGTCAGTGAAAATGGATCTTGAAGAGAATAACGATTTAGAGTAGATGGTGAGGAATGGATGCAGAGTAAATGAGGTAACACTCAGAAGGATACTATGAGTATTATCAAGAGAATGGGTGCAGTGATAACAATCTGTGAAGGGACTAAGTCTTCCTGCTTTTTATTGTTGCAGATAGTAAAGCTGTTACTTCGTCACGGTGGAAATCCATTTCAAGCTAATAAACATGGGGAGCGTCCAGTGGATGTAGCAGAAACAGAGGAGTTGGAGTTGCTACTAAAAAGAGAGGTGCCTTTATCTGATGATGATGAAAGTTACACAGGTTTGTTTCAGATAATCTACATTCATCTGTTCGTTTGACATGATATTTGATAGAACATTCTGGATTCATTTGTAATATACAAAATGTTTGAATACTTTAGAATAATGCTGGCTAGCTAGAATAATGCTTAGCTAACTAGCTAAGAATGATGAAGTTAGTAACCTAGGTGTTTGCTACATATACCCTGTGTGAATGAAGTCATAATGCCATTGCCCCATTTCTGTTTTCTATAAATTGCTGAACTATTCATTATTACTTTTAAGCCTGCTGCAGAACCTCTCCCCATGCAGAGCTACCACCACTGCTACTCTGACTTCTTTTCATTCTATTATAAATTACAGAGCTACTAACCAAACACTTCATGTCTTTTTCCGGTGTCCTGGTGTTAACGAGTCATCTCTGTGATTTTACTTTTGTGATTTAGATGGTTGAATTCTGATCATTGTTGCAGGGAAGGACAATTTCTTTCTTTTTTTTTTTTTTAAACACAATTTTTTTTTAAAGATAACAAAAAAACATTTACTGTGTTGAAGAAAGTCGTCTTTATATAAAAGGGGTTTACCATATTTCAGGCAAAATTCAGTGAAAAAGAGTTTCATCAGTTTTACAAATGGCTGTTTCCTCGTAAAATCTTAAAGAATTCCTATAAGCAATTAGGTAATGCTACTTTTATATTACACATGAGGGAATAAAAACCATACTTCACTCATTTAATGTCAGCCATTGCCAGAAGGCAATGGATCATTTATAGTTTTGAGGCAGAAAGTTCTACCCTTTATTTTCATGTAATATAGTTAAATTATATTTCACATGGAAAGGCAATTGAAAGAACACACCTTCTGAATATAACATTTTACTTGTTGAACAAAAATTGTAAATATACTCCAACTGATTAAGAGATGCTGCCAAATTATAAACAAAAGAAAATGAAGTCATGGAATAAAAACTTTTGGCAGTGAGCACTGATTACAGACAAGATGATTAAATAACTGTGGTAAATATTGTCAAATTGAATGTAAATATCAGATCATACTTGAAAAGGGAAAAATGAAAAAATTTAATTATCTGAAATTTAAATACAAAATTAAAACCAACAACAACATTTGAGAGGTGATAATAAAAGTATAGTAAACTCAGGGTTGGGCGTGGTGGCTCACACCTGTAATCCCAGCGCTTTGGGAGGCCAATGTGGGCCAGATCACTTGAGGCCGAGAGTTCAAGACCAGCCTGGCCAACATGGTGAAACCCCACCTCTCTCTCTTTTTTTTTTTTGAGGTGGAGTCTCGCTCTGTCGCCCTGGCTGGAGTGCAGTGGCGTGATCTCGGCTCACTGCAAGCTCCGCCTCCCGGGTTCATGCCATTCTCCTGCCTCAGCCTCCCCCGAGTAGCTGGGACTACAGGCGCATGCCACCATGCCGGCTAATATTGTTTTTTACCCCGTCTCTATGAAAAATACAAAAAAAAACCCAAAACCAAAAAAAATGCTTTTGAAGACAAAGTAAGAATTTCAGTATTGACGTTAGACAAAGAATTGAAGTCAGGAAATAGTGCATGACAAAAGATAATTTTGTGGTAATAAAAGCATATGAACAAAGCAAAGATAAAAGTGTATTGCCTTCTTAATTAAATGTAGCTTTTGTTGTGGGGAAAAAAAATAAGAAAAGTATACTGCCTTAAACACTAGATAACACTGTCAAAATATATAAAGCAAAAGTTGTTAGAAATACAAGATAAAATTAACCAGAAACAGAATACTGAATACTAGTTGGAAACTTTAAGTTTTTTCAGCACATGCAGTTTCTTATTAAGTAGAAAGTCTCAGTTGTAGACATTGTATACGTAACCATTAGTACTTACGTGACGAGACCAGAGTTGTTCTGTGTTCAGTAAAAGTTCATAGTTATCTTCATTAAACTAGGTAAGAATGAAAATAAGTGAACTTAAGAAATCAAGAAGAGAAAGTAAAAGCAGATCCACAGAGAAAAGCAAGATAATAATGACTGGAAAGCACGTTTTCTAAGTATTATATAAAGAAACAAATGTCCTAATATTTCTAGACAATATAGCAGAATGAAACCAGGAGTTGCTTTTCTGACAAGATTAACTAGAACATCTAGCAAATCTAATTAAGGAAAAGTGAGTGGAAATCCATAAACATCACTGATGAGTAAGAAAATGGATAGAACCACAAAAGTTATAAAATTTTTTTCAGACTTTAACAGAATACTGTATATAGATCTTACCAAAAAAAAATTAAAAATGATAAACACAGAGCAGACAGAAACACAGACTGAAAGAGGGATATGAAAGGAGAAAGATTGGAAGACAGAGAGAGGGGTAGGTGCAGGCACACTCAGGTTGCCATACTGTTAAAATGGTCTAATGGTATAAAAGTAGAAACAGCTGCGGCTTTTTTTTTTAAGCCAGCAAAATCTTGATACTTTGAGAAGGGAAGACTATAACTAGAAAACTGCAGAACAGTCTTCAGTTTAACACAGTAATTAACATACAGAAGTGCTTGAATAAAAACTGCCCGATAAAATTGGTAAACATTTTTAAAATAATAGTATTTGGATGTTGGTGAGCTTGGAGTGAAGCTGGCACCATACACTGTTGTTGAGAGTGCTTTCTGGAAAACAATTTGTTAATAAGTGTGAAAAATTAAAAAAGATATAACTAGAAGTGCTGCAGAGATATAACCAGAAGTGCTGACTATATATATGTGTGTAAAGCTGTTAACATATTAGTGCTTATAATACTGAAAATTTAGAATGACTTAAATGCCCCCAAAATGGGCAGAGAAATAATTTTTAAAGTTTATGTATCTTGTGTAGCCATTGTGTTTGTACATTTTTCTAATGATATGGTTAAGTATCTTCTATATACGGTATATACCAAAAGATAAGATAATCTACATTTTCCTCCAGTAAGAATTAAAAAATTAAAAAGTCTTGTGGGCTGGGCATGGTGGCATGTGCCTGCAATTCCAGCTATTCCAGGAGCTGAACCCAGGAGTTTGAGACTAGCCTGGGCATTAGAGCAAGCTCCTGCCTCCAAAAAAAACACCTCTTCAGTAATTAAGAGAGACAACAGATGGAAATAAAGATTTTTAAAAAGACAAAAGGCTTGTGAACTATTTGAATAAATAAACAATATAGGGATAGAATAGTCATCTATTTAAAGTATTAATTTGGCCAGGCACAGTGACTTATGCCTGTAATCCCAGCACTTTTGGGAAGTCGAGGCGGACAGATCACTTGAGCCCAGGAGTTCGAGACCAGCCTGGGCAACATGGTGAAACCCCATCTCTACAAAAAATACAAAAATTAGCCAGGCATGGTGGCGTGCGTCTGTAGTACCAGCTACTTGGGAGGCTGAGGTGGGAGAATGTCTTGAGCCCAGGAGGCGGAGGTTGCAAGGAGCTGAGGTCGTGCCACTGCATTCCAGCCTGGCTGACAGAGCCAGACTATCTTTAAAAAAAAAAAAAAAAAGTATTCAAATATATACATTTGAGATAACATACGTATTAATGTAGAAATACTAATTTTTCCCCCTACTCTGTCCTGAAATGATTTTGTAAACACTGTTCTCTTATTTTGACATCAATGTTTTCGTCATCACCAGAACCACCTTTTAGCCACTAATGATCTTCCATCTTAAATTCTCTGTCCACAACCTTAGATCCTCAATACTTTCGAAATCCAAATATGATTCCATAGGAAAATTTATCCCAAATTACCCACTTACAATTTGTGCTTTTTATAACATAACCACTTACAGTACTTTTTTAAAAATCCCCATACATTATTATGAAAATATTCAAACATGTAGCAAAGCTCAAAGAATTGTATAATGAACATCCTGTACCCACTAACTACATTTAACAGCTGTTAATCTTTTGCTCTGTTTCCTTTATTACACTATCACATATCTATCCATCAATCCATATTATTTTTTGATATGTTTTATAAGTTGAAGACATTCCTAAGTACTTAAGCATGCATTTCATTAGAGTTTAAATTTTTTTGCAATATTCATGGTTGTGATGTAATTCTTAAATATAATGTATATATGAGATATATGAGTTTTTGAAATGCCTCCACCTGTATAATCCAACACCATCAAGATACAGAATATTTCCAAGGCCGGGCACGGTGGCTCACGCCTGTAATCCCAGGACTCTGGGAGGCTGAGGTGGGTGGATCACCTGAGGTCAGGAGTTCAAGACTAGCCTGGGCAACATGATGAAACCCCATCTCTATTAAAGGTACAAAAACTTAGCTGGGCGTGGTGGTGCGTGCCTGTAGTCCCAGCTACTCAGGAGGCTGAGGCAGGAGAATCACTTAAACCTGGGAGGCAGAAGTTGCAGTAAGCTGAGTTCGCACCATTACACTCCAGCCTGGGCAACAAGAGTGATGCTCTGTCTCAAAAAAAGAAAAAAAAATTTCCCATCACTCCTGAAAGTTCCTTGATGCCCCTTCCTAGTCAGTTCCTGCCCCTCCCACTGATCATTTTATACCCATCATGATAAACATGATTAGACAATAATGACTAATGGCTGATAAACTTGGGGGGGTGGATTTTTACTGAGAAGCAGGGTTTTTACATACCCTTTTCACATCAGAAAGGGTGGGTGGAGGAAAAACAAACCAGTGATTATATGGTAGAGAAATCCAGCAGCACCTAGACTGTGTGAACTCCATTTACATCATCAAAGGAAGGAGATATGGCCATATCTGCCTCCAGATGTGATACCTAAAAGGGATATAACATCACTTTTTTAGTATTACAGCTGAGAATGCATCATCATGAGAAATGCTCTTTTTTAAAAAAAATAAAGCCAGTTTTGTGTCATGAAAGATTAAGAAATGGGAATTTTCGTAAGAAACCAATAAAGGCAGTAGAAATATGCCAGATTATCCGCAGAGATGGTAATTAAAGGCAATACCTGCTCCTAGACTGGATCCTGTACTGGAGGGGAAAAATGATTATAAAGGACGTTATTAGATCATTTAACAAGGAAATGGACAGTAGATTGGTGTCATATCAGTGTAAATTTATGAAGTTGATTACTGTGGTGACAGAAGAGAATATTCTTGTGTCTTAGGAAATACTAAAATATATATGGTTTAGGGCCATGATGCATTTAATTTACACTCATATACTTTAGAAAAAGATATGTAATATATATACATATATATAGAAAGAGAACAAGTTATAAAGCAAGGAGGTAAAACATTAACTGGATAAATCTGGGTTACAGATATATAGTGTTCAGTATTTATTTCTCTAACTTCTTGTGAGTGTGAAATTATTTCTGAATTAAATTATACAAATAACTAAAAGGAATGACTAAAATAGCAGTTATCATTCCCACCTTCCAGGTTATGATCTTAAAATGTTTTCTACAAAAAGAAAACCAAGATTTCATAGAAGAAGATGATTCCAGGTCTGGGGCAGGAAATGTTTGAGCTTGGAATATCTTAAAATTCCAGATTTCAGGGAAGCTATCAAAGACTAATATAAGATCTTACCGAAAGGTGTTAGGAGACAATTTGGAGCAGTTTTGTATTGACCAAAGATGGGACAATGTGAGCTTCAAGAACAGAATAAATTGCCGTGGTTTGAAATCCATCAAAGATGTTGAAACCCATGAGTTTATTATGATGATTTTCCCCTTTTTTCACTATATAATCATTTGCATATTTATGAGGTACATGTGAGTTTGTTACATGCAAATAATGTGTAATGATCAAGTGAGGGTAATTGGGGTATCCATCACCTTAAGTGTTATTTTTATATGTTGGTATCATTTCAAGTCATCTCTTCTAGTTACTTTGAAATATACATAATACTGTTGCTAAGTATAGTCACCTTAATCTGCTATCAAACATTAGAACTTACTTCATCTAACCCTATGTTTGTATCCACATCCATTGCTTCCCCACTCTCCCCCACCAATCCCCTTCCCATTCTCTGGTATCTGTCATTCTAGTCTCTATGTCCATGAGATTTAAGTTTCTTAGCTTCCACATATGAGTGAGAGAACATGCTGTCTTTGTCTTTCTGTGCCTGACTTCACTAATTCCATCCATGTTGCTGCAAATGACATCCATGTTGCTGCAAATGAAATCCATGTTGCTGCAAATGACATGATTTCATTCCTTTGTATGGCTGAATAGTACTCTAGTGTATATATGCACCACATTTTCTTTATCCATTCATCCGTTGATGGGCATTTAGGTTGATTCCATATCTTTGCTGTCGGGAACAGAGCTACAATAAACTTGTAAGTGCAGGTATCCCTTTGATGTACTGATTTCCTTTCTTTTGGATGGATACTTGGTAGTGGGATTGCTGGATGGTATTCTATTTTTAATTTTCTGAGAAATCTCCAAACTTTTCCATAGCAGTTGTACTAATTTACATTCCCACTAACAGTGTAAAAGAGGTTCCCTTTTCTCCACACCCTCGCCAGTAACTGTTATTTTTTGTCTTTGTGATAATAGCCATTCTAACCGGGGTGAGATGCTATCTCATTGTGATTTTGATACCTTTCCCTGATGATTAGTGATGTCGAGAATTTTTTCATATATTAGCCATTTGTATCTTTTTTGAGAAATGTCTTCCAAGTCCTTTGCCCATTTTTTAATGGGATTATTTGGAGTTTTCTTCACTGTTGAGGTACTTGAATTTCTTGTATATTCTGGATATTAGTCCCTTGTCAGATGAGTAATTTGCAAATATTTTCTCTCATTCGAGGGTTGTCTCTTTACCCTCTTGATTCTTTTTGCTATGGAGGAGTTTTATAGTTTGATAGCCCCATTTGTCTACTTTTTTGTTTCCTGTGCATTTGAGGTCTTAGCTCTAAAATCTTTGCCTAGACCAATGTCCTAAAGAGTTTTCCATGTGCTTTTTTTTTTTTACTAGTTTTATAATTTTGAGTCTCACATTTAAGTCTTTAATTCATTTTGAGTTGACTTTTATATGTGGTGAGAAATAGGGATCCAGTTTCATTCTTCTGCATATGGTTATCCAGTCTTCCCAGCACCATTTATTGAAGATGGTATTCGTCCCTCAGTGTATGTATGTTGGTGGCTTTATCAAAGATCATTTGGCTGTAAATATGCAGATTTATTTCTGGGTTCTCTGTTCTGTTTCATTGGTCTCTGTGTCTGTTTTTATACCAACACTGTGCTCTCTCAGTCCCTGTAATATATTTTGAAGTGATTCCTCCAGCTTTGTTCTATTTGCTCAGGATTGCTTTGGCTATTCAGGCTCTTTTTTGTTTCCATACATGTTTATGGATTGTTTTTTCTATTTCTGTGAAAAATGACATTGATATTTTGATGGGGATTACATTGAGTCTGTAGACTGCTTTGGGCAGCTTGGTCACTGTAATGACATTAATTCTTCTGATCTATGAGCATGGGAGGTTTTTCCATTTGTTTGTGTCTGCTTCAGTTTCTTCCATCAGCGTTTTGTAGTTTTCTTTGTAGAGATCTTTCACCTCCTTGGTTAAAGTTATTCCTAGTTGTTTGTTGTTGTTGTTGTTGTTTGTTTTGATAGCTATTGTAAATGAGATTGCCTTGATTTCTTTTTCAGCTGTTTCATTATTGGTGTGTAAAAATGCTACTGATTTTTGTATTTTGACTTTGTATCTGCAACGTTACTGAATTTGATTATCAGTTGTTAGTCAAATGTGTTTTCTGCTTGTGTTGAAATTATTATATGGTTTTTGTCCTTCATTCTGTTTATGTGATGTATGACGTTTATTGACTTGCATATTTTGAACCATGCTTGCATCCCTGGTATAAATTCCATTTGATCATGTTGTATTATCTTTTCGATGTGCCATTGGATTCAGTTTGCTAATATTTTGTTGAGGATTTTTACATCTTTTCATCAGGGATGTTGGCCTATAGTTTTCTTTTTTTGTTGTGTCCTTCTCTGGTTGTGGAATCAGGGTGATGCTGGCTTTGTAGAATGGGTTAGGGAGAATCCCCTCCTCTTCAATTTTTTGGAGTAGTTGCAAGAAGATTGGTGTTAGTTCTTCTTTGTACTAATTTGTAATTCTTTGTACTTCTTTGTGGTAATGCTTTGGTAGAATTCTGCAGTGAGTCCATCTGGTCCCCAGCTTTTCTTTGTTAGGAGACTTTTTATTACTGAATTGGTCTATTCAGATTTTCTGTTACTTTCTGGTTTGATTTTGGCAGGTTGTATATTTCCAGGACTGTATCCATTCCCTCTAGGTTTTTCAGTTTGTTGCATATAGTTCATAATAGTCTCTGGTGATTTTCGGTATTTCTGTGATATCAGTTGTAATGTCCCCTTTTTTATTTCTGATTTTGTTTGGATCTCCTTTCTTCTTAGTTAGTCTAGTTAGCAGTTTATCTTTTCAGAGAACTGATTTTTCATTCCATAGATCCTTTGCATTTTTTTAAGTCTCTGTATTTTGTTTAGTTCTGCTGTGATCTTTATTATTTCTTCTGCTAGCATGAGGTTTAGTTTGTTTTTGCTTTTTTTAGTACCTTGAGGTGTGTATCACTATAGTGTTTATTTAAAATATTTATTTGTGTTTATTGCTATAAACCTCTTTTTTAGCATTGCTTTTGCTGTGTCCCCAGGTTTTGGTATGTTGTGTTTCTACTTTCTTCTTTTTTTTTTTTTTCTTCTTTGAGACAGAGTCTAGCTCTGTTGCCCAGGCTTGAGTGCAGTGGCACGATCTCGGCTTATTGCAACCTTTGCCTCCCAGGCTCAAGAGATTCTCCTGCCTCAGCCTCCCGAGCAGCTGGGACTACAGATGCGTGCCATCACACCTGGATAATTTTTGTATTTTTTTTTTTTTTAGTAGAGATGGGGTTTCACCATGTTGGCCAGACTGGTCTTGAACTCCTGACCTCAAGTGATCTGCCCGCTTCGGCCTCCCAAAGTGCTAGGATTACAGGCGTAAGCCACCATGCCTGGCCTCCACTTTCATTTGTTTCAAGAATTTTTTTTATTTCCATCTAATTTCTTCATTGATCTAGTGGTCGTTCATGAGCATATTGTTTAATTTTTGTGTATTTGTATAGTGTTCAAAGTTCCTTTTGGTATTGATTTCTAGTTTCATCCCATTGTGGAATACACTGTGATTTCAAGTTTTAAAAATTTGTTGAGACTAGTTTTGTGGCCTAACATGGTCAGTCACATGTTCCATGTGCTGATGAGAAGAATGTGTATTCTGCAGTTGTTGGATAAAATGTTCTGAAAGTGTCTGTTAGGTCCTTTGGTCTGAAGTCCAGTATAAGTCCAGTGTTTCTTTATTTTCTATCTAGATGATCTGTCTAATGCTGACAGTGATGTGTTGAAGTCCCCCGTTACTATTGTATTGGAGTCTTCCTTTGTATCTAGGAGTATTTGCTTTGTAAATCTGGGTACTGCAGTGTTGGGTTCATATATTATTTTGAATTGTTATATTCTCTTGCTGTAATGATCTCTTTATCATTATATGATTACCTTTTTTGTCTTTTTTTAAACTTTTTTTGACTTAAAGATATTTTATCCGTGCCGGGCGCGGTGGCTCGAGCCTGTAATCCCAGCACTTTGGGAGGCCGAGGTGGGTGGATCATGAGGTCAGGAGATCAAAACCATCCTTGCTAACAGTGAAACTGTGTTTCTACTAAAAATACAAAAAATTAGCCAGGCATGGTGGCAGGCGCCTGTAGTCCCAGCTACTCGGGAGGCTGAGGCAGGAGGATAGCATGAACCTGGGAGGCGGAGGTTGCAGGGGGCTGAGATCATGCCACTGCACTCCAACCTGGGCAACAGAGCAAGACTCTGTCTCAAAAAAAAAAAAAAAAAAAGATATTTTATCCGATATAATTATTATAGCTACTCTTGCTTGCTTTTGGTTTCCATTTGTGTGGAATATCTTTTATTTTCAATCTGTATGTGTCCTCACAGGTAAAATACATTTCTTATAGGCAACATATAGTTGGATCATGTTTTTTTACCCATTCAGCTAGTCTGTGTCTATTAAGTGGAGAATTTAACCCATTTATATTCAATTTTATTGATATGTGAAGATTTGTTTCTGTTGTATTGTTGTTTTCAGGTTATTTTGTGTATTATTCTTTGTTCCTTTTTGTCTTGGTTGTCCTTGTTGTGTGCTGATTTTCTGTGGTACTACCATTTGATTATTTTCTCTTTCTCATTTGTGTATTTGCTTTACCAGTGAGTTTTATATTTTCAGGTGTTTTCATGGTAGTAACTATTGTTCTTTCACTGCCAGGTTTAGGACTCCCTTGAGCATTTCTGTTAAGGCAGGTCTAGTGGTGATGAATTCTCAGTATTTGCTTGTCTGGGAAAGATTCTATTTCTTCTTCGTTTATGAAGGATAATTTTGTTGGATGTAGTATCTTTGGGTGACATTTTCTTTCTTTCAGCACTTATTTTCCTATTATATCCTGGCCTATAAGGTTTCTGCTGAGAAGTCTGCTGTTAGTCTGATGGTGGTGGGGGGAGGCCTCTCTGTAGGTGACTGGATACTTTTCTCTTAGTGTTTTAGAATTTTCTCTCTGTTATTGACTTTAGACAGTTGGACTATAATGTGCTGTGGAAACCTTTTTGCATTGGGGAACACTGGGCCTCCTGCATCTGAATGTCTGAATCTCTTGCTAGACTTGGGAAGTTTTCATCTGCTATTTTGATAAATAGGTTTTTCATCCCTTTTGTTCTCATCTCACCTTTGGGGATACCAGTAATTCATATATTTGGTTGCTTGTAGTATCCCATATATCACAAAGACTTTGTTCATTCTTTTTTTTTTCTTTCTTTATTTTTGTCTGGTTAGTTTTGAAAGACCTGATTTTGTTGTTGTTGTTGTTTAAGACAGAATCTGGCTCTGTTGCCCAGGTTGGGGTGCAGTGGTGTGATCTCGGCTCACTACAACCTCTGCCTCCCAGGTCCAGGCAATTCTTGTGCCTCAGCCTCCCGAGTAGCTGGGATTACTGGTGTGCACCACCACGCCTGGATAATTTCTTGCATTTTTTAAAGAGACAGGGGTTTCACCATGTTGGCCAGGCTGCTCTCGAACTTCTGGCCTCAAGTGATCCACCCACCTCGGCCTCCCAAAGTGCTGTGATTACAGATGTGAGCCACTGTGCCTGGCCAAGACCGATTTTCAAGTTCTGAGATTGTTTCTTCTGCTTGGTCTAGTCTGTTGTTGAAGTTTTTTTAGTGTATTTTGTATTTCATTCAAGGAGTTCTTCAGTTCCAGAATTTTTGTTTGGTTCTTTTTTATGATATCTTTCTGGTAAATTTCTCATTCCTATCTTGAATGGTTTTTCTGATTTCTTTGTATTGTCTTTGGAATTCTCTTATATCTCACTGAGATTCCTTAGTATCATAGTTTTGAATTTTTTCCCCCAGGATTCTTGAATTTCTTTTTGATTGGGATCTGTTGCTCAGGAATTACTGTGGGGGTGTCATATTTCCTTCTTTTTTCATGTTTCCTTTTGTCCTACATTCATACCTGTGTATCTGGTGTAACAGTTACTTCTTCCAGCTTTTTGAGTTTGCTTTCATAGGGGAGAGCTTCTTCCCAAAGATTATATCAATGGTGTTAGTTGGATAGGGCCTTTTGGCTTTGATTCTGGGTGCGCGTGATAGTGCAGTGTAATGTGTATGATTTCTTTGGCTATAAACAATGTCATTGGTATCTGTGATTTACTTGGTTGTTTAGGGTGCAGTTAGTGGAGTTTATGGTGAAGTTTTGCTAGGGACAGACATGTCAGGTGGGCCAGTCTTTGGCCCCAGTGGTGGCAGTGGTGGGCTGAACATGCCTTATTCTGAGCCCCAGCCCATCATATTCTGGCACTGGTGTCAGCAGGACCAGGTGGGTCAATTCTTAGATGTCCAGGTAGCTTACTTAGATGCCAGTAACGGCACAGTGGGCTGGGCAGGTGAACAGGTTCTCAGGTCCCAGCGTGGTAGGGGCAGTGCCAGTGGTGGGATGATCCCCTGGATTCTAAGTAGTGAATGCTGGTGTTGGCAGTGGCTGTGGTGCAGGGTTACCACACAGTCCCAGACACAACTCTCAGGCTTTCTCACTCTCTTCAGCAGAGCCGCACAGAATGGAGAAGGAATCCACCCTTCGTACACAGGCCCCAGCACAAAGGCCATGCCACCAGTAGGGGCACAGTCACCACTCACAGGCCTAGACAGGCAGCTCTCTGTTTCGCTCACCCCAGCCTCCCGTGGTAGCAGCAACAGCTGTGCCTGCAATGGTGTTTGGAGCGGCAGAAGGGATCCCACTCTACATGTGAGCCCAGGCACAGAAGCTGCTCCACCAGTGGCGGGGCGACGGGGGATCTCTCTCTCACAAGGCTGAGCACACAGTTTGTGCTGCTGGTGGTGGGGTCACTTTTCACAGCTGTATGCAGGGAGCTCTGGGCTCTAGAAAGCTGTTGCTTTAGTTTCCTTTGTCCCAGGGGCTTCGTTTTTGGTACAGTGCACCATTATTTCCCTGGAGAATACTCTCTTGAGTTAGAGTACCAGAAACCCCATAGCACCTTTGGGTCCAGCCAACACTGTGCCACTATAGTCCTCTGGGTGGAGACTGGGGGAATGTCAGTGGAAGCTCCTGGGATGTGGAGATATGGGGGCTATGGTTCCCAGGGCAGGATGAAGTCTCCTGACAGCTGGGCTGTCGTGGTGGTGCCCAGTTCCAGCCGCTTAGGTACCAGAGGCGGGGAAAGGGGATAGTGACCCAGTGCAAGTTCCCTGTCTGGTGCAATGCTTGTGCAGGGTCTCCAAATCGCTGCCCACACTAGTTTCAGGGTTGGTATGGGTAGAGGAGCTCTCTTGTAGTTCAGATTGCAGCAGTTTGTGATGGGGTTGTGGACTACTAAAGTTCTCACTTACTCTTTCCCCTGGCCCAATATTGAGCCCCTCACAGCTGCCAGCAGATCTCAGACAAGTAGGCTGCTTGGTTCCTTCCCCTTCTCTGCCTCAAGAGTTTCCTGTGACTTCTCTGTTGGACTTTAATGTTCTCTTCCTAGATACCCTATTCAAGGTATGATTACCTATTTGCAATTTTGGCTCACTCTGGAGAGGGTGGGTGTCTGATATCTCTATAGTCTGCCATCTTGTTTAATTCTTTATGATAAGTTAAAAAATTAATTCATCATCATAAGAGGATGATAGAGAGCCAGTTTGTCATCTTAAAAAATAGGCCAATAGCTAGGCATAATGATGCATACCTGATGTCTTAGTTACTTAGAAGGCTGAGGTGGGAAGATCCCTTGAGGCCAGCCTGGGCAACATAGAAAGATCATGCCTGTTAACAAAAACAAAAATTGAATAGGAAGAAAAATCATTTATCTTGCCTTCGTTATATGAACTCTGTCACTGGATAATTTCATCATAGGTAAAGAGAAGTATCTTTATAATATTAATCCAGCTAAAAAGAAAAAAAGTTAAAATATTACTATTTTGCCATAGTTAATATATCTCTAAGCATTGAATATCAACAGTTGCTAACACCACATAAAGAGAAAAAGAATATACTATATACTTGCACACCTGATGAAAGAATATACTGTACTCCTGCTATGGCCTTATCAAAGGGATCAAACCTTAGTCTCTTCATCCTCAGGATCCAGCTACCAATTTGCAGGAAATGCCAAGCTCAGCGGAGCAAGTTGAACTATACCAAGTGTATGCAATCAGCAAATTCCAGATTGTGAGAAAGCCAAACAGCCTTGGTTCTTTAACAGATATTTTGTGTGGAAAAGAAACAGAAGAAGACCATGTAGAAAAAAATAAAAATGATTTAAAAGGCTCATCAGACTTTAATGGGCAAGACTGAGAAATATGTGTTTAATAGTTGATTTATTCTTCTCTGGGAAAATCTTATAGAAAACTCAGGTAAGATAAATGGCATATATAATATCTAGATATTGAGGGACTTTTTTTTTTTTTTAGTACTAAGAAATTTTTAAGATTATATGTTAAGGGAAAAGCCTTATATGTTTTCTATGCTTTTGAGAAGGGACCAGCAATAGTGATAGTTCTTTTGTTTAACTTAGGAAACAATCACGGCTTCAACTAAACTATCACCCATCCAAAAGTGGAACTAACTTAGGAAGAGGAGACAGGGAAAGTGGGGAATGAAGAAGAAAAATATAACAATGGTAAAGGATTGACATCGATATTTGAAGGAAATAACGAATGGAGCTAAAACTATAGAAAAAATTGTGAAGGTGGCAACTTTGCTTTTAGTATCTATTTTCACCTCTTCACTATCCAATAAAAATAAGTGAGCTTACCAACCCTCCAGGATTGCCTAGAAAAGTGAGAGAATGATAAATTTAAACAAACAGAATGTTAACCCACCTAAGTGAAACTATTAGAGGAAACAGCTTCAACAACAACAAAAAATGGGCACTTAAGAAAATTCAAGTACAGCATAAAAATACTTTTCTGAGCTTAAAACTCAGTTGATGAAGTGGGGGATAGTCACTGTGGAGACTTAAATTATTCAACTGGAGACTTCAATTATTAGACTGGAAAAATAAGATAAATCTCCAAAACATAGAGCAAAAATTCAAAGAGAATCATGAAAGAAAAGGTAAAAGACCTAAGGAATAGATCCAGGAGACGTAACAGAACTAACGTGTATAATAGTTATTTATAGGAATTTAAAAAGGAGAAAAACAGATGGAAGATAGATAATATTTATGCAAATAATAGAAGAAAATTTTTCTGAGCCGAAAAAGCCTATCAGTTTTGAAGTTCACTGAGCTTCAGATTGATTTGATGAAAACACACATATATACCCCTTGACATACATTGGCCAGATTCTTTAGCTATGAAGTGACAAGTTATGGGCAAAGAAATACTGTCAGGTTGGCACTGGACTTCAGATTTGCAATACTGGAAGATAGACTACTGAGAGAAAAGAACTGCAACATAAGAATCCTGTACCTGGCTGAGATACTACTCACCTGTCAGGGTAAAAGGATAATTGCAAACATTTAAAGATTTTAAAAGCATATAAATACATATATTTTCTTACACATTTTAAAAAAAGAAATAGTGGGAGAATAAACCAACAACTTATGAAGTGGTTACCTAATAAGGAAAGGGTTAAAAAGGGAGGTTATGCAAATTTTACCATCTTTTTGAAAAACAGTCTAGCAACAGCTAACAAAACTCAAGAGTCCTAGAGATACATACTTGAAATATCTATCAATGAAATGATAGGATATGAACAAGATCTTCAAAATGATACATGGATGGGGTGAATGGAGGTGTGAATTGGTCAAAGATTGATGGTCACTGGAGCTGAGACAAATTGTCTCTATAACATTCTGTCCACTTGTGTGTAAGTACAAAATTTACCATCACAAAAATGCTCTTAAAAATACTCATGCTTCATGATCTAGCAGTCAAACTTGTGGGAGTATCCTATGTTTATTATAACATTCTTTTTAGGGGCAAAAAATATAGCCATCACTAGGGGATTGGTTGATTAAATCAATGTATAGCCTCACCATAAACTATTGCACAGCCATGGAAAAGCATGTCAGTGCTGTGCCTGGAGTTGTAGGGTTACTTGAAGACATTTTTATAAGGTATTGTTGAGTTCAAAAAATCAAGAATAGTTATATCTCATTTTTGTAAAATGAACAGTGTTTTTAAAATCTGTATGTATGTTTACGTACATGTTTGTGTAAAATTTTATTAGCATGGAGCGAAATCTGGAAGGATGTATACCAGGCCATTAAGGAGACGTGTCTTAGGTAGCTAGTGGCAGAGGAGATGATGATTTGGATGGATGGAAAGGTCAAAGTACAGTCGGACACAATCATTGATAATTTTTTTACACATATATTTACAAGACTCAACAAAATCTTCTCCTGCCCTGCATCCCCGTTTATTTAATCATTTATGCCCTTCCCTTCACAACTAAGCTTCTTAAGGTACATTGTAGACTGACTCCTCCATGGAACCTAGTTTTACTAAGATTGCACATGCTGTCACTGCCAGACCCCTCAGTGGTATTTCAGTCCTTATCCTTTGAAATTCTCCATAGAATTTGACACTGTTGACCATATTCTTCCTAAAATTCTCTTGCCTTGGTTCTTGGGACAAAGTTCTCCTTGGCTTTCGTCCAGCTCCCCAGACTCTTCCTTCTCAATTTCCTCCTAGATTCTTGTCTTCGTAACTTCCTCATTTCCTTTCCATAAACACCCCTGTGTTGGTTTTCTCAAGATTTTTACTTTCTGGACCCTCTTCTCATGCTGCATACTCTCTCAAGTAAATTTCACCCACACTTAGAGTTTTTACTACCATTTATGTAATGATTTTAAAATACATCTATCTCAGACATTTCTCTTAAGCTTCAAACTTACATATTTGGCTGTTCTCTGAATATTTCCACCTGGATTTCCTCAGCAAAATCTCAAAAATCAGCATACCCCCACCATTACACTCCTCTTCGTGTTCTATCTTAATTAGTGTAACATCATTCATCTGCACATATAAGTCATACACTCGAGAGTCATCTAAACTCCTCTTCTTCCTTTTCCTTCTTTCAATTATTCAACAGCTGTTTTTGAGCACTCATTATAGGTTAGGCATTGCTTAGGTACTGAGGATACAGCTGATTAAGAAAATGGAGAAAACATAAAACATAATTGACTCCTGTCAATTTCAGCTTTCAAAATTTTTGTAAGTCCATCTTCCAGCTAAACTGAGAGTCCTTTGAACGTTTTTGTCCAGTCTAAACTGGAATAAAGATCATAATAGCTGAAATTGCATTAACTTCGGTGAGAAAGAGAGTAATATTTTAAGGCTGGGTGCAGTGGCTCACGCCTGTAATCCCAGCACTTTGGGAGGCCGAGACGGGTGAATCACCTGAGTCCAGGAGTTCAAGACCATCCCAGGCAACATGGTGAAACCCCATCTTTACAGAAAATACAAAAATTAGCAGGGCATGGTGGCACGCACCAGGAGTCCCAGCTATTCGGGATGGGGCTGAGGTAGGAGGTTCACTTGAGCCTGGGAGGTCGAGGCTGCCATGAGCTGTGTTTGCACCACTGTACTCCAACCTGGACAACAGAGTGAGACCCTGTCTCAAAGGAAAGAAAATAAGATTTTAAAGGTAAAAATTGTTTATATGATATGTTAACTGTTATGCTATTCTAAATATTACATATTTGGCTGCCCTCTGGATATTAAGAAATCTCAAAAATCGCTACTAATTCTTTTAATTGCTGTCGCTTCTGAAAATTGTAGCTATGAAAAGCAGCTTTGTTATAAACTTGCTTTTAGAAAGAAGTGCTGCAACAAATTTTCCCACGGAAGAAGGGAGGTATTTTATTTCAACTTACATGTTTAATTAGTGCAGAACACACCTTCTAGAACCTTTTTGATTTTCACTGATCTTGATTGTTTCATGTGTTCATCAGCTATGTATTGATTTTTCAGAATATTTATTTTCCACATGGTGAATGTGCCTGAATTATTGCTTGGTCAAAGTCCCTCAAGGAATGATACAAAAATCATCAGTAAGTATCATATAAAGATTTTGGAGTTGCTGAAAAAGACTGATGAAAATACCCAAAATTTATTACTTAATTTACATGAGGTCCTTGTTAGATTTAACTGTACCAAACTTCATCCAATCTAAATTCAGAACATACTAATATATAATCATGTAACTGCCCATAGATGTTTGTATATATGAAGCCAGATAGCATTATCTAATAATATAGCACATCATCTATGTGACAGATACACTTTAAGTGTTGAAAGTTAAAGAATAACCAAGATTATTAATTTCAGAACTTAATAAATTTGGAGTAACTAAGAGGGTATCATGTACGTAGCATTCTAAATGTGGTTTATTCATTAGTCATTGTGCTTTATGCCAGTGCTACTCAGAGTAGCCTTTCCATTAACTGTTTGTTACCAGCCCTCAAGATAAGGAGCTTGTGCCAGAATGTCTGTCAGTACATTGCTTCCTTAATCAGAAAGGAAAAAATATTATGGAAAAAAATGTCCACTAAAATAAGTAGTGTGCTTTGTGATGTAATTGATTTCCATGTTTGGTACCAGCTCTTTATTTTATGATGGTTTAGTAATAAACAATTTGCAGGTTTGCCTGTCTTTATGGACCACACTTTGAGTAGCAGTTTTATGTCATGTGTATCAGACATTTATGATATTGTTGCAGGAATACATGTCCTGATTAATACAGCTTATTTGTGTATAAATGTTTGGCACTTTTAAATTTGCATAATTCTTTAGTCTTTTTTCCCCTAACTTCTGCCTTTTTCCATTAGTCTAAGTCCATGTTACCTTCCTCTATAGAAATTCTGTCCAGCAATAGTGTTTGCTTCAAATGATTGCTTCTTGCTACGGTGCGAGAACTCAGTCATATTCAGAAAACCAGATCTTGCTCATAAACCATAATCGTGGAAATGGAGAAGTGGGTAACTTGTCACATAACACCCCTCCCGCATACTTACTGACACTCATTAATTGCCAAAGTAGAGGTTTTGTTAACAACTTTGCCAGACACTGGTTTTATTACTTAGAATGTCTAATGAGCAAAGTTTAAAATGCCAGTCATTGTCAAAAGAGCTATTCACCATTTTCTACCTTACCTTGTCAGTAAACTGGCTTTATTAAGTGGCTCCTATAAATGCTCCTCACTTGCATACTTCAACTTAATCAAGAAAAATGCTCCATTAATAAATAGGCAAGCTACTTCTAGAGCTCACTGAAGACAGATTAGGAGACTTGAAATTACAGTAGTATGTTGTTACCCACTGGTTTACTGAGTGCGTTTCTGTGTCATAAAATAAACAAAATGACCAGGACTTTGAAGCCTACTTTTCTCAGTGTTATAACAGTAAATTGTACTATTATAAATATATTGTCATAATTTGTACAACTTATTTCCTCAGTTTTATATTTCAGGAACTATGAAAATACAACTGTTGGTACTTACTTACAATGGAGTTCTAATAGTTAATAAGAGATCCAAAAAAAATTATTTAAGTCAAAATGTACCAGAATTTTTTATCAAATGGATTATGTGATGTTAACAGTTCACCATAAGTAGGGAGAAGCATTAGCTTAGGAAGTTTTAAAGTAAATTTTTTTAACCTAGAAGCATAAAGACTACAAGAAGAGGTTACATCGGGTGTTTTTAGTATGTCCAAATATATATATCAACAAATTTGATGATCGGGAATCTAGACTTGATAGAGCATTTTATAGAGTAGTTTGCATATGAGTATACCTATAATAAAAGATTTTTCATTTAACATGTAGTTAAAATGTAAATAGTATTTTATTTTTGTCCTTTTTAAATGACGTCTTAGTAGCTTCCAGTGTATTTATTAGATAATAGTTCAAGTCTCGTACAAAAAAATTGCAATCCATTAGTAAACCAAGAACCTTGTTTTATTTAAGCAGGACTATTAGCTACCTCCTTGATTAAGCCTATTTCTGAGGTTGTTGAATAGCAGCAAGCATCAAGTTTGGTGTTCAGCACCTTTGTCACATATCCCTGTGATGTGAGTGCTTAGAAAAATTAAATAGGCACTTAGGTATCTGTTATGTGCAGAGGGCTGAGCATACAGCATGGTAGGCAATGAGGTATTCTTTAATGAACACTTCAAGTGTTTTGCATGCTTTAGTTTTCCTCCTCTGCTTTCTAACGTATGTGGTGTGCTTTACACACAGATTTCTGAATCTTAGTTTTTTAAACTTTTTAAATGTATATATCACCAACTTGCTTCTACCTCTGTCTTAAGCAAACAGAACACATACAGATGTAAATTAATTATATCAGCCTAGCTCCAAAGCCCAAGAGTTTTAAATTCCAGGTAGTTTTTTTTTTTTTTCAAAAGAAAAATACATGTCAATGTTACCTAGAGGAAAAAAGGAAAGAAATTGCGAATACCTAAATTAACATACACTGTAAGAAATCACTTTTAGCAGTGTCTATAAGTCAAAATATCTTTGACTTGCACATATGTATATATATACACACACACACACATATCAGAAAAATAAATGGCAAATTCTGCTTGCAGCTGCAGTGTTTTCTGGATGGCTGCAAATTAATGTAAGTCTTTAAACTTTAGGGTACACAAGACTATTAAGTATCTTTCTTTGAAGTTCATATAAATGTAGACAAATTTCAAATGTATTTGCCCAAAAAATGTAGTTATTTATTGCAAATACCAAAGCTAATAGGTTTTTTGTTTAAAATATTAACTTGATGTGTTTTCCTTAGAAACTGAATTTCTACCAGTGCCTAGCAACTTAAAGTGAGTCTGTCACATAATTATAGTAGTGAGATGTTGCTGAATATTTAAGACTAAAACTCTCCATAAAGGGTACATTTGGGCAGAACACCAAAAAATGACCTTTGGCTTAAAAATATTATATATGCATACAAAAAAAAATGAGTTCAGCTTTAGCTATCTCATCCTGTCTGCAGAAAAATGTTTTATCTAGCCATGGGTTAAAAGGACCTCCATGTAATGTATATATTTATGATGGAATAGCCGAGACTGGGTAATTTTGTCAGTTTCCTTTAGCGACATCAAAATTTTTGTAGTGATACAAGTCTTATTTTCAGAGGAAAAATTCTTGATTGATTATAGAATCAAATTCTGTTTTACTGATAATTTAGTAGAAAGACGTATGATTGAGGGGAGTACAGAGTGATGTGGTACTTGATTTTATTTTGTATGTAGATTTTGCTTTTAGACTTAAGATATTTTCAGCTATTGATTATATTCTCTTCCTTCCCATCTCACACTTAAAGTCTTAACTGTAATCTCTTACCAATATGTAATACTATAGTAATACAATGAAAATAAGTTCTTATCTGGCATACTTACCTCTGAACAGATGTGTATGACTTCTTTTGTAAAGTAGAATTAAAATTCATAACCTTTGCTTTAGAAAATTGAAATTTAGAAATGGAAATTTAGAAGAGACTCTGTAAAATTACCTCATATTTTATTTTCCTGTTTCTAAACTACCTTGCTCAATCAGTTTGGGGATGTGAAAGCTGTAAAGACTTGTTTCCCAAAGTGCAGGTGCATTTTTCTGTTACTTGTTTAGGCAACATAAATAACAGTTACATGTACATAATTCTTGAATACATTAGTTTTAGTTAGTGGGCTGTTTGTGTAACAAAGGAGCCACTCAATAGGAGACATAGAGTCCTGCTGCAGATGTGAAATGTTCCTCCCAATGATGCCCCAGAGAATCTCTGAAATTCAGAGTCAGCTGGTTCAGGGAACCAGCCTCAGCTGAGATCACTACTAACAAGCCTCTCACTCAGAGGAGACTCTCCACAAAACTGCTGAAAAATGAGTTTTCCCCTGTATCAATATGAAAAGAAATCCAGAGATTTGAGGAAAATCAAGTGAATGACAGATAAGAAGGGACAGCATGAACAAACACAACGGTTGATCCTCAAACATAAATAATGTAGGAAGCAGCAGGGTAAGTTCCTAGTATCCTTGGAGGTTACACAGGGCAGTGGATCCACCAACCATAACAAAAAGCTGCAGTGAAAGAGGGTAATCAGAGACCAAGAAAGTCCTTGGAATTCAAGATAATATATGATTACTAAAGTAAATATTCTGTCAAGGACTAAAGAATAGACTAGACATTGCTGAAGATCTAATTTGATGACATATGAAGAATGTGGAAAACAAAGATGTTGGAAATATGAGGAAAATGGTTTTTAAAAAATGGACAAAACATACATTATCTTACAAAATGCAAATGTTAGGAAAATAGTTTTTTAAATTGAAGAAAGTGTCTTGAGATGGGTGCGGTGGCCCACGCCTGTAATCCCAGCACTTTGGGGAGGCTGAGGAGGGTGGATCACCTGAGGTCAGGAGTTCAAGACCAGCCTGACAAACATGGTGAAACCGGTTTCCGTCTCTACTAATAAATACAAAGAAAAATTGGCCAGGCTACTATAATCTCAGCTACTTGGGAGGCTGAGGCAGGAGAATCACTGGAACCTGGGAGGCGGAGGTTACAGTGAGCCGAGGTCGCACCACTGCGCTCCAACCTGGACAACAAGAGCGAAATTCCGTCTCAAAAAAATGAATGAATGAAAGTGTCTCTTAACTGAAGAAAGACTTACTTTTAGATCAAAGGGAATTATTTTAAACCTAGAATGCTATCATCAGCCAACCATCAATCAGGTAAAAAGGCTAAAAACATCCTTGGATATACTTTCTATTCTTTTTCTGGAAAATTATTCAAATATATTGCTTTTTAGTGACACAAAATATAAAACTAAACAACATGGAGACTTAACTCTTTTTTTTGAGATGAGGTCTTGCTATATTGCCCAGGCTGGTCTTGAACTGATGGGCTCAAGAGATCTTCCTGTTGAAGCTTCCTGAGTAGCTGGGACTATAGATGTGTGCTACTGTGCCCAGCTCTAACTCAAGATTTTGATTAAAAAAAATCCAGAATGACAGCAACAAGCAATTGACATACTTTAGAACAAAATTTCAGAGAACTTTGTGAAGAGTGTTACCAAGAAAAGAGTAGTTCCTAGTACTCGTATGATTTCGATTCTGAGAGTTCATTGTGTCATGCTGTTGAGGATATGATGGCATTTTGTGCTGATGAACAAGAACAGAGACAAAAATTCCAGTAAGTATGACGCAGGCTAAAATAATAGCATGATTTTGGACTTTCCATGGAGTATAAGCATGCTTTCTGAAATGACAGTAGTAGATCAGGTCATTTAAAAGGGCCAAGAGGACAAGCCTAAGGTTTCAAAGTTCTCTTTATTATTTCCAAGTTAATTAAGTCAGATAAAATCAAGCGTAATACTTTAAGCTATTAAAAATGTTTCTCCTGGGTGGTGGGATTATTTTATAGGTAGCGTTTATTCTTTTCTTTTACCCATCTCTCTGTTTTTGTGACTTTCTACCATGAAGTTTTATAACAGAAGCACAATAAATGTTATTTTAAAATAAAATATCACTAAAATATAGCTTAGGACTTTTTTATGCACTTAGCCCATCTGAATAAAAAAAGCCATATAAACAAATACCATTCCCAATGTAAAGATAGTTTTTTCTTAGTAATAATTCTACCGTTGAAAGAATACCTGGCCAGATGTGGTGGCTCACACCTGGAATCCCAGCCCTTTGGGAGGCCAAAGCAGGCAGATTACTTGAGCCCAGGAGTTCGAGAGCAGCCTGGGCAACATGGCAAAACCCCATTTCTACAAAAAAAAAAAAAAATTAGCCAAGCTTGGTGGGGCACGCGTGTAGTACCAGCTACTTAGGGAGCTGAGGTGGGAGAATCACTTGAGCCCAGGAGGTTGAGGCTACAGTGAGCTGTGAACACTGTGATCATACCACCACTCTCCAGCTGGGGCTACAGAGCTAGACCCTGTCTCAAAAAAATAAAAAGACCAGTTTATAATCACTAGTTTGTAATTGTTTAAGGTCAAGGCATGACTTTTTTCTTTATAAACTATATTAATAGTTTATAGGTAAATCAAGATATTTATGTCTGAGTCGTGAATATCTCAGAATCAGGTAAAGAATAGACAAACACAAATCACATTTGAAATTCAATTTTAATCTCAGGTGAGTATGTTTCATAGCATTTTGTTTTCTTAATTTAAAACTCATAAACACTTATGTAAATCAATACTAGTAAATCTCATTTAAAATAATACTTTGTTCTAGAGCCTAGATTTTTGTGGCAGGGTTGTTTTGTCAATATACTCAATCATGAAATAAAGATAGAAGTAGAAGATATTCAGATACTTACGGAAAGGTCACAAAGTATGGCATCATTTTATTGGATGTTTATACAGTATATATTTGGTGTCTTTTATATACTAGGAAGTAACATAGCATGATGGTTGTACCAATTTTGGAGTCAGAGAAACTTGGATTTGAAGATGTAACTCTGCCACTTACTAGCTTTATGGTCATGACAGATGTATTATTAGCATTACATAGTGGTATTCTAGACATGTAAGATGGACATAGATGAATGAGACAATTTATAGAATTGCATAAGTACAGTACTCATTTTAACCTTTTACTAATGCTTATTTTCAGTGAAAAGTTCTCTACTTAGCTATAGAAACTTTTAAAAATTATATACTGGCATCAAATTGTAGTTAGCAAATGCAACAAAGTTGATATTATTGTATCCCTCCCCTGTTTACTATCTCCACTCCATTTCCTTTCCCTTCTAAGGAGTGCTAGAAAATATTTTACACAAATAACTGTCAATTATGACTAGTACTTTTATAATAAAAGTATAAATTCCACCAAACACTAATACATGAAATATTAGATACAAGAAAATAAGTATCGTGTTTCACTCTACTTCTTCTTTGCCCTCACGCCTCCCTGCACCTCTCCTTCCCTGCCCATGAAAAGTTTATATCTATATATTTCCATTATTTATTTGAAAGACTGATGGTTTCCACTGCCCTTATTCTAAAGGACCACATACTTCCATTGTAGCCCTGTAATAAGTGAAATAAGTGCCCGGAGCAAGCTTGAATCTTTTTGTCTTCAATCTTATAGTACAATGTTAAACAAATAAGGGATTAGACTTTGGCCTTTTAAAATTGACGTATGTGCTTTATTGAATTTGGCAGTATTTGATGTCAAAAGTATGTTATTTATAAGTTTTTAATTTACATGATACATTCGTCTCTTTTTTGTAGGCAGTGAGTTACTATTTATCACATGCATGGTATATGTGCCAGGTATATGTCAGGCACTTTACATAAATTAGTTAATCCTTAAAACAGTCCTGTGAGTATTAATTCCTAATACTAGATTACTGATCTTTTACATGGCAGAGCAGAGATTTGAACCTAGGGCTAATGCCAGAACCGATGTGACTTTGCACTACACCAGGCTGATTGTTACTGAGTATAGGAAGTTCAGAGTCAGATGATCCTGCTGTTAGCATGTAACTGGAATATGAATTTTGTATACATTTATTTGATTTAATTACACCTATTTTGAAGTGTGCCAAGACAGTTCTTCATTATGTTTGACTGTTACACTTTCTGTTGGGCAAAAAGGATGCTGAAAATGAAATAATGATTTTGTTTGTTTGTTTGTTTGTTTGTTTTGCCATAGAGCCTACTATTAACTAATTTAAAATCTTTGGGCTCATGCCTGTAATCCCAACACTTTAGTAGGCAGAGGCAGGAGGATCGCTTGAGGCCTCGAGTTTGAGACTAACCTGGGCAACAGCCAACCTCATCTCTACCAAAAAAAAAAAAAAAATGGCCTGGATGTGGTGGTGTGTACCTGTAGTCCTAGCTACTTGAGAGGCTGAGGCAGGAGGATCGCATGAGCCCAGGAGCTCAAGGTTACAGTGAGCTGCGATCGTGCCACTGCACTCCAGCCTGGGCAATGGACGGAGACCCTATCTAAAAAAAAATTTTTTTAAATTATAGGGCTGCTTCTAATTGTGATTAAGTGTACTACAATATTATCATATTTAGGCTAATTAATTTTTATCATCTTAAAATTTCTAGTTCTAATTGCCTCGTAAAATATGTGTTTTAAAAATCTTTATTGGTTAATATATCTTAGTATCTTTTAATCTATAGATATTCCCCCTCCTTTCTTTCCTATGTTCTTGGAATTTTCTGTTGAAATAACCTGATAAATCTCCCTGATAAATTTTCCCAGAGTCTGGATTTTGAGTATTGCATCTCCATAGTTTTGGGGTTTTTTTGTTTTGTTTTGTTTTGTTTTGTTTTGTTTTCTTGAGATGGAGTTTCATTCTTGTTGCCCAGGCTGGAGTGCAATGGTGCAACTTCCACCTCCCAGGTTCAAGCGATTCTCCTGCCTTAGCCACCCAAGTAGCTGGGATTACAGGCGCCCCCCACCTCGCCTGCCTAATTTTTGTGTTTTTAGTAGAGACAGCGTTTCACCACATTGGCCAGGCTGGTCTCGGAACTTCTGACCTCAGGTGATGAGCCCACGTCGGCCTCCCAAAGTGCTGGGATTACAGGCATGAGCCACCGTGCCCAACCCATAGTTTCTTTTAAAGCACATTTTTTCAAGTGTTTTCTTACCTTATTTCAAATTTTTACAGTTTACCTGTAGTGATTTGAATGTTGGGAAGAAGAACTTGCTTGTGGGGATTTTGCTGGGGTTTAATAGGAGATCGTAATTTTAATGGTTCTGATCAATTTTCTTAATTTTTGTCAAGACTGACATGAACATCGGACTTCTTTTGAAACATTTGTGGCACTCAGTATTGACATAAACTTGCTGTACAATTATTAAAATCATTTACATAACAATTTTGCCCATAATTTTAAAACCTTATTTTTCATTGCTGTTTCTCAAAATGTTGACAGACTTAGTGACTCTGTGTCTCAATCTAAGTGAAATAAGTATTTCATATACGTTCTTTAATTTTCCTCTGCTTCACAATTGAACAGTCTTTCAGTGAGCTTCTGAAGGAGGCTAAAGATTCATTTTACCTAATTTCCTCCTTTATCTTAATTGTATTATTACTTGTGTTTGCAGTTATTTTATATTCATAAAGTACATATATAAATAATTATACAAACACCACTATATAAACATGGTTCCATTGTATAAAATAAGAAATTTTGTTTGGCAAAAATGTTCAACAGCTGAGAAAACCAGGAGCTCAGTGTAGGAAGACAGGCAAGTCAGTGCGTGTGTGAAAGCGCAAGCTATATGATAGCTATGGATGGCATGGGAAGCAAATCAAATAGCATATCTGTGCTCCGCATGGCAGTTAGTATGGGAAGTCATGGCATATGGATGAAATGTTTGGCACCTCTTCAGATTGCTGAGTTTAGAGGAAACATCAATGAATTATCCAGACGATAGTTGCCATCTGGGTACTACACAAAATTATATAGTGAATATATTTGTATTTCATGTTTGTATCTCTTTCTACACTTCTCTCTTATCCCACCATAAGCACCCCCACTTAATTTCTTGATATCTTAATACAGTTCTAAAACTCATTATAAATTTAACATTAAGCACTTACTATGTGCTAGACATTACGAAAGTCCTCTGTGTAGATCACAGGCTTATGTTGGAAGTAACTTCTGAATAATGTGGAAAACAAAAGGAGAAATTTACAGCCACCATAATGATGTTACCTTCCTTACAGAAGACTTCCAAATTCCATAAATGGGTCTTCTTTTCCCTCAGTAACCACACTCTCACCCCTCTCATCCTTCACCGAACATAATATAACATATAAAAGTTTCTCATTCCCTGGGTGCTATAAATGGTGCTCTTAATAAAGTGATGCTTTGATAAGTTTACAGAAAGCTAAATAATGTGTGTGTTTAAGCACTTACTCATCTAGAATACACAGAATGCATTGGGGATATTGTGGTAAAAATACACACCTTTGAAATGATTCTAAACCAGTGATGTTCCCAAGGAGTGATTGGGAGGTTAACTTTACCTCCTTCCAAACCACTTCAAATAAACATAAGTAAATTCCAATGCAAATACACTCTCAAGACAAGTCTACTTCCCGTCTTCCTTCCCACAACAGATTACTACCCTAATCCCTTCCTATATATACATTTTTTTAAAAGGCTAGTTAAATGAAGCAGTGAGAGTAGGAAAAGAATAAATCTGTAACTGGGTGTGATCAATTAGTTGTAAACACCATTGCACTTGGACTAACATAGGTATAAATTCCTGAACTGCTCCTCTCCCTGACCATTAATCTGAAATATCTCCTAAAAAGTTGGAAAATAATAAAGAGAAGCTGATTAGAACCCATATAAATATGCATGGAATTTTGGGGAAGAGGAAGTACTCCACTATTATGGCTAATGTGTGTAGCAAGAAGCAATGAAAGAGGGGAGTCATGGTATAACACACTGTGAAATCAGACAGAAATACTCTGGGCTGCATCTCTTAGTAGATGGCCTTGGAAAAACTGCTTAGTAGCTCAGTTTGTCTCTTAAATGGGGATAATAACACCTGTTGTAAAGACCAAATATTATTTGCTCAGCTAATAATAGGGCTTAATAAATAGTGGTAGTGGCTGTTCTGAGTCCATTGGTCTTTACAACTAATTGATTACAACTAGTTACAGGTGTCTTTGTTGCTGTTCCATTCCCACTACTTCACTTGACTAGCCTTAAAAGAAAATGGTGGTAATAGTGGAGATGATGGTCCAGATTTTGAGAGTTCTTTATCATTGTTGGAGTTTTTATGTTATCCTACAGTGGGGAGCCCTCAGGTGAGAAGAGATATGATAGATAGTGCTGGTCACGTTGTTTAAGGTGATCTAGCCAAGGAATGATGAGACCCTGAGCTGAGACAGTAGTAGTGGGAATAGAGAGAAAACGGATTTAAGAGAGAGTCCAGGCTGGGCACAGTGGCTCACACCTGTATTCCCAGCACTTTGGGAGGCTGAGGTGGGAGGATTACTTGAGGCCAGGAATTCGAGACCACCCTGGGCAACATAGTGAGTCCTCATCTCCACAAAAAAAGAAGAAACTAGTCGGGTATGGTGGCGCACACCCGTAGTTCTAGCTACTGGGGAGGTTGAGGCAGAAAGATCGTTTGAGCCCAGGTAGGAGGCTGCAGTGAGCTATGATTGTACCACTGCATTCCAGCCTGGGCAACAGAACAAGACCCTGTCTCTCAAAAAAACAAGAGACTCCAGAAATCAAAACTCTGAATGGCTGAATTTCGAAGTTGAGGAATTGAGAGAGTTTGAAATGGCTCTGAGATTTTAAAATTTGAATAGCTGGATTGGTTGGTATGCCACGGAGGTGAGGAATACTGACTTTAAGCAGTAAGAGGAAGCAGTTGTGGAAGGAAAAGTAATGAGTTGAATGTTTTTAGTCTTGTTTTTGAGGTAGTTGTAAGGAGTCCAGGAATATCCAGGTTAGTTGACTAGAAGTTTTTTGTTTTTTGTTTCTTTTTTAGTTATGGTATATTTAGTTTTGTATCATTATCACCTACTCCTGAAATATATGTGACAGTAATATATTTTCTAAAAATATATATTTAGTACAATTCAGATGTTTTAAAATCATCTCATTAGGCATGTGAAATGTAATTACTTTGTCAAATGTCAACATGAGAATAGATGTCATGTGTCAACACCTCTCTGCCTATTATTTTTTAAGAGATTTTGAGGGAGGGATTTCCACTATATACTGTTATCTCCCCGCATCAGCCACATCTGCTTCATTTGGTTGCTGTTCCATTTGGATACCATACAAGAAAAGATGGACATTGATGGTTCAGGGGAACAGTTAAGCCTAAGGATAATAGAGAATTCAAATACATTTTCACCATGCTTTAAATGTTACAGTCTTAGTTGCAAATATCTGAAGTCGCCTTGAGATGTGCAAGAACTTTCAAATGTATTTAAATGCATTTAAATAATAAGATGGAGCTTAATTTTTTTTCACGGAGAAGAAAAATGCTGGCTGGGCATGGTGGCTCACACCTGTAATCCCAGCACTTTGGGAAGCCAAGGTGGGTGGATCACCTGAGGTCGGGAGTTCGAGACCAGTCTGACCAACATGGTGAAACCCTGTCTCTACTGAAGATACAAAAATTAGACATGCGTGGTGGCAGGCGCCTGTAGTCCCAGCTACTTGGGAGGCTGAGACAGGAGAACTGCTTGAACCCAGGAGATGGAGGTTGCAGTGAGCCACGATCACGCCACTGCACTCCACCTGGGCGACGGAGCGAGACTCCATCTCAAAAAAAAGAAAAAAGAAAAATGCCTTAATAAAAATTTTAATAAAATGTTTTAACAGTTGCTTAACCTATTTCTCACTTTCCTTCCTGGTTTCCCAAATAAGAATAAACTGTTGAGAATAAATTGAGATGATCAACATTAAAAATTTTTAAAGAGCGTTTTGTTAGAAATAATTGTATAAAATGTTTTATTAAATACAAGTTTAAATTTAGTTATAGATAGCAGAGACTTTAAAAATTGGAAAAATAGAAAACAACTAGTATAACGATAAACATGGCCATTTTTTACTTAAGGGAACTTGAGGATTTGCAGATTTTAGGTGATTTTCTCACCATAGCAGTCATCTACTAAGAAAGGCAGAACAAACATTTTTTGAAGAGTTACTGCCTCACTAGAGCTCAGGATCAGGTTGATCTATGTTCTTGAGTGATTAAATTTAAAAATTGGGGACTGCTCAGGTAAAGAAAGGGAAGTGGTCTGCAAGTGAAATGGCATCATGGAGGTGTAGTGGTCTTTGCTGAGGCCCACAGGCTGGCCAGCCTCTGGTTGAGCAACACAGGGTCACTGCAGATGGCACTGAGAAACCAGCGTGCAGAGAGATGAGTCTGATGAGCATGTGTGGCCCAGGTTCCAGAGCCAGGGTGAGGGTCATTCACCTGTAGAAATTTCTCCACTTTCATCATGGACATTAGTGTCAGGATAACTTATTTATGTTAGAATTTACATTCTTTCCTTTTAAAAAAGTAGGCATCTTTTAAAAGAACCATTAGAAAAAAAGGCATATCTGAATTGGAATGCATTGCTTCAAATTGATGAATCAGGATCACAAATGACAAACCATGGATCTCTCAGTTTATGTTTAACTCCCTTAAGATAATTTACAGGGCTGGGTGCTGGGTACAGTGGCTCGTGCCTGTATTCCCAGCACTTTGGGAGGCCAAGGTGAGTGGATCACTTGAGCTCAGGTGTTCAAGACCAGCCTGGGCAATTTGTGAAACTCCGTTTCTACCAAAAATACAAAAAATATTCTGAAACACATAATTTGTGATGTTTATATAATTAAATCCTTTAAGTTAGTGTTTTTTAGTCAGTTTTGGATTAAAGGATCTTATTCGAGTTAAATATTCTCTCTCCTAAAAAAAGTGCATATGTGCAGAATTTACATAACATTTTAGTAGCTAATGTTTCCCCTTAATCGAGACCCCTGGGTAATTATATATATAAATGCATGTATATAAATGTATATATAAATATGTGTATTTTTGGTTAATTTTTTAAATGTTTAACAATTATGGATACATAATAGTTGTACATAATTTGTGGGGTACATGTGATATTTTGCTACAAGTATACAATGTGTAAAAAACCAAGGTAATTGGTTTACCTCAAGCATTTATCATTTATTTGTGGTAAGGGCATTCTAATTACTCTCTTAGTTATGGTGAAATAGGGAATAAATAACTATAGTTGCTCTATTGTGCTACTGAACACTAGATCTAATTTATTCTATCTAACTGTATTTTTGTACCCATTAACTCTCATCTCCCCATTTCCACAACCCTTCCCAGTCTTTGATAGCTGTCATTCTACTATTTCCATGAGTTTAATTTTTTGCTCCCACATACAAGTGAGAAAGTGCTATATTTGTCTTAGTGTGTCTGGCTTATTTCACTTAAAGTACTGTCCTCCAGTTCCATCCATGTTGTGACAAATGATAGAATTTCATTCTTTTCTATGGCTGAATAATATTCCACTGTGTATATGAACCACATTTTCTTTATCCATTCATCTGTTGATGGACACAAGATTGATTCCATATCTTGGCTATTGTGAATAGTGTTGCAGTAAACATGGGAGTGCAGGTTATCTCTTCAGTATACTAATTTCCTCTCACCCCATTTGAAATGGCTTTTATCCAAAAGATAGGCAATAATGAATGCTGGCATAAATGCGGAGAAAGGGGAACCCTTGTACACTGTTGGTGAGAAACAGCCACTTTGGAGAACAGTTTGGAGGTTCTCCAAAAAACTACAAATAGAGCTACCATATGATTCAGCAATCCAACTGCTGGGTATACACCCAAAAGAAAGGAAATCAGTATATCAAAGAGATACACGCTTCTATGTTGACTGCAGGACTATGTTTTTATACTATATATTGTGATTTTAACATATACTGTGCTTTTAGAAGTGTCAAAAGGAGCCTCACCATAAAGCATATTCTCTAGAAAAGCTGTTCTACAACACTATCAGAGTTCTTACACATTGCTATTACATTATTTCCATATAAATCTGAAGTGATTATGAATTGTTTGAAATATGTATTGTATAAGCTATATCTTTTTCTCAGAAAAAAAAATTATTTTTCTGGCAGTTGTGTTTTGTTTGACCCACACCACATTTTCTTTTTTTTATTCTAGATTCCGAAGAGGCTCAATCTGTAAATCCTTCTAGTGTTGATGAAAATATTGACTCTGAAACAGAGAAAGACTCTCTCATCTGTGAAAGTAAACAGATACTTCCCAGTAAAACACCTCTTCCATCTGCCCTTGATGAGTATGAGTTCAAAGATGATGATGATGAAGAAATTAATAAGATGATTGATGATAGGCATATTCTTAGGAAAGAACAACGAAAAGAAAATGAACCTGAAGCAGAAAAAACTCATTTATTTGCAAAACAGGAGAAAGCCTTCTATCCTAAATCATTTAAAAGTAAAAAACAAAAGCCATCTAGGGTCTTATATTCAAGTACTGAAAGTTCTGATGAAGAAGCTCTTCAGAATAAAAAGATTTCTACTTCATGTTCCGTCATCCCTGAAACATCAAATTCTGATATGCAAACCAAAAAGGAATATGTAGTTTCAGGTGAACACAAACAGAAAGGCAAAGTTAAAAGAAAATTGAAAAATCAGAATAAAAATAAAGAGAACCAAGAGCTAAAGCAAGAAAAGGAAGGAAAAGAAAATACAAGAATAACAAACTTGACAGTAAATACTGGACTAGATTGTTCAGAAAAGACCAGAGAGGAGGGGAACTTTAGGAAATCTTTTAGCCCAAAAGATGATACTTCATTACATTTATTTCATATTTCCACTGGTAAATCTCCCAAACATTCTTGTGGATTAAGTGAAAAACAGTCAACACCACTAAAACAAGAACATACTAAAACATGTTTATCACCAGGAAGTTCTGAAATGTCATTACAGCCTGATCTTGTTCGGTATGATAATACAGAATCTGAATTCTTGCCAGAAAGTTCAAGTGTAAAATCTTGTAAGCATAAGGAAAAAAGCAAACATCAGAAAGATTTCCACTTAGAATTTGGTGAAAAATCAAATGCCAAAATAAAGGATGAAGATCATAGTCCAACATTTGAAAATTCAGATTGCACACTGAAAAAAATGGATAAAGAAGGTAAAACATTAAAAAAACATAAATTGAAGCATAAAGAGAGGGAAAAAGAAAAGCATAAAAAAGAAATTGAAGGTGAAAAGGAAAAATACAAAACTAAGGATAGTGCCAAAGAACTGCAGAGGAGTGTGGAATTTGATAGAGAATTTTGGAAAGAGAATTTTTTTAAAAGTGATGAAACTGAAGATCTCTTTTTAAATATGGAACATGAATCCTTAACATTAGAAAAAAAATCAAAATTGGAAAAAAACATCAAAGATGATAAATCAACCAAGGAAAAGCATGTGTCAAAAGAGAGGAACTTTAAAGAGGAACGAGACAAGATTAAAAAGGAAAGCGAGAAATCTTTTAGGGAGGAAAAAATAAAAGATCTAAAAGAAGAGAGAGAAAACATACCCACAGATAAAGACTCAGAATTTACTTCTTTGGGTATGAGTGCCATTGAGGAATCTATAGGGCTTCATTTAGTGGAAAAGGAAATAGACATTGAAAAACAAGAAAAGCATATAAAGGAAAGTAAAGAAAAACCTGAGAAGCGATCTCAAATTAAAGAAAAGGACATTGAGAAGATGGAAAGAAAAACCTTTGAAAAAGAAAAGAAGATAAAACATGAGCATAAGTCAGAAAAAGACAAATTAGATCTTAGTGAATGTGTTGATAAAATAAAAGAAAAGGACAAGCTATATTCGCATCACACAGAAAAATGCCATAAAGAAGGTGAGAAGAGCAAAAATACTGCTGCTATTAAAAAAACTGACGACAGAGAGAAAAGTAGAGAAAAGATGGATAGGAAACATGACAAAGAAAAGCCTGAAAAAGAGAGGCATCTAGCAGAAAGCAAAGAAAAGCACTTGATGGAGAAAAAAAATAAACAATCAGATAATAGTGAATACAGTAAATCAGAAAAAGGCAAAAATAAAGAAAAAGACAGGGAGCTAGATAAAAAGGAAAAATCTAGAGATAAAGAAAGTATAAATATAACTAACTCCAAACACATACAGGAAGAAAAAAAATCAAGTATAGTAGACGGTAATAAAGCACAACATGAAAAACCCTTATCCCTTAAAGAAAAAACAAAAGATGAACCTTTGAAAACTCCAGATGGAAAAGAAAAAGATAAAAAAGATAAAGATATAGATAGATACAAAGAACGAGACAAACATAAAGATAAAATTCAAATAAATAGCTTACTCAAACTAAAATCTGAAGCAGATAAGCCTAAACCTAAGTCATCACCAGCATCAAAAGATACCCGACCTAAAGAAAAGAGGTTAGTGAATGATGATTTAATGCAGACAAGTTTTGAACGAATGCTAAGCCTTAAAGACCTAGAAATAGAACAGTGGCACAAAAAACATAAGGAAAAAATTAAGCAAAAAGAAAAGGAACGGTTGAGAAACCGAAACTGTTTAGAACTTAAAATAAAAGATAAAGAAAAAACAAAGCATACACCAACTGAATCCAAAAATAAAGAACTTACTAGGTCAAAGAGTTCAGAAGTGACTGATGCATATACCAAGGAGAAACAACCTAAAGATGCTGTAAGTAACAGATCACAATCTGTTGACACCAAAAATGTAATGACTTTAGGGAAGTCATCTTTTGTTTCAGATAATAGCTTAAACAGGTCTCCTAGATCAGAAAATGAAAAGCCGGGTCTCAGCTCCAGATCTGTATCCATGATTTCTGTTGCTAGTTCAGAAGATTCCTGCCATACTACAGTGACAACCCCAAGGCCTCCAGTTGAGTATGACTCTGACTTTATGTTAGAGAGTTCAGAATCCCAAATGTCCTTTTCCCAGTCACCTTTTTTGTCAATTGCCAAATCTCCTGCTCTTCATGAAAGGGAATTGGACAGCCTGGCTGACTTGCCGGAGCGGATTAAACCACCATATGCAAACAGACTTTCAACATCCCATCTTAGGTCATCTTCTGTAGAAGATGTTAAACTAATTATAAGCGAGGGGAGACCTACCATAGAAGTTCGAAGATGTAGCATGCCTTCTGTCATTTGTGAACATACCAAACAATTCCAAACAATATCAGAAGAGAGCAATCAAGGTAGCTTATTAACTGTGCCAGGAGATACTAGTCCTTCTCCCAAACCTGAGGTATTCTCAAATGTGCCTGAAAGAGACCTTTCAAATGTATCTAACATACATTCCAGTTTTGCAACTTCTCCAACTGGAGCTTCAAACAGCAAGTATGTTTCAGCTGATAGAAATCTCATCAAGAATACTGCCCCAGTGAACACTGTAATGGACAGTCCAGTGCATTTAGAGCCATCTAGTCAGGTTGGTGTGATCCAGAATAAATCATGGGAGATGCCTGTTGATAGACTAGAGACATTAAGCACCAGAGACTTTATCTGCCCAAATTCTAACATACCTGATCAAGAATCCTCTCTTCAGAGTTTTTGTAATTCTGAAAATAAGGTATTGAAAGAAAATGCTGATTTTTTATCCCTGCGCCAGACTGAACTGCCAGGAAACTCTTGTGCTCAGGATCCGGCATCCTTTATGCCTCCACAGCAGCCTTGCTCTTTCCCCAGCCAATCACTTTCAGATGCTGAATCGATTTCTAAACATATGTCTTTGTCATATGTTGCTAATCAAGAGCCAGGTATTTTACAACAAAAAAATGCAGTTCAGATTATTAGTTCTGCTTTAGATACTGATAATGAATCTACAAAAGATACAGAAAATACTTTTGTCCTAGGAGATGTTCAAAAAACAGATGCCTTTGTCCCAGTGTACTCTGACAGCACTATTCAAGAAGCATCACCAAACTTTGAGAAAGCTTATACTTTACCTGTGTTACCATCAGAAAAGGACTTTAATGGAAGTGATGCCTCTACCCAGCTAAATACACATTATGCATTTAGCAAACTAACTTACAAGTCTTCCAGTGGCCATGAAGTTGAGAATAGCACAACTGATACTCAGGTCATTTCACATGAAAAAGAAAACAAACTGGAGAGTTTGGTTTTAACTCATTTGAGTAGGTGTGATTCTGATTTATGTGAAATGAATGCAGGGATGCCAAAAGGAAACCTAAATGAACAAGATCCAAAACATTGTCCTGAAAGTGAAAAGTGTTTGCTTTCCATAGAAGATGAGGAATCTCAACAAAGCATTTTATCAAGTCTGGAAAACCATTCACAGCAGTCAACTCAACCAGAAATGCATAAATATGGTCAGTTAGTTAAAGTAGAATTAGAAGAAAATGCCGAAGATGATAAAACTGAAAACCAAATCCCTCAAAGAATGACTAGAAACAAAGCAAATACAATGGCAAATCAAAGCAAACAGATTCTTGCTAGCTGTACACTATTATCAGAAAAAGACAGTGAATCCTCATCTCCTAGAGGAAGAATAAGATTAACTGAAGATGACGATCCTCAAATTCACCATCCACGGAAAAGGAAAGTGTCACGTGTACCTCAGCCTGTGCAAGTGAGTCCCTCTTTACTACAAGCAAAAGAGAAAACTCAGCAATCTCTGGCAGCCATTGTAGATTCTCTAAAACTAGATGAGATTCAGCCATACAGTTCAGAGAGAGCAAATCCATATTTTGAATACTTGCACATAAGGAAAAAAATAGAAGAAAAACGCAAATTACTGTGTAGTGTGATTCCTCAAGCACCTCAGTACTATGACGAATATGTAACATTTAACGGATCATATCTCCTGGATGGAAACCCCTTAAGCAAGATTTGTATTCCCACAGTAAGTAACATCATCACTTGCTATACACCTGTAACACTGCCCAATAGAAGTATAATGCTAGCCACATACGTAATTTGAAGTTTTCTAGTAGATAGATAATTTCAGCAAAATAATCTGTCAGTGAGTCGAGATATAAAGCTAGTAACGTTCTTGTTTCTTTCATTCCCCAACTTTATTTTCCCTTAAAGAGTAAGAAATTTTAGCCGAAATAATATGTAGTGACATAGGCTTCAAATACAGGTATAACTATAAAGAACAAATTTAAATTAGAACTTTATACAAACTATTTCAGTAAAAATCATTTCAGGTGAACCATATTATGTTGCTGCCTTAAATCAATCTGTTGACTTTATATATGTATACATTTGTTGTATAAATTTATCCAGGAATTTATACACATTTATGTTAAACACGTGTTTAATGTAACAAACACATTTACGTGTTTAACAACATAAACACATTTATGTGTTTAACATAGACACATTTATGTGTTTAACATAGACACATTTATGTGTTTACAATACATATGCAGACTCTATATAAACACATAAATGTGTGTAATATTCATACTGTCACCTTTTCTTACTCTTGCAAAGGTGATGTAATTCAAGTTTGACTTCCTTGAAACAATTCTCGGGATATGTCTAGTTATATTAGAAGTTTAGTTGTGTCAAATATTGTTCTAAAAGAGACTAAAAGCATAGGTGAGAAATATTCCTGGATGTAGTGGGAAGTTTTTTTAATTTTTATTTTTTAATGAGAATTACTAAAGCAGCAAAACACAGCACAATATAGTAGAAAGCACTGTAGATTTCCAATTTGCATATATTACTGCAGAGTGGATTTTGCTACAGACCCACTGTGTGATCTTAATTAATTCATTTCCCATCTCTGATCCTTAGTTTTCACATCTGTAAAACAAGAATAAATGTCTCCCCTACCTCAAGGCAGGTTGAAATAGTATATGCTAAAGCCCATTAAAACTTTAGAACACTATATAGATTTAAGGTGGTTGCTGTTATTTTATACAGCTGCAAATCACTGTAAGGGTCATATTTATTCAAGCTAATAATAAGAACTCCAGACTTTGTACATAAAATGCTGTGTGTTTGAGTTTACTGGACTGAAACTCATTTGTTTAAAATTTAGTTTGAAAAATAATAAAGACCAGAATAACAAAAATCTTGTGGGCCCTACATTCTTTTTCTTACTTTCCAATATGGCTTTATCCATTTGTTTCCTCCCAGCCAACTAATTGCCATTTTATAAAAGTAATCTTCCCTCACATTTATGTAATCCAATTATAGAACCCATTAGAAATTATAAAGTGGAGGCCAGGCCTGATAACAATAACTGTAATCCCAATACTTTAGGAGGCCAAGGTGGAAAGACCACTTGAGGCCAGGAGTTCAAGACCAACAGGATGTCTACAAAAATAAAAAATAAATGTGGTAAAACATACCCAGAGTCAGTTTGTTTTTCCTTCCAGTACTTTAATCATAATTTAATCAAAATGCTGCCATTTTTCCAGAGGAAATCAAGGGGAGTAAAACTGCAGGTCAAATCTCCAAAATCAAATGAACAGGGAGGAAAACGAGATTTGTTACAACCTAGTCTCTACTGTGGCCACTGATTACACACTACAGAAATCTTGGAGGGGTTCCAAGAGTGGGTGATAAAAGGAAAGTGCATCCATGAGAAGCTGTCAGGGGAGCGAGTATTCTCAAGACTCCTGGGACCCAGATATTGAAAGAGAAAATCTCCAAGCATGATTTACTTAAAAGATAGATGGGGAAAACAGCAGAGGGAAAGTTTCCTCAGAAAACCTCCATATCTCTTTGGTGATTTTCCCTTTCTTCTGTATGTGATCTATGTTAATGATTACCACATTTAAATATCCTGCCCAGATCTCTCTCCTTGGCTTCTTTTTTGTAACTGCATAGCTCCACCTGAATGTCCATAAGCTCCAGAAACTCAGTAAGTCAGCACTGAGCTGAACTTACCCAATGACCTGCTTCTCTTTCTCCTTTCCTGTTCCCTCCTGTGGTCCCTTACCACCCTCCCGTTCTCACACTAAGCCTCAAGTCCTTCTGAGGTGTTCCTTCTTGTTTATGTTTATTGGGCCAGTCACTAGTATTTTTCGAACCCATTTCCTTCACTCCCTCCTCCATCTCACACCAACACAATAGTAAGCTGCTTCCTCAATTCCCTGCCTACAATCTTGTCCCCATGGTGTCTGTTCACACAGAGCAGCAAGCTGTCAGACCTTTCATGGTTCTCTGTTACTTAACCCTAACATGTTCTACATAATACCTCTTCCACAGCATGTTATTTAAATGCCTCCTGTGCAAATGGGGGAGGCTTTCATGGTCAAATAAGTTTGGGAAGCACTGTTAATCTAAAAATAGGTTCACTGCAGAACTTACCAGAACCTTTGATGTATTGGGAGTTTTCTAAGTGGGTACATTTATACAAGTATACAGTGTTTTCCAAACTTGTTCTTGGAAGCATTTTTGTAGATCTTTACAGAATTGTAAGATTGTAAAGAATTGTAAGAGAAATTGTGGGCCCAATCTTCTGTGGAACATACTTTAAGAAAAGCACATTTACAGAGTAGACTGCAGCCTGTATTATTTTGCCCCTGCTGATCTCTTCTGCGGTCTTAAGTTCTTAGAACATCAAATTTGACAAAATGGTGTGAAATGATGACGACGAGAGTAATGGCAAAACCGCAATTACTTTTGCACCAACCTAGAGTTGTCTGCAGATACCATTCTGTTTGTTTTTGCATGCCATCCTCTTTTGGGAATTACCTCCCTCCCTCCTTTTCCTTTCTTCCCACATGATTCGTTTCACTAACTCTAACTCTGGCTCTTCCTTTAAGATGCAGGTCAGGTATTTGCCCTCTTGAGGAAGCTTTCTCTGGCACCTCAGTGTCAGACAGTAGATATCCGTCCTCTACATTCCTTGAAATAACTAGAGGCCTATATGGTTTTCCAAAACTAAAACAGCACCAAACTACCTACAACTCATGCTAAGTTTAAAGCAGTTCACAGGACGCAGAAATTAAACAAATGAATTACTGCAATTAGAGGCCTGAGAAATGGTCAGTTCCAGTAAGTTGTTTGTCCTGTAGAATTTTCCACATTGTGATTCAACTGATTGAGTCTTTGTGGTGTTATTTAACATGTTTTCAGTCTCTCATAATGCTGATTATAGAGTCTGTAGAGCCAGGTGTGATTTTTGTCAAGAACTTTTCATATATGGTGTTACATGATTCCTGTGGCACTACATCAAGAAGTGGAAAATACCTGGTTGTCCTACTTTCATGTGGAATTGACTGTTAAACCAGAAGTGTTATAACTTGCCAAAACATGCTAAGATATCTTACTTTGCCATAATATGCTGGCAGTAATTATAAGCAAGAATAAGGGGGAAAATACAAATTCTCCAAGGGGTAGAAAAAGAGTAGGGATCACAGATGGTTATTGCCATCTCTTGGACATCTTTTGTTTTGTTTTGTTTTTAGTTTTGTTTTTAACTTAAGAGACAGGGCCTCCCTGTGTTGCCCAGGCTGGAGTGCAGTGGTGCAATCATAGTTTACTGCAGCCTCAAACTTCTGGACTCAAGCTATCCTCCCATCTCAGCCTCCTGAGTTGCTGAGGCTACAGGCAGACACCACCACATCCAGCTAATTTTTAAATTTTTTTTTTGAGATGGGGGTCTCAATATGTTGCCCAGGCTGGTCTCAAACTCCTGGTCTCAAGCAATCCTCCTAGTCTCAAGCAATCCTACTTCAGCCTCCCAAAGTGATGGGATTACAGGCGAGAGCCACCATGCCCAGCCAAGATGTCCCTTTTTTTTTTTTTTTTTTTTTTTTTTTTTGAGACAGAGTCTCGCTCTGTCACCCAGGCTGGAATGCAGTGGCATGATCTCAACTCACTGCAACTTCCACCTCCTGAGTTCAAGCAATTTTCCTGCCTCAGCCTCCTGAGAAGTTAGGATTACAGGCATGTGCCACCACACCTGGCTAATTTTTGTATTTTTAGTAGAGACAGGACTTCACCATTTAATCAGGCTGGTCTCGAACTACTAACCTCGTGATCCACCCATCTTGGCCTCCCAAAGTGCTGGGATTACAGGTGTGGACCACCATGCCCGGCCAGTGTATCTTATTGTAACAGTGCAGTTACACGCATAGATTGAATCAGCTTCCTTAACCTCCAGCATCTACCGGAAAACACCTCTCTTCTGGGTTTGTAGTGTAATTTGATATTACACTACAATATCAAATTAGAGATGAACCAGAAGCTTTTTGGAGTATGGATAGACAAAGTCATTGGGATATTACATGTAATAAAGTTTGAAAACAATTTCTCAGACCATTTCATCTGCTTTTATAAAAGAATTAAATGTAACACTCAGGACTTTAGTGTTTGATATTTATCATGTCTGCAGACAGACCTCACTATATAGATACCAATTGAACTGCTTTAATCTTTACTAGTGTTTCCTGCATGTTTATACCAGCTTTTCTGGTTTTGTGACTCCTCCTTCCCTCCTTGTCTGTGAGCTGTCACTTACTGATGATCTAAAATGTGTCTCGCTGGAATAACTTCCATAGTCCTTCTAATTTGCTCTTTGAAATTTGTTGTGGCCTTAGAATCAAAACATCTAAACTGTGCTCAATGTTTCCAAACAGAAGTAACAATCAGTTCTATAACTAGTGCTGTATTATTTAATTCACAGGACATCAGAATTTGTTTTTTTATGCACTAAAAGGGTTTAATTTTAAAAGAATAGCCCATTATTGTAAATAAAACCTAATATTTTAAACTATATATATCTTTTTAATTAGATTACACCACCACCTTCACTGTCAGATCCACTTAAAGAGCTTTTTCGACAACAGGAAGTTGTAAGGATGAAACTACGTTTGCAACACAGTATTGAAAGGGTAAGAAATGTTTAAATTTACACTTATGCTAAAAATAACTGGTTTCTAGCAATAAATTAAAATGGCCTATAATTTTTTATTAGTGGATTTTTAAAATTTAGAACCATTTTGAGAAGTGATTTGGTTTTATCTTGTGTTTATTAGATGGAAAAATTTTAAGCCTATTTTAGGATAGCTGCTCCCATATTATAATTTATGTTGAGTATATTTTTAATATGTAAGTCTCTAATAACTTCTTGTTATTTGTTGAATTTGTAGAACTATAGCAGTAGATTCCTAGTGGAACATTTGGCTTTCCAAGTTTTGGAATCATTGCTTGGTACCAGCTGTTTTAAGGCAAAAGGGCAAAATACTTATAAAGGCTATGCTTATTTGTCCACGTAGGTCGGCCTTAGTATGTGCCTTCCAATGGTTAGTCTTGGCGTGAAATTACAGGAAGAAAAACCTTTATCGGGTTATTTATAGGAATTATAAGTCATTTCACTTGGATTTACAAAAATATGTTTAACCTTTGGGGAGGGTTGAGGACCTCTGAAAATGTGGTGTAAACTATGATCCTTCTTCACAGAAATATATACATACTCATATGCAAACAAAATTTGTATATAACTTCTTTGGTTCATACATGATTGATTTTCCTGGCACAGGTTCTTAATTTTTTTCCTACTGTGGACTTCTGTAACAGTCTAAGAAATTTAGAACCTCTTCTCAGAATGTTTTTAAATTTAAAAAATTCATAGAATTACAAAGAGAAGCAACAAATGAAAGAAAGAAGCACAATACAGAATTTACAACACTGCATGACCCATTGACAATGAGCAATTTGTTAGCAATAAGAAGTCAGGTAATATAACACACATCAATAGCTATTTCAACTATTAAGACGTTTGAAACCACCTAGTATATATTCATCTGTGTACCTGTCCAGGTTACAGAAAGTCTTGCCACCTTACAGTTAAGAATTCTTGAGGGGTGGAGCCAAGATGGCCGAATAGGAACAGCTCCAGTCTACAGCTGCCAGCGTGAGCGACGCAGAAGACGGGTGATTTCTGCATTTCCCACTGAGCAAACGGCATACCAGGAGATTATCTCCTGCGCCTGACTAAGAGAGTGCTACGCCCACGGAGCCTCGCTCATTGCTAGCACAGCAGTCTGAGATCAAACCGCAAGGCGGGAGCGAGGCTGGGGGAGGGGCACCCGCCATTGCCTAGGCTTGAGTAGGTGAACAAAGTGGCCAGGAAGCTCGAAGTGGGTGGAGCCCACTGCAGCTCAAGGAGGCCTGCCTGCCTCTGTAGACTCCACCTCTGGGAGCAGGGCACAGCCAAACAAAAGGCAGCAGAATTCTCTGCAGACTTAAATGTCCCTGTCTGACAGCTTTGAAGAGAGTAGTGGTTCTCCCAGCACACAGCTGGAGATCTGAGAACGGACAGACTGCCTTCTCAAGTGGGTCCCTGACCCCCGAGTAGCCTAACTGGGAGGCACCCCCCCAGTAGGTGCAGACTGACACCTCACACGGCTGGGTACTCCTCTGAGACAAAACTTCCAGAGGAATGATCAGGCAGCAACATTTGCTGTTCACCAATATCTGCTGTTCTGCAGTCTCCGCTGCTGTTACCCACACAAACGGTCTGGAGTGGGCCTCCAGCAAACTCCAACAGACCTGCAGGTGAGGATCCTGTCTGTTAGAAGGAAAACTAACAAACAGAAAGGACATCCACACCAAAACCCCATCAGTATGTCACCCATCATCAAAGACCAAAGGTAGATAAAACCACAAAGATGGGAAAAAAACAGCAGAAAAACTGGAAACTAAAAATCAGAGCGCCTCTCCTCCTCCAAAGGAACGCAGCTCCTCACCAGCAACGGAACAAAGCTGGACGGATAATGACTTTTACGAGTTAAGAGAAGAAGGCTTCAGATGATCAAACTACTCCGAGATAAAGGAGGAAGTTCGAACCCATGGCAAAGAAGTTAAAAACCTTGAAAAAAGATTAGACGAATGGCTAACTAGAATAACCAATGCAGAGAAGTCCTTAAAGGACCTGATGGAACTGAAAACCAAGGCACGAGAACTACATGACGAATGCACAAGCTTCAGTAGCCGATTTGATCAGCTGGAAGAAAAGGTATCAGTGATGGAAGATCAAATGAATGAAATGAAGCAAGAAGTTTAGAGAAAAAAGAATAAAAAGAAACGAACAAAGCCTCCAGGAAATATGGGGCTATGTGAAAAGACCAAATCTACGTCTGATTGGTGTACCTGAAAGTGACGGGGAGAATGGAACCAAGTTGGAAAACACTCTGCAGGATATTATCCAGGAGAACTTCCCCAATCTAGCAAGGCAGACCAACATTCAAATTCAGGAAATACAGAGAACACCACAAAGATACTCCTTGAGAAGAGCAACTCCAAGACACATAATTGTCAGATTCACCAAAGTTGAAATGAAGGAAAAAATGTTAAGGGCAGCCAGAGAGAAAGGTTGGGTTACCCACAAAGGGAAGCCCATCAGATTAACAGCTGATCTCTCAGCAGAAACTCTACAAGCCAGAAGAGAGTGGGGACCAATATTCAACATTCTTAAAGAAAATAATTTTCAACCCAGAATTTCATATCCGGCCAAACTAAGCTTCATAAGTGAAGGAGAAATAAAATACTTTACAGACAAGCAAATGCTGAGAGATTTTGTCACTACCAGGCCTGCCCTAAAAGAGCTCCTGAAGGAAGCACTAAACATAGAAAGGAACAACCGGTACCAGCCACTGCAAAAACATGCCAAATTGTAAAGACCATCAATGCTAGGAAGAAATTGCATCAACTAACAAGCAAAATAACCAGCTAACATCATAATGACAGGATCAAATTCACACATAACAATATTAACCTTAAATGTAAATGGGCTAAATGCTCCAATTAAAAGACACAGACTGGCAAATTGGATAAAGAGTCAAGACCCATCAGTGTGCTGTATTCAGGAAACCCATCTCACGTGCAGAGACACACATAGGCTCAAAATAAAGTGATGGAGGAAGATCTATCAAGCAAATGGAAAACAAAAAAAGGCAGGGGTTGCAATCCTAGTCTCTGATAAAACAGACTTGAAACCAACAAAGATCAAAAGAGACAAAGAAGGCCATTACATAATGGTAAAGGGATCAATTCAACAAGAAGAGCTAACTATCCTAAATATATATGCACCCAATACAGGAGCACCCAGATTCATAAAGCAAGTCCTTAGAGACCTAGAAAGAGACTTAGATTCCCACACAATAATACTAATAATGGGAGACGTTAACACCCCACTGTCAACATTAGACAGATCAACGAGAGAAAGTTAACAAGGATATCCAGGAATTGAACTCAGCTCTGCACCAAGCGGACCTCATAGACATTTACAGAACTCTCCACCCCAAATCAACAGAATATACATTCTTCTCAGCACCACGCCGCACTTCTTCCAAAATTGACCACATAGTTGGAAGTAAAGCACTCCTCAGGAAATGTGAAAGAACAGAAATTATAACAAACTGTCTCTCAGACCACAGTGCAATTAAACTAGAACTCAGGATTAAGAAACTCACTCAAAACCACTCAGCTACATGGAAACTGAACAACCTGCTCCTGACTGACTACTGGGTACATAACGAAATGAAGGCAGAAATAACGATGTTCTTTGAGACCAACGAGAACAAAGACACAACATACCAGAATCTCTGGGACACATTGAAAGCAGTGTGTAGAGGGAAATTTATAGCACTAAATGCCCCCAAGAGAAAGCAGGAAAGATCTAAAATTGACACCCTAACATCACAATTAAAAGAACTAGAGAAGCAAGAGCAAACACATTCAAAAGGTAGCAGAAGGCAAGAAATAACTAAGATCAGAGCAGAACTGAAGGAAATAGAGACACAAAAAACCCTTCAAAAAATCAATGAATCCAGGAGCTGGTTTTTTGAAAAGATCAACAAAATTGATAGACCACTAGCAAGACTAATAAAGAAGAAAAGAGAGAAGAATCAAGTAGACGCAATAAAAAATGACAAAGGGGATATCACCACCCATCCCACAGAAACACAAACTACCATCAGAGAATAAACACCTCTACACAAATAAACTGGAATTATCTAGAAGAAATGGATAAATTCCTCAACACATACACCCTCCCAAGACTAAACCAGGAAGAAGTTGAATCTCTGAATAGACCAATAACAGGCTCTGAAATTGAGGCAATAATTAATAGCTTACCAACGAAAAAAAGTCCAGGACCAGATGGATTCACAGCCAGATTCTACCAGAGGTACAAGGAGGAGCTGGTACCATTCCTTCTGAAACTATTCCAATCAATAGAAAAAGAGGGAATCCTCCCTAACTCATTTTATGAGGCCAGCATCATCCTGATACCAAAGCCTGGCAGAGACACAACAACAAAAAAAGAGAATTTTAGACCAATATCCCTGATGAACATCGATGCAAAAATCCTCAATAAAATACTGGCAAACCGAATCCAGCAGCACATCAAGAAGCTTATCCACCATGATCAAGTGGGCTTCATCCCTGGGATGCAAGGCTGGTTCAGCATACGCAAATCAATAAACGTAATCCAGCATATAAACAAAACCAAAGACAAAAACCACATGATTATCTCAATAGAGGCAGAAAAGGCCTTTGACAAAATTCAACAACCCTTCATGCTAAAAACTCTCAATAAATTAGGTATTGATGGGATGTATCTCAAAATAATAAGAGCTATGTATGACACACCCACAGCCAATATCATACTGAATGGGCAAAAACTGGAAGCATTCCCTTTGAAAACTGGCACAAGACAGGCATGCTCTCTCTCACCACTCCTGTTCAACATAGTGTTGGAAGTTGTGGCCAGGGCAATCAGGCAGGAGAAGGAAATAAAGGGTATTCAATTAGGAAAAGAGGAAGTCAAATTGTCCCTGTTTGCAGATGACATGATTGTATATCTAGAAAACCCCATCGTCTCAGCCCCAAATCTCCTTAAGCTGATAACCAACTTCAGCAAAGTCTCAGGATGCAAAATCAATGTGCAAAAATCACGAGCATTCTTATACACCAATAACAGACAAACAGAGCCAAATCATGAGTGAACTCCCATTCACAATTGCTTCAAAGAGAATAAAATACCTAGGAATCCAACTTACAAGGGATGTGAAGGACCTCTTCAAGGAGAACTACAAACCACTGCTCAATGAAATAAAAGAGGATACAAACAAATAGAAGAACATTCCAAGCTCATGGGTAGGAAGAATCAATATCGTGAAAATGGCCATACTGCCCAAGGTAATTTATAGATCAATGCCATCCCCATCAAGCTACCAATGACTTTCTTCACAGAATTGGAAAAAACTACTTTAAAGTTCATATGGAACCAAAAAAGACCTCGCATTGCCAAGTCAGTCCTAAGCCAAAAGAACAAAGCTGGAGGCATCACACTACCTGACTTCAAACTATACTACAAGGCTACAGTAACCAAAACAGCATGGTACTGGTACCAAAACAGAGATACAGACCAATGGAACAGAACAGAGCCCTCAGAAATAGTGCCACATATCTACAACCATCTGATCTTTGACAAACCTGACAAAAACAAACAATGGGGAAAGGATTCCCTATTTAATAAATGGTGCTGGGAAAACTGGCTAGCCAAATGTAGAAAGCTGAAACTGGATCCCTTCCTTACACCTTATACAAAAATTAATTCAAGATGGATTAAAGACTTAAATGTTAGACCTAAAACCATAAACACCCTAGAAGAAAACCTAGGCAATACCATTCAGGACATAGGCATGGGCAAGGACTTCATGGCTGAAACACCAAAGGCAATGGGAACAAAAGTCAAAATTGACAGATGGGATCTAATTAAACTAAAGAGCTTCTGCACAGCAAAAGAAACTACCATCAGAGTGAACAGGCAGCCTACAAAATGGGAGAAAATTTTTGCAATCTACTTATCTAACAAAGGGCTAATACCCAGAATCTACAATGAACTCAAACAGATTTACAAGAAAAAACCCCATCAACAAGTGGGTGAAGGATATGAACAGACACTTCTCAAAAGAAGACATTTGTGCAGCCAACAGACACATGAAAAAATGCTCATCATCACTGGCCATCAGAGAAATGCAAATCAAAACCACAATGAGATACCATCTCACACCAGTTAGAATGGCGATCATTAAAAAGTCAGGAAACAACAGGTGCTGGAGAGAATGTGGAGAAATAGGAATACTTTTACACTGTTGGTGGGACTGTAAACTAGTTCAACCATTGTGGAAGTCAGTGTGGCGATTCCTTAGGGATCTAGAACTAGAAATACCATTTGACCCAGCCATCCCATTACTGGGTATATACCGAAAGGATTATAAATCATGCTGCTATAAAGACACATGCACACGTATGTTTATTGCGGCACTATTCACAGTAGCAAAGACTTAGAACCAACCCAAATGTCCAACAATGATAGACTGGATTAAGAAAATGTGGCACATATACACCGTGCAATACTATGCAGCCATAAAAAAAATGATGAGTTTATGTCCTCTGTCGGGACATGGATGAAGCTGGAAACCATCATTCTCAGCAAACTATCGCAAGGACAAAAAACCAAACAGTGCATGTTCTCACTCATAGGTGGGAATTGAACAATGAGAACACATGGACACAGGAAGGGGAATGTCACACACCAGGGCCTGTTGTGGGGTGGAGGGAGGCGGGGAGGGATAGCATTAGGAGAGATACCTAATATTAAATGATGAGTTCATGGGTGCAGCACACCAGCATGGCACATGTATACATATGTAACAAACCTGCACGTTGTGCACATGTACCCTAAAACTTAAAAGTATAATATAAAAAATAAATTCTTACTTGAATTGTGCAATTTGTAGAACTTTAATAAAAAAATGATACATCTTACTCGTATTTGACCAATAAACAATTTAGAATTGTATAATACTTGAGGGCAACTTTAAATGTCTGACTGATACGAGAACAAACAACTTTACCGTGTGGTGGCTCAGTAACTACTAGCTGCAAAATTGCTTGATATTGGCCAGCTATGTCATACAAGTATCTCCGGCCAGCTGTGTCATAGAAGTATCTCTACGCAGAACTGCAGTTAGGTGTCATATAGCAGCAGATCTCACAACTGCAGGGATTTTCTTTTGTTTTTTTGAGACAGTCTCACTCTGTCACCCAGGCTGGCAGTGGTGTGATCATCATGGCTCACTGCAGCCTCAACCTTCCAGGCTCAAACCATCCTTTTGCCTCAGCCTCCCAAATAGCTTGGACTACAAGCATGCACCACTACACCCAGCTAATTTTTTAAAAAAATTTTTGCCAGGTGTGGTGGCTCATGCCTGTAATCCCAGCACTTTGGAAGGCTGAGGCAGGTGAGGAGATCGAGACCATCCTGGCTAACATGGTGAAACCCCGTCTCTACTAAAAATACAAAAAATTAGACGGGTGTGGCGGCACACGCGTTTAGCAACTCGGGAGGCTGAGGCAGGAGAACGGCGTGAACCCAGGAGGCGGAGGTTGCAGTGAGCCGAGATCATGCCACTGTACTCCAGCCTGGGGGACAGAGCGTGAGACTCCGTCTCAAAAAAAAAAATTTTTTTATAGAGTTGGGGTCCCACTGTGTTGCCCAGGCTGGTCTCAAATTCCTGGGCTCAAGCAATCCTCCTGCCTTAGCCTCCCAAAGTGCTGGGATTATAGGTATGAGCCATTGTGGCCAGCCAGGAATTTTGAAGAAGAAATTAGTATAAAAATTTGGGAGGATATCAGTACATCTGTAATATATTAATAATTTAGAAATATTTGTGATTTCTATGAATGACAAAGCTGCAGATACTTATGATTCTACTGTGGTTTGTAGACATATTCATGATTGAAAGAAATGCCAGTTGGAAGTTAGTGAAAATAAAGACATAATTTTTTCCAATCCAAGTTCACCGACTACCCTACCCCTATTCTATCTTCAGGTTTCTTGAGGGTGTGAGGACCTCAAATTAAGAGCAACGCTGTTCAAGGGTCATTTTCCCCACAGAAAATGGTAACATTTGAATGCTATACTAAATGAACAAAGTTTACAGCCAGAATCCCTGCCCATTTCCTCAGAACTTCCCCATGCTGCACTCTATCACCCAAGAAACTAAGAGGAAGCAATACATTGGCACACCCATAACCTATCCTTAGAGGACACTGTTTGAGAGGCTCTGCTCTAGGGGTTTAAAAACACAAAATTAAGAATGCTGATCGAAAGTGTACTATTTAGATTGTCAGGTAAGCAACATTTATCATAAAATAACATCTCAATTATTTTAGGGGAGAGAGGCTCTGACTTTAGAAAATGTATTTCTTGGCCGGGCATGGTGGCTCACGCCTGTTATCCTAGCATTTTGGGAGGCTGAGGCAGGTGGATCACCTGAGGTCAGGAGTTCAAGACCAGCCTGGCCAACCTGGTGAAATCGCATCTCTACTAAAAATACAAAATTAGCCAGGCTTGGTGGTGGGCACCTGTAATCCCAGCTACTCTGGAATCTGAGGCAGGAGAATCACTTGAACCCGGGAGGCGGAGGTTGCAGTGAGCTGATATCACACCATTGCACTCCAGCCTGGACGACAGAGTGGGACTCCATCTCAAAAAAAAAAAGAAAAAAGAAAAAGTTATTTCTCACATGGTGTTTGCTTTTGAGGGATTTTTGGTTATTGCTTTTAATCTCTGCAGGACTACAACCAACTTTTTAGGAAGACGCATCTGGCTATTTTTAATTTTGCATCAAGGTTTTGGATATGTATTACTTCAAGTTGCACTTTAAATTGTACTTAATAAATCAAAAGTGTTAGGCCTACCTCTTTGAATATCGTTTGTCATATAAGAATTAAGTTAATTAGGACCATGTTTCTTTGTTTTTTTCATGAATTTATAAAAACATTAAAACTCTGCAATAATACATTTTTGGATATAATATGGCCTGTTTTCTCCATCAGGAGAAGACCAAAGTTCCTGGGAGTCGAGGAGAGGAGAGAATGGGAAACGTGGGGGTGGGGAGAATGGGAAACCTAGAAGACTAGGCACATTCTTTGTATTCTCACAGCCCAGTCTTCCATACAGGGCCAATAAAATGATGTATGTTATTAAACTGGCGAGTTCCTGGACTCGCTTTACTTCTCCATGAAGTTCTAGCTAGCTACAGGTCCCAGGGTTATCCCCATTGATACTTAGGCCAAAGAATATAGTTAGGACCAGATGGCACAAGTCCGTAGCAAATATTAGGATGGGTTGGGATCTGCAGCTGGACCCCAGGAATTCTCAGTTTGCTAAATGCAGAAGATTGCCTAGGTCATATTATGAACCTTGTGGTAGAATGACTCTGCATATTACATAATAATTTTGGGCCCCACTTAATACAGGATTTTATTGTGTGTGTCAGAGGTTTACAAGTAGTTGATGTCATCATACAGTATGTTTATTTCTATAAAAATATTCATTATAAAACTGCCAACACAAGGGCATACCACTTCACGCCCAGTAGAATGGCTGTAATAAAAAAGACATATGTAACAAGTGCTGGTGAGGATGTGAAGAAATTAGAACCCTCCCATTGCTGATAGGAATGTGAAATGATACGGCTACTATGGAACAGTTTGGTGGTTCCTCAACAAGTTAAACAGAGTCACCAGATGACCCAACAGTTCCATTCTACTTATTTATCCAAGAGAAATGAAAACATGCATCCAAACAAAAACTTGAGTGTGAACGTTTATAGCAGCATTTTTCATATTAGCCTCAAAGTGTGAACAGCCTGTAGGGGAGGCAAAAGTTGACCTCCACCATCTTAAGGTCTCCAGCTGGGCCTTAAGGTCACCTTAGCCTCCCAGAGCATTGAGATTACAGGCAAAAGCCACTGTGCCTGGCCAGCATATTTTAAGTGATTTTATCTTACTTCATCTGACATAGATTAACAGGAGAAAAATGTGCAGATTTATTTAAGATTTATGTCACATGGGAGCCAAAGACGTGGCAAAACCTGAGTGATTTTATGCTAGGTTGAAGAAAGAAAGGCAGCTGTGGAAAAGTAACTAAAATCTACTGGACAGCTAAAGGAAGATGAAAGTTATTTTAACAAGGTCTGTTTGTACAGAATTCTCTTGGCCTTGATTCCCTGTCACTGGTCACAAGAATGTTTCTTTCCTCCTGGTTTCAGGAGAGCATCTTTCCCATGGGAGTTTTATCTCTGGCTTTCAGGTAGAAAAGGGGAGGTCAGAGCACTCTTGAGCCTGCTGACTTCAGATTGCCTTTAGCTCAAAATAATGTTTATGCCAAAGTGGCATATTTTGGGGTAGCGTTTTCTGCCACCCTTCAAGCCCAAATGTCTATCAACTGATGAATAAATAAAATGTGGTATATCCATGCAGTAGAACATACTTTTCAGCCACAAAATGGGATAAAGTACTGATGCATGCTACAACATGGATGAACCTTGAAATCATTATGCCAAGTGAAAGAAGCCAATCACCAAAGACCACATATTGCATATTATGTGATTCCATGTATATTAAATGTTCAAGATAGGTAATTCATAGAGACAAAAGTTAGATTGTTGGTTACTAGGAGCATAGAGGAAGGGGGTGGAGGGAGTAAGGAATGACTGCTGATGGGTAGCAGGTTTCTTTTTGGAGTGATGGAAATGTTCTGGTGATGGTGGAACATCTTGATAAATACACTAAAAGCCACTATTTTATACCACCATACTTGGAAAAATAATTTAAAAATAGAGAAACTGGTAGTTTTGGAGAGAGAAAATGTATTTCTACTTTTGGAACACTGGGAGTTCTCAAATTTCTCAAGCCTACTGTGAAGAAAAGACTACTCTGAAATTTGGGTTACTTAGCTTGTTTGTTTGTAGAGATGGGGTCTTGCCACTATGCCTGGCCTAACAAATTGTTTTTGAATAAGATAAAATGACTTAAAATATGTTGGCCAGGTATGTGGGTTACACCTGTAATCCCAGCGCTTTGGGAGGCCGAGAGGGGAGGATCTCTTGAGCCCAGGAGATGGTGACCAGCCTGGGCAACATAGTGAGACCCCTGTTTCTACAAAAAAAAATTAAAATAATAATTAGCCAAGTGTGGTGGTCCACACCTATAGTACTAGCTACTCAGAAGGCTGAGGTGGAAAGATTGCTTGAGTCCAGGATTTCGAGATTACAGTGAACTAGGATCATGCCTACACACCAGCCTGGGTGACAGAGTGAGAAGAGGCTAGGCACAGTGGCTCAGGCCTGTAATCTCAGCACTTTGAGAAGCTAAGGTGGGAGGATCACTTGAGCCCAGGATTTTGAAACCAGTTTGGGCAACCTAGTGAGACTTTGTCTCTAAAAATATATATATATATTTTTAATTAGCTGTGCTTCATGGCACATGCCTGTAGTCCCAACTACTACGGAGGCTGAGGTGGGAGGATTGCTTGAACCCAGGAGGTCAAGGCTGCAGTGAGCTGTGATCACACCACTGCACTCCAGCCTAGGCGAGAGAGTAAGACTGTTCTTAAACAAAAATTTGTTGAAGAATTTATTTTTTTTTAATTCTTTATTCAACTAGGAAAAACTCATTGTATCCAACGAACAAGAAGTTTTGCGAGTTCATTACAGAGCTGCAAGAACATTGGCAAATCAAACACTGCCATTTAGTGCTTGTACTGTTTTGCTGGATGCCGAAGTATACAATGTACCATTGGACTCTCAGGTAAAATGTTTGTTGATACATTTAGAAGTAATGGTCTGAAAAAATGCAACTTGGCTATTTTTAGAATCTATTTCCATAGAAAGAACTTGAACTCAACAATCATTAAAGGTCAAAGAAGAAAAAAAACTCTTTCAAGCCAGAGTACTTCCAGATCAACTGGTCCTCCATTTTCTAAAGCACTGTAAACATTAGGTTTCTATTATAAAAGCAGATGATCACAAAACACCTGTACATTTAGGATAGTGCCCTTACAGGTACACATAATTTGTTTCTAAAGTGAATGTTTATACCTTTAGTTCTGACCTTCAGGCAGCTAGAAAGCTATTGTACACTGAAAAATAGTGCAGCTAGATGGCACCTCTAGGTTGTGACAGTCCTAAAAACAGAGCGAGTCTTCTGGTTTGACTTTGAATGTTGGTGGAATACATGAACTGTGGAAGACTGGAGAAATATCTTCAATAAAGTTTACTGCCACATATAAATTACATGAACTCAGAACCAGTCATACTAGTTTTCAGAATTTGTTTATGGCTTATAAACCAGAAAAGAAAGAATTTAAAGATTAAAATTTTTATAATAAACAGTGAAGGATTATCACCTGAAAACAGACTAGGAAATGCTGTTCTAAAGGAAATAAGCTAGTAGTACAAAGGATAATAGGGTATATCACAGAAAAATATTTTTAGACTCTTCTGAGCTTTATTTTTCTCATCTATAAAAAAATCAAGATTGAACTAGATAGGTAGGTTTCAAACTTAAGGCACTGAATGGGTGTGGTGGCTCATGCCTGTAATCCCAGCACTTTGGGAGGCCAAAGTGGGCAATCACTTGAGCTCAGGAGTTCAAGACCAGCTTGGGAAACATGGTGAAACCCCGTCTTTACAAAAAATATAAAAATTAACTGGGTGTGGTGGGGCACACATGTAGTCCCAGCTACCAGGGAGGCTGAGGTAGGAGGATCTGTTGAGCCTGGCAGGCCAAGGCTGCAGTGAGCTGGATTGTACCACTGCACTCGAGCCTGGGCAACAGAGTGGGACCCTGTCTCAAAAAAAAACAAAAAAAAAACTTTAAGTCTCCAACTTTTATTTCAAATGAAAGTGTTCAGAGATATCTGAGGATGCTATTAACATGAATAATTGTGTCTCTTCAGAAAGAACTGTGTGACTAAAGAAATAGGCACTGGAGAGGCCACTGAGGGACTTTCTAGAACTTTCATATTTAAAGATGTTTAAAGGGAAGAATGGATGGTTTTTAATAACTGCAATTAACAGTTTAACCATGTTCTTATAGGCTGGACTAAACAGTGGTATCTTGAGATCTTTTTAAGTTTTGAGCAATCAGAGAGAAATGAGTTTTAGAGCAATATAAATTGAGGTTTATAATCGAGCTACAATGAAAAGTCTCTTGATTTCTAGCTCAGAATGGTTGAGTAAATATATACATACCTGTTGATTCCTTCTTTCTCCCAAAACTCATTGAAATGACAAAAGACATAAAAATTTCAAAGCCTGGCATGGTGGCACATGCCTGTAGCCCCAGCTACCCCAGGTGGCTAAGGTGGGAGGATCGATTAAGCCAAGGAGTTCGAGCCTGCAGTGAGGTATGATTGCGCCCGCTGCACTCCAGCCTGGATGACAGAGTGACACCCTGTTTCTTTTTTTTTTTTTTTTTTTTTTTTTAAGCAGAGTCTGGCTCTGTCGCCCAGGCTGGAGTGCAGTGGCACGATCTCGGCTCACTGCAAGCTCTGCCTCCCTGGTTCATGCCATTCTCCTGCCTCAGCCTCCCGAGTAGCTGGGACTACAGGCGCCCGCCACCACACCCGGCTAATTTTTTGTATTTTTAGTAGAGACGGGGTTTCACCATGTTAGCCAGGATGGTCTCGATCTCCTGACCTCGTGATCCACCCGCCTCGGCCTCCCAAAGTGCTAGGATTACAGGCGTGAGCCACCGCGCCCGGCCGACACCCTGTTTCTTAAAAGTAAAGTAATTAATTAAATTCATTAAAAATAAAAACAAATTCATAGCAGAGCTGGAAATTGAGGTGGGAAACTGTTAGACAAAAACATTAAGAAATTTCTGATAAGATTTAAAATAGATGAAAACATATTGGTAATCAAATACAGCAGAGTTGAGGAATGCCCAGTATCATACAGGTTAAAAAGAGAATTTAAAAAATAAATGCGTTTTCCTAGAACAGTATAAATTTTCAGTTATAAAGGGATTTTGATAACTTGAGTAATTCATTTTCCCTGCCCCAGATTTTCTTAATGATCCAGACCACCTGACTTTAGATTAAATTAAGCTTGCTGAGATCCTTTTGTGGATCATAAGCCTGATGATTGGGTTTTCACACTGTGTGAGACAGGCCTCTCTCAAACCTTGTTGCATTGTGCACACATTACCTGTCTGACATGGGGGAAGAAATTCAGCTTGATGAGATACCAAAATGTGAGGTGTATTCTCTTGACAGAGAGAAACTTATGCTAAAAACATTTCTGCATTTTTGGTGACTTATTTAAATATGGAACTGTTATCCACCCTTTTACAGCTGGCTTTAGAGTAGAAGGTCTCAAGTAGCATGCGTTATTTCCTATGGGAGTAGCCTTGGAAGGAACTAAAGGGAAAAAAGTCTACTTTTCTTTGGGTAGAGGCTCAGATCATCCATTAGTCTACTCTCTTATCACTTCTTCCTTTTCAAAATAAACTTGTTTGAGCACCTGAAATGTGGTAAAGAAAAATAAATAAATAAACTTGTAATACTTAAGAGTCAACAATAACATTTTAAATAGTCAAAACATCTAACTTGGGGCACCAATGAAGAAATTATAACTGCTAAAAATGTGAGTAGTGGCCAGGCACGGTGGCTTACGCCTGTATTCCCAGCACTTTGGAAGGCAGAGGTGGGCAGATCACGAGGTCAGGAGTTCGAGACCAGCCTGGCCAATATGGTGAAACCACATCTCTAGTAAAAATACAAAAATTAGCCAGGTGTGGTGGCGGGTGCCTGTAATCCCAGCTACCTGGGAGGCTGAGGCGGGAGAATCGCCTGAACCTGGGAGGTGGAGATTGCAGAGAGTCAAGATTCCAGCCTGGGTAACAGAGAGAGACTCCATCTCAAAAAAAAAAAAGAAAATGTGAGTGTGGGAGCTACCTGCTGCCTGGATGTCAGTTTGACAGCACTGGTAGTGGTAGTAATGGAGTGAGTGCTGCATTGAGTGCTTCCTGTGTACCTAAGCATTATGATGAGGGCTTTATAGACACTTTTCATTCTCAAAACAAGCTGAAGAGAGGTTACCACATTTTACAGAGTATAAGACTGAAACTGTATAATTAGTTCAAGATCACGTAGTAAGATACAGAGCTGGAATTTGAATATAGTCTGTTAATTCCAAAACTGGTATTCTTAAGTGTTGATAAAGAATTTCTTCATGAGAAAGAATTTCTTCATGAGCACCGCAGATATTGGTCCTGGAAGAAATTTTGGCCTCAAAGGCAGCTCTCTCCCACCTGGATACTTTTTGTCCCTACAGATAGTAAACTGTAACATTAAAATTAAATCTGTAATTGGTTATACAGTAATAATGTCACGGGCACAGTACTTAATGTAACATGCCTTTTTGAGAAATGTCTTTGACTTAGAGCAATAGGAATCTATTTTAATTAATAATTAAACCTACCATCCCAAGAATTCTAATAACCAATCTGTCTACACAATGTGGAAATAAAAGTTTTACCAACTTCAGCAGTATTCAATTTATATATTTCTCAAAATATATTTTCATCGTTACTAAGAAAGCAGCATATACCATAAAAATACTATAATGGCATATAGATTTTAAAGTGATTTATTGTATTTTATAATACTCACTTTTCTCTTTTAGTCTGATGACAGTAAAACTTCTGTGAGGGATCGCTTTAATGCAAGACAATTCATGTCTTGGTTACAAGATGTGGATGATAAATTTGACAAATTAAAGGTATGTATGTTTGGAAGTCAGTTTAAATGAATGCTTCCCCCTTCTTAAAAAAAAAAAAAACTCTACAGCTGTATTAGGGAGAAATAATTAGGAGGGGAAATACTGGTTAGTCATGAATCCTCACACTGGGCCACAATTGGAAAGATAAAGACCACAAGTCCATTTTAAGGACTAGTTGTAGTATGAAAGAGGAAACTGCCACAGAAAATGCAGTTTCTAGTGTGGGTCTTCATGCTTACTATCCAATGTACCTGTCTGGTTATAGCTTGAACATAACGAAAGAATAGGAGAATGGTAAGAAAAGGAATATAGTTTTCAAATCTATAAATTATTTGATTTGAGATTTTGAATCATTTCAGAAGTCTTTCCCCCCTAGATTTTCATGTTTCTTTTGATAATTTGAAATCTCATAATTTGAAATAATATTTTCAAATTAAAATCTATAACAGCAGTCCCAACCTTTTTGGCACCAGGGACCAGTTTCGTGGAAGACAATTTTTCCATGGGTTGGGGTGGGAGGATGGTTTGGGGATGAAACTTTCACCTCAGATCATCAGACATTAGATTCTCATAAGGAGCATGCAACCTAGAACCCTCGCATGTGCAGTTCACAATAGGGTTTGAGCTGCTATGAGAATCTAATGCCGTTGCTGATCTAACAGGAGGCTGAGCTCAGGTGGTAATGCTTGCTTGCCGCCACTCACCTCCTGCGGTGTGGCCCAGTTCTGAACAGGCCATGGATCGGTACCAGTCCGTGACCCGGGGGTTGGGGACCCGTGCTGTATAAGGTGAAAATGAAGTTGCAGACCCACAAATAGTTGGTATGTGTGTACAAACAGGATAAAACAGAAATGGACTTGTAGGCCGGGTGTGGCAGTTCACACGTGTAATCCCAGAACTTTGGAAGGCCTACGTGAGCAGATCACCTGAGGTCAGGAGTTCAAAACCAGCCCGGCCGACATGGTGAAACCCCATCTCTAAGAAAAATACAAAAATTAGCTGGGCGTGGTGGCACATGCCTGTAGTCTCAGCTACTTGGGAGGCTGAAGCAGGAGACTCGCTTGAACCCAGGAGGCGGAGGTTGCAGTGAGCCCAGAGCTCGCCACTGCACTCCAGCCTGGGAGACAGAGCAAGACTCTGTCTCAAAAAAAAAAGAAAGAAATGGACTTGTAATTCAAATGCTTTTTATGCTCCTGATGTGTCCATTTTAGTTCCTAAAGAAACTGGATGAGATTAATTTTTAAACAAAGCAAAGTTAACAGAATAATCAAGTAACTCTTCTCTTCTTTTAAATAGACCTGTCTTTTAATGAGGCAACAACATGAAGCTGCGGCTTTAAATGCTGTCCAGAGGTTAGAATGGCAGCTCAAACTCCAGGAACTTGATCCTGCCACCTATAAATCTATCAGCATTTACGAAATCCAGGAGTTTTATGTTCCCCTTGTTGATGTTAACGACGACTTTGAATTGACTCCTATATAGCAGTCAGTACTTCCTGATGGTATTGTCCTAAACTGGTGATGCTCAAGCATTATACTGTGGAATACTGCCTTTTGACAAAAATACTCATGCCTTTACAATTGTTAGTAAAGTTCGATTATAGTTGGTTATGTAGTAAACACTGTCATTTTATAAAAAATGAGAATTATTTTGGATCTTAGATCCAAACACAGTTTCTAATAGAAAACTATTATTTATATTGGGAAAGGTAACTATTGCATTAGAGCATGTTGGCAGACTGGTAGGTATTTAAAAAGTTGAGAATCTGCTAACAGCGCTGGAAGTTGTTAGCGCTCTAAGTAATAAGATAACCACTAGTATTCAAATCTCTTTCAGGTTTTATTAAAAAATATATATCAATAAACTAAAAGGTTCAATTCCTACCAAATAGTTTCTAATGTGGGAGAAAAACTTGGCACAAAATTTCTTCAGTTTATTATCTGTAAATTGTACAGTTTTCTTTTTGAAAGTTTTAATATTGTCTTCCTTTTTAATAACTTATTTTATACATATTGTGCAGATGTAAATCTTGTAATTAATGGTCAAACTGTATAAAGGGATTGGTAGTCAAAACATGTACAAAGAAATACCTGTAAAACTGTTTTGTCTCATGTTTTATTGGACCAAAGTTGTGGTTTGTATGGAGTGTAGTAGTAGTGTGTACAGGTAGAAAACTTTTAAATACAGCATGCAGGTGTTTCAGTTAGCTTGTTTTCATCACCATAACTGCAAAGATGTGGCTTAGTTGTATTGCATGCTTCCTATAATTTAACTCTCCATAATTGATGCCTGCAGTAGTGTAAGGCATTTCATACTAGTCTCCTCTAGTAGACCTGTGACTTACTGTGTTGGACATATTATTTAGACTTAGTCATACAAAGAAACTTAGCTCTTTTTTCATCTCACAGTAAAGCCTATTTCCCCAGGAAAAAAATAAATGCCTTTGAATGAAAATTCTGAAATTGTAAATGTCTATTTTAATATTCACCTATGAAAGAATCTGTGAATATATGTAAATACGTTTAATAAATTTTATTGGTCATGTTAAATCATTGTAAAACTTTTTTACATTGCTTAATGTTTTAAGCTTAATAGCCTTTGCACTTTTAAAATAAAAACCAAGTATGCAAATCAAAGATATTTGGTAGTCAAAATAAGTAAAAGAAATATAGGAATATTCCAGTCAATCTCTGAAATGTTTATGAAAAACAGGTTAATATGTTGTATTTTTTTCCTTGTATCAAGATGCAAAACATAATTTGCAAAATTTTATAATTGAAATAAAACTTGGTATGCTGTTTTATAATAAATTAGCAATATACTTTAAAAAAAATCCAGTTTCTCCTATAACATGATGTAAATTAAATATTCAGGAATATTTCAGGTCTGAAATCTGCTGCTGAACTTGTTAGACATTTTTGAAAGGAAAATTAGGTTAGCGTACAATTTATCATAAATATATGAGGTAAAATTTGCAAAACTTTCCACAGTACTTTCTTGAATTATAATACTGAATGTTTTCTGTTCCGATAGAGAAAAGTGAAGCAAATATGTGAGGAATGAAGTGATCTAGTGCAAGTTGGTAATTCCAGCTAATGGGAGAGAATGTAAATGTGCAAAGGTACATATTAAGCTTAGGGATTTTTGAATTTTTACGTCAGTTTATATTTTAATTCTTACTGTACTTGGCATGCGCAATAAAGCAGCACATGTAAAAAAAAAATACACAGTGCAAGGACTTTATTATAAAGGTTGGATGTAGTTTTCCTTAGAAATTTAGGTGAGAGATTTTGGCCTTTTTTATTGGATAAATTGGGCCAGAAAGGCAGGGTAGATTTCGAAGCACTGGTTCTGTTGAAGTTAAGTTTATTAAGCCTGGGAACATTAAAAGCTAATTTATAAAAGCAATACTTTTTAATATGAAAACTTACTGCAAAGTTTGTTTATACTTTTGCCTAAAAAGGAAATTGGATGGGATACTGTGGCAAATCATAAAAAACCAGATAATTGAACTTTGAAGTTATAGAAAATCAGAGAGGGGTAAGTTTATAGGGCATTTTGTTCTGATGGTTCAACCAGAGGTCTGGGAAATAGCACTGTTGGCCCAAACAGAACAGGCTTTTAGAAGATAAAAGCGACAAGAAGGAATCTGGTGAATTTTAGTCATCCCAGCTTTTTAGTCTTAACCACAGTTCTCACTCTCTTAAATGGTACCTCAAAAAGCTGGAGCCTCTCTGCCATGATTATGCTTCTACAAATTTCTTTTATAAAGAGACTCAAAGCTAATGATAGCTTAAAAGAAAAGTTAATGCCTTCTCATTGGAAATGTATAATCAAATAAGTAGTTAAGGGCTTTTGGTATTAAAGATATTCTGAAGCTCTGAAATGCTAGAAAAAAATTTGGAATGGAGTATATGCCTGAAAAGGTTTTGGATTCAGAAAGAAAAAGGATGGTTAGTTTAATCAGTGATTCTTTTTAAACTCTTCAAATATCATGAACAAGATACTAAATTGTACCTAAGGATTTGTATTTCTTTACAATTTGTTCTAAATATCTGTTTAATGACTAGTTGATATTTGTGCATGTTATTTAATAAAGAGTTATATTTTTATAGAAAAAAAGAGTGAAATGTGTGCTAACTGTTTTTTTACTTAATTTTACTTGGGCAGCTAGCAAAATTGCAGAAATATGCATCCTGGGAAAAGAAACAGCCTTTGAAGAATTAGCCTTTCAAGTTCAAATCTATTTAATAATGAGAAGTCTCACAAGTGAATTTTTAAGTACAGGCATACCTCAGACGTACTTTAGGTTCCAGACCATCTCAGTAAAGCAAATACCACAACAAAGCGAGTCAGGAGGAATTTTTTGGTTTCCCAGTGCATATAAAAGTTTTGTTTATACTATATTAAGTGTGCAATAGCATTATGTCTAAAAATATGTACATAAGTTTAAAAATATTTTATTGCTAAAAATGGTAACAAAGTGAGCACATGCTGTTGGAAAAAGAGCACCAATAGACTTGCTTGAAGCAGGGTTGCCACAAACCTTCAATTTGTAAAAAACGCCAATATGTACAAAGCACAATAAAGCAAAGCACAATAGAACAGGATTGCCTGTATTAGACATGCTACAAACTTCATAACTGGAAACATCTCAAAGACCCCATGAAGCTCATTTGAATGGGACTTAACAATTAGACAGTTATTTTAGAAATTGAGTGCAGACCTAAATACATAGTTTTCCAAAAAGAAAATTATTGTCTCTGATATCTTAAAACATAAAAACCCAAAATTTTATATAGAAGAAATTGACTCTGTAAAACGCAATGAAATAGTCCTCTTTTTAAACAGTTTAAAGGAAGCATTTTCACCGTTTGTAAAAATTATTTTTAAATATTTAGGGCAAAATTTTTGTTAGATAATAATGGAAAAGCTTGTGTGAGTTTAGTGGTTAAAATATCTTGTAATTCATCATTATTTAAGTGACTTCTTGGGAGCCGTCTTTGTACCTAAAATGGAGTTTTTTTTTAAGCCTCCACAGAGATAGTCACCCAAAGTATTTCCAGTCAGTAAAAGTAGAATTCATAGAAAAAACTGAGGCAAATTAAAACAATTCCATTAATCAAAATGGCTTTAAACAAATTAAGTATTAGCATAAAAATAGCAAAAAGTACAACTAAAAAAATGGTTGGGTTTTCCCAGTGGTTAAATGCTATATAATAACTGCAAATAAAAGTTTTTTTGTACATGGACAGCGTCCTCATAAAAGAAAATAGGCCAGGCCAGGCGCAGTGGCTCGCGCCTGTAATCCCAGCACTTTGGGAGGCCAAGGCGGGCGGATCACGAGGTCAGGAGATCGAGACCATCCTGGCTAACACGGTGAAACCCCGTCTCTACTAAACAAAATGCAAAAAATCAGCCGGGTGTGGCCGCGGGCGCCTGTAGTTCCAGCTACTCGGGAGGCTGAGGCAGGAGAATGGCGTGAGCCTGGGAGGCGGAGCTTGCAGTGAGCCGAGATCGTGCCACTGCACTCCAGCCTGGGCGACAGAGCGAGACTCCGTCTCAAAAAAAAAAAAAAAGAAAGAAAAGAAAATAGGCCAATATGGTGAAACCCTTTCTCTACTAAAAATACAAAAATTAGCCAAGCGTGACGGTGCCTGCCTGTAGTCCTAGCTACTTGGGAGGTTGAGACAGGAGAATCGCTTGAAGCCTGGAGGCGGAGGTTGCAGTGAGCTCACGCCACTGCACCCCAGCCTGGGCAACAAGAGTGAAACTCTGTCTCCAAAAAAAAAAAAAAAAAAAAAAAGTATATCACATATGTAGCATGTGTTTACAAGTTTAAAAGGCACCACCTATGCACTCATCACTCAAGAGAATATCAATAACTTTCTCAGTTTTTTTTCATTGTTATAGTCTGTATTCAATAAAATTACCCAGATCTTAACTAGGCAGTTTGATAAATCCTGACAAATGTAAACACTCATGTTACCATCACCCAAATTAAGATATTGTAAAACATTTTCATTACTCTAGAAAGTTCACTCATGCCTCTCTCCAGTCACTACCCCTGAGGCAGCCACTGTGCTGATTTCCCATCACCATACATTAGTTGTACCTAGCCTTGAACTTCATAGAAATAGAGTCATACATACTTCCTTGTCTGCCTTGTTTCTCAACATGATGTTTTGAAATTCATCCATGTTGCACCTAACAGTAATGAGTCGTAATTTATTAATGAGTAGTAGTGTATTGTACAAATTTGTTTATTCGTTCTCTTGTTGGTATTTGGATTGTTTCCAGTTTGGGACTATTGTTAATAAACCTGTGAATCTGCAAGCCTATTTTGTGGACATATTGTTTCATTTCTCTTCGGTACATACCATGGAGTACAAACACTAGGTCATAGAGTAGGTGCATGTTTCACTTTATTAGAAACTGACAGTTATCGGCTGGGCGCAGTGGCTCACGCCTGTAATCCCAGCACTTTGGGAAGCCAAGGTGGGTGGATCACTTGAGATCTGGGCTTCCAGACCAGCCTGATCAACATGGTGAAACCCCGTCTCTACAATACAAAAATTAGCTGGGTATGGTGGTGCGTGCCTGTAGTCCCAGCTATTAGGGAGGCTGAGGCATGAGAATCGCTTGAACCTGGGAGGCAGAGGTTGCAGTGAGCCGAGACAAGATCATGCCACTGCACTCCAGCCTGGGCAACAGAACAAGACTCCGTCTCAAAAAAAAAAGAAAAGAAAGGAAAAAAAAAAGTTCTCAATAGCAGTTGTATCATTTTATACCCCTATCAGCAACCAGTAGGAGGCCCAGTTACTCTGAATCCCCGTCAATATTTGGCATTGTCAGTCTTCAATTTCAGCTATTCTCCTAGATGTGTAGTGGTATCTTGTGGTTTTAATTTACATTTCTCTGGTAATTAAAGAGATTGAGCATACCTTTCATATGCTGATTGGCCATTTATACGTCTTATTTTTTGAAATTTTGCCTATTTTTAATTGGGTTGTCTTCTTATTATTCATTTGTAGGAATCCTTTATAAGCCGCATAAAAGTCCTTTGTCAGATACAATTATCATGGATGTTTTTACCCAGTGTGTGGCTTGCCTTTCCGTTTCTCTTAGTGACTAGTTTCCTCACCTTTTAACAATTCCTTTACATTGATAACGATCGTCCCAGAGTATTTAGTAGATGTCTTAAGTCACCCCAAAAAACAAGTTTTTCCCTTTAATAACTAGCAATCATGAGGCCACATGGGTACACAATACCTTTAGGTCTCAGGAGCACCACCTCTATTCATTGTAAGGCCATTTGTATTTGACATTCAGAAGTTTTCAAAACCCCCTCCTGAATTAACCTATTACTTCTTGACACCCTTTCCATATTGCCTGAGTTGTAGAACAAGTATTTATGTCGTTCTTAATACTGTGTGTTTTTTAAGCACAGGGTGGATAGTCATGAAAAAGTCCGGTATCATAAGTGAACTTTAGAAAGGAGATGAATTGTCTGAACCGGGTCATGTGGGCAAGTTTCCAGCCGTCCTGCTGATTTACATGCATCTATGCATGAAATCAACCAGCACACACTTAGGACTCCATGGGGTGTGTCAGGATATGTGTCATTTGAGGATTTACACAGCATTTACCTCGGTCCCAGTTCTCAAACATTTTGGTCATAGTACCCGCTGGACTCCGAAAGTACTTTGAGAGCTTTTGTCTTTGTGAGATATCTTGATATTTACTATATTAGAGATTAAAACAATTTTAAAGAATATTAATCAGTAAACCTATTTTGTGTTTATTTTTATAAAAAATATATTTCCAAAACGAAAAATTAGGAAAGTACATTATTTTACATTTTGGCAAATCTTCTTAATGTCTAGCCTAATAGGAGATAGCTGGAATTTCTTTCTTTTTTTTTTGACACGGAGTCTCGCCCTGTCGCCCAGGCTGGAGTGCAGTGGCACGATTTCGGCTCACTGCAAGCTCCGCCTCCCGGGTTCACGCCATTCTCCTGCCTCAGCCTCCCGAGTAGCTGGGACTACAGGCGCCTGCCACCACGCCTGGCTAATTTTTTGTGTTTTTTAGTAGAGACGGGGTTTCACCGTGTTTGTTAGCCAGGATGATCTTGATCTCCTGACCTCGTGATCCGCCCGCCTCAGCCTCCCAAAGTGCTGGGATTACAGGCGTGAGCCACTGTGCCCAGCCACAGCTGGAATTTCATTTCTGCTTCCACACTCAATGTGTCGGGATCTGTTTTGGTTTTGCTTTTTTGGTGTTAAAGAAAATATGACATCACAAATATGCAGTAGGAAAAGAGAAATATTTTAATAGATTTTTAGATAATTATGGGCATTATTCTTTAATTCCACATCAAAACATGACAAGCAGTTTCTAAAAGGTTAGTTGCCTTGTGGAATCAGAAACCATATCCATGAGCTTTTATGAACTTTTCCTAATTCTGTTATATTAAAATTCATTTGACTGTCTTGTACTTTGAATGGATCTTTTGCCAGTGCATTATTTTGTACCATCATGCCTTCATCATTTGGAAAATAACGTTTCACTGAAGTATTCAGATCTTCCAATGCTGACACCTTTCATTATACAAAATCAAAAAAAAATTCACATTTTATCACCAGTGATCTTATCAGAAAAATTGTTTAAGTAGTGGGAAGCTCTTAAACTCTATATGACATATACAAGTTTTCCAAAATTCCAGTTTTCACTTGAAAGCATAGGCTTTCTCATTGGCAACAAACACTTGCCATTGTTTTCCTTAAAAAGTGACATGCTTGCTTCATTTATTTTCAAGAATATGTCTGTGAAGGAGCCACGCGTGCGTAACTGCAGCCTGCTCAAGTCTGGCTGCACGCCACACAGAGGCCAAACATGAGAACCCACATGTGATGAAAGGAGGGCAAACTTTTTTTTTTTTTTGTGGGGGCGGGGAGGGGGACAGAGTCTTGCCCGGTCACTCAGGCTGGAGTGCAATGGCGTGATCTCGGCTCATTGCAATCTCCGCCTCCTGGGTTCGAATGATTCTCCTGCCTTGGCCTCCCCCAGTAGCTGGGATTACAGGCGCCCGCCACCACCATGCCCAGCTAATTTTTGTATTTTTTTTTTTTTTTAAGTAGAGACCGGGTTTCACCATATTGGCCAGGCTGGTCTCAAACTCCTGACCTCGTGATCCGCCCGCCTCGGCCTCCCAAAGTGCTGAGATTACAGGTGTGAGCCACCACGCCTGGCCCAAGGGACAAAGGTTTCAAAATGTCTTTCAAGGCTGGGATATTCGGTTATATAACCATAGTTCGTCAGTCTCATGGAAAAAGCAGTTAGATTTGCAACTCAGTCAAGGACTTTTCTCCAATCACTTTACTTTGGTATGCAACAAAAGTATTTTATGCATTCTCCCATTTTTTAAACAGAGTAACAAAAAGATGTGGACCCAAGGATTGAGATTAAATAAAATCAATAATTTTTACTGTTTTATCAGCAACATTAAAAAGTTGGCCTTTATGGCCAGGTGCAGTGGCTCATGCCTGTAATCTCAGCACTTTGGGAGGCCGAGGTGGGCAGATCACCTGAGGTCGGGAGTTTGAGACTAGCCTGACCAACATGGAGAAACCCCGTCTCTACTAAAAATACAAAATTGGCTGGACGTGGTGGCGCATGCCTATAATCCTAGCTACTTGGGAGGCTGAGGCAGGAGAATTGCTTGAACCCAGGAGGTGGAGGCTGCAGTGAGCCAAGATCGTGCCACTGCACTCCAGCCTGGGCAACAAAGTGAAACTACGCCTCCAACAACAAAAAAAATAAAGTTGGGTTTTTAATTCATTTTTATTTTTTTTAGACAGCGTCTTGCTCTGTCACCCAGGCTGGAGTGCAGTGCCACAATCACTGCTCACTATAACCTTGTATTCTTGGGCTCTTTGGGTCCTCCCACCTCAGCTGGGACTACAGGCATGTGCCACCACTCCCAGCTAATTTGGTGGTGTTTTTTTGTTTGTTTGTTTGTTTGTTTGTTTTGTTTTGGTTTGGTTTTTGCTTTTAACAATGAGAGCTTGGCAATGGAGAATGCAATAATTCCTGGTACAGTTGGCTGCAGCTGCCTCAGTTTGTGCTAAGGCACCAACAGTTTCATGTACCATTGTTTTGGTACAAATGGCAACACTTACAATTGCAAATAATAAAGAATGTTTTCCTATCATTGGAAAGTCTGTAGACTACACTTTGAGAACTGCTGACTTAGCACTTCTATAAAATAAAGGTGAGCTAAAAATACATTATACATTTGCACAATGAGTTACTGTGTAAATATAACAGAAGGGAAAGAAACTATACTTATATGGTTGGTTGATTGGATTTTGCCAAATTTAAATGGAAACCTAAATTTACCCCCACACCAATTCCTTGATGGCTGCTGGTGCTATATAAGAATTAAATTCCCCCGTGGCTTCCTGAATTGGAGATCTGACACTTTGCTTTAATGCTTTACACTGTAGGCACAATTTTCTAAGTCTTTTTTTTTTTAATTTGTTTTGTTTTGTTGTTAGAGATGGGGTCTCACTCTGTCACCCAGGCTGGAGTGCAATGGCCTGATCTCAGCTCACTGCAGCAGCAACCTCTTGGGCTCAAGTGATTCTTTCACCTCAACCTCCTGAATAGCTGGGACATGCCTATAGGCATGCCCAGCCTGTTGTTTATTTCTGAACAGCTGTGGCTATTAGAAAACTCTTTCCTCCAGAGCCTCAACCCCCATCCCATGTTGACATGACTGCCCTCTGGAACAACACTTCTGGTAAGAAAAATATTCTACAGATGTGTTATATAAACAGATAATATAAATAATAATGGTTTAAATATACATTCTCTAATGGGCTAAACAAAAAAAAATATGTTATTAGTACAGAACAAATAGATCAAATTGAGAGAATCCTGAAACAGATTCATATATATTGAACTTTTGTACCATGATATAGGCAGTATTTCCGATTGGTGTGTAACAGACAATAATGATTACACATGGTACTGGGTCAGTTGGAAGACATAAAATGATAGATCCCTACTTCATGACAAATTCAAATATAACTTCATATTGTAAATCAAAAATAAAATTCCAAGCCTCCCAACCATCTGAATGGACCCTCCCTCTTGGCCAAGGGCATTCCAAAGATAACCTGAAAAACTAGTTCAGGCCATGGTGGGAAGTGGAGTCGGACACCCATCATTATACCCTCCTCCCTTTGGGAAGTCAGGCCCAGCTGACCAGCATTAACATTAAAACAGGTCTTAAGACTGACAAAGAAGACTCTTTGTAACAATAAGATACCAAATTCCAGCCTGATTTTAGTATAGCATTACATGACAGATCACAGGCCCTGAAAGAAATTGAAGTGTTTTACCCCATATTATGTTTCTTTGCCATATCTTGAAGTAGTCTTGCAAAGCTGTCTCTTGTGGGGAAAATCTACATTCTGAAGAGAATCCTGTTGGCTTTCCCAGGCCTTTTTCCTGATCTGAAAGAGAATCAGCTCTGATAAGACACATTTACAGGCTGGGTGCAGTGGCTCTCGCCTATAATCCCAGCACTTTGGGAGGCTGAGGCAGGTGGATCACCTGAGGTCAGGAGTTCAAGATCAGCCTGGCCAACATGGTGAAACCCCGTCTCTACTAAAAATACAAAAAAAAAATTAGCCGGGCATGGTGGCACACGCCTGTAATTCCAGCTACTTGGGAGGCTGAGGCAGGAGAATAGCTTGAACACAGGAGGTGGAGGTTACAGTGAGCTGAGATCGTGCCATTGCACTCCAGCTGGGCCATAAGAGCAAAACGCCGTCTCAAAAAAAAAAGGCCAGGCACGGTGGCTTATGCCTGTAATTCCAGCACTTTGGGAGGCCAAGGCGGGCAGATCACAAGGTCAGGAGATTGAGACCATCCTGACCAACATGGTGAACCCCATCTCTACTAAAAATACAAAAATTAGCTGGGTGTGGTGGCGTGCACTTGTAATCCCAGCTACTCTGGAGGCTGAGGCAGGAGAATGGCTTGAACCTGGGAGGCGGAGATTGCAGTGAGCTGAGATCACACCACCGCACTCCAGCCTGGTGACAGAGTGAGACTCCGTCTCAAACAAAAACAAAAACAAACAAAACAAGAACATTTACAATCTATTCTCTCTAAAGCCTACTACCAGAGGCTTCCTCTACATCATGGGAAGTTGGTTTCCACAACCCCTTAACTTAACCCAGACATTCCCATCTATTGGTTCTAGGTCTTTAGACAATAACTTTACTCTTTCAACCAATTGCCAGTCAGAAAATATTTGGCCTATGACCTGAAGCCCCTGCTTCGAGTTGTCCTTCCTTTCTAGACCATACATCTTACATGTATTGATTGATGCCTCATGTCTCCCCAAAATATTTAAAACCAAGCTGTAGGCCAACCAACTTGGGCACATGTTCTCAGGATCTCCTGAGGGCTGTGTCAGAGGCCATTCATCACTTATATTTGGCTCAGAATAAATCTCTTTAAATATTTTAGGGGAGAGTTTGACTCTTTTTGTCAGCAACATGGATGAAAGATAAACTGTTCATTCAGCAGTTTTTTTTTTAGCCCTTACTATGTGCCAGATGTTATGCTAGGCGCCAAATAGATGTGGTTCCTGCCTTCATAGAGCTGAAGTCTACATATGCGGAGTGACTATAGAATTTGTCATCCAAACTGGGACATTTTTAATGAGTGAAAGGAAGCTCTATTAAAAAGTACATCATGACAGTAGGTGTAAATAGAGTCTGTTTGGGGCAAACTGGACAGTATGGGCAGAGCTGCCTTAGCCCCAACCAGGAGGGGCCCCTGCCCTAGACTTTGTGCTTTAGAGGTCCTCACAGGATGGGGTATCTGCCAGGCAAGGGAACATGCTCACTGACTCCACACGCACTCCTCTAGCCCCTTTCTTGACCATGCTACAAGTTTCCCGGACTCTAATTCCCTACCCAGTTAACCCTGAAGCTACTTTCAGGGTCCGTATGGTTCCTTCCTCTGGATCTGTTCTCTGAGGGTGAATTTCTCTGCAGGTGTGAACACCCAAGTGGTGGCCAAGGTGCTGCTGTTTTGAAGAGCGTGCACAGAATTGGGACATTCATGCAAGATGACATCCATGCAAGGCAACATTCATGGAAGGCATCATTCATGGAAGGCATCATTCATGCAAAGCAACATTCATGCAAAGTGTCATTCACAGGTGTAATTCATGGAAGGAGACATTCATGCAAGGGGATGTTCATGCAAGGTGACATTCAGACAAGGTGTCATTCACTGAAGACATAATTCATGGAAGGTGTCATTCCCACAAGGCAACATTCTTGCAAGATGACATTCATGCAAGGTACAGAATCATCATTCATGGAAGAGGACATTCACGTAAGGTGTCATTCATTCAAGGTGACATTCAAACAAGGTGACATTCACACAAGGGTCCTTGAGGTGTAGAACAGAGCTGGCAGTGAGAAGAGAAGGGAAACATCATAGAGACTTGTACTCCATTGAAACTGCCTTTGTAAAAATTATAACAGTGAGAAAATTATGACAGTGAAAGAGATCTGATCTAATCAACCCTCATCTTGATTTTAACCTCCAAACTGCCCTTAGTCATTCCTGGGCTTGGGCTAACCTAACTTTGGGAGAAATTTGGATTATACTTTAAATGATAATAGCTCTTCCCCCAAACTAAACTGCCTTTGTAAAGCTAATGAAAGACCACCAGGTTAGGAGAATGAGAGGAGCCTGAATTCTGCTAAGGGGTAGCTACAAATGACGAGCCATTATTATAGATCTCACAAGATTCACAACTTCCCTAATTACTCCTGCAGATAACATCACTGTTATAGAACTTAACGTTGGCCTTTTGGGATGTCTTTTCAGGTTTTTGCACTTTTTTTTTTTGAGGCAGATTCTTGCTCTGTTGCCCAGGCGGTAGTGCAGTGCAGTGGTGTGATCTCGGCTCACTGCAACCTCTGCCTCCCAGGATCAAGCAATTCTCCTGCCTCAACCTCCTGAGTAGCTGGGACTACAGGCATGCACCACCACATCTGGCTAATTTTTTGTATTTTTAGTGGAGACAGGGCTTCGCCATTTTGGCCAGGTTGGTCTTGAACTCCTGACCTCAGGTGATCCGCCCAGCTCAGTCTCCCAAATTGCTGGGATTACAGGTGTGAGCCACCGTGCCTGGCCAGGTTTTTGCATTTCTGACAACTGATGGCTCCACCTGGATCTACCAACTGGCCCTGCAGCCCCACCCAGAAGTAGACTCAGCACATGAGAACCATTTTCCACACCCATGCAACTGTATCCCCAACCAGTCAGCAGCACTCATTCCCTTGTCTGCCAAACTATCACTGAAAAACCCTAGCCTCTGAATTCAGAGACGCTGATTTGAGTCATAATAAAACTCTGGTATCCCATAAAGAGTTTAATTCATGCAGCCATCTCTGTGTGAATTAAACTCTTTCTCTGTTGCAATTCCCCTGTCTTGATAAATTGGCTCTATATGGGCAGTGGGCAAAATGAATCTATTGGGTGGCCATACTATAATTTTACTCTATTTTTACTCTGAAAATCAAGAGCTATTAGAAAACTCTATCTGTCAGGATAGAGAAAAGAGACTACCATTGCTACACAGTCTGGATTAGGAGAATATCTGGGAATTCATCTGCTTTTTGCACAAATTCACCAATCTGAAATACTGATTCTACCATGGTATTAAAGTTGAATAGATATGAATGTGTTTTAGGATTCGCTCTATTTAATCTATTTGTTTGCTACCAATATGAAATCATTTTTATATGTCATATAAAATGATTTTTATATGACATATAAAAAATATAAAAGAAATATTTATATATTCTTTTATGTGTCAGTTCAATACGACCCTTTTTTAAAAAAAATCTCATGCCTGTTCCTAAATATTCAGTCTTCAGTTGAAATTTTAAATCAACTTGTTCAAATTAAAAAAAAAAAAAAGTACATTAGGATTGTTTGAAGCATCCATGAGAGTCCATGGGCACTTGCCATCTCCTACAAAAGAAATGTAAATTTTAAATGGAAAATTAAGAAAACATAAGGCCTGGCACAGTGGCTCATGCTTGTAATCCCAGCACTTTGGAAGGCTGAGGCAGGTAGATCACCTGAGGTTGGGAGTTCAAGACCAGCCTGACCAACATGGAGAAACCCCATCTCTACTAAAAATACAAAATTAGCTGGGCGTGGTGGCACATGCCTGTAATCCCAGCTACTCGGGAGGCTGAGGCAGAAGAATTGCTTGAACCTGGGAGGTGGAGGTTGCAGTGAGCCGAGATCACGCCATTGCACTCCAGCTTGGGCAACAAGAGCGAAACTCCGTCTTAAAAAAGAAAGAAAGAAAGAAAACATAAATAGGTGAACCAGGAGTTCCATTATAAATAGAGTAGTCATTACAGAGACTGTGCATAGAAACAGGGAAAGGATAATTTTTTTTTAAAGGAGACAAAAGGCTGGCCATGGTGACTCACGCCTGTAATCTCAGCACCTTGGGAGGCTGAGGCGGGTGCATCACTTGAGCTCAGGAGTTCAAGACCAGCATGAGCAATGTGGCAAAACCCTATCTCTACCAAAAAATTTTAAAAATTAGATGAGTGTGGTGGTGTACACCTGTATTCCCACCTACTCAGGAGGCTGAGGCGGGAGAATCGCTTTAGCCCAGGAGGTCGAGGCTGCTGTGAGCTGTGATCGCACCACTGCACTCCAGCCTGGGTGACAGAACAAGACTCTTTGTCACACACACACACACACACACACACACACACACACACACACACACACACACAAAGACAAAGAAAAAATAATTATTAGCTTAATAAAGATCTGAGTGTTCAGGTCTACAGGGCTTAATGGCAAATGGAAATAATGCAAAGACATATACCTAGCTAGGCTCACCTTGATGACATTTCTAAACCCTAAAGAGAAAATTCTAAAACCATCTGGGGAGAAAGAGCAGATAAACTACAAAGAATGAGCATGAAATCAGCTCATAGACTTCTCATCTAAAACAGGATGCTAAAAGGCAATGGAATAATAATAGCAAGTGAGTCGGGCACAGTGGCTCATGCCTGTAATCCCAGCACTTTGGGAGGCCGAGGTGGGCAGATCACCTGAGGTTGGGAGTTCAAGACAGCCTGGCAAACATGGTGAAACCCCACCTCTACTAAAAATACAAAAATTAACTAGGGCGTGGTGGCACACGTCTGTAATCCCAGCTACTCAGGAGGCTGAGGCAGGAGAATCACTTGAACCTGGGAAGTGGAGGTTGCAGTGAGCTGAGATCACACCACTGCACTCCAACCTGGGAGACAGAGCGAGACTCAGTCTCAAAAAAAAAAAAGAAAAAAGAAAAAAGAAAAAAAAATAGCAAGCATATCTATATGTATATGGTTGCTGTTATATCCATCAGCACTATTATAAGCACTTTATTATATTAACTTATTTTATCCTTACAACAAACCTATGAGATAGGATTACTCTTATTATGCTGCCCCTTTTACAGCTGAAGAAACTGAGGCACAGAGGGGTTAAATAGCTTGCTGAAGAGTACACATTACCCAGCTAAAAAGTGGCTGAGTTAGATTCAAACATAGGCAGTCTGGCTCCAGAGTGTGTGATAATAACTATGCTCTATGGCCTCTAGTGGAAAGTCTTCAAAGTTCTGAAAGGCTTTTTGTATTAGATTTCTATTGCTGCTACACTAGTATCAAATTACTACATATCAAATTACTAATAAACTGGGCATAGTGGCATGAGCTTGTAATTCTAGCTACTTGGAAGGCCGAGATGGGAGTATTGCTTGAAGTCAGAAATTTGAGACCAGCCTGGGCAACACAGCAAGTCTCTAAACAAAAACGAACAAACAAAAATTACTAATAACAAATTACTATAAATTTAGCAGGTTAAAACAACACACTGGGTCTGGTGCAGTGGCTCATGCCTATAGTCCCAGTGAGAGGTGACAACATGCTAGTAGCCCTTGCTCGCTCTCAGCCCTCCTTGGCCTCAGAGTCCACTCTGGCCATGCTTGAGGAGCCCGTCAGCCTGCCGCTGCACTGTGGGAGCCCCTCTCTGGGCTGGCCGTGGCTGCAGCTGGCTCCCTCTGCTTGCAGGGAGGTGTGGAGGGAGAGGCACAGGCAGGAACCAGCGCTGCGCATGGCACTCATGGGCCAGTGCAAGTTCCAGGTGGGCGCTGGCTCGCGAACCCATTCCAGGGCGCCCTGCCCTTCACAAAGAAAACTTTCCTCTGGGCTCCTGCCGGCTTCTCCCGGATCTGTCGCAGGCTCGGTGGGCCCCACACTCAGAGCGGCCGGCTGGTGCCACTGGCCCCAGGCAGTGAGGGGATTAGCACCCGGGCCAGCAGATGCAGAGGGTGCACCGGGTTCCTCAGCACTGCCCGCCGGCCCACGCCGCACTGGAATTCTCGCCGGGCCTCAGCTGCCTCCCCGTGGGGCAGGGCTCGGGATCTGAAGCCCGACATGCCTGAGCCCCCCAACCCCTGCCCTGTGGGCTCCCTCGCAGCCTGAGCCTCCCCGACGGGTGCCACCCCTGCTCCGCGGCCCCGTCCCATCGACTGCCCGAGGGCTGAGGAGTGCAGGCACGGGGCACAGGACTGGTGGGCTGCTCCGCCTGTGGCCCTGGTGGGCAGGTGATCCACTAGGGGAAGCCAGCTGGGCTCCTGAATCAGGTGGGGACTTGGAGACCTTTTCTGTCTAGTGGGAGGATTGTATATGCACCAATCAGCACTCTGTGTCTAGCTCAGGGTTTGTGGATGCACCAATCAGCACCCTGTATCCAGCTAATCCAGTGGGGACTTGGAGAACTTTTATGTCTAGCTAAAGGTTTGTAAATACACCAATCAGCACTCTGTGTCTAGCTAAAGGTTTGTAAATGCACCAATTGGTGCTCTGTGTCTAGCCAATCTAGTGGGGACTTGGAGAACTTTAATGTCTAGCTAGAGGATTGTAAATGCACCAATCAACACTCTGTGTCTAGCTAGAGGATTGTAAACGCACCAATCAGCACCCTGTCAAAATGGACCAATCAGCTCTCTGGAAAACGGATCAATCAGCTCTCTGTAAAATGGACCAATCAGCAGGATGTGGGTGGGGCTCCATAAGGGAATAAAAGCAGGCTGCCCCAGCCCCAACGGCAACCCGCTCAGGTCTGCTTCCACACTGCAGAAGCTGTGTTCTTTTGCTTTTTGCACTAAATCTTGCTGCTGTTCACTCTTTGGGTCCACACCGCCTTTATGAGCTGTAACACTCACTGTGAAGGTCTGCAGCTTCACTCTTGAAGCCAGCGAGACCACAAACCCACCGGGAGGGACGAACAACTCCAGACAGGAGCAACAAACAACTCCAGATGCGCTGCTTTTAAGAACTGTGACACTCACTGCGAAGGTCTGCAGCTTTACTCCTGAAGCCAACAAGACCATGAACCCACCAGAAGGAAGAAACTCCAGACACATCTGAACATCTGAAGGAACAAAGTCCAGACACATCATCATTAAGAACTGTAACACTCACCGCGAGGGTCCACGGCTTCATTCTTGAAGTCAGCGAGACCAAGAATCCACCAATTCCGGACACACCAGCATTTTGGGAGGCAAAGGCAGATGGGCTCAAGGAGGATTGCCTGAGCCCAGGAGTTCAAGACCAGCCTGAGCAACATGGCAAAACCCTGTCTCTACAAAAATACAAAAATTAGCTGGACTTGGTGGTGCATGCTGGTAGTCCCAGCTACTCGGGAGGCTGAGGTGGCAGGATTGCTTCAGCCCAGGAGGTTGAGGCTGCAATGAGCTGTCATTTCACCACTGCACTTCAGCCTGGGTGACAGAGTGAGACCCTGTCTCAACTAAAAAAAAAAAAAACTCTTCTGGAGGCCAAAGTCTGGCACAGCATGGCTGTGTTCTCTGAGATCTCTCAGGAATCTTGAGACTGGAATCAAGGAGTCCACCTAGCTGAATGAGCCTGGTCTGGAGGCTCCTAGGAAAACTCCATTTCCAACCTCCTTCTTGTTAGCAGTTATTCAGCTCCTTGCAGTTGTAGGACTGAAGTCACTGTTGCCTGGCTGACTGTTAGCTAGGGTTGTTCGGATCCTAAAGGTCACCTGTGTCCTTGACACAAGGCCTCCATTTTCAGGCCATTCTCGTGCATTAAATTTCTGACTTACACAATCTCTGTGAGAGGCTCCTGTGATTAGGCCAGGCCTACCAAACAATCTCACTATCTTAAGATCAACTAATTACATCTGCAAAACTTCCTTTACTATAGTGACAGAGTGATATCTCATCATCTTCACAGGACCTGCCGAGGTTCAAAGGATGAGATCACACCTGGGGAAAGGTCACTTTAGAATTCTGCTTACTGCATTGTGAAACTGAAATCCTATTCCCCTTAAAATTCAGATCTTCTCTTTTTTTGGCAACATATAAATCCATGTGGCCTTCCTGGAAAACAAAATTTAAGAATGTATTCTAGCAAAAAATGAAGAAACAAAGTGGAGAGGTTCTATGAATGCTAACGGCTTCCAAAAGACAGCAGATATGTATTGTACTCACAGCCCAGGAAGGAACTGGAAGAGACAATGGCTGTGCTCAAGGCACATGTCTGGTAAAGTAAAATGTCCTGTTTGTGTTGCAAATACGGAGAAAGCAGGTGCAATTTCAAGTAACAGGTGGAATATAAGAAACAATGACTTTAAAACTAAAGTCAAACCTCTGTTGCTTAAAGTAATTCATTCAGATGAGAAGACAAATGTGATGCTTTGAATTCACACATGTATACTTTTAATTTTTAAATGTATAATAGTACCGCCGAGAATCATTTTCTCTGGTGTGCATACTTGCTTTGTACCCTAAAAGAGAGTTGACATTTTGCTTAAGGATTGACAATTTCTGGCAGGGTGCAGTGGCTCACACCTGTAATCCCAGCACTTTGGGAGGCCAAGGTGGGTGGATCACGAGGTCAGGAGATCGAGACCATCCTGGCTAACACGGTGAAACCCCATCTCTACGAAAAATACAAAAACAAAATTAGCCAGGTGTGGTGGCGGGCCCTGTAGTCCCAGCTACCCAGGAGGCTGAGGCAGCAGAACTCCAGCCTGGCAGCCTGGGCGATAGAGGGAGACTCCATCTCAAAAAATAAAAGATTGACAATTTCTTTTAAGTTTGTCTTAGCAAATTATTTTTAAATTAGGCTAAAAAAAGATTGACAACTTCTTTTAAATTTATCTTAGCGAATTATTTTTAAATAAGGCTTTTTTCTTCTTCTTCTTTTTCTGACAGAGCCTCTGTTGCCCAGGCTGGAGGGTGGTGGTGTGATCTCAGCTCACTGCAACCTCCACCTCCCTGGTTCAAGTGATTCTCTCCTCTCAACCTCCCAAGTAGCTGGGATTACAAGCAGCCGCCACCACACCCAGATAACTTTTGTAGATTTTGTAGAGATTGGGTTCCACCATGTTGCCCAGGCTGGTCTCAAACTTCTGAGCTCAAGCGATTGCCTGCCTTGACCTCCCAAAATGCTGGGATTACAGGAATGAGCTACTGCGTTTGGCCTAGACTAGTGTTTTTTAACCTTTATTTCATTTTCTTAATTTACAAAAGCAGGTTGTTCTCACATCAATGGTATTTTCTGATTATTATGAGACAGTTGAACAATTTTTACAAACTGGAAGCCTACATCTATGCTCATTTTAAAACATTCATTTAAAAATATGTAATTCTAGCCACGTGATTTTCATACTACCATTTTAAATTTAGAGTAAAATTTTAGGAACAAACCTTTTCTTATAATTCCTATTTTCAATGGATACTTAACAAATTCTTTGTAATTCCTTTAGCTTAACATTAAATTCCTTTTCTTGTATTAAATACAGATAAAATTAAATAAAATTTTTAAAAAGTCATCAGCAGGGCTGGGCGCAGTGGCTTATGCCTATAATCCCAGCACTTTGGGAGGCTAAGGCAGATGGATACCTTGAGCTCAGGAGTTTGAGACCAGCCTGCGCAATATGGTGAAATCCCGTTTCTACAAAATTTATCTGGGCATAGTGGTGTATGCCTGTAGTCCCAGCTACTCAGGAGGCTGAGGTGAGAGGATAGCTTGAGCCCAGGAGGCGGAGGTTGCAGTGAGCCAAGATTGCACCACTGTACTTCAGCCTGGGCAACAGAGCGAGACCCTGTCTCAAAAAAAAGACAACAAAAAAAAGTCATCAGCAGATATTTATGAAGGTAGACATTACAGATGGTTTTATTTTATTCTTTGTGCATTTCTGTAGACAGTCAAAGGATGATTCAACTGTTCAGGGATGTTCTTAAAACTAAAACAAATGCAAACAAACCAAAAAACCCAGGCTATTTCTTTCCAATAATGATCACTGGTATTTGGCTATTATCTTCAAGAACACAAAATAATTGCTGCATTCTCCGACACTGAATTCATTTTCTTTTTTAAAACTTTCCCAGAAGCCCAACACAGCAACTTTACCTTTGTCTCATTGGTCACAACTGGATTCCTTGGCACTTTGCAGCAAGAGAGTCTGGGCAAGTGAATATGTATAGCCTAGGTACCTCACTCAAAATCAGGCTCTGTTAGTATAGGACTAGTGGGAAGTATATATCAGTTAGGCAGCTAGTAGTATCTGAAACACACACAGACACAGACACACAGACACACACACACACACACACACACACAGAGGCATACTTTTTTAAAAATTTACAAAAGTAAAATTGCTATAATTTTTTTCACTTGCCTCAGTAGCAAAATAACTTACTGATTTCCTTAAACATTCATCCTATGACTGCACCATAATTTATTTAATCAGTCCTCTCCTGGACATTTAGATATTTTATTTAAAAAAAGTTTTTTGAGACAAAGTCTCACTCTTTTGCCTAGAGTGGAGTGATCACAGTGGTGTGACCACAGCTCACTATAACCTCAAACTTCTGGGCTCAAGAGATTCTCCCACCTCAGCCTCCTGAGTAGCAAGGACTATAGGTATGTCTCACCATGCCCGGGTAATTTTTAAATTTTCTGTAAAGATGGAGTCTCAAATATGTTGCCCAGGCTGCTCTTGAACTCCTGGCCTCGAGTGATCCTCCTGCCTTGGCTTCCCAAAGTGCTGGGATTATAGGCATGAGCCACTGTGCCCAGCCTAAAGTTTTATTATTAAAGAAAGATGTGGCCAGGCATGGTGACTCATACCTGCAATCCCACACTTTGGGAGGTCGAGGTGGATGGATCGCTTGAGCTCAGGAGTTTGCGACCAGCCTAGGCAATGTGGTGAAACCTCATCTCTACAAAAAGTACAAAATTGCAGTCATGGTGGCAAACAAAGAATAAGAGACAAATTTTTTAAATCCCAAATCAAACTTCTGGAGAAATAAAAAAAAATACAATATCTGAAATGAAAAACACACTAGATGAGATAAACAGATTAGACACTGCAAAAGTAAAGACCAGTGGGTTTTAAAACATAGCAATAAAAAATTATCCAAAATGTAAAACAGATAAAAGACTGAAAAAAAATGAACAGAGCACCAGTAAGCTATAAGACAATATCAAGTGGCCTGGCCTCATACATGTAATTAGAATCCCAGAAGGAGAGGAAAAGAAGGGGCAATAAAAAAAGATTTCAAGAAATAATATCTGGGAAAAAAACTATCAACTTAGAATTTGTATCTACCAAAAACATCTTTCAGAATAAAAGCAAAATAAGTAATTTTTACAAAAGTGGAAAGATAAAAATTTGCATCTATGCAAAGGAATGAAAAGTACCCAAAACAGCAAAAAATACCGTAAGGATTATAATGTGTATAGAAATAAAATGTATTTCAACAATGGTACAAAGTCTGGGAGAGGGAAAAGGAAGTATACTGTTGTATGTCCTTATAAAATGCAGGAAGTAGTATGATATTAGTTGAAGGTACATTGTGGTAAGTTGTAAGATGTATACTATAAATGTTAGAGCAGTCACTCAAGAAATGTATGCTGAGATGAAAGAAGAGATGGCTTGCTTGCACCACAGCTGCAGAGCCAGCTGTCAGATGTAATAAATTGCATTTACCTGAAGAGCTGGGGAAAGTAGCAGGATGGCGACAGAGATCAGCCACTTGGAAAGGCTTAGTTCCTCTTCCCACTGACCCCTCCAAGTGTCTTGGGCATGTTAAAGTGGACGAGGCCAAATATTACGGATTCTGAAAAAAAGGCCTTGGGGATCAAACAGGACTAGACTGCAGCCCCGACTCGGACAGACAGAGCAGCGTGTGGAGGCTTCCATCATGAATTTTACCTCCAGAATTACTGCAGCAATAAATCAGGAATCCCAAAAGGACCCACAGACCTTCTGAAGGAAGTGGACTGCTCTTGCAGGACCCAGGAGACACCCCAAATACTATGCCGTTATCCACGGCTGAGAGATACCATATGGTTGGGACTTGCTTTTTAATACACTCAATCTTTGCCTTTAAATATAAATTTACATTTAATGTGATCATCTATAGGATTAAGTTTAAATTCACAAGGTATTTCTTTTCTATGTGTTCCCTCTGTTCTTCATTCTTTTTTCCTCATTTCCTGTCTTATTTTTAATAATACCATTAATTTTCATTATTGTGTTATTAGCCATATTTTTTTATTTTTTATTTTTCCATAAGTTATTGGGGGTACATGTGGTGTTTGGTTACATGAGTAAGTTCTTTACTGGTGATTTGTGAGATTTGGTTCACCCATCACCCAAGCAGTATACACTGCACCCTATTTGTAGACTTTTATCCCTTGCCCCCTCCCATCCTTCCCCCCATGTCCCCAAAGTCCACTGTACCATTCTTATGTCTTTGTGTCCTTTGTGTTCACATCACAGGACTCTGTGCTGACAACGCCCAGTACCACCCTGCAGCCTGGTACACTTGCTGGGTGGCTGGACCCAGAAGAGAAATAACAATCACTACAGCGTGGCTCTTAGGAAGCCATATCCATAGGAAAAGGGGGAGAGTACTACATCAAGGGAACACCCCATTGGACAAAATAATCTGAACAACAGCCTTCAGCCCTAGACCTTCCCTCTGACAGATCCTACCCAAATGAGAAGGAACCAGAAAACCAACTCTGGTAATATGACAAAACAAGGCCCTTTAACACCTCCAAAAAATCACACTAGCTCACCAGCAATGCATCCAAACCAAGAAGAAATCCCTGATTTACCTGAAATAGAATTCAGGAGGTTAGTTATTAAGCTAATCAGGGAGGCATCAGAGAAAGGCAAAGCCCAATGCAAGGAAATCCAAAAAATGATATAAGAAGTGAAGGGAAAAATATTCAAGATAATAGATAGCATAAAGGAAGAACAATCAAAACTTCAGGAAACATTGGACACACTAATAGAAATGCAAAATACTCTGGAAATCTCAGCAATAGAATTGAACAAGTAGAAGAAAGAAATTCAGAGCTTGAAGACAAGGTCTTCAAATCAATCTGATCCAACAAAGACAAAGAAAAAAGAATATGAAAATATGAACAAAGACTCCAAGAAGTCTGGGATTATGTTAAATGACCAGACCTAAGAATAATCGGTGCTTCTGAGGAAGAAAAGAAATCTAAAAGCTTGGAAAACATATTTGGGGGAATAATTGAGGAAAACTTCTCTGGCCTTGCTAGAGACCTAGACATCCAAATACAAGAAGAACAAAGAACACCTGGAAGTTTCATTAAAAAAAAAAAAATCATCACCTAGGCACATTGTCATCAGGTTATCTAAAGTTAAGATGAAAGAAATAACCTTAAGAGCTGTGTTAGAAACAAAATGCTTGTTCCTTGGTGCCACAAAGAAATAGCATTCAAACATAAATTTAATTTTCTCAGCAAGGCAATTTTTAATTTATAGAAGGGTATGACTCACGAATGGAGTAATGGTGAGGGCACACCTGAACAAGCGAGGGGAAGGGGTTCTTATTCCTGACGCAGATGGCGCCTACTGCTGTGTCATTCCCCTACTGGCTAGGGTTGGACCGCAAAGTCTAAGCTAATTCCGATTGGCTATTTTAAAGGGAGCAGAGTGGCAGGGTGAGTAATTTGGCAGGAAGGACAGTTAGGAACAGGTAACTAAAGGTGACTTAAGTCAGAGCAGGTGACCAGGGGTGACTCAGGTCAAAGCAGGTGACTGGGATGAGTCAGGATGATGCAGGTGACCAGGGGAACAGATGTGTACTACTGATTAAAACTGATGGAAAAGGCTGTTAACTGAAACTACAAGGAAGTTAAACTCTAAAATAGAGGATAAAGAACTGAACATACTGACATACTGATTCTTTGAAGAGAAATCTAGAATTCACTGTATCCAACAGCTGTGGGACAAAAGCACCAGGTAACTTATAAAGGAAAACCTATCAGATTAACAGCAGATTTCTCAGCAGAAACCCTGCAAGATAGAAGGGATTGGGACTCTATCTTCAGACTCCTCAAACAAAACAATTATCAGCCAAGAATTTTTTATTCAGTGAAACTAAGCATCATATATGAAGGAAAGATACAGTCTTGGCCAGGTGTGGTGGCTCAAGCCTGTAATCCCAGTACTTTGGGAGGCCAAGGCAGGCAGATCACGAGGTCAGGAGTTTGAGACCAGCCTGGCCAACATAGTGAAACCCCGTCTCTACTAAAAATACAAAAAAATTAGCTGGGCGTGGTGGCGGGTGCCTGTAATTCCAGCTACTTGGGAGGCTGAGGCAGGAGAATCGCTTGAACCCAGGAGGTGGAGGTTGCAGTGAGCCAAGATCGTGCCACTGCACTCCAGCCTGGGAGACACTGTGAGACTCTGTCTCAAAAACAAAACAAAACAAAACAAAACAAAACAAAACAGTATTTTTCCGACAAACAAATGCTGAGAGAATTTGCCACTACCAAGCCACCACTACGAGAACAGCTAAAAGGAATTCTAAATCTTGAAACAAATCCTGGAAATACATCAAAACAGAACCTCTAAAGCGTAAATTTCACAGGACCTATAAAACAAAAATACAAGTTAAAAAGCAAAAACAAAAAACAAAAAAAACAAAGTACATGGGCAACAAATAGCACGATGAATGGAATGGTACCTCACATCTCAATACTAACATTGAATGTGAATGTTCTAAATGCCCCACTTAAAAAATACAGAATTGCAGAATGGATAAGAATTCACCAACCAACTATCTGCTGCCTTCAGGAGATTCACCTAACACATAAGGACTCACATAAACTTAAAGTAAAGGGGTGGAAAAATGCATTTAATGCAAATGGACACCAGAGGTGAGCAGAGGTAGCTATTCTTATATCAGACAAAACAAACTTTAAAGCAACAGCAGTTAAAAAAGACAAAGAGGAACATTAAGTAATGGTAAAAGGCCTTGTCCAACAAGAAAATATTACAATCCTAAACATATATGCACCTGACACTGGAGCTCCCAAATTTATAAAACAGTTACTAACAGACCTAAGAAATGAGATAGACAGCAACACAATAATAGTAGGGAACCTCGATACTCCACTGATAGCACTAGACAGGTCACCAAAACAGAAAGTCAACAAAGAAACAATGTATTTTATACCTTGGAACAAATGGACTTAACAGATTTATACAGAACATTCCATCCAGCAACCACAGAATATACATTCTATTCAACAGTGCATGGAACTTTCTCCAAGATAGACCATATTATATGGCACAAAACGAGCCTCAATAAATTTAAGAAAATTGAAATTATGTCAAGCACTCTGTCAGACCACAGTGTAATAAAGCTTGTAATCAACTCCAAAGGGAACCTTCAAAACCATGCAAATACATGGAAATTAAATAACCTGCTCCTGAATTATCACTGGGTTAAAAACGAAATGAAAATGGAAATTTAAAAATTATTCAAATTGAAAGATAATAGTGACACAACCTATCAAAACCTCTGGGATACAGCCAAGGCGGTGCTAAGAGGAAAGTTCATGGCCCTAAACACCTACATCAAAAAGACTGAAAGAGCACAAACTGACACTCTAAGGTCACACCTCAAAGAACTAGAGAAACAAGAACAAACCAAGCCCAAACCCAGCAGAAGAAAGGAAATAACCAAAATCAGAGCAGAACTAAATGAAATTGAAACAAAAAAATACAAAAGATAAATGAAATGAAAAGCTGGTTCTTTGAAAAGATAAATAAAATTGATAGACCATTAGCAAGATTAACCAAGAAAAGAAGAGAGAAAATCCAAATAACCCCACCAAGAAACGAAACGAGAGATATTACAACTGACACTACAGAAATACAAAAGATCATTCAAGGCTACTATGAACACCTTTAAGCACATAAACTAGAAGACCTAAAAGAATTGGATAAATTCCTGGAAAAATACAACCCTCCTAGCTTAAATCAGGAAGAATCAGATACCCTGAACAGATCAATAACAAGCAGCAAGATTGAAATGGTAATTTAAAAATTACCGACAAAAGAAAACCCCAGGACCAGACAGATTCACAACAGAATTCTACCAGACATTCAAAGATGAATTAGTACCAATCCTTTTGACACTATTCCACAAGATAGAGAAAGAGGGAACACTCCTTAATTCATTCTATGAAGCCAGAATCACCCTAATACCACAACCAGGAAAGGACATAACCAAAAAAGAAAACTACAGACCGATATCCTTGATGAACATAGATGCTAAATCCTTAACAAAATACTAGCTAACTGAATCCAACAACATATCAAAAATATAATCCACCATGATCAAGTGGGTTTCATACGAGGGATGCAGGGATGGTTTTAACATAGGCAAGTCGATAAATGTGATACACCACATAAACAGAATTAAAAACAAAAATCACATGATCATCTCAATAGACGCAGAAAAAGCATTAGACAAAATCCAGCATCACTTTATGATTAAAACTCTCAGCAAAATTGGCATACAAGGGACATACCTCAATGTAATTTAAGCCATTTATGACAAACCCACAGCCATCATAATACTGAATGGGGAAAAGTTGAAAGCATTCCCTCCGAGAGCTGGAACAAGACAGGGATGCCCACTCTCACCACTCGTCTTCAACATAGTACTGGAAGTCTAGCCAGAGCAATCAAACAAAAGAAAGAAATAAAGGGCATCCAAATCGGTAATACTGGCTGGAGCACAGTGGTGCGATCTCGGCTCACTGCAACCTCCGCCTCCTGATTCAAGCAGTTCTCCTGCCTCAGCTTCTCAAGTAGTTGGGACTACAGGCATGCGCCACCAGATCCACCTAATTTTTGTATTTTTAGTAGAGAGGGGGTTTCACCATGTTGGCCAGGCTGGTCTCGAACTCCTGACCTCAGGTGACCTACCCACCTCAGCCTCCCTAAGTGCTGGAATTACAGGTGTAAGCCACCGCGCGCAGCCAGATTGGAGAATATTATTCTAAGTGAAGTAACTCAGGAACGGAAAACCAAACATCGTATGTTCTCACTGATATGTGAGAACATATCAGCTAAGCTGTGAGGACACAAAAACATAAGAATGATACAATGGACTTTGGGGACTTGGAGGGAAGTGTGGGAGGGGGCGAGAGATAAAAGACTACAAATAGGGTGCCGTGTATACTGCTTGGGTGATGGGTGAACCAAAATCTCACTAATCGCCACTAAAGAACTTACTAATGTAACCAAACACCACATGTACCCCAATAACTTATGGAAAAATAAAAAATAAAAAATTGTATGGCTAATAATACAATAATGAAGATTAATGGAATTATTAAAAACAAGGCAGTAAATGAGGAAAAAGGAATAAAGAACAGAGGGAACACTTAGAAAAGAAATAACAAGATTGTGAATTTAAACGTAACCTTATTGATGATCACATTAAATGTAAATTTATATTTAAAGGCAAAGATTGACTGTATTAAAAAGCAAGCCCTAACTATAGGGTATTTATAAGAAACCCACTTTAAATGAAAATGCAAAGAGAAGTTAAAAGGATAAAAACAAGGGGATACCTTGCATGCCTATTAGAATGGCCAAAACCCGAAATGCTGACAGTATCAAATGCTGGTGATGACGTGGAGCAACAGAAATTCTCATTCATTGCTGATGTGAATGCAATATGGAACAGCCACTTTGAAAGATACTTTGGCAGTTTCTTACAAAACTAAACATACTCTTATAATATGATCCAGCCACCATACTCCTTGGTATTCGCCCAAATGAATTAAAACTTATGTCCACACAAAAAGCTGCACGTGGATATTTATAACAGCTTTACTCATGGTTGACAAAACTTGGAAGCAACCAAGATGCTTTTCAGTAAGTAAATGGATAAACTGTGGTATACCTAAACAATGGAATATTATTCAACACCAAAAAGAAATTAGTTATCGGCCAGACATGGTAGCTCACACCTGTAATCCCAGCACTTTGGCAGGCCAAGGTGGGCAGATCACAAGGTCAGGAGTTCGAGACCAGCCTGGCCAATATGGTGAAACCTCATCTCTACTAAAAATACAAAAAAATTAGCCAGGCGTGGTGGTGCACGCCTGTAATCCCAGCTACTAAGGAGTCTGAGGCAGGAGAAGTGCTTGAAACTGGGAGGCAGAGATTGCAGTGAGCTGAGATCACGCCACTGCACTCCAGCCTGGGCAACAGAGCAAGACTCTGTCTCAAAAAAAAAAATTAAATTAGTTATCAAGTCATGAAAAAACTTGGAGATACCTTAAATGCCTATTACTACACGAAAGAAGCCAAACTGAAAAGGCTTCATACTCTGTGATTTCATCTCTGATATTCTGGAAAAGGCAAAACTACTATAGTAAAAGGATCAGTGGTTGCCAGTGGTTAGAGGAAGGAGAGGGATGAGCAGGCATAGGCAGAGCACAAGGGATTTTTAGGGTATAAAATTCTTGTGTATGATACTGTAATGATGGACACATGTCATTACTTATTTGTCAAAACCCATAGAATGTACAATATGAAGAGTAAACCCTAATGTAAACTGTGGAATTTGGGTGATAGTGATGTGTGGATGTTGGTTCATTGACAATAACAAATATACTGGTTCAGAATGCTGATAGTTGGGAAGGCTGTGGGGGTGTGTTGGGAAGAGTATATAGTAAGTCTCTGTACTTTCTACTCAATTTTGCTGTAACGTAGAACTGCTCCAAAGAGTCTATTTTTTTTTTCTTTTTTTTTGAGACAGAGCCTTGCTCTATCTCCCAGGCTGGAGTGCACTGTTGCGATCTTGGCTCACTCCAAGCTCCGCCTCCCGGGTTCATGCCATTCTCCTGCCTCAGCCTTCTGAGTAGCTGGGACTACAGGTGCCCGCCACCACACCCGGCTATTTTTTTTTTTTTTTAGTGGAGACGAGGTTTCACTGGGTTAGCCAGGATGGTCTCGATCTCCTGACCTCGTGACTGCCCGTCTCAGCCTCCCAAAGTGCTGGGATTACAGGCATGAGCCACTGCGCCCAAAAAGTCTACATTTTAAAAAGTAAAAGGATGGAAAAATGTATAACATGCTAATATTAATTAACTGAAAGATGCAAATGGCTTTATTCATATCACGAATCTAGATTTCACAGCAAGAAATATTGCCAGTCACTAAAAGGGTAACTTCATAATGACAAAAGAGTCAATTCATTAAGAGGATATAACAATAGTAAATTTTTATGTACCTAATAACAAAGTTTCAAATTATATGAAGCAAAATTGAGCAAACTGAAAGGAGAAATGAATCATTCACAATTGTAGTTCAAGATTTCAACAATTCTATCTCAATTTTTTTTTTTTTTTTTTTTTTTGAGATGGAGGCTCACTCTGTTGCCCAGGCTGGAGTGCAGTGGTGTGATCTCAGTTCACTGCAACCTCCACCTCCCAGGTTCAAGAGATTCTCATGCCTCAGCCTCCCAAGTAGCTGGGATTACAAACACGTGCCACCATGCCCAGCTAATTGTATTTTTAGTAGAGATAGGGTTTCACCATATTGGCCAGGCTGGTCTTGATCTCCTGGCCTCAAGTTATCTGCCCGCCTTGGCATCCCAAAGTGCTGGGATTACAGATGTGAGCTACCATGCCTGGCCTCAAAATTGTATGGACTAAATAGAAAGAAAATCAGTAAGGATACAGAACATATGGACAAAGTCAACCCAATTTTCCCACATTAACATTTATAGAACATGCCCAATAATAGCAAAATATACATGCTTTTCAAGTGCACATAGAATATCTATCAAAATGGACTATATTTGAGGCCATAGGATGTGTTCTTTTTTTTTTTTTGAGACGGAGTCTTGCTCTGTCGCCCAGGCTGGAGTGCAGTGGTGCAATCTTGGCTCACTGCAAGCTCCACCTCCCAGGTTCACGCCATTCTCCTGCCTCAACCTCCCGAGTAGCTGGGACTACAGGCGCCCGCCACCACGCCTGGCTAATTTTTTGTATTTTTAGTAGAGATGGGGTTTCACTGTGTTAGCCAGGATGGTTTCGATCTCCTGACCTCGTGATCTGCCCGCCTCGGCCTCCCAAAGTGCTGGGATTACAGGCGTGAGCCACCGCGCCCGACCAGGATGTGTTAATGAAAGGATTATACAATGTTTATTCTCTAAGCACAATATAATCAAATTAGAAATTAATAACAGAAAGAAATCCACAAAATTCCTAATACTTAGAAATTAAACATCACACTTCTAAATAATCACTGTATCAATGAAGACATTACACAGGGAAATTATAAAGTATTTTGAACAGGCTAAAAATGAAAACATGACATATTAAAACTTATGAGGCAGCTAAGATAGTTTCTTCAAGGAAAATATTAGAAAAGAAAGTACTCAAACCAATTATCTAGGTTCCCATGTTAAGAAACTAGAAAAATAAGAGCTAATTAGACACAAGTAAGCAAAACAAAGGTAATAAAGTTAAGAGCTGAAATCAATAAGGTAGAAAACTGGAAAACAATACAGAAAATCCATGAAACCAAAACCTGGGTCTTTCAAAATGATTAATAAAATTAATAAGCCTCCAGCCAGTGATCAGGTGGAAAAAAAGAGAGAAGATAAAAATGATCAATATTATATGCAGAAGAGTAGACATCACTGCAAATCCTGTGGTCATTGAACGGCTCATAATATTATAAAGAATTTTATAAATTCTGCAATAAATTCTGTAATTTGAGTGAAATGGAGAAATTCTTTGAAAGACACAATCTACCAAATCTGAAGAAGAAATAGATAACCTGAATAGTCCTGTATCTATTTTAAAAAGTGAATTTGCATTTAAAATCCTTTGAACAAAGGAATCTCCAGTCCCAAGTAGTGAATTCTACCAAACATTTTAGGAATAAACAATATCAACTCTATGCTAATTAGAAAATAGAAGAAAAATTCAGAGGAAAAAAAGAAAAGAAATGCTTTCCAGCTCATGTTAACAGGCTAGAAACCCTATACCAAAAACCAGAAAAAAAACAAAGAAAACAAAAAAACTAGAAAACATTTCTTGGCTGGGCGCCGTGGCTCATGCCTGTAATCCCAGCACTTTGGGAGGCTGAGATGGGTGGATCACAAGCTCAGGAGATTGAGACCATCCTGGGCAACATGGTGAAACCCCGTCTCTACTAAAAATACAAAAATTAGCTGGGTATGGTGGTACATGATTGTAGTCCCGGCTACTTGGGAGGCTGAGGCAGGAGAATTGCTTGAACCTGGAGGCGGAGGTTGCGGTGAGCCGAGATCACACCACTGCACTCCAGCCTGGGCAACAGAGAAAGACTCCGTCTCAAAAAAAAAAAAAAAAGAAAAGAAAAGAAAACATTTATTATGAACATAGTCACAAAAATTCTTAACAAAAATTTTGCAAATCAAATCCAGTAACATTAGAATTATAATACATCAATGCAAGGTGGGGTTTGTCCCAGGAATGCAAGATTGGTTTAACATTCGAAAGTCAATGTAATTCACCATATTAAAAGACTCAAAAAGTAAAACAATGAAAATGCCACAAGAGGTGAAGGAAAGTGCCTGACAAAATTAAAAAATCACTCATGATAAAAATCACTCAGCAAACTAGAAATACAAGGTAACTTCCTCAACTTGCTAAAGGGCATCTAAAAATGACCTAGAGCTTACATTGTACTTATTAATGAAACACTAATATCTGATGGAACAGTTATTAACACTAATGAAACAGATAAAACACTAATGAAAGAAAGAGTATTCTTTCTCTCTAATATCAGAAATAAGGCAAGCATGTCTGCTCTCACAAGTTGTATTCAGCATTGAACTGGAGGTCCTAATTTGTTCCATAAGGCAATAAGAAGAAAAAGCAAGCATCAGGCCTAAAAGAAGAATAAAATTATCTTTATTCAAAGATGACAGGTCTCTTATATAGAAAATCCCAAGAAATTGGCTGGGCGCAGTGGCTGACACCTGTAATCTGAGCACGTTGGGAGGCCAAAGTGGTTCAGCTGATGTCAGCCTGGCCAACATGGCGAAACCTCATTTCTACTAAAAAAAAAATACAAAAATTAGCTGGGGGTGGTGGCATGCACCTGTAGTCCTGGCTACTCGGGATGCTGATGCAGGAGAATTGCTTGAACCTGGGAGGTGGAAGTTGCAGTGAGCCAAGATCATGCCACTGCACTCAAGCCTGGGTAACAGAGTGAGACTCCATCTCAAAAAAAAAAATCCTAAGAAATCCACCAAAAAAGCTACCAGAACTAATAACTGAGTTTAGCAGAGTTACAGGATACAAAAACCAATATACAAAAATGTCAATATACAAAAATCAATTGTATTTCTATATGATAGGAAGTCTTGGAAATTACAAATGAAAACAGCATCAACAATATGAAATAGGAAGTGTCTATTCATGTCCTTTGCCCACTTTTCAATGGTTTTTTTTTTCTTGTAAATTTGCTTAAGTTGTTTGTAGATGCTGGATATTACACCTTTGTCAGATGGATAGATTGCAAAAATTTTCTCCCATTCTGTAGGTTGTCTGTTCACTCTGATGATAGTTTCTTCTGCTGTGCAGAAGCTCTTTAGTTTAATTAGATCCCATTTGTGAATTTTTGCTTTTGTTAAAATTGTTTTTGGCAATTTCATCATAAAATCTTTGCCCATGCCTATGTGCTGAATGGTATTGTCTAGATTTTCTTCTAGGGATTTTATAGTTTTTGGTTTTATATTTGAGTCTTTAATCCATCTTGAGTTAATTTTTGTATAAGGTGTAAAGAAGGGGTCCAGTTTCAGTTTTTTGCGTATGGCTAGCCAGTTCTCCCAGCACCATTTATTAAATAGGGAATCCTTTCCCCATTGCTTGTTTTTGTCAGGTTTGTCGAAGATCAGATAATTGTAGATGGCAGTTTTATTCTGAGTTCTCTATTCTGTTCCATCGGCCAACAAACATGAAAAAAACTCAACATCACTGATCATCAGAGAAATGCAAATCAAAGCCATAATGAGATACCATCTTATGCCAGTCAGAACAGTGATTATTAAAAAGTCAAGAAACAACTGATGCTGGCGAGGTTGCGGAGAAATAGGAATGCTTTTACACTGTTGGTGGGACTGTAAATTAGTTCAACCATTGTGGGATACAGTGTGGTGATTCCTCAGAGATTTATAACTGGAAGTACCATTTGGCCTAGCAATCCCATTACTGGGTATGTATACCCAAAGGAATATAAATCATTCTATTATAAAGATACAAGCACATGTATGTTCATTGCAGCACTATTCACAATAGCAAAGACATGGAATCAACCCAAATGCCCATCGATGATAGACTGGATAAAGAAAATGTGGTACATATACATCATGGAATACTATGCAGCCATAAAAAGGAACGAGATAATGTCCTTTGCAGGGACGTGGATGAAGCTGGAAGCCATTATCCTCAGCAAACTATGCAGGAACAGAAAACCAAACACTGCATGTTCTCACTTATAAGTGGGAGCTGAACAGTGAGAACACATGGACACAGTGAGGGAAACAAAACACACTGGGGCTTGTTGGGGGAGGGCGGAGATGTGGAGAGCATCAGGAAAAACAGCTAATGCATACTGGGTAAAATACGTAGGTGATGGGTTTATCAGTGCAGCAAACCACCATGGCACATGTTTACCTATGTAACAAACCTGCACATCCTGCACATGTACCCTGGAACTTAAAATAAAATAATAAAAAAGAATATGAAATAAAAATGAACTCAAGAAAACTGTGCAAGTTCTATATCCTGAAACATAAAAAATAGTGCTGAGAGAAATTTGGAAATAAATGGAAAGATACACTATACTTACCTGTAATTCCAGCACTTTGGGAGGCTGAGGTGGGCAGATCACAAGGTCAGGAGTTCGAGACCAGCATGGCCAATATGGTGAAACCCCATCTCTACTAAAAATGCAAGACATTAGCCAGGTGTGGCGGTGCACGCCTGTAGTCCTAGCTACCTGGGAAGCCAAGGCAGGAAAATCACTTGAACCTGGTAGGTGGAGGTTGCAGTGAGCTGAGATCATACCACTGCACTCCAGCCTGGGTGACACAGCGAGACTCTGTCTCAAAAAAAAAAAAAAAAAGATATACCGTACTCATGGATTGAAAGACTCAATATTGTTAATATGTCAATCATAAGTTGTCTGACTGTACAATTCCAATCAATATAGAAAGTTGTCTGTACACAAATCAAATCAATATCCCAGCAGGGTTTTTTTTTTTTGTAGAATTTGACAAGGTGATTCTAAACTTTATATGAAAATGCAAATAATCTAGAATACCCTAAAATTTTTGCAAAAGGGTAAAGTTGGAGTATTTATATTACCTAATTTTGAGACTTCCTATAAAAGCAACAGTAATCAAGAGTATGGTAGTGGCATAAATATAGACACATATATTAGGGGAACTGACTAGAAATACAGAAATGGACCCACATATGTAGAGGCAACTGATTTTCAACAAAAGTGCCAATGAAATTCAATGGGGGGAGGGATAGTGCTTTCAGTAAATGGTCCTGTGACAAGTGAACAGCCATATGCAAAAATATAAACCTTTACCCTTACTTTACACCACATATGAGACATAACCTAAAATGGATCAAGATATCAGTTGTAAGGGTTGAAAGAATAATGCTTCTAAAAGAAAACAGGAAACAGCTGGGAATGGTGGCTCACGCCTGTAATCCCAGCATTTTGGGAGGCCAAGGTGGGTGGATCGCTTGAGCTCAGGAGTTCGAGACCAGCCAGGCCAATGTTGTGAAATCCCGTCCCTACTAAAAATATAAAAATTAGCCAGGCACGGTGGCATACATCTATAATCTCAGCTATTTGGGAGGCTGAGGCACAAGAATCGCTTGAACCTGGGAGGTGGAGGTTGCAGTGAGCTGAGATTGTGGCCACAACACTCCAGCCTGAAACACAGAATGAGATAAAAGAAAGAAAGAAAGAGAGAGAGAGAGAGGGAGGGAGGGAGGGGGGAAGGAGGGAGGGAGGTGAGGGAAAAGAAAAGAAAAGAGGAGAAAATTTTGTTTTGTTTTGGTTTTTTTTGAGATGGAGTTTCACTCTTGTTGCCCAGACTGAAGTGCAATGGCGCAATCTCGGCTCGCTGCAACCTCTGCCCCCCAGGTTCAAGTGATTCTCCTGCCTAAGCCTCCCGAGTAGCTGGGATTATAGGCTTGTACCACCAAGCCTGGCTAATTTTGTGTTTTTAGTAGAGACAAGGTTTCTCTATGTTGGTCAGGCTGGTCTCGAACTCCCGACCTCAGGTGATCCACCCACTTCAGCCTCCCAAAGTGCTGGGATTACAGGCATGAGCCACCGCGCCTGCTGAAAACAGGAGAAAATCTTAGTGACATTAAGTTAGACAAAGTTTCCTTAAGTGGGATAGAAAAAGCACAAACTGTAAAAGAAAAATTAACAGATTGGGCTTCATTAAAATTAAAAATTTATGTTCTTCAAAGACACTGTTAAGAAAATAAAAAATATAAGCCACATACTGGGAGAAAATATTTATAAAACATGTATCTGATAAAATACTTGATTCCAGAATACATAAATTCTTATAACTACAAAAACCAATAAATGGGCCAAAATTTGAACATACTTTACCTAAAAAGATGTATACATGGCAAACAAGCACATAAAAAGATGCTCAACATCATTGGTCATTAGGGAAATGCAAATTAAAATCATAATGACATACCACTATACACCCACTAGAATGGTTAAAATTAAGAAGACTGAAAATACCAACCATCAGTGAGAGTGTGGAGCAACTGGAACGCTCATACATTGCTGATAAAATGTAAAATGGTACAGTCACTTTGGAAATTCATTGACAGTTTCTTACAATATTAAACATATACTTACCATATGACCCGGCATTTCTACTCCAGGAAATTTACCCAGAAGAAAGGAAAACTTATGTTAACGTAAGGACTTGCATATTGTTTATAGCAACTTTATTTATAATAGTTAAAAATTGGAATGAACCCAAACGTCCATCAACTGATGAACGGATAAATAAACTGTATTCATACAATACCACTTAGCAATGAAAATGAATGAATTACTGATACATGCAACAATATGGATAAATCTCAAAGTCAGTATAATTATTGAAAGAAGTCAGACTCAAAAGACCACATAATAGAAAATTCCACTCATCTAATTTCCTAGAACAGGCAATATTACAGTGACAGACAGCAGATAATTAGTTGACAGGAAACAGATTGGGAGGAGGAACATAAGGCAACTCTGGAGGGATGGAAATATCCTGATTGTGTTTGTGGTTACACCACTGCATACATTTTTCAAAATTCTTCCAATTTTACACCCACCAAATTAATGTATTTCCTGTGGACTTCAATAACATTTATAAAACATAACAATGGTTTTTATTTTTGACAACCACCTTCTTCTTTCGATGTAATTGCTGATATTTGTCAATATTTTTTAGTTTATAATTCATATGGATAGAAAAAAGAATTTGCAATAACATCTTATATGTCTTTATTAGTCATGGCCTCCCTCCTAGCTCTGTCATTATTATTGGAATGGGAAATAGTCCTTTGAGCAGGCTGGCTGTGGGTGAGGGCACCTGGGGATAATGGTTAAACAACTGCCCACGTAGCCTTACCATCATCACTGAGGAGTAGTGTTGAATCCCACAGTTTTTCGCTAAGGGGACCAGGTCATTCTAGAGTTCAAGATGATTTATGTTTAAATCATCTGATTTTGTACATTAACAGCATGGAAGGCTGAGGATGGGGAAAGGAACAGTTTGTCCTGGAGAAAGCATCCAAAAGCTCTAATTATCTGAAATAAGTTAGCAAGCATAGCACCAGTAAAGTTTAATGAGTAAAAATTTGGTGAGCAAAAATACACTCTCCACATAGAGGCACATGTCAAGATCAAAGACAACAATGCCTAATCCAGAGGGGGTTAACAAATAGAAACTGGGAAACAGGTTAAGAATAATAGCCTAGGTGTCTTCTTGTGATTTTGTTGGTGGTGGTGGTTGGGATTGGAGGCTGACTGAAGCACAGGATCCCTGTCAGGGATCAGGAAGAACTAAGGAGGAGGGGATCCAATTTTAGAAGCCTTTGACAACAAAGCAGAAAAGAGCTGAAGGTTCTTGAACAAACTACCATGGCTTGGATCTGCGAGTAGGTAGGTTCCATGAGAACAGAAGTTTTGGTTGAATGCTAAATCTTCTTTGCCTAGAACAATGCCTGCACACACACGGAAGGCACTCATTTTATTTTTTGTGAATGTTAATGAATGATACAGCAATGCAGCAATGTCAGATATCTGGAATACTTTATTTTGAATAGATTTTCCTTTTCCTTCTTTTTGTATTTTTTCTTTTTAAAGGAAAAGAAGACTATTACAGTACTTACAAAGAAATTGTTAAAAGTTAAGAGTGTTTAAACATGTCTTTATTACCTACTAAAAAATATTTAAGTTTAAGAGCAGTGAACAAATAAATTGGTAATTGAATTTGTGGATCAGAGAAGAATCTTGGTGAAGGGCATTATTCATCTTTCCCAGTCACTTGTCAGATGGTGACTGCTCAAGGATCCCATCCCTGGTTTGTTTGTCGTCAAGTCCCCACCACTGAGTACAGTTGCTGGCACATCATAGGTGCTCAATGATGAGGTTTTTTGAGTTGTTTGTTTTTTTTAAGAGATGAGGTCTTGCACTGTCACCCAGGCTGGAGTGCAGTGGTACAATCACAGCTCACTGTAGCCTCAAACTCCTGGTCTCAAGCGATATTCCCACCTCAGCCTCCGGGTAACTGGGACTCCAGGCTTGCATCACCAGGTCCAGCTAATCACAAGTTATTGAGTGGTCTTCCAGATGGATTCCAGTCTAGAGATTAACTACTCTCAATGTTACCTCGCCAGGTGCAAAGCCTATGTAATAATATTTGATTTTAATTATAAATACACATACCTGACACATAAACTGTCCACCCTGAAACATAAAGAAACTTATTGTTAGATTATAGTTGAATCCAGCAAAGCATCCAAAAATAATTAGTGGCCAGTGTTGCTGGAACTCTAGTCCTGCAAGTGCTCCACAGATGATCTATAATAAAAGGTTCATTAGTAAATTAAGAGCTCTGAAAAGTTCTATTAAAAAGAAACCTATTCAATCCCTCTTTTTTCTAACTTTTTTCAAGCAACATCTAATCAGGTCTCTTGAAACTATGTTCTACAAAATAGTTTTTGAGACACACTGATTCATTATTGCCATCTTATCTGGCAGACCAGACCCAGAGCAGGCAACTGCAAAGGCAAGTTTTAAGTTATCTCTGAGCTGAGTTAATGAAAACAAAAACAAATAAAAAGGAACCATTACAAGAATTTCGGGTTTTGTGGGATGTGATAGATTGTATTTTCTAAAGTTGGCCATGACAATAAATTCCATTCCACATACTCTTCTAACAATGACACTCCTTTCATCTGGGTGAGGTTGGTAAAACAGAAATGGTACTATATGACTTCCAATGTTAGGTCATAAAAGGTAACACAGCTCAGGCTGGGCACAGTGGTTCACACCTGTAATCCCAGCACTTTGGGAGGCCAAAGGGGGCAGATCGCCTGAGGTCAGGGGTTCAAGACCAGCTGGGCAACATGATGAAACCTCATCTCTGCTAAAAATACAAAAATTAGCCGGGCGTGGTGGTGCATTCCTGTAATCCCAGGTACTCAGGGGGCTGAGACAGGAGAATGGCTTGAACCCAGGAAGCAGAGGTTGCAGTGAGCCAAGATCGTGCCACTGCACTCCAGCCTGGGCGATAGAGTGAGACTCCATCTTAAAAAAAAAAAAAAAAAAAAAAAAAGCTCCTAACTGGTTCTTCTGGGACATCCATGAGTCCTGAGCTGCCATATAAGCAGAAAAACCGCCCTGAAGCCACCATATTGGGAGGAAGCCCAAGGAGATGATTCAAGCCACCACCTGAGAGGACCCAAGACTACATGAAGCAAGAAGAATGCCCAGCCTATCCCCAGCTGCTGCAACTGCACACTTGCCCTCCCCCTTCCAGCTCCAGCCTCTGTCCACCAGCACCTGCATGAGAGATGCTGAGAAGAAACCCACCCAGCCAAGCCCTTCCTGAATTCCTGACCCACAAAACCCATGAGAGAATGAAAATGATTGTTGTTGTTGTTGTAGCCCACTGAGTTTTGGGGTAATTTGTTATGTAGCAACAGTAACTGGAATATGAGACATATGCACAAGGAAATTTTCTGAGATGATTTTGAAAGGTAAAGAAAGAGGACTGCATGCCACCTGGGCAGACAGTATTTATATCTAACTTAAGTTGAAATGCTACGAATTTCTGTATCACCAGTCCTATTACCAATGTTTTCTTTTTATGAGCTTAAATTATTTTCCAAGCCTGAGCAGTGTTAATGTATCTATTTGTAGAGATATTAATTAAAATACTTGAGCACCTATTTTGTGCCAGGCACCAGGCTCTATTATCCACGAATTGTCAGGTTCCCAGTATGGGGTATAACATCACCACGTTTTTATTCTGGTCTATACAGTGACTCAGGCTTAGAGATATAAAGAAAACAAGGCCACTACAGGTTTGGGAGCATTAACTATCATTCCGTCTCAGCCCGAAGCACTGATTATAACACGGTATCCTCAATTTGTAGTAAAAAATGGCAATTATCAGTCTGCCTCTGATTTAGATTTAAAAACAAAGTTAGAGCCAGCTGGCCTCTTGGTTCCCATAGCACTGTGTTCACACCTTTGTTGGAAAACTTGGTCACATTCTTTCATTTGTTATTTGTTTATGGCTATTTCTTTACAGCTCTCTCTCTCTTCTTGGTCTTGCTCCTCTTTGTATCTGTGCAATTAATAATTCAAACTTAAAGCCGTTGGAACTTTAGATTATTCTGAGCCTTGAGAGGAATGTGGCCATGTGGCCTGAGTCATGTGGCATGCAGCTGCAACTTCCGCCCTTTTTTCCTGTAAATAATTATGAAGACCAAATGGCGCCAGAGATAAGAACCCCCCTCAGACCATAATCCCTCCTCATGAAATAATAAAGTAATCTTCCTTGGAGTGTAGCAATCTGTAATCAATCAAATAGCTATGATGTATGCACTAGCCTCGTATGGAAAATGTCATAATCCAGCTGAAACTTCTTTGTCTCTGCCTACATGAGTGAAACTTTAACTTCTCCACTTTGGAATGCTGATCCCATTCATTTGGAGTCTGTTTCCCTGGGTGGCTGTTCTCAAGCTGTGTGCTCAAATAAACTATATACTTACTAATGTTTTCTAAATCTCATTATTTAAGTTTGACATATCTTTAGTGCCTAGCCCTGTGCTGGACACGTGGCTGTTGCTCCATGAATGTGTCAACACTCGGGGCCTGACCCCCACTGCTGTCTTAGAGTTTTGACTACAAAATACCCCCCACATCCCTGGGCAACCCCTAGCTTCCCTGGCTTCCCCTTCCTCAGCTGCCCCATGAGGAGGTAGGACTGTGTGACCCTACAGGCTCTTACGGTTCTCACATGGTTGGGAACTCTCTGTGAAAGGTCCTGCTGCTATGTTGTTGTTTAGATGATAGTGGGAGTCCCAGCAAGGCTCCGCTGCTGTTTCTGACCCTGCCTTGCCCAACCTGCAGGTCAGCCTGATGTTTGTGCTGTACTTGGAATCTCATCAAAGCCATTCCTTCTCTTCCCTGTTAAATGAATTTCAGTTGAAACTATTGTTAGTTGGCAAACGCCAGCATTTGGATTGGAGCCAGACAATCGCGCCCACTTTTCTTGGTGATAAAATGTCCAACATCACATTGCTGTAATCAGGGACATGACATGTGTGCACTTACCAAGCAAAATACTCAGAAGGGCTCATCATACAGTAACTGCAGATCCTAGAGTCTGCTCCATGCATGGAGAATGAGGGCCACCACATAACACCTGTGACAAAAGCAAAAGGTTAATCCAAGCAGCTGTCTCCATTGCTTTGCACCAGCTTATATTCATTCCATTGCCTTTTTCATTTTTTCCCCCATGTAGACCTGGGCTTCAAAAAAAATAATTAACTTGCAATGAGCTGAGAAACTGACCTTTAGAAAGGGGACAACGCAAGTGCACAGAATTGAGTAAACTGAGCCACATTGTTTTGGTGCCTCATAGAAAAGCTAAATGTCTCTGTATTGTACCCTATCTCTATTCAGGAATGCTTTCCTATTTTAAGCATGGTGCTAAGGATAGTAGATCGTACACCATGTAGGGGACCAAGAGTTGGTTTTCCTCCTACTTCTCTGACCACTGCCAAATCTTTACACGTGAGACTTCCTCAAGGCTTAGTTGTCTTGTCTTCTCTCTTTATATAACTCTTTCACGTTGGGGAGCTCACCTATTTCCAGGGCTTTCAGTGTCACTGATATTGTAGGCATCCCTAAATTTAAGTCACCAGCCCAAATCTCTCTGAGTGTCAAACCCCATAAGTGGCAACCTAATCGACACTTCCATGTGGACGCCTAATGAACATCTCAAACTTGCCATGACCCAGTCTCTTGATTTCCTCTCTGAAACCTGCTTTTTTCCCCTTCTTCCCCAATTCACCCAATGGCACCACCAACAATCAACACAGAAACCTAGGAGTCATCCTCAATCCTTCCTCTTTCTCTCCTTTACACCCTCCTGGTTCTGGTCTGTTACCTAGTCTCACTTCCACTCCAAAATATACATCATATCTGTCCATCTTCACAGCCATAACTCCAGCTGAAACCAGCCTTGTCTCAACAGCCTCACTGGTCTCCTTGCTCCACCCTCACCTACTTCAAATCTAGTTTCCACATCATAGCCAGGGTCAATCTTTTAAGAACATAAATGTACACATGCCACTTCCTGCTTTAAAACCTTCGGCAACTTCACGTTGCACTTAGAATCCTTCCCAGGGCTTCCAGAGTCTGCACGATCTGGTGACTCCTGTCTATCTTTTTAACCTCATTTCTTCTTTCTCATCTTAGAGACTTAATCCATGCTGTTGCCTCTGCCTGGAACTCTCCCTGGCTCTTGCTTCCATGTCGTCGCCACACAGATAGCTTCCCTATCACTCTATCTAAGTGAGGCTCTCCCTGTTATTCTCTCTCTTGGCATGCTGTTGACTTCCTTCAAAGAGCTCATCCTATTTTGTAATTATAGGCTTAGTTGTCTATCTGTTTATTACCTGTCTCCCTCCTCCCCCAATACACACTGAAATGTAAGCTCCAAAGTTCGGGTAGCATCTTCTTTATCATCATGACCAATATCATCATTACCATGGCAGCAGCTGACATTTCTTGAGAGCCTACTCTGTGCCAGACACTTGACATTATCTTATTTAATCCTCAAAACAATCATAACAAGTAGATACTATTATTATCTCCATTTTACAAATGAGGACACTGAGGCATGGAGATGCTTAGGTTACTTGTCCAGAATTACACGCTAGCAATAGATAGTGCCTGACATATAGTGCTTGGCATATAATAGATCTTCAACTTATTGATCAAATATATACTTTTGTTGAATAATTCAATGCACTTTTTCATGGGAACCCATGGGATAAATTTCTCTCAAACACCAGTATTAAGAAAAGTAATACTTCTAGTTTTATCCTACAAATACTGTGCATATTATAATATGTTGTGCTTTCTATCTTTGCCTTTACTGCTAGGATACTTAGAACCAATATGTTACACTCATCTGGATGAGTCACTCTGTGCCTCAATCTTATTAAGATCTTATTAAGAGAATCTTAACCTTATGCTCCCTTCTTGCTTGGCCTTTTCTATATTGTATGTGTTTTTGTAAGCCTCTCCAATCATTCATGGAATAAGGCAGGATACAAACATCCACCCACAAGGATGGCTACAATACAAAAAAACAGAAAAATAAGAATTGTTGGCAAGGATGCAGAGAGGAGCCTACATACGATGCCAGTGGGAATGGGAAAATGGTGCAGCTGCTGTGGAAAGCACTTTGGCAGTTCCTCAAAAAGCTGAACGTAGAATTACCATGTGACTCAGGAATCCTACTCCTAGGTATATACCCAAAGAAACTAAAAATAGGTGTTCAAGAAATGCAAAACAAAACCACAATGAGATATTGCCTCACTCCTGTTAGTGTGGAATTTGAGGTTACAGTGAGCCATGATCATGCCTGTGAATAGCCACTACACTCCAGCCTGGGCGGGACCCTCTCTCTAAAAAAATAAAAATAAAAATAAAAATGAGGCTTGCTGCAGTGGTTCATGCTGCAATCCCAGTACTTTGGAAGGCCTAGATGGGAGGATTGCATGAGCCCAGGAGTTTTAGACCAGCCCAGGAAACATTTCGAGACCCTGTCTCTACAAAAAATTTTCAAAAATTAGCTGCGCATGGTGGCATGCACCTGTAGTCCCAGCTACTCAGGAGGCTGAGGCAGGCGAATCACTTGAACCTAGGAATTCAAGGCCATTGTGAGCTATGACTGTGTCACTGCACTCCAGTCTGGATGACAGAGTGAGACCCTGTCTCAATTAAAAAAAAAAAGAAAGAAAGAAAAGAAAAGAAAGAAAGAAAATGTGACATATATACACCATGGAATACTATTCAGACATAAAAAAGAATTAAATCCTGTCATTTGCAACAACTTGGAGGAACCTGGACGACATTATGTTAAGTGAAATAAACCAGGTCCAGAAGACAAATCCCATATGATCTTTTCATATGTGGAATCTAAAAAGTTTGTTTCATAAAGTAGAGACTAGAGTTGTTGGGGGCAGTGGCTCATGCCTGTAAATCCCAGCACTTTGGGAGGCTGAGGCAGGCAGATTACCTGAGGTCGGGAATTCCAGACCAGCCTGGCCAACACGGTGAAACCCCATCTCTACTAAAAATACAAAAATTAGCCAGGCCTGGTGGCATGTGCCTGTAGTCCCAGCTACTCGGAAGGCTGAGGCAGGAGAATCACTTGAACCTGGGAGGCAGAGATTGCAGTGAGCCCAGATCATGCCATTGCACTCCAGCCTGGGTGACAGACCAAGACTCTGTCTCAAAAAAAAAAAAAAAAATAGTAAAAAGTAGAGAACTAGAATTGTGGTCAAAAATGTTGGTCAAAGGATATATAATTACAGTTAGGTAGGAGGAATAAGGGCAAGAAATCCAGTGTGACTATAGTTAATGATAATACATTGTATTCTTGAAAAATGCAAAGATGGTGGATGTTAAGTATTCTCACCACAAAAATGATAGCTGTGTGAGGTAGTTAATGCATTCACTAATTAGCTATATTTAACTACTCCACAATGTATATATACTTCAAAACATCTTGTTGTACATGATAAATACATACACTTTGATCTGTTAAAAAAAAAAACAACCAAATAGGTGTTCAAACAAAAACTTGTAAATGAGCATTCATAGCACACTACTATTCACAATTGCCAAAAGGCAGAAACAACTCAAATCTCCGTGAACTGATGAGTGGATAAACAAAATGTAGTATATATAAACATTGGAATATTATTCAGCTATTAAAAGGCATGAAATTTTGATAAATGCTACAACATGGAGGAATCTTGAAAACATTGTGCTAAGTGAAGAAGCCAGACACAAAAAGCCACATATTATATGATTCCATTTACATGAAATGTCCAGAATAGGCAAATCCCTAGAGACAGAGAGCAGATTAGTGGTTGCCAAGGGATGGGGGAGGAGGAATGAATGGGGAGTGCTGTTCAACGGGTACTGAGTTTCCTTTTGGGGTGATAAACACGTCCTGGAATATGATAGTGATGATGGTTGCTTAACATTGTGGCTGTATTAAATTGAACCACTAAATTGCTACTGAGTTGTATACTTTTAAATGGTTAGAATGGTAAATTTTATGATATGTAAACTTTATCATGCACACACAATGAGCATTAAGTCTATTGGGCACTTGGATGATCCCACTTGTGCACAGTAATGTGGCTTTGCCATCATGGACTGTGGTTGCCCTGGTGGCCTGCTGCAGGGAACTCAGGTCTCCTCCTAGCCAAACATCCTTCCATCATTACCCCTCCTTCACCTCCACTCCAACGTCTCCTTCCCCTCTGCCCCTTCCAGTTCAACCTTCCCTTCAGATCAAGCATAAGTCTCGAGGAAGCCTTCCTAATTATTCCAGCTTCACTGATTTCTGTTTTTCCTGATCTTTTAAAGTACCTATTAAGCTCTTGACTCTGCCTATGTAGTCTTCTCTTTTCATGAATGCTTTTACCTCCACCTCTTGACTACTGTCATCTTGGCTAATACAGGGAAGACCACAAGTCCTAGTCTCTGTGGATCCTCTAAGTACCTCAGCAACCCCTGCGCACAGTGACATGACACGTGAATGACACAATTCCTGCTCTGAGGAAGCATCTCAAATTAGCTGAAAAAACAAAACATATATACAATAGTAGTGAAAGGCCAGTGCAAATACATGCTTAGGAGCTCAGAGGCTGTTGGAGACTTCAGCTGGGAGGGCCCTTCATTTAATTGATTGATTCAATAACCATGGATTGAGCACTTGCTACGTGCCAGGCACTGTGTCGGCTCAGATGATATTTGATCTTTGAATTGGGTTTAAAGAGTGAGTAGAATTTGTGTTGCCAGAAAAAAGTAAGAATCTTGTCCCAAGCAAAAAGAAAAATGTGAAGAAATATAAGAGTGGAAAAGTGTGAAGTGTGAAAATAGACCAGCTTGGCCAATGGAGTGGAATTGTGTAACATCCAAAAGAATGATGCAGAACTACCTAGACTGGTATGGAAAGATGTCTTACATATCTACAGGCATACCTTGTTTTACTGAGCTTTGCTTTATTGTACTTTGCAGATATTATGTTTGTTATAAATTGAAGGTTTGTGGTAACCCTGTGTCAAGAAGTCCATCAGTGCCATTTTTCCAACAGCATGTGCTCACTTTGTGTCTCTAGGTCATATTTTGGTAATTCCTGCAATATTTCAAATTTTTCAGTATTATTTATCTGTAAAGATGACCTATGATCAGTGAGCTTTGATGCTGTAATTGTTTTGGGGTGCCACGAACACACCCATATAAGATGGTGAACTTGATTAATGAATATTGTGTGTTTGAGTGCTTCACTGACTGGCATTCCCCATCTCTCTCCCTCTCCTCAGGGCTTGCTATTTCCTGAGACACAACAATATTGAAATTAGGTCTGTTAATAACCCTACAAAGGCCTATAAGTGTTAAAGTAAAAGGAAGAATTGCAAGTATCTCACTTTAAATCAAAAGCTAGAAATGATTAAGCTTAGTGAGAAATATTATAAGCTGAGATAGTCTGAAAACTTGGCCTCTTGCAACAAACAGCCCAGTTGTGAGTGCAAAGGAAAAGTTCTTGAAGAACATTAAAAGTGCTACTCCCATAAAGACACAAACGATAAGAAAGCAAAGTAGCCTTATTGATAATATCGAAAAAGTTTGAGTGGTCTGGATAGAAGATTAAACCAGCCACAGCATTCCCTTAAGTCAAAGCCTAATCCAGAGCAAAGCCCTAACTCTCTTTAATTCTATGAAGGCTGAGAGAGGTGAGGAAGCTACAGAAGAAAAGTTTGATGCTGGCAGAGGTTGCTTCATTAGGTTTAAGGAAAGAAGCTGTCTCCATAACATAAAAGTGCAAGGTGAAACAGCAAGTGCTGATGCAGAAGCTACAGCAAGTGCTAATGCAGAAGCTGCAGCAAGTTATTCAGAAGACCTAGCTAAGATCATTGATGAAGGCTGCTACTCTAAACAACAGATTTTCAATGTAGACAAAACAGTCTTCTATTGGAAAAAGATGCCATCTAGGAGTAGCTAGGAATAGAAGTCAATGCCTGGCTTCGAATGTCAAAGGACAGGCTGACTCTCTTATTAGGGGATTGCAGCTGGTGACTTTAAGTTGAAGCCAGTGCTCACTGACCATTCCAGAAATTCTAGGGTCCTTAAGAATTATGCTAAATTTAGGCTAGGCATAGTGGCTCACACCTGTAATCCTAACATTTTGGGAGGCCAAAGTAGGAGGATCACCTGAGGCCAGGAGTTCAAGACCAGTCTGAGCAATATAGCAGGACCATATCTCTGCAAAAAATTTAAAAATTAACCAGGCATGGTGGCATGTTCCTGTAGTCCAAGCTACTCAGGAGGTTGAGGAGGGAGGATTGCCTGAGACCAGGAATTGGAGGCTGCAGTGAACCAAGATTGTGTACCACTGCGCTCTAGCCTGGGTGACAGAGAGAGAACCTATCTCTAAAAAAATTAAAATAATAATAATAAAATAATTAGACTAAATCTAGTCTGCTGTGCTCTAACAATGGAACAACAACAAAGCCTGGATGACAGCACACATTTGCTTATAGCATAGTTTACTGAATATTTTAAGCCCATTGTTGAGACCTACTGGTAAAAAAAAAAGAGTACTTTCAAAATATTACTGATTATTGACAATGCACCCAGTCATCCAAGAGTTCTGGTGGAGATGTACAAGGAAATTAATGTTTTCATGCTTGCTAATATGCTATTTATTCTGAAGCCCATGGATCAAGGAGTTATTTTAACTTTCAAGTCATTATTTCAGAAACACATTTAGTAAGGCTATCACTGCCATGCATAGTGATTCCTCTGATGGGTCTGGACAAAGTAAAATGAAAACCTAGAAAGGATTCACCATTCCAGATGCCATTAAAAACATTCGTGACTCATGGGAGGAGGTTAAAATATCAACATTTACAGGAGTTTGGAAGAAGTTGAGTACAACACTCATGGATGACTGTGAGAGGCTCAAGACTTCAGTACAGATGTGGTAGAAATAGCAAAAGGACAAGAATGATAAGTGAAACCTGAAAAAATGGAGCCTGCAATCTCATGATCAAATTTAAATGGATAACAAGTTGCTTCTTACGGATGAGCAAAGAAAGCAGTTTCTTGAAATGGTATCTACTCCTGGTGAAGATACTTAGAACATTATTGAAATGACAACAAATGATTTAGAATATCAGATAAACTTAGTTAATAAAACTGCAGCAGGGTTTGAGAGGATTGGCTCTCAACGTTTTGGAAGAAGTTCTTTTTGAGTAAAATGCTATAGGATAGCATTGCATGCTACAGAGAAATCTTTCACGAAAGGAAGAGTTGTTCAATATAGTAAACTCCATTGTTGTTTTATTTTAAGAAATTGCCACGGCCACCCCAACCTTCAGCAACCACCACCTGGATCAGTCAGCAGCCATCAAGATCCAAGCAAGAGCCTTCACCAGCAAAAAAATTACAATCCTCTGAAGGTTCAGATGATCTTTAGCATTTTTTTTTAGCAATAAAGTATATTTTAACTAAGGTATGTACATTTTTAACATAATGCTATTGTACACTTAATACATTCTTGTGTAAACATAACTTTTATATGCACCGGGACACAGAAAAATTCATGTGACTCACTTTATTGCAATATTTGCTTTATTGCAGTGGTCTGGAACTGAACACACAATATCTCCAAGGTATGGAGTGGAAAAAACAAATTTCAGTGCAGTGTGCTTAAGATAATTTCTTTTTGCAAATACATCTTAAGATATGTAACTAAAAAAAGAAAGCAGGGATATACCTGAAACTCTTGCTAGGAGTAATATCTAGGGGATGTGATGGCATGGGGTTCTCATTATGAAGTTCCATGGTTTTTGGATTTTCCCCAGCCAAGCATATATTGCTTCTGTAATGGCGGGGGTGGGGGGGTGGGGGGTGGAGGGGAGCTAAAATGAAAATTACTAAATATTTTAAATATATAAGCTATAGAGTTTGGGCCAAATTTGGTAGGCAACAATGAGCCAGATATAAATATTGGATTTTGTAAAGCCTTAGAGGTTTTTAAGAACATTTATAGATATCTCAATAGCTCTTGATAACCGTTTGCAAATATCTTTTGCTGAAAGAGCAGTATGGAGGGGCCTGCATGATTCCTTTCCCAGGATCTACCTGAGAATCCTACAGCCCCCAAGCCCCTGCACCTTACCTTTGCCTGGTGGATTAACAACTCCTTAATTGTAGAGGGAAGTACAGGGATTTCACAATTCAAAACAAAACAAACCAAAACCTCTGTGATAATTCCTGTATTTCTTCTTGTTTAAAACAGGAAGAGTGAGAGGTCTTTGGAAGTAATTCCTTTTCTTTCCTCATTCTTTTGACCCCTTTGCAGTAATTCCCCTAACAAGGCAGGGAGGGAGGAGGGAGGAGAGCAGAGGAGAGGAGGAGGCTTCTCCTCATATAGCCTTCCACCCCCAGCACATCTTCCCTCCCGCAAGAGCAGGCTCACGGGCTGAGAAAGTGTAGCTCACTTTATTCCAAATCTGTAAAACCAAATCAACTAACTCAATTGACTCACTCAAGTGGAAAGAGATAAGAATGGGCATATGGATTCTAAACCAGAATCCCAGCCTGCCACAGTCAGCTGATCATTCAGGGGAGACAGTGATTTTCCTGCCTCTGCTGGGCTGCAGAGCCTCATGCTGGAAAGCCTCCCTTCCTAGACTCCTCACCCTGACTCATGCAGGTTAGGGCTGGGGCCTGCCCTCCCGCCATATAGAACCAGCAATGTGGAGCTTAGAAGTGGGGAATACAGACCAATGGCAGCACTTAACCTGTCCTTCAACCTCTTTTCATTCCTTGTTCTCTGGGGTGGATTAGCTGGGGCAAAGGAAGGCCTAGAATTGAAAGGGTATAATCCACCAGCCCTGAGAAGTGAGTTCTAGATCAGAAGTTCACAAACTACAATTGTCCTTGTTATAACCCCATGGCAGGCAGAATAATGCATCCCACCAACCCCTAAAGACTTCTGTATCCTAACCTGTGAATATGTTGTCTTATATGGCAAAAGGGCCTTTGGAAATGTGTTTAAGCCAAGCATCTTGAGATAGGGAGATTATCCTGGATTATCCAGGTGGGCTGGACATAATCCCAAGGCATTGTAAAGAGGGGTGGGAAGGTCAGAGTCATAGAGGGAGTGTGACTGTGTTCGAAGAGTTGAGACAAAGAGTGAGAAAAAGAGGAGGGAGGTATTGATTTGAAGATGCTAAAGCTGCTGGACTTGAAATGGAGGGAGGACCACAAACCAAAGACTCTAGGTGGCCTCTAGAAGCTAGAAAGGCAAGACAATGGGTTCTCTCCTAGAGCTTACAGAAGGAACATAGCCCTGCTGACACCCTGATTTTAGAATTCCTGGCCTCCAGAACTGTAAAGTAATAAATTCATTTCATTTATTTATTTATTTATTTATTTTTTGAGACAGGGTCTCACTCCCATGCTCAAGTTGGAGTGCAGTGGTGTGATCACAGCCCACTGCAGCCTCAACCTCCCAGGATCAAGTGATCCTCCTACCTCAGCCTCCCAAGTAGCTGGGACCACTGGTGTATGCCACCACACCTGACTAATTTTTACTTTTTTTTTAGTAGAGTTGGAGTTGTGCCATGTTGCCCTGGCTAGTTTTGAACTCCTGGGCTCAAGGCATCCTCCCAACTTGGCTTCCCAAAGTGCTGGGATTACAGGTGTGAGCCACTTCGCCCTGTCAAATTTGTGTTGTTTTAAGCCACTAAACATGAGGTAATTTGGTAGAGCAGCTGTGGCTGGCTGAGAGACTCCACCCACTGACACATCTGTATCCGATTGAGGATTGGGAGTGAATCCTTTGAACTTTTCATTGAACCCTACTAAGAAGCTCTATCACATTGTTGTCAGACTCTCTCACTTGCAAAGATCAGAAAGTCTTCTGGTGAAATAAAATAGCCACTGCAGTGACCCCCGTGGCTCCCAGATTCCCAAATGGCCAACCATTTGAGATCCGGAACCACTTGATATTCACCTGAGGGCTCAACTACCATTTGACCTTCCAGGTCCTGTCAAAGAGGATCTTTAATTTAAATGAAAAATAACTGTGTTACTTTTCTTATTATCAAATTAATACAAGCAAAGACATCAGAAAATGCAGACAAGCAAAAAGAAAAAAACATCATTAACAACAGACAACACTCCATCTCACTGAGATAACCACTAATACCATCATTATCTTTCCAGCACTTTAAAAATAACTCTAGTCCGGGCACCGTGGCTTGCACCTGTAATCCCAGCACTTTGGGAGGCCGAGGTGGGCAGATCACCAGGTCAGGAGTTCAAGACCAGCCTGGCCAACATAGTGAAACCCCATCTCTACTAAAAATACAAAAAATTAGCCGGGCGTGGTGGTGTGCGCCTGTAATCTCAGCTACTCGGGAGGCTGAGGCAGAAGAATCTCATGAACTCGGGAGGCGGAGGTTGTAGTGAGCCGAGATGGCAGCGTTGCACTCCCGCCCAGGTGAAAGTACAAGACTCTGTCTCAAAAACAAACAAACAACAACAAAATTAATTATTCAAAAACTATGCAGTACTTTAAAATTTTTTATGTATCATGAATATCTCTAGTCGCAATATTCATCTGCAACACTAATTGTCATAGTGTGATCTGGGGCTGCTAGGGAGGGATCCCAAGACATTTTCAGGAGGTTGTGAGCTCAAAATTATTTTAATTTTAATTCTAAGGCATTATTTGACTTTTCACCCTCATTCTCTCACAAGCAGAAACTACATAATACATGATACTGCAACAGTTTGAATACAGAAGCAGATATAAAAACAGTGGCTATTAAGTTTGATGTTAAAGGCAATAGCAAAAATCTAAAACCACGCTGTTCTTCCTACTGTTTTAAAATATATACTTATTTTTCATTAAATATTTGTTATCATATAATGGGTTTGTTATTTTTAAATGAAATAATGAATATGTAAAAAATTGTTTTAATTTTGAAAGTATTAACAGATGTAGCACACATACACAAAACCTCTTTGGCATGCTCCATAATTTTCAGGAGTGTAAAGGGATTCCGAGACGAAAAAGTTTGAGAACCTCTGATCTGCGGTATCACTTTTTAATGGCTGAATTAGTGCATTGATCGGAAGTTTCCTAATTCACTTAACTAGTATATAATGCCAAGAATAAGATTCTTATACTTAAATTTGGGTATACCCTTAATTATTTCTCTAGGATAATTTTCAAGGATGATTTTTAAAACCCATATTTATTGTACAAAAGTGGGCTAACATCAGTAATGCAATCCACCCCCAGCCAATCAGCTGTTTTCATTCTGTTTCCTTCCAATCAACAAAGGTGGGTGGTAGGCATTTACGATTTACCAGCATAAGGGTTTGACACTAGGTCATCATTTCCAAGGGAAGGTGCCCCGCGGACGGTCTGGTCTAGCGGGCTCTAACTTAATCACCCTGGAATCTTCTTTAAAAAGCAAATTCCGGCCGGGCACTATGGTTCACACCTGTCATCCCAACGATTTAGGAGACCGCGGTGGGAGGATCGCTTGAGCCCCGAAATTTGAAACCAGCTTGGGCAACATAGCAAGACCTCCATATCTACAAAAAAATAAAATATTAGCCAGGCGTGGTGGTGCGCGCCCGTAGCCCCAGCTACTCGGGAGGCTGAGGCGGGAGGATTGCTTGAGCCTAGGAGGTGGAGGCTGCAGCGAGCCTGATGTTGTCACTGCCCTCCAGCCTGGTGAGAGTGAGACCTTGTCTCAAAAGAAAAAAAAAAAAAAGCAACCCAGAGTTGTGGGAAAGAACTGAGTGTCATTCTCAATGTTTTTAACCTACGTGCTAACCGCGCACCTTCTACCTAGGCTGCGCGACCTCCGCGCCCGGATCCATGGCGCCCCCTCTTCTCGACTCCCGATGCAGAGCTCCGATGCAGAGCTCAGCGCCAGCCACTCACAAGGAGCCTGGCAAGTTTTATCGAATTGGTGAACGAAGTTCGAAAGCTCTACCCTTGGAGATCCTTATTCAGTAGGTCTGAGGTAGACCTAGGAAACGCGCATTTTATATAAATCCTACCTCTGACGGCAAACGACAAGGGGTTCACGTGCCAGCTCTCCTCGGCGACGCGCTAGGCTACTCAGCGCCCCGAGCCTCGGCCTCGCATCGCTAGAACCCGGCCATGGCCGCTTCCTTACAGGGCAGCTGTGAGGAGTCCTGAGGAATTTTAGTACACGGCATATCCTCAGCGTAGTGGCTAGCACATCACAAGGCTTTAATCTTAACACTGTTGATCTTAACACTGCAACTGAGGGGGCCCGGAGAATGGGCCTGACAGGAGGGTCTGTCGGAACCTGAGGGACTGGGGATCCCGGTGCGGAGAAGCGCGAAGGGAAATCGCGTTGAGCAGCTGGGGTGGGTGCGCCTGGGGGCGTGGCCTGCGGGCCGGCGGGCGGGCGGGAGCCTGCGGTGGAGGCGTGGCACGAGGGAGGGGCGAAACCGGGTGGCGCGGAGGGGGCGTGGCGTTGGGAGGGGCGGGGGGAGTGGGCGGGGCCGAGATGGGGGCGTGCGCGCTGACAGGAGCGCCGGGGGAGTGAGAGACGCCTCCTGGCGGGAGCTGGCGGCTGTGGACCCCAGCGGGGGCGGAGGGGAAGAGGGGAGCAGGGGCGGGGAGCAAGGAGCCGGGAGGAGGGCGGCGGGCGGGCCTGTCTCTTTAAGGTGCCCGAGGCTCGCGGGCGCTGCGCTGAGGGGACGGCGGGAGGCGCGGCCTGGCCTCGCACTCAAAGCCGCCGCAGCGCGCCCCGGGCTCGGCCGACCCGGCGGGGATCTAGGGGTGGGCGACTTCGCGGGACCGTGGCGCATGGTGAGTGGGAGCGGCTGGGGGGTTGTGCAGCCTCTTGGCCTCTTGGTTGGGAAGGGGCCGGGCGCCGAGCTCGGCCCTCTAGAGGCCCGGGGCCGCGGCGAGCTTCGCGGGGGCCGGGAGAAGCCTGGGCCCGGCTGCGCGGAGGACAAAGTGGGGGTGCTGGGCGCGGGCGCACAGGCCGGACGCCGGGAGCCAGCAGCATCTCTGCGCCGCTTTGGTCCAGACCATCTCTGGGCCGGCCCGCGTCCTCCGCAGCCCGCGTCGGCCGAGCCGGGGTGGGGGTGGTTCCGGGTGCCCGGTCCCCCACACCGCTACCGGCCTCTGCCTCGCGGGGCGTCCGGCGCCTTCGGGGCCCTGGCACCGCTCTACAGAGGCTCGGCTCTGCCCTGGTCGCTGTCAGTGCCATCTCCCTTAACGAGAAACTTGGGCGTGATGTATGCGAAACAATTTTGATGCATGATGGTTTCTAACTCCTTAGGAAAAGATAAGTCCTTTAATTCTATTACCTGATTTCGACATGGTCGTAGTTACTTGAATACTTTTTCCAGTGAAATTTGGGGAGTAAGATGAATTTGTGGAACATTTCATAAGACAACCGTAAAAGATGGGAAAGGGGGGAAATCCCAGTTTTCATGGTTGTAGGATGAAAACTAGTTCCACGACAGTTAGTCTCCAAATAACCTTATTTGGCCTCCGCAAATATGTACTGGTTGCTCCAGAAATCATCCTACTTGGTATGCGGCGTTAGATACATTAGAAAATTAGTTACTAACGGTCTTTAGGGAATGCTTTGTGAGCCTCAGTAACGATCACCAGGGTTTTCTCTTTCAAAATTGACTCATACCAGGTCCAAAGCCCTTTATTCTTTTCACCCTTTTATTATTTTTCCTTTAATGTACTTTGTAACACTTAGAATAAAAGTTTAGAGTAATCATAAATGCCCCCATAAACTCACTATTTATCCCTCTTACGTCAGTAGTCATTTATTTTAATTTATTATGTTTGATAGGGAGGTGTTTTAACCTGAAGAAATGATATCTTCCCGTATTTAAAGTTTAATAACTGTATACTGTTTGGCCCCTGTCAGACTGTGTTTGTGCTAGTCTTTTTTCCTTCTTCTTTTTGAACTGTAGTATCTTCTTAATAACTTTGAAGAATGTGTGGTACTAATAGAATTAAAAGAATATCTTGGCCGGGCGCGGTAGCTCACCCCTGTAATCCCACACTTTGGGAGGCCGAGGCGGGTGGATCACCTGAGGTCAGGAGATCGAGACCAGCCTGGCCAATATGGTGAAACCCCGTCTCTACTAAAAATACAAAAATTAGCGGGGCGTGGTGATAGGCTCCTGTGATCCCAGCTACTCGGGAGGCTGAGACAGGAGAATCGCATGAACCCGGGAGGCGGAGGTTGCAGTGAGCCGAGATTGCGCCACTGCACTCCAGCCTGGGCGACAGAGCGAGACAACGTCTAAAAGAAAAAAAAAAAAAAGAATATCGTCACATTCTAATAATTACCTAGAGTTTTTAATGCAATTAGTAATTAAACAGCCTTTTGTTATTTGCTCAATTATTTAAGAAGTGACTCTGTGGACTCTACTTCTTGCTTTGAGCTGCTTTATTCTGTCTAAATAAGCCTGAATAATTTCCATTTAAAATTTTGTTTTGATTCTAAGAATTAAAATTAAATATCTTAAAATTATAATACAATATTAATAGTTTTATATGGGCTTACAGTTGAATAATGGACCTAAAATTAAAGTTGAATAGTAGCAGTGCAGTATTGAAGCTAGTTATTTGCCTGATATACTCTCAAGTTACTGAGGGTTTAGATATACTCACTCTACTTTCACAGTCACCATTTCTGGATAGTCTGAGGAACTGTAGAGTTCTAGGTCCTTGAAGATGGCTATGAAGCCATTATTATACAAAATTATTGTTTATTTTTGAATGTTTATATAATCTTTCATTGAGAATGATCTTTAAATGATCACTCAAAAGTTTTTTGAAGGCCAGGCATGGTGGTATTGTCTGTAGTCCCAGATAACTGGGAGGCTGAGGTGGGAGGATCACTTGAACCCAGGAATTGAAGGCTGCAGTGAGCTATGATCACACCACTGTACTTCAGCCTGGGCAACAGAGCAAGACTCTAAAAAAGAAAGAAAAAGTATATTGACACAAACAATGAGTCTTAGTTTATGTTTTGTTTCTCATTTTTATATTTGTTTTTACCCTAGCACTTGCCTTTGAATTAAAGTTGTGTTTGTTTGTTTAGTTTCCTGGGAGTTACTGATCATCTTCTTTGAAGAAACATGAAGTTACACTATGTTGCTGTGCTTACTCTAGCCATCCTGATGTTCCTGACATGGCTTCCAGAATCACTGAGCTGTAACAAAGCACTCTGTGCTAGTGATGTGAGCAAATGCCTCATTCAGGTAGGACTAAGAGTACTTTTATTAATATCAAAATATATTGTAGAGCAGAAACATTATGTTTATATACAGATATAGAGTGCATATATCATATAGAGTAAGACCTGAGTATTGGGTCAGGGCCTGAGGTACTGAATCATGACACACAGGTCTGGATTTTTACCCTCATAGCAATCAATATATATAGGCAAGGTTAGATTCAAGAAGTTCAATACTGAGTATAATATCCTGTTGTATAAACATGTCATTACAAGGTGATGAGCACTCTATTCAGATGATTTAATCTGTGTAATCTAATTAACATAGCAAAGAGGTTCAATGAATGTATTTAGAAAAAAAATTAGCTGGTCAAATAATAGATAAATTGTTACCCTAAGTATGATGTATTAGTTGTCCATTGCTATGTAACAAATTACCCCAAAACATAGCAACTTAGTGCAATAAACATGTATTATTTCATGCAGTTTCTGAGGGCCTGGAATCTGGGAGCAGTTTAGCCAGGTGGCTGTGGCTTAGGGTCTCCCACAATGTTGCAGGCAAGTTGTTGGCTGGGATTGGACAATCTGCTTTCAAGATACTTCGAAGTTATATCTCTTCCAATCATCAAGGCAGGCCTCTTAATGTAGCCACCACTCTCATTTTTCTGGGGAGAAAAGTAAGAGGAAGTAATGTGGCTAAGTTAACAGGCTCGTATTGAACTCCTGATTAGCTTCCTTTCTAGTTGCAGGCTGTGCACTCAGAAATTCAGTAGCCACACACATTAGCATTCTATGTAAAGTATGAGTCAGCTAACATGACTGTAACCCTCACTTGAGAGTAATTGTGTATATGTGCTAGAGTGACAATTGTTTTTATACATCAGAAGCATTTTGTGCTTATTTCTGACATTTTGGTCCTTCTCGCTAATAGTTGGAATTCTACTTGCCCCCATTTCGTACTCTGATAACCCTAACTTTGCATTTCAAACCAAAACATTTAACTAGAGAAGTGTGTTTGCTGTTCAGTTTTTAACTTTTTCGCTGTGGACATTTTCAGGTATAAAAGGAGAAGAATATAATGAACCATCCATGAGTAGTTACTGCAGTCACTACCTCATGGCTACTCTTATTTTATCTATACCCTCCTACATTATTCACTCCCAGCTGTTTTAATTTCAAGCAAATCCCTTGATACTGTTTTGTTGATAATTCTAATATGTATCTCTAAAAGAGAACTCTTTACCAACATAGCTATTAGACCAATTTTACAGTTTAAAAATTAACACTAATTCTTTAATCACCTAATTTTGTATGTGGAAATCTTAATAAGGCACGCCTGCTTAGGCTTGTGTTGGCTGGAAACTTTGTGTCTGCAAATGAAGCCCAGTTTTGTGCTATGGTCAGATGAGGAGTCTGTGGTACCTCCCAGATTGTTTCAATGTAGCTTCATTATTCATTATTCACAATAAAGTCTCATAACATTTGCTGTATTCATGTTTAGATGGAAATTCTCTTAAATTCCAAATTATATTCTTGACTCTTCAACTCTATAACTTGCATTAGTTCAAGTAATTAAAAATTGTACTTTGGCCATGCACAGTGGCTCATGCCTCGTAATCCCAGCACTTTGAGAGATTGAGGCAGGAGGATCACTTGAGCCCAGGAGTTTCAGACCAGCCTGGGAATCACAGTGAGACCCTGTCTCTACAACAAATAGTTTTTTTAAAATTAGCTGGGCATGATCATGTACACCTGTAGTCTCAGCTACTTGGGAGGCTGAGGCAGGAGGATCATTTGAGCCCAGGAGGTTGAGGCTGCAGTGAGCTATGATTGTGCCACTGCACTGAAGCCTGGGTGACAGAGCAAGACCCTGTCTCAAAAAAAAAAAAAATTGTACTTTATTTAAAATACCTTGCTTTTAAAGGGAGTATTTAAAAGAGAAAGCTTTTGATTAATATGGGTAGATACTTGTAAAGGTTTTTTTGTTTGTTTGACTCTTTAAAAATTTTTTGGCTCTATTACAGCTTACTACAGCCTTGACTTCCCAGGCTCCAGCGATCCTCCCATCTCAGCCTCTGGTGTAGCTGGGACTACAGGCACGTGGCACCATGCCTGGCTAATTTACTTTGTATTTTTGGTAGAGACAGGGTTTTGCCATGTTGCCAAGGCTGGTCTCAAACTTCTGAGCTCAAGCGATCTGCCAAGGCTGGTCTCAACCTTCTGAGCTCAAGCAATCTGCCACCTCGGCCTCCCAAGTGCTGGGATTACAGGTGTGAGTCACCGTGCCTGGCCATTAAAAAAATTTAAAAAATTACAATTACAAAAATTAGCTGAGCATGGCGGTGCATGCTTGTAATCCCAGCTACTTGGGAGGCTGAGGCAGGAGAATCACTTGAACCCAGGAGGCGGAGGTTGCAGTGAGCTGAGATCGTGCGACTGCACTCCCACCTGGGCGACAGAGCAAGACTCTGTCTCAAAAAAAAAAATTGTAAAAAAACAAAATACTTCAAAATGTAAAGAGTACTATATCAGTGTAAAAAAACTGGAAAAGCAAATGGAGCTTCACCTAACTCAAATGGTGATTCTAGTAAACAAAATCAGCTAGGACGTATTTTCAGTCACAAATTCATGGATGCTGACATTTCTGATATTCCGTTGTAGCTTCAGAGCCAGGAAACATCAAACTTTTTTCTGGAGTAGTGGACACAACTATCCTGGTGGATGGTAGACTACTTGGATTTAGAAAAGATCTAGGGCTGGGCCGGGCGCGGTGGCTCAAGCCTGTAATCCCAGCACTTCAGAAGGCCGAGGCGGGCGGATCACAAGGTCAGGAGATCAAGACCATCCTGGCTAACATGGTGAAACCCCGTCTCTACTAAAAATACGAAAAATTAGCCAGGCGTGGTGATGGGCGCCTGTAGTCCCAGCTACTCGGGAGGCTGAGGCAGGAGAATGGCGTGAACCCAGGAGGCGGAGCTTGCAGTGAGCCAAGATCATGCCACTGCACTCCAGCCTGGGCGACAGAGCAAGACTCCATTTCAAAAAAAAAAAAAAAAAAAAAAAGAAAAGATCTAGGGCTCAAATATTGAGGATTTTCTTGTTTGTTTATTCACAAACATTTATTGAGTGTTGAAATGAAATGTGATTAGTTCCACTCTTCACCTAGTTTTGTGGACTCCCAAACTCTAGCAGATTATTTCACATTCTGATCTTTAGTTTCCATGTGTTCCTCTTACTATGGCTGTGTGGCAAACCACCCCAAAAACCAGTGGCTGGAAACAGCATTTATTTTGCTCACGAATTTGCATTCTGAGCAGGGCTCTGCGGAAGAGTTCATCTCTGTTCCACGTGGCATTAGCAAGGCGGCTTGAAGGTGGTGGGGGTGGAATTATCTGAAACAGCACTATAGATAGAGCTTTCTGCGATGATGGAAAAGATCTACATCTACCCTGTGCAATACAGTAGAATCTAGCCATACGTGGCTACCAAGTACTTGAAATGTGACTAGTATGGCTGAAAATCTGATTTTAAATTTAATTCAATTTCAATTTCATTAGCTGCATAGCTGCATATGACTAGTGGCCACGTATTGGACATTGAAAATCTGAAGGCTCACTGATAAAGTCTAATACCTGGGCTGGGAAGATTCTTCAGGTATACGTCTCTTCCTGACTTCTCCTCCCCTTCCTCCCTTCTCTATCCCCATCTCCCTCCCTCTCTCCCTTTCACTCTCTCTGTGTATATATGTGTGTGTCTCTGTGATCCTGCTATATGATCTCTCCTGCAGGTCCACCTGGATTTAAGTGGAGGGAACATAGGCCCCACCTCTGTTGGAGGAGTGACAGTGTCATGTTGTAAGCTGAACATGTGGATGGGATATAATGGTGTGGCCATCTGTGGAAAATACACTCTGCCACATATAAACTGTAAAGTGAATTGGCTGGCTAGGTGAGCTCAAAATTTTCTTCTAGTTCTAGGCAGTTTTAAAGAAAGAAACCAACTAGTATGTGTCAAATGTTCTCTTTTTTTCATCAGAGTAATAAATTATTAAATTATTAGAAGGCTACATAGTGAAAAATTGAATCTCTTGATCTAATTCTCCCTACTCATTCTATTACCCTGGGAAAACCGCTTTTAATCTAACTCTTATATTTTTACTTCTGTTAGTAATTTTTAGCCATATGCCTAAATAATATGCTTGTACTACTATTTCTTGATTCATCAGTTTTAGATGTTATATATCTAAAATTGCCTTTCTGCTATAACAGATAAGGTCATAGCTCATCATGTCATCCTTCCCACTCCTGCCCTGCCACACTTGTATCACAGTTTTGAGTTTATCTCTTGGTTATTTTTTCAATTTCTTCAATATATTTAAGGTTTTCTATTCTGTTCTATCAACTGGAGACACTATCTCTTTATTCCTGATGTAAGTGGAGAATATTAATAGTCCTTTCCTTTTAAAGTTTATTTTATTTTATTATTTTTTTTTTTTAGCAATGAGACAGACTATAAGTGAGTTTTAAGAACAGTGCATTTCTTGAGGGAATTGAAGAGAGGGTTTGTTTGGGTTCCAGTCTTGGGAGATCATGTGAAGCTACCATGTTTAACATCATAGAAAGCAAAGAAATCAGTTTTTTCCCTTGCATTTATGAGTACTGCCCTTGAAATTTTCTACTTTTGGCATTCTGATGGGCTACTTTTGGAATTCTGATGGGCTGCATCAAAATCTGTGGGGAACGGAGTGTTACCTGTACTTTTACTTTTATATTGTCAAGGTTGATAACATCTACATTCTGAGAGGCTGCATAGTATAATGGTTAAGCGTATGAACTCTGGAACCAGGCTATCTGAATTTGGATCCAGTTCTGCCACTTACTGGTTGTATGACCTTGGGCAAGTTAGTTAATCTCTCAATGCCTCAATTTCCTCATCTGTAAAGCAGGGATAATAACCATACTGTGCGAGTATTGTGAGGATTAGGTGTAAAGTATTTAGAGCAATGCCTGGCACGTGAGTGCACTATAGGTAATTACTAACCTTATTTCTCTGTTTTGTAACTCTATTTGAATCTTCTAATGCTTTATTTACAGGTATATTCTAAAACTGGCAATAAACCATGTTTATATTGTAATGATTATATAAATATTGTTGACTGTTGACTGTAGTCACATAGGTACTATGATTACATTTCCCTTCTTGAATGATTTTGTTTTTCTTGAGTTTCTAATTATCTTTCTTTACCTTGTATCATCAATCATTAGCACCTTATATTGTTTTAAGTACTTAATGTATTTTTCCTCCCAAATGGAGCCTTCAGTCTTGATGTTTCCAGACTTAACTGATTGCAATCTAGGTCTGATGCAAGCTGTCTTATGGTGACTTTCCATCATTACTTTCCCAAGTTGGTTCCAGTGTTTCTTGGATTTCGTATCTTGTTGTTTTTAACAGTAACCCTTATTTTGTCCCAACATGCCCTCAAGTAACTTCCTAAGAAAGCCTGTGTGGAAAGTAAGCTTTCTGGGTCCTGCATGTCTTGAAGATGTATTTATTCTCACCTTTCACCTGACTGATGGTTTGCCTGAATACAGAATTCTATGTTAAATTCTTTTCCCTCAGAACTTTGGAGACATTTCTCTATTATCTAATAGCATTCCATATTGCCAATAAGAAGTCTGATGCCAGTCTGTTTCTTATTCTCTATAGGTAACTTTGTTATTCTCTCTAGAAACTTTTAGTATCATCTCATTAGCCTTCATATTATGGAATTTAAACTGTTGAGTCTAGTGTTGGTCTTTTCATTCATTCTGTTTGGTATCTTGTGAGTCTTTTGGGGATCAGTTTTGAGCCAAAGACTAGGAAATGCCCTGTTTTGTTTTTTGTTATATATATATATATATATATATATATATATATATATATATATATATATATCTTGTCCTAACATACATACATATATAATATATACGTTTTATATAACTATATTTTTGTATAATATATAATTATGTATAGTGTCCTCTTTTCTTTCTGGAACTCTTATTAGTATAAATCTAAGATGGATTCTCTGTTAGATTTTTTTTAAAAAACAGTTTTATTGAGATATATGATTCATATATTATAAAATTTACCCATTTAAGGGTACAATTGAGTGGTTTTGGCATATCGACAGACTTGTGCAACCATCACCACAATCTAATTTCAGAACATTTTCATTACTTTAGAAGGGAACTCCATACCCTTTAGAAGTCATTTCCTATTCTCTCTCCCCACAAACCCTAGGCAGTTTACTTTCTCTCTACATGCTTGTTCTGGACATTTAATATGAATGGAATCATACCTTGTCTTTTGTGTCTGACTTCTTTCATTGAGCATAATGTTTTCATGGTTCCTGTGTGTTGTAACATATTCAGTATTTCATTCCTTGGTCAAATAATATTCTGCTGAATGGGCATACCACATTTTATTTATCCATTTATTGGTTGGAGGATATTTGAGTTACTTATATTTTTGGCTATGGTAGATAATACTGCTATGAATATTCAAGTTTCAGTGTGTGGATGTATCTTTGTTTGTTTTTTAAGAGATAAACTGTGTTACACAGGTTTGTTTACTGCCTGTGCACACAGGCAGTGGTGCAATCATTGTTCACTGTAACCTTGAACTCCTGGGCTCAAACGATCCTCTCACCTTGGCCTCCCAAGTAGCTAGCACTACAGGTGTGTGCCACCATACCTGGCTAATTAAAAAAATTTTTTGTGTGTGGAGACAGGATCTTATTATGTTGCCCAGGTTGGTCTTGAACTCTTGTCCTCAAACGATCCTCCTGCCTTGGCCCCACAAAGTTCTGGGGTTACAGGTGTGAGCTGCTACAGACAACCCTGGATGTATCTCTTAATTTTTCTTTTGTATATACCTAGGAGTAGAATTGCTGGGCCATATGGCAACTCTGTGTTTAACATTTTGAGGAACTGCTGAAGTGTTTATTCTAAAGTGGCTGCACTATTTTACATTCCTACCAGTTGTGTATGAGAGTTCTAGTTTCCCTATAGCCTCACCAACACTTATCTTTCCTTTTTATTGTAGCACCTTTGTGGAGTGGTTATGATTTGCATTTCCCTAATAGCTAATGATGTTGAGCATCTTTTTATGTGCTTAGTGAATGCATGTGTGTGTGTGTGTGTGTGTGTGTGTGTGTATGTATGTATTTTTTTTTTTTTTTGAGAGAGGATCTTGCTCTGTCACCCAGGCTGGAGTGCAGTGGTGCAATCACGGCTAACAGCAACCTCAACCTCCTGGACTCAAGCAATCCTCCCACCTCAGTCTCCCAAGTAGCTGGGACTATAGGCATGCACCACCATGTCTGGTTAGCTTATTGTATATCTTTGGGGAAATACCTATTGAAAACCAGTGCTCTTTTTTGTGTGTGTGTGTTTGTTTTAGACGAGAGTCTCATTCTGTTGCCCAGACTGGAGTGCAGTTGCTCTATCATAGCTCACTGCAGCCTTGAACTCCTGGGCCAACACGATCCTCCTGCCTCAGCCTCCTGAGTAGCTAGGACTACAGGTATGTGCCACCACACTCAGCTAATTTTTAAAATTTTTAAATTCTTTATAGGGATGGGGGGTCTCACTGTATTGCCCAGGCTGGTCTTGAACTCCTGGTCTCAAGTGATCGTCCTGTCTTGGCCTCTCAAAGCGCTGGAATTACAGGTGTGAGCCACCATGCCCAACCCAGAACCTATGCTCATTTTAAAATTGGCTTGTCTTTTTATTGTTGAGTTGTAAGAATTCTTTATATATTCTGGGCTCAAGACCCTTGTCAGATACATTATTTGCAAATATTGTCTCTCATTCTGTGGGTTGTCTTTTCAACTACTATGTATCATTTGTATCACAAAAGTTTTACATTTTAATGACATCCAATGTTTCTGTTTTTTTCTTTTGTTACTTGTGCTTTTGGTGTTGTATCTAAGAAACCATTACCTAAGCCAAAGTCATAAAGATTTACTTGTATGTTTTCCTCTAAGAATTTTAGAGTTTTAGGCCAGGTGTGGTGGCATGTACCTGTAATCCCAGCACTTTGGGAGATGGAGGTGGGAAGATCGCTTTAGCCCAGGAGTTCAAGCCTGCAGTGAAGTAGGGATCCAACTTTATTATTTTGTATATGGATATCCACTTGTCCCAGCAACATTTCTCCCCCACTGAGTTATATTGCCACCCTTGTTCAAAACCATTTCACCATAAACGGTTTATTTATGGACTGTCAGTTCTATTCTATTGGTTTATATCTCTATTTTTATGCTAGTACCACATTGTCTTGATTATGTAGTTTTGTAGTATGTTTTGAAATCAGGAAGTCTGAGTTCTCCAACTTTGTACTTTTTCAAGATTGCTTAGGCTGTTCTGGGTCCCTTGCATTTTCATATGAATTTTAGAATCAACTTGTCAATTTCTGTAATAAAGCCAGCTGGGATCTTAAAAAAATATATAATAGACTTTATTTTTTGGAAAAGTTTTAGGTTTACAGAAAAATTGAGCAGAGAGTATAAAGGGTTCCCATATACCCATTCCCCCCACATATCCCCAGTTTCTTCTATTATTAACATCTTGCATCTGTGTGGTATACTTGTTACTATTGATGAACCAATATTGATATGCTATTATTAACTAAAATCTATGCTTTGCATTAGCATTAACTCTTTGTGTTTTACATTTTTATGGGTTTTGACAAATGCATAATGTCTTGTATCTACCATTACAGTATCATTCAGAATAGTTTCATTGCTCTAAAAATCCCCATAGCCAACCTCTTCATCCCTCCCTACCTCCCCCCAGTCCCCTAGTAACCACTGATGTTTTTTACTGTCTCTGTAGTTTTGCCTTTTCCACAATGTCATATAGTTGGAATCATACAGAATGTAGCCTTTTAAAAGGGGCTTCTTTGACTTAGCAGTATACATTTAAGTTTCCTTTATGTCTTTTCATGGCTTGATAATGCATTTATTTTTATCACTTATTATTACCTAATAATATCCCATTGTATGAATGTACTTACTGATTAATATTGCACTCACTGATTAGTATGGATGTACTAGAGTTTGTTTATCCATTCACTTATTGAAGGACATCTTGATTGCTTCTAAGATTTAGTAGCTATGAATAAAGCTTAGCCAGGCATGGTGGCTCAGGCCTATAATCTCAGTGCTTTAGGAGGCCATGGCAGGAGGGTCCCTTGAGGCTGAGAATTCAAGATTGTAGTGAGACCCCCATCTCTACCAAAAGAAAAAAAAAGTCTTGAGTGCTGGTGTGCACCTGTAGTCCTAGCTAACTGGGAGGCCACAGTAGGAGGATGGCTGAGCCCATGAGTTCAAGGCTACAGTAGGTTATAATCACACAACTGCACTCCAGCCTGGATAACCAAGCGAGACCCTGTCCCTATAAAATAACATAAAGCTGCTATAACCATCCATGTGCAGGTTTTGTGTGGGCATAAGTTTTCACTTCATTTGGCTAAATACTAAGGAGTGTAATTGCTGCGTTGTAGGGTAGGACTATGTTTAGTTTTGTAAGAAATTGCCAAACTGTCTTTCAAAGTGGCTGTACCATTTTGCATTCCTACCAGCAATGAATGAGAGTTGCTATTGCTCCACATCCTCACCAGCATTTGGTGTTTTAAGTGTTTTGGATTTTCACCATCTAAATAGGTATATAGTGGTATCATATTGTTTTAATTTGCAATTCTCTAATGACATATGATGGAGAGCGTCTTATACTTATTTGCCATTTGTATACCTTTTTGGGTGAGGTGTCTGTTAAGAATCTCTGGCCCATTTTTTAATTGGGTTGTTTACTTTTTTTATTGTTGAGGTCTCTGTATGTATGTTTTGTATAGCAGTCCTTTATCAGAAAAGTCTTTTGCAGATATTTTCTCCTAGTCTATGGCTTGTCATCTGATTCTTTGGAGAGTATTTTTTGCAGAGCAGAAGTTTAAAATTTCAATAAAGTCCAGCTTATCATTTATTTCTTTCATGAATTGTGGCTTTGGTATTGCCAGCTAAGATTTAATAGGGATTGCATTGAATCTGTAGATCAATTTGGGGAGTACTGTGTTGCCATCTTAGCAGTATTATGTCTTTGTTTCATGAACATGTGTGCCTTTCCTTTTATTTGGATTTTCTTTCATTTCTTTCAACAATATTTTGTAGTTTTCTGTGTATTACATTTCTTTTGTTAAATTTATTTATCAGTATTTTATTCTTTTTGATGCTATTGTTAGTGGAATTATTCTCTTAATTTCATTTTTGGATTGTTCATTGCTTCTGTATAGCATATTAGCTCTTTTCTATCCCATCATACCTTCTTACTCTATATTCTGGGAAATTTCCTGACCTTACCTTTGGACTCTTTCTATTGAATTTTTTAATTTTAGCAATAACTTTTACATTTCAAGAGCTCTTATTTATTGCTTGTTAATTTTTCCTATTAATATTATTTACTTGTTTTTTTTGGATGCATTATTTTCCTCAGTGTCTTCAAGGATACTTATTGGAATTTTTTTTGCTGGTGGAGGAGGTGTGTGTCCCCTTCCCCCAACTCTGTTACCTGGATTATCTCTTTCGAGATCTTTTTTTCTTTTATGTCTTTTTTATGTGTCAGGATTTCTTCAAATGTATACATTTCTTTGGTTGTCAATATATAATTAAGAATGAGGCAATAAAACCTGGTTGGGAGATCCATGTATTTAGATAGGACTTACAGACTGGACTTACAGCAGAGAACACTTGGGGATAAGGAAGGCCTTGATGCTGGAATGTGTTCTCTGCTCTGAGGCTAATCATCTTCCTGAAGAGAATTGTTGGTTATTTGTTTATTTTGATTGGCTGATTTTCTTGTTGTGATTGGACATGAGTAGATGGTCAGTAGATGCCTAGTTCTTGTCTTTTTGGTCTATTGTGGGAGTAGCCTAACTGATCTGATAGAAACCTGAACTTGAACATCCTCTTTTTATCCCTGTTCTCTTTAGTTGAAGAATGGTTTGGCTCTTGGTATTTCATGTGCCAGTGATTGTTAACTGGGGCCCTGGACCTCTTAAGGGGTATCCCCCGGATTATATTCAGGAGATCCCCAAGGTTATATTCAAAATTGCCTGTGCACAGTTTTCTGGGGAAAAGGTCCACAGCTGTCAGGAAGTTCTCACAGCAGTTGGTGAACCTGAAAAGGTTAAACATTGTTGTGGCTTTGCTTTCCATTCCAACATACTGAGTTATTAAAATTCCACTTTCATGTTCTGCGAAGTACAGGGCACATTGACATTTTAGATAACGAGAGCTGCTTTTCTCCTTAAACTTGCAGAAGATGTACAGAAATGAATACAATAAGGTGGAAGATAAGTACTTTAAGAAAGACAAAGATGCAATGCTATAAAAGTTTATAAAAAGATATTAGTTCCCTTGTAGAGAGAATTTAGGTTTCTTTTTGTTAAATTGGTTTAGTTTGAACATTTGTAATGTTGAACTGATGTACTATGAGGATAAATTAGAACATTTGTTTATATTGCATCCTCTACACTTATAACTAAGTATGAAAAATTTTCCCTGGAAGCTCTTATGTAAATATTTTTTACCAGCATGGTTGCAAAGCAGTACAGTCATTCCTGCCACTCCTACAAGTTGCTGTGCCTAAAGGTGGTCCCTATATAAATATTTATTTTGTGCTTCTAACAGGAAAGAAATCTAACTTTAAACATCAAGAAAGTAAAATTCATCTTGGGTGTACTTCCTTGCTCATATAATGAGGGGTTTAGTTATCCTGTTTCAGGAAAAAAAAAATTTGGTAATATGGGATTTTCCTTTAAGAAGATCTTTACTACTTTCCCCTGCTGCTTTTGTGAAAATAATTTTTAAAATTTGGATCAATATTATGCTATACCCCAGAAATCTCAAGTCCCATTTTGTATTAAGAGTGGAAAAACTCCTATATTAACTTGTGAGTACTTTGGCTAATATTTATGATAGTTTTTAGGATGACATAAACATTGTATTTCATGAAAATATTCAAAATTGGGTTCAGAGATAATGCATCATTTTAGTACTTTGTTGTCTGAACATTTATTTAGCTCTTTTATGTGCTAAATTGACAGTCTGCTTTTTTATTCTAAAAATTGATTTAGTTATTAAATAAATCTTAAGTTTTCTGAAATAAGTTGGAATTTTAAAATAGTTTACTTCTCATTAATAATTCTAGCTTTTAAAAGTATATTTTGTCTTAAGTTAAAAATAAATAGTTCAGGTAAGTTTAGGGCTTCCTTAATTACAGTAAACTAAAGAATTAACTTTTTCTTCTTTTTTTCTTAATCAGTGCAAATTAGATTCAACTTTAGTCTCTTGCTATAGTTATCTTGATTTGTTAGTACACTAGTAATATTTTGGTTTACAATGTAAAATGTTTTCTCTTTTCTCTCGTGAACATTATTTTCCTAAATTGTTTCTTTCCTCTTCATCCCATTTTCCTGCTCTTAAAAGTTGTGGTGCCATGGCTGGGTGCAGTGGCTCACGCCTGTAATCCCAGCACTTTGGGAGGCTGAGGCGGGCAGGTCACAAGGTCAGGAGTTTGAGAACAGCCTGACCAACATGGTGAAACCCCGTCTCTATTAAAAATACAAAAATTAGCCGAGCATGGTGGCGTGCACCTGTAATCCCAGCTACTCAGGAGGCTGAGGCAGGAGAATCGCTTGAACCCAGGAGGTGGAGGTTGCAGTGAGCCGAGATCGTGCCACTGCACTCCAGCCTGGGCAACAGAGCGAGACTCCATCTCAAAAAAAAAAAAAGTTGTGGCGCTAACCTATTTTTGTCCTGTTTTGCTTCAGTTAACACCCCATGAAAATCTCTGAAATTAATGTTCAAATGTAATGAGTTAGGCCTGATATAATTTAAAGAAAGAATACATCGTTTCCCTCCAAATGTTTAATGCAGTTATAGTAGCTGCTAATATATAAATGGAGATTAAAATTTATTTTCACTAGTTGTTTCACCTGTTGCATTGTTAAAACAAAATGAGGATTTCACTGGGACACACGGACATTTTCAAACATACATAAAGTAGGAAAAATTGTAAAATAACCCCCCCATTTACCCATTACTCAGCCTCAACAGTGATCAACATGTGGTCAGTCTCATCTGTACCTACTCCCAACTCACTCCAGCTGGATTCTTTTAAAGAAATTCACTGGGGGACTTGTACAGTAAGTAGGATTAGCATCTAAATGTTTGTTACTAGGTTTATGTGAGAAAGAGGCACTGTTTGATATATTTTGGTAATTCATATATATACATGAACTTGTATGCTGACTTATTTAGCCAAAAATAAGTACTCTTTTCAATACTGATTCATTCAAGTGTATGTTATTTTCAGGACAAAAGTTTACCAATCAGTTAGAATTTGTAAAGAACAACATGCTAATGAGGTTGGGTTGATATTTCTCTCCTGGGTTTGAAGATTCATGTGATGCCCTCCTTAAAGAGTATTATGGCAAAACAGATTTGTTATAACCCAATCTAATTATAATTGTTTATTCTTTTGAATAGGGGCTAATTGAATATTTTATTTATTTATTTATTTATTTTAAAATACTCATTTGACCTAAGTAAAAGTAGTGTCAGCATAGGTATAATATAATGCTTCATTGATTACTTATGCTTACACAATATGCAAGTAAATACTTAATTAGATTTATTCCTACATTTCTGTTTTTTAGCTCAAGACATTATAAATACTTAGTTTCCTTAATTTAAGAACCTCAGTTTGTGTTTTTAAATATCTTTTGTAATTGTTCAAACATTAATTAAACTGGATCTTAAGAAGTCATAATATCCAAATAAATTAAATGTTTATTTGCTATTATAAAAATATATTTTCTACCCCCAAATTCAGAAAATACAGAGAAGTAGAAAAAAAGAGTAAAACGTTCTTAGTCCTATTATCCAAACACATACTACTCTTACTATTTTGATATAGCTCCTTCTGGTTTTTATTCTCTGTTTAGATTATTTTTAACAATTTTATGGTATATACAACTTTTGTGTTTTACATTTTCACTAGCATTATTTTATGTTTCTTTGAAAAAAATTATGTTTGGTTAGAAAATTTCAGTTTTAGGTTAAAAGTAAATTAAAGCAATATATTTTCAGAGTTAGAACTGTCTTCTGCATTGCTTTAATACCAACTTAATGCTTTATATTTTTCAGTTTAGGTTTATTTCTTTAAAATTTATGAAGAAACCCCAGTGTACCATGCTGGGTTTTTTTTTTTTTTTTTGTCTTTTTGTTTTTTTGTTTTTTGAGACAGAGTCTCGCTTTGTCACCCAGGCTGGAGTACAGTGGCTCCATCTCAGCTCACTGCAACCTCTGCTTCCTGGGTTCAAGTGATTCTCCTGCCTCAGCCTCCTGAGTAGCTGGGATTACAGGCACGCATCACCACCCCCAGCTAATTTTGTATTTTTTTAGTAGAGATGGGGTTTCGCTGTATTGGCCAGGCTGGTCTCAAACTCCTGAGCCCAAGCAATGCATCCACCTTGGCCTCCCAGAATCCTGGGATTACAGGCATGAGCCACTGCTCCCAGCCTGTTCACTGTTTTTAGATGTACAGTTTTATGATTTTTGACAAACATGTACTCATGTAACTACTACTACAATCAAGATAGAGAATATTTTTCATCACCCTAAAGCATTCCCTTGTGCCCCCTTTGTAGCTGGACCTAGCTTTTTCCCTAGCCTCAGCCCCTGGCAACCACTGATTTGATTTTTTTTCTCTATAGTTTTGCCTTTTCCAGAATGTTATATAAAAGGAATCATACAGTATATAGCCTTTTGTTCTGTCTAGCTTCTTTCATTCAGTATAATGCTTTGAGATTCATCCATATTATTGTGTGTGTTGGGTAGTTCTTTCCTTTTTATTGATGAGTAGGATTCCTTTGTGTGGATGTACTACAATTTGTTTATCCATTCACTGATTGTTGGACCTTGCGTGGTTTCCAGTTTTCAGTAATTATGAATGATGTTGATACTTTCCCATATGGGTCTTTTTATGGACCTATGTTTTAATTTTTCTTGAGTAAATACCTAGGAATGGGATTGCTGGGTCACCGGAGCATTTTGATATTCGTTATCTCATTGGGATGCCCAAGTTTGTAAGGGAAAATCCAGGAACACCATTCCTTTTTTATGACTGGGAAACCGAGACTCAGGGTTGCAAACAGCTTATGGGCTTAAAACCAGATCTTGTAAGTCCAAGTCATTTGCTATCTTTACTAGAATATAATGTTGTTTTCAATGACGTTTCCTTGTTTTATTATAGCAACAGGGTTAACAAATCTCTCAGATCTTTGCAACAAGAATGGAAATATTTATCAGTAACTGAGAGTCAATATTAATAAGATTCTTCCTCAAGTTGTTAGTTTCCATTTCTGGCCTAGAAATTTGGGAGTTCATACAATAAATGTTAACTCTTAAAGTCTAATCTTAATCTTGGATAAATATACTCCCCCTCAATTTATTTTGCATAAATAATTAATATCTGACCAGAGCATCAGTTGTATAGTCATGGCACTGTGTAACAACATTTTGGTCAATGGCAGACAACATATATGATGGTGGTCACATAAGATTATAATACTGTATTTTTATTGTACCTTTTCTATGTTTAGATATGTGTAGACATGCAAATATTTACCATTGTGTTATAATTGCTTACAGTATTCAGAACAGTAACATGCTGTACAGGTTTGTAGCCTAGGAACAATAGGCCATACCATATAGCCTAGGGTTATAGCAGGCTCTACCATGTAGGTTTGTATAAGTATATACTGATATTCATATAACAACAGAATTGCCTAAGGATGCATTTTTCAGAATGTATCCCTATCCTTAAGCGATAAAGCGTGACTGTATATGGAATAAGATTCTTCTCTAAAGATGATCGAATCTGTCTTCTGGCATCTAAAAATTTGAAATTCTCTGTCATATTGAAGGTTTTCCTTAATATAAATGTAGTAAAATACATTTTGAATGATTAGATTTTTCCCTCAAACTTTTCATCCTGCCAGACTTTCATTTCATATAAGCTTTGAAAACAGTTTGCCAAATTCTCTCTAAATACTCATACTGGTCAATAGAGAGTAGCTCAAATGTATAAATTTCAGTTTACCATTTAGTGTAAAGTTTTAATTTTTTTCCATCATAAAATTATTGAACAACGTGTCTACCAAACTTTAAGAACATCTAGCATAGTTATTTACACATAGAAGATGTCTTATTCCATATTACCTTGCCTCTAACATGCAAGAGCAGTGGTGGTAGAAAAAGCCTTGAGTCAGAAGACCTTGTTTCAAAGCCGCAGTTGTGTGAACTCACAGAAATCATGAAACCACTCATTCTCAGCCTTCTCTTCTCCACATGAGGAACAACCACACTTTCTCTGTGACTTGCAGACTAGGGAAGCAGAAGATATAGTCATTAACCAGCTGAAGCGACAACAAAAAAAATTAAGTATTGCATTCCAAGTCACTGGTTTTGCAACTCTTAGCCAATGAGTCCAATTTTACCTTTACAAACAATGATTAAACTTGGGCAATAGCATTTCTAGTTGTATTCAGGTACTGAGAGTGAAAGATATAATAATGCCTTTGATTAAACAATCTAAAGAATTATCTAAGTTTAATTATAGGCTTATTCTTTCTAAGAGAGTAATAACTGTAATTATTAAAATGTTAATTTAATGAAAAATAACTTTTATATTTCTCATTTTAATGTTTACAAAACAGGAATACCTAACCATAACTGGGGTCAAATTCTAGCCACTAATTGAATGAAGTTGTATAAATTTCATGACTTCACTTAAAAAATAAGGATAATAACGACATGAATCTTTATGAGATTCAAGACAATGCATATAAAATACTTAGCACAGTGCCTATAAGGGTTAAATAGAACCCATTTAAGGACTTTGGGGGAGGTGGTAGCAGTAAATAATTGGAAGCATTGAGTCAGTCTTTATTTTGGACTTCAGGGAACTTGGTGTTTAGTTTTGATCACATGTTCCATTCAACTGAGCAGAACCCAAATTTAGTCATAGTGAGGTTAGTAAAATATATAAATAACCCAGTCCAAAGAGAAGATTCTAAATTTCAACTCTACCGTATTTTCTGTTTAAGGAGTGGAGACTTTGAAATAATAGTAAAATAGAAACTGATGAAGTTTATGAAGGTGATAAAAAATGAGAAAGTGGACAAGGTGTGGAAAGGATTAAGAATTTAATCACTGTTTCTGAATTTTGGCACATTGATGTACTATTATGCGCTGATTAAATTATGTTGACAGATTTTTTATGATAGAGAAATGCTATTTTTTTAGATCAAGGTAGTATATAATCATTATTTTGTTAGACATGCATAGGAATTTACCAAAGGGGGAGGAATTTAGGGTTCTTTCTTTCTACTCTAGTAGATATTTTCCAAAGTCTTATATAATTAAAGAAATACTTTTAAAATTTTGGTAAAACCTTTCTTTTTATCTTGACTTTAGCCTTTCTGGTTATAGAAGACATGTGTTCTTATAAGTGAAACAGCTAGGGGTAAAGTTTTCTTTTTTTTTTTGAGACAGAGTCTCGCTCTGTTGTCCAGGCTGGAGTGCAGTGGCCCCATCTCGGCTCACTGCATACTCCGCCTCCCAGGTTAACGCCATTCTCCTGCCTCAGCCTCCTGAGTAGCTGGGACTACAGGCACCCGCCACCATGCCCAGCTAATTTTTTGTATTTTTTGGTAGAGACGGGGTTTCACCATGTTAGCCGGGATGGTCTCGATCTCCTGACCTTGTGATCCGCCTGCCTTGGCCTCCCAAAGTGCTGGGATTACAGGCGTGAGCCACCACACCCGGCCTAAAGTTTTCTTTTTAAGTGTTCTGAAGAACAGATTCTGCTTGATTTAAATGGGGCAGTTTTTATGTTTTTCTGTAATCCTTGTTTCATCACAGAGAGTTGTTCTGAGTTGTTTTTTCTTTTCTATTTTCAATACTTGAGTTCAAAGCACTTTACAAATGTTATTATATTTAGAAACATTCATCCTAACCGCAGCTTGCTTGCTGTTAAAAATATTATACATTTCTAAATATGTTCACAACCAAACATTATTCAATAATGTGATTTTTAAGGGCATGTAGAATGAATAGAAAAGAATGAATTACTTGATGAGCTTCATAAAACTGCTATTTATAATTATTTGCATGTGGAAATTCATTGTTTCAGTTTGTTTCTTGACTTAAAAACAGTAGTCATAGAGTAGACATATTTTTGCTCTCCTGATTTGCAGTAAGATTTTAAATGCCATCTATTAAATTTGCCTATTATATTTCTCCTGAAAAGTAAGAGGTGTGTTTTTGAAAATGGAAAAGGCACAGATGCTGTTTTCAGGCACAAACTCTGTTTTCAAAAGGTCGGTTTGAAGAGCTTGTTTTTCTTATTTGCCCATCTCCTAAAAAGAATGCTGACGTGAGTTATGAAGAATAGAGAGTATTTGATGTATGTGGAGGCTCATTTACCCAAATTATGAACATTTCTTAATTTATGGTGATTAAATTTCTGCTTTATTAAGACAATGGTTTTTTAGTCTTTTCTGTAGTAATGTAGAAAGAAAGAAAAATATTAGCCAGGATATTGTTGTTTGGTGTCCAACAAGTTTTAATAGTAGTTTTTACCATTAAAGTCTTAAACTGGATTTTTGTCTCTTTAATTGTACAGTAATGAAAGCTTATCTCTGTCGTTTCCCTCTTGTTTCTCCTTACCATAGCTTTTAACGTTGTATTCTATCACTAAATTATAAAGCAGTAAGCATATGACTACAGCATATTACTCTCTTACACCAGTATGTAAAAGTGCAGGACAGGCATCTATTAAGAGGGTGTGAAATACATTTAATCTTCAGAGCTAGATAACCTGGGCAAGTTCAAGCGACTTTTAAATAGGCCGTTAGTTTTAACTTTCTGTTTGTTCGCAGTAATCTCATTCTCACCCACCTTTTCATTCTAGTTTAAAACACTTCACAAATACCTGACAGTAAAAGGCATAATGAATGCTTCACAGACTCAGATTTCTCTAATGGGAACTATTAAATTGACATTCATTTAAAAAAATTATTTGGCATAATATACAGTAATTCATTTAGCAAGCTACCATTTGGAAGCTGCAGAAAAAGGAGAGACTATATTCTTTGAATAGATTTGTTACTTTTCTAATTTGTTTCTCCTTAGTTTAGTTAATAATATAAATACAGGTTGAACATTTCAAATCCAAAAATCTGAAATCCAGAATGCTCCAAAATCGGAAACTTTCTGAGCATTGACATGACATCAAAGGAAATGCTCATTGAAAGAGTTTAGATTTTTGGATACAGGATGCTCAACTGGTATAATGCAAATATTACAAAATCCAAATAAACTCAAAAATCCAAAACACTTTTGGTACCCAGCATTTCAGATAAGGAATACTCAACCTGTATAAGCAACTAAGATAGTGAAAGGATATTTTCTACATATAAAGTAAATTAAAATTTTTTAAAAAGCTTTATTTCTTGTGACTAAGTGCTAACCTTTATAAATCTAAAAAAAAAAAAAAAAAAAAGACTGTTAGTATTCTTATCTGATGGTGTTTCTAAAAAGTGCGTACTCAGAAAATGTTCTTTTACTCCAAAGACAAAGTATAGCTTTGGCAACTCTGTTTTTCTACATTTCCAACTAAGTTTGAGCCTGTCTGAATCACGCATCACCAGTTTTGTGATGAAACAGCTATACTTCTCATTAAGTCTCTGCCCTTTCAGTCCCTCTGTTTCTGATAGGCCCAGCAAAGTTACCTAATGTCTATGTCACATGAATGCAGCCTGAGTGTACAAAATTCTGCAGTACCAAAATATTACAATGTGCATATATTAGGTCACACATATACACTTATATCAAACTAATGAATTAGTTAGAAAATAGCACAAGTGTTGATTCTTGAAAGTGCTGTATAATTAGCAAGGGGACTTTTGGAGACAAAAAACAATAACAAAACCCAAGGAATTAAAATCGGTGCTGCAAAAAATGTCGTATTAGAATAATGGGCTGACTCTAATAGTGTAGAAATATAATAAGATGAATTTAGTAGGGATAAATATTGTGGTCTGTGTTTACATTTTGAAAGCACGGTATTGAGGTACAGAAATGAGAAATAATAGTTACATTGCACTAGTTAATTTTTAAAAACATACATATCAATAGCATTCCATTAGGTCTCAGATTTTTAAAATCTTACTGAAATGATTTGTTGGAATGATTTGAAAGTAGCACAGTTGCTGACAGCATATTGCTACCCCAAACAAACAAATTTTAGGCTTCTTTAATTTTAAAAACTAGTGTTCACAATCAAGGAGGTAAGTGGGATTCTCTCCTTCTTGGCTAGTTACATTATGCCATAAGGAGGAGGAGCAGGGAAGGGGGGGGATGGGGATGATGATGATTTAAGATTACCACACTTTCACCTAATGACAAAGCTAATGGCAGGGTTAACATCATGTCATGGGGAACAAGTGAAGAAACCATGGGAGTATTTGATCTAAAATGAGGACATGGGGGAATAAAAATAGAAATCATTTTGTTTTAAACAGGGCGTTTTTGGTTGGAAATAAATAAAGCCTACTCCAATTGATATGAATATATCAATGAAGAATATCTCCAACTGATAATAGTATCTCTAAGAACAGGAAGTGCAGCTGGTTGCAAAGGACTAGAGCCAAGAACTAGAGCATTATTAGGAATCAGAATGGCGTCTTCCCTCCCTTCTCTTCTCCTTGTGACCATGAATGTCATGGTGCTTATCTTTGGAAAGTAGGAATGGGGGGGCCACAGGATAATTTTTTACCTCTTATTTTGAAACGGCCTCCCCAGTACCAGCTCTGTATGATCCCCTAGTTCAAATTCCTAACAGAGATTGACAATTATCTGTGTCTTACTTCCAGAATCTTGGAAGACAATCTGATTGACCAGCTACAGTCTGTTTTTCACCTGTGTTCCAATTATTTGTAGCCAGAGAGAAGAAAGGTCATATAGTTCAAAACAGAGCTGCAGACAGACAGGGTGGGAATCAAAGGCAGGTAGCAGCCAATCAGGGCAGACATTCCAAACTGTCCAGTGCAGGTGCCATGAAAAATTAGAACGGCTTTGTTGAAGAGAAATTATATTTGGAGGAGGGGGGTCTTAAGGAGCAGGCTTCTGGGAATCAGGCTTCAGTTCCACAAAAGAAAACACTTAAAACTTTATAAGATTAGGACCGGCTACTTTGGATTGTTAAGTTCCTTGTCAGCTGTGGGCTGCAATGGCCATATGTTGATGGAACACTATAGAAGCGATTCAGGTGTTACATGGAAGGATGGTTTTGTTGACCTGTGAAGTTCCTTCTAAGCCTGAGAGTAAAATCAGTTTTGTCATAAGTTATTTCCACCAAAATAATAAAATATTAATGTTTTTCGTATAAATATATATGGTATCTTAAACCAGGGAAAGCAAGTAATCAGTGGTGGCTATGGAATTTCCATTTCAGTTGGGTTTGTTCAGGACTGGCAGTCTGGTGGCAAGGGGAGGGCAGGGGCAAGTGCTAAAGGAATTGCTTTAGAACTTCATGTACAGAGCAAGCTATCTTAGCTCTTGTGGAATAACAAACCACCCTAAAGTTTAGTGGGTTAAAACAATAGCCATTTATTTAACTCTTGTTTCTGTGGGTTGACAGTTTGAGCCTGGATCAGCTGGGTGGTTTTCTGGCCTTATTCCTGTGTCTGTTGGCAGCTGCTGGTTGGTTGGAAGCTGGCTGATCTAGGATGGCCCCAGGTGGACTGACTTGTCCACATGGCCATATCCTGGCTTCACATGGCAGCTGGGCAAAGTTCTAAGAGAAAGAGTAGATGCACTCAAGGCTTCTTGAGGTCTAAACTCAGAAGTGACATAATCTCATATCCACCAAACTCTCTTGACCAAAGTGAATCTCAGGATCACCTAAATTCAAGAGGTCTAGAAATTGACCCTGTCCTTTGATCAGAGGAGCTGCAAAGCTACATTGCAAAGAGGGGAGACCTAGAGAGGGGAATAATTGCCACCTTCTTTGTAAATAATCTACCATACCAAGCACACTTTTTTCTGTATCATGGAACAATAAAAATAGAATTTCCAAAGTTCTTTTACTCACATTTTACATATTGAGGAACCCTACAAGTTGGCTATTTGTTTAAATTTGGACAACGAATATAATAGCTGAGAAGCAGGTTTTGTTCTTGTACTGAATTATTCGTTGAGGTGGTGTGGGTAGTCAAGTTATGGATTATAAAATAAAATATTTTCCTTATTTCAAAATAAGGTAAAAGCATTCAAAGTATGTTCACTGAATATATCCAAAAAAAATCTACGTGACATTGTAGATATTTATGTTCTGATGAATAGTTAATAATGTTGAATAAAAAATTATGTGAAGAATACATTACTGTAAATGCAAATATGGCAGGGTTTTTTGCTTAAAAAGTAGCAGTTTTATATATGATTATTTGGAATTTGAAGTTTAACATCTGTCTTGTTTCTAGGAGCTCTGCCAGTGCCGGCCGGGAGAAGGCAATTGCTCCTGCTGTAAGGAGTGCATGCTGTGTCTTGGGGCCCTTTGGGACGAGTGCTGTGACTGTGTTGGTAAGTTGATACCAAGGGAGACTTCTTAATATTTCTTATCACAGAATCCTTGGCTTTAAGAGACTTTAAGGAATATAAATGTAGTTTATGTGCATAAACAAGTATGTGTGTGAAATATAGTAAACATACAGAACATTGTATTTTTACATTCAATTGTATTCAGTAGTATTTACCTATACATGTATTTAAAAGTGCTTATCCTTGGGAAGTAGGAGTGGGGGGCCAAGGCAGAATGTTTAACTTTTTATTTTGAAAGTTTTTGTACTGTTGAATTTTTTATAAGCAGCAGCATTTTTTTTTTGTTTTTAATAAGAAGTAGGTTTTATAAGAAGAAACATTCTCCAAGATGTGTTAAGTAAAAAAAGTCAGGTTCAAAATTATGTTTATAGAATGCTATCATTTGTGTGTTAGAAAGAAAACTTACGTGTGTAGGAAGAAACACCTGTCAGCCCTTCTCTGACCAGTTAACTCATTTTTAACTTTTAAAACCCCAGTTCAAGTATCCCCTTTCCTTGGAAACCTTCCTTATTTGACTGAGATAAAGGATCCTCTATGCTTCTGAGAGATCATTTATTGCATGCTCCTATAATTGTTGTTTTGCATGTTTTTTCGACAGAGTATCACCTCCTTAAGAACAGGAATATCATCATATTGATCTTTTTTACATTATCCTTTATCGAAATAGGCTATATGCATATACTTTTTAAGTCACATAGTACTAAAACAATCCCATCTCAGTTCTTTCCAAGCCTTTGATCCTATGCCCAGAGACTACCACTTTCAACTTTTCAGCGTTGCACTGCTTCCATAATTCTGAATAATAACCCTATACTACTCTCTTGATTCTTTGATTTTAGAAACTATCAGTTGACTTCCTCTTATGGTAGACAAGCATTTAGTTCTCTTATCTCTTAATCTTCCCAGTGTGATTTTATCACTCCTTCTAGTGAAATCAGTATTTACCTTAATAATCACTCTAATGAATTAATAATATATACTCATTTGATGCATAATAATGTAAGCACTAATTAATTAAATGAGTTATCCCATTATCTGTCTTTCTGTATTTTGGGTGTATGGTGTACTTCTTGAGAGATTTCCTAATCTTTTCACCCTTGTATTAATTTTTTAAATTTTTACTTCCTTTTTTAATTTCCAAGAGCCCTTCTCTGATTGTCCTTTTTTAAGGAACATACTGTTCTTGTTTTATATGTAACATATTTTTCTTATCTTTATGGGATTCTTAATTGTACTGTTTTGTGGTTGCTGTTGAGTTTTTTCCTTCTACTCCTTGCATGATTTCCATTTTCTCAGGTGTCTGGTGACCCTTGGCTGTCTATTCCTTTGTAGAATTTAGGTACTCCAAAACGGACTGGGAGTACTTAATCCATGGACAGGGCATGGAATGTAGTTTGCCTCACGAAAAGGTGGTTGGAGGATGAACTGCCTTTTTCACTGACGAGCCCTCTATTTCATGTCTATAGATCTTTCCCTTTAGGGTTGCACATTTTTTCTAGAGAAAGATCTCCTGGTTTCCTGCTGGTGTTGAGGCTGGGGTATGGGGCAGTATGCCAGGCTGCAAATGTTCTGGGAACCTGAGGGGTGAGGTCACAGTAAACAGTAAGCATACTTTTATTTACGTTCCTTGTTTTTTTCCCATACTCATCTCTACCCTTTGCCATTTTTGGCATTCCCAGTCCAGGGCCTCTTTGGTTTAATTTCTCTAAAGACTAACTCTCTCATCTCCTACAGTTGTGGAAGAAGAGACAGGGACCTGAAGGTATAACTACCCCACAGAATAGGCTTGCCTCTGCCACTCTGGCACCTCCAGCTCCTGAGTCTCCTCAGGGTTCTGTGGGGTGCATGGCCTGTGTGAAGACTGCTCAGTCAGGTACCTTTAGCTCTTAGGTTCTCCACAGATAGAGTTAGTGTTTCCATTTCTTGTTTTTCTTTAGTGTTTTGTAGTGAATTCTGAGAGAATGGGGGCAGAAGTATCTTTTCCTCTGTCCTCTTATATTCATCTTGGTATCTCTAACAGCTAGCTTTGAATTATTTTAGGTCATTAACTGTATATTAATTTAATATGTACAGTGAAACTAAAAAAGAGGAAATAGTCATCTTAATCTCTGATATACACACATAAGATTTTTTTTTGAGACAGGGTCTTGCTATGTTGCCTAGGCTGGAGTGGAGTGGTGTGATCATGGCTCACTGCAGGCTCAACATCCTGGGCTCAAGCAGTCCTCCTGCCTCAGCCTCCCAAGTAGGTGGGACTGCAGGCATGAGCCACAACACCCAGCTGATTTTTATAGTTTTGATGGAGACAGGGTTTCGCCATGTTGCCCAGGCTGGTCTCGAACTCCTGGGCTCAAGTGATCCACCCGCCTCAGCCTCCCAAAGTGCTGGGATTACAGGCGTGAGCCAATGTGCCCAGCCTCACACATAAGAATTTAATTTAAACATGGATGCCAAAATACACAAATGAACTTTTATTAATAGCATTGCCTAAAATAATGTGTATGTATGTGTGTGAGAGTGTTTGTGCGAGTGTATGAATGTGAGTGTATGTGTGTTATATATGTGTGTGTCTTAACCATCACACCATGATGACAGTGCTGTTCAGCGTCTTCTTTTAGGAAGAGAGTTCTGCATTTTTTTCCACTGAGAAAGAATAATTATACATGCTTATATCTCTACAATTTTAGAAGCAACTGGTATGCTTCCAGGCTAGTTCTCATTTTTTTAAAAAAAGCTTATTTACCTTTAAGGGTTGGATGTCCAGTTTTAAACTTTGAGTAAGTTCATAATGTAACTTCATCTTTCATTTTAAGTTAAGTTAATCTTTCTACTTTCTAGGATAAAACTGAGATATTCCAGTTCTATTTATACAGCAATCCTCCTCCTTGTAGGCAGCTCTCTTCCAAATTAGGCTCTCTTAACATCCTTTGCAAACCTGCCGCTGCTCCTCCTTCCTAAGTTGAAATAGTCCCCATACTTTTCATGGGTGGGGCACAGACCTCTGAGAGAACACAAATTAGAGTGCAGCCTTCCTTTCCTCTCTCATTCTGTGGACTTCAGCACATACTTTCTCTAGGAAACTTTCCCCTGTGGCTCCCTTGTATAAGAGCTTCTCTTTTCTGATTTTTTCTTAAGGTAAGAGTAACCACCATAGTTGATTTTAATCTTTGCTGTCCAACATATTCCTGAAATCCTGTGGGTTTTGGATCCTAGATCTCCACCCACAAGCTCTTTTTTCTTTTTTTTTACTGTTTTTACTTTTCCAAATGTGCACAAAAATAGAGAGTACAGTGATACGTACTACCTGTTCCAATAGTCATTAATACATTGCCAGACTTGTTTCATCCATTCATCTGTTTGTTGGTATATGTCTCTATCTTCCCCCACAACCTTTTTGTTTTGCTTAGGTATTACAAAGTAAATCATTTCACTATTATCCGTGAAGTCCTTTAGTTATACATCTCAAAAAAAGAGTATTTTTACATAACACAATGTCATTACTATGCCTAATGTAATTAACAGCACATCTTTATTTTATTTTTATTTTTATTTTTGAGGCAGAGTTTTGCTCTCTCGCCCAGGCTGGAGTGCACTGGTGCAGTCTTGGCTCACTGCAACCTCCACCTCCTGAGTTCAAGTGATTCTCCTGCCTCAGCCTCCCAGGTAGCTGGGACTACAGACACACGCCACCATATCTAGATACTTTTTTGTATTTTTTTGTACAGATGGGGTTTCACCATGTTGGCCAGGCTGGTCTCGAACTCCTGTCCTCAAGTGATCTGCCCTCCTCAGCCTCCCAAAGTGCTGGGATTACACATGTGAGCCACCGCACCCGGCCATTTAACAGTACTTCTTTAATATCGTCTAATACCACTCAGATCATACTTAGATTTCACTGATTGACTAAATGTTTTTTACAGTTGTTTTACTCAAATCAAGATCCAACAAAGATTACTCACTGTATTTGGTTGTTAGATTTCTTAAGTTTCTTTTATTCTAAAACAGTTTCTTCTCCCCCTCTCTCCCATCCTTTAATATTCCATTGGCTTTTTGAATAAACTAGTCAGTCATGATTGGTTTCTTCAAAATAAACCACATTCTGGATTTGGTTGATTGCTTCTTTTGGTTATTTAACTTGTTAGTTGGTCTTTTCTATTTCCTATAGGCTGGAAGTTAGATATGAAGGCTTGATTAGATTGAGGCTCAGTTTTTGGGAGGAGGGAACAGTGGTACAGTGTACACAAAGGCAAACAATATCCAGACGTCCTGCTTTTAGTAATGCTAAAATTGATCCCATGAGTTCCGACGGTGAAAGTCTGATCCCTTTGTGATAAAGGTCCCCATCAGCCTTTCACCTGGTGATTTCACCCCTTCTTGATGACCATTGCCTGAGTCAGCTACTTCATTAGAAGCTGTAAAACAGCCAGGTGTGGTGGCTCACGCGTATAATCCCAGCACTTTGGGAGGCCAAGAGGGGGCGAATCACCTTAAGTCAGGAATTCAAGACCAGCCTAGCCAACATGACGAAATCCCGTCACTACTAAAAATACAAAAATTAGCCAGGTGTGGTGGTAGGCACCTGTAATCCCAGCGACAAGGGAGGCTGAGGCAGGAGAGTCACTTGAACCCAGAAGGCAGAAGTTGCAGTGAGCCGAGATAGTGCCACTGCACTCCAGTCTGGGTGACAGAGGGAGACTCTGTCTCAGAAAAAAAAAAAGAAGAAGAAGAAAAGTTGTAGAACAATGATTTTCTATTTTTATCATTACTTCTGCAGTTATTAGCTGGAATTTTTCTGTATAATGTAAATGGAATCCTACACTACTACATAGTAGCTTAAAATACATTTAGAACAACATGAAATGATGAATGATTTAATAATAGACTCTTTAATGGCATTAAGACATTGTAACTTTTGATTCATGTTTAATGTGCATTAAAAGTTGGATTCTGCCTAAGCATGATGGCTCATTCCTGTAATTCCAGCACGTTGGGAGGCCACAGAAGGAGGATCACTTGAGCCCAGGAGTTCAAGACCAGCCTAGGCAACATAAGGAGACCCCATCTTTACCAAAAATAAAAATTAATTAGTTGGGTGTGATGGCATGCACATATGGTCCCAGCTACTTGGGAGGTTAAGGCAGGAGGATTACTAAACTCAGGAGGTCAAGGCTGCAGTGAGCTCTGATTGCACTACAGCACTCCAGCCTGGGCAACAGAGTAAGACCCTGTCTCTAAAAAAATTTTTTTAAATAAATAAATAAATGTTGAATTCTATGGGAAATGTTAAATTAGAAGAAAAAATTGCCTGAGCGCAGTTGCTCGTGCCTATAATCCCAGCACTCTGGGAGGCCAAGGCAGGCGGATCACTTAAGTTTGAGACCAACCTGGGCAACATGGCAAAACCCCGTCTCTACAAAAAATAAAAAATTTAGCTGTGCATGGGTGGCATGTGCCTGTAGTCCCAGCTACTTGGGTGGGAGCGGGGGCTGTGGCAGGAGAATCGCTTGAGCCCAGGAGGTTCAGGCTGTACTGAGCCATGTCTGAGTCACTGCAGTCCAGCCTAGGCGGCAGAGTGAGACTTTAACTCAAAAAAAAAGAAAAAGAAAAAGAAAGGAAAAGAAAAAAACTAGGCCAGGCCCAGAGGCTCACACCTGTAATCCCAGCACTTTGGGAGGCCTAAGTGGGAGGATCGCATGAGCACAGGAGTTCAAGATCAGCCTGGGCGACACAGGGAGACTCTGTCTCTACAAAATAAAAAAACAAAAAATTGACTGGGCATAATGATGCATGCCTGTAGTCCTAGCTACTTGGAGGGCTGAGACAGGAGGATCACTTGAGCCCAGGAGCTTGCGGCTGTAGTGAGCTATAATTGCACCCCTGCACTCCAGCCTGGGTGACAGATCAAGACCCTGTTTCAAAAAAATAAAAGAAAAAATTAATAACTTGTGCCAATAAATAAAACATGGCAAGCATGAACTTTTTCATCTTGAGCCACCTGTTTAGCATGTCGTGGAACACTATAATTCAGTGGTGCACTGTTTGTATAATGTTGATATAGAAATAGCAGATTCTTTATAGTACCAAGATCATTTGCTATACTTAATAAATTGGAAGCATCATAAGCTCCAAGACCAGGCTGTGAAGCCTGCTGAAAACCTGCTTAGCAACCACAGCTTGGCTCATTTTGCCATACCAACTCATAGATCCTAGATGTCGCTGTGGTGAATGGAAGAAAGGGGCACAGGGAAAGAGCCGGAAAAGGTGGGTGGTGTCAGGCAACAGGCACAGTGCCTGCAAAACCCAGGAAAACAGGATCAGACAGCTCTGTGCTGGGAACACAACCCTGGGACAGGCTCTACCACCTAGTGGATCAAATGTTTCTTCCTTAATCCTGCTCTTTGTTAGGCAAATTCCTTGAACTCTGACTTTGAACTCAGGGCTACAGTCCAGTACTAACCTTGACGGGTCTTGGCATCTTCCTTTTGGAACATCCAGGTTTTTCGTTATGACTCTCTCTTGTATCTCAGGTCAGATCTAGATAGATCCGTTGGTTCCTGCATAGAATGGATTTCTGTCTTGCTTCGCTCTAACATGTTACTTTTCTAATATTAAGGAATAAATAGGTGCTAGGAGTTCAAATTTTCTGTTTTCTGTTTTAAGAAAAACTATGCAAATTATTTAGATACATTATTTATTATTATTAATTTTAATTGACAAATAATAGTATATATTTACCCAGTGCAACAGGTTATTTTGAAATATGTATACATTGTGGAATGGCTACATAGAGCTAATTAACATACATTACCTCACCTTTTCTGTGTATGGTGAGAACACTTAAAATCTACTCTCTTAGCAATTTTCTTTTTTATTTTTTCTTGAGATAGGGTCTCTGTCACCCAGGCTGGAGTGCAGTGATGCTATCACACCTCACTGCAGCCGCAACCTCAAGTGATTTTCCCACCTCAGCCTCCCGAGTAGCTGGCACTATGCTACCACACCTCGCTAATTTTTAAATTTTTTGTAGAGATGGGGTCTCAATGTGTTATCCAGACTGGTCTTGAATTCCTGGACACAAGTGATACTCCCGCCTTGGCTTCCCAAAGTGCTGGGATTACAAGTGTGAGCCACTGTGCCCAGCCAGCAATTTTCAAGAATATAATACATTGTTATTAGCTATAGTCACCATGTTGTACAATAGAGCTCTTGAATTTATTATTTCTATCTAACTGAAATTTTGCATTATTTGATGGACACCTCCCCTTTCCTCAGCTCCTGGTAACCATTCTGCTCACCGCTTCTGTGAGTTCAACTTTTTTAGATTCCACATATAAGTGAAATCATGCGGTATTTGCCTTTCTGTGACTGGCTTATTTTACTTAACATGATGTCCTCCAGGTTCATCCATGTTGTAAATCAGGGTCCCCAACCCCTGAGCCATGGACCAGTAGCAGTCCGCCGCCTCTTAGGAACCGGGCCACATAGAAGGAGGTGAACACCAGGCAAGCGAGCGTCACCGCCTGAGCTCCGTCTCCTGTCAGGTCAGCGGCAGTATTGGATTCTTACAGGAGCTCGAACCCTATTGTGAACTGCACATACGAGGGGTCTCAGTTGCATGCTCCTTATGAGAATCTAATGCCTGATGATCTGAGGTGGAACAGTTTCATCCCAAAACCAGTCCTGGTGCCAAAAAGGCTGGGGGCTACTGATAGGATTTCCTTCTTTTTTTAAGGCTGAATAGTATTCCATTGTATATAAAGTGGAATTGTATTTTATATTGTATAAATATACCACATTGTACATATCCACATTTTCTTTATCCATTTTTGGACAATTAGGTTGATTCTCTGTCTTGACTATTGTGAATAATGCTGCAGGGAACATGAGAGTGCAAACATCTCTTTGACATACTGAGCTAGTTCTATTTTTAATTTTTTTAGGAACCTCCATACTGTTCTCCATAATGGTTGTACTAATTTACATTCCCACCAACAGCATGCAAGGATTCCCTTTTCTCCATGCCCTCCCTCTCCAACACTTGTTGCCTTTCATCTTTTTTATAATGGCCCTTCTAAAAGGTATGAGGTAATATCTTATTGTGGTGTTTTTTTTGTTTTGTTTTGTTTTTTTGAGATGGAACCTCACTCTGTCACCCAGGCTGGAGTGCAGTGGCATGATCTTGGCTCACTGCAACCTCCGCCTCCTGGATTCAAGCAATTCTCTGCCTCAGCCTCCCAAGTAGCTGAGATTACAGGTGCCTGCCACCATGCCTGGCTAATTTTTTTGTATTTTTAGGAGAGATAGGGTTTCGCCATCTTGGCCAGGTTGGTCTTGAACTCTTGACCTCAGGATCCACTCGCCTCAGCCTCCCAGAGTGCTGGGATTACAGGCATGAGCCATCACACCTGGCCATTATTGTGGTTTTAATTTGTATTGCTTTGGGCTGGGTGCAGTGGCTCACGTCTGTAATTCCAGCACTTTGGGAGGCTGAGGCAGGTAGATCATTTGAGGTCAGGAGTTCAAGATCAGGCTGGCCAACATAGTAAAACACCATCTCTATTAAAAATACAAAAATTGGCTGGGCACGGCGGCTCATGCCTGTAATCCCAGCACTTTGGGAGGCCAAGGAGGGCAGATCACCTGAGGTCAGGAGTTTGAGACCAGCCTGGTGAACATGGTGAAACTCCGTCTCTACTAAAAATACAAAAATTAGCTGGGCATGGTGGCACACACCTGTAATCCCAGCTATTCGGGAGGCTGAGGCAGGAGAATCGCTTGAGCCTGGGAGGTGAAGTTTGCAGTGAGCCGAGATCATGCAACTGCACTCCAGCCTGGGCAACAGAGCGAGACTCTGTCTCAAAAAAAAAAAATTAGCTGAGTGTGGTGGCACACACTTGTAATCCCAGCTACTCAGGAGGCTGAGGCACGAGAATTGCCTGAACCCAGGCAGCAGAGTTTGCAGTGAGCCAAGATAGTGCCATTGCACTCCAGCCTGGGCAACAGAGTAGACTCTGTCTCAAAACAAACAAACAAACAAACAAATAAATAAATAAAATAAAATAAAATAAAATAAATAATTTGTATTACTTTGATGATTAGTGATTTTGAGAATTTTTACATATACAGCATATATCTGTTAGCCATTTGTATGTCTTCTTTTGATTAATGTCTATTCTGATCCTTTGCCCGTTTCTTTTGAGTCAGAGTCTTGCTCTGTCACCCAGGCTAGAGTACAATGGCACGATCTTGGCTCACTGCAGCCTCCACCTCCCAGGTTCAAGCAATTCTCATGCCTCAGCCTCCCAAGTAGTTGGGATTACAGGTGCCCGCCACCACGCCTGGCTAATTTTTGTATTTTTAGTAGAGATGGGGTTTCACCATGTTGGCCAAGCTGGTCTCAAACTCCTGACCTCATGATACACCCACCTCGCCTTCCCAAATGCTGGGATTACAGGCATGAGCCACCGCACCTGGGCCCTTTGCCCATTTTTTAATATTGGATTATTTGTTTTCTCACTGTTAGGTTGTTTGAGTTCCTTTTTTTTGCTTTGAGACAAGGTCTTCTTCCGTTGCTCAGGCTGGAGTGTGCACACCACCATACCCAGCTTACTTTTTAATTTTTGTAGCAATGGGATCTCTCTATGCTGCCCAGGCTCATCTCAAGCTCCTGACCTCAAGTGATCTTCCCACCTCAGCCTCCCAAAGCATTGGGATTACAGGCGTGAGCCACCATGCCCAGCCCCCTGAGTTCGTTACATATTTTTTATATTAACCGCTTATCAAATGTATGGTTTGCAAATATTTTTTCCCATTCTGTAGATTGTCTCTTCACTATATTGATTGTTTCCTTGACTGTGCAGAAGCTTTTTACTTTGAGTTAATTCCATTTGTCTGTTTTTGCTTTTGTTCCCTGTGCTTTTGGATTCATGTCCCAAAGAATCATTGTCCAGCCAGGCGCAGTGGTTCACACCTGTAATACCAGCATTTTGGGAGGCTGAGGTGGGCGGATCATGAGGTCAAGAGATCAAGACCATCCTGGCCAACATGGTGAAACCCCGTCCCTACTAAAAATACAAAAATTAGCTGGGTGTGGTGGTGTGTACCTGTAGTCCCAGCTACTTGGGAGGCTGAGGCAGCAGAATTGCTTGAACCCAGGAGGTGGAGGTTGCAGTGAGCCAAGATCATGCCACTGCACTCCAGCCTGGTGACAGAGTGAGACTCCATCTAAAAAAAAAAAAAAATTATTGTCCAGACCAATGTCGTGGCACTTTCTGTATTTTCCTCTACCTAGTTTTAGATACATAATGATCACTTTCCAATCTCTTCCCAAATTCAACCATCGTCAGTGTTGAATTTCACTGAACACATATACCAGAATTGGTATGCCAAAGGATAATGCCTTATGTACTTTTTTGTTGGGTTTTATTTTGCCAGAGATGTTTGTTTGGTCTAGATGTTTGCAACTGTTACCCAATAAGTACTTAAAGACACCGAAGACTAGAGTCATTTAGGCCTATTCAGAGTTTACTTTTAAAGCTGATGCATTGATTCAGAAAACCGACTAAAAAAGAAAACTGAATGTAATTTATCCATTGGGTCAAATAGCACAGGACCTAATTCCAAAATTAACTCCAGCCATAGATGTTTTCTACTAGTAATAGTAGCTTCTTCCTTAGAGTGAATTTTCTTCAAGAACATTCATTTAAGTATCCTTTTCTGCTTTGAGCCCATCAAAACTTGTGAGTTGTATAAAATATGAGCCATAGCATAATATTCAGGAACAATTTCAATAAACTTTTTCTTCCAAAAAAAGCTATGTTAGGTAACTGTTCATTTTTTAAGTTAAGGAGATTTTTCTCTAAGTAGCCAAAATGGAATAATGATCACTTAACTCTAAGGTGTTTCTCTGAGAAACTGAATAGCAGTACCTTTATTCCAGATTAAACTTAAAAAAAAAAAACCCTTTTGTGTGATACCTATTGGGCCTATTAGATTTATGTAACTTCCCTCACTTTTAGAAATGACAGATTGACCCTATACTTTAAAATTGCTTATAAAAGTCCCTTAAGTTGCCACAAAAGGAGGTCTGAGATTGCATTATGAATATTTAGAAGTTACTTTTTGTTTTTAGTATTTATATATGACCTTAAATGTGAGTCTCAGCCAAAGCAAAGAAACTGCACTGATTTAAAGGATTTTAGAAATCACTTTTTTTTTTTTTTTTTGAGATGGAGTCTTGCCCTGTCGCCCAGGCTGGAGTGCAATGGTGTGATCTTGGCTCACTGCAACCTCTGCCTCCTGGGTTCAAACTATTCTCCTGCCTCATCCTCCCGAGTAGCTAGGACTACAGGCACGTGCCACCATGCCTGGCTAATTTTTGTATTTTTAGTAGAGACAGGGTTTCACCATGTTGGCCAAGCTGGTCTCAAACTCCTGACCTCGTGATCCGCCTGCCTTGGCCTCCCAAAGTACTGGGATTACAGGCGTGAGCCACTGTGCCCAGCCTATAAATCACTTATATACATAGTTTGCCTTCCTTATCCTAAAAAGAACTTTGAAGTTGCTTGTAGTATATTTCCTATATATTCTCTGCCTTTTTAGAAGACATTTTAAAAAGAAGTTCTTCTCCAGTAGCAATGAACACACAAAGAATAAGTGAAGATAAAGTGAAACATTTTTATTCTTTTTTTTTTTTTTTTTGAGACAGAGTCTCGCACTGTCGCCTGGGCTGGAGTGCAGTGGCTCAGTCTCGGCTCACTGCAACCTCCGCCTCCCCGGTGATTCTCCTGCCTCAGCCTCCTGAGTAGCTGGGACTACAGGCGCACATCACCACTCTCGGCTAATGTTTTGTATTTTTAGTAGAGACAGGGATTCACTGTGTTGGCCAGACTGGTCTCGAACTCCTGACCTCATGATCCGCCCTCCTTGGCCTCCCAAAGTGCTGGGATTACAGCCGTGAGCCATCGCGCCTGGCCAACGTTTTTATTCTTAATTGATCTAACAGATGACAGCTCTTTCAAAATAATAGCAACAATGTATTTAATTATGTGTGCTATGTATGTATATATATTATATATTTGTATATACAGTAGTTCCCCCTTATCGGTGGGAGATACATTCCAGGGCCCACAGTGAATTCCTGAAACCACAGATAGTACCAAACCTTATAAATACTATACTTTTTCCTATACATACATTCCTATGATACAGTTTAATTTATAAATTAGGCATAGTAAGAGATTAACAATAACAATTTATAGCAATAATATGGTAATAAAATAAAAATAAAATAAAATAATACGGTAATAAAAGTTATGTGAATGTGATCTCTGTCTCTTTCTCTCAAAATATCTTAATAATTTCAGATGATAGTCAACCACAGATAATTGAAACTGGAAAGCAAAACTGCAGATAAGGGACAACTACTGTATGTATATATATTTATATATATTATATATAATATATACATTATAATATATGCTTATGTTTGCTTATATATAAGTGAAATGAATGAAAACAATGATACATGGACAGGAGGGAGGAATTAGGATTATTTTGTCATTATAAGGTACTCACATTACCCATGAAGTGATATGGTTTATTCAAATGTGAACTTGATTCATTGTAAATGTATACTGCACACTCCAGGACAACCACTAAAAAAAGTAGAAGCTTAAAAAAGAAGAGAAAATGGAATCAAATAAAATGCTCAATTAAAACCAAAAAGGCAGAAAAAGAGTAGAAGACAAAAATAGGAACAAAAGACAAGAACAACAAATAGAAGATAGTAACAAATATGATAGATATTAATCCAGTTATATTAGTAATCATTTTGAACATCAGTGGTCTAAATGCACCAATTAAAAGAGATTGTTAGAGTGGATCAAAAAACAAGACCCTACTGTATGTTACCTACAAGAAACCCACTTTAAATATACAGACATATAGATTAAAAGTGAATGGATGGAGAATGATATACAATGGTAACACTAATCGAATGTAAGTGAGAACAGCTATATTAATTTCTGACAGAGAAGACTTCACAGCAAGGAAAGTTATCAGAGATAAAGAGGGACATTACATAGTGATAAAGGGGTCAATTCTCCAAAAAGAAATAACAATCTTTAATGTGTATGCACCTAACAACAGCATTAAACTATGTAAGGCAGGGCCAGGTGCAGTGGCTCATGCCACTTTGGGAGGCTGAGGCAGGTGGATCACTTGAGGGCAGGAGTTCAAGACCAGCCTGGTCAACATGGCGAAACCCTGTCTCTACCAAAAAAAAAATACAAAAATTAGCTGGGCATAGTGGTGCATGCCTATAATCCCAGCTACTTGGGATGCTGAGTCATGAGAATTACTTGAGCCTGAGAGGCAGAGGTTGCAGTGAGCTGAGATTGTGCAGCTGCACTGTCCAACCTGAGTGACAGAATGAGACTCTGTCTCAAAATGAAACAAAACAAAAACAAAACTCTGTGAGGCAAAAACTAACAGAACTGCAGTAGAAATCCACTCTTATAGTTGAAGACTTCAACCCCCCTCAACCCAGGAGGCAGAGAATCAATAGGGACATGTTTGAACTCAAAAACACCATTAATCAGCTGAATATAATGGATATCTATTGACTATTTCATTCCACAACAGCAGAATATCCAAGCATGTAAGCTTTATCTCAAGCTTATGTGAAACATTCACCAAGATAGATCACATTCTGAACCATAAAACACACCTTAGCAAATTTAAAAGAATAGAAATCCTACAATGTCTGCTCTCAGACTACAATGGAATTAAATAAAAAATCAATAACAGAAAGATAATTGGAAAATCCCAAAATATGTGAAGATTAAGCAACACACTTCTAAACACATGGATGAAAGAAGAAATCTCAAGAGGAATTTAAACCTTTTGTACTAAATAAAAAATGAAAACATCAAAATTTGAGGGATGCCATGAAAGCAGTGTTTAAGGGGAATTTATAACATTGGAATATATATATTCAAAAAGACAAAAGATCTAAAAATCAGTAATCCAAACTTTAGAAAACTAGAAAAAGAAGAGCAAACTCAATCCAAAGTAAGCAGAAGAAAAGAAGTAATACAAATTAGAGTAGAAATCAATGAAATTGAAAATAAGAAATCAATAATCAACGAAATCAAAAGCTGTTTTTTTCAAACAGTTCAATAAAATGGATGATCTTCTAACTAGGTTAAGAAAAAGAGAGGACACAAATTACTAACAGCAGAAATGAAAAAGAGAACATCACTATAGATCCTATGGATAGTAAAAGGACAATAAAAGAATGCTATGAAAACTCTTTGCCCATGGATTTGATAACCTAGGTGAAATGGACCAATTCCTTGAAGGACACAATCTGCCAAAACTCACACAAGAAGAAATTCACACGAGACTTCAAACCTATATTTTTTAAATAAATTGAATCAATTGCTCATAACCTTCTAAAAGAGAAAGTACCAGACCCAATGGGTTTACTGGTAAATTCTACCAAACATTTAAGGAAAAAATACTAAGACTCTACAGTCTCTTTCAGAAGACAGAAGCAGAGAGAATTCTTCCCAACTCATTCTGTGAGGTTAGCATTGTCCTAATACCCAAATTAGACAAAGATATTACAAGAAAACTACAGACCAATACCTCTCATGAATATAGAGGCAAATTATCAACAAAATATTAACAAATCAAATCCAACAATGTATAAAAATTACACTTTGACCAAGTGGGATATATCCCAAGTATGCCATACTGGTTCAACATTCAAAAATCAAGCAATGTGGGCTGGGTGTGGTGCGGTGGCTCACGCCTGTAATCCCAGCACTTTGGGAGGCCAAGGCGGCCAGATCACGAGGTCAGGAGATTGAGAACATCCTGGCTAACACAGTGAAACCCCATCTCTGCTAAAAATACAAAAAATTAGCTGGGCGTGGTGGCGGACGCCTGTAGTCTCAGTTACTCAGGAGGCTGAGGCAGGAGAATGGTGTGAACCCGGGAGGCAGAGCTTGCGGTGAGCCAAGATTGTGCCACTGCACTCCAGCCTGGGTGACAGAGCGATACTCCGTCTCAAAAAAAAAAAAAAAAAAAAATCAAGCAATGTAATCTTATCACATCAACAAGTTAAAAAAGAAAAAAAAATCACATGATTATATCAATAGATGCAGAAAAAGCATTTAATAAAATCCAACACCCATTCATGATAAAAACTCTCAGCAAACTAGGACTAGAGGGAAACTTTCTAAACTTGGTAAAGAATATCTTCAAGAAACTTAGAGCTAACATCAAACTTAATGGTAAGAAACTGGAAGCTTTCCCACTATAGTCAGGAACAAGGCAAGGATGTCCCCTCTTATCACTGCTTTTCAACATCATACTGGAAGTTCTAGCTAACACAATAATACAAGGAAAGGAAATAAAAGGTGTACAGAGTAGGAAGGAAGAAATAAAACTATCTTTGTTTGAAGATGACATGATTGTCTATGTAGAAAACCTGAAAGAATTGACCAAAAATACTCCTGAAATGAATAAGCAATTACAGTAAAGTTGCAGGATATAAGGTTAATATATAAAAAGCAATTGCTGTTCTACATACCAGCAATGAACAGTAGAATTTGAAATTGGAAACACAATACTATTTATATTAGCACCCCCAAATACTTAGGTATAAATCTAACAAAATATGCGCAAGGTCTGTATGAGGAAAACTACAGTAATCTCATGAATGAAATCAAAGAATTAAATAAATGGGGGATATTCTATGTTCATGGATAGGAAGATTCCATACTGTCAAGATGTCAGTTCTTCCCACCTTCATCTATAGACTTTTTTTTTTTCTTAGATGGAGTCTCGCTCTTTCACCCAAGCTGGAGTACAGTGGCCAATCTTGGTTCACTGCAACCTCTGCCTCCCGGGTTCAAGCAATTCTGCTGCCACAGCCTCCCAAGTATCTGGGATTACAGGTGCCTGCCACCATGCCCAGCTAATTTTTTTGTATTTTTATTAGAGAAAGGGTTTCACCATGTTTGCTATGCTGGCTTCAAACTCCTGACCTCAAGTGATCCCCCTGCCTCAGCCTCCCAAAGTGCTGGGATTACAGGCGTAAGCCACCACACCCGGCCTTCATCTATAGATTTAATGCAATTGCAATAAAAATCCTAGCAATTTATCTTATGGATATTGACAAACTGATTCTAAAGTTTATATGGAAAGGCAAAAGACACAGAATAGCCAACACAATATTGAAGGAGAGAAGAAAGTTGGAGGACTGATACTACTGGACTTCAAGACTTACTATAAAGCTACAGTAATCAAGACAGTGTGGTAATGGCAAAAAAACAGACAAATAGATGAAAGGAAAATAATAGCCCAGAAACTGACCCACATAAATATACGGCTGGCCCTTTGTATCTTTGGGTTTTGTATTATTGGATTTAGCCAACTGCAGATCAAAAATGTAGTTAGGGCTGGACATGGTGGCTCACGCCTGTAATCTCACCCCTTTGAGAGGCTGAGGAGGGTGGATTGCTTGAGCCCAGGAGTTTGTGACCAGCCTAGGTAATGTGATCTCTTCAAAAAATAAAAAAATTAGCCAGGCATGGTGGCACACATCTGTAGTCCCAGCTACTTGGGAGGCTAAGGTGGGAGGATTGCTTGAGCCTAAGAGGTGGAGGTTGCAGTGAGCTGAGATTGTGCCACTGCATTCCAGTCTGGGTGACAGAGCAAAACCCTGTCTCCAAAAAAAAAAAAAAAAAAGTATTAGGCCTATGATGGTTATGTCTGTACTGAACATGTACAGAATTTTTTTCTTGTCATCATTCCTTTAACAATAAAGTATAACAACTGTTTACATGTTACTTAACAGTATGTTTACACTGTATTATGTATCATAAGTAATCTAGAGATTATTTCAAGTATTCACGAGGCTGTGTGTAGGTAGGTTATACGCAAAAACTATACCACTTTATATAAGAGACTTGAGCATCTGTGGATTTTGGTGTTTCCTGGGGGGTCCTGGAACCAATCCCCCACAGATCTATCAAGGGATGACTGTAGTCAAATGATCTTGACAAAGGAGCAAAGGTAATACAGTGGAGCAAAGATAGTCTGTTTTGTTTTTCTTTTTCTTTTTTTTTTTTGGGGGGACAGAGTCTTGCTCTGTTGCCCAGGCTGGCGTGCAGTGGTGCGACCTCGGCTCACTGCAACCTCCGCCTCCCGGGTTCAAGCGATTCTCCTGTCTCAGCCTCCGGAGTAGCTGGGATTACAGGCATGAGCCACCACGCCCAGCTAATTTTTGTATTTTTAGTAGAGACGGGGTTTCACCATGTTGGCCAGGTTGGTCTCGAACTCCTGACCTCAAGTGATCTGCCCGCCTTGGCCTCCCAAAGTGCTGGGATTACGGGCATGAGCCACCGCGCCTGGCCTAAAGATAGTCTTTTTAACAAACGGTGCTGGAACAACTGGCCATCCATCTGCAAAATATGAATCTATACACAAACCTGTTTCACAAAAATTAACTCAAAGTAGATCACAGACCTAAATAAATGTAAACACAATACTGTGAAACTCCTAGAAGATAACATAAGAGAAAATCTAAATGACCTTGGATTTGGCAGAGACTTTAATTTTTGGGGTTTTGTTTGAGACAGGGTCTCTACTCTGTTGCCCAGGCTGGAGTGCAGTGGCATGATGTCAGCTCACTGTAGCCTTGACCTCCCAGGCTCAAGCCATCTTCCACCTCAGCCTCCCAAGTAGCTAGGACTACAGGCATGTGCCACCACGCCTGGCTAATTCTTGTATTTTTTGTAGAGATGGGGTTTTGCCATGTTGCCCAGGCTGGTCTTGAACTCTTAAGCTCAAGTGATCCACCCGCCTCGGCCTCCCAAAGTGCTGGGATTACAGGCGTGAGCCTGGCAGTGACTTTTTAGATACAACACCAAAGGCACAATACATGAAAGAAAGAACTGATAAGCCGAATTTCATTAAAATTAAAAATTTCTACTCTGCAAAAGACACTGTAAAGAAAATGAAAAGATCAGCCACAGACTAGGAGAAAATATTTACAAAAGTTGTATCTAATAAAGGACTGTTACCCAGAATATACAAAAACAAAACAAGGATGCCCTCTCTCACCACTCCTATTCAATATAGTATTGGAAGTCCTGGCCAGAGCAATGAGGCAAGAGAAAGGAATAAAAGGCATCCAAATAGGAAGAGAGGAAGTCAAACTATCCCTGTTTGCAGACAACACAATTCTATATCTAGAAAACCCCATAGTCTCTGCCCAAAAGCTCCTTGAACTGATAAACAACTTCAGCAAAGTTTTGGGGTACAAAATCAATGTACAAAAAATCAGTAGCGCTTTTATACACTAACCAGCACCCATGCTGAGAGCCAAATTAGGAACTCAATCCCATTCACAGTTGTCACAAAAAGAATAAAATACCTAGGAATATACCTAACCAGTGAGATAAAAGATCTCTACAGTGAGAATTACAAAACACTTTTCAAAGAAATCAGAGATGACCAAAACAAATGGAAGAACATTCTATGCTCTTGGATAGGAAGAATCAATATCACTTAAATGGTCATACTAGCCAGGTGTGGTGGCTCATGCCTGTAATCCCAGCACCTTGGGAGGCCAAGATGGGTGGATCACTGAGTTTAGGAGTTTGAGACCAGCCTGGGCAACTTAACGAAATACCATCTCTACAAAAAATACCAAAAAAAAAAAAAATTAGCTGGGCATTGTGGCTCACACCTGTAGTCCTACCTACTACAGAGGCTGAGGCTGGAGGATCACTAGAGCCTGGGAAATGAGAAAATGCTCAATATCACTAATCATTACGTAAATGCAAATCAAAACCACAATGAGATACTATCTCACACCAGTCAGAGTGGCTATGATATTAAAAAGTCAAAAAATAACAGATGCTGGCGAAGTTGTGGAGAAAAGGGAACACTTACATACTGCTGGTGGGAGTGTAAATTAGTTCAACCATTGTGGAAAGCAGTGTAACGATTCCTCAAAGAACTAAAAATAGAACTACCATTTGACCCAGCAGTCCCACTACTCAGTATATACCCAAAGGAATATAAATCATTCTACCTTAAAGACACATATGTTCATTTCAGCACTGTTCACAATAGCAAAGACATGGAATCAACCTAAATGCCCATCGATGGTAGACTGGATGAAGAAAGAGTGGTACATACACACCATGGAATACTCTGCAGCCAGAAAAAAGAATGCGATCATGTCCTTTGCGGGAACATGGATGGAACTGGAAGCCATTATCATTACCCTTAGCAAACTATCGCAGAAACAGAAAACCAAAGACCGTTATGTTCTCATTGAGCTAAATAATGAGAACACGTGGACAGAAGGAGGGGAACAACAGACACTGAGGCCTACTTGAGGGTGGAGGACGGGAGGAGGGAGAGGTTCAGAAAAAAAACTACTGGGTACTATGCTTGGTATTCAGGTGATGAAATAACCTGTACACCAAACCCCTGAATCACAAGTTTATCTATATAACAAACCTGCACAAGTACCCCTGAACTTAAAATAAAAGTTAAAGTGTTTTTAAAAAATAGATCCCAGAGGAAAAAACTATAATGGACAATACAATTCCATATAAAAGAAATATGTCTATCCATGTATCCTTTTGTAGAATAAAGAGACTTGTTTGAAAAAAACTTCTTAGTATTTTTATTAGAAGTGCGTTGAATCTATAGATCAATTTGTAGAGAATTGAAGTTTTAATATTGATTCTTCCTACCCATAAACATGGTATCACTTTGTTTTTAATGAGAAACTCAGATGAGACTGTACTATGGAGTGAATTAGTTGTAGACTTTTAAAACTTGATGCTTCTTTGATTAAAGATATCTTGAAGAGAAAAAAAGATCCTGATTTCTTAACATCAGGCATTCCCTATATACTGTGTGGCTCATTAGAGAATTTTGTCTAGGAAAACAGTTTTTAATTCTTTAAAATGTCAGGGTAGCAGTGTCTAAATTGGATTTGATCTAGTCAGTCATGGAATATTTTGTGAAACTTAATAATAGCTAATGCTTTTATAGCATCTTGTATGTGGCAAGCACTCTCCATGTATTACTTCATTCAGTCCTAACAACAAACCTAAAGAGTGTGAGAGTGTTATTTTCCCTCATCTGTTCCACACATGAGGAAACTGTGGCCAGAACTCAGTGACCTCCTAAGGTCAAATAACTAGTATGGAGGAAAGCCAGGGTTCCAGCCACGCAGTCTTGCTTCAAGGGTCCATGCTCCGTGATCCATTATGTTACATGGCTTCTAGATGTTATACATTATTCAGCTTCTTGTGAAGATGAAGGTGAAGGTGGTTATCATTCTAAAATCACATCATATACACAGTAGCTTTCATCTGTAGCCATGATAACTGTTACTCTTGAGCTAGTAATGATGTTGGCTTTAATAAGTAATTGTTTACAACTACTGATTTTTCATGATCTCCAAAAAGATAACTGGGACTGAGGACAAAGCTGTAGTCTATGAACTTAGATTTTCTCTTTGGATTCAGCCAGATTGCCTGAGAACTGCATACTTAGACTGCATTTTTGTGGCTCTTTATGAAATTGCCTCAGCTGAACTACACTTGGCTTTACACATTGAGTCTTCATTTAGAGGCATCGTATAAATATGACAATTTGAGAGAGGACAGATGGTAGTGAGATTTTTATGTTTATCAAAACAGAGCCCAGGTTTTAAAAGATTAAGGAAAGCTGCCCTAGACAATGCCATGCCCTCATTTTTCAGTTTCAGTCATTATTTTTCTCAGCAGTGTCCTTTTGGCTTCACTGTGTCTTCTAACATCATCAGCCAAATTGTTTCTTTCTTTTGTAATCTGTAGTTTCAAAATAATAGGAGTTGTTTTGCTTTCAGAAAAAGACAATTATAATGTTGATTTGGTTCTTTTAAAAAACTAAACACACCCTCTGGAGATTCTAATTTACTCCGTATTCATGCTGAGGAAACTAAGTGCCAGCAATGAAAACTTGTGTCTACTCTCAAACCCCTCTCACAATGAGGTCTATTTGATCAGATGCTGTGAATCCCATCAGCTTTTCTGGGTAACTGCCAGCACATTTTGCCGTAGCGATATAGCTACTATGGCTAGTCTCCTGCCATCTGTTCTTCTAATGCAACTGTTCTCAAACATTTTTTTTGAATCTCAGGACCCCTCTATACTCTGAAAAATTCAGTCTTTTGTGCTGTGTTGTAGTGGTTGAAGTATATAAAGAAAATACAGCCTCACACAGCTATGTAATTGGAAAAAAGCATTTTTAATAGCCTTGTCCAATAATTATGTATCTGGAGTATTGTATTAATATATTCAGCATTTTAAAACTCATGAAGTAATAATTTTGCATATCTAGGTAGATTACTTAAGGTTCAAGTATTATGTTAAGTTTTGCAAAAATATAGAAAAGAAAGCCATCTAGCATCTACTGCTATTAACATATATGTATTTCTCTTCAAAATATAATTTAAAAACTAAAATTACTACTTGAACATATCCTTGAACATAGTAAATTCAAGCAATGCCAAAAAGGTGCTTATAATGAAATGCCTCCCTTCTTTATACCCCTAGTCGCTCTCCCTCAAGTTGTTTATCATACAACTAGTAAAGAGGTATATATTTTTCAACCTATTTTTGAAATATACATCTAGAAAGTATACCCCAAAAGTGTACAGCAAAATAAATTTACCTGAGCTTTACACACCCCTGTTACTAGCATCCATACGGAAAACCAGAACATTGCTAGCACCACCAAAAGCTTCACTGTGCTTATCCGCACGTTTTAAGTACATAGTTGTACTTAAAACTCTATGATACCTTTAGAATAACTCTAAGATATCTTTATCTTTTAAAAACTCTAAGATACCTTTAGAATAACTATACTTATTTACATCAAAAGGTATCTTTCAATAATATTTTTAGTCTTTTTTTTTTTTTTCCATTTACAGAAAGCACTTACATGAACCATACATCTCAGCTTTGGTTTCTTCTTGTCCTCATCACTGGAAAGTTCTAACTTTTGGGAAAGTTAACCATATTTAGAAAAAACAAGAGGAGGCTGGGCGAGGAGGCTGGGCATGGTGGCTGGGAGTGGTGGCTCACGCCTGTAATCCTAGCACTTTGGGAGGCCAAGGCAGGCAGATACTTGAAGCCAGGAGTTCAAGACCAGCTTGGCCAACATGGTGAAACCCTGTCTCTATTAAAAATACAAAAATTAGCTAGGTGTGGTGGCGCATGCCTGTAGTCCCAGCTACTCGAGAGGCTGAGACAGGAGAATCACTTGATCCCAGGAAGCGGAGGTTGCAGTGAACCGATATCGGGCCACTGCACTCCAGCCTAGGTGACAGAGTGAGACTCTGTCTCAAAAAAAAAGGCTGGGTGCGGTGGCTCACACCTATAATCCCAGCACTTTGGGAGGCTGAGGCGGGCAGATCACCTGAGGTCAGGAGTTCGCCTGGCCAACATGGTGAAAACCTGTCTCTACTAAAAATAAAAAAATTAGCTGGGCGTGGTGGTGGGTGCCTGTAATCCCAGTTACTCAGGAGTCTAAGGCAGGAGAATTGCTTGAACCCAGGAGGCAGAGATTGCAGTGAGCTGAGATCATGTGACCGCACTCCAGCCTGGGTGACAGAGTAAGACTCCGTCTCAAAAAAAAAAAAACAAAAACAAAAAGAAGTCTGTTGGAAAAAGAATAAATTAAGAGAGGCTGGGAAAAGAAAAAGAAATAACAAGAGGCTCTCCCCAACAAACTCTCAGCAACTTTAGATAACCAATAACAAAAAGGTTGAGGTGAACCACTTAATATCAAAATATGTCTTACATGCAATGACTAAATATACAAGTTTGAAGAACAGAAAGACCAGTATGGCTAGATGTTTGTAAATAAGGAGAAGGGTAGAGAATGATGAGTGAGAGAGGTAGGTCAGGACCAGGTGTTGGAGACCATGGAAAGGAGTTTGGATTATATCCTAAGTATAATGGAAACTCATTGGAGAGTGTATGGTGGTGATATCCGAATTACACGTTTTTTTTTTGTTTTTTTTTTTTTTTTTTGAGATGGAGTCTTGCTCTGTCACCCAGGCTGAGGTGCAGAGGTGTGATCTTGGCCACTGCAGACTCCGCCTCCCAGGTTCAAACGATTCTCCTGCCTCAGCCTCCTGAGTGGCTGAAATTACAGGTGTGCACCACCACACCCAGCTAATTTTTGTATTTTTAGTAGAGACAGGTTTTCACCATGTTGGCCAGGCTGGTCTCGAACTCCTGACCTTGTGATCCACCCACCTCGGCCTCCCAAAGTGCTGGGATTACAGGCATGAGCCACTGCACCCGGCCTTGAATTACACTTTTAAATGATCATTCTGACTTTTATATGGAGGTAGATTTAAGGATGTAAAGAGAAGAAACAAATTAGGAGACTGTTGCAGTAGTTCAAGTAAAAGATTATGGTGGATTTGATTAGGATTACTGATAGCAGTGGAAATGGTGGCACTCAGATTCTGAAAATATTTTGGAGGGAAACTGTCAGAGTTTGGTTTGAATTGGATATAAGATCTGAGAAAAGGGAGGAATTAAAGTTGACCTATGAGGTAGGTAAAGTAGGGTGGATTTACAAATCAGTATCATTAAGGAATTGAAATTTTGGCCAGAGTGTTGAGTGAATCTTTGATGTGAATATTGAAATTGTCAAGAATGACAGTGGGTCCAGTGGTGGAAATGAGATAGTGATCCAGGTATTGAAGTTACTAGTAAGTAGGGGAGAAATGGCTGAGTATACAAAGATAATAGCCAAAAGGAGGGAAAAGGAATGGTAACATTAAATAATGTGTGTTTTAAAGGAGCTGGAGTTTTCTAAAGAGAATAGAAGACAGTTTAAAATCCCTTAAACAATTATGTTTCCAAATTCAGTCAAAATGTAATGGGGGCTTGGTCTAGGATGATAGCAGAGGAGATGAAGAGAGGTGGCCTCATTAGAAAAATAATTACAGGTTAAACTCGACTAGATTTGGTGACAGTTTGGAAATGGGAACTGAGGGGTGATGGGAGCCAGGAATAACCTTTAGGCTTCTGTTTATGTGACTGGATAAATTGTGACAGGGAACCAAGATAAGCTTATCTAAGACCCAGGTATGTTAGGGAAGATGACTGAGACAGTTGAATTTGAGGGGCCTATAAGGTTCCCAAGTGGCGATGTTCTGTAGGAAGTTGGATACAAATATCTGGAAGAAATGGATCAATGGATGAGTAGATTGATATGCAGGTAATGGTTGATCACATTTTCCAACTCCTTCAAGTTAATGTGACTTCTGGTTCAATATGATGGTCTAAATTCACATATTTTCTTCCCTTCCACTTAGGATGCCAGTAAAATGAAATAAAGGGATAAGATTGGAAATAACTCTAAAAACAAAGATAAATAAAAGGAACAATTGTAATTTGAGTCTGCATCAGATATCTAAAAGGAAAGACAAATGTGCTTATGTGCTTTCCCTTTTTTTTTTTTTTTGGAGACAAAGTCTTGCTCTGTCGCCCGGGCTGGAGTGCAGTGGCTCAACCTTGGCTCACTGCAACCTCCGTCTCCTGGGTTTAAGCTATTCTCTTGCCTCAGCCTCCCGAGTAGCTGGGACTACAGGCACATGCCACCATGCCTGGCTAATTTTTGTATTTTTAGTAGAGATGGGATTTCACCCTGTTGGCCAGGCTGGTCTTGAACTCCTGATCTCAGGTGATCCACCTGCCTCAGCCTCCCAAAGTGCTGGGATTTACAGGCATGAGCCACCACACCCGGCCCAGATGTGCTTGCTCTTTAGTAAACAGATTGGAAGGAACACCAAAACAAATTGCATAAAAGGGGGTTATGGTGAGAGTATGAGTGACCTTTCCGGCTAAACCCCAAAGAGGCTCCAGTTGCAGCTTTATGGAGTGTGGGTGTGAGAAATGAATTTGAAAATAGCGAGATTATTTGAAGATCTGTCTGTAGAACAGCTGTATGATTTGATAACCAATTCCCTCCTCCATTCGTCAGAAAAAGTTCCAAGTAATTAAGAAGTTTCTCTAGGAAAAAGAAATTGGAGAATTTCTTTCTAGAGAAATTGAAGGGAACTAGCTGAAAAGAAGTAGGGCCACTGATGTGTTATTGGTACCCAGGCAAGGCCTCCTCATTCAGGCATTGTAGGGAGGGAAGGTGTCTCCAGCCTAATGACTAGATGCGAAAGAAAAATAGAATAAGTGTAGCTTAAAAGAAAGAACGGGCCGGGCGCGGTGGCTCACGCCTGTAATCCCAGCACTTTGGGAGGCCGAGGCGGGTGGATCATGAGGTCAGGAGATCGAGACCATCCTGGCTAACAAGGTGAAACCCCGTCTCTACTAAAAAATACAAAAAATTAGCCGGGCGCGGTGGCGGGCGCCTGTAGTCCCAGCTACTCGGGAGGCTGAGGCAGGAGAATGGCGTGAACCCGGGAAGCGGAGCTTGCAGTGAGCCGAGATTGCGCCACTGCAGTCCGCAGTCCGACCTGGGCGACAGAGCGAGACTCCGTCTCAAAAAAAAAAAAAAAAAAAAAAAAAAGAAAGAACGAAGTAAAAAGCAGACCAAGGAGGAAATATTTAGGACATAAAAGAAATCTTTTAAAAACTGATTGTTATCTTTTAGAAAAAGTTAACAAAGTATCATGTCTGTATTATGAAAAACAATCAGAATAAGAAAGCTTTTGCAAATTTAAAATTCAAATGGGGCCGGGCATGGTGGCTCACACCTGTAATCCCAGCACTTTGGGAGGCCAAGGCGGATGGATCACCTGAGGTCAGGAGTTCGAGACCAGCCTGGCCAATATGGCGAAACCCCAACTCTACTAAAAATACAAAAATTAGCTAGGCGTGGTGGCGCATGCCTGTAGTCCCAGATACTCAGGAGACTAAGACAGGAGAATCGCTTGATCCCGGGAGGCGGAGGTTGCAGTGAGCCGAGATCGTGCCACTGATGCCTGAGCAACACAGCGAGAATCTGTCTCAAAAAAAAAAAAGAAGCCGAGTGTGGTGGCTCACACCTGTAATCCCAACGTTTTGGGAGATCGAGGTGGGCAGATCACCTGAGGTCAGGAGTTCAAGACCAGCCTGGCTAACATGGTGAAACCGCGTCTGTACTAAAAATACAAAAATTAGCCGGGCGTGGTAGTGGGCATCTGTAATCCCAGCTATTCAGGAGGCAGGAGAATTGCTTGAACCCAGGAGGCGGAGCTTGCAGTGAGCCAAGATCACACCACTGCACTCCAGCCCGGGTGACAGAGCGAGACTCCATCTCAAAAAAAAAAAAAAAGCAATTGGAAAAATAATAAGAGAGTCTGAAAATATTATTGGAGTGTCATAGAATATAGTGAAAACAGGCAGATAATATAACAGGGAAAGAATAGGCACTCCAGAAGAATTAAAAAAAAAAGAAAAAAGGAAGGAGGGAAGAAATTATCGAATAGTAGAAGAAAAATTACCAAAGCTGAGAAAAAAAACAGTGAGTCCTTAGGTTGAAAGAGCCTTCAGAATGCTGAGTGAGATGAGTGAAAAAAGACCTACATGTGGCACATCTTCACAAAATTTTACAACTTCTAGGTTAAAAAATATTCTAAAATATTTCAGAAAGAATAATAGAGTTTGTATACAAGAAGTTAAAAATCACACTGCCATCAGACTTCTCATCAGTATCACTGGGCCAATGACTTAAGTGGTTGGTGGGAAAACTATTTTGACCTGTCAAATTATCAGGAATGTGAATGTAAAATAGAAACATTTTTAGACAAATAAGAACTCAAAGTTTACTTCTCACCTACCGTTTCTAAAAGAATTAGTAGAGGATCAATCAAACAAAACAGGATAGAAAACCAAGAAAGATAACAACATGGGTTGAAGGAAGCAATAGCTTTAACCAGGAGTTCAGTTAAGGATAGCTGCAGAATGATAAGCACACAGGAGGCATGGGATGAAGCATTCTGACTGAAGCAGTAAGTGAAGAGAAGAAAGAAACTGGGTTCAAGCATATCATTGAGAAGCAGAATAAGTTTTCAAGATATGCTGAAACATTTTTGTGTGCTACAGAGAAAGAAAATTCCAAGCATAGAAATGCCAAGAAAAAACAAAACTGAACAAGAAAATAATTCTCCATAAAGGAATTAAATTTGGCGTTAATTTTTTATTATAAAAATATTGAAATATACACAGAAGTGGAGAGAATAGCATAATGAACTGTATATCCCTCACGCAGGTTCAGCAGTGGTCCAGAATATGCCACATTCACTTTATCCTTTTTTATTTCTTTGCTAAAGTATTTAAAAGCAAATTGCAGGCCGGGCGCGATGGCTCATGCGTAATCCCAGCACTTTGGGAGTCCGAGGTGGGCAGATCACCTGAGGCCAGGAGTTTGAGACCAGCCTAGTTAAAATGGCAAAACTTCATCTCTACTAAAAATACAAAAAAAAAATTAGCTGGATGTGGTGGCAGGTGCCTGTAGTCCCAGCTACTTGGGAGGCTGAAGCAGGAGAATCACTTGAACCCAGGAGGCAGAGGCTGCAGTGAGCCGAGATCGTGCCATTGTACTCTAGTCTGGGCAACAAGAGTGAAACTCTGTCTCAAAAAAAAAAAAAAAAAGCAAATTGCAGACAGCAAATACGTTTTACCCCTACTTTCTTTCAGTGTCAATCTGTAAAAAAAGGTGGACATTGACTTTTCTAATCATAATGCTGTTGTAACACCTAACAAAATTAACAATAATTTCTTGGTGAAATCTAAAATTCAGTTCATGATCAGGTTTCTCCAGATGTCTCAGTGTTTTTATAGTTCACTTGTTCAAATTAATTCAAAATTCTTGTATTGAATCTGCTTGTTGTGTTTTTCATCCAGATTGACCCTCCTTTCATTTCTGTCATGCCACTTGACAATGAAGGAACTGTATCAGTTGACCTATAGAATAGCCCACATTCCGGATTTGACTGCTTCCTGTGGTATCCTTTAACTTGTTCCTCTGCCCCTCTGTATTTCTAGTTATTTGAAGTTAACTATAAGAAAATGATTAGATTTAGGTTTAATATTTGTTGGCAAGAACATCTCTCAGGTCATGCCATGTGAAATGTAGCATGGTTTTCACTGTTTTATGAAGTTCAAAGAAAAGTTCACTTTATCTCAAAATCAGAAGTATTGTCCTTTGACAATATGACATTGAACAAGGAAGTCCTACCATACTGACTGTTCTGTCATAAACAATTTTCATAGGATTATGTTAAGGTAACTACTTTTACTGGTTTTCAACTTTTAGAATCAATGTATGAGACAAGGCTGCATTGTGAATTTGCTACAGAATATGGTTATCAAGTTTGTCATATAGAATTTGGAGAAGTTGGCTAGGGAAAGTGGAAAAGACCTTAGTATCTTTAACAGCAAATCAGGGACATCAGGTTTACTAGTTTTAGTGCAGTATATTGAGATTTAATTTATGAATGTTTTTGTCCTAAATTTGTTAAATGCACAAAACTGCCCCCAAATTGTTTTGATATAATGAAATATCTGATAATGAGCTTTCATTTATTTATTTGTTTGTTTTTTAGAGACAGGGTCTCACGAGTTACCCAGGCTGGCCTGGAACTTTTGGGCTCTGTCAGTCTTCCTGCCTCAGCCTCCCAAGTGACTGGGACTACAGATGTGTGTCACCATGCCTGGCTGAAATTTCTTTAAAGTCTTCAGTAGATGTTAAATTTAGCTTTTATAACGTTTGAACTCAGTTGTTTACCTTCAACTCTATTTACTAATTTTTTTGTGTGTTTGTTTTTTGGCTTTTTGTTTGTTTGTTTGTTTGTTTTTGAGATGGAATTTCGCTCTTGTTGCCCAGGCTGGAGTGCAGTGGTGCAATCTTGGCTCACCGCAACCTCCACCTCCCGGGTTCAAGCGATTCTCCTGCCTCAGCCTCCCGAGTAGCTGGGATTACAGGTATGCACCACCATGCCAGGCTAATTTTGTATTTTTAGTAGAGACAGGGTTTCTCCATGTTGGTCAGGCTGGTCTCGAACTCCTGACCTCAGGTGATGTGCCCGCCTCAGCCTCCCAAAGTGCTGAGATTACAGGTGTGAACCACTGCACCCGGCCACTAATTTTTATTTATAAATTTGGCAGAAGACTATATTATGTATAGTTGTATAATATGAGCATTCTAAGTATTATTTGCTTTTTGATACCACTTAAAGATTACGTATAGATATAGTTATTAGAAAGAGTAGTAGACATGAAATCAGGAGGCTACATCATGATCTTGGCTCTGATCCTAGATGACATAATATTGGACAAGTCATTTGACTTATCTGCACCTATTTCTTCTTTTTATGAATAAAGGGATCAGATTTGATCATTTAATCCATGATCCTGTCATACAACCTAAGTTATTCAAGTTCAGCTGTATTGAAAAATGTGATGAAGAGCACACACAACTTTGTTCTCCTCAGCTCTTGCCATGATCCTTAAACTAACAAAATGAGGAAATAGATGGTTTTTTTCTCCTCCCTGAATTTATAAAAACAGGAATTTATAAATTTGGTTTAACTTTTTAAACTTTTAATCTGAGGAAGAAGTGAAACTCCATCTTACACCTAATAGATGCGAAACAAAAATGAAACATAATTTAGCTTTCAAAAGTATAGCCATACCCCACGGAAATATTGCTGATTTGGTTCCAGATCACTGCAGTAAAGCGAAGGTCCCAATAAAGTGAGTCACGCAAATACTTTGGTTTCCCAGTGCATATAAAAGTTATTTTACACTATAGTGTAGTTTATTAAGTGTGCAATTTTATTATGTCTTAAAAAATACGTACCTTAAATACAAAATACTTTATTGTTAAAAAATGCAAAAAATCATCTAAGCCTTCAGGCAGTTGTAATCTTTTTGCTGGTGGAGGCTCTTGCCTAGATCTTGATGGCTGCTAATTGATCAGGCTGGTGGTTGCTGAAGGCTGGAGTATCTGTGACAGTTTCTTTCTTCTTCTTCTTTTTTTTTGAGATGGAGTCTCGCTCTGTCGCCCAGGCTAGAGTGCAGTGGCGCGATCTCGGTTCACTGCAACCTCCGCCCCTCCAGGTTCACGCCATTCTCCTGCCTCAGCCTCCCGAGTAGCTGGGACTACAGATGCCCACCATCATGCCCGGCTAATTTTTTGTATTTTTAGTAGAGACGGGGTTTCACCACGTTAGCCAGGATGGTCTCGATCTCCTGATCTCATGATCCGCCCCCCTCGGCCTCCCAAAGTGCTGGGATTACAGGCGTGAGCCACTGCGCCCAGCCTTCTTTCTTCTTTTTTTAAATAGAGATGGAGTCTCACTATGTTGCCTAGACTGGTCTCAATTTCCTGGCCTCAAGCAACCCTCCAGCCTTAGTCCCCCAAAGTGCTGAGATTACAGGCATGAGCCATCACACTGGCTGGCAGTTTCTTAAAATATGGTAACACTGAAGTTTGCTGCATCAGTTGACTCTTTCTTTCATGAAATAGCTCTCTGTTACATGTCATGCTATTTGATACTATTTTACCCACAGTAGAACTTCTTTCAAAATTAGGCCAGGTGCAGTGGTTCATGTCTATAAACCCAGAGCTTTGGAAATCTGAGACAGAAGGATAGCTTCAGGCCAGGAGTTTGAGACAAGCCTGGACATCATAGTGAGACCCCATCTCTACAAAAAATGGAAAAAATTAGCTGGGCGTGGTGGTGCACACCTCTAGACCTAGCTACTTGGGAGGCTCAGGTGGGAGGATCCACTTGAATCCAAGAGTTCAATGCTGCAGTGAGTTATGATTGTGCCACTACACTCCAGCTTGGGTGATAGAGTAAGACTCTCTCTCAATAAATAAAAATAAAAAATTGGAGTCAATCCTGAAACCCTGCACTGCTTTAACAACTAGGTTTACGTAACATTCTAAATCCTTTGTGGTCATTTCAACAATGTTTATAGCATTTTCAGTAGGAGTAGATTCCATCTCAAGAAACACTTCCTTTGTTCATCCATAAGAAGCAACTCCTCATTTGTTCAAGTTTTATAATGAGATTGCAATAATTCAGTCACATCCTCAGGCTCCGCTTCTAATTCTAGTTGTTTTGCTATTTCCACTACATTTTCAGTAATTTTCTCCACTGAAGTCTTGAACCCCTCAAAGTCATCCATGAATGTTGTACTCAACGTCTCTTCTAAACTCCTGATAATGTTGATAGTTTAACATCCTCCCATGAATCATGAATGCTCCTAATGGCATCTAGAATAGTGAATCCTTTCCAGAAGGCTTTCAATTTAGTTTGCCCAGATCCGTCAGAGGAATCATATCTATGGCAGCTATAACCTTACAAGATATATTTCTTGTCAGAATACAACCACAACAGTTATCAATTGAGCTTGCATATGGAGGCACTTCCTGCTGCCGCAAGACAATTACAATAGTAACATCAAAGATTAGTAATCACAGATCACCATAACAGTTATAATAATAATGAAATGTTTGAAATATTGCAAGAATTACCAAAATGTGACACAGAGACACAAAGTGAGCACATGCTATTGGGAAAATGGCACTGATAGATATATTTCTGAGATAATAAGACTTGCAAGTTGAAATGACTCTCTCAACCTTGGGTTTCAGAACAGCTGCTGTGTTAGCAGGAATGAAAGCAACATTAATCCCCTTGTACGTCTTCATCAGAGCTCTTGAGTAACCAGGTACATTGTCAGTGAGCAGTAATATTTGAAAGGAATCATTTTTTCTGAAAAGTAGGTCTCAACAGTAGACTTAAAATATTTAGTAAACCATGCTATAAACAAATGTGCTGTCATCCAGGCTTTGTTGTTCCATTTCTAGGGTACAGGCAGGGTAGGTTTAGCATAAATCTTATGGATGCCCTAGGGTTTTTGGAATAGTAAATTAGCATTGGCTTCAACCCAAAGTTACTAGCTGCATTAGACCCCAACAACGTAGCCTGTTCTTTGAAGCTTTTGAAACCAGGCATTGACTTCTTTCTAGCTAGGAAAGTCCTAGATAGCATCATCTTACAATAGAAGGTTGTTTCATCTACATTGAAAATCTGTTGTTTGGTGTAGCCACCTTCACCAATGACTTAGCTGGATCTTCTGAATAACCTGCTGCAGTTTATACATCAGCACTTGCTGCTTCTCGTTGCACTTTTATGTTATAGAGATGGCTTCTTTCCTTAAACCTCATGAACCAATCTCTGCCAGCTTCAGACTTTTCTTCTGTAGCTTCCTTACCTCTCTCAGCCTTCACATAATTGAAGAGAGGGCCTTGCTCTGGATTGAACTTTAAGGGAATATTTTGGCTGGTTTGATCTATCCAGACCACTCAAACTTTCTCCATATCAGCAATAAGGCTGTTTCACTTTCTTAGCATCCATGTGTTCAGAGTAACACTTTTCATTTCCTTCAAGAACTTTTCCCTTGCATTCCCAACTAGGCTGTTTGGCACAAGTGGCCTAGCTTTTGGCCTGTTTTAGCTTTCAACATGCCATCTTCACTAAGCTTTCTTCTTCTTTTTCTTTTTTTTGGCTTAAAAAATACTGGGTTATTTGTTTGTTTACTGTGAAAGAGAGCAGACAGACATTTCTAACTTTTTTAATTTAAAGTGAGAGACGTGAACACTTGGAGACCATAGTACGGTTACTAATTGGTCTTATTTCAATATTGCTGTGTCTCAGGGAAAAGGAGGCCAAAAGAGAGGGAGAGATACAGGAGAATGACCAGTTGGTGGAGCAGTCAGAATACAACCACAACAGTTATCAGTTGAGCTTGCATATGGAGGCACTTCCTGCTGCTGCAAGACAATTACAATAGTAACATCAAAGATTAGTAATCACAGATCGCCATAACTGTTATAATAATAATGAAATGTTTGAAATATTGCAAGAATTACCAAAATGTGACACAGAGCCACAAAGTGAGCCCATGCTATTGGGAAAATGGCACTGATAGACTAGCTCAGAGCAGGGTTGCCACAAACCTTCAATTTATAAAACACACAGCATCTATGAAGTCCAGTAAAATACAGCGCAATAAAATAAGGTATGCTTATATAATGCTCACAAAAAGAAACACAGAGGGTTCTGTTCCAGTAACTATTGCTACTAAACAAGCTACAACAAAACATAGTGGCTTAAAAGAACAAGAATCATTTCCTTAGCTCCCAAGTCTGCCTTTGGGGCTGAGTTTTGTGGGGATACCTCCTCTCTGATCCACTTGGTGTCAGCTGGGACAGCTTGAAGGCTGGGGCTGATTAAACACTGTGTCACCTTGCCCCTTTATAGCAAAACTCACTGAAAAAGTTTTCTATACTCTGTCTCTGATTCTCTCCTGCCATTTTTCTCCTTTTAAAATTATTTTTATTTCCATCTGTTTATTTTTTTTAGAGACTGGGTCTTACTCTGTCACCCAGGCTGGAGTGCAGTGGCACAGTCATAGTTCACTGCAACCTTGAATTCCAGGGCTCAAGTGATCCTCCCACTTCAGCCTCCTGAGTAGCTGGGACTACAAGCACGCATCATCATGCTCAGCTAATTTTTTTGTTTGTTTTGATAAAGACAGAGTCTCACTATATTGTCCTGGCTGGTCTTGAACTCCTAGCCTGAAGCAGTCCTCTCACCTCTGCGTCTCAAAGTGCTGGGATTAAAGGCATGAGCTATGATGTCTGACCTAAAATTATTTTTTAATAATTCATTTTGAAATAATCTCAAATATAGAGAAATTTGCCAGAAGGATAAAAAGATTTATATTTTCCCTCACCCAGATTCCCCAGTTATTAATACAGCCACTATGGAAAACAGTATGGAGCATCCTCAAAAAACCACAAATAGAACTACCATATCCAGCAATCCCATTACTATACATTTATGCTAAGGAAAGGAAATCAGTATATCGAAGAGACATCTGCACCTCTGTGTTTATTGCAGCAGTATTCACAATTGCCAAAATGTGGAGTCAACCTAGATGTCCAACAACAGATGAATGCATAAAGAAAATGTGGTATTTATACTCAATGGAATGCTATTCATCCACAAAAAAGCATGAAATTCTGTCATTTATGCCAACATAGATGGAACTGGAGGACATTATGTTAAGTGAAATAAGCCAGGAACAGAAAGTTAAACACCACATGCTCTCGTTCTCACTCATATGTGGAAGTTAGAAAAAAGTTCATTCCATGCAAGTAAAAAGTAGAACGGAGGATGGTAGAGGCTGAGAAGGATAGGAGGGTAGAGGGAACAGGAGGATAGAGAGATATTTGTTAAAGGATATAAGATTACAGCTAGATAGGAGGAATGAGTTCTCTAGTGTTCTCTAGTTCTATAGGATGACTATAGTTAACAATAATGTATTATACATTTCAAATAGCTAGAAGAAGGATATTGAATGTTCCAACACAAAAATGTTTGAGATGATGGATGTGTTAATTACCCAGATCTGATCATTATTCATGATTGTATTGAATCATCACTGTAACTCATAAGTATAATTATTATGTCAATTTACAAAAACATTTTATCATTGCATTTGCTTCATTGCTCAATACCCTTCCTCTCCCTACAGACACACACACATGCATGCATGCACACACACGCACGCACACACATGATCATTCATGTTTTTTTGAATCTTTGCAAAGCAAGCTTTACAAACAATGTCCCATTACCACTAAACACTCCAGTCTATATTTTCAAACAACAAAGATATTCTCCTAAAAATTGGCATACAGCCCTCCAAATCAGGAAGCCAATATCAATATAACATTGCTACCCAATCCACAAACCCCATTCAGTGTCACCAGCTGTCCCAGTGGTACCTCTTCTTTCTTTCTGGCCCAGTGTCCTATCCACGAACATGTGATGCGTTTAGTAGTTATGTTTCTTCAGACTCATTCAATCTGAAGCAGTCCTTTAGTCTTTCTCTTGACAGTGTTAAAGAGTACAGACCTTGATTATACAGGATTTCCCTCAGCCTTGATGTGCCTGATGTTTACTTGTGACCAGACTTATGTCACACATTCTTGGCAACATCACCACCTCCCATCACTGGTGATGTTAACTTTGATCTTCTGATCATATTGGTGCCCGCCAGACTTCTCCACATTAAAGTCATTATTAATGACCTTTTGTAAGTGATTAGTATTTTGTGGAGAACTTTCCAAGAATACATCAGTATATTCTTATCTAACAGTCACTCATCAGACTTAATATCCATTGACCATTCCCATCCGAATCAAACCCCTGTGATAGTGCCAAATGGTGATTTTCTGTTTCCTTTCTTCTACATTTATCAGTTGGTAAGGAATATCATTCCCTTCTCTTGTATTTATTTATATATAAGAACTTATTGATTCTTGTTTTGTTTACAAGATGGTAATCCATGTTTATTGATTGATTGATTGATTGACATGGGGTTGCCCAGGCTAGAGTCCAATGGTACAGTGATAGCTTACTGCTGCCTTATCTCCTGGGCTCAAGAAATCCTCCCGCCTCAGCCTCCCAAGTAGCTGGGGCTACAGGCATGCACCACCACACCCAGCTAATATTTTTTATTTTTTGTAGAGATGATGTTTTGCTATGTTGCCTAAGCTGGTATCAAACTCCTGGGCTGAAGTGATCCTCCCACCTTGGCCTCCCAAAGTGCTGGGATTATAGGCGTGAGCCACTGCGCTCAGCTTATTATTATTTTAATGCTCAAATTGTCTATTAGCCAGTAGGAGCCCCTTCAGTTGTCCTCCTGTGTCTCTTCAGCATGTCCCATCATTCATGGTGCACTTCCTTACTTTCTGGCACAAATGTGTTCCTGGCTCACTTTGTACTTTCCTGACCCAGCCTTCAAATCAGTCTTTCCTCCAAGGAGCTCTGGTTCCTATTATGTATTTAAAAAACAAGATCTGAGCGTTCAGTATGCTTGAAGCTACTGGGGTAGAAGAATATCATCATTTAGGCTCACCCAGCAAAAAAAAAAAAAAAAAAAAAAGGTAGGAAAATATCCATGTGTAATCCTAGAAGTTACATAATTTTAATGTGTTATAGCTCTGATTGCAAGGCAGTAACTAACAAAATCTTATGATATTACCCCCAACCCAGGTATGTGTAATCCTCGAAATTATAGTGACACACCTCCAACTTCAAAGAGCACAGTGGAGGAGCTGCATGAACCGATCCCTTCTCTCTTCCGGGCACTCACAGAAGGAGATACTCAGTTGAATTGGAACATCGTTTCTTTCCCTGTTGCAGAAGAACTTTCACATCATGAGAATCTGGTTTCATTTTTAGAAACTGTGAACCAGCCACACCACCAGAATGTGTCTGTCCCCAGCAATAATGTTCACGCGCCTTATTCCAGTGACAAAGGTAACTGCCAACAGTTGACTTTTTCCATTCCGCCCCCTCATGTGGTCTGTCCATGTAATCTATAAAACCTATATAAGACCATCTTTTGGAGCAGCCTTTTGGTTTTGAATTTGTATCATCTCACATAAATTCTAGACTCAATAACCCTGATCCCATCATATCTAGAGGCACATGCCAGAAGGATAAGAGAAAAAAAATATCTCCAATCCTTGAGTAGATAAAAAGGCATGTCGGCTGGGCGTGGTGGCTCATGCCTGTAATCCCAGCACTTTGGGAGGCCGAGGCAGGTGGATCACGAGGTCAAGAGTTCGAGACCAGCCTGACCAACATGGTGAAACCCCATCTCTACTAAGAATACAAAAATTAGCCGGGTGTGGTGGCGGGCGCCTGTAGTCCAGCTACGAGGGAGGCTGAGGCAGGAGAATTGCTTGAACCTGAGAGTCGGAGGTTGCTGTGAACCGAGATCACACCACTGCACTCCAGCCTGGGTGGCAGAGCAAGACTCCGTCTCACCAAAAAAAAAAAAGATAAAGAGGCATGTCAGCATATTGTCAGAATTCCTCCATACTCCTGGCAGCAGAGGCTGTACTGTATTGGAAAATAGATAATTGTTCCTAATTCTGGTATTTATTTGTGCTAGGCTTTATTCTGTTCATAAGATAGCAACAATGCTGCTTCTCTAATAAAATATTGCTCATTGTCAGGTGACATTCAGAGTATCCCATGAAGTCAGATTTTTATAATAGCACCCGTACCAAAATGATGCCAAAGTCATTAGCTAAATTTCTTTATAAGCAAGTTGGTATTCCAGACATCTCATTTCCAGGCATAAACTAACCCCAGCCAGTTCTCTGCAAATGGGTGCTGTTGGTCAGAAAAGGAATTAAGTGAGAAAATAACTTATACAAATTACAGAAGCATATTTAAGAGCATTTATTAGTGAAGATAGGTCATATCATAATTTTGGAATGTAAAGAGCATGTGACTTTTATAAAATCTTTGATATTTTTTGACAAAAGGCACCATATAATTTTACTGTGGAAGCATAAAGCACTTATGAAAATTGCAATTATTTCTTAAAACATGAGGTGAATTATGTATAAATAGTATAATTTGTACTCTTACTTGACTATTAGTTGTGCCCTCCATTACATTCCTACCTATATAAAACAGTGCGGGCTGGGTGCGGTGGCTCACGCCTGTAATCCCAGCACTTTGAGAGGCTGAGGCGGGCACATCACCTGAGGTCGGGAGTTTGAGACCAGCCTGACCAACATGAGAGACCTCGTCTCTACTAGAAATACAAAATTAGCTGGGCGTGGTAGCACATGCCTGTAATCCCAGCTACTTGGGAGGCTGAAGCAGGAGAACTGCTTGAGCCTGGGAGGTGGAGGTTGCGGTGAGCCGAGATCGCGCCATTGCACTCCAGCCTGGGCAACTAGAGCAAAACTCCATCTCAAAAAAAAAAAAAAAAAAAAAAACCAAGAAAACAAAAAACAGTGTGAGCTTCGAACATTAATAGTAAAAGGCAAAACAGCTTCTGTTAAATGACAGTGTAAGATTTCTTATTCCCTTTTAGGTTAAAGTACTTTGTAAAACAAATGCTAGATTTTGGAAAACATTAGAAACATATGGAATGCAATAATAATATGTTTTGTTATCATTTTCTCCATTATTAAAATGTAAGTAATCAACATAACAGATATTAAATAATAATTCATAAATTTTGCTCAAAGATTATTTAAATTTATGAAGCAATTAGCAAGAAGCTAATTCCTGGAAACTCCAGCTGTCTTCAAGACACAACTAAAGTTTTTTCTCTGTGACATCTTTCCTGGGCACCTATTCCCCCAGATAGAGTCAGTCTCTTTCTACTGCTCCTCCTGCATTTGCAGGTTTTTGTTTGTTTGTTTGTTTGTTTGTTTTTTGAAATGGAGTTTCACTCTTGTTGCCCAGGCTGGAGTGCAATGGCGCAATCTCGGCTCACTGCAACCTCTGCCTCCCAGGTTCAAGTGATTCTCCTGCCTCAGCCTCCCGAGTAGCTGGGGTTACAGGTACCCACCACCATGCCCGGTTAATTTTTTTAATTTTTAGTAGAGACAGGGTTTCGCCATGTTAGCCAGGCTGGTTGCAAACTCCTGGCCTCAGGTGATCCACCTGCCTCGGCCTCCCAAAGTGTTGGGATTACAGGCTTGAGCTACCATGCCTGGCCTGCATTTGCAGTTCTGTTTGTTGTCTGTTTTTAACTTATGGATCTATCATTTTCTACTTAGTTCTGTGGATTCTCTGATTCCTCTACTAAAAATATAAAAATTAGCCAGCTGTGGTGGTGCATGCTTGTAATCCCAGCTACTCGGGAGACTGAGGCAGAGAATCACTTGAACCTGGGAGGCGGAGGCTGCAGTGAGCCAAGATCACACCACTGCACTCCAGCCTGGGTGGCAGAGTGAGACTCCATCTCAAAAAAAAAAAGGAAATGCCCAGTTTAAAAGCACAGCTGTATAACATAGCAAATGTTTTTAAGCCCAATAATCCAACTTTTCGATCAAAGCCTGAAATCTAATAAAAGAAGCTAAGGAAGCCCTTTGCCTTCTTCAGATGGAGTGGGAGAATCTGACTTCCTTCTCAACATAATTAATAAATGAAGATCTTTTTTCCTGTACCTCATCTTTGTCATGTACAGACCAGTAATAAGAGAACCAAGATAAATAACTGTTAATATTCAACTAGGTAATAAAGCATTTTATTTTTTTGTTTTTCTTCTTTCTTGCCCTGAAATCTTAAATTTTTGTTTTTCAGAACACATGTGTACTGTGGTTTATTTTGATGACTGCATGTCCATACATCAGTGTAAAATATCCTGTGAGTCCATGGGAGCATCCAAATATCGCTGGTTTCATAATGCCTGCTGCGAGTGCATTGGTCCAGAATGTATTGACTATGGTAGTAAAACTGTCAAATGTATGAACTGCATGTTTTAAAGAAGACAAATGCAAACCAAAGCAACTTAGTAAAATAATAGGTATAAAAAGTTATTCTGTAAGTCTGTTGGTTGTATCTTGTATCAGAATCCCAGTAAGTTAAGTTGTAAAGACTTTGGAATAAGTTTCTTTTAAAAATATGACATAGCCAGTGATGTGTTTAATTATATAACTGTTCTTACTGATTTTATTGCCCCCTAGCAATAAGCCCTTTCCTTTGAATACATGTACAACTTTGGTCATATGAGAAGCAGGTGCGCAGAGAATTCCTTGAAAGATCTGAGGTTTTTAACATGAAGTCTGACGTGGTTTTCCTCTAGCATTCCAAAAGGTTTTTGCTTTGAAAGTGTTAGCAGAAGCATGTTGATGTGAATTATGATTTCTTCATGTGCTACTGTTAGCACACTGAGTTTTTATAGTTGCACATCATTCCTCATTGTGCCTTGTTTTATCCATTTTATAAATAGAGTAGATATTTGATATACCACTCTGATAACTCATATAAAAATATCATCATAAAAAGCTTAATTTCATCCCTTTTATGTTGGTTTTAAAAGGTAAATGCTTACCATATTTTATAATTGAGAACTCTTACATAGTAGAATCCATTCTATAATACATGTGTTGACAAAGCTTTAGAGAAAGTTTCCTATTCTCTTCCATTTCCCCTGCCCAAAGTGCTGACATAGGCAGTGATGAAGAATCTTTACCAAGATTTTCAGGGTGTACCTATGAAATTGCTTTAAATGCACTGCTGGTGTAAATAATTAGCAAGCAAAGCGTTTCTGTGACTTCAGGTACCAGCTTAAAGAGCACTAGGGATGGGGAACGAATGCCAAATCAGACTCCACCTAGAGCACCAGGAAACAGCTTGTACCCTGGTAGGGAAATGGTGTTGCTGAAAGGGGAGGCTGAGCCAGTGCGAGACTGAACTTGTGCAGCCTTAGCCAAGACAAAGCAGTGTTTTTCAGCAGACGGCTGATGGGACAGGAATTGAAGAAGAGAATTGACTCGTATGAACAGGACAGGGTGAAAATGCTGGGAATTATTATGGGAAACAAAACTATCTATGTTCATATTTTGTAATATTTCATTTGTTAAGTTTATATCTGGATATAATGTTCTTTTTAAACAAGTATAATCATATCGTCGGAGGTTAAGATTATGAAATTTTAGAATCTCTATTCAAGATGATGTTCACTCCAAATACACTACAGAATTTAGTCAACATTTTATATAATGTTTCAATAAATGTTTCTTTCAATAAAGATACTATGTGCCCTTCATAGTAATAAAATCTCAATCTTAAAGCATGAATCTAAAACATAAATATTTATATTACAGACTCAATTTTACAAAATTACTAATTGCTCTAGTGCATATTTGAACTACAAGCAACTTTTTAGGAATACCTCTTTATACGTCTACATATTTTAGTATATAAAAATAGATAATGCTCTTGGACACATTTTGTATTATTCATGATCTGAATAGTAGTTAGTTAAAAGATCATTTGTAATATTATGATCAACTGTTATAAATTAAGGTCTTAATACCTTTTCTGCTCTTTCAAATAACTCTAATGAATATTCAAGATATTTTAGCCTTTTAAAAAGTTGAGATTTAGCTCATGGATATATTTTTTGGTAGGGAAACATTAGGGTCTCCTTTTCTTCCTTTTACCTAGAATGCCTCATTTAAAAGTGCCTTGAAAACATTTAGCTCCCCTTCTTCATGAGCATCTGTAGAGCTGAAAGTATTCTGGAACTTTAGACAGAAAGCTGAAAGGAATCTGCAGTCTCCTGCTGCAGTTCAACTCTGCTGTTTTTCAGTCATTTCCTACTGTGAGTGGAGTGATGTTTGTGTGTGTGTTGGCAACATGCCTAATGTTTTCTTAATGATGACAACAAATATTTTAAAACTGCATTTATCATTTTTTAGGTCTTCATTAAATTTTAAAATGTAATATCTGTTTCCCACCCCCTACATTAGGAGGATAATTTCTTAAACCACATTGTTTTAATTGATTTTTCTTATCTTGATTTCTTTCATTAGAAACTATCCCTAAATGTAAAGATCTTTTGCCTTCAAATTTGGCTTATTTTTTCTGATTTATGAGGGTTTGAAAGAAAGAATTCACCTAAAAGATTCCATTTCCAGTTTTATAATGTATTTCAGGTTCTGAATAACAATATTTTTCCAAATTGAAAGTAAATATTCCAGAAGTTGATAGCCTGGTTAAAAGTTAGATCCTCTATTACCATTCTAAGCACATTCACTTCTATATTGAAGTTTTGGTAAAAATTCTTTTTTCTTTTTTAATAAAAAATTAGGTTATTACTTTTTTTATAACCAGATTTTTAAAGCACTAGGTTTTAAATCAGTGGGTATCATAAAAGCCATATATAAAAGATCCTTTCTTATAGTAAGACTTGTGCTTGTTAGCAGGTTTTTCTGTTAGTTTTTCCCCCATAACATTTAATTATTACTAAAATTGTATTTACAATAGTGGTGCCAAATCAAATGGTAATTTAAATAAAATCTATTCTGTGTTTATGTAGGGTGGTATAAAAAAGAGGTCTTCATTTAGACATGTGATTTCTAAAATTCCAGAAAGCAAAATTGATAAGATGTTAGAAATTTGGACCATTATTTATAATCAGGGTAGCATTAAAATGGAGAAAAGAAAGTTTTCTGAAAAAATGCAGTAAATATAAGCCACATTTCTAAAGTTTATTTTTATGAAAGCTTCTTTTAAGATTTTGAAATCTATTCTGCATTCCCAAGAGTTTATGTTTATTGTATTTTATATGATCTACAACATATAAAATTGTGTATTTTTCTTTGGTTGTCCCTATTAACAAAAAAGTATTTTAATAAAAAATTGAAATGAGTGAGTCATATTTTTTGTTAACTTCAGCATAGACATAAATTTGACATTCTGTCTAAAGAAGATAGTGTTTAAGTGATCAGCGGGCCGGGTGCGGTGTCACTTTGGGAGGCTGAGGTGGGCAAATCACTTGATCTCAGGAGTTCAAGACCAGCCTGGGCAACATGGTGAAACCTCGTCTTTACAAAAATAAAAAAATTATCCGGGCATGTTGATGAGAGGTGAAGCCACCTGGACTTCTTGTTTCGAGTGGGGACTTGGAGAACTTTTCTGTCTTACAAGAGGATTGTAAAATGCACCAATCAGTGCTCTGAAGCTAGCAAGAGCATTGTAAAATGCACCAATCAGTGCTCTGTAAAACACACCAATCAGCGCTCTGTAGCTAGCAAGAGGGTTGTAAAATGCACCAATCAGTGCTCTGTAAAACACACCAATCAGCAGGATCCTAAAAGTAGCCAATCGCAGAGAGGATTGAAAAAAGGGCACTCTGATAGGACAGAAACAGAACATGGTGGGGAGGGGCCAATAAGGGAATAAAAGCTAGCCACCCCAGCCAACAGCGGCAACCAGCTCGGGTCCCCTTCCACCCTGTGGAAGCTTTGTCCTTTTGCTCTTCACCATAAACCCTGCTATTGCTCTCTCTTTGGGTCCGTGCCATCTTTAAGAGTTGTAACACTCACTGAGAAGGTCTGCGGCTCCATTCTTGAAGTCAGCAAGACCACGAACCCACCAGCAGGAGCCAACTCCAGACACAGTAATTATGTGCCTGTAGTCCCACCTACTCTAGAGGCTGAGGTGGGAGGATCACTTGAGCCCAGGGAGGCGGAAGCTGCAGTGAGCCCTGATTGTGCCACTGCACCTCTGCCTGGGTGACAGAGCAAGACCCTGTCTTAAAAAACAAACAAACAAAAAAAACAATCAGCAAAGAATGTTCTTTTCTCAGGATGTCTCTACAGATTCTCTCAGAACAGATCTTAGAACATTTTGCTGTCTGCTTTTTCATATGCTTTATTCCAATATGGGGGAACCTTTTAAATGAATACTTTACTATTCTGCTTGCTCTGTGGGCCTTCAGATGCCAACCAACTTTATAAGAATGATCTAAAGGTTGCAAGGAGTTGCAGAAGGATCAAGGTAGGGAAAAACCTTTCTCAGCTCTCCCACAGGATACTGTTAGAATTGAGAGCCACAAACTGTGCTGCCATGGCAAAATCCACCTTATTTCAGAGTCCATGTTTTGGCAGCCTCGTGCCTGGGGGATCTAGAGAGGGGAAGAACTCAAGAGGACAGCCTGAGTGACTTAAGAAAGGAGCTGGGGCATTCGGAAGGTAGGATGAGTTTCAAGGACAGATACAACGTTTGACCAGGAAAGCTGTGCTTTTGCTGAAGGTGTCCACACAGCAGCTAGTCATGTGGACAGTCAGAGAGAGTGAAGCTGAGCTGGAAGGGGAGGCATCCAAGCCCAAGGCTCCAGGAGACATTGCAGACAACATGGCGCATCCGGCCCCATGGGGCTGCTCCAGACCTGGCAGGCACTGAGCTCAGTAAGCCAGGCAGACATGCCATTAGCGCCATTAGCTGGTGGGTGTTAGCCATTACAGCTCTTTGACCTTTGAGCTTTAACTAACCAGTAAAAAGTAAATGTGGGCCAGGCGCAGTGGCTCACGCCTGTAATCCCAACACTTTGGGAGGCGGAGGCGGGCAGATCACCTGAGGTTAGGAGTTCGAGACCAGCCTGGCCAACGTGGTGAAACCCCGTCTCTACTAAAAAATACAAAAATTAGCCAGGTGTGGTGGCACGTGCCTGTAATCCCAGCTACTCAGGAGGCTGAGGCAGGAGACTCGCTTGAAGCCGGGAAGCGGAGGTTGCAGTGAGCCGAGAATGCGCCGCTGCCCTCCAGCCTGGGCCACAAGAGTGAAACTCCGTCTCAATTAAAAAAAAAAAAAAAAAGTATGTTCTACCTCCTTTTATTTTAAAGTCTGCTTGAAGTGTGGAGTCAGCAACAACTCCAAGGTTTGGCTTTTGAGATGAGAATTCTCCGTGCAGATGCAAAGAGGAAAAGAATTCTGCCCCCTCCCAGTAATGCTGGGAAACCTGGAGTCCGCGCTGTGACTCACCGAATGACGCCTGGAGAGTGCAGGCGCCCCGCCAGTCAGGGAGACAGGACTTCCCTCACTGGGCTGAAGATAGCCCCTGAAGTTAGGCACAGTCACCGGCGAAATATCTTTATGGCAGAAATGTGTTTCCTGCCCGTCTAACTTAGGTACTTCCCTCTGCAGCCAGCGTAATCTTTCTAGAACACGTGTACCGGTAATTACTGCTTCCACCCCCAGTTCTAGGCAAAGAGCAAGGCCGTTGCGCTCGTCTGCCTCGGAAAGGTATGAGTTACCCACTAGGAAGTCGAGCAAGGGCAGAGAACCTATCTCTTGTTTTCCTGAAGCCTCCCTGGCTCCGGGGTGTTCTGCTAGGGGAAGGGAGAGAATGAGGCCTTTGAGGGCCTGAGAGAGGGGCCAGGAAGGTAGGTCCCAGAGGCCCAGGTCTCTTGACCGTGGAGACCAGCGCTCTCGGCCCGTGACTCACGGGAAACCCGAGCCTGCAGTTGCTTCTTTCCAGGGGTTTCTACTTAGAAATATTAGCAGCCCAGCCCTCATTGTCCAAAGCCCCCAAGACTTGCCACCAGGGTTCTGTGAGTCCCAAGATGGGTGGCAGAGCCTCTCTCCTGGCCAGTGTTGGATGGGATGAGGCTCAGAGTCGGATTTTACTTGATTCCAAGAAAACAATGAGACAGAATGCGTTGCAGCCCTGGGTTTGTGGACTGCATTTGTGTCCCAAGACTCCTTGTCTCACAGCCTCGGCTGGCATCTCCTCTTCCTGTCTCATGTCTTATCCCCACTCCCATCACTGCTGACCCCTGCCTCAGCAGGCCAAGCTCGTGCTGCCGTCTCTCTCACCCTCAGGCTGTCGCAGGAGTTGTTTCCCCTGCTGGACCTGCTTTCTGTGCAGATTGTGGCTCCTTGCTCTGACCTCCCTTTTTTTTTTTTTTTTTTTTTTTTGAGATGGGGTCTCCGTCTGTCACCCAGGCTGGAGTGCAGTGGCACCATTTTGGCTCACTGCAGCCTTCGCCTCCCTGGCTCAGCGATCCTCCTCACCTCAGCCTCACAAGTAGCTGGGTTCACAGGTGCACACCACAATGCCTGGCGAATTTTTTGTTATTTTTGACAGAGACGGGGTTTTGCCGTGTTGGCCAGGCTGGTCTCAAACTCCTGAGTTCAAGTGATCCACCCGCCTCAACCTCCCAAAATGCTGGGATTACAGGCATGAGCCACTGTGCCTGGCCCTCTGACCACTTCTAAAGGAGCAGCCCCTCCCCACTCCCCCATCCCATTTGTCTGCTTTCTTTAACAGCAGACACCTCTCCAAAAGTATTCATCGGTTACTTGTTTATCATGCATTCTCCTCTTAGACTGTGGGGCCCTTGAGGGCAGGGACCTTGTTTCTTTGGTTTGTCACTGCCCTAAACACAGCTCCTCAGCACCTAATGTCTCACACTCAATGGGCACCAGCTCTTCTGTGGATGAGTGATGGCGAATCTTAACCTACATATGCTTTAAACAGTGGCTCCTCAGTGCCCTCAGACAAGTAAGTGTCAACTGTGCAGCAGACCTCTCAGATCCAGGCAGCATGTCCCTGCTCACCACTAGGCCCATCTCAGCAGTCCAGGTGGACATCCCCTGGAGCCTCTGTCACTCCCCCTGTAAGTATGGTTTCATCAATCTGAGACACTTGTCCCTCTGCGTCCGTTCCTCACGCCTTTCACTGAGCGGCTCACAATGGTGTAGCCTTTGACCCCAGGACATTCCTCAGCAGCATCCTAACTTCATCATTACCCTACACTTCCGCTTCCCACACTTCAACCTGGTGTCCAGGTTTCTACTGGGCTATTTGCAGTATTGCAGATACACCTTTAGCCACGTGGCTGAGGCCATTTTTAGACTGCTGACCCATGCAGGCTTTGTGGGAGACTAAGGGACTTCTTTAGCAACCTAGCAAGAAGACCGTGCATGATGATATGAATTTTTTTGGTGTCCTTGAGGGCAAATTTTATTTGCAGAAGACACTACACAGAAACTAATGTTCATTTTTAAAATTAATGTTTAATGTATATAATTTACAAAATCAAACTTAGTTCTTCCGTAAGTTTTTAAAAACAGTTTACAAATATTTCTTCTAGCAGCCTAACTATATATCTAATAATCGTTTTTACAGGGCCCTCATTCAGTATTTGCCGAGTACTTCAACAGCTAATAAACTCACTATTGAGGTGAGCCTGTTGAAATTTCCAATACTGCACATAAACAGGAAGATTTCAACTCAGAATCAACTCTCATTCAATTTCACACTTACCAATTTTAAATTGGAGTTGTGAGGTTGTGTTCTAATAAGCCAAATCCTCTAAAATACTCAAATATGCCCATTCTTAACACAATAGTACTAATGATATAGTTTTGAGTCTTTTATCCCAGATCCTCCAAATCATTTCATGGTTGAAAAACAGGTTCTGGTTAAGCAAAACAGGTCACAGAGGTTTCTATGGCCTCAGTAAAATAGGTGCCAGAGAACTTGGAAATAGAGGAAGACCAGATTAGAGGTCAAGACTTAGCCAACATTTAGCCAGACACACCCCAAAACATAAGTCAAGAAGGGCCTGCCCCTGGACAAGCAGGGCAAAATACGTGCTCTTTACAGATAATTTACTACCAAGACGAAGAGTATGCCCAGTTTTCTTCCCAAATTTGCCAGTCATGTTGTTTCTCTTCTCAGAGGCAGAATGAATATAAAGGCAGAGAAAGACCCATGGTACACTAAATGATTTCCTACCCAGGAAGGAGCATCAGGTTTAGGGAGACGTTGTTCTCCGTTCCAAGTGATACACATTACCTACGTCTTCCCAACTTTTCAGAGAAGTCTGCCCTTTCCACCCAGGTCAATGAGTGGATTGGATTTTGCATATCTTTGATTCTTAAGATATGTTTTTGTCTTTTTCAGCCGGGCACGGTGGCTCACGCCTGTAATCCCAGCACTTTGGGAGGCCGAGGCGGGCAGATCACTTGAGGTCAGGAGTTCAAGACCAGCCTGGCCAACATGGTGAAACCCCATCTCTACAAAAATACAAAAATTAGCCAGGCATGATGGCAGGTGCCTGTAATCCCAGCTACTCGGGAGGCTGAGGCAAGGGAATCACTTGAACCTGGGAGGCAGAGGTTGCACTGAGTCGAGACGTGCCACTGCACTCCAGCCTGGGCAATAGAGTGAGACTCCGTCTAAAAAAAAAAGACATATTTTTGTCTTTTTCTCTAAGTACCCTTTGGTGAAATTCTCAAATATGGAAATAAGTCTGTTTTGAATATCAGGTTCAAGAACTTTGAATCTAATTGAATTGACCCTTGTATTTTTTTCATGTTCTAAGAATCATACAACTGTTCTAAAATAATACCATGCAGAATTTGAGTTATCTCAGATGGCTTTGCCTAACTAGTGGCCACAACTTTGAGGTCTTTCTATGGAAGCCTGTTTCCATTGAGGATTTCCAGGGGCCTTTATTCTCAGGAGTTTGTCATGGCAGACCACAGGCCCAGCTTTCCTAGTCTCCCCTTCCACCCCTATTTGGTCCCTTCATTTTTTAATGGCTAACAATAAAGACCTGAAGTAATTGTAGCTTGAACAACTAGAGATTGTTTGTTCTCACATAACTTGAATTCTGAAAATACATAGACCAGATCTGGAATGGGGGCTCTACATTGTCACCAGGAAGCAGGCTTTCCTTTTGCTCTGCTGTCCTAAAATTTGTCTCATGGTCTCAAGATGCCTTCTGGAGCCCCAACCATCATATTTGCTTTCCAAGAAGGAAGAAGGAGATTAGTGTAAAAATTATATACCTCCAAGTCAAGTCAGCCTTCAGGAAGCCCATCCAACAATTGTTTATGTCTCATTGGCTACCACTGTTTGCAAGAGTGACAAGGAATTAGCAACTGAATAAAATTCAGGATTGTTAGTAAGTAGGGAGAGAATGAAGAAGGGGAGAATGATTGGCCCAAGCCATCTCCACTATGCATGGGTGCCTATAGCATCCTAAACACTTGCCATTCATAGTGTTTATCACTCCGTGTTGTGATTGCCTGATACTTGGCTGTATATACCCACACCAGAATGACGTTGTATGTCCAGCTTGAAAGTGCAGAGGCAGTCCCTGGCACAGCCAGAAAAGCACTGATTCTAGACAGAGTGGCAGGTAAAGAAGGATGAGGTTTCGTGATTATCAAAAGGGGCATGACTTAAAATGATCTAGATGAAGTTAGCTAATTGCGATTTCTGAGGTTCTTGGTTTTGAAGATGTATATATGTGTTGGATAACTTCACATGTTAATAGTGGTCTTTTTATCTGTGTAATAGAATTTCTCATTTAATGCAGTTAGATTTCTCTCTTTGGCTGAATTTCTCTAGAAAAGATCAATATTCTCTAGTTTCTCTGTGCTATTTGAAGGTGGAATAAATTATTTCTTTTAAGCCAAAAACCATATACAATCCATAACTGGACCAGTTTGTTGAAACTTCGTTGATTAGTCTGCAGTGACTCTCATCCCTGAACAAGAGGCTCAGCCTTGAGATTTTTCCATATTAAAATCATAGACCACAGACTCTTCTCTCTGGTTTCTGAAGCAGTCTCGCAGGACAGCAAGACATGTGAATCATACATGTAATTTAAAATTTTCTGGTAGCCACATTAAAAAAGTAAAAAGAAACATGTAGAATTAATTTGAATAATATATTTTCTTTAACCCAATATATCCGAATTAGCAGTTTAACATATAACTTATATAAAAATTACCAATGGCACATTTTTCATTCTCTTGTTTTGGTATTATTTGAAATCTAGTGTATGTTTAACAGCACATCCAAATGTGGACTAGCTACATTTCAAGTGCTCAGTAGCCACGTGTGGCTAGTAGACAGCACAGATCTGGTAACGTGGTATAACAGGACTTATACCATGTTAACACATTTGGTCACTTATTATCTTATTGATCTCCTGTCTGGTCGTTCTACACATTATTGACAATTGGGTATTGCAGTTTCCAACTATTATTGTTGTATTGTCTATTTCTCCCTTCAATTACGTCAGTTTTTGCTTAATATATTCTGGAGCTCTTGTTAGGTGCATATATGTATATAATTCTTAAATCTTCTTGATGAATGACCCTTTTATAATTATAAAATATCTTTGTCTCTAGTAGCAATTAGTACCTTAAAAACTATTTTGTTTGATATTAGTATAACCACTTCAGCTCTCTTTTGTTTACTCTTTGCATGGTATGTCTTTTTATATCTTCTTACTTTTAACCTATTTATATCTTTGACTCTAAAGTGTATCTCTTGTGGGCACCATATGGTTGGATCATGTTTTCTAATCCATGCTACCAATCTCTGCCTTTTAATTACAGAAATTTTAATCCATTACTTTTAATGTAATTATTGATAAGGAAGGATTTATATCTGCTATTTTGCTTTGTGTTTGCTATTTGTCTTTTGTCTTTTTTTTCTATTTCTCCTTTACTGCCCCTTTCTTCTTTACATTAAAGACATTTTGTCATGTACCATTTTAATTCTCTTGTCATTTCTTTTACTATGTGTTCTTATAAGTTATTTTCTGAGCAGTTGCCCTGGGGATTATGATTAACATCTTAAGTTATAACAATCTAGTTTTGATTACTACCATTTAATTTCAGTTGTATGCAAGAACTTTGTTTCTATGTATCTCCATTTCCTCTCTCCTCCTTTGGGATGTTATTGTCTTACAAGTTACATCTTTATGCTTTGTGTGCCCATCACATAGACTTATAATTACTGCTTTATGCAGTTGTCTTTCAAATCAGATAGGTGGGGAAAAAAGAGTTACAAACAAAAAATATATTGATACTGTCTTTTATGTTTATCTCATTAGCTACCTTTATGAGTGCTCTTTACTTATTCATGTGGATTCAGGTTACCATCTAGTGTCCTTTTATTTCAGCCTAAAGAACTCCCTTTAGTATTCTCATAGGGGAGGTTTGGTTACAAATGACAGAAATCAAATTTAAACTAGCTCAGGTGAAAAAAAAAAAAAAGAAAATACTGGGGAGAAGGCTCAGATACCTGAAAGCCTCGGGATACCATGGCTTTAGGCAAGTCCAAGTGCAGGAAATGGTCTCTTGCTTGCAGCTCTTTGGTACTCTGCATGGCCATAATCTCAGGGAGCCCTCCACTACACCAGGCTCACATGTCAATCTCAGCAGGAAGAGATCATCACTATTCAGATAGCTAGGAGTCCCAGATAAGACTCCCACTGGCCCAGACTGGAAGTCAATCCTCCCAAGTCATGGGGACAGAGTGGGGGAGCAGTGGATCCCCAAAAGAAATACAGAGATTAGCAGAAAAAGGGCTTAGGATAAAGCACAAGTAAAAGCTAAAGGTCTTCACTAGATATGCTTCAGAAAAAGTTTCAGCTTTATTAAGTGTTCTCTTTAGAAACCCACTTCCACACAAACTAGAACAACTGGAAATCCACGTGTTAGAAATATTTAAATATTGTTTATTTGAGGCCTCACAATTTTTTTCTGGTCTGACATGTTAAAAATTCTTCCTAATGTAATCTGGTAAATCAGTCAAGGTGTAGTCCTGGTCAGGTTTAGTGGCTCATGCTTATAATCCCAGCACTTTGGGAGGTTGAGGCAGGAGGATCACTTGAGCCCAAGAGTTTATGACCAGCCTGGGCAACATAGTAGGACTACGCCTCTACAAAAAGTAAAAGATTAACTGGATGTGGTGGTGCACATCTGTAGTCCCAGTTACTTAGGAGGCTGAGGCAGGAGGATCACTTGAGCCTGGGCAGTTGAGGCTGCAGTGAGCAGTGATCATGTCACTGCACACCAGCCTGGGGGACAGAGTTAGACCATGTCTCAAAAAAAAAAGACAAAAAAAGAAGAAGTATTCTTTTAGCTAAAATATGAAAAGAACATCTATGAAGGCCAGTTCGAATCTCAAGTATGTAACATATTTTCTTAGGATAAAAAATGTATTTTGAGTTTTAATAAAGGGCATGATAAATATCATCCATAAACAATGATTTATTCCTCAATTGCTACATGTTGTACTATTATTCCAAGCTATTCATAATTCATAAATGAGTAATGCAATAATAATTTTCTATAGTTTTGTTTGTTTGTTTGTTTGTGACGGAGTTTCACTCTTGTTGCCCAGGCTGGAGTACAAAGGCGCGATCTCGGCTCACCGCAACCTCCGACTCCCAGGTTCAAGTGATTCTCAAGCCTCAGCCTCCTGAGTAGCTGGGATTACAGGCATGTGCCACCGTGCCCAGCTAATTTTGTATTTTTAGTAGAGATGGGGTTTTGCCATGTTGGCCAGGCTGGTCTCGAACTCCTGACCTCAGGTGCTCCGCCTGCCTTTGCCTCCCAAAGTGCTGGAATTACAGGCGTGAGCCACCGCGCCTGGCCAGTTTTTTATTTCCTTTATCCAGTTACATACTAGGTACTAAAAATGGGCAACCAAAAATGTAAGAACTCTATCAGGTCCAATACTTGAGATTCAGGGAACCTATGAAAAAGGATTACTGATTTTTAAGTTCTCAGCATAGAATACAAGAAATTGTGTTTAATGTTCCTTCTATTTGATGTGAGTCTAATCATGTATTCACTGCCTTTGGATAGAGTCCAAGATTATGTTCTGTGTTTTCTTAACTAATTTGAATTTGCCCCTTATTTAAGTGGATTTTTCTACTGGATTTTTGCAGAGATTTTCTTCTGGATACTGCTAGTAGATTCTTCCAGTTTGGGTTTTTGTTGTTGTTGTTGTTTTTGAGAGAATCAATTAGGGTGTTGATAATTAAACTTTTAAAATCCATTACTATTGGTATTTGAGGGGTAAAGCATAAATTGGTAGACTGTGCCTAAATTGGTTGTGGGGTACAGACAATTACTGACGGGAAACTGTGGGCATTTCTAAATGTTTTATCAGCGGGGCAATTTTATTCTGAGGCTCTCTCAGCACGATAAATGTGTGTTTATGAGTTGCTGGTCAAATGAAATCGGTAGTCACTAAGGCAGTAATGATACCCAGAGATGATTTTATAGTAGCTAAAGACTTTGGCAGAGTAGCATTCTGATGTCTTTGACTCCAATGGCTAAAGTTTTAATTTCTAGTGTACGTATGGTGGCCTCTTTCCACGTGTTTTATACTTTTGGAGTGTAAGCTTGTGCTCAGTGGGGCTTTGTCTGGGTAATTTCTAGGAGACTTGAGCTGTGGATATATAGTTTTTAGGAGGATTTTTATTTGCTTCTACAGCTGTTTCAGGGGGTTACCAGCCCAGAAACCCTTGATGTTAATTTCTCAGTTTACAGGAGTCAGTATAAATTGGTAGGATACATTTTTGAACTCCAGAATAGCATGAAGGCATGAACTTTCATGATCGTGAACTTTCAGGGAAACATTTGCTCTATCCAGAGCCATACCAACACAGTTGTTTGTCATTTGTTCTATTATTGTCAGAAAGAGAATTTTTTCCAGTCCACCCTTTTATCAAGAATCTCAGCTCCATGGGAGGTGAGAGAAGGCCTCTAAACAACAATCTCTACCTTCCACAGGCCAACGCCTCGTAACAGTGTCATTCTGACTTTCAGCTTCAGCATCAGACTTCTTTCTTTTCTTAATCTGGGGAATTTCCTTAATTATTTACAAGCCCAACTGCATATTAAAAGAAAAAAAAAAAGGTTTGGGGCTGGGTGAGATGGCTCATGCCATGCCTGTAGTCCCAGCCCTTTGGGAGAGTGAGGCATGAGGATCAATTGAGTCCATGAGTTTAAGACCAGTCTGGACAACATAGTGAGACATCATCTCTAGAAAAAATAAAATTAGCCAGGTGTGGTTGCACATGCCTTGTAGTCCTAGCTATTCAGGAGGTTAAGGTGGGAGGATTGCTTGATTCCAGGTATTTGAGGCTGTAGTGAGCTATGATGATGCCACTGCACTCCATCCTGGGCAATAGAGCAAGACCCTATCTCAAAAAAATATATATATTTGGTTATATTTTGTCGGCATTTCTTATTATTTTTTTATCTGGAACTTTCCCAGGCAATCTAGTCTGCTGAAATACTAGGGACATCTGAACATTTACTTTTCAATATAAATACATTATATATTAGCAATGTCAGGAATTCAGAGAAGAAGGGTGGCAAGATTCCAAGTGTGTAGTAGACATTAGCTGGAGCAACTTCCTTCTCACTATGACCTCTCAGTGGCCTCTTCTATGCTGTAACAACCCTGCATCCCAGCACAGCTGGGATCAAGACATTCACTTGACCTAAGCCAAGACAGCTCATCTCTGTCTCGAGAATGTGTAACTTGAAGACAGTTACCCAGGAGGCCAGTCACTTAATGACACCATTCTGGAGAAGAGTTCTACCAACAGATTCTCTGGAGCTGATCTTCTCTTTGTCCTCCCCAATTTGATTCTTAGACTTCCCACAAAAATCTTCCAATTAAATGTGCTTTCTTGCTTAAGAATCTATTTCTGTTGTTGCATCCAGAAGAACACCAATAATAAATTGCTTACAAAATGCATTTAAAATCAGGTGAGGGATATTAAAACATGTTATAAATGCTATAGTAATTAATATGAACAGACATTTTTATGGTAGAGATAAGTATAGAAATAGTTCCAAATGCATAAAGCATGAGGTATAAGATAAAGTGGTCCTGCACACCAGTGGGAACTGTAATTAAATAAATGTGGGAATGACTGGGTAACCACCTGAAAGACAATGAAGCTGGAATCATACCTCACACCTTGTACCAACATAAATCTCAATATCAATCAAACATTTCAATGCAAAAAACTAAACCACAAAATACCCAAAAAAGAGAAAACTTTTTTAGTCTCTATGTGGGAAAGGCCTTTTGAATTACAATTTTAAAAAATCTAAAAGCATTTATTGGCTTTTAGAGAGGATTGATACATTTTACTATAAAACTAAAATTTTAATTTGGGAATGAAAAACACACCCTAAACAATGAAAATGACAAATGAGAAATTGTACAATATATTCTTGATAAGTCAGTAAGATAAAGAACAACCTGATTTATAAAAATAGATAGACTAGTCACAGACCAGGAAATGCCAATGGCCATTAAACACATAAGATTCTCCACCTTTCTCAAAATGTGAGAACTGCAAATTAGAACAGGGACACAGAATAAAAAGATGGAGATGCCATTTTTCATCTATCAAATTGACAGTGATCAACATTTCTCATCTGTCAAATTGACAATCATCAAATAACGCCTAACCTAGGGGAGGTTGTGGGAAGCGGTCCCACTGTTTATGGGAATGTAACTTTCCACAGCCTCTGTGGGGAGAGGGGTGCCTTGGCATATACGCGTTGACCCAGCGGTTTCAAGTCTAGGAGCTGATCCTGTAGAATCATCTTACACTGTGAGAAATGATCCATTGTGGCATCGTCATGGCAAAATTTCGTTGTTGTTGTTGTTTCTTTTTTCTTTTTTCTTTCTTTCTTTATTTTTGAGACAGAGTTTCACTCTTGTCACTTATGCTAGAGTGCAGTGGCGTGATCTTGGCTCACTGCAACCTCCACCTCCTGGGTTCAAGCGATTCTCCTGCCTCAGCCTCCTGAGTAGCTGGGATTACAAGCACGTGCCACCATGCCTGGCTAAATTTTTTTTGTGTTTTTAGCAGAGATGGGGTTTCACCATGTTGGCCATACTGGTCTCAAATGCCTGACCTCAGGTGATCCACCTGCGTTGGCCTCCCGAAGTACTAGGATTACAGGCATGAGGCACCATGTCCGGCCATGGCAAAATTTTGGACCTAAATGTCCAACCATGGTAGCTAATAAAATTATATACATTCTTATAATGGAATATGATGGATGGATAGAAATTATCTCTTAAGAAATATTGTTAACAGAAAAAAACAAGGTACAGAAGTATGTACACATATAGTCTGGCATTTGTTTAAAACAAGAAAAAGAGAAAAAATTGTGTACATATTTGCTTGTATGCAAATAAGATACCTGGAAGAATTCACAAGAAAATAAAAACACTGGCTGCCTCCAGGGAGGGAAAACGGGAGCTGAGAAACAGGCATGCGTAGGAAGAGACTTTACACAGTGCACCCTTTTGTAGCTTTGATTTTTATTTTTTTGAGATGGAGTCTCATTTTGTCACCTAGGCTGGAGTGCAGTGGCGCAATCTTGGCTCACTGCAGCCTCCACCTCCTGGATTCACGTGATTCTCCTGCCTCAGCCTCCCCGGTAGCTGGGATTAGAGGCACATGCCACCACGCCCAGCTAATTTTTGTATTTTTAGTAGAGACGGGGTTTCACCATGTGGGCCAAGCTGTTCTCAAACCCCTGACCTAAAGTGATCCTCCCGCCTCGGCCTCCCAAAGTGCTGGGATTACAGGTGTGAGCCACTGCACCAGGCCTGTAGCTTTGAGTTTTGAGCCATGAGAATGTACTACCTTTTCAAAAAGTAAACATTTAAACTAAAAAGACACTTTTATCTTAAAACTTTTTTCCTAAAAAAATCAGGTTAAATGGGAGAGAATGACATTAAAAACCAGGACAGCTGTGTGAAGGGCCAGGATAGGGGTTCCATGGGAGCTGGAAGGAGAGGCCCCTAATGCTGCTGGGGAGGCCCTTCAAAGAGGAAGAGACTTCTTGGCTGGGCGCAGTGGCTCAAACCTGTAATGCCAGCACTTTGGGAGGCTGAGGCGGATGGATCACTTGAGGCCAGGAGTTTGAGCCCAGCCTGGCCAACATGGCAAAGCCCCGTCTTTACTAAAAATACAAAAATTAGCGGGGCATGGTGGCTCTGGGACCTGTAGTCCCAGCTACTCGGGAGGCTGAGGCTTGAGAATCACTTGAACCTGGGAGGTGGAGGTTGCAGTGAGTCAAGATCACGTCACTGCACTCCAGCCTGGGCAAAAGAGTGAGACTGTCTCAGAAAAAAAATAGAAAAAAAAAAAAAAAAAAGAGGAGGAGACTTCTGAAAGAAAGGTCCTCACAATTTTGCAGCACTTTGGTTATCAGTGCCCAGAAAATGGGTTCATATGAAGGTCTAGATACTCAGTTTCTGATGAAAATGTTAGCACGCTGTGGGAACAAAACGCTGTTGCCCTAACTGGAAACTCCCACTGCTGCTGATCTATCATGTTTTGGATGGACAACGACAGATTCTGTTCTCAAACTCTACCAAATAGTTTCCACAGAGGGGCTTAGGTTGGAGCAGGAAAATTTCAGGACAGATAATCCTATAGTTTGTGCCTTCTCCTACCATGAAATTTCCTTCTTTTTCCTTATAGAGGAGTTCAAGAGTGCAAATTCAGTTCATAGCATTCAAACAGCTGCATTCCAGCTCCCTTAAACTAATCAGAACCAGTAAGAATACCAGCAAGGAACTCCAAGCCTTGGTTTTTAAATTACATGAGAATAGTTTTGAAGAGTGTATTTTAATCACATAAAACACACTAACAAACGGCTCTCATCTGTTGCCACGTTTCTAATGTGTGAAACGGCTTCTCTGCATGGCTTTCCTCTGTCCCCCGTGCCTCCTGCCCCCATCACAGGGCCTCCATTACATTCCCGACTTGGAATTTCCTTGCAGTTGCCAGCTATACAGAGTCCGATAGGTTTGGCAGGGCCAGCACTCCCGGATGAGGAGGAGGGAGCCTTAGCCATGTAATCATCTAAAGGTGACTGTTAATTTATTAAAGCGAACTTGTCTATCAGAGTGTTTACAACTCTCCGTTTTGTGACTATTCTGAACAGACATACCAGATTGCCTCTGAGGACCCATTCTACACAAGCACAGACTGTAGGACAAAAGAGCTCATTCCAACAGCGCCCAGAGCACCGCCACGCCGGCCACCCCTGGGGCCAGTGGCAGGGTGCCAGGCGTGTTCACGCTCTGAGGCTCCAGAAATTAATCTGACCTCTTGAAAGAACACATTCCTACTGACTAGGAATCTTGAATGAAATTCAAGCAGTGCAGGTGTTCAGCAATTCTGAAGACAAAATTCAGACAGCAGAGCTGCTGCCTTCTCTGGCAGATGGAGGAGTGTCCGTGAAGGAGGGCCCTTCGCACCCCATGGAGCTCCTGATGTCCGTGCCTTTATCAGAGACTCTCCTCCTCCTCTCTTTGATTGCTCTTTTTTTTTTTTCCTTTTTTCCCTTTTTTAAGAGACAGAGTCTCGCTCTGTCGCCCAAGCAGCTGGACTGCCCTGGCCTGATCTCGACTCACTGCAACCTCCACCTCCCAGGTTCAAGCAATTCAAATGCCTCAACCTCCAAAATAGCTGGGATTACCGGCGTCTGCCACCATGCCTGGCTGATTTTTAAATATTTTTATTAGAGACAGGGTTTGCATTATTGCCTAGGCTGGTCTTGAACTCCTGAGCTCAGGCAATCCACCCGCTTTGGCCTCCCAAAGTGCTAGGATTACAGGCAAGAGCCACTGTACCCGGCCCTCTCTTTGATTTCCAGATAAAAAGAAAAACTTCTACTGAAGGTGGGGAAAGGAAAAAACTATTTTCATTTAATGCTTGATTCTCCCCATGATAAGGGTCTGTATGATGGACTGAAAAACAACCACCCATGATTTAATCATTTGGCAAATCCAGATATTTCTGCTGGGAACCAGGAGCAGTGAGCAGGCAGGCCTGGCAGGCGGGGCAGGCTCTGCTCTGGGCCAGGCACAGACAGCCTCGGGCTGCACAAGGTGGGGCGCCCCTGTTCACCAGCGTGGAACTGCATCCTCTTCTACCATTCAGGTTTTCGTTGTGTTTCTTATCTTTATTACTTATGGTGGGGACACTGCCAGCTCTTTCTTTTAAGGGGCCCCACTCCCATGTCCAGGCCACCGGCACTGCCAGGCTAACACCAAGTAACCCACACTGCCTGGCTAATTGGGCTGGGAGCACAGGTATCCCAAGACAGTCCCATAGCCTGGGCTGTTCATGAGGCTGGGCACAAACACAGGTGGGCCATGGATATTCCCTTGTGGGTGTTGGAACCAGAAGCCCCTGGGAGAATGACAAGACCAGAAGCAGGACCTCAGCTGAAAGATTCCAGTTGTACTAGGAGGGCCAGGGTGGCCCTGCCAGGTCCTGTGCAGGCCAAAATTGTGAAGGGAAGAAAATCTAAGTAGAAGCTGTGAGCAAGAGAAACAATCCAGAAAGGTGAGGAAGCTGGTCAGCCACAGAGCAGAGCAAAGCCATCACACAGGCTCCTTCTGAGGCCTCTAGACCTGCCTTGATTCCAGAGTAATCTTCAGTCCTGACTATTCGTGGCTTTTCCTTATCATTGTGCAGGTGTTTCCCCTCAATGAGCCTCTCCACTCTTGAGGAATTTCAGTGAGTCTCTGTTAGTTCATGACAGCCTTAAAACCTAAGTAATATCATGTTTCTCTAGCCTTTTCTTTTTTGAGACAGGGTCTTGCTGTCACCCAGGCTGAAATGCAGTGGCACAATCTTGACTCATTGCAACCTCCACCCCCTGAACTCAAATGATCCTCCCACCTCAGCCTCACGAGCAGCTGCAACTACAGGTGATTTTTTATATTTTTTGTAGAGACAGGATTTGGCTGTGTTGCCCAGGCTGGTCTCGAGCTCCTGGACTCAAGTGATCTGCCCACCTTGGCTTTCCACAGTGCTGGGATTACAGGCGTGAGCCACCACATCTGGCCTTCCTTAGCCTTTTTTTTCTGTATACAAAGGTGACTATATACTCTTTCTTCCAATAGTGGATCTAACTGCAATGCTGTATTGTAACTTACTTTTTTTTTTAACTTGACAATATATTGTGAGCATTCTCATAATATTATTAGAACTTTATAGGATTTCCTTGCAAGGTACCCAAACCTCTGAACAGCTATCATCACCATAGTGAAGTCCAATTTGCTGCCAGCCTTACTGAAAGAATGTCATCCGGCACAGAAACCCGCTGCAGAGTCAAATGAAACCTTCAGGTCCACTGCCTTCCCAGGAGCCCACCTGGCCCCTGCCCTGGGTTTTTCTTGCCCGTCCAGCAGGCCCTTGGTGAGTTCCAGCAGTGAGCCAAACACAATTTTTCAATAGAAACATACTGGAACTGTCAAAAGAACATGAAGTGAGCCACCAAAAAGCATGAAGCATAACACAGTTTTATTTGTTCTGTGGCTTTTTTTTTTTTTTGATATGGCGTCTCACTCTGTTGCTCAGGCTGGAGTGCAGTGGCGCAATCTCAGCTCACTGCAACATCCGCCTCCTGGGTTCAAGCAATACTCCTGCCTCAGCCTCCCCAGTAGCTGGGACTACAGATGTCTGCCACCATGCCCAGCTAATTTTTGTATTTTTAGTAGAGACAGGGTTTTGCCATGTTGGCCAGGCTGGTCTTGAACTCCTGACCTTGTGATCTGCCTGCCTTGGCCTCCCAGAGTGCTTGGATTACAGGCATGAGCCACTGTGCCTGGCCATTCTGTGGCATTTTTAAAACAGCAAGTTTGTCATCAAAATAAAAAAACCAAACAGAAACTCTGAGCACTTTGGTATAACTCAAGTGAAGATGACCCTGCATCTCTACTGAACCATCTCACAGGGCTTTCAAGAAATATGGGCCTTTCAAACCACATTTTTGACACATCATGCCTACAATGGCACAGATCACATTCCTGTGGCTTCAAACATCTGCTCCCAAAGCATGTTTCAGTGGTGGCTACAGCCGAGAGGTGCATCAGTGTTACCCCAGTCTTGCACCCAAGGACCCTCACTTGGGGAGCCCCAGGCCCTCCAGAGTCCTGGATCCACGCCTCTTGTGGAGGCACCATCTGTCTCTCGATCCTCCCATAGCCCAGTGGTGTTCCTGAGAGAGCTGTGTGCTGGCCTCTCCCTCTGACCTATGTTGACCTCACCAAGCTCCAGCTACAAGGCTGGCCTCTGTCCTGATGGCTGTTCTCATTGGATGTGGCCAATGCTACTTTGTCGCTATGTCCAAGATCCTTGTCTGGAGTGAACACATTTGGAATTAGGAGTTTCTAAGAAACGTCCATTGTAGTTTGAGCTCTAGCTGTTCATTCTTGGTGGTCAGTAAGTCACTTTTTTGGCTTTGCCTGACAATACATATGACCTCTGAGGCTCAAGTTCTCCACCCACAAAATGAAGCCATTTGTTCCCATGTCATTGTCTGGCTATGAGGCTGGGAGGTTATGGCCTTGGTACTCATAATCACTGGCGTACAGTTCACACTGGTGCTCAGTCCATCTTTATTCCTGCCCTTTCTTCTTTCATAATTTCTCCAGGGTCACGCCAGAGATTGGAGAAGATGAAGATATCAGAAGGTGTAATGCTGGCATTGTTCCATAGCAACGGGCCTTAGGTACATGGCAGAAAAAGAGAGAGAAAAAGTTGTTCCCTTCTCATAGTGTCCCTACCTGGAGTTAGCTGTCAGCCAAAAGCACTTTAATGTATCACGTCCTGGTGGCTACACAGGTTACACAATTGTCAAAACCCATTGGGCTGCACACTTAATACCTATGCATTTTGTTGTATGTTCATTATCTCAACATTTTTTTCAATAAAAAAATTAAACTAGAAAACAATGCTTCATCTGCTAATTAGCACTGTAAGACTAGGTGTAGATGTACATGTACATAAATCTGTCTTTCCCGTGGTCTCTCTGGTAGGCAGGGACCTTGAGCCAGGATTCCTTCCCTCCCTTCCCTCGAACCCCACTTTCTCCCCATGGCTCCCTGACCCATGCACAGCCACCTAGCAGGTCCTTCTGCCTCTGTGCTTGGCACTTTCCATCCATTGTCCTCACAGCTACCCCAGTGACCTTTGTAAAATGCAGCTATGTCATATTATTCCTTGCTTAAAAGTAATAGTCACTTCTCGTCTCCTCCCAAGTGTGTAAAATCCAAGCTCTTCTCAGGATATGTAAACCCTTGGCTACCGCCCACCCTCGAGCTTCCTCTCCCACCCCTGCCTGACTCCCATTTCATGCTCCAGATACGTAAACTGCTTGTAACTCCACACACACTCGGCTTATCCCCTCTGCCTGAAATGCCCTTTCCAAAATTACTAAATTAAAATTGGTATCAGGACAAACACATACTGTGCTTATGAGCTTCCAAAAGAGTGGTCCAATTTTAAATATTCACATTAAATAGGGATATTTACCCGGTTTATACTTGGCCAGATATTCTGTGAGGAGGAGCTCTGGGCTCGGGGGCCAGACCATCATTTAGTCCTAGCTCTGCTCCTTAATGACTGCAGATCCTTGGGCTGGTCACTTGGGATGCCTGAATCTCATTTATTTTATGCAAAATGAGGGTTATAAATATTCACCCTAAAGGAGGAGGAACAGTGAAATGTTGGATGTGAAGGCACCTTATAAACTGCAGTGCTGCACAAATGCCTCCTGAGCAGAAGGCAACCTGCCCCCAGTGAGCAGCTCAGAACAGAGTCCTGTCACACGCGTCCATGTGAAGAGAGTCCACCAAGAGGCTTTGTATGAGCAACAAGGCTGTTTATTTCAGTTGGGTGCAAATGGACTGAGTCCGAAAAGAGAGTCAGCAAAGGGAGATAAGGGTGGAGCAGTTTTATGGGATTTGGGTAGGTAACGGAAAATTACAGTTAAAGGTGGTTATCTCTTGCTGGCAGGGGCGGAGGTCACAAGGTACAGAGTGGGGAGATCATGAGACTCATTGGGGCGGGTGGGAGGTGGGGAGGGAAATGTCACAGGGTCGATTGATTAGTTGGGGTCAGGCAGGAACAAATCACAATGGTGGAATGTCATCTTTTGTGGTTCCTCAGTTGCTCCAGGCCATCTGGATGTATACGTGCAGGCCATAGGGGTTATGATGGCTTATCTTGGGTTCAGAGGCCTGACATTCCTGTCTTCTTATATTAATAAGAAAAACAAAACAAAATAGTGGTGAAGTGTTGGGGCAGTGAACATTTTGGGGGGTGGTATGGAGAGATAATGGGCGATGTTTCTCAGGGCCACTTCGAGCGGGATTAGGGGCGGCGTGGGAACCTAGAGTGGGAAAGATTAAACTGAAGAAAGATTTTGTGGTAAGGGGTGATATTGTGGGGTTATTAGAAGGAGGATTTGTGATATAGAATGATTGGTGATGGCCTGGATGTGGTTTTGAATGAATTGAGAAACTAAATGGAAGACACAAGGTCCAAATAAGAGAATGTTGTATATATAGTTTTGGTGCTGCAAAAGGAATAGCACTCAAATATAAAATTTTCTTTTTAATTCTCAGCAAGGCAAGTTACTTCTGTAGAAGGGTGAGCCCTTACAGATGAAGCAATGGTGAGTGCACACTTGGACAAGGGAGGGGAAGGGATTCTTATCCCTGACGCACCTGGCCCCTGCTGCTGTGTCGTTCCCCTATTGGCTGGGGTTAGACTGCACAGGCTGAACTAATTCCGATTGGCTAATTTAAAGACAGTGATGGGGTGAGTGCTTTGGCGGGAGTCAGGGCAGAGCAGGTAGCAGGTAATCTGAATGAGTCAGGGTGGAGCAGGTGATCGGAATGAGTCAGGGTGGCATAGGGAATCGGAATGAGTCAGGGTGGAGTAAGCAATCAAAAAAGGTTGCTTTACAAGGAAGTTAAGTTTAAAAGTAGAAGGCAAAGAATTGAACTTACTGACATATTAATTCTTTGAAAAGAAATTTAGAACTCATATCTAACAAGAAGGAGAAAAACAGGTATAAAGGACTAAGAATTGGGAGGGCCCAGGACATCCAATCAGAGAGTGCCCAAGGGAGTTCAGTGTAATTATTTGCTTGGTTGGCAAGCTTTTGGGCTCTATCCTTGAGTATTTTATGTTGTCATATACCAGGCCAGATTGATTTAGGTAAAAACAACACTCTTCATTTAGAAATATGCAGAGTCCTCCTTTTTCAGCAGTAAGTCAAGGCCTATTCCTGTCTTCTTATATTAACAATAAACAAAACAAAACAAAATAGTAGTGAAGTGTTGGTGACATGAGGGGAACAGGAAGCTGTTCAGTCCCATTTGCAAATTGATTTTTGGGGGTAAGGAAAACTAATGTACATGTGCCTGTCCAACCAGCAGGTGGACACACATAGGTGGAGGATCTACAGAGCTTCCTCCTTCCAAGAGACCTTGTGTAAGGCAAAACTGGAAATGTAAAGTGAAAAGATGAGAGGGAGCACCAAAAGAGGTGTCTTGCACCCAGACTCCTAGGGATCCAGTGAGGGCAGCAGCAGTTAGAGGTTGTAATGGGGATTGATGGGGCAACTGGGCAGAGGAGAAGGTTCAATTTTTATAGTATGTAGAGAAAGTTATGAGAACATAGTGTCTACAAGAAACCTTCCATTGTTATTCAGGGGTTGGGTATAAGTAAACAAGAAGGGGGGCTGGGAGGAGAGTCCAAAGAACAAGGGGAAGGTAGCCAAGGATGGAGTGAAATGCAGGACAAATGTCTTAAAGGAAATGAGAGGTTCTAAGAGGCGGGCTAGTGGCTTGTAACCCACATGGAACAGGTTATGAAAGGACAATAGAATGGAATGAGCCTGTGAGGCTGGAAGGAGGAATTTTCCTTGGTCCAAGAACTATTTGCCTTGAGTGGGGATGGATTGATAGGTGGAAACTTCAGCGGGAGAGTAAGTAGAAGTGACTGATGAGAAGGAGAAAAACTGGCCGTGAGGACAGAAGTAGGAATAATGGCTGCTTCATTAGCTGTCTTATCAGCATAATTGTTGCCTTGAGCAGTGGGGTCTGAGGCCCTTTGATGGCCTTTGCAGTGAATGACTCCAGCTTCCTTTGAAAGTAAAGCGGCCTTGAGAAGAGTTTTTATTAAAGAGACATTAATGATGGAGGACATTTGCATAGCGAGGAAACCTCTTTCAGCCCATATAACAGCACGGTGGTGCAGGATATGGAAGGCATATTTAGAGTCAGTATAAATATTGACACATAGTCCTTTTGCAAGAGTGAGGCTCGAGTTAAGGCAATGAGTTTGGCTTGCTGAGAGATGATGGAGTGGGGCAGAGTGGTAGCCTCAATTATAGATGTGGAAGATACTATAGCATAGCCTGCCTTTGCTGGTGAGTGGCGATTAGGCCTGGTGGAACTGCCATCAATAAACCAAGTGTGATCAGGGTGAGGAACAGGAAAGAAGGAAATATGGGGAAATGGAGTAAATGTCAGGTGGATCAGAGAGATACAGTCATGGGGGTCAGGTGTGGTATCAGGAATAATGTGGGAGGCCAGGTTGAAGTCTGGGCCAGGAAAAATGGCAATTGTGAGAGACTCAACAAAGAGTGAGTACAGCTGAAGGAGCCGAGGGTGGGGAGAGGGGAGCAGAAAGTATATCCATCAGGCGTGAGGAAGAAAATAGATTTTGAAAGTTATGAGAACAGTAGAGAGTGAGTTGAGCATAGTTTGTGATTTTGAGGGCCTCTAAAAGTATTAGAGCAGCAGCAGCCACCTCATGCAGACATGAGGGCCAGCCTAAAACGGTAAGGTCAAGTTGGACAAAAAGGCTACAGGGCACAGTCCTGATCCTTGTGTAAGAATTCCGACTGCACAGCCCTGCACTTTGGCTGTTTGTAATGAAAAAGTTGGGATGAGTCAGGGAGAGCTAATATGGGAGCAGTCTCTAGAGCTGCTTTTAAGGAATGGAAAGAGGAGTGGAGAAAGGATTTAGGATGTATGGGGTCAGATAGGTTTTCCTTTGTGAGTTTATATAATGGTTTTGTTAGGATGGCAAAACCAGGTATCCAAAGGCGAAAGTATCCAACCATGCCCAGGGAGGAAAGGAGTTGCTGCTTTGTAGAAGGGGTTGGGGTTTGAGAGATCAGCCAGACACAATCGGCAGGGGGAGTATGTGTGTTTTCATGAAGAGTTATGCCAAGGTAGGTAATGGATGGAGAAGAAATTTAAGCTTTGGAGGGGGATACCTGATATTCCTTGGAGAATAAATGTTGAAGGAGCAGAAGGGTATCTTGTTGAGAAGATTCAAGGGAGGGGCTACGAAGTAGAAGGCCATCAATATATTGAATAAGGTGAGAAGCAGAGGGGTGGAAAGAAAGTAAATCATAAGAAATAGCTTGGCTGAAGTAATGAGGGCTGTCCCTGAAGCCTTGTGGCAGTACCACCCAGGTAAGCTGCTGGGACTGATGGGTATCAGGGTCAGTCCAGGTAAAAGCAAAGAGAGGCTGGGATGAGGGGTTCAGGGGAATAGTGAAAAAAGCATCTTTAAGATCAAGAATGGAATAGTGAGTTGTGGAGGAAGGTATTGAGGACAAAATAGTGTATGGGTTGGGCACCACAGGGTGGATAGGCAAAACAATTTGGTTGATAAGGTGCAGATCCTGAACTAACCTGTAAGACTTGTCCAGTTTTGGGACAGGTAAAATGGGGGAATTGTAAGGAGAGTTTATAGGCTTTAGAAGCCCGTGCTGTAGCAGGCAACTGATAACAGGTTTCAGTCCCCTTAAAGCCTGCTGTGGGATGGGATACTGGCATTAAGTGGGGTAAGGGTGATTAGGTTTTAATGGGATAGTAATGGGTGTGTGATTGGTTGCCAGGGAGGGAGGAGAGGTGTCCCATACTTTTTGGTTAAAGTTGGGGGATACAAGAGGAAGATGCAAAGGAGGCTTTGGGTTGGGGAGAAGGGTGGCAATGAGATGTGGCTGTAGTCCAGGACTATGGAATATGTTTGAAATGTTTCATAATGAAAAATTTAAATAATAAACATTTAATTTGTTTAAAAGTACAGTTAAAATGATTAGTCATAAACTGCAAACATTTGCTTGATTTCACCTTTTGCTTGAAAATTGTGTCACCATAGGCTAGGCACAGTGGCTCATGCCTGTAATCCCAGCACTTTGGGAGGTTGAGGCAGGCAAATCACAAGGTCAGGAGGTAGAGACCATCCTGGCTAACACGATGAAGCCCTGACTCTTCTAAAAGTACAAAAAATTAGCTGGGCATGGTGGTGGGCGCCTGTAGTCCCAGCTACTCAGGAGGCTGAGGCAGGAGAATCACTGAACCCAGGAGATGGAGATTGAAGTGAGCCGAGATCATGCCACTGCACTCCAGCCTGGGCGACAGAGCGAGACTCCGTCTCAAAACAAAAAAGAAAGAGAAAGAAAGAAAAAGAAAGAAAGAAAGAAAGAAAAAAGAAAGGAAGGAAGGAAGGAAGGAAGGAAGGAAGGAGGGAAAATTGTGTCACGATAATGAAAATGAAAAGTTCCCTAGGATGAATCAGTTAAATTTTTGCAAGAGAAATTAGTGTGAGAAACTGGAGGTGAGACTGGAGTCGGAAGTTGGCCCCTTAACTCCTGCAGAGTGACAAAGCCAGTTAAGACTGAGAGGGACTTCTGGCAGATGTCACGTGGGGATCTTCTTGCTCTTCCTTGACCAAGTCTGAGCTAAGACAGGCCCTCCGGGCCAGGGCTGCCTGGGTGTATTGACTGGGCAGGGACAATTGTTTATGTACTCTTTTGTCTCATGGACTCCTCCTTTAGAGAAAAAGTGTAAGCTGTCAGGCCATTAACAGGAGAGTCGGCTTCAAACGAGCACCCAGCAATGTGTCCTCTGAAGGAGAAAATGGTCTTGTATACCTGCACGCCCGAACAAAAGCAGCTACTGTTCTGATTTACTTAGCAATGCGTAAAAAAAAATGAATCTATGAACAAGGATTTCTGGCACTGAGAAAAACTACTGAAATAAGCTGGGTTTTTATACCATTTTATATTCATTTCCTGTTTCTGCTGTAGCAAATCAGCACCACAAACCTGATGGCTTAAAAAAACACAAGCTTATAATCTAACAGTCCTGGAGGCCCAGAGGTCTGAAGTCAGTTTCACTGGACTAAGGTCAAGGTGTCAGTAGGGCAGGTTCTTCCTGGAGGTGCTGAAGGGAGAATCCGTTTTCTGCCTTTTCCTGCTTCCAACAGCTGTCACATTCCTTGGCCCATGGCCCCTTCCTTGGCCTTCAAAGGGCATCACTCCAGTCTCTGCTTCCTTCTCCTCCAACTGTGACTCCTCTCTGTCCCTCTTAGAAGGGCCTTGGTGATTACATAGGGTCCATGCAGCTAATCCAGGCTGATCTCCCCATCTCAAGACACTGAATTTAATGACATCTGCCAAGTCCCTTTTCTACACAAGGTCATATTCATAGGAGATTAGGATCTGGACAACTTTGTGGGGCCAGCATTCAACCCAGCACACCTGTCACAGCATGACACTACGGGAAGCACCTTGCTGATGGCCCACACCCAAGTCATGCCACTTAAACTGAGGCACATGTACCCAGGCTCATGGGGAGAAGCCAGGCAGTTCTCAAAGGCACAAGAAGAATGTAGCGTATTACCTTTATTTCATGGGAAGTGATTTAAGACTATTTTATTTTATTTTATATTTTTGAGACAGGGTCTCACTCTGTCATCCAGGCTGGAGTACAGTGATGTAATCAGAGCTCATTGCAACCTCAGACTCCTGGGTTCAAGTGATCCTCCCACTTCAGCCTCCCAAAGTGTTGGGATTACAGGTGTGAGCCACCCCACTTGGCAAGACATTATTTTAATATTTAAATAAACACAGCTATATTACAGAATAGAATGTTAGATTCTCATAAATTCTAAAAATAAAAATGTAAGTCTTGAAAGAAACATTCCCACTATTGGCAAGGTTATTTGGGCCTCATCCCTAGACCCTTGGGTTGGGTGAAACTCACTTCTGCCACTGGAGTTCCTCAGTGTATGAGACTGAGAGGCACTGCTCATCAACTCCTCACTTAACAGACGAGGAGACGGAGGCCCGACAGACAACAACCTCTTAAAATCACAAAGAGGCAGACGAGGGCGGGTGTGCGGCCTCCCTGGCTTGTGGTGGTTTGCTGTGTGTTTACTCCAGAACGCCCTGCTCACATGGCTGAGACAGAGGACAGAAGGCTTGAGAGGGATGGAAAGAGCAACCAGGTGGACTGACTGACGTGTTTCCTCACAGAGGGCTGCGTCACCGGCCTATCTGGTGGTGTCCTAGGCACCGCCTGTATCAGAGGCTTCTCTGATGGTGGGATAAGGGCTCTGAAAGGCATGTTCTCTCAAGGGGAAATTAATATGAATTTTTGGCAATTTGCCCAGCTGCTAAATATTGATTCTGTTTCCCTTGAAGGAAGTTTAGCAGGATTCTAATGAGATATTTATGTGTTTACAGGCATTTATATGGCAAAGCAGTTAGTAATGTTTATTGTAAAACAGTGGGTTTGAACCTAATAATGATTTTCTGTTGGAAGACCATGTCCGTCAGAATTTGACTCACTTGAGAAAGCAGGAAACTCACATTTGGGGCCTCCTCCTCCTTTCTTCTCTCCTCTTCAGATACTTCTAGATTTTCCCTGTTGCTTCCTAAAGCAGTGATCCTCAGCCAGGGGAGTAAGAGTCTCTTTTTGGAATGGGGTATGTCAGACTTTTTATTTTGAAGAGAAATATGCAAAAATACAGATCGTACCATGACAGCATGAATCACATCGATACAAATCTCAGCCAGTCCTACCACTCCCCATGATGCAAGATTGCCTGGACACGTTAATTGTCTGCTAGTTATTTTTGAATCTAACATCACTAGCACCAGTGTGTTGTGAACACCAGAGAATGGTGTTTGAGGCGATGAACTACGTGCACCAGAGAATGGAGCAGTGGAGAGCTGTTTCCATCTAGGCGGGCAGTCAAAGCTCAGTGTGAGGGGCCACACTCTTGGCCCATGCACTGTTGCATGGGTTGAAATGCCATGGCTTGAATTCAGTAAGCCTCTGACTGTTAGTGCTCTGGGAATATTTCATTCCCTCAAAAAGAGTACACATGTCTCCAGGCAGGATCTGTACCTTTTCATGTGCCAAATGAAAGACATACACAGAACAATTACTCTGGTTGTCAGAGGTAGCCAAAAATATCCAAAACCTGGTACCAAATATGTAGGGCAAATTATTATTATGCAATGCCAATCTCAAACTGTGTTAGTTTCAGAAGCCCTTGAGTCAAGCATCCTTTCAAGTTGCAAATTTATGGGTTAAGAAATAGAACTCTATTCAACAGCTGGGAAATTACTTGGACATTGGCAAATGCCAAAAAAATAATGCTCAAAGTAGGAGAACAAAATAACAACCTCCTTTGTTTTAAAGCATTACCCATTTCACAATTCATGAGGTCCTCAGAGCTAGGTTTGTATGATGAACAATCAAGGCATCTGCAAATCAGCAAACACATTGAATTCATGTTTAAAGCAAAACCACATTTGCATGACGAACACTAGAACATTGCTCTAAACAAGGACCAGTCCCTGGGACATCCAAAAACTCAGGAATGCAGAACAATGCGGGTACTTAGAGCAAACGAGGACAAATGACAAGATGGCAAACAACTCAAAGATAGCAGATTGCTCTTTTTTAGAAGCTTCCACCTCTAAACAGTTGGATTCATTTTACATTCCTAGCCTTGGGAATTTGACTGTTTCTATTGTAATTGCTCATGAGCCACTATTAGAAAGGTCACTTGTATAAAGGTATGAAGCTATAATGACTAGGACATTTTTAAAAAGGCAAACTGAGTCAGATCTCGGTTGTCTTAACTCTGTCCATGTAAGTACCATATAAAACAGATACTCACTTTTTTGGGCAAAGTCTGATACAATAGTGAAAGTGTCCATATTTGCAAATCACAATTTTAGGGACTTTTTTATTTTTTATTTTATTTTATTTTATTTTTTTCAAGGCAGAAGAATTTTTCTTAGTACAGAACAAAATGGAGTCTCCTATGTATACTTCTTTCTACACAGACACAGTAACAATCTGATCTCTCCTTCTTTTCCCCACATTTCCCCCTTTTCTTTTTGACAAAACCGCCATCGTCATCATGGCCCGTTCTCGAAGGTCGCTGTCTCTTCGGAGCTGTTGGGTACACTTCCCAGACGGGGCGGCCGGGCAGAGGCGCCCCCCACCTCCCAGACGGGGCGGCCGGGCAGAGGCGCTCCTCACCTCCCAGACGGGGCGGCCGGGCAGAGGCGCCCCTCACCTCCCAGACGGGGCGGCCGGGCAGAGGCGCTCCCCATTTCCCAGTAGGCACTTTTTTAAAAACTAAATTGGTTTTATTTACAAGGAGGTCAGTTATTTTCTCTGCATTTGATTTCACTAAATTATCAAGTGCAGGGAAAACATTTACTTTCTAGATTCATACTCCTTAAGGAACACTTTTTATTATTTTTTTCAAATGCTGCTCTCCAGGTTGAGCCTCCCTAATCTGAAAATCTGAAATTGGAAATGCTCCAAAATCGGAAACTTTTAGAGTGCCAGCCTAACGCCACAAATGGAAAACTCCACACCTGACCTCATGCAAAGGGTCTCAGTGAAAACACAGGCACACAACGCATGGTTTATCCAGTGGCTCCAAGGGAAAAAAGACCTTCCCAGCCCCTTAGCTGCAATAGATATTTTCCACTCATTCCCAGATTCCCCCAGGCAAGCATGTCCACAAAGGGTAATAAAATAACATTTCATTTCATGCACAAAATCATTTTAACGTATCGTGTAAAATTATCTTCAGTCTATGTGTATAAGCTGTACGTGAAGCATAAATAGGGTTTGTGTTTAGATATTCCATCCCCAAGATATCTCATTATGTACGTGCAAACATTTCAAAATCCAAAAATTTCCAAAATTCCATACACTTCTGGTCTCTAGCATTTTGGATAAGTGATACTCAACCTGTATTAACAAGCAGTAATTAATTTTAAAATGTGCTGTGCAGAATGCTTTTACATAGCTAATGGTTTTAGCAGCAAGGGCGATCACCTCTGCTTCATATCCAACATTTCACTAATCACCTCTTTTATAAGGTTTCTTTTCCTTAACCCATATCACCCTGTTACAATATAAACTAAGGCACATTAAAATTTTAAAGAGTTTCTTGAGTAGACAGATTCATGAATTGGGCAGCACCAGACCTTAAGTAGCTTGGGGCACCACTGAAGGGACACTGGGGTTTTGACAACGTGAATACAGAAGCAAGGCAAAGAAATTCATCCAGCAAAAGTCCCTAGTTAGAAGTTAGTTCCGATTGGCCTACGATATGACCGTTGACACTGAGGTGGGTTTCGTTTGCTTACTAGGAAGCCAGGGTGCTGAAGCCTCCTCAGTCTAATGGCCTCCCAGTGAATTATTTATTTAGAAAACTGATTCTCTTTCAACATTCCAGTCTTATAGTGAAAGTATTTTTGTTTGCTCTTTTTCCTTTTCTTTTCTTTTTTTTTTTTTTTTCTGAGATGGAGTCTCTCTCTGTCGCCCAGGCTGGAGTGCAATGGCAAAATAGCTCACTGCAACCTCTGCCTCCTGGGTTCAAATGATTCTTGTGCCTCAGCCTCCCAAGTAGCTTGGATTACAGGTGCTGGCCACCACACCCAGCTAATTTTTTTGTATTTTTAGTAGAGACCAGGTTTCATCATGTTGGCCAGGCTGGTTTTGAACTCCTGACCTCAAGTGATCTGCCTGCCTTGGCCTCCCAAAGTGCTAGGATTACAAGTGTGAGCCACGGCGCCTGGCTTTTTTTTCTTTTTCTTTTTTTTTTTTTTGAGATAGGGTCTCATTCTGTCACCTGGGCTGGAGTTCAGTGGCACCATCATAGCTCACTTTAGCTTCAAACTCCTGGGCTCAAGTCAGCCTCCTGCCTCAGCCTCCTGAGTAGCTGGGACTACAGGCATGTGCTACCATGCCTGGCTAATTCTCAATTTTCTTGAAGAGATTAGGTCTTGCTGCGTTGCCCAGGCTAATCTCGAATTCCTGGCCTTAAGCAATCCTCCTGCCTCAGCCTCCCAAAGTGCTGAGATTACATGCATGAGCCACTGCACTGAGCCTTCTTTTTAAAATTAAAACAAAATTCTGGCCGGGTGCAGTGGTTCACACCTGTAATCCCAGCACTTTGGGAGGCTGAGGTGGGTGGATCACAAGGGCAGTCAGGAGTTTGAGACCAGCCTGGCCAACATAGCAAAACCCCCTCTCTACTAAAAATACAAAAAATTAGCCAGGTGTGGTGAGAGGGCACCTGTAATCCCAGCTACTAGGGGGGCTGAGGCAGGAGAATTGCTTGAACCCGGGAGGCAGAGGTTGCAGTGAGCCAAGATCACGCCATTGCACTCCAGCCCAGCGACAGTGCGAGACTCCGTCTCAAAAAAAAAAAAAAAAAAAAAAAAAGAATTCCATATTCTAAAAAGTAAACTTGGTCTACAAAGATGTTGTCATTTGTGATATCAGTAGGTCTCATATCAGTTATAAAGTCCTTTGCCTCTGTTAGCCAGATTTCAACTGTGAGCAGATACTTTTTACCACTGTTGAGCTTTATAGAATTTCACAGCCAGTAAGACTAAGTTGATCTGGGTGCTTTCCTTATATATGTACGATATGGTTTGGATTTGTGTCCCCGCCTAAATCACATGTCTAATTCTTTTTTTTTTTTTTTTTGAGATGGAGTCTTGCTCTGTCACCCAAGCTGGAGTGCAGTGAGGCAATCTCAGCTCACTGCAACCTCTGCCTCCCTGGTTCAAGCAATTCTCCTGCCTCAGCCTCCCAAGCAGCTGGGATTACAGGCACGTGCCACCATGCCTGGCTAAGTTCTGTATTTTTATTGGAGACGGGGTTTCACCGTGTTGGCCAGGCTGGTCTTGAACTCCTGACCTCAAGTTATCCACCCGCCTCGGCCCTCCAGAGCGCTGGGATTACAGGCGTGAGCCACTGCCGCCTAATTCTAATACCCAATGTTGGAGGAGGGGCCTGGTGGGAAGTGATTGGATCATGGGAGCGGACTTCCCCTTTGCTAGAGAGCCAGTTCTCTCGAGATCTGGTTGGTTGAAAGTGTGTAGCACCTCCCCCTTCTCTCTCTTCCTCTTGCTCCAGCCATGTAATGCATGCTTGATTCCCCTTCACCTTCCACCATGATTGTAAGTTTCCTGAGGCCTCCCCAGCCATGCCTCCTGTACAGCCTGCAGAACCATGAGCCAGTTAAACCTCTTTTCTCTATAAATCACCCAGTCTCCAGTAACAGTGCAAGAACGGACTAATACAATGTATTTATTTGAAGTGCTTCTGAAGACGAACTGCCTCTAAACTTCACTATCTGGGGCACAAACATCAGCAAGCTGGAGAACGCCCTTGGCCTGCTGCAGCTCCCTTGACATCGTCTTGCATTACTTCCTCCGGTGGCCTCACTCCAGAGACTACCCCTGGTCCGTGAAAAGCAGAAGGCAAATGAAAATGTATACGTTGTAAACCCACGACTCATTTCAGCCAGCCAGGCATCTCTTTCCCTTTTATCATTACACAAGTAAAGCATGAATTCATGCTGATTGTAAAAAAAATGCAGCAAGGCAGAAATACATGGAGCAAAAAGTGAAAGCCCCTTCATCACACCTTCTTTCCATCTGCTTCCCCTCCCAGACGTCTCTCAGAGTATTTATAGATTCAACAGATGGAAGACCTCCCGCCCCAGCTCGGCTCCACCCCACCCCGGCTCCACCCCACCCCTGCACTCCTAGGAAGACCTCTCCTCCTCACTCCCCAAGAGCACAGATTTTATGCTGGAGAATTTCTGGAGTGGAAAAGGAGGCCCAGTTTTACAAACTAAAGGGGTCCCATAGATACCTCAGGAAGAGAGGGAAAGCCAAGCACGAGTCTGTAGAGGGGGAGGGGGCAGCCTGGGGGCAGCCTAGCGACAGGCGGCCGGCGGGCAAGCAGAGAGGCTGCAGGCAGTCAGCTTTGGGGACAGTGAGGAGGCTGTGAGTTGCTCAGACAGAGGCAGGGGCACACAGAGGCCTCCCTCCCAGGGAACAGCTCCAGCTTTAGGACCCATCTTTTGCAGCTCAGGAGCCGTTCTGAGTTAGCAAGGACGTGTACCCTTCTAAGCCTTCCTTTGTTTCTTTGTGTAACTGCCTTTGTCTGGGGAGCCCCGGGGGCTGCAGCGGTCAGGAGGAAGCGGGCCCAGCCTCAGCCAGGCCTGCACGGCGGAGGGGCAGCCCCACTCTCCGGAAACAGGGAGGGCCCAGCGCAGAGCAGCGTTCCCCAGCAGAGCACAGTGAGATGGGCCTGGGCCTGCCTTTGGGGTGGGAAGAAGCTGCCCTTAAAAAGGGGTTACAGGCCGGGCGCGGTGGCCCACACCTGTAATCACAGCACTTTGGGAGGCTGAGGCAGGCGGATCATTGAGGTCAGGAGTTCGAGAACAGCCTGGCCAACATGGTGAAACTCCCGTCTCTACGAAAAATACAAAAATTAGCCAGGAGTCGTGTCAGGAACCAGTAATCCCAGCTACTCGGGAGGCTGAGGCAGGAGGCTCGCTTGAACCCCAGAGGCAGAGGTTGCAGGGAGCCGAGACTGCGACACTGGACTCCAGCCTGGGCGACGGAGTGAGACTCTGTCAAAAAAAAAAAAAAAAAAAAAAAAAAAGGTGGGAGGGTTACATGTATATGGCGCGGGGTGTATTATGAAAGTTGCTGGTACCGAAACGGAGTCACCTAGGTCAAACTCTAAACTCTAGCAAAATGGAGTTGGGGGAGGCTATGAAGAGGCCCTCACGCCCACATGCTGGCCACGGGACCCATCTCTAGACGTTCCTGCACGTAGACCCGCATCAGGACTTGTTGCAAGGACTTCTCGAGGCTGTGGTATTCCAGATCCGCCACCAGCACGGGATAGTGACCTGGCAACGGCCGCCTCCACCAGCAAACAGACGCCAGCTCCTGCAGTGAGCTTCTGTGACCTGCCAGCCTTGTTTCAAAGCAGCGTGCATGGACTTCTCTTTGTCTTTTAAACCTTATGAGCCATCATAGCACACGCTTCCACGGATTGCAATCCCTTGCATAGTCCCAAATGAGCTCATTTGTTTCCGAGTCTGTCTCTCTGAGTTTCCTCTTTAGGTTGATGGTATGATTTCATTTATTTTTTTTAAACCATGTATACACACAGATATATAATTTTTAAAAACTGTAAATGGAATCCTGTTATTTTTCTGTGACTTGCTTTTTCCCTTAATAGACTACAGCATTTCACATCGCTAGGTGTAGAGCCATCTTGGATTTTTTTAAATGAAAGCTGCCTATCTTTTACAATTAGAAGGCTCGGCTGGGCGCGGTGGCTCACGCCTGTAATCCCAGCACTTTGGGAGGCCCAGGCGGGTGGATCACTTGAGGCCAGGAATTGGAGACCAGCCTGGCTAACATGGTGAAACCCATCTCTGCTAAAAATACAAAAATTAGTTGGGCGTGGTGGTGCGCACCTATAATCCCAGCTACTCGGGAGGCTAAGGCAGGAGAATCGCTTGAACCCGGGAGGCAGAGGTTGCAGTGAGCCAGGACTGCTCCACTGCATTCCAGCCTGGGCAGCAGAGTGAGACCCTGTCTAAAAAAAAAAAAGAAGGCTGTTGGTGGGCCGGGCACGGTGGCTCATGCCTGTAATCCCAACACTTTGGGAGGCTAAGGCCAGCACATCACATGAAGTCAGAGTTTGAGACCAGCCTGGTCAACATGGTGAAATCCTGTCTCTACTAAAAATACAAAAATTAGCCTGGTGTGGTGGCTTTTCCCAGCTACTGGGGAGGCTGAGGCAGGAGAATCACTTGAACCTGGGGGGTGGAGGTTGCAGTGAGTGAAGATCTCACCACTGCACTCCAGCCTGGGTGACAGAGTGAGCCTCCATCTCGAAAAAAAAAAAAAAGAGAAAGAAAAAAAAGGCTGTTGGTGGTGCTCCTTTGTTTTCTGTGGCTGATTTAGGATTAAGAAGCAGTCTGCGTAAAGGCTGGGGAGAGGGCTAGGGAGAGTGAGGCCTTGGGTGAGGTCACTTGCCCAGACATGCGGTGACCTGGTGGAGCCTGCCTCTAAAACCCCCTTTGCTACTAACCAGCCCGTGTCCTGGGGGAGCAACCTGCATGTCTTCAGCCCCTACATCTCTGCAAAGGAGAGATTAGGGAAAGTTGAGTGGAGATCCCCAAATTCCATCATTTTGAAAAATGCTTTTGTTTCATTTTAGTTTTCCATAGCACAAGCCTATTAAACTTTCAAAGAAGTTTTAATGATGTTGAATGGCCTTCCTCTTCCCTTTTATGTCATTTGCTCTCTTTTTTGAAGGAATCAAAGACAAACTTCAAATGCTGAGAATGTCAACTTCATCCAGTTTAATACTTTTATATGTGTTGCCAAGAAAGAAATTCCCAGAAGCAAAAATGTCAAAATAATCTTTGTGAAAGACAAAACACGAAAAAAAAAAACCCAAAAGCCTATTTCAGATGTCAATGGTCAGCAATATTCTTGAAAAATAATTATCACCTTTGAAAATTATGTTTCTTAAAATTAATTTCCCTAAGATCACAGTTGGGCTTTCCTTTCACAGAACTTTCAAACAACTTCTGATGTCAAAATAACTGGCAATTTGCTTTTCTTAGGGTGGCATTGAATTTCCTTAGTAGTTAGTTAGCTTTTATAAGTTAATAAAGTGTGACAACGCCATGAATGTTGGAGCAGGGTCAAAGGCAGGAAGTCCAGCAGATGTGTGTTTCGTGGTCCCGGCTCTGTTTTCCCGGCCATACAAGTGCCTTGGCTTGCCTCATGGATGGGAGACCCTGTGAGCCAGAGACTGAGTCAAGATTTGAATCTTTCTAAAGTTAGCACAGAGGGGATTTCACAAAGTGTAATTCTCTTGGAAAAAGGGCTGATGTCATTTTTAAATTGTGTGAAATTAAATCATGCTAACTTAAAGCTATTAGAACCTTAAATTATTCTGAGCCTTGAGAGGAATGTGGCTATGAGGCCTAAGTTACGTGCCATGCAGCTGCAACTTCTGCATTTTTTTCCTGTAAGTAATTAGGAAGACCAGGCAGCACCAGAGTAAGGGCCCCTCAGACCATTACCCCTCCTCACAAAGAAATCATCTTCCTTGGAATGTAGCAATCTGTAATCAATCAAATTGCTGTAATATATGCTCTGGTCTTATATAAAAAATGTTATAATCCTGCTAAAACTTCTCTGTCTCTGCCTATATAAGGGAGACATTAACTTCTCCACTTTATTTATTTATTTGTTTTAGATACAGGGTCTTGCTCTGTCACCCAGGCTGGAGTGCAGTGGTGCCATCATAACTCACTATAACCTTGAACACATGGGCTCAAGTGATCCTCCTGGTTCAGCCCCCTGAGTAGCTGCTGAGACCACAGGCACATGCCACCATGCCTGGCTAAATTTTTTTGCTTTTTTTAGTAATGGGGTCTCACTATGTTGCCCAGGCTGGTCTCAAATTCTTCGCCTCAAGTGATCCTCCCGCCTTGGCCTCCCAAAGCCTTGGGATTACAGACATGAGCCACCATGCCCAGCCAACGTCTCTACTTTAAAATGCTGACCCTATTCATCTGGAGTCTGCATTTGCCGGGTGGCTATCCTCAAGCTTTGCACCAGAGTAAACTCTACACTTTAATCTTATTTTCTGAATTTCATTATTTAAGAATGACTATTGTAAAACTGAATTTCAAATTCTCCTCCCCACCATAGGGTGATAGAGCTATCCAGTGGAATGGCTCATCCAGGGGAAAGGGGAAGCCTGAGAATTCTAGAGCAGGATTTCCCAGTCCTGAAGAGGGGGCTCCTGGTGAGTCCTGGGGTGATTTCAAAGCAGTGATTTTGGCAATCAGGTTTATTGGAGCAGGGTTTTATTTACCCCAACTGAGGTGTAAAGGGGGTACACTTTGATAGAGAATAGAATGGTCATTGTTTCTATTCCAATTTTTTAAAGACAAAGTCTCACTCTCTACCCTAGGCTGGAGTGCACAATCATAGCTCACTGCAGCCCCAAACTCCTGGCATTAAGCAATCCTCCCACCTCAGCCTCCCTAGTGGCTGAGACTATAGGTGTACGCTGCTATGCCTGGCTAATTAAAAAAACATTTTTTTTTTTCATAGAGTCAGGGTTTTGCTATGTTGCCCAGGCTGGCCTCAAACTCCTGGCCTCAACTGGTCCTCCCACATTAGCCTCCCAAAGCACTGGGTTTACAGGCATGAGCCATTGCACCCAGCCCCAATTTTTAAAAATAATGCAGTAATTACGTTAAAAAAATTTCCCAGCACTTTAGGAGGCCCAGGCGGGAGAATCACAAGGTCAGGAGTTCAAGACTAGCCTGGCCAACATAGTGAAACCCCGTCTCTACTAAAAAATACAAAAAAAAAAAAAAAATTAGGCAGCCATGGTGGCGGGCGCCCATAATCCCAGCTACTCAGGAGGCTGAGGCAGGAGAATCGCTGGAACCCATGAGGCAGAGATTCCAATGCACCGAGATCATGCTATTGCACTCCAGCCTGGGCAACAGTGCGACTAGACTCCATCTCAAAAAAAAAAAAAAAAAATTTCAGCCTTAAAACAGAAAGTTTGAGAGCCACCAAATGCTTATCCAATAATTGGATCAGATGAAGCAGCTCAAATATTAGTTACTCCTATTACTGTGCTTATTTGGTGGGTGGACTATTATATAGTTCTTCATTGTTTTACCCTTAATTTTATAAGGTTTAATTTATATAAAACTACTGCTCCCAGCCTGGGGAACATGGTGAAATCCCATCTCTACAAAAAATAGAGAAATTAGCTGGGCATGGTGGTGCACACCTGTAGTCCCAGCTATTTGGGAGGCTGAGGTAGAGGATCATCTGAGCCCAGGGAGGTGGAGGCTGCAATGAGTCATGATCACACCATTGCACTCCAGGCTGGGTGACAGAGTGAGACCCTGTCTCAAAATAAACAAAAAACAACAGCAAAACCCTACTGCTCAAAGTGGGAAGCAGAGTGAGAAGGCAACCCACCAAATAGGAAAATATATTTTCAAGTCATGTATCTGCTATAGGATGAACATCTAGAATATATAAAGAACTCCTACAACTCAATGACAAAAACAAAAGCCCCAAACAACCCAATTTAAAAATGGTCAAAGGACTTGAATAGACCTTTCTCCAAAGAAGATATACAAATGGCCAATAAACGCCAGGCACGGTGGCTCACACTTATAATTCCAGCACTTTGGGAGGCTGAGGTGGGTGGATTACTTGAGGTCAGGGGTGCCAACATGATGAAACCCCATCTCTACTAGAAATACAAAAATTAGCTGGGAGTGGTGGTGGACACCTGTAATCCCAGCTACTCGGGAGGCTGAGGCACGAGAATGGCTGGAACCCAGGAGGTGGAGGTTGCAGTGAGCCGAGATCATGCCACTATACTCTAGCCTGGGCAACAGAGTGAGACTCTCAAAAACAAAACAAAACAAAACAAAACAACAAACGGCCAATAAGCACAGGACTTATCATTAGGGAAATGCAAAGCGAAACCAAATTAGTTACTGCTCCACACTCATTAGGATGACTATTCTTTTTAAAAAATACAGAAAATAACAAGTGTTGGTGAGGATGTGGAGAGTTGGAACCCTTGTGCACTGTTGGTGGGAATGTAACGTGGTGCAGCCACTATGGGAGACAAGATGTTGGTTGCTCAAAAAAGTCAAACAGTCGAGACGCAGTGGCTCACACCTGTAATCCCAGGGCTTTGGGAGGCCGAGGCGGGCAGCTCACCTGAGGTCAGGAGTTTGAGACCAGCCTGGCCAACAAGGCAAAACCACATCTCTACTAAAAATACAAAATTAGCCGGGCATGGTGGTACATGCCTGTATTCCCAGCTACTCAGAAGGCTGAGGCAGGAGAATCACCTGAACTGGGAGGCAGAGGTTGCAATGAGCCAAGATCGCTCCACTGCACTCCAGTCTGGGTGACAAGAGTGAAATTCCGTCTCAAAAAAGAAAGTCAAACACAGAATTACGATATGATCCAGCAGTTCCACTTCTGGATATATACCCAAAAGAATTTAAAGCAGAAACTCAAACAGATATTTATGCACCAATGTTCACAGCAGCATTATTCACAATAGCCAAAAGGTGGAAATAACCCAAACGTTCATAGATGAATGGATAAATAAAAAGTAGTATGTACATATCATGAAATAGTCTTTAAAAGGAATGAAATTCTGACATGTTACAACGTAAATGAAACTTGAATTATGCTAGGTGAAATAAGCCAGATACAAAAAACAATATTGTATGATTCCACTTACATTGGATACCTACAGTAGTCAAATTTGTAGAGACAGAAAGTAGAGGTGTGGTCATGGGAGTAAGGCAGGGGCAGTGGAAGTTATTTAATGGGTGCAGAGTTTCAGCTGGGGAAGATAAAAAAGTTCTGGCAATGTCTGGTGGTGATGGTAGCACAACAATGTGAATGTACTTAATGCCACTATCTGTATGCTTAAAAATGGCTAAAATGGCAAATTTTATGTTACGTATATTTGACCACTATTTTTAAAAAGTGGGGAAGCATAAGGAATGCTTTGTTCAATCACAAACAATTCAACAAGGAACACAAAAATGATAATTTTTCAAGTTCCTGTCAAGATATTTTCCATTAGATCTATACCATATAGTTATCTGGTCACAATTCTTATATAGCATACCACACTATCTCTGGTTCTTCAAACATCGATGTTAAAAGAGAAAATACTATACAGTAAAAAAAAAAAAATTCAATTAGGCTTTTTACTCACAAAGAAAAGAAGATCTGTACTCACAATGTATGATTTCTGAACAAATGACAACCAATAGCACCAACAGCAGTTTGAGATCTTCTCTAGCTCCTCATTTAGAAACAAAACTGAAAAATTACAAAAATAAGCCAACCAGGTTTTTTAAAACCAAAAATTGCAAGCATTTGAAATAGCTGCTTTGGTCTATTTTTGATGCCGTCATGCAAATACATTTCCATCTAAATTTTTTCTCATTTAAACAAATTTTTATCAACACGATATATGTAAATTACTTAAAAAAAGAGTACAGCTTAAAGTCAGCTGACGAGCAATGAAAAAAATAAAAAGTAAAAAAATCAGAGTATAGCAGGGTTTGTAATGAAAAGTCCTTCCCACTCTAGGCCTACCCTCATAGGCAATCATTTTTCTATACTTTGTTCTCTTGATCATTACCTTCGGGATTCTAAATATTATATTTCCATACCACTATTTTCAGATTAGATGGATAACATCTAACAAGTCCCTGCTCTAAAAGATGAGGATTTAACCCATACTATTGCCTTTCTCCTCTCAATTTTTATTGTTAGTTTACTTATGTCTTTTTCTTTTTTTTAACCTTTGAAACTTGAAATAAAACACTTAAGCTTCTATTTCATGATCCATTAACTTTATACAACATTCCTTGCCTCTCCAGGATATAAGATTCTTCTGCAACTATCACCTCTCAACTTAGGTTCCGGTATTAAGTCTTCCGTGAATTGTCTATTGGTTGACTTTTTAAAGTTGAAAACCATTAAGTAGCATGCACATTATTATAATATGTAGGTATTATTAGTCACAGAGCTTTTAAAAAATATGCTAAGATTCTGTTTCCTCCTCTATATGGTCAATGTCAGAACTCCAGTGTCAACTGAAAGAAGTTCTAGAATCATGGGCAAAAAATATTCTCTTCTAAAACACTATCACTTGCTCAAAATGTTACAATTACATTTTAGCATGTTTCAGGTTTGAATCAAGACTATCCTGTACAACCTTCTGTTTTTCTTGGCATTTCTAAGTGCCTTTTGCTTTTTTGTTGTTGTTGTTTGTTTTGTTTTTGTTTTTGAGATGGAGATGGAGTCTCACTCTGGTACCCAGGATGCAGTACAGTGGCACGATCTCGGCTAACTGTACTTTGCCTTTGCCTCCCGGGTTCAAGCAATTCTCCTGCCTCAGCCTCTCGAGTAGCTGAGACTACAGGCATGCACCACCACACCTGAGTATTTTTGTATTTTTAGTAAAGATGGGAGGTAGGGGTCTCACCATGTTGGTCAGGCTGGTCTCAAAACTCCTGACCTCAAGTGATCCGCTGGCCTCAGCTTCCCGAAGTGCTGGGATTACAGGCGTGAGCCTCCACACCTGGCCTCTAAGGGCCTTTCTTTTATCTAATCTGAAAAAGAAGCATGTCTTCTTCTTAATAGGCTTCTAGGTCAGTTTAAATCTTTGTTGTATCCCATATCTTCCTTTCTCTTGGCTGTCCACATATTTCACTAAAATATATATCCTCAAAATCTTCCTAAAAAGGAATGTGTGGGAGCTATACTTTCTAAGTTCTTGGATGTGTACAAATATCCTAATTTTGCTTTCTCATTGAATTGATAGGTTGGCCATATATGGCATTTTAAATTGAAAATAATTTCAAATTGATATGTTAGAAAGCCCTGACTTATCAGTTTTTCCTACAAAATCAGTTTGTCTGTTTGTCTACCTTAGCATTTTCCTTTTTGCAGTTTATTTTCTTGTAAATCTGGGGATCCTTAATTGCTCATATTTACTGTCTAGCCAACTACTATGCCTCAAGGCTATCCTTCATTAAGGGTTGCTATGTTGGTAGCAGAGACGTTTTGGTGGTCAAGTCGTTTTTCCATTGATAAGGTTCTCTGACAGAAAAGATTATCTTATATCTAGTATACTAGTAGCTTCGCAATCAGGGACCTTACCCCTGACTTTTTACCACTGCATGCCGCAACATTCTGTAGCTAGTAAAGTAACAAACTCATTAATGCATCAAAAGTCCCAGAAATTGCTAAGATAACTAAAACAGTATTTCATGAGGATGTAAATTTCATTCAATAATAAGATAAATGGCCGGGTGTGCTGGCTCACACCTGTAATCCCAGCACTTTCAGAGGCCGAGGCAGGCGTATCACCTGAGGTCAGGAGTTCAAGACCAGCCTGACCAACATGGCAAAACCCCGTCTCTACTAAAAATACAAAAATTAGCCGGGCCTGGTGGCAGGTGCCTGTAGTCCCAGCTACTCGGGAGGCTAAGGCAGGAGAATTGTTTGAATCCGGGAGGCGGAGGTTGCAGTGAGCCGAGACCGCACCACTGCACTCCAGCCTGGGCGACTGTCTCAAAAAAAAAAAGTAATAATAATAATAAGATAAATATAATAGCTGAGAAGCCTGCTATTTCAAAACGACAAATGAATTACTGTTTTCAAGATACAGGTTTTAAAGGGACAAATGAGAAAATGTATATTAAGCAACTTTTTAAAAATAAACAGGAAAGCAGTATAAAATGACAGAAGAACTTTATATTGGCATTGTATCTTCTATCTTTTGTATCTAGATCAACTTCTGGATAAGCAAATTTGTCTGTATACCTGATATTTATTAAAGTATAGATTTTTAAATATTAGCCTATTAAATATTTCATGATTTTAGATATTTCCAATGTCAAACTTTCAAAAGTACATGTTTAACTCCTAATGATTCTTCAATTTTTTGCATATCTTTTTTGTTTCTAATGTTGTTTACAAATGAACAAATTCTTTAGTTAGAAATGCTAGTTTAAGCCAGACATGGTGGCATGTGCCTTATAGCCTTAGCTACTCGGAGGCTGAGGCAGGAGGATTGCTTGAGCTCAGGAGGTTGAGGCTGAAGTAAGCTGTTGATTGAGCCATTGCACTTCAGCCTGGGTGGCAGAGTGAGACCCTATATCTCCCCCCCCCCAAAAAAAAAAAAAAAAAAAAAGAAGAAGAAGAAGAAGAAAGAAAGAGAGAGAGAGAAAGAAGGAAAGAAATGCTAGTTTAGGTGAGAGATTCAATTATATATTATAATTAGACAAGAATCAACAAAGTAATGACTACTTAATTTGTTCTTAATTAAGCTTTTTTTCATTCTTAGTCTTCCTAGAGCATGACTATTCAAATCAGCCTACACTAATCAGTCTAATCAGACTAATTAAAATATCTTATTCTAAAGGATCAAAACATAACAAACACAGCTAGATAACATCACATTGTTATGTTTTTCTTGCCTAATTAATTTTAACCAAAGAACATGGCATATATCAGTTGTTAAATATTAAAAGTCAAATTTGGGCTCATAATAATGGGTTTATGAAATATAAAATAACTGAAATTATAAAATAGCTATTGAAATGTTTTTTGTGTCATTATACTTAATTTCTCTCTTATACAGGCATACCTCATTTTATTGTGTTTTACTTTATTACCCTTCACAGGTACTGCATTTTTTACAAATTGGAGGTTTGTGGCAACCCTGCATAAATCAAATCTATCAGCACCATTTTTCCAACAACATATGCTCACTTCTCATCTGTGTCAGCATTTTTTAGCAATATTTTAAAATTAAGGTACGTACATTTTTTAGACATGATGTTATCGCACACTTAGTAGACTACAGTGTAGTGTAAACATAAGTTTTAAAAGGTTTTTTTAGGTTAACTTTATTTTTTCAATTGAATAATAATTGTACGTATTTATGGGATACATAGTGATGTGTTGATACATATAATATGTAGTGCTCAGATTAGGGTAATTAGAAGATCCATCACCTCAAACATTTATCATTTTTTTGTGTTGGGAACCTTCAATATCCTCCTTCTAGCTATTTGAAACTATGTATTATTTGTAACTACAGTTATGCTACAGTGGTATGGAACACTAAAACTCATTCCTCCTATCTCGCTGTAATTTTGTATACTTCAACAAATCTCTCCCTATCCCCCTTTCCCCATACCATTCTCAGCCTCTAGTATCCTCTGTTCTATTTTTTACTTCTATGAAATAAAAAAACTTTTTTTTGATAGAGACAGGATTCTTGCTATGTTACCCAGGCTGGTCTTGAACTCCTGGACTCAAAGGATCCTCTTGCCTCAGGGTCCCAAAGTGCTGGTATTACAGGCATGAGCCACTGTGCCCAACCAAGATCAACTTTTTCTAGCTCCCACATATGAGTGAGAACATGTGGTGTTTAACCTTCTGTTCCTGGCTTATTTCACTTAACATAATGTCCTCCAGTTCCATCCATGTTGCCATGAATGACAGGATTTCACGCTCTTTTATGGCTGAATAGCATTCCATTGTGCAAATATACTACATATTCTTCATGCATTCATCTGTTGTTGAACACCTAGTTTGATTCCACATCCAGGTTATTATGACTACTGCTGCAATAAACACAGGTGCACAGATGTCTCTTTGATATACTGACTTCCTTTCCTTTGGGTAAATGGGTAGCAGTGGGATCGGTGGGTATGGGTAGTTCTATTTGTAGTTTTCTGAGGAAGTTCCATACTGTTCTCCATAGTGGCTGCCCTAATAACTGGGGAATCTGTTATTATTAATTGTACTAATAACTGGGGAAGATGGGAGTCTTTTTACCTTTCTGGCAAATTTTCTCTATGCTTGGAATTATTTCAAAATGAATCATTAAAAATAATTTTAAAAGGAGAACATGGCAGGAGAAAGTCAGAGACAGTGAGTATAGAAAACGGAATTTTGCTATAATGAGGAGAGTTGAGAAGAGTTTAATCAGTCTCAGCCTTCAACCTGTTTCCGTTGACACCACGTGGATCCAAGAGGAGCTCCCCCAGTAAAACTCAGCCCCAAACAGATCTGCGAGCTAATGAAACCACTGTGTTTTGGGGTAGGTTGTTAGTAGCAATAGTGACTGGAGCAGAGCTCTCTGGGTTTTCTTTTATGAATCTTATACGAGCAGACCTCATTTTATTTTGCTTCACTTTGCTTTGAACAAACCTTCAACTTTTGTTGTTTATCTGTGCTTCACAGATACTGCCATCTTTTGCAAATTGAAGGTTTGCGGAAACCCTGCATGGAGGAAGTGTATCGGCGCCATTTTTCCAACAGCATGCGCTCACTTTGTGTCTTTTTTCACATTCCCCTAAAGAGGGAAACAGCACAGGACTGGGCAGTGCAATGCTTCCATAGTGCACCTCATTGCATGGACGTTCCCCTGAGGCTGGTGGGCAAGCCAGCGCCAAGCAACCCACTCTGTGATCAGCCCACTCCCCATGGGAGTCTTGTCCCTTGGTGGCAAGTGTTTCCATAGTACTACAGAATGGATAGTTGTCCCCTTGAAATCTCATGTTGAAATTTGATCCCCCAGGTTGGAGGTGAGGCCTGGTAGGAGGCGTTTGAAATCCAGGGGCAGATCCCTCATGAATGGCTTGGTGCCATTCTCTGAAAAGTGAGTTCTCACTCTTAGTTCCAGAGAGAACTGACTGTGAAAGAGCCCGGCACCTCCCTCCCTCTCTTTTCCTTTCTCTCTCCTGCTCCCCTTCACTTTCTGCCATGAGTGGAAGCTTTCTGGGGCCCTCACCAGAAGCAGATGCCAGCATAATGCTTCTTGGACAGCCTGCAAAACTGTAAGCCGAATAAACCTATTTTCTGTATAAATTACCCAGCCTCAGGTGATTATTTTATTGCAATGCAAAATGGACTAAGATACATAGCCTCTAGCTGTCCAAGCCATGCTTTTCTTATCTAAACATGCAAAGAAACGAGTAGCTCCCTGCAGTCATAACCACTCATTATAAACCTCCAAAACCGCAGCCCTCACTGGTGACTTTTCAGCCACTGCACACCCAAAGGTCACGTTCTCTCATAGCAGCAAGGCATCCCTGGTACTCCCACAGCTAGAGAGACCAGAGAACTCACTCGTAAGAAACAATAAATCTTTCTGAGTTTCTCTTCAAAGTGTTTAGCCTGTTAACTTCCTTATCCTTTGTTCTCAAACTCAACTTTCTTGTTCTTCCTTGCCCCTACTTACCGTAAACAGCCTTCCCCTTCACATCAGCTCTAATCAATAACTCACATCTGTTCCCTTGGTTACCTGTACCCATTGTTCCCCCACAACTGCACGTCTCACACGATCCACCTCTGTACCTCACGTCCCCCTCCCCTGCTATATTTAGGAAAATATGTACAAGTAGCCAATCGGGTCAGCTCAGACTGTGCGGTCCGACCCCAGCCCATGTGGGAGTGGCACAGGGATAGGGACTGCGTTAAGGATAAAAATATCCTGGTGTCCTTTGTTCTGTGTGTACTTGTGATCTCGATTGACGTGAGTGACACCCTTCTGCAGAAGTAAATTGCCTTGCTGAGAGGATTAAACTTTTGCCTGAGTGCTGGTTTTACTTTGCAGCACCAAGCATTTATTCCTGGAGTATTTTATATCCAACATCACTACAAAAGAGAACAGAGCTCTAGACCCAAAAGAAACCTCCCCTTGACTCTTGGGACTCCATATGGAAGGCAGAAGACCCCCAAAAGGGGGTGTGTGACACCTTTTTCTATGTTCTTAAGGGGTCTCAGGGTTGCTAGAAGTCTCCTCTAGATTCTTCACGTGGTCTTGAAGATAGCAAATGAAGGAGGAGCAGCAGCGGAAGGAAATTGAAAACTAAGTCTTAGAGGAGCCAAACTGGGGCAATTTCAAGCTTTCCAAAACGCAAAAATCATACCAACAAGAAACGCACCACACAGAGGGACCAAACATATAAATTTTTTGCAAGGGGGGATGCTCAGTCAACTGAAAACAAATTCTCAGATACAGGATGCAAAAAGAGAAGAAAGCTGGGTGTGGTGTGGTGGCTCACACCTGTAATCCCAACACTTTGGAAGGCTGAGGCAGAGGTACCACTGCTTGAGCCTGGGAGTTCGAGACCAGCCTGAGCAACATAGTGAGACTTCGTCTTTACAAAAAGTTTTAAAAATTAGCCAGGTGTGGTGGTATGCGCCTGTAGTGCCAAATACAATGGGAGGCTGAGGTGGGAGGATTTCCTGAGCCCAGAGGTCAGGGCTGCAGAGAACCACGATAGTGACACTCTACTCCAGCCTGGGCAACAGAGTAAGACTCTGTCTCAGAAAAATAAGAAATAAAAAAAATCAGCTTTTTTTCCCCCACACACAACACAGCCATAATACCAGCTTTTAATTAAGCTGAGTTCTGACCACAGAGTTCATTAATTGATTAATTTTTAAAATTTCTTGTTTTAGAGACAGGGTCTTGCTCTGTTGCCCAGGCTGGAGTGCAGTGGCGTAATCACAGCTCACTGCAGCCCCAAACTCCTGGGCTCAAGCAATCCTCACTCCTTGGCCTCCTAGAGTGCTGGGATTACAGGTGAGAGCCACCATGCCTGGCCTCCTCTTCAAGTTCTTTTACTTTTGCTTCTGCTGCTAGCTGGGCTTCCGTTCTGTTCACATTCTGTTCACGGAGGTGGCAGCCCCCCTGCAGGGCTGTTTGCCCCTTTCTGCCCTCCCTTGCCGCAGTGAGGTAGGTGGCTCTCGGATAAAGGTCATTCTAAGCCTGCCAGCATTTGGGGAGCATCCCTGTACTTACACCATGGTCCACAAGCATCTAAAACGTGAGCTGCACCGTTCCACACAGATGTGGCACCACCCTGGGGTCTCCCCCAAGGATGCTTCAGTGCCTTTATCCATTTCTTGGTCTCAGTTCCTGGCTAGTTCACCAAATGTTCTGCAGTAAGCCGGGCTGTGCAAACCTGCTCCCAAAGACTGAGGGAGCTGAAAGGCCAAAGAAAGAGGCTGACAATTCCAGTTTCTCAGAAAGAAACATTTAATAGGGACTTAACAAACAGAAGCCATGTCTCAGGCAGCTGCAAGATGGTGGAACCCTGCAACAGCCCTCCAGGAAAAAATTTTGTATATATATATAAAAAATATATATACAAATTTATATATATACACACAAATATGTATATACTATATGTATAAATATATAATTATATACTTGTATATAAATATATAATTATATACTTGTATATAAATATATAATATATACTTGTATATATTATATATATACAAATTTTGTATCTATATTATATATTATATATATTATATATGGCAAATAGAAGCCAATTCAATCTTTAAACTAAGTTATTGTAATTTTGTCTTCTGAGAGCTCTAAAGTGAAAACAATACAATATATTATATATTTTATATATTTTTAAATATATATTTAATATATTTTTTGAATATATATTTTAAGATAGAGTTTTGCTCTATCTCCCAGGCTGGAGTGCAGTGACATGATCATGCCTCACTGAAGTCTTGATCTCCTGGGCTCAAGTGATCCTCCCACCTCAGCCTCCCAGGTTGCTATTAATAGATAACAGGTATGAGCCACTGCCACAAGCTTTTTCGGTAAAACGTGTAGCTGGTCACGCCTCAGACTTTTTGTGAAACCTATGACCACTGGAAAGGTCCAATAAACATCTCTATGAGGGATTATCTATGCCTGAGACAGATTCTCACTTGTAGCCCAGGCTAGAGTCAGTGGTGTGATCGTAGCTCACGGCTCACTGTAAGCTCGAATTCCTGGCTTAAGCAATCCTCTCACCCCAGCCTTCCGAGTAGCTAGGACTACTCTTAGGTTCTTACCCAAGAGGAATAAAAACAGATGTTCACAAAAAGATTTGTACGAGAATGTTCTGTCAGGAGACAATTCTCCGTAGGTCTCTGGTATTTTACACATCTTGTGAGCAGAAGTACTGGCTGCCTTTTTCTGAGGTATCTGTGTGTTTGCACAGAGAACAGCCTTGGAAGGTAACAATAATGTCGCCCTCCAGGGCAATTATAAAAGATTAGGAATCCTAAAGCTCAGGGTTTCTCTCTTGTAACACCTGCATAACTGTATGCAGATGTCACTTGGCTCTCTCCATGTCACCCTGTGGAAACTGGAGCCTAGAGGGAACTCTCACAAATTCCGATAACTGTGGCCACTGCTATTGCTATGAGCAGGAAAACTGTCACTCACTCAGGAGTCTTGTGTTATCTGCCAGCATCCATGAAATTGCAGCAGGCTAATTTGTAATCTTGCAAATAGGATAACATTCAGACCCTGCATAGTTCTTGGCATGTTTGTAGCAGCTTCTTTCCTAATTGTCCTGTTAAACAAGGTTTATGGGAGGCTGTTGTTTTGGACTAGTCTCCTGCACTGGGCCCCGGGAGACTAGATCAAACCAGAATGTAGTCACTTGTACTAACTGCCACATAATCAAACTGAACATTGACATGGGCGAGTTTTCCTAAAAATCAGGAGATTCCAGTCAACTTGAGTCAGTATAATAAGGAATTTACCTCTGTTCAGTACTGCAAGGAAAGTGACTGAAAAGACCCATCTGCTTTTTTCTTTGCTTCTGCCTTCTTTAGCCCTTTCCTGCCTATAAAGCCAGTGCCTCCACCCAGCTCATTGAAACACTCCTTCCACTTTATAGAATGAGGTGCTGCCTGATTCCATGATGGCAAATACAAGCCAATTCAATCTTTAAACTAAGTTATCGTAATTTTGTCTTCCGACAGCCCTAAAGTGGAAACAACACAAATGTCCATCAACTGGAGAAGAGATCAAATGAGTTGTGCTATACTTAAATGATGTAATACCACTCAGCCATAAAAAGGAATGAACTATGGAGACCAACCTGGGCAACATGGTGAAACCTTGTTTCTAAAAATAAACAAAAATTAGCCAGGCATGGTGGCGCATGCCTGTAGTCCCAGTTACTCAGGAGGCTAAGGTTGGAGGATCACCTGAGCCTGGGGAGGTCGAGGCTGCAGTAAGCCGTGATCATGCCACGGCACTCCAGCCGGGGCGGCAGAGTGAAACCCTGTCTCAAAAACAAACAAAGGAATGAACTGGCCAGACACAGTGGCACACACCTGTAATCTCAGTGCTTTGGGAGGCTGAGGAGGGAGGATTGCTTGAGGTCAGGAGTTTGAGACAAGCCTGGGCAACACAGTGAGACCCCATCTCAACAACAACAAAAAAATATTTTAATTAGTTGGGCATGGTGGTATGCAACTATAGTCCCAGCTACTCAGGATGCTGAAGCAGGAGGATCACTTGAGCCCGGAATATTGAGGCTGCAGTGAGCTGTGATTGTGCCACTGCCCTCCAGCCTGGATGACAGAGCAAGATCTTATCCTAAAAAAAAAAAAAAAAATTAAGTTAAATTTTAAAATAATAAATAAAATGAAAACAGATTTGAACTGCTGAAACACACAACACGAATGAATCTCAAAAACAGGCTGAGCAAAAGAAGCCTTACATAAAATAGTGCTGTGTGATGGCACTTACGTGAAGTTCTAGAATAGGCACGACTAATCTATGGTATGAAAATTAGGACAGTAGTTATTTCTACGTATGGGCAAAGCTGGGGACTGATTAGGAAGGTGCACAAAGGAACCTTCTTGGGTCATGAAATGTTTTCTAGATAGGGGTTGGGTGCAGTTTTGCATTTTTAAAGACTCATAGAATGAATGATACAGTTAATATCTGTCTATGTCACTATATGTGAATTTTACCTTGAAATAAAAACAACACTATAAAAATGCAATGATCTAGATAAGTATTTGCAAGCTGAAGTGTTTAGGGATATACTGTACTCAGGTCTGCAACTTTCTTGCTTTTATTTTTTATGTTTTTAGAGATGGGATCTTGCTTTGTCGCCCAGGCTGGAGTGCAGTGGCATGACCATAGTTCACTGCAGTTTTGAACTCCTGGGTTCAAGTGATCCTCCCACTTCAGCCTCTCGAGTACCTGGGACTCCAGGCACATGCCACCTTGTCTTTTTTTTTTTTTTTTTTTTTTTGGTAGAGATAGTCTCACTATGTTGCCCAGGTGCTGATAACTCCTGACTTCAAGGGATTCTCCTACCTCAGCCTTATGAGTAGCTGGGATTACAGGTGTGAGCCAGTTTTGCAACTTGCTTTGAAATGCATTTAAAAATAAGATAAATTGGGAGGCTGAGGAGGATAGATCACCTGAGGTCAGGAGTTTGAGACCAGCCTGGCCAACATGGTGAAACCCCGTTTCTACTAAAAAATACAAAAATTAGCCGGGCGTGGTGGCAGGCACCTTAATCCCAGCTACTCATGAGGCTGAGGCAGGAGAATCGCTTAAACCCTGGAGGCAGAGATTGCAGTGAGCCAAGATGGTGCCACTGCACTCCAGCCTGAGTGATAAGAGTGAGACTCTGTCTCAAAAATAATAATAATAATAAATAAAATAAGATGAATTGATGGATGGATGGGTACATGGATAGAGAATGGAGAGAAAGGTGATGAAACAAATAGAACAGCATATTGACAATTGTAGAATTTAATGATTGGGTATACCACTGTGCAACTCTTTCAACTTTTCTATATATGTGAAAATTTTCATAATAAAATATTGGAGAAAAAGGCATATAAAAATTCTAATGGGGTTAGAGAGATTGTACTGTGAAAGGAGTTTGTTAATGAAAATAAGGTTGGGAAATAGCCCTCAAAGCTAAGTTTCTCAGTCTTTTCAATTATTATCAATAAGCTATCAATTCAGAGATGTCTGCCAGACAAGAAAGAGACAGAGAAGGGAGAGAAATGAAAGAGGATGGCAAGATTTCTAGCTTGGTATAAAAGGAATATTTCAAGTGTGTCCATTTGCTACATAAAACTTTACTAATAAAAAAGGAAGTATCTTTTAAAATTATCCTGGACAAGTTTGTAAGTAATATGATTCATACAAATCATCCCCTAACACCACCGAAATTCTGATAAATCAATGAAAATTTTATTACATTATGAACATGTATTATATATTATTATTGTGCAAGGCTAGATACTTCAATTTATGACACTATTGTATTACTTTTTTTGCATGTTGTATGTATTTTTTAATTTATAAAAATCATTTTGGTTATATCTGTAATGTTTTTAATGATGAAATAAATTATTATATTATTTCATTGGGGAAAAATATGATTTACTTCATATCACAGTTCTCAGCAACCATTTTGCGAAAATAAGTTACTACTTATATTTGAAATACAGAATTATATTAGGATAATTGTCTTACTATTTATATTCTATGTGAGGAAATTGGATTGGATGATCATAGATCTTTTTAGCCCAATATCCTATTCTTTTTTCTGTTTCCTGAGCAGAAAATAAAAATCACAGCTGATTTTTTCCTTCCAAACAGAAACCATCATTGTTTTCTTCCCCCATATTGCATCACTTTCATAAATAGTTCAAACAATACAGAGACAGAACATGTTCTCATGCATATTCCATCCAGATAACGAACACTTTGCTGTTTGCTGTATGTCATAAATATGATTCATGCCAAAAATTTAAAATCTGTCTTTTAAAAACTATACACAGTATTCTACTGCAATATATATATTTTAATTGACTTATTCAAGCCCGTGTTGATGGAGCTTTCATTATTAAAAATAACAATAGTCTAAATATTCTTGTGCATGCCACACTTGTCCTATTATAACCTTAGACTACGTTTTTGGATCACAGTCTATGTATATTTAAAATTTTGTTAGATATCCTAAATTTCTCTCTAGGGAGCCTACACCAATTTACAGTTCCACCAACCATGTTAGGTTTTAGTTACTGCTTCAGCTTCTAGAACCCTGCAGCTTACTTCACAACTTAAACTGCTTAACAAAGGAACTCTGAGATATTCACTAGTAGGACATTTCACATCCTTTGTTTACCAGATACTGCCATTTAAATCAAAGACTTCAAAAATATTGAAGGATATTTCAATTGATCATCTTTTCTTGTAATTAGACTCCCTAAGGAGTGGTAACCCACTCTAGTTTTAAAAGCCTATCATTTTGAAAGCCTGCAACAGCCACTATAAGGAAATCCTTTTGATGGCAAACTTCAAAGCCCTGTTTTGGTTAAGGCTCTTTTCTTTGTGTTTCAACTTCAGGAAAAAGATGAAATACCTGATTGCTTTACTTGAAGACTAAAAATTTAGTCATTAAAGGCACGTCTCCACAAGCACAGCTGAATCCAACAGGACTGAAACACTGCATTCCTTAAATAAAGACTGACATCTCTTCTCCTGTTTGGAAAGCTCTGTGCTAGGTATGAATGGAAAAGAAGGAGAAAATGGGAAGGGAGAGGGCCAGTGACCTAATATCTGTTTGAAAAAATTACTAAATAAAACTATTAAGTGCTTCGGAAAGATTGGGAGCTGAAGTGAATGTTTCTGGCTGAGTCACAAATAGCGTATCTACATGTTGCAGCCAGAGGCAGAACCACAGATAGAGCAGTGAATCGGAATGTCTATGCTCCATTAAACAACCCTCTGCAAATCATACTATCACAGGCCTTGTTCAATCCAGCCAGGCCACAGACTTTAGAGAGGTTTAAAAACTTACTCAAGGTCACCTGTAAACAGTAAGTGGCAAATTCCAGACCGAACCCAAAGTCTATTTGATTGTGAGACTCCACTTCATTGCCTTGGTCCATATTATTTCACGTAAGTGTCCGAACAACCCTAAAAAGTAGTTAGCATTAACACCATTTTTGCAAATGACCTAACAAAGGTTAAAAAAATATGATTGGCCAGGAGTGGTGGCTCCTACCTGTAATCCCAGCACTTTGGGAGGCCAAGGTGGGCGGATCACCTGAGGTTGGGAGTTCGAGACCAGCCTGATCAACATGGAGAAACCCCGTCTCTACTAAAAACACAAAATTTGCCAGGCATGGTGGTGCATGCCTGTAATCCCAGCTACTCAGGAGGCTGAGGCAGGAGAATCGCTTCAACCTGGGAGGCAGGTTGTGGTGAGCCAAGATTGTGCCATTGCACTCCAGCCTGGGCAACAAGAGCAAAACTCCGTCTCAAAAAAAACACAAAATATGATTGGCTGGGCGCAGTGGCTCATGCCCATAATCCCAGCACTTTGGGAGGCCAAGGCAGGCAGATCATCTGAGGTCAGGAGTTTGAGACCAACCTGGCCAACATGGTGAAACCCCATCTCTACTAAAAATACAAAGATTAGCTGGATGTGGTGTTACACGCCTGTAATCCCAGTTACTCCTGAGGCTGAGGCAGGAGAATCTCTTGAACCTGGGAGGCAGAATTTGCAGTGAGATGAGACTGCACCACTGCACTCCAACCTGGGTGACAGGGCGAGACTTCATCTCAAAAAAAAAAAAAAAATCATAAAGCATAGATCAGCAAAGTATGGCTCATGGGCCAAATTCAGTCTTTCACTTGTTTTTCTAAATAAAGTTATTTTGGAACACAGCCATATTCATTTGCTTACATACGGTCTATGGTTGCTTTTTCACTATAAACAGCAGAGTTGAGTAGTGCAACAGAGACCATATGGACTGCAAAACCTAAAGTGCTTAGTATCTGGCCCTTTAAGAAAAAGTTTGCTGACCCTGACATAAAGCAGGAATTAGAGCCAACATTCAAACTCAGTTCTGTCAAATACCAAAAATTCTGTGCCACGTTATCTAGTCTAAGTATGCCTGCTCATTGTGTATACAGATTTTTGCAAAGTGTTTGACAGTATTTTTCGTATCCTTGTGGATAAGTTAAAGTAATGTGGCCTGGATGAGTACAGTTACTTGCTAATTCAGTGTCTATGAGTAGAGGTTCTCCCAGCATCATCCTAACTGTGACTGCCTGGTCAAATCACATCTGGGTTGTATATACGATATTTTGGTGAATCATCTTGGAGTTGAGGAGAGGTTTCTTTAATGACTGGTAGAAAACTTGAAGGGAATTCTTTGTTGATTGTCCATCAAAAGCTAGCCAAGCTCAATCCTTCCATGAAAGTAATACAACTTAAGATGTCTGGTTATAGACTGAAACAGGGAAAGCTTGAATAGGATTCTCTGTGGTAAAGAATTTGCCAACTTCCACCTAAAGGCAATAGTCTCTAATCCCTCCTAGAAGCCAACCCTCTGTTCTCATGCTGTTATGAAGAAATAATCAAGACTGAGTAATTTATGAAGGAAAGAGGTTTAATTGCCTCACAGTTCAGAATGGCTGGGAAAGTCTCAGGAAACTTACAATCATGGCAAAAGGGGAAGCCAACATGTCCTTCTTCACAAGGCAGCAGGAGAGAGAGAAGTGGTGAGCAAAGGGGAAAAAGCCCCGTATAAAACCATCAGATCTTGTGAGAACTCACTCACTATCATGAGAACAGCATGGGGGTAACCACCCTCATGATTCAACTACCTCTCACCAGGTCCCTCCCATGACCTGTGGGAATTATGGGAACTACAATTCAAGATGAGATTTGGGTGATGACACAGCCAAACCATATCACCAACAAAATGACAATGAAGCATTAAATAAAATAAAAACCACAAGCCCACAAGGACAAAGAGAATGGGAGAGAGGAGACAAAAATAATGACATTTGGAAGCTACAAAGCGATTGATATGCTAACCACTTTGGCCAACCCAGCCACGAAGCAAGTCAATTTACTGTGAAATTCCCCCAGAAAGCTCAGAAATTAGAAACAGTAGGCAAAAAGTTTAAGAGCTAAAACCAGGAGGATTGGGTGAAAGTCTTTTTAAGAAATAATCAGTCCCCACGTTTTATCCCTATTCCATGTGTTCATCCACATACCTCCACTCCAGGCCTCCTTATCGCCAATGTTCCAGGCTTTTTCTTTTCAGATCCCTGAGCAGACAGCCAGGCAATCGGCTTGGGCATGGGAAATGGGCAAGAAATTATGACTTTATGGGGGACGACTTTCTTTGGACTCCTAATGGTTCATATTTGCTTCCTTTTTTGGGTATCAATATCAAGTAGCAGCTCGTTAGCCGCCTGCTTATTTTTCCCTAAGGGACAGCATGTGCTGTTAACCACCTTTATAACTCCCCGTTGGCTGCGCCCCATGGCTGTCCCTTTGACCTTACTGGTCACTATGTTAAATGAAGCCTCTTGGCCTCTGGATGTTAAGTGCTGCTGCCTAACCTATATTATGTCAAGGCCCCATTTTCCCCATGAATATTGGCAAGTCCAGCTCTGTGCCTGTCTCTCCTACCATCATTCCTGACTTGCAAAGGAGGAGATCACTGAACACCTTAGTAATGCTGGTGCCCCTCTAGCAAGCACATGTCTAATGGCCTTGGTGGATGGCACATCCTGGGGCCCTCCTGGGGAACATGGCCCTCTGGGGGGTCTTCTGGCCTCACGTATTATACCCATTCCAACACAGCCTCACATATTATACCCATTCCAACTTCCCTCAACCTCTTCATTCTTTCCTCTACCATCTCCCAGGGAAACTCAGACATTTCTGCTTCACCGAGTGTTAGTCATTGCTTTTTCTAGGCTTCTAAATTATTGCTTTTCCTAGCCTTTCTAGGCTTTTGAACTAAAAAAGTTTGCCCTGTTCCTTGGGATTTTTACCATGTTAAATCTTATGTCTTGAGAAAATGTTCCAGAATAATGAATTCTTGCTTATCCAGTCTTTCATTCTGATCTCTTGAACAGGAACGCTCAAAATCCAATTCCAGTAGTACTCCCTTGACTCCTAATAGTACACGCTAGCCAATTCCAGCAACTCCTTTAGTAGCATCTCTTTCCCCCACTATCAGGCCCAGCATGTCCCTGCCAGGCTATGCTGGGATTCAATTCTAGTTATTGGCTTGGAACTCAGGACAGCTAGCGGCAGTAGCTACTGAGGGATACCCCTCTTATATTGTCAGGGAGAGGCCTATGCAATGATTTCCATCATGGAAGAACTGTCAGCTCTTACTGTGGAAGGTTGGCACCTTTGAAAGTGTGGGGGGTGGGTACAGTGTCAACATCTTTAAAGGTGAACATCCAGTTGTCTCCATTCCATATTTCAGAGTCCCAGGTTTTCTCAACCAGGACTCTGCCCTTAGCATAACAGACCTGCTATTGGCTGAGACTTCAAACATCCTGGAGCTCCACTGTATCTGCTCTCTATTGCAGGAGATAAGGGCCTCCTTGTGTACTCCCAAAAAGGCCTTATGGCTCTTGGCCATTAACTGCTTATTAATGATGCTCAGTTCCTAATTATCCATCTGTAAGATATTAATACAATTTATCAGCAACTATCCAATTCAGCTGTCATAGAAGGCATTGTTCCCCTCATAGCTCTCAAATTCCTGAATCATTTTATCTGCAAGAGTGCTCCCCTCCACCTAGACATTTTCCCAGTTCACCACTGGTAAAATCTTTAGCAACTGGGCTACGAACATGTGCCAGGACTATCTGTGTCCACTTACCCTTCAAGATGGCATCCTTAACACCTGCCAAGTGGTGAGTCAATAAATCCTAACTCCCCATATTTTCGTCTGTTTTCTAAGACTCCAATTTCTGTACTATGTCTGTTAGTAAGAGTCTGCTGAGAGGCAAATGCCAAGATGGGACAAGAAGACATCCAAGAGATATAAATTAGGTAAAACAGCCTTGAGAGAAAATTGGGAAGATACTGGTGGAAACTGGGAGAGATAACAGTCATGACACATGTGTTAAACTTGTAAATAGAGGGAGGAAGAAAGGAAAGACAAAAGGGTGGGAGAGGAGGAAGGGAGAGGAGAGAAAGGAAAGAAGGAAGAAGGAAGGAAGAAAGGGAAGAAGAAAGGTTAGAAGGAAGGAAGAAAGGAAGGGAAGAATGAAGCAAGGAAGGAATAGAATTCATAAACTACAGTGCAGTTCTAAGAAAGTTTTGATAAGCCCATGAGGAGCCTTCAAGCCAAAGACTCCCATGAGATGAATCCTGCTTCTTGTAGGAATTGTCCTGCTTTAGTATTCCTGCAACTCTTAGTAATTGACTAAGCCAATGGGAAGACTGGTCTTGGCAAGAATGCAGTGATGCATTCGGAACAGAGTATCTGGAGCAATCAATCAGTTGTGATCCCTTCAGTCAGAGACCCAAGAGCTATATTCTTCATGGCTGCCACACTTTATATGCCCAAGGGAAAGGAGGAACCATCTTTTGCAGGAATTCAGGTATCTGACACATGCAACAAAATGGCCCAGCCTGACCACCTGACAATGAATGAGGCCCACAAGTCCCAAGCCCTACCCACATGTACAAAGCTTGCAGACTGGCCAGGGATGGTGGCTTATGTCTATAAATCCCAGCACATTGGAAGGCAATGGTGGGAGAATCACTTGTGTCCAGGAGTGTGAGACCAGCCTGGGCGACATAGTGAGACCCCATCTCTTAAAAAAAAAGAAAAAATTAGCGGGGCCTAGTGGCCCATGTTTATAGTCCTGGCTACTTGGGAGGCTGAGGTGGGAGGATTGCTTAAGTCCAGGAGGTTGAGGCTGCAGTGAGCTACAATTGTACCATTGCACTTCAGCCTGAGTGATACAGCTTTTTTTTTTTTAAAGTTCTACCCTTTTAAATAAACTTGGACAGTCAAGGATTACTGAACATTTAAGGAAAGTTTGTAATAAGAAATTCAGAGATCAGGCCGGGCATGGTGGCTCATCCCTGTAATCCCAGCACTTTGGGAGGCTGAGGTGGGTGGGTCACAAGGTCAAGAGATCGAGACCATACTGGCCAACATGATGAACCTCCGTCTCTACTAAAAATACAAAAATTAGCTGGGCATGGTGGCATGCGCCTGTAGTCCCAGCTATTTGGGAGGCTGAGGCAGGAGAATCGCCTAAACCTGGGAGGCGGAGGTTGCAGTGAGCCAAGATCATTCCACTGCACTCTAGCCTGGTGACAGAGTGAGACTTTGTCTAAAAAAAATAAATAAATAAAAAAGAAAAAAATAAAAAAGAAATTCAGAAGCCAAAACAAATACAAACAACCACAAAAATGGCAATCTCACAACCTGAGAGAATTAGAGATTATTCAAGAAGATATATATTTGTTTTCTGTTAGCCTCAGGAAAATAAGATAGGTTAACTCATGCAAGTAGAAAACCGAATTTTTACGTAAAAAAATTTAGAGACCAATAACAACAAAAATTTCTTGGAAATTATGAAAACAGAAATGAAAAACTCAGTAAATACATTGAAAATGAAGAAATTTCCCAGAAATTTAAGCAAAAAGACAAATAATTAGAAAATAGGAAGGAGGCCAGGTATGGTGGCTCAAGCCTGCAATTCCAGCCCTTTGGGAGGCTGAGATGGGAGGATCACTTGAGCTCAGGAGTTCAAGAACAGACTGGGCAATACAGAGAGACTCCATCTCTCAAAAAAAAAAAAATTCGAAAAAAAAATAGGAGAGAAAAGGCAATAAAAGTAGAGGATCAGTATAAAGATTCAATGCCAAATGATAAGAGTTACAGAAATAGACAACAGAGAAGTGGGGAGGGAAGCATCAATGAAATAATTTATGAAAATATCCTCAGAACTGAAGTGCATGAGTTCCTTGATTGAGAGCATCCATGAAGTGCCTAACTCCCCCAAATAATAAAATTAATCCAAACTCTAGATAAATGATTATGAAATTTCATAAAACTAGGGACAAAATAAAGAATCTTAAACCATTTTTTCCCCTCAGAGAGTGGGAAAATTCAAGCATTTTTCACAGAGGATTAGGAATCAGAGTGACATTGAATTTTTCAACAGCAGTACTAGAAGCTAGGAAAACTGTAGCAAAGCCTTTAATATTCTGAAAAAGAATTATTGCCAATCAATATAGCTGGTCAAACCAAGTCAACTAATTGTCCGCATAGAAAAAAGACATTTTAAGATATGCAAGGTCTCAAAAAATGATTCTCTACACATCAATTCTCAAAAAGCTACTAGAACATGTGCTTTGCCAAAATGAAAGGGTAAACCAAGGAAGAAGAAGACATATCCAGGAAAGAAGCAATCTGTTATGGGCCGAACTGTGGCCCCAAAATTCATATGCTGAAGTCCTAACCCCAGTACCTCAGAATGTGACTGTATTTTGGAGATAGGGCCTTTAAAGAGGTAATTAAGGTAAAATGAGGTCACATGGGTGGACCCTAATTCAATATGAGCAGTGCACTTGTAAGAAGAGGAGATTAGGACACAGACACACACAGAGGAAAGACTGTGAACACAGAGAGAGAAGACAGCCATCTACAAGGCAAGGAGAGAGGCCTTAAAAGAAATTAACCCTGTCAACACCTTGATCTCAGACTTCCAGCCTCTAGAACTGTGAGAAAATAAATTTCTGTTGTTTAAGCCACTCAGTCTATGATACTTTATTATGACAACCCTAGCAAATGAGACAGGACCCAGTATAAAATGATGAAGGGACTGCCCAGGATGATGGTAAAGGAATACCCCAAATGACAGTGAAGGCATGCCTAGAGAGCAACTAATGCAATTTGAGCAAGTTGGGAACCTCTGGGAGAGATGTCTCCAAGAAGATGAAACTAGTAGAACATCTTATGTGTTTAAATATATTGAACACACAATTGAGGCAGAATTTGGGAACAAATTACCAATAAGTAAATAGAAAACTAAGAACACAATAAAATAAATAGAAGGCAATTATCAACTCTTTAGAAAATGAAAAGTTGTGAAGGAAAGAAAGGGCAGTTATGACATATTACATGATATATCTGAGAACATAGTGTCAATCATGTAAACACTGAAGGCTGATCAAATCTTCAGAAGACAAAAAGTTGTGCAGGAACAGAAAGGTAATCATGGCACATTACATGATGTACCTGTGAACAGTATTTGCACAGCATCGATCATGTAAATATTGAATACTGATCTGACCCAAATTGTCATATTAACTATACTGAGGGAGACAGGAAGTCTGTGTATGTAGGTGTGTGACAGAGATGGGGACCATGGGAGGCAGGGAAAGGAAGTTTCTCACATATTCCATACTGATTAATCAGTTGGTAGTACCAGAAGTGGAAAAATCAAGTGTCAAGAACTGTGAAGAATCTGAGATTTTACCGTACTTTAAGCTATCAAGTTAGCCTGCCACAGTTCATGCATGCTAACAGAAGATACAAAACTCTGGGGTCAGAAGCAAAGTACTTTGTTAGTTGTGGCACAGCAAATGGTATGAGCTTCACATTCACAATCATTCCTTTTACACTCACTCAGTCCCATGAGGGCGATGTGTGGCAGCACAGGTGGATACTACACATGCAAAAGGTTTGCATCACAGCTGAGGAATCTTTAAATAGAAAATTCGATCTTTTATAATGGGCTGCAAACAAACCTGTCCAGCCTTTGCCCCAGAAAGAGACATCATCTTTATTATACTGCACAGTGAGCAAACCTGATCTCTACTCCGGAGAGACTATCTCTTCTAATGCTTTGCTGTACATATATCCAAAAAAGATAGCTTGGAAAAAAAGCTGTAAGTGCCTCTGCTTGTGAGACATTCAAAAATGCAAGAAATTCATGGAGAATTGCCTCTCAACATCAAGAAATAACAATGTAAGCACACTACAGACAGTCCCCAACCTACAATAGTTCAACTTACCATTTTTCAACTCTATAATGGTGTGAAAGTGATATGCATTCAGTAGAAATCACACTTCGAATTTTGATCTTTTCAATACTTTATCATAAAATATACTTTGTGTTAGAGAATTTTGCCCAGCTGTAGGCTACTGTAAGTGTTCTGAGCATGTTTAAGGTAGGCGAGGCTAAGCTACGATGTTCGGTAGGTTAGGTTTACTACATGTAGTTTCAACTTAGGATATTTTCAATTTTATAGTGTGTTTATTAGGACACTACCCCATCATAAGTTGAGGAGCATCTGTATTTAGCAATAGAGAGGTAAATATAAAAATAATTAGTTAAAAGAGTTGAACGTCATTGCCTCTGGAGAGTGGATGTTGGCATTGGGAAGGGGAGTTAGACAGTTGACCACTGTTTACACCACAGCTCTTGAAGTACTATGTGACTCTTTAAAATATGTGCATGGATAACTGATAAAAATGAAAATAAAAATTTTAAAATTTCATAGGAAGCATTATATACTTTTAGATGTTGAGATTTATCTAAGACTGAAACTATCTACAAGGTCAAACTCCAAATTATTAATATTCTAAATAGCCTCACGGTTATCACTGATAATGCTTAAAAAGCAAATGCTATAATTTAAATTTGTGACATAAATTTTACCATTTACCCCCCAAGAAATGATTGAACAAGGCATTGCCTTCACAACATATGATGGAAAATTCAAATAACTTTGCTATACTGGATAGATGCTTATGAGGTAAAATTTCTTATCTGAATAAGCTTTATGGTTTATTTACTCCTGGAAAGCATTTAGGATTTGGATGGGACTGGAGGGAGGGAAGTATTCATCCACTTTCAACAAATCAGTCAACATGATAACGTTTCTATATTTTCTTCTATATTTAGTCTATAACGGAGGTAGAAAAAAAAGTCAGCTGAGAACAGTGGCTCACACCTGTAATCCCAGCACTTTGAGAGTCCTAGGCGGGAGAATTGCTTGAGGCCAGGAGTTTGAGACCAGCCTGAGCAACGTAGTAAGACCCTCGTCTCTACAAAACATTAAAAAATTAGCTGGGCATGGTAGCACACACCTGTAGTCCCAGCTGCTTGGGAAGTTGAGGCAGGAAGATTCGTTGGGCCCAGGAGTTCGAGGTTAAAGTGAGCTATCAGGAAGATTCGTTGGGCCCAGGAGTTTGAGGTTAAAGTGAGCTATGATTGTGCCACTGCACTCCAGCCTGGGGGACAGAGCAAGAACCTATCTCCAAAAAAACTCAAGAAAGAGCAAGCTCAGCTACCAAAAGGACTTAGCATGCTTTCTTTTGAGGAGGGGGTAGATAAGTTATATCAAAAACTCAGAAGAAAGGGGGGAATTTAGAAGTAATACTATCTCAACCTCAGGAGGGAATGAGAAAGAAAAATGAATTTAGCAGAAGTGTGGAGGCACAAAATAGCTTTCCAACAGCACCACCACCACGCAATCCCTCACTGCCAAATTTTGAGACAGATCGTTTAGTATAGCTTTGTTGTTAATTTGAAGGATTGCAAGGAACATTCAAACATAGCCATAATTCAAATATAAGGATAAACTATTCTACAGTGTTAGCTAAAATTATTCGGTATAATCTGGAATTTGTATGGATATAGGGTTAAATCCAGACAGACTGGCTCCAGGGTCCACGACTTCAGCCACTATGTCATATAAATATTTAACAAAAAATAAATATATATTTAAGTTAAATGTACAGTGCTTGACACAGAATAGTCGTTTCAGAAATAGTAGATGTTATTATTTTAAACAGAGAAAGAAGATATATACAGTTACAGGGTACAACACCCAAGAATAAACTTGGTGATATCTTTGTCACTACATTGAGAAAGTCTACCAGAAAATGAATCCAACCCAAAGAAAGAGGAATCTAAAGTTAATAACGGAGAGTCCTGGTGATGGCATTTGAAACCCTAGAAGCAACTGGAGTCAGTATCTTACACTTCCTGGTTAGGTGTACCAGTAAATTCTCCTTATTTTAAAAAATGAGTTTGAATTTGATTTTGATATAGTTTCAATGTTTGCCCCCTCAAAATTGTATGTTGAAATGTGATCCCCAGTGTTGGAGGTGAACCTAGTGGGAGGTGTTTGGGTCATAGAGGTGGATCCCTCATGAATGGCTTGATGCCCTCCCCTTGGGGATGAGAGATCTTGCTCTGAGTTCACAGGAGAGCTGTTTGTTTAAAAGAGCCTGCACCTCCTCCCCTTTCTCTTGCTCCCTCTCTTGCCATGTGACATGACTACTCTGCCTTCATCTTCTACCAGGAGTAAAAGCTTCCTGAGGTCCTCACCAGAAGCAGATGCTGGTGGCATGTTTCTTGTACAGCCTGCAGAACTGTGAACTAAATAAATCCCTTTTATTTATAAATTACCTAGTCTTGGGCCTTCCTTTACAGCAACGCAAAATGGGCTAACACAGATTTCCACTTTATTCTGAAAGATGTCTAACAGCTTTATTACACAAAAATTTATTAAGCATCTATTACATGCCAGGCATTCTACCAGTCATCAGAGATAGAATGGTGAACACACTTCTGATTTTTGTTCTTGCACTTCCACAGTCCTAGCCAACTACCCTAAAAGACAGCTGGTTCAGCCAAAGCTGTCAATTCATAGTAATTTATGGATCCTTGGAAGATATAATATAATTCCTTGAGAAGCCAAGGATATTGAAGAGTTCTTGTCATAGACTCCAAATAAATGGCCACTAATTATTTTCAGCATCTTCCACCTAAAGACAGAGTCTATTTCTCCATCCCTTGAATCTGAGGGCTTGGCATGTGACTTGTTTTGGTCAGTAAGATATTAGTAAATAACATGCAAACAGGAGCTTGAAAAGTGCTTGTGTGACTCTTTCAGAAGAAAATTATGGAAATCCAATTGAAAGGTGGGCTATTGAGAGACCATTGCTGAGAGTGGATCAGCCACCCTAGGTGCCTCAGCTAAGCCTAGCCCCCACTGAAACCACCAACTGGCTACAACTGAGTGATCATAGGCAAGACCAGCAGAAGAACAGTTGTTTAAGGCTAATATGTTGTGAGGTGAATTATTACAAAGAGCAAAGGCAAACTCATACAGTTCTGACATTGTTTTTGTAATGAGTTCTAAATATCATATCTTTTAAATATACAAAATAGAAAATTTCAATTACGTAACAGTGTTTTTACCCAATGAACTGTTTAGGGAAGAGGCCTCAGGTACCAGTACTAAGGATATAGGCAACAGGCCTTATGGAATCTTATACTTTATTCTTTCAAGGATGGGGATATCTTTAAAATATTTTAGTCAACTCTTATATCTGTTTTTTAGATAACAGCATTATTCAGATAAAATTCTTATGCCACATATGACATTAGATGCATGTATATTTACAATTTTTATCTCTTCCTGATGTATTTACCCTTTTATCATTATGAAATGCCCCTCTTTCTCTCTTGTAATATTCCTTGTCTTGAAGCATATTTTGTGTGGTGTTAACAGCTGATTCAACTTTCTTGTGATCACTACTTGCATGGTATATCTGTTTCCATCTTATTTCTTTCAAATGATAAGTGTCTTTAGATCTAGAGTATGTCTCTTTCAGACAGTCTATAGTGGGACTTGCTTTTGGTTTTGAATCCAGCTTGGCAGTCTTTTCCTTTTGATTGCAGGGTTTAGTCCATTTACATTTAATGTAATTACTGACATAGTTTGATTTACGCTTGCTATTTGAAGTTTGTTTTCTGTATGCCTTATCTTTCTTTTTTCTTTGTTCCTCCTTTTTATTATTATTGTTTTTGATTGTGGCATAATACGCATAACATAAAATTTACCATCTTAACCATTTTAAAGTGTACAGTTCAGAGTCATAAAGAACATTCACATTGTTGTGCAACCATTCATCTCTCTTTTCTTGCAAAATGGAAACTTTATACACATTAAATAATAATTTCCAATTCTCTCCTGTGCACAGCCCCAGGTAACCACCATTCTACTTTTCATCTCTATGAATTTGACTTCTCTAGGAGCCTTATATAAGTGTAATCATAAAGTATTTGTCATTTTGTGACTGGCTTATTTCACTAAACATAATGCCCTCAAAGCCCATCCATACTGTAGCATGTGTCAGAATTTCCTTCTTTTTGAGGCTGAATAATATTCTTTTGTATCTATGGACCACATTTTACTTACCCATTTATTTACTAATGGACATGGGTTACTTCCATATTTTGACTATTGCAAATAATATTGCTATGAACATGGGTGTACAAATATTTCTTCAAGTTCCTCATTTAAATTCTTTTGGGCATAAGCCCAGAAATGGAATGCCTGGATCACATGCTAATTCTATTTTTAATTTTTAAAGGAACCATTATACTGTCTTCTATAGCAGCTGCACTATTTCAGATTCTTTCCAGAAGTGCACAGAGTTTCCAATTTTTCCACATCCTTGGCAACACTTGTATTTTCTGTTTTTTGTTTTGTTTTGTTTTGTTTTTAAATAGTAGCCATCCTAATGAGTATACGGTGGTATGTCATTGTGGTTTTGAATTGCATTTCCCTAATGACTAATAATGTTGAGCATCTTTTCATATGTTTATTTATCATTTGTATATATTCTTTGGAGAAATGTCTATTCATGTCCTTTGTCTGTTTTTTAATTGAATTGCTTGTTTTTTGTTGTTGTTGAGTTCCTCTGTTCCTCCTTTTCTGGTTTGTTTGTTTGTTTGTTTGTTTGGAGTTGGGATTTTGTATATTGCCCAGATTGCCCAGGCTGGCCTCAAACACCTAGGCTCAAGTGATCCTCCTGCCTCAGCCTCCCGAGTAGCTACGACTACAGCCACACACCACTGTGCCCAGATTAGTGTACAATTTTAATTCCTTTGTTGATTTCTTAGCTATATTTTTAACATTTTAGTTTTACTTAATTTGCCTGTAATCCCAGCTACTCACAAGGCTGAGGTGGAAGGATCACTTGAGGCCAAGAGTTCAAGACCAGCCTGGGTAACATAGTGAGACCCAATCTCTGAAATAATTTAAAAATTAGCTGGATATGGTGGTGCATACTTGTGGTCCTAGCTACTCATAATGTTGAGGTGGGAGGATTGCTTGAGCCCAGAAGTTCGACGTTACAGTGAGCTATGTTTGTGCCCCTGTACTCCAGCCTGGGTGGCAAAATAAGACATCATCTCATTAAAAAATTACTTAATTTTACTTAATACAGTTTTACACTTATTTATTTCACCTAAATTATTTTAAATTACTTTTTTATTGGTTATTCTAAGGAATACAATGTATACTACGGTTTGAATGTTTGTGTCTCTTCCAAAATTTGTAGTTAAAACCTAATTCCCAAGGTGATAGTATTAAGAGGTAATTAAGAGGCTGGGTGTGGTGGTGCATGTCTGTAATCCCAGGACTTTGGGAGGCCAAGGCAGGCAGATCACTTGAGGTAAGGAGTTCAAGACCAGCCTGGCCAACATGGTAAAACCCTGTCTCTACTAAAACAAACAAACAAACAAACAAAAAAACCAAAAAAACACAAAAATTAGCTGGACGTGGTGGTGTGCACCTGTAATCCCAGCTACTCGGGAGGCTGAGGCATGAGAATTGCTTGAACCTGGGAGGTAGAGGCTGCAATGAGCAGCCACTGCACACCAGCCTGGGTGACAGAATGAGACTCTGTCTCAAAAAAAAAAAAAAAAAAAAGTAAATTAAGTCAAGAAGGTGGAGCCCCTCATGGATAAGATGAGGGCTATAACTGTTCAAAGGATTCATTGTGCCCACTGCCAAGATACAGCCTATTTAACAAGATAGGGGAATTGCAATGCAGAATTTAATATACATCGATTTGGCTAAACAGGAGACCAGAGTTTTATCATTACTCAAATCTGCCCCACCCCCCTCCAAAATTCAGAGTCTAGGGTTTTTCAAGGATAGTTTGACAGGCAGTGGCTAGAGAATGGGTGTTGCTAATTGGCTGGGGATGCAATTGTAGGGATGTGGAAAATGGTCCTCAAGTGCTGAGTCCAGTTTTGGGTGGAGGCCTTAGAAGAGCCACTGGTTCAGATGAGGCCATCCAGTCATCAGAAATGCAAAAGCCTGAAAAGACATCTCAAAAGGGTGATCTTAGGTTCTAGTAATTGGGGAAGCTGTAAGCCTTGTGATCTCCAGAATAATGGCTGGTAATCATTTAACTATGTGTATATCTTAGCAGAATTTAGACTCCTCTCATCCTCCTAACCTGGTGGATTTTTATTAGTTTTACAAAGGCAATTTAGTTTTGGAAGGGGCTATTATCATTTAAACTATAAACTAAATTTCTCCCAAAGTTAGCTTAGCTCATGCCCAGGAATAATCAGGGGCAGTTTGGAGGTTAAAGGCAAGATGGAATTGGTTAGGTCAGATCTCTTTCGCAGTCATAATTTTCTCACTGCTATAATTTTTTGCAAAAGTGGTTTCAGGACCCTTATAAAAGAGCTAGAAGTCGAAGGGCAAGGTCTCTCTTCTATCTTGCTCTTCTGCCATCTGTCATGTGATGACGCAATTAGAAAGCCCTTGACTGATGCTGGCACCTTGATCTTGGACTTCCCAGATGCCAGAACTGTGAGAATAATTTCCACTTATTATAAATTATCCAATCTGTACAATTTTGTTATAGTTGAACCAAATGAACTGAGACATGTATCTTTAACTTAACACAATCTCTTTCAGGCTAATACTAACTTAATTTCAGTAAACTACAGTCAATTTGCTCTGATATAGTACCATTTCCTCCTCCTTATTTTGTGCTATCACTGTCATACATATTCCATTTATATAATATCAACAATATAGTATAAAATTATTGCTTTAATCATATTTTTAAAAGACATTAAGAAAATTGTGTGTATAGCCTTTTTATATTTTTTAACATATTTTAAAAATTTCTCATCTTCATTCCTTTCTACATATCAGAGTTATACTCTCCTGCAATTTCTTTTCACTCTGAAGAACTTCCTTTAATATTTCTTGGAGGGCAGGTTTGCTACTAACAAATTCTCTCAGGTTTGTTTTTCTGGGAATGTCTTTATTTCACTTTCCTTTTTGAAAGATAGTTTCACTAGATACAGAATTCTTGGTTGACAGTTCCCCCCTCACTTAACACCTTAAATATATCATTCCAATGCCTTATGAGCTCTTGTGTTGCTGATGAGAAGTCAGCTCTATGTCACATTGTTTTTCCCCAATGACTCATTTTTCTTTTGCCACTTTCAGGATTTTCTTTTGTTCTTGGCTTTCAGCAGTTTGACTATGCTGTATCTAGGTGCAGTTTTCTTTGTGTTTATCTTACTTTGTGTTCATTAGAACTTCTTGTATTTGTAGGGTTTTTTTTTTAATCAAATTTGGGGACTTTTTAGCATTATTATTTCAAAAAATTCTAGCCCTCTTTTCTCCCTCTCCTATCTTTCTGGGACTCTCATTTCATGTTTGTTGGGATATCTGACATAATTTTACAGGTCTCTGAGGCTCTTCTTTCTTTCTCTTATTATTATTTTAACTGTCAACCTGAGCTTTATTAGGTAAATACTGTTGATTTTGGTTCATGATTCTCTATTATGTAATAATTTGTTTCATTCTCCGGTAAAATGATGTTTTTTTTTTTTTGAGGTGGAGTTTTGCTCTTTTTGCCCATGCTGGAGTGCAATGGCGCGATCTCAGCTCACCGCAACCTCCACCTCCTGGGTTCAAGCAATTCTCCTGCCTCAGCCTCCTGAGTAGCTGGAATACAGGCATGTGCCACCATGCCCGGCTAATTTTGTATTTTTTAGAGAATACAAATACAGAGACGGGGTTAGAGACGGGGTTTCTCCATGTTGATCAGGCTGGTCTTGAACTCCTGACCCCAGGTGATCTGTCTGCCTTGGCCTCCCAAAGTGCTGGGATTACAAGCGTGAGCCGCCCATGCCCGGTTGATGTTTGATATTTAATAAAAATTATAACAGCTGATATTTACCTATGATCTCTAATATAAAAAGTGCTACCATGCTCTTTCTCTCATTAATACCATTTTTTTTCCTAGTTTAACCCAGTTTATTTCATATGGTCTTAAATCTTAAAACTATTTCTTCTGTATAGATAAGTAATTCAAATCATTGGCTTATTTCCCTACCAATATGTTCAAACTTTATCTGTCAAATTCATTGAATGGTAGTTCCTGAACATCATATAGCAAGACAAAACAAACAAAAAAACCTAAAACACTAAAAAAAAAAAAAACCCCAACCCTTCCAATATTTAATTTAATAAAATTAGTGCTTTTCTGCAGTATGATTTTTGTCTCAATAATCCAAATTCAGGTTTCATTAGTTTTAGCAAATGAAGTAAAATAAAATGTTATGCTAAAAAATATACATACACACCCCAAAGGCTGAGAGATATACCAAGCTATTATTAATGGTTATCTATATGCAGGTAAAATTTTAAGATTTTTGTTTGCATGTTTTCTTTATGTAGGTATTCTTTTTTAATAATTTTTATTTTATTTCAATAGTTTTGGGGGTACAGGTGGTTTTTAGTTACACGGGTAAGTTCTCTAGTGGTAATTTCTGACATTTTCGTGCACCTGTATCCTGAGCAGTGTACACTGTACCCAATACGTAGTCTTTTATCCCTCACCCTCCTCCTATCCTTTTTCCCTGCCCCGCCCCAAGTCCCCAAAGTCCACTATATCATTCTTATGCCTTTGCATTCTCATAGCTTAGCTCCCAAGTATAAGTGAGAACACACGGTATTTGGTTTTCCATTCCTGAGTTGCTTCATTTAGAATAATGGCCTCCAGCTTCACCCAAGTTGCTGCAAAAGACTATTTCATTCCTTTTTATGGCTGTGTAGTATTTCATGGTATATATATATATATATTATATATATTATAATAATATATGATATATCATATATATTATATATATTATATAAGATATTATATATATATCACATTTTCTTTACCCACTCATTGGTTGATGGACACCCAGGTTGGTTCTATATCTTTTGAATTGCAAATTGTGCTGCTATAAACATGTGTGTGCATATGTTTTTCATATAATGACTTCTTTTCCTTTGCATAGATACCCAATAGTGGGATTGCTGGATCAAATGGTAGTTCTACTTTTAGTTGTTTAAGGAAACTCCATACTGTTTTCCATAGTGGTTGTACTAGTTTACATTCCCTGTTTTTTCTTTTTCTATTTAAAGCTACAGTCTATGTCCTTGAGTCTGGCTTATTGCTAAAAATATCCTCTTTTTTATGGATGTGTCATTATAGCTCTTCTTTTACTTCATTTTTCTGTTTTTTGAATACGATAATTTCTCTATCTTCAAGTACACCTTTTTTGCCATCTCAAATCTTTCACTGAGATTATGTAATACAATTTATATTTCTCTTCTATATTTTTCAACTCTAGAAATTTCATTTTTATAGAATCATTTCCCTATTGATATCCTTTATATGTTAAAGAATTATCATTATATTTTCCTTTAATTCTTTGAAAAATGTTTACTTTTTAAAACATAATTATAAGACCTACTTTCAAGAGTTTGCTTCTGAATCCAGTATTTGAGCCCAATGGGTCTGTTTCTATTGGTTGCTATTTTCTTCCTCAGAGTGGGTGACACTTTACTGTTTCTTTGCATAAACCATGATTGTTGGTTGAAAAGCAGATATTTCATATATTGCAGCAATTCTAGATGTTTTATTTTTCTTAGTTTTGTTGTTGTTGTTGTTGTTGTTTTATCTTCCTGGATTTACACAGATTTAAAATCTGTCTCTATATGGCCTGTGGCTGCTGGTATCTTTGCTCTGTTTTTCAATTCACATTTTTATATTTACCCTGACTTTCTGGGCTTTGTCCCTGTGTTTGCATAGCTGTGGCTAGTCAATGATTTGGCAGTGGTTGCACTCAAACACCTTGATTTGGGAGTCTTCTTCCCTCTGCTAATGGATCTGTGTGTGGATTAAGGAATACATTCACAGTTGCCACCAGTTCTCAAGTCTCCCTTGGATTTACTTAACAGGTCTCTTGGGTCAACCCCAGGCAGATGCATAGTTTCCCAATCAGTCAGAGATGTGTGGAGATGTAATTAACAAATAGAGTATTTCTGTGGGGAAGTAGACTCTATAAAAAAGGATGATATTTCTAGAGTTGAAAAGTACAGGCTGGAGTGAGGTGGTGTGACCATAACTCTTCAATGACTCTTATTTCTAAAATCTCCCTGTTATATTTTTGACTGGCTTGCCATTTGCCCCACCTGGGACTGTAACCTCAGGTAAGCACAGCTGTGGGTTTGCCCTGTTCATTTCCATATGAGTTTGTCACTTTTAGTTGGCAAAGCCTTGGGTTTTTGACCACCCGCCCCAAATTGAGTCCATCCCTTTGGCAGCAAAGCTGCTAGTTTTCTTGGCTATTCCTACCCACACTGGCAAAACTGCAGTTCTGGTGCAACAGGGTGGGAGAGAAGCAGCCTCAGGCCAGAAGGCCACAGACATCTACTGTCCCTGCTAGCTGTTTCTGAAGAATAGATGTTTCTCAAATTGTTTTCTGTATTTGTTTGATTTCCAGTGCTCTGAAATGGTTGTTTTTGCCAATTTATCCAATTTTATACTGGTTTTGTGTGCAGAGAATTGCTGACTATGCCACACAGACATAGCTAAAAGTCCCTTCCACAGTTTTTTACGTAGGAACCTGTATTAGTTAGGACCTTTCAGAGTCATGTAAAAGAAATTCAACTGAATTAGTTAGGACTTTTAGAATTTTAATATGAACTGGCTTAAACAGTACAGGAAATTTGTGGTTCACAATTCTGGATAGTCTGTAAGATGGCCTTGCTCACAATCCCGAATAGTCTATAGGATAGTCCATAGAATCAAACAGGTGAGGTTTGATACTGCAGCTCAAATCATGCCACCAAACACAAGGTTCTTCTCCATCTTTCCCGCATTCATTTGACAGTACTGACTTCAACCCCAGGCTCTACTTGTTGCTGTCCCTCTAAACTCCCATCCCTCTAGGGTTTCCCCTTATAGGAGGAAAACGGTTGCCACATTTCCAGGCATCATATACTTACACCATGCTAGAGGAGCAAGGAAGCTACAGTTTACTGGAAGCCTCAGCCCCAGTCTTTGTGGGTTCATTGTTTCTGACTGGGCTTGTGACCATCTCTGCTGCTAGAGGGAATGGTTATGTTGCCTGGCTTAAATGGAAGGAATAAATGCTCAAGTGGCAGCCAACAAATACATTCAATATCCACACATATTGGCTCCAAATAATAAATCAATGAATGAGTGGGCTCACCCACTTAGGCTCACATGCTCACAGCACTTAAAGAGCTCCACAAACCATGCCCTCCAAATGAAACCACGGTCTACATTCTGCCAGCTCTTTCTCCCTTTCCATTTCTCCTTTCTTCTCTTTCACACCCTCACCTTTGGCTAGGCCACTCGATGTTGCAAGAAACACGTCCATCAGCAATTGCCTCAGTAGAAAACTCCCTCTGCTCCCCTCCTGCATCCACATAGCAGCTTCAGGCAAGGCCTCCATAAGGCCCAGCGTGGATCAGTGCCTGCCCCTTGGCCGAATCAGTGCTGTCACAGGCAGAGAATTGTCACTGCCATGCTCACCTGCCCAACCCAGTGGTCAGAGAAGACTGTTCTACTGCGAGAGGAGCCATGAGAAGGCTTTTCCGAAAGTCAAAGACCAATGGCTACCTCAGACCATCCCGTATCCACTCGTGGGAGGCCCCTGAATGAATCTAAGGCCCCAGGGGTTGAACTTTACTGAGTAGGGAGCGCAGAGTACTAGGGACAAATTTACCGCCCGCTTTGAGGAAAGCTGATGTGGGAGCAGAGAGCAAGATGGATAGCAGCGGCCAATCTAAACGGGCAACGAAGTGCCACAGAGTGCTGCACGTAGGAATGCGAGTGACAGGTAGGGTCGTCTATTCCAAGTCCCTCCTCTCCCCTAATAAACTGCCACATTTCAGAAAACACGAAGACTGCTGAAGCCGTTTCCAGCCTTCGCTACGCATTAGCAGAGCAACTCAACAAGCCTGGGTGAAAGGCTTCTCGAAGAAATTCAGTTATCTCTACTGCCAGCCAAACACGGACTGGGCAGCTTTCCTCGGGGGCTGCTCGGTAACTGCTGAGCCGGGGGCGCGCTGAAGCCCTGCAGAAGCCCACACCCGCTTCAGGAATTCCGTGGATGTTCCCGACAGAGGTTTATTCCCGCCTATCCCTACAGGCCCACGGCGCTCTTTCCTCCAATCCCACACCCAGTCGAAGGCGGGGCAGCCGCCCCACCCAGCGGCCAGCCGGGCGGCCCCCAGTCTGGTTTAACTGGTTGGAACGACTAAAGCACGCTGGCGCAAGGAAAGCTCTCAACTTCGGGAGCTGAGGCGCAGGCTGGCCAGAGCGTGGAGAGGAAAGCCCTTTCCATCCTCAAGGCCGTTGCAGGAGATGCCCGCGAGCCACCTTCGCCAGCACCACACCGGGGTAAGCCGTCCGTCCCCGAAACCCGCAAGGCCACCGACTGCGCAGGCGCCTGCAGAGCACTGGCCCTCGGCGCGTTCTCTCGCGCTCTTCTTCAGTCTCCTCAGCGAGCCTGGGGACGAAGGGGGCGCGGTGCCTCCTGGGTGTTGTAGTTTGCTTCCTTGGCGAGAGGCCTTCGGGCTGGCTGGACGCCGGGGCCTTGGGAACTACGCCTCCCAGCGCGCCCCGCGCGAGAGCCCAGGTCGCCTGCCCTTGACGGCTTCAGCCGTCTGAGCGGAGAGGAGGATCCGGGAAGCCGGCTGCGGCGGGAGGAGGGAATGCGCGTGCGCGCTGGACCGCCTCGTCCCGTTCCGTCCCAATCATTGTAAACAGGCAGAGGCTGGGCGGGGTGGGAATGGGGCGCCCGAGGCCGGCCTGGGGCGCAGCGCAGGAGGCGGCTCCGGTGGCTGCGGCGGCAGCGTGAGCGCGAGGAGGCGGAGGCTGCGGCGGGGCGGACGGTCGCGCGGCGGCAGGCACAGGTCAGTCGCAGGGAGCGGTCGCGTGCTAGGGTCGCGGCGATACCCCTGGAGTGCCCGAGGAACCCTCTCCCGCGCCGGCCTCGCGCCCGCGTCTGTCAGGCAGCGTGTGGGGCTCGGTGCTCGCAGCGCTCGGGTTTGAAGTTGGGGGTGGGGGGCGTGGCTGCCCCTGGCGTGGGTTCCTCCCCGGAAAGCTTCGCCCCAGTTTTCGCCCCCCTTGGCCGTGCGTCCCTCCCACTGGCCGACGGGCCTCCCTTCGTGGCGTCCTCGTTTGTGGTGCTCTCGGGGGCCGGGGGTGGAGAGTTAGGAGTCCCCAGGCCTCGGGGAAGCTCTTGGGGGGCGCCTGGACAGAGGCTAGGGGACCCAGCCCTCACGGTTGGTGGATCGTGCCCGGCATAGTGGCCAGGCTCCAGGGCTTACCCAGGGGACCAGGACAGGCTCCTGGTGTCGCCCACCGCTGGCACTGAGCAGTGGGCGCCTTTGGGTGCTGCGATCCTTCCTTCAGGTTTCAGTGGGAATGGACAGACAGATCTGAAGTTGAAAATTCTTTTCACAACTCATGTTCAACTATGTGTGTTGTCAGAATGCTCTTAATGAGGTCAGTGTTCTCCCTCTTTTTTTTAAAACTGATCGTTGTGAGAGTGAAACAGGTTTTACAGAATATTTAACACCTCCGTCTTCCCTGAAGTAATTCTGCTGTTTCAAGTTTTGGGATTCAGTATTACAAAGCCTTCCTCTTGAGCAAGGCCTAGTACAATTCTTCAAGGTCCCTAGCATGTTAATTCGAGGTGTTTTGAACGTGCATATACAGGAAGTGCAGCCGTTTGGCCGTTGAGTTAGTGCTCCATCCAGCCTTGTTAGAAAAGCTTTCGCTGAATTTTTAATTTAGTGGAGTGGTCATGTTCTAATGCTGCAGTACTTTGGGGAGTATTCCATTATACTTGGCAGTTATTAACGAAATACTGAACTTGTGATAAGGTTTTGTTTTGGTGCTCAGCATTTCTAAATGAATAAGTGGGACTGTGAATAAGAAAGATCACCTCACTTTCTGTTTTTAGAGTTATTGTGGTCATTTGATAACTCCTTTCTGTCTTTGTGAAAATAATTACTGTAAGCTGGAGTGGCGGTAGTAGGGGTAGGAAGGAGGTCAGTAGAGTGGTTTCCACCTCTCATTCAAAGTATCTGGTAGATCCAAGTGGGGTAGGTTAGTTAACAGTAGCTTTTTTTTTTTTTTTTTAGTTTTTTATTTTTTGAGACAGAGTTTCGCTCTTGTTGCCCAGGTTGGAGTGCAATGGCATGATCTCAGCTCACCACAGCCTCTGCCTCCTGGGTTCAAACGATTCTGCTGCCTCAGCCTCCTGAGGGGATTACAGGCATGCGCCATCACGCCCGGCTAATTTTATATTTTTAGTAGAGACATTTTCTCCATGTTGGTCAGGCTGGTCTTGAACTCCCGACCTCAGGTGATCTGCCCGCCTAGGCCTCCCAAAGCGCTGGGATTACAGGCGTGTGCCACCGCGCCCTGCCAACAGTAGTAGCTTTTGAGAAGTGACTCTTTAAACAAGGTATCTCGAAACAATGTAATACAACTTAGTTTGCTTTCTCTTCAGGATATTGTTTCTAATTATGGATCTTATCCAGACTATTTCTCCCCTAATTTAGAATAGGAAAGTGGTATCAGAAAGTGCATAATAACTTTAATTTGTACAGTTATATTTGCATAGTTGTTTGCTTGGCAAGAAGAGATCGGGCCCAGCATGTAACCCAAAAGAATATTGTTTCTGTTTTGAAAGATCCCTGATAGAAACTTATGTTAGTTTGTATAAGAGGGTACAAGGAAAAATGCAGATTATTTAGAATACAGGAATTACTATGTAGAAAGTACTGTGACCAGGTGAAGAGGACTTAAAGATACAGAAGGCAGTGTTCCTGCCTTCAGGGTAGTTGAACCTTATCTCTTACTTTAACTGTCAACAAGTACAAGATTGTTTTGATTGAAGAACATATGCGGGTACAGTGGATGTACAAAGGAGATAGTGGTCAGTTTCTTAAAGTGAAGAAAAGAGCTGAAGAAGAGGGAAACTGTAAGGAAAAACTATGTAGAAGGTGATGAAAATCAGGAGTGTACAGGCATAGAAAGAATGGGCATTTAGGTAGAAGGAGCAGTGTGAGAAAAAGCATGGGAGTCTAAAATTAGAGAGTAGCATCTGCAAAAATAGCAAGTATAATACAGGGTGGTGGCAAGACCTGAAACTGGGGAGATAGGCAGAGACCAAATTATGGATCTTGCAGACCATCAGAATAATTACAATTTTATTTTATAAGCAAATAGGAGTCATTGAGAGGACAAAGAAGAGACCTAAGCCAGCTCAGCCCATTTTTAACCCTCTGCTATAGGTCAGGCACTGTATTAGGTACTGTATATTTTATGTCCTTAAGCTTAAAGAAGGCTTAGTCATGACTAATGCAGAAATTGGGGGGCTAGGGCAGGGATGGGGAAGGAACTTTTAGAGGGAAAGGTGGGCAGAAACGTAGGTGAGAAAGAACATGGAACACTTTTTTTTTTCCCAATACAGACACCATCACTCAGTTTTATTGGTTTTGTCTTATTAGCCTCTGAAGTAGGCAATTATTGGTGTGAACATACATTTTGAAAAACATCTGGAGTCAAGAGTGCACGAGTGTCAACTCAGTGCAAGTACTGTTGGTAAGCATTATGTCCCGAGGATGAAATCGGAGGACCAACAGGCCCAGGAGGCTTCACAGCGAACACCACATGCCTCGCGCCCAAAAGGACAGCAGACCGCGCTTCAGAACGGAACCGCCTTCTCCATGTAAACTTTTGACGTAAACTGTGTGCTTCAGGGTGGCCTCTTCTTCTCCGAGATCCTCTCCTGCGTCCCGAGTTTGGGAATGGCCCGGCCGTGCTCAGGCCCAGGCGGTGGAGGCCTCGGTGTAGTAGTGCCGTGCTTGTCGACGTTCCCAGGAGTCCGGGTTCAGAAGCCCCCTCTCCGGTGGATTGGCAGCTTCGCGGTAGCTGGGCTAGTCTTCCTCTGGAAACTCAGTAAAAAGAGTCGGCGCTGTCCGCCTGAGCGCGGGTTTCCTACCGAGCTAGAGGCCAGCCTGCCTCAGGCGCAGAAGGGTTTGCCGCCGGCCTTGGTCAGGGCGAGCAGCTCCCTGGTGGCGCCCAGAGCTGGGGTGTCCTGGGGCGCGGCAGGCGGAAAGGCACGCGCGGGCCAGGGGTGCAGTCAGCACAGAATATGGAAGAGAATGGGAAGTTGTTTTCTGTAGCTGTAGCATTAGTTGTGGTGATAAGTAGCAGAAGATGAGGTTGCAGGTATCCTCAAAAGTATTGCGTGCCATTCCAAGGACCTTACCATTTTTTCCTGTAGATAACAATAGGGTTTATGTATTTTAATGAACAGAGAGACATGATAAGATTTTTCTTTTTATTTTTTTTTTACTTTTTTGAGATAAGGTCTCACTGTGTCACCCAGGCTGAAATGAAGTGGCACTCACCGCACTCCGTCATGGCTCACTGCAGCCTCGACCTCCCAGGCTCCAGCGATCCTCCCACCTCAGCCTCACGAGTAGCTGGGACCACAGGTGAACGCCACCACACCTGGCTAATTTTTTGGTATTTTTTTTTTTGTAGAGATGGAGTTTTGCTGTGTTGCCCAGGCTGGTCTTAAACTTTGAGCTCAGGCAGTCCACCCTCCTCGGCCTCCTAAAGTGCTGGGATTACACGTGTAAGCCACCATGTCCGGCCAAGATTTTTATTTTAGAAAGATCATTCTGGAATTGTAGAGTAAGGATTTCAGAAGGGATGGAGAGAAGGTAAGAATGGATGTAGAAAGACTGTTTAGGAGGTTTTTGCACTAATCGAAGTGAGAAATAAGGGTCCAAACTAAGGCAATGTTAGAGGGGTTATGGAGGAGGAGGGTAATAGAAATATTTAGAAAGTAGAATTCATAGGATTCAGCAACAATTGGATATGGGGAGTGAGGGAAAAATAATAGAATAAGATGACTTGGATTTTAACTTGGGTGATTGAAGAGACAATGGTAAAATATACTGAGATGGGGAATTCAGGAAGAGAAGCACATTTGAGGAGAAACAGTATTTTAGCTTCAGAACATATTGAGTGGAAGTTATCTGTGAAACATCCAGGTGGAATCATCTGCTATGGAACTGTGAATGTGGATTTGGAGTACAGTATAACAGGCTATATTATGAGTGGTATCTGAATTCTTTGATTTAGATAACACCAAATAAGAAGAGTTTGTTAACATAAAATAGTTCTGGAAATAGGCTGTGGAGAACATTTAAAGCCAGATAGAAGAAGAGCTGGGAAAGGAAATTCCTAAGTGTTTGGAGATGTAGAGAAATCATGAGAAAATGTCATAGAAGCCAAAGTGGGATCTGGCACCATCACAGCTCACTACAACCTCCGCCTCCTGGGCTCAAGCCATCCTCCTACCTCAGCCACTCAAGTAGCTGGGACTGCAGACACATACCACCACACCTGGCTAATTTTTGTATTTTTGGTAGGGATGGGGTTTTGCCATGTTGCCCAGGCTGGTCTTGAACTCCTGGGCTCAAGCGATCTGCCTGCCTTGGCCTCTCAAGTGCTAGGATTACAGGTGTGAGCCACTGCATTGGGCTGGGATCATTTTTAAAGGAAGTTATACTTCACAATCAACTCTCAAGAAAAAATAGAAATTAATTTTTTTTTTTAAAAAAGGAAAGCCTCAGGCACAGTGGCTCACACCTGTCCTCCCAGCACTTTGGGAAGCTGAGGTGGGAGGATTGCTTGAGCCAAAGAGTTTGAGACCAGCCTGGGAAACATAGGGAGACTGGTGTCTCTGCAAAAAAAAAGCAATTAGCTGGCTGTGGTGGTGCACACCTGTGGTCCCAGCTACTCAGGAGGCTGAGGTGGGATGATCGCTTGATCCTGGGAGGTTGCGGCTGCAGTGAGCTGTGATTGTGCCACTGCATTGCAGCATGGGTGACAGAGTGGGACCCTGGCCTAAACAAAAGGAAAGCCATACTTTAAATGCTTTGAAAAGTTGAGCGAAAGAAGTTATTAAGAGTCTATTGATTTGGTATTGAGGAGGTTATTCAATTTGATAACTGTGTGAGAACAGTTTTGATAGAATGGTTGGGGGACGAGGTAGGTTTCATTGAGTTGAGGAGTTGAGGTTAGAGAGTGGAAAAGCATATGTAGATTATAATAAATAAATCAATTTTAGCCATGAAGGGGAGAATAGAAAGAGGTGGTAGCAGAGGGTGATAAAGGGTTAACAGATTTTTAACATGGCAAAGACTTGAACCTGCTTTTCTTTTTTAAAACAGCTTTATTGAAATATAATTCACGTATCCATAAAATTCACTCCTTTAAATTATACAATTCATTGGTATGTAGCATGTAGTTATTCATTGGTCTGTGTGACTTAATTTTTTTTTTTTTTTTTTGAGACAGAGTCACACTCTGTCACCCATGCTGGAGTGCAGTGGTGCAGCCACAGCTTATTGCAGCTTGACTTCCCAGGCTCAGATAGATGATCCTCCGACTTCAGCCTCCTGAGTAGCTGAGACTACGGGTGTGTGCCACTATGCCTGGCTAATTTTTTGTATTTTTTTTGTGGAGACGGGGTTTTGCCATATTGCCCAGGCTGGTCTCAAACTCCTGGGCTCAAGTGATCCACCTCTCTCGGCTTCCCAAAGTGCTGGGCTCAATGAGCCACCACGCGCAGTCTCATTGGTTTTTAGTACAGATGCTTCTCTACTTTTCTCTACTTACGACACAGTTACATCCTGATAAACCTATAGCAATTCGAAAATATTGTAAGTGGAAAATGCATTTAATGCACCTAACATCATAGCTTAGCCTCGCCTACTGTAAACATGCTCAGAACACTTACATTAGCCTACAAAATCCTCTAACACAAAGTTTATTTTATAATAAAGTGTGGAATATCTCATGTAATTTATTGCATACTGAAAGTGAAAAACAGAATGATTTTATGGATACCATGTAAAGTTGAAAAATCCCAAGTTGAAACATTGTATGTTGGGGACAGTCTGTATATACAGAGTTGTACAGCCATCACCACAGTCAATTTTAGAACATTTTCATTACTCCCCCAAAAAAACCTCCCCATTAGCAGTAGTCACTCACTATTTCCCCTGCCCTCATTAATCTACTTCTGTATCTCTTGATATTTCAGATATTCTGGATATTTCATATAAATGAAACCATATATATCATCTTTTGCAACTGCTTTCCCTCACTTAATGTTTTCAGGGTTCATCCATATTGTAGGATATATTAGCACTTCATATTTTTTATTGCAAAACAGTACTCTCTTATCTGGATATACCACATTTCATTTATCCATTTATCAGTTGAACATCTAAGTCGTTTCTCCTTCTTGACTATTCTGAATAATGCTGGTGTGAATATTCATGTACAAGTTTTTGTGCGGGCATACGTTTTCATTTCTTGTGTATATACCTAGGAGTAGAATTGCTGGGTGTGATGTTATACAATAAGAAATATATATTTGGTCTTGGTCTGGTTCCTAGCCTAGAACTTCAAAGATCCTTGGAACTCCCTGAGTAATAGAGGTAATAGAGCATATTTTGGAATTCATAATAAGTCTCTCAGTCACATCTGAATTTATGCTAATAAAGTGATTCTTGGTAGGCCCCTAGACAACTTCAGGATGGAAGCTGGTTGCCAGAAGAACCAACTGTGTTGATTAGAGAGTTGGAACTTGCAGCCCCACCCCTGGATGGGTGAGGGGGTGGTGGTGAGGACTGGGTATTGAGATCAGTTATCAGTGGCCAGTGATGTAATCAATCATGCCTGTGAAATGGGACCTCCATAAAATCTTCTAAACAGTGGTTTTCAGAGAGATTCTGGGTTGGTGAATGCATCCTTATGCTGGGAAGGTGTTGCTTCAACTTCATGGGACAGAAACTCCTATACTTGGAACCCATCTCGGCCTCACCCTTGTGCCTTTTGATTTGGTGGTTTATTTATATCCTTTATAATAAACTGATAGGCATAAGTAAAGTGTTTCCCTGAGTTTCGGTGAGCCATTCTTGCAAATTATTGAACATGAGGAGGGGGTTGTGGGAACCCCTATTTATAGCTATTTGGTCAGAAGTACAGGTGGCAATGTGCAGCTTGTGGCTGGTAACTGAAGTGAGGGTAGTCTTGTGGAACTAAGCCTGTGGAGTCTGACATAAACTCTGGGCAGTTAGTGTCAGAATTGAATTATAGGGCACTCAGTTGGTGTCTGGAAAGTTGGAGAACTGTATTGGTATGGAAAAACACTTCCACATGTGGTGTCAGAAGTGTTGTTAGAAAACAGCTCATGTGGTAACTCTTGTTGAACAGTTTGAGGAACTGCCAAATTGTTTCCCAAAGCGACTGCACCATTTTATAATCCAATTCTCCAATTTCTCTACATCTTTGCCAATACTTGCCATTTGCTTTTTTAAATTTTAGCTATCTTGGGGTGAAGTGGTATCATGTTGAGGGTTAGATTTTCATTTCCCTGGTGGCTAAGATGTTGAACATCTTTTCATGTGCTCATTGGCCATTTGTATATTCTCTTTGTGGAAATATCTACTGAAATCCTTTGTCCATTTTTGAATTGTATTGTTGGTTATTGAAAGAGTTCTTTGTATGTTTGGTTACTAAATGTTTATCAGATATATGATTTACAAATACTTCTGTTTTCTGGGTTGTCTTTTCACTTTCTTGATAATATACTTTTGATGCATTAAAAGTTTAAATTTTACAGTATAATTTATCTGTTTTTTTTTGTTTGTTTGTTACACAGGCTTTTGGTGTCATGTCTACATTGCCAAATCCAAGGAATGAAGATTTATTCCATACTTTCTTCTAAGAGTTCTGTGGTTTTAGTTCTTATATTCAGTTGTTGGTCCACATTTTTATATGGTGTGAGATAGGGGTCCACGTTTTTTTGTTTTGTTTTGTTTTTGAGACAGAGTCTCACTCTGTCGCTCAGGCTGGAATGCAGTGGCACAATCTCAGGTTACTGCAATCTCTGCCTCCCAGGTTCAAGCAATTCTCATGCTTTGGCCTCCCGAGTAGCTGGGATTACAGGCGAGCGCTACCACGCCCGGCCAATTTTTGTATTTTTACTAGAGATGGGGTTTCACCACATTGGCCAGGCTGGCCTCAAACTCCTGGCCTCAAGTGATCCACCCACCTTGGCCTCCCAAAGTGCTGGGATTACAGGCGTGAGCCACTGCGCCCTGCCAGAGGGGGTCCACTTTTTTGCATGTGGTACTCTAGTTGTCCCATCCTCATGTGTTGAAGAGACCATTATTTCCTGATTGAGTGGTCCTGATATCCTTGTTGAAAAATCAGTTGACCACAAATGTCTGGGTTTTTTCCCCTGGACTCTTTGTTTGATTCTCATGGTTGATATAGCTATCCTTATGCCAGGTACCATGTGCTGTTTTGATTACTGTGGCTTTGTAGTACATTTTGAAATTGAGATGTGTGAATTCTTCGACTTTGCTGTTTCCAGTATTTGTTGGCTCTTCAGGGTCCCTTGCAATTCCATATGAAACTGAGGATCCATTTCTGTAAAAAAGGCCATTGGAATTTTAATAGAGATTGCATTGAATTTGTAAAACATTTTGGGTAGTATTTCTGTTTTAAAAATATTAAGTCCTCCAATCCATTAACAATAGGATGTCTTTTCACTTATTTAGTTTGTCTTTAATTTCTTGCACAATATTTGTAGTTATCAGTGTCAAGTCTTTCACTTCCCTGGTTAAATTTATTTCTATTTTTTTTTTAGGTGCTGTTGCAAATGAAATTGTTTTTTAAATTTGTTTTTCAATTTGTTTTTCACAATTGTTTTTCACAATTGCCTAGTGTTTAGATATACAACTTATTTTCTGTCACCTTATATCGTGTGACTTTGCTGAACTCCTTATTAGTTCCCATAGTTTTCTAGTGTATTCTTTTGAGTTTTGTATATAAGATCATGCTGTCTGTAAACAGAGATAGTTTTACCTCTTCTTTTCCTATATGGGTATCTTTTATTTATTTATTTTTCATTCCTAATTGCCCAGGCTAGAACTTCCCATACAATGCTAAATGAAAGTGGCAATAACAGACTTCCCTGTCTTGTTCCTTATCTTAGGAGGAAAGCTTCCAGTCTTTTACCATTTAGTATAATGTTAACTGTGGGTTTTTCTTTCTTTTCTTATTTTTTTTGAGACACGGTCTCATTCTGTCACCCAGGCTGGAGTGCAGTGGTACAATCATGGCTCACTGCAGCCTTGACCTCCCAGGCTCACGTGATACTCCCACTTCAGCCTCCTGAGTAGCTGGGTCTACAGGCATGAGCCACTATGCCTGGCTAATTTTTGTATGCTTTGTAGAGACAGGGTCTCCCTATGTTGCCCAGGCTGGTCTGGAGCTCCTGGGCTCAAGCTTCTGCTTCAGCCTCTCAAAATGCTGGGATTATAGGCATGAGCCACCATGCCTGGCAACTGTGGGTTTTTCATTGATACACTGTATCAGTTTAAGGATGTTCCTTATGTTCCCAGTTTGTTGAGTACTTTGTTGAGTGTTTGTCAAGTGTGTTGCTTAATTATCTACATATTTTTGAAGTTTTCAACATTTTGTCTGTTATCGATTTTCAGTTTCATTTCATTGTGATCAGAGAACATACTTTGTATGATTTTAGTCTTTTAAAGTTTATTGAGGCATCTTTTATTGCCTAACATATGATCTGTCCTGAGACTGTTCCATGTGCACTTGAGATGGATTCGTATTACATTGTCTTTGGGTGGGGTGTTCTATAGATGTCTGATAGATCTAGTTGCTTTATAGTGTTGTTCAAGTCTTCTTTTTCATTGTTGATCTTTTCTCTAGTCTATCCATTATTGAAAGTGAAGTATTGGGAGTCTCCGTTTATCATTGAACTGCCTCTTCGCCTCTCACTTCTGTCAGTTTTTGTTTTGTATCTTTTGGAGGCTCTGTTGTTATGTGCAGTGTATGTTTACAATTGTTGTATCTTGTTGATGGATTTACCCATTTATCATTATATGATATTTAAGAGATAGTCTTCATTGTTTGGTATTAGCATAGACTTTCTTTTATTTTTATTTTTTTTGAGACAGAGTCTTGCTCTGTTGCCCAGGCTGGAGTGCAGTGGCACGATCTCGGCTCACTGCAACCTCTGTCTCCCAGGTTCAAGCGATCCTCCAGCTTCAGCCCCCGTAGTAGCTGGGACTACAGGCATGTACCACCATGCCCGGCTGATTTTTGTATTTTTAGTAGAGACAGAGTTTTGCCGTGTTGGCCAGGCTGGTCTCCAACTCCTGAACTCAGGTGATCCACCCGCCTCAGTCTCCCAAAGTGCTGGGATTACAGACATGAGCCACCGCACCCGGCCTAACATAGACTTTCTAGTTCCCTTTTGGTTACTGTTTGCATGAAATCTCTTTTTCTTTCTTTCTCTTCCTTCCTTCCTTCCTTCCTTCCTTCCTTCCTTCCTTCCTTCCTTCCTTCCTCCCTCCCTCCCTCCCTCCCTCCCTCCCTTCCTTCCTCCCTTCCTCCCTTCCTCGTCTCGCTCTGTCACCAGGCTGGAGTGCAGTAGTAGCACGATCTTGGCTCAGTGCAATCTCCGCCTCCCGGGTGCAAGCAATTTTCCTGCCTCAGTCTCCTGAATAGCTGGGAGTACAGGCTCGCGCCACCACGCCTGGCTAATTTTTGTATTTTTAGTAGAGACAGGGTTTCACCATGTTGGCCAGGATGGTCTCCATCTCTTGACCTTGTAATCCACCCACCTTGGCCTCCCAAAGTGCTGGGATTACAGGTGTGAGCTACTGTGCCCAGCCTGGAATATCTTTTTCTATCTTTTTACTTTCAGCTTATTTCTGTCTTTGAATCTAAAGTGAGTCTCTGTAGACAGGCTACGATTGCATCTTGTTGTTTTTTAAATCTGTCTGCCAATAACTATCTTTTAATTGAGGAGTTTGATTTATTTACATATTACTGATAAGAAAGAACTTCTGCCATATTGCTATTTGTTTTTGATACATCTTTTTTGTTCCTCAATTCTTCCATTGCTGCCTCCTTTTGTGTTAAATACATACTTTTCATTGTACCATTTTAATTCCTTTATGTTTCATTTGTTATATATTTTCGTAGTAGTTGACCTGGGATTACAATTAACATCTTAATTTGTAACAATCTAGTTCAGATTAATATCAACTTAATTTTAATAGTGTAGAAAACTTTACTCCTATGTAGTCCTACCCCCTTTATGCTGTTATTGTCACAATTACATCTTTATACATTGTATGCTCATCAACACTGATTTACAGTGATTGCTTTATGCAGTTATTTAACTCAGATAGGAGAAAGAAGAAATACAAACAAAAATACATTTATACTCTTTTTAATATTTACCTACATACTTTTTTTTTTTTTTTTTTTTGCGACAAGGTCTTGCTGTCTTGCCCACACTGGAGTGCAGTGGCATGATCCTGGCTCACTGCAGCCTTGACCTTCTGGGCTCAAGTGATCCACTTTGGCCTCTGAAACTGTTGGGATTATAGGCATGAGCCATCATGCCCGACTGTAATTACCTTTACCAGTGTTCTTTATTCATGTGGATTTGAGTATCGTCTAGTTAGTGTTTTTTCAAAGCAGCATGATGGACTCCCTTTAGCGTATTTTTTTTAACAGGATAGGTCTACTAGCAGTGAGTTCTCTTAGTTTTTCTTAATCTAGGAATATCTTTTCTTTTTCTTTTTTTTTTTTGAGACAGAGTCTCATCGCTCTGTTGCCCAGGCTGGAGTGCAGTGGCGTGATCTCAGCTCACTGCAACCTCCACTTCATGGGCTTAAGTGATCTTCCCACTTCATCCTTCTGAGTAGCTGGGACCACAGGTGTGCACCACCACACCCAGCTGTTTTTTTTTTTCTTTTTTTGTATTTTTTGTAGAGATGGGATTTTGCCATGTTGCTGAGGCTGGTCTCGAACTTCTGGGCTCAAGTGATCTGCCTGCCTCAGCCTCCCGTATATCTCTTATGTTCTGTTTTAAGGGATTCTGTATTCTTTCTTTTTTTTTCCTGATCCTCAGACTGACCTATTTCAATTAACCTATCTTCATGTTCACTGTTTCTTTGTTCTGCCTGCCCAAATAAGCTGTTGAGCCCTTCTAGTGAACTTTTCATCTAAGTTATTATACTTTTCAATTCTATAATTTCTATTAGATTTTTTAAAAAATTCTCTTTATCAATACTCTCTTTTTGGTGAAACAGAGTTATCTTGCTTTCCTTCAGTTTTTAAGACATGGTTTCCTTTAGCTTTAGAACATACTTAAAATAGCTGATTTAAAGTTCTTATGTAGTCAGTCTAGTCAGTGTCTGGGCATCCTTAGGGACAGTTTCTTTTTTCTATTTTTGTGAGGCAGAGTCTCACTCTGTAGCCCAGGCTGGAATCCAGTGGCGCAATCTTGGCTCACTGCAACCTCCGCCTCCCGGGTTCAAGCAATTTTCTTTCCCATCTTGGCCTTCCAAAGTACTGGGATTACAGGCGTGAGCCACCGTGCCTGGCCTGGAACAGTTTCTGTGATTGCTTTTTTTTTTTTTAATGGATCATTCCTTCTTGTTTCTTTGCATATGTGTAAGTTTTTGATGAAATTGGACGTTTTGACTCCATCGCTATATTTCCTAGTTTCTTTACAGATGGATAGGCGGCTGGATGAGATATAAATAATATGATTGTCTTTTTAGTTAAAAACATGTAAAATTTAGTTTATTTTGAAAAAGATAATACCCATGGCACATAAAGGTTAAATTGTCTTTCCCCCTTTACCCTTTTCTCAGCTGAGATCTCTTTGAAGGGATAAAAACTTAATATTTCCTTGTATATTCTTCCAGAGATGTTTTATATACATGCAAGTAGTATGTGTGAACATGTAAATACTCTATTGTAAACAGTCACGAGGAAGTAATATGTACAGGAAGGGAATCAGTATTTGTTGACACCTATTGTGTAACAGGCACTGAGCCTGTTTCTTTATATTTGAGGGAAGTGTTTCAAACTGATCGCCTTGAACGTTTATACAATTATTTTATGAAGCTTTTATATAAAACGTTATTGAAAACAAAAATACTGGCAGAAGTCATTTGGAATTGCTTCTAGAGCTGGCACCATGTATTGAAGCATGGCAGTCCCTCAACAAGTGAAGGTTAAGTTAGTTCAGAAGCACTAAAAATTGAGAACCAGGTATTGTGATAGGTTGAAAATAAAACTTTATACCATTGCCGATGTTTAAAAATGAGGTATACTTGTCATTTATAAAACTGTTGTTGTGTGACTAGAACTTTCTTTGTAAGCTTTTTTATATGTATTGACTTTTCACAATCTGCCATTGATAGGTGCCATCAGATAAATACATAATAAGGAACTATTATTGAGAAATGAGGATCGAGGGGGAGATGAGAGAAGAAAGATTTTTAAGGAAAATGCAAAAATTGAAGTAGGACATTGGCAATTTTCAATGTTTCCTTCCAAAGTAGAAATATGATTTGTTTTGTTTTTGTTTTTTTGTTTTGTTTTGTTTGAGCTGGAGTCTTGCTCTGTCGTGCAGGCTGGAATGCAGTGGTGTGATCGTGGCTCACTGCAACCTCTGCCTCCCGGATTGAAGCAATTCTCCTGCCTCAGCCTCCCGAGTAGCTGGTACTACAGGCATGCACCACCACACCTGGCTAATTTTTGTATTTTTAGGAGAGACAGGGTTTCACCATGTTAGCCAGGCTGGTCTTGAACTCCTGACCTCAGGCAATCTGCCTGCCTCGGCCTCCCAAAGTGCTGGGATTACAGGCGTGAGCCACTGTGCCTGGCTTCAAAATAGGAATATGAATCAAGAACTTAGACTTTCTGCTTGAGAAAATTATGAGAAAAGAAATTGCAGATATAAAGCTGAAGAAAAGCTTACTTAAGTCCATTTTCTTACCACTACTGAGGTAACAAACAATTGAAAAGCAGTGGGTAAAATTCTAAGTTTTTCAACAAAGCTTAGCATTTTAAGGAAAAAAAAAACTGTATTACAACATTAGAGTTTGCTTCTTCAGATATTCCTCAGGTTACTTTTCAAATTAATGTCTTAGAAGCGTTATGATTGTATAAAATTTTTTTGTAGTCAACTGAAGCCATAAAAGCATCATTTCCTTCCTTTAGGTCTAAATGATGGAATAGTTTTACATGATGATAACGAGTTATAGAATATAAGTTACAAGACAGGAACAATCTGCTAATGTGTGTGTGTGGTGTGTGTAACAAGTTTTTTTAAACAAATAATGATTGTTACTTTTAACAACTTAATTTGAACTTTTATTATCATGGTTTAGTAAATAGTGCTTTTACTTTCTGCTTTTCTTTAATCAAAATAATTCACTATGTAAGTAAAGAGTTTAGTTACTATGTAACATTTTAATTCCAAATCTTGACTTTTGGCCTATTTTGCCTGCGTAAGATTAGTATTTTTACTTCTGTCTCCAGATTTTATTTAATTCCAGGAAATAATGCAGCAGCTGTTGTTATTTATTTATTTATTTATTTTTTAGGCAGAGTCTCACTCTGTCACCCAGGCTGGAATGCAGCGGCATGATCTTGGCTTACTGCAACCTCAGCCTCATGGGTTCAAGTGATTCTCATGCCCCAGCCTCTTGAGTTGCTGCAATTACAGGTGTGCACCATCATGCCCAGCAATTTTTTCTATTTTTAGTAGAGATGGGGTTTCACCGTGTTGGCTAGGCTGGTCTCCATCTTCTGGCCTCAAGTGATCCTCCCACCCCGGCCTCCCAAAGTGCTGGGATTACAAATGTGAGCTGCTGTTAATTCTTACGCAGTACCTTTATATCCTAGACAGTAATTTTATTCCTATTTTCCATTTCTTTCCTCTAAAATGTTACCTTGTGATAGGGCTTGGCTGTGTCCCCACCCAAATCTCAAGTTGAATTGTGTCTCCCAGAATTCCATGTTTTGGGAGTGACCCAGAGGGAGGTAACTGAATCATGGGAGCCAGTCTTTCCCATGCTATTCTCCTGATAGTGAATAAGTCTCTTGAGATCTGATGGGTTTATCAGGGATTTCCACTTTGGCTTCTTCCTCATTTTCTCTTGCCACTACCATGTAAAAAGAGCCTTTAGCCTCCCGCCATAACTCTGAGGCTTCCCCAGCCATGTGGAGCCATAAGTTCAATTAAACCTTTTTTTGTTCCCAACTTCTGGTATGTCTTTATCAGCAGCATAAAAACGAACCAATACACCTTAACTGAAATCTTCATGGGGTGGTGGTTCTTACTTACCCAACCAAGATAATTGACCACTTTATAACTTTTGAGCAGCTCTCTACATTTAAATGTTTACAGATCACCTATTAAGGAAACTTCTACTTAGAATTGTCAGCTGAGGATTTTCTCTAACTATCGTGGGTGATATTAGACCTACTTGTTATTCTATATCAGTAGTTAATAATCTAAGGTAATTTTTTCCTCAATCTCATTTTTAGGAAATTTTTTTGAAGAAAATTATAAAAATTAATATATATATTTTCAAAAATTTAAGTAGGACCCAAATGGAGCCCTTTGTCCCCCCAAGTCCTCTGGTACCACATCCCATACATTAACCCAGATGTCATATCATTTCATCCAGGTATATTTTAGTGTGTATCTCTAACCACAACACAGTGATCACACTAACAAAAATTAACAATTGTTTCTTAATATAAAATATTGAATTAATATTCAGATTTCTCTGATTTTCATAACTTTTTTTCCTAACTATTTTTTCACTTCTTTTCTTTTTTGAGACAGAGTTTGTCTCTGTCACCCAGGCTGGAGTGCAGTGGTACGATCTTGGCTCACTGCAGCCTCTGCCTCCTGGGCTCAGGCGATTCTCCTGCCTCAGCCTCCTGAGTAGCTGGGATTACAGGTGCACGCCATCATGCCCAGCTAGTTTTTGTATTTTTAGTAGAGACGAGGTTTTGCTATGTTGGCCAGGCTGGTCTCAAACTCCTGACCTCAGGTAATCTGCCTGCTTTGGCCTTCCAAAGTGGTGGGATTACAGGTGTGAGCCACCATGACCGGCCCCTAACAATTTTTTCAAATCAAAATCCAAATAAGCTCTATACATGGCAATTGGTTGATGTCTTTTAAGTCTTTCTTTTTTTTCAAGGTAATGTGTCATTTTTTTGTAGTATTTTTGTGTTTCTTAACCTTTTACAAAAATAGACTTTATTTTTAAAGCTGCGTTTGTGTTAGAGTTCGCTCCTGGTATGCTGTACATTCCGTGTGTTTAGACAAATGAATAATGAACATGTGTCCACCACTAAAGTACCAATACAGAATAGCTTCACTGCCCCAACAATCCTCTGTGTTCCACCTATTCATTTCTTCCTCCTCCCTAAACCCTGGCTACTACTAATCCTTCTACTGTCTCTATAGTTTTGCTTTTTGCAGAATGTCATATGGCCTTTTTAATTAACGTCTTTTTTTTTGAGACAAGGTCTTGCTTTGTCGTGCAGGTTGGGGTGAAGCGCTGGGATCTCAGCTCACTGCTGAGCCTCTACCTGCTAGGCTCAGGTGATCCTCCCATCTCAGCCTCCCAAGTAGCTGGGACTACAGGTGTGCACCACCACACCCAGCTAATTTTTTCTTTTTTTTTTTTGGGTAGAGATGAGGTTTTGCCATGTTGCCCAGGCTGTTCTCTGACTGCTGTGCTTAAGCAGTCCGCCCACCTTGGTCTCCAAAAGTGCTGGGATCGCAGTTGTCAGCCACTGTGCTCAACTTCTTTTACTTAGTAATATGCATTTACATTTCCTCTGTATCTTTTCATGACTTGATAGCTCATCTCTTTTTAGCACTAAATAATATTCCATTATCTGGATATACCACAGTTTATCCATTGCTGCCTTTTTTGGGGGGATTTATAATATACCTGCTATAAACATCTATGTGCCGGTTTTTGCATGTACATAAGTTCTCAATTCATTTGGGTAAATACCAAGGAGTGCGATTGATGGATCATATAGGAAGAGTATGTTTAGTTTTGTAAGAAACTGCCAAGCTTTCTTCCAAAGTGGCTGTGCCATATTGCATTCCTATCAGCCATGGATAAAAGTTCCTGTTGCTCTATATCCTTGCCAGCATTTGGTGGTGGTAGCATTTTGGGTTTTGCCATAATAATGGTATGTGGTAGTATCACATTGTTTTAATTGGTAGTTCTCCAATGATATAGCATGCTGAGCATCTTCTCATGTGCTTATTTTCCATTTACATATCTTTGGTGAGGTGCCTGTTCAGGTCTTTTGCCCATTTAAACAAAATGAATTGTTTTCTTACTGTTTAGTTTAAAGAGTTTTTTTTTTTTTTTTTTTTTTTTGAGACAAAATTCCCCCAGGCTGGAGTGCAATGGCACTATCTTGGCTCACTGCAACCTCTGCCTCCCAGGTTCAAGCGATTCTCCTGCCTCAGCCTCCCGATTAGCTGGGATTACAGGCGCCTGCCACCATTCTCGGCTAATTTTTGTGTTTTTAGTAGAGACGGGATTTTCATGTTGGCCAGGCTGGTCTCGAACTCCTGACTTCAGGTGATCCGCCTGCCTTGGCCTCCCAAAGTGCTGGGATTACAGGCATGAGCCACCGCACCTGGCCTAAAGAGTTCTGTGTATATTTTTGGGTAATAGTACTTTATTGGATATATTTTCTATAAGTATTTTATTTCAATGTGGCTTGTCTTTTCAATCTTTCAGTCTTAAGACTCTTAATTTTTATGTTCACCCTCCCTCTCTTTTTTTTTTCCAGAGCATTAACTAAAGAAACTAAATTGTATATCCTATAGATTTTGCAGCTTGATCTGTGTGATATGAGATATATAGATCTATCTGTTTATCTATCTGTCCATATATGTTTTCATCCAGAATTCCTGGCTCATAACTCCCATAGCCCCTGTTATTTCTTAAGTGACTTAAACAATAAGCATATCTTTTGTTAAAGTATTTTGCCTTTTGTCTTTGGTTCCTGAAGAAGCTTTGAAACAGCTTCTGAGCAATAAAGGTGAAAGACAGTCTTTTGTTATAATGTTGGAGTACTTTAGATCTCAGAAGTAGGCCTCAGAAGACAGATCTCTCTCTCTCTGGCCTTCTCCTGGTCTTTGTTCACTTGCTCATTTTTCTCCCCAAGGCAGGCCATAGAAACTAAAAACATGCTCTAATCTTCCCCCGGCTTTCTGTCCACAAGCTGGCCATAAAGGAATTCTCTGACTTACATTGTCTGATTTTAGGTCATAAGACCCCCATTTCAAAATGGATCTTGTCCCATACCATGGAGGAAGCAATGCTGCACAGAGAGGCCAAGAAGAATCTGAACAAAACAGGCCTTACTGGGTTTCCCCACTCAATCTATTAGTATTAGATTATACCCTTTTTGTTCAGTCGCATTTCTGCATGTTTGTCCATACTTCAACATGCCTATCCAATGAAGTCTCCATCAAAAATTTAAGAAGATGGGGTTCCGAGAGCTTTTTGATTGCAGAACAGGTAGAAGTTCCTGGAGGTTAGTGTAGCCAGAGAGGGCACGGAAGCTCTGCACTCCTTCCTACATGCCTTGCCCTGTGCATCTCTTCATCTATACCCTTTGTGTATCCTTTATAATAAACTGAACATAAGTGTAAACCTAAGTGTATTCCTAGGTTCTGTGAGCTGCTCTAGGAAATTAATCAAACCCAAGGCAGGGGTCATGGGAACCATGATTTATAGCTGGTCCCATCAGAAGTGTTACTGGAAAGATGTCCTGATCAGAACCCAGGATAGGGTTTTTAGACCTCACCCAAGAAGGAATTTGAGGAGAGTCCTTAAAGTGAAAGCATTAGTTTATTAAGAAAGTAAAGAAAGAAATGAATCGCTACTCCATAGGCAGAGCAGCAGCATGGGCTGCTCGACTGAATATACTTATAGTTATTTCCTGATTATGTGCTAAAGAACGGTTAGATTATTCATGAATTTTCCAGAAAAGGAATGGGTAATTCCTGAAACTGAGGGTTCATCCCCTTTTTCGACCATATAGGGTAACTTCCTGATGTTGCCATGGCATTTGTAAACTGTCATGATGCTGGTGGGAGTGTCTTTTAGCGTGCTAATGCATTACAGTTAGCCTATAGTGAGCAGTGAGGATGAGCAGAGGTCACTTTCATAACCATCTTAGTTTCGGTGGGATCTGGCCGGCTTCTTAACCACATCCTGTTTTATCAGCAAGGTCTTTGTGACCCATATCTTGTGTTGACCTCCAATCTCATCCTGTGATTAAGGATGCCTAACCTCCTGAGAATGCAGCCCAGTTAATCTCAGCCTTATTTTACCCAGCCCCTATTCAAGATGGAGTTGCTCTGGTTCAAATATCTCTGACGGAAGCACAGGTAAAACAGCCTAGGGCTTGCAATTGGCGTCAGAAGTTGGAGGCGGGCAGCCTTGGGGACTGAGCCGTCAACCTGTGGAATCTGATGCTACGGATGGTGTCAGAATTAAATTGGAGAACACCCAGCTGGTGTCCACTGCAAAGTTGATTGCTTGCTTGGTGGAGTAAACCCCTATATATCATGGTATAAGAGCAGAGAAAAAACTGATTTTCTACATAATCAGATTGTTTTGTTTGTTTATTTTTCAGGGATAGTGTGTGCATCCATCAAGGAGCTCTTCTCTTTCTATCTCTTGCTCTCTTTTTTTGGTGTTATTAGCAGCCGTTGATGATCATTGCCAGTATCCATTTTTATTTATCTATAAAGTGGTGTAAACAAAAAATAAAATTCTAAGCCCCCCAACTGACTGATGGACCCCCCTCTAGGTTAAGGGAGTTTCAAACTAAACCTGAAAAACTAGTTCAGGCCATGAAGGGAATGGGAGGTTGGGCATGCATCATTATACCTTCCTCCCCTTGGAATTCAGACATAACTGACCAGCATTAACATTAAAACAGAGATCTTAAGACTGACAAAACAGACTTTGTAGCAATAAGATACCAAATTCCAATCTGACTCTAGTATAACATCACATGACAGATGGCAGGCCCTGAAAGAAATCAAGGTATTTCACCTCAAAATATATTTATTGGACATATTTTGAAATAGCCCTGCAAAGCTGTCTCTTGTGGGGAAAATCTGCATTTTCTAGAGAATCCCCTTCCCTTTCCAGATCTTTTTCCTGATCTAGAAGCAAATTAACTAGAGTCTGGCATCTTTTTATGTCTGATAAGAGCTCTGAAACCGGCTACCTGGAGGTTTCATCTGCATGATAAAAATCTTGGTCTCCACAACCCCTTATCTGAACTCAGATGCTCCTTTCTATTGAGTCTAGATCTTTAGATAATAACAACTCTTTCAACCAGTTGCCAATCAGATAATCTCTGAATCCACCTGTGACCTGGTAGCCCTGGCTTCAAGTTGTGCTTTATTTCCAGCCGAACCAGGATACACTTTACATGTATTGATTGATGTCTGCCTTTAACTTCTGTCCCCCTGAAATACATAAAATCAAGCTGTAAAACAACCACCTTGGGCACATTTCTCAGGACCTCCTGGGGCTATGTCATGAGTCAGTGTCAGAGGTGTTTGAACCAGAACATCTCTGTCTTGAATAGGGGCTAGGTAAAATGAGGCTGAGACCTACTGGGTTACATTCCCAGGAGGTTAGGCATTCTATGTCACAGGATGAGATAGGAGGTCGGCACAAGATACAGGTTATAAAAACTGGTCGTGGTAAAGAAGTCGGCCATATCACACCAAAACCAAGATGGCAACGGAAGTAACCCCTGGTCATCCTGGCTACTCATATATGCTAATTATGATACATTAGCATGCTAAAAGACACTCCCACCAGTGCTATGACAGTTTACAAATGCCATGCCAATGTCAGGAAGTTACCCCATATGGTCTAAAAGGGGGAGGAATCCTCAGTTCTGGGAAATGGCCACCTCTTTCCTGGAAAACTCATAAATAATCCACCCTTATTTAGCATATAATCAAGAAATAAGTATCCTTAGTACAGCAGTCCAGGCTGCTGCTCTGCCTGTGGAGTAGCCATTCTTTATTCCTTTACTTTCTTTTTTTTGAGACTGAGTTTCGCTCTTGTTGCCCAGGCTGGAGTGCAATGGCGCGATCTTGGCTCACTGCAACCTCAGTCTCCCGGGTTCAAGCGATTCTCCTGCCTCAGCCTCCCAAGTAGCTGAGACCACAGGCATGCGCCACCACGCCTGGCTAATTTTGTATTTTTAGTAGAGACGGGGTCTCCATGTTGGTCAGCCTGGTCTCGAACTCCCGACCTCAGGTGATCTGCCTGCCTCAGCCTCCCAAAGTGCTGGGATTACAGGCATGAGCCACCGCACCTGGCCTATTCCTTTTCTTTCTTAATAAACTTGCTTTCATTTTGCACTATGGACTCACCCTGAATTCATTTTTGTGCGAGATCCAAGAACCTTCTCTTGGGATCTGGTTTGGGACCCCTTTCGAGTAGCAGTGGTCCTCACATCTGGCTCAGAATAAATCTCTTAAAGTATTTTATAGAGTTTAACTCCTTGTTGATATTCATAATATTCTTTTTTTTTTTTTTTGAGACAGAGTCTGTCGCGCAGGCTGGAATACAGTGGTATGATCTCATTTCACTGCAGTCTTGACCTTCTGGGCTCAAGTGATCTGCCCACCTCAGCCTCCCGAGTAGCTGGGATCACAGGTTCACACCACCATGTCCGGTTAATTTTTTGCATTTTTGATCGAGACAGGGCTTCGCCATGTTGCCCAGACTGGTCCCGAACTCCTGGGCTCAAGCAGTCTGCCTGCTTTGACCTCCCAAAGTGTTGGGATTACAGGCGTGAGCCACTGCGCTCCGATATTCTTTCATTTCTTCTTTACTTACTTGCCGTAAGATTTTGATAAAGATAAACTTGGCAGCATTAATACGTCACTTAGGAAATTTAGGATAAATGCTCGATTTCTCCCCAACTTTATTAATCAGCTATTCAAAAACTGAGGTGTTCCTCTATATCCTTCAAAGGTGACCAATGAATTTTTATTTTTTAGTATAATTGTGCACTCATGGATTTAAATATAATTGATGCATTTTAGCTTATTGCAGTTGTTTAATTTTATCGATACTCATATTGTCCCATCTTTGGCCAGTGGGAGTTTATTCAACTTGACTTCTGAGTCCTTTTAATTCCAAGCATCATTCATGACTTACTACTTTCTTTTGTGACTGATGTTTCTGCCTTATCTTGTACATATTCTGCTCTTAGACCTGAAATCTACTTAACAGGAACACTTAAAAGTTCCCTTTATTATGTTGTTAGGTTCACACAGCTTAATATGTATTTACATCTCAACAACTAAAAAGGGAAAAACAGTTTTTCTGTACTCTCTCACAGCACTTTTGACACCAGAAGTGTGTAGGGATTTCCCATATCAAACAATGATCCAATTCTTGGCAGGCACTAGGTGTTCTACAACTTAACCTAATGCTGGCAGTGCACTAACCTGAAGTTAATGCAGACCCCACAGGTTAAGGGCTCAGTCTTACAAGACTGTCCCCCACTTTAGATATCAATCACAAGTAGTGGGGTCCCCAGGTTACCCACAACCCTATCCCATTTGGCTCCAAATTGGACATTCCCAAGACCCCCTCTTCAGGTTTGAGAACTTGCATGAATGGCTCGTAGAACCATGTAAACACTTTACTTACTATTACTGGTTTATTACAAAGCATTTTTTAATTTTTTAATTTTTAAGATTTTTTAAAATAAATAGAGACGCGGTTTTGCTGTGTTGCCCAGGCTGGCCTCAAAACTCCTGGCCTCAAGCAATCCGCCCATACGGGATTACAGGCGTGAGCTAGCGTGCCCGTATTTCTTATTATATCACAGTATCACAAGAAGTTAATAGCCGTTTGAAAAAATAATACACGTAAGTTGAAAGAGGAAATAATATTTTTATTTCACTCCTACATAACTAAAATTACTAATGGTTTGTGTGTGCCTGTAGGACAGTGTACAGCTTGTAATACCTTGCAGTCAGATTGGACATCACTACCCTCATTTCTTGTTCCATGTTGATTTTTACATGGCACTTTTCTTTTTTTGTCACATGACCCCAGAAAACTCAGCTTCACAAGATATATTGTCAAGAGGAATGCAGTGCTATCTAATGTTGAAACTGAACTACTTTTAGCTAGTATTTTGTGCTGTTTCTGAAAGATGTCCAGTATTGCTGTTTCCCTCAAATTTAAGATGTCCCGAAACTCCCCTCTGAGTTTGCTTGCGGTGCCCCTGGGTGCTTCAGTGCACTCTTTGGGAATCTTGACTAAATACTATTATCCAGGTCTTATTATAATCAATGTGTGAATTTTATTTTTATTAAATAAATGTGTTGGTCCCCCCATCACCTCAGTTGAGTTCTAATTTAAGATTTACTTGAGGCCAGGCATGGTGGCTCATGCCTATAATCCCAGCAATTTGGGAGGCTGAGGTGGGCGGATCACCTGAGGTCAGGAGTTTGAGACCAGCCTGGCCAACATGGTGAAACCCCATCTCTACTAAAAATACAACCATTAGCCAGGTATGGTGGTGGGCACCTGTAATCCCAGCTACTCGGGAGGCTGAGGCAGGAGAATCGCTTGAACCCGGGAGGCGGAGATTGCCCTGAGCTGATACCACGCCACTGCTCTCCAGCCTGCTGACATAGTGAGACTCCGTCTCAAAAAATAATAATAATAAAGGCAAGAGTCCAAAGTGGATTTTTCCTTCTGATACTTAATATATGTATAGTTATGTGTCACATAATGTTTCAGTCAGGGATAGACTGCATATACAGAGGTGGTTGCCTAAGATTATAATACCATAACTGTACTTTTTTCTGTGTGGAGGTATGTTTATATACCAAGTATTCAGTACAGTAACATGCTGTACAGGTTTGTAGCCTAGGAGTAATAGGCCATACCATATAGCCTAGGTGTATAGTAGGCTCTACCATCCGGGTGAAAATAATTTGTTAATTTTCCTACTTTCTTGTCATTAATCGTTTTTAAAAACTTTTTTTTTTTTTTTTTTAGACAGGGTCTTGTGCTGTTGCCCAGGCTGGTGCCATCATAACTCACTATGGCCTCGACCTCCTGGGCTCAAGTAATTCTTCTGCCTCAGCCCTCCCGAGTAGCTGGGACTATAGACACATGCCACCACACTCAGCTAATTTTTTTTTTTTTTTGAAATGGAGTCTCGCTCTGTCACCAGGCTGGATTGCAGTGGCGTGATCTCATCTCACTGCAACCTCTGCCTCCCAGGTTCAAGTGATTCTCCTGCCTCAGCCTCCCAGGTGTCTGGGACTGCAGGCGCCCACCACCACGCCCGGCTAATTTTTGTATTTTTAGTAGAGATGGGGTTTCACCATGTTGGCCAAGATGGTCTCGATCTCTTGACCTAGTGATCTGCCCGTCTCGGCCTTCCAAAGTGATGGGATTACCACCATGCCTGGCCCACGTTTGGCTAATTTTTTATTTTCTGTAGAGACAGGGTCTTATGATGTTGCCAAGGCTGATCTTGAATTCCTGGGCTCAAGCAGTTCTTCCACCTTGGCCTCCCAAAGTGTTAGGATTATAGGCACTAGCCACTCCACCCGGTCGATTAATCTTTTAATAGTTGTCGTCAGCATGAAAAGGGCATTCATACATTCATATTCATTATAATGAATTTGAGAATTTCACATTTTCTAAACTGATTATACCGGCATATCTTGTCTGAAGCATGTGAGTAGGGCAGAAGCTAAAATAAAGATTAAGTCTCACGGTATAGAAGAAGGGTACAGAAAATAACCCAAATAAAGAGTAAAATCTTGATTAGAGTACAAGCCTAAACAAAGTTAATAGATATGAAAGGATTAATTATACAGCTACTAAATTGGATAATAATTGCTCTGTGGAATGTACATGAGAAATTATTTTTGAGCCTGTATATGTGAGTAGTTTGCATTTAATGGGTCCCGGTCATAAACCTCAAACATATTATCATGAGAAGAATTTCACTGTTGATATGAAATCTTTTAAACTTTATCTGCTCAGTCTGAAGGATTATTTCTGTCCCATTTCAGCTTATAAATGTAAAAAAAGAGAATGTGCTCCTCATATCTAATGAGCTGCTGGTAGACCACACTTCACACATGTTAACTGTTGATGGAGAGATTGAACCTGTCCAGCTTTACACACTGGGAGAGGACCCTAGGAAGCTGGAGAGGACCTAGGAAGCTGGTGTCTGATTTCCTCTGGACTTCACCCTATGTGCTTCTTCCTTTGCTTTTTTTGTTTTGTATTCTTTCTCTATGGTAGATCTTAGCTGTGAGTACAAACTATATGCTGAGTTATGTGAATCCTTCTAGCAAATCACCAGTCCTGGGGGGTACAGCCCCCAACACAGTAATAAATGACTTAAAAAGGAAAACACTATTCCCTGCCTCATCCTTGCACCTCTCTCAGTCTTAGGTTTTTTTTTTTCTTTTAGGTGTTTCTTTTGCTATTTGTTTCCTTTTTTCTAATAATAAACTGCTATTTCTTGAGATACCAGTTTTTGACGTTGTCTATTAACTAGGTATTACGATAGATGAGGGTTTAGGTTTCTTATACCCTTGCCCTAGTTCCCTGTGTTCAGTCCTCCAATATGACCATTTCACAGTGTGTAAGTCAGTATTCATGTTATCATTATGATAACTAGATAAATATTGTATAATACTGAACAGGGGACTACAGATTCTTTTTCCCATCTAACTTTTCTTTCTCCTAGAGTTGATAGTTGTTTCTTATTTTCATTTGCTTTGTTTACTGTTTTGTTTGTTTGTTTGTTTTCAGATAGGGTCTTGCTCTGTTGCCCAGGATGGAGCATAGTGGTGAGGTCATGGCTCACTGCAGCCTCGATCTCCTGGATTCAAGCAGTCCTCCCACCTCAGCCTCCCAAGTTGCTGGGACCACAGGCAGGTGCCACCATGCCCAGCTAATTAAATTTTTTGTAGAGATAGGGGTCTCGCTATGTTGCTCAGGCTGGTCTCAAACTCCTGGGCTCAAGCAATCCGTTCTCTTCAGCCTCCCAAAGTGCTGGGATTAGCAGTGTGAGCCACCGTCCCAGCCTATATGAAAAATTTATCCCCAAAGCTCCAGTGGCTCTTTAACATGTCTTATTGTTGCTTTCCACGTGGTCAGATGTATCTAATTTCCATCATTCCTTGGAGCTCTTCTTCCTCATGCTTCACTGTGGATTAGTTGGTCACAGATTTGCTTTTATGGGGACTTCCCTTTGCTGCACTCTAGGGTTGAATCTCAATCAAGTCTTCCTACTGTTTGTTTACTGCCTTGTTTTTGTAGGAATTATTGAGAAAGTATATTATTGGGATTGTAAATTATTGGGAAAGTAAATTTCTTGAGACTATTAGTCTGAAAATGACCTTATTTGTTGCGGGAAGTCAGGGACCCCGAACAGAGGGACCACCTGGAGCCATGGCAGAGGAACATAAATTGTGAAGATTTCATGGACATTTGTTAGTTCCCAAATAATACTTTTATAATTTCTTATGCCTGTCTTACTTTAATCTCTTAATCCTGTTATCTTTGTAAGCTGAGGATGTATGTCACCTCAGGACCACTGTGATAATTGTGTTAACTGTACAAATTGATTGTAAAATGTGTGTTTGAACAATATGAAATCAGTGCACCTTGAAAAAGAACAGAGTAGGCCAGACACGGTGGCTCACGCCTGTAATCCCAGCACTTTGGAAGGCCGAGGCAGGCGGATCACGAGGTCAGGAGATTGAGACCATCCTGGCCAACATGGTGAAACCCCGTCTCTACTAAAAAAAAATACAAAAAACTAGCCAGGCGTGGTGGCGGGCGCCTGTAGTCCCAGCTACTCAGGAGGCTGAGGCAGGAGAATGGCATGAACCCTGGGGGACGGAGCTTGCAGTGAGCTGAGATCGCGCCACTGCACTCCAGCCTGGGTGACAGAGCGAGACTCTGTCTCAGAAAACAACCAAACAAACCAAAAAAAACAGAGTAACAGTGCTTTTTAGGGAACAAGGGAAGACAACCATAAGGTCTGACTGCCTGTGGGGTTGGGCAAAAGGAGCCATATTTTTCTTCTTGCAGAGAGCCTATAAATGGACGTGCAAGTAGGGAAGATATCACTAAATTCATTTCCTAGCAAGGAATATTGACATTAATACTCTGGGAAAGGAATTCATTCCTGGGGGGAGGTCTATAAACAGCTGCTCTGGGAATGTCTGTCCTATGTGGTTGAGATAAGGACTGACATACGCCCTGGTCTCCTGCAGTACACTCAGGCTTACTAGGATTGGGAAACTCCATCCTGGTAAATTTTTGGTTAGACCGGTTCTCTGCTCTCGAACCCTGTTTTCTGTTAAGATGTTTATCAAGACAATATGTGCACCACTGAACACAGACCCTTATCAGGAGTTCTGATTTTGCCCTTGTCCTGTTTCCTCAGAAGCATGTGATCTTTGTTCTGCCTTTTGCCCTTTGAAGTATGTGATCTTTGTGACCTACTCCCTGTTTGTACACTCCCTCCCCTTTTGAAATCCTTAATAAAAACTTGCTGGTTTGGAGGCTTAGGTGGGTATCACGGTCCTACTGATATGTGATGTCACCCCTGGCGGCCCAGCTGTAAAATTCCTCTCTTTGTACTCTTTCTCTTTATTTCACGGCCAGCCAACACTTATGGAAAATAGAAAGAACCTACGTTGAAATATTGGGGGCGGGTTCCCCCGATACTTAAGTTAACTATACACTTGAATGATTGTTGGAACTAATTTTCTTTCAGCGTTTGAAGATACTTTAATGTCTTTAAGCTTCCAGTGTTTCTGTTGGCATATTGGTCCTGATCCTGTGAATATAAGCTGCTTCCCCAGCTCCCTCACCCACAGGACACTTTTTGGTATCATCTTTTTACCCCCAGTGCTCTGAAATTTCATGAGATGCATTGTCACAGTTCTCTTCATTTATCATGAGGGGTGCTCAGTGGTCCTCTCAAAGGACACTCTTGTACTTAAATTCTGGGACAAATTTATTTCCTTATTGTGGGAAGAACAAGAATGTATTGTGCCTGCAAACAGTGCTTACAAAATATAACATTTCCAAATAATCTTTTAATACTGGTTAGTGTTCAGTGTATAAGGTATTGATAAGTCAATATTTGGATTCCCTTATACAATTCTAGATTAGAGAATTTTAATTTACAGATTATTTTTTAAAACTATAAAAGTGAGGAAAGGTTGCTTTTAGTGAACTTAAGGCTGATATTTATTGATAAAGAATGTTTACAAAATATTGAATCTGTTTAACTCGTAAACTAGTTAAGCAAGTTATTGTTTTTCTGGAATAGGCCTTTTTATGTTTAGATAGTATCAAGTTTAATAAACTAGTAGGTTTATTCTTGAAAGCTAATTTCAGGAGACATTAATTTACTTAATTTCTTTCTTCTCTATTTATATTGCTTTGTCCTCTTGCATGCGTGACTGATTCTTACTGTGTGTGCTGATTAATATTGGCATAGGAGCAGAAAATACTACTTTAAGAACAATGTATAACCTAGTCCTTCAGAGAAGTGAATGTTTTTAAACAATTGTTTAGTTAAGTTTGAGTCTAGTTTTGTGAACTTTTTGTCTGTTTCATCTCAGTTGTAACTGTCATAACTGTACTTCTTACTTGAAATATTCATTTTCAAATGTACGATTGTTTTTGGTTCTAAAGTAAAATTCTGGATATGTGGTTTTTGCTTTATACTTTTAATACTTTTTGCTATTGCAGAAGTAATTTTTTTAATCTTCAGTTCTCTCTAGAGAGATATTGTTCTTTTACACAGGAACCAGCCACATGCTTTCATTTTGGAATGATTGGAAATAGTGATATTGGGTGTGAATGTAAGCTGATTCCCCAGCTCCCTCACCCACGGGACACTTTTGGTGTCATCTTTTTATCCCCTGTGCTCTGAAATTTCATGAGGTCAGGTCCATATTTGAAAAGGAAAGTCCTTTTTCTTTTTTGTTTGTTTTTTGAGACAGGGTCTCTCTCTTTCAGCCAGGCTGGAGTGCAGTGGCACCATCTTGGCTTGCTGCAACCTCCGCCTCCCGGGTTCAACTGATTCTTGTGCCTCGGCCTTCCAAGAAGCTGGGATTACAGGCATGCATCACCACGCCTGGCTAATTTTTGTGTTTTTAGTAGGGAAGTGGTTTCACCATGTCGTCCAGGCTGGTCTTGAACTCCTGGCCTCAAGCAGTCCACCTGCCTTTGCTTTCCAAAGCACTAGGATTACAGGCGTGAGCCACTGTGTCTGGCCAACATCCATATTTTTTAATGGCTTATGATCACATCTCTGTAAGGCATTCATGGCCCTTTATTTTCCTTCTCAGAGTTTTTATTGAAATATAATTTATATTTAGTGAAATGTACACTTTGATAAGTCTTAACAAATGTATACATACTTATAGCCCGCATGCCTGTTACGATGTAGATAGGAACATGGCCATCAACACAGAATGTTCTCTCTTACTACTTCATATTCAACCCCTGCCTCTTCTCCACACCCTAGTAACCACAGTTCTAAATTCTTTTGACACCTAGGTGACTACCTGTTCTAGAACTTACTATAAATACAGTCATATATTATGTACTCTATTGTGTTCTTATGCTATTTTATGAAATTATGTTTTGTTGTATATATGGATTATTTGTTTCTTATTAAAATGCTGAATAGTATTCCCTTATATGAATCCAATCATCTGTTTGTTGGCAATGTGGGTGCTTCTAGTTTCTAGTTTTAGCTATTACAAATAAAGTTACTCTGATGATAAGTGGGGTTTTTTTTGTGAATATTTGTTTTCATTTCTCTTGGGTAAATAAGGAGTGGAATTGCTAGGTCATATAGAAGGATATGCTTAAGTGAAGATACTGCCAGTTTTCCAGGTCTCAATGTGTGAGACTTCTGGGTGCTCCATATCCTTGCCAGTGTTAGGGATTGTTGTTCTTTTTAAATTTTAGCCATTCTAGATGATGTCTATTGATAGCTCATTTTAATTTTAATTTGCATTTATTTGATTTTTTTCCTTGGGCTTACTAACCATCAGTATGTCAAAATGAAATAAAATATAGAGATGAATCTCTAAGTTTAAAACATTTTATTTGGGAAGCAAGAATTGCAATTCAGGGCATACTCACACAGACCTGATGGTCTTTGCTGTGTCCCAAGAACAAAGAGAAGGTTAGGGGTTTTATTTTTAAAAAGAGAAATGTTATATATTGCTCTGTGAGAAAGTTCATCGCACTAGTAAGGTTTGGGGGACTGACAGTCTCTGAGTGGTGAGTGACCAGATGGGTAAAGCCAGTCTTAGAGTGGCAGCAGGTTGTTTCGGAAGTGATTAGATAAAACTAGTTTCAGGTTACAGCAGGCAGTTTCAGCGGCCAGGCTGGCAGAAAATTACATTCTTGGAGCAATGGTGTGTGCCCAGAGTGCTTTTTCCTCTTGGCTTCTTGACTCAGTTTTATTTGGGTATGACAAGTGACCCAATTCATATGATCAATTTTCATACTATATTTTCCTTTGTAAACTGTTTGTTCAACTCTGCCCATTTTTTTATGGGTTTTTTATCTTTTTATTATTCTAAATAAAATCCTTTGTCAGATACACACACACAACACACACACACACACACACACACAAATGTAGTCTTCAAGTCTTTGGCTTGACTGTTCATTTTCTCTTTTTTTCTTTCTCTTTCCCTACAAGACAAGGCTTCCCGCTGTCACCCAGGCTGAAGTGCACTGTGGTCATGGCTCACTGCAGCTTACCTCCTGGGCTCAAGTGATCCTCTTGCCTTGGCCTCCCAAAGTGCTGGCATGAGTGACTGTGGTTGGCCTGTTTATTTTCTTAATAGTGTCTTTTGATGAGCAGAAGTCCAATTTGTCAGTTTTTAATTTTATAGTTAGTGCTTTCTGGTAATGTCTGGGAAGTTTTTACCCTCTCAAAGCCCTCAAAAATATGTTTTTAGAAGTTGTATAGTTTTTAGCTATTAAGTTTTAGGTCTGTAATTTATGATGAATTATATTTTGTACATGATATGACATGGAGAGTGGAGCTTCAATTTTTTTCATATGCTTATCTAGCACTATTTGTTGAAAAAGATTGTCCCCTCATTGTATTCCTCTGGAACCTTTGTTGAAAATCAATTAACTATACACGTGTGCATTTCTTTTTGGAATTTCTATTTGTTCCTCCAATCTATTATCTGTTCTTACTGCAACACCTTACTGTCCTGATTACTGTAGCTGTTTTTCTTCTGTTTTTGTCTATGCTTGTTGGTGTTTCTGGGTTTCCCAGCTTCTATCATTCCAAGTCTATGGTGTGAGATAGAAGAAAACTCTGAGAACTCACCACCATATTCCTCCTATCCTGAGGTACTGAACCGGTCTGCCTCCTTCTGTCTACCTTTCAGAGTCTTTTTTTGTTTCTTCTTCTTCTTCTTCTTTTTTTCTTTTCAATCTGATCTGGGAATTTTAGTTGTACGTACCAGGAAGAATAGGGATAAATAATCTTTACTCAAATTTTCAATAATTTACACCAGGTATCCTCTTGCCTCAGAAATAAGAATTTCTGATTTTTGTTGTTTGTTTTCTTGCCTTTGAATATTTATACTTAAATTTTATTATGGACCATTTGAAACCTCTCTCTTCTGCCCTTTTCTTCAGTGAAGTTTAGGCTTGCTATAGCTCCCCAGTGGTCAAACAATGTGTCCTAATGCAAACATGTTGTTCTTCCTTTCTTACTAAACCGTCATGCACTCAGACTCTCACTCCTTCATGTCTGCCTTTAGTGGCTCCACTTATCTTCAGCTCTAGATGAATTAACTTGTCTTAGTCTGTTTAGACTTCTATAACAAAATACCATAACATGGGTAGCTTATAAACAACAGAAATTTATTGCTTTTCATTGCAGACTGGAATGTCCAAGATCAAGATGCTGACAGATTTAGTGTCTGCTGAGGGCCCACTTTCTGGTTCATAGACCTGGCCTTCTTGCTGTGTTCTCATGTGGTGGGTGGAGGTGGTGAATTCATAAGAGGAGGAGGGAGTGTCCTCATAAGAGGACACTAATCCCATTAATGAGAACTCCACCCTCACGACCTAGTCACCTCCCAAAGGCCCCCCCTCCTAATACCATCACCTTGGGGATTAAGTTTCAATATATGAATTTTGAGGGGACACATTCAGTCCATAGCACAAGTCAATAAATATTTCTTTAGAGTAGCTTTTGTCAGATAATCTATTAAATACTTTATGAACAAAACTGTCTAATTGTCTTTATCAGTCTAGTATGGAAACAAAAATAATTGTGTACCAGGAGAACATGGAAATGTAGTATAGTATAACTTACAAATGTTGTAGGGGTGAATGATCAAAAGCCACCTGGCATTTTGCTGCTGGTATTCCTGCCCTTACTCCTCTCTTAGCCCCAGTTTTGTCACTTTCTGGCTTTGGAATTGGTAATGACTCCCACACCAGGTCTGAACTCAACATGACATTTAGTGTCTGAGCCCACCTTATCTTTTAATGTCTTTTCCATTACTTCTTAGCAAGAACTGCCCAGGTCAGGCTGGTCTTCACCCCATTCTCATAATAAGTCCCAAATGTTCCTGTGTGTCTTTAACCACACTGTTCCTCCTGGCATAAATGTATTTATTCCCTTTCTTTGTGTGTATACGTGAAGGGTGGTTCAGTGAAAAAAAAGTGTTTTGAGTCAAACAGATCCCAGTTTTATCTCTTACTTGCTATGTGATTTAGGGAAAGTTATTTAAGCTCTCTGAGCCTTACTTTCTCTGTTTATAAACATGGAAAAATACTGCTTTTCTCACAGGGTTAGCTAAATTAATGTATGTGAACGTTCCAGAAGCCACAGGAACTCAAATAAATTGTTGATTCCCTTTATTTCCTGAATTAGAACTTAAGGCTTAGGGCAAGATTCATTTCTTCTAATATTTGTCTCATCAGCAGTAAATATGTTGAGAACAGAAAAGATACCAATTAGTTTATTAAATAAACATTTGACTACTTACTGTGTGCCATAGGTAGTGTTAAATTTTGGAGCTCACCATTAGCAAGGTGAACACATGCATATGTAATTGAAATACAGTATGGTAAGTGCTGTGAAGAGGTATGTTCAGGATGTTCTAGGACACAGAAAAGGAGTATTTGTGGCTTATACTGGATGGGGTGGGTCACCAGGGAGGATTCTTGGAGAAGTGTTGCTAGTGCTTGATTTTTTTAAACAGCTTTATTGAGGTAGAACTCATATAAGATCCACTCACTCGAAGTGTATAATTTAATGATTTTTAGCCAGTTTATGGGTTTCTGCAACCATCACCATAATCCAAATTTAGAATGTTTCCATCATCTACAAAATCATGCCCAATTGTAGGCCTAGTGTTAAAGGATGAGTATGAATTAGCCACGCAAAAATATTGAGAGGAAGGCTGGATTCCTGGGAGAGAATGAGCAAAGACAGAGAAGCATACAATAACATGGTATCCGTGTGGGTGATATGTCTATAAGCAATTTTTTTTTTCTGGAGTGTAAACCTGTGCGCCTGCCCCACAAGTTGTGTTTTAGCTTCCATGGACTTGAGCTCAGTTTCCTCATCTCTAATGTATAGTTCCTGTTACCTTGTTGAACTCTAGGTCCTTTTAAACTCTCAACTCTTAGATTGTCAAAACTTCAATTAATAGGAAAAGGGAATGCACTTTAAAAAACTATAGCCAAGGCCGGGCCTGGTGGCTCACGCCTGTAATCCTAGCACTTTGGGAGGCCAAGGCGGGTGGATCACAAGGTCAGGAGATCCAGACCATCCTGGCTAACATGGTGAAATCCTGTCTTTACTAAAAATACAAAAAAAAAAAAAAATAGCCTGGTGTGGTGGCAGACGCCTATAGTCCCAGCTAGTCGGGAGGCTGAGGCAGAAGAATGGCTTGAACCCAGGAGACGGAGCTTGCAGTGAGCCGAGATCGCGCCACTGCACTTCAGCCTGGGCGACAGAGTGAGTCTCAAAAAAAAAAAAAAACAAAAAAAAAAAAACAACGATAGCCAAGGCCGGGCATGGTGGCTCACACCTGTAAGCCCAGCACTTTGGGAGGCCAAGGCTGGTGGATCACCCGAGGTCAGGAGTTTGAGACCAGTCTGGCCAACATGGTGAAACACCATCTCTACTAAAAATACAAAAATTAGCCAGGTGTGGTGGTGGGTGCCTGTAATCCCAGCTACTCGGGAGGCTGAGGTGGGAGAATCACATGAACCCAGGAGGCAGAGGTTTAGTAACCAAGAGCACGCCACTGCACTCCTGCCTGGGCAACAAGAACGAGACTCCATCTCAAAAAAACAAAAACAAAAAACCAAATGATAGCCGAAAGTCAGGGCCCATTAAGAAAAACAGAATTATACTGATGCTTATTGATCCTTCAGTGAAAACTTTTTTGTTTTTAATATTTTTTTTTTCTGGTTATGTAAGCAATAGTGCATATTGGGTAGAAAATTTATAAAATGCAGAAAAACAAAAAAAGTTTAGATCAGTCATAATCTTAAATCCAGAGATAATTGTTATTAATATGCTGTTATTTTATACATATATTTATATATTTAAATTGATATGCTGTAAATAAAATTGCTTTTTCCTCACATCATTAAATATTGTCAACATGATTTTTAATGTTACATAATTTTTACAGGATCAAAAAACAGCTTGTTCTTTTTTTTTTTTTTTTAATTTGAGACAGGGTCTCACTCTGGCACCCAGGCTGGAGTGCAGTGGTGCGATCTCAGCTCACTGTAACCTCCATCTCCTGAACTCAAGTGATCCTCCCACCTCAGCCTCCCAAGTGGCTAGGACTATAGGCGTGTATCACTACACCCAGCTAATTTTTTTTTATTATACTTTAAGTTCTAGGGTACATGTGCATAACGTGCAGGTTTGTTACATATGTATACATGTGCCATGTTGGTGTGCTGCATCCATTAACTCATCATTTACATTAGGTATACTCCTAATGCTATCCCTCCCCCCTCCCCCCACCCCACCACAGGTCCCAGTGTGTGGTGTTCCCCATCCTGTGTCCAAGTGTTCTCATTGTTCGGTTCCCACCTATGAGTGAGAACATGCATGCGCCCAGCTAATTTTTTGTATTGTTTTTTTAGAGACAAAGTTTCGCCGTGTTGCCCAGGCTGGTCTCAAACTCCTAGGCTTGAGTGATCCACCCACCCTGGCCTTCCAGAGCGCTGGGATTAAAGGCATGAGCCACCGTGCCAGGCCCCTTTTCATTTTTTTAAGTGTTAGAATAAAGTCTACCCTTCTGACGCTTCCAAGAGTTAACAGTAATTAACCGTTTCTTACATGTTTTCAGAAACTGTGTGTGTGTGTGTGACTTTATAGCCTATTTGGATAAACCATAATTTAATCAGTATTCTATTGATAGCATTTTAGATTATCTTGTTTTTTGTTTTTACAGTACTGCAGTGAATATTTTCTTGCATATATCTTTGCATTTTTGTGAAAGTATATCTGAAGAATAATTTCCTAAAAGCAGAATTCTGGATCAAAGAGAATAGATTTAAAATTTTAATAGCTACGATAAGATTGCTTTTCAAAAAGGATCATGTTATACTTCTACCATTAGTAGGTGTTCTCGTGAGTCTTGTTTCCTCTATCCTTACCATCATAATGGATCTTATATGTGCCATTTTGTACTTTGCCACTCTTACATTAGAAAAGTGATAGCTCATTGTTTAAAAAATTATAATTGAAGTTGAACATTGTTTCCACTCATTTTTTAGCCACTTTTCTGTGAACTGCCTGTTCACATCCTTTGTCTGGTTCTCTTAATTTGTTGCTATTTTCATTAATTTGTTAATAACTCTTTGCTTTTTAAAGAAATTACCTCTCCCAATTTGCAACTTTTTTTTTTCCACATTTGCTTGTCCTTTGACTTTATTTATGGTCTCAGAATTGTCACTTATGGCTTGTGGATTTTTTAAATTGTAAAGTTAACATTTAAAGTGAGTGCAAAGAGAGGCCGGGCACGATGGCTCACACCTGTAATCCGAGCACTTTGGGAGGCCGAGGCGGGTGACTCACCTGAGGCCAGGAGTTCGAGACCAGCCTAACCAATATGGTGAAACCCTGTCTCTACTGAAAATACAAAAAATTAGCCGGGTGTGGTGGCAGGCACCTGTAATCCCAGCTACTCAGGAGGCTGAGGCGGGAGAATCACTTGAACCTGGGAGGCGGAGGTTGCAGTGAGCCGAGATTGCGCCATTGCATTCCAGCCTGGGCAACAAGAGCGAAATTCCATCTCTCAAAAAAAATAAAAAAAATAAATGAGCGCAAAGAGAAAAAGTGATTCTGATAGTATTTCAAATGAATATCATAATGACATTAAAGAGGAATAAGAATTAATCCAAGTAACTTTCAAACGCAGTACTTTGACTGTGTACCTACCATCCTAAAGAAGGGAGAAAATGCAAACAAATTTTGAACTCCTCTTACATTTGTCCTTTGTAGCATCTGTTGTAGTAAAACTATTTTGCATGTATTTTAGGATTGATTAAATGAGGGTTCCTTCATTTCTTTTAGCATAACTGCAGTACAAAAATATAGTTATTATCAATACATGAGCTGCATATAAAATTGCATGCATCGTAGAATCAGTGGTCTGTAATTATATGAATCATTAAATATATCATTTTAATTATAAAATTTAATTATGATGTGAACTGTTCATATGTAGTTATAAAGTCGTCTTTGTAACTTATTTATAGTTGTTTAGTCATAAAGCAAAATAGTAAGATTTTATGTTGGGGAGCAGTCAAAATGAAGCACTTTAGAATGATGAGTGGTTTTTTTTTTTTAAGGAATTCCATATTCTACTTTGAGAACTCTACCTCTGATTTTCATTTGATTTATTTTTTGAATACTCGAAGATCCCAGTGCTTTCAACCCTGAGAACTGAAATGTGTGATGCATGGAATATATCTCGAGACAATAAAATGAAAGAGTTTTTTACAAGGGGGTTTGTGGAGAAAATATTTTTGATTTGTAAATGCTGTGGTGTTTTTGTTCCTTGGTGTTAGGTGACTCTGCTAATGTTTTTTCTCTTGGTGCAGGTGTAATGGATAGGTAACAGAGAAGACCTCGTCCCTTCCTAGTCAGGGCATCAGCATGACTGAGTGCTTCCTGCCCCCCACCAGCAGCCCCAGTGAACACCGCAGGGTGGAGCATGGCAGCGGGCTTACCCGGACCCCCAGCTCTGAAGAGATCAGCCCTACTAAGTTTCCTGGATTGTACCGCACTGGCGAGCCCTCACCTCCCCATGACATCCTCCATGAGCCTCCTGATGTAGTGTCTGATGATGAGAAAGATCATGGGAAGAAAAAAGGGAAATTTAAGAAAAAGGAAAAGAGGAGTAAGTGCCATTTTTTCCTATGCCTAGATATTTTTATTTTATTTTATTTTACTTTATTTTATTATTATTTTTTGGGACAGAGTCTTGCTCTGTTGCCCAGGTTGGAGTGCAGTAGCACAATCTCAGCTCACTGCAACCTCCGCCTCGAGGTTCAAGCAATTCTCATGTCTTAGTCTCCCGAATAGCTGGGACTACAGGCGTGCGCCACCATGCCCAGCTAATTTTTGTGTTTTTAGTAGAGACAGGGTTTTGCCGTGTTGGCCAGGCTGGTCTTGAACTCCTGACCTTAAGTGATCTACCCACCTCGGCCTCCCACAGTGCTGGGATTACAGGCGTGAGCCACTATGCCTGTCCTAGATATATTTTAAATAAACTTCCACTCTAATTACATGTACCAGCTGTCTTCTGGAAACATGTGAAGGCAGAGATTCTTGTTTGACTTTTCTGTTCTTTATTTTTCAGGGTCTCAGTTTTTGTATATTAGAGTTGTATTTTGGGATCTTAATCTCACAAATAAAAATACTGAGTTTCCAGAAATGGAAAAGTTTTCTAGCGGATATTTCCTGAAGTAATAACTCAAAATGATGTCTAGAAAGATATTAAGCTGGCCACAGTGGCTTACGCCTATAATCCCAGCACTTTGGGAGGCTGAGATGGGAGGATTGCTTGAAGTCAGAAGTTCAAGAGCCTGAGAAACAAAAATTTAAACCATTAGCTGAGCATGGTGATGTGTGCCTGTAGTCACAGCCGCTTAGGAGCCTAGGAGATTGAGGCTGCAGTGAGCTATGCTTGCACCACTGTAGTCCAGCCTGGGTGACAGAGTGAGACTCTGTCCTCTCCTCCGCTGACGCCCCACCCAAAAAAAGGTAGATACTGGAATTTTCCCCTTAAGGCATCTTACTTTTCTTGGGTAGGTCGTGTTCGCTATTTGGGATACACTTTTTTGGAACCTTCAATAAAGTAGCTATTTATCTTAAGCAAATACCATGATACATTCCATTTGAGGTCCTATTCAGTAGGGAGGATGAATCATTTGAGCGTGGCTTTTTAGTATGTTAAAAGCAAATAAAGTGAGTTATGTTAAGTATTCCTTATTTTGAACTTCATGACATTTTAAATTGATTTGTTTTTGAAGAATTACACAGAGTACACAAATTGTATACAACTTGATGAGTGGGTATGCCTGTGTAACCACTACAAGGATCTGGAAATAGAGCATTATCAATTTTCTTTTGTGCCTCTTTAAAGGGAATCACCTACCCCTCCCATAAGTAAACTTCTTTTATTGTTGATTGATGCTGCCTGATTTTAAACTTACGCATACTTCTATTTGTGTCTAGCTTCTTTTACCCAATATTATATGTTAAAAGTAAAACTTTTAGACAAACTAAATTTAATGGGTTTTTTTTCTTTTGTGTTTTTATTTTGAGACAGAGTCTTGCTCTGTTGCTCAGGCTGTAGTGCAATAGTGTGATCACGGGTCACTGCAACCTCTGCCTCCCAGGTTCAAGTGATTCTCCTGCCTCAGCCTCCCAAGTAGCTGGGATTACAGGCACCCGCCACCATGCCTGGCTAATTTTTGTATTTTTAGTAGAGACAGGGTTTCACCATGTTGGTGAGGCTGGTCTCAAACTCTTGACCTCAAGTGATCTGCCCACCTCAGCCTCCCAAAGTGCTGGGATTACAGGTGTGAGCCACCCTGCCTTGCCAGTTTAACAGAGTTTAATTGAGCAAAGAACGATTAGGGAATCCAGTAGCCCCTAAACCAGAATAGATTTAGAGCGACTCTGGGGCTGCCACATGGTCACGTAATATTTATGGACGGAAAATGTAAAGTGACACACAGAAAACAGAAGTGAGGTACATAAACAGCTGGATTGGTTATAGCATGGCATTAGCCTTATTTGAGCAGTTTGAACAGTTGCCCCCCTGTGATTGGCCAAAACTCTGTAATTGGTACAAGAGTAGATTACAGTCTGTGTACACATCCAGTTAGGTTACAGTTCCCTATGTTCGGAGAAACCTTTAGGCCAAACTTAAAATACATGAGGAGGCAGCTTTAACCTAACATGTTTGTTAGATTGATTCATGTTATTCCATGTGGCAGTAATTTGTTCATCTTTGCACTAGATATTGTTTCATTGCATTATATGTTAGAGTTTATTAATCTCTTCTACTTTTGTTGCTTGTTTGGGTGGTTTTCAGTTTTTGACTGTTATGAATAGTGCTTCTGTGGTGTACATGTTTTTGTATTTCTGTTATGTTTATGCCTGGGAGTGGAATTGCTCATTTGTAGGCCATGTGTATTTCAGCTTCAGTAGATCCCTGCAAAACAGTCTTCCAGAATGCTTGTACCAGTTTACCTTCTCACCAGCAATGTATGAATATTCCACTTGCTAAAGCATCATGGTATTTTGTCCTTAAGATTCTTGCCATTCTGGTTGGTGTGGGGTACATGGTATTTTAGTTAGAGGGTAACTTAGGAAATAGCTGTTATCTTTTATATAATAGCTTGCAAGGTAGCTAGCTAAGGAAAAGAATTAGGAGAGTTACAGATATTAAAAAAAAAAACAACAAAACCAAACTATGACAACTCTGACATGGTTGGTAAAGCAATTGGGCACATTTGTCAGTGTGTGAAAAACCAGAGGTTTCTGATGCAGGGAAGTGGGCCCAGTGGATTTGGCCACCATCTAAAGATGAGGGAATTTCTCAGTTCAATCCTCTACTTAAAAGAGTCTGCAGTTCCTGCTGCAGTCTCCATAAAGAACTTAGCAGCTGGTGACAGGAGAGTGAAGTGTCATAGGAGAATAACTGAAACACATAAACAGTAGTGCAGTTCGTCATTCTCTGAGATTGCCTAAAGTTATAGGCTAGGCAGCACTTAGCTGGAAAAGCTAGGGTAGGTAAAGTGAACACAGGTTGAGTATCCCTATTCCGAAAATCCAAAATGCTACAAAATCTGAATCTTTTTGAGCACTGGCATGACACTTGGAGGAAATGCTCATTGGAGCATTTTGGATTTCAGATTTTTTGGGTTAGAGATGTTGAACTGGTATAATGCAAATATCCAGAAAAATCTGAAATTTGAAACACTTCTGGTCTCAAGTATTTCAGATAAGGGATACTCAACCCGTAGTATGTTAGAGGACACGACTCACGTGATGAAAGGATGCTCGGTCTACTTTAGAAAAGGATTCATTCCATTAGCCCTCTATGTAGAGCCTTTCAGGTGTATCTCTAATGTTTGGTTTGCCTGAATTCCACTTACACACATATGTAATATAAACCCTGTTTCCCCTCCTAATATTGTAAGGATGGTAACTGCTATCTATTTGTCCCCCTCTTGTGGTCAAGAGATGTCACTGCAACATCTCTTTTTGAGAAGAAACCCATTTCTTTGCTGGGAGTGCCCAGGAGGAATTGGCCAAGAAGTGAAAAGCTAGATTAGCTGGTGCCAGGTGGCACCGTTTTTTGGTTCTGTTTTTAGAAAGCATATGGACAGTTTGACATTAAACAAACATATAACTTATACTGTCTCTGTTTCTTTGGCAGCTGAAGGCTATGCAGCCTTTCAGGAAGATAGCTCTGGAGATGAGGCAGAAAGTCCTTCTAAAATGAAGAGGTCCAAGGGAATCCATGTTTTCAAGAAGCCCAGCTTTTCTAAAAAGAAGGAAAAGGATTTTAAAATAAAAGAGAAACCCAAAGAAGAAAAGCATAAAGAAGAAAAGCACAAAGAAGAAAAACATAAAGAGAAGAAGTCAAAAGACTTGACAGCAGCTGATGTTGTTAAACAGTGGAAGGAAAAGAAGAAAAAGAAAAAGCCAATTCAGGAGCCAGAGGTGCCTCAGATTGATGTTCCAAATCTCAAACCCATTTTTGGAATTCCTTTGGCTGATGCAGTAGAGAGGACCATGATGTATGATGGCATTCGGCTGCCAGCCGTTTTCCGTGAATGTATAGATTACGTAGAGAAGTATGGCATGAAGTGTGAAGGCATCTACAGAGTATCAGGTACTGGGAATGTGCACTTCACTTGATGGTTTTTAATAATAACTTCAGTTTCATTTTTCGAAGGAAGAAAAATTATTGTGAGGAAAATTTGGCCTGGATCCTAAGCCTTATTCATTTCCTTGATCCTACCAGTTGCACAAAAATCCACCCCTCTCCCCAGCCTTTCTTTGGTGTTCTGGCATTTGTTTTTTTAATATTTCCTTCCATTAGGAGGATTTCACGTTAGTTGTTCATAGCTTGCAGCAGCCAGGACTAAAACAAAGTGAAGTATACTGGCAGCATTGCTTAACAGGGCTGCATTCAGACCCTGCTTTTTTTTTTCTTTTGTTTGTTTGTTTTTTTGAGACAGAGTCTCGCTCTGTTGCCCAGGCTGGAGTGCAGTGGCGTGATCTCGGCTTACTGCAACCTCTGCCTCCTGGGTTCAAGCGATTCCCCTGCCTCAGGCTCCTGAGTAGCTGGGATTACAGGCGCCTGCCGCCACACCCAGCTAATTTTTGTATTTTTAGTAGAGGCAGGGTTTCACCATGTTGGTCAGGCTGGTCTCGAACCCCTGACCTCAGATGATCTGCCCTCCTCGGCCTCCCAAAGTGCTGGGATTACAGGAGTGAGCCACCACTCCCAGGCGCCTGCTTTTTTTTTTTTTTTTTTCTTTCCTCTCTAAGCAGAGGCTCAGTGGTATGAGGGCCATCAGCAAGAAAAGAAAGGTTAACTGTGTGAAGGAAGCTTCTTGGCCAAGAGACACGTTTATGGACACAGTCATATAATGCATTTCCTTAGCTCAGCTAAGAGGCATGACATGGTTTTGGTTTTGGTTTTCTTGGTGCGCGGTTCTTAGAGTTAGTGCAGTACCCGGTCAATACATGGAGTGGTCCAAGCAAGCTTCTGTTCCATCTCCCTGCTCCAGAAATCCTAGAACAGATACTACACCCAACTTTAGCCAAAAGACCAAGAAGCAGTAAATGTTTAGGCCCCACATGTGAATGCTTTGGTCAGCTACATGCAACTATTACGTATATTAGCAAAATGGATTTTCTATTTATCTTTATTCCATATGTATACAAATTAAATTTCATACTTGGAAAGAATGTGTTTTGATTGGGTATCTAAATCAAGCAATATGTATATTATTTAAAAGTAAAAAGATTTCTTAGAAAGCGGTATGACTTTTATACCAGGATAGGATGAAAGCCCTGACCTGTAGCAGCATCTGTGTTCCAAATTATTACATTCCCATTATTCAGTGTCTTGGTACCTCATCAGTTTCTGTTTAGAGATTTGTTTTATAAAGTTAATTGTTGGCTGAGGCAGGAGGATCACTTGAACCCAGGAGTTTGAGGCTGCAGTGAGCCATGATCGTACCACTGCACTCCAGCCAGGGCGAGATTGAGACCTTGTCTCAAAAATAATAATAATAATACTTGTTGGTCACAAGTACTTTCATGATGAGTTGTTAAGTCATACACATGTGGAATATATAGAGAGATAGACTTAGTTTTTTCATTTAGTTGGTTCATACGCAATTCTAGAAGGTAGATTTGATACTTAAGTTTTGCTGAGAAAGGGCAGATATTTTTGATAATTGGGAAAACCGTTACATAATCCACTAGATTACATGCCATTATTTAAGAGTATTTTTGGTAAAATGTTACTTTTTTATAGAAAATTAAATAAATTAGGCATTGAATTTGAGTTTATAACTCCTTAGTATTATATAAATATATTTAAACAAATATTTGATTTTTATGAATAATTGGCTAGGCATGGTAGCTCACGCCTGTAATCCCGGCACTTTGGGAAGCCGAGGTGGGCAGATCACGAGGTCAGGAGATTGAGACCATCCTGGCCAACATGGCGAATCCCTGTCTGTACTAAAATACAAAAAATTAGCCAGGAGTGGTGGCGCACGCCTGTAGTCCCAGCTGCTTGGGAGGCTGAGGCAGGAGAATAGCTTGAACCCGGGAGGCAGGGGTTGCAGTGAGCAAAGATCGCGCCACTGCACTCCAGCCTGGCAACAGAGCAAGATTCTGTCTCAAAAAAAAAAAAAATAAATAAATAATAATAATAATATACTGAATTGAGTTTTAAACATTTAAACATTAATAACATAAGTTGCTTCTCTCACATGGTCTTAATAGCCATGAATTAGTTTTGTTTTAGGTAAAAGTTTTTCTGAAAATTTTCCACAGCTTTGTTCAAAGGATTCTTTTTGTCTCTGACCTACTTTTAATGTCTGCATTTTTTTTGGAAATTCAGAGTCATAGAACTCTTCTCTGTGTGTAAAAGCATTCAGACAGAGCTGCTGCCCATCCTTGCAACAGCTAGGGGCTGAACTCCTGCTCTGCTGAGTTTTGGGTTTATTCTCTAACCTGTGGCAATGTGCTGTAGTCAGCCCGACTTATGCTACTGTCATGGACAGTGCTAATAATAATACTGCCTTTTGCTGGAGATGTTAGTTCTCACTTATGCATTTTAAGACCTTTTGCTGGAAGTGTTAGTTCTTGCTTATCTAATTTTAAACGAATATGAAAGACAATTTAAGTGATTTTGTACATTTTAATTTACTCATCTACATTTTCTTGTATTTTTTGGATTAAAGTGTACCTGTATGCTCTTTCTTTCTGTGGAACACTTCATTTGTAGTGTCCAATTTTTAAAAAGAAAACATTTTGATAACAGTTTCAGAGTAATGACAAACCAAACACACATTCTAATTGTCTACTTGTACAATTTGTTGGGTAGGTACTATAGGGGGAAGAATTAAATATACATGAGGAAGAGAAAAAATCTTTGCCAAGAATTTCAGTTATTATCACTTATGGTTTACCCATATTGTCATAAAAGTAAGAAAATGGGAATTCTAATTTTCTGTCACAAAATAAAGATTATATAAAAATAATAGTGTTATTTTTGTGTTTTGTTATTGATTTTATTTTATCAATACTGGATAAGTTACAGATTTATCATAATGCCATTAAAAGATTTTCACAAAGGATAAGGAATGCCAAAGTCCAGATGTAAGGAACCACTGTGAAGTGCTGTTCAGCTTAGACTGCATTTACCCACAGAAACTATCAGCGTTAATTTGTAGCTTGTTTCACATAATTGGCTGAAAGTGTTAAGTATTAAAAACAGCAAAAAACTACTTTGTGTTCTTCTGAGCAATCGCCACTAAATTACGTCACTTAATGCAGATTGTACTAAAGACTTAAAATCTTATGTAATGTTTGCAAATCATTTGCTTTAGTTTCCTTTTGTTCAATAAGCAAAACGATTTTAGAAACCCATACTTTATTTTTTTTGTTCCAGCTCTGTTCAGATTAAGGTTATACTTAAAATAATCCAAACTTTAAAATAGAAATTAGATGGGGATGATTTAATGGAGAATAATTTTCAAAGTGTTTGTTTGGGTAGCTAATTCACCCTTTGCAATTACAGTACAATATTTACACATAAAAAAGTAATTTACCCACAACTTTTTGGAACATACTTAGGTACACCAAGCCACATTTTTTTGTGGTCAGTCTTGTGACTTGTTAGAAAAAGCAGCTGGCTGCCTGTGTAGAGCCAGACTTACACTTGGATTGTAGTTTAATTTTTGTCTTTTTACCTTTTTTTTTATTTTTTTGAGACAGAGTTTCACTTTTCACCCAGGCTGGAATACAGTAGTGTGACCTCGGCTCACTGCAACCTCCACCTCCTGGGTTCAAGCGATTCTCCTGCCTCAGCCTCCTGAGTAGCTGGGAGTACAGGCACCCGCCACAATGCCCAGCTAATTTTTGTATTTTTAGTAGAGACAGGGTTTCACCATGTTGGCCAGGCTGGTCTTGAACTCCCTACCTCAGGTGATCCACCTACCTCGGCCTCCCAAAGTACTGGGATTACAGGTGTGCGCCACTGTGTAATGTTTTTACATTAAAAACAAATTCCTGAATTAATGGGCATATTTGCTTAATATATCCATGGTTGCTTTGACTTCTGACTGTTGAGCTTTTCAATTATCATTTAACTTTTGGTTAAATTCACTTTTGAAGTTAGTTTTTTGGGTTTGTTTTTTGTTTTTTGTTTTTAGATGGAGTCTTGCTCTGTCACCCAAGCTGAAGTGCAGTGGTGTGATCTCGGCTCACTGCAACCTCTGCCTCCCAGGTTCAAGTGATTCTCCTGCCTCAGCCTCCCAAGTAGCTGGGATTACAGGCGCACACCACCACGCCTGGCTAATTTTTGTATTTTTAGTAGAGACAGGTTTTTGCCATGTTAGCCAGGCTGGTGTTGGACTCCTGACCTCAAATAATCCTCCTGCCTTGGCCTCCCAAAGTGCTGGGATTACAGGTGTGATCCATGGTGCCTGGCCTGTTTTTAATTATTTTTTTTATTTTTTGAGACAGTGTCTTACTCTGTTGCCCAGGCTGGAGTCCAGTGGTGCAATTATGGCTCACTGCAGACTCAACCTCCCAGGATCAAGTGATCCTCCCAACTCAGCCTCCCAAAGAACTTGGACCACAGGCGCACGCCACCATGCCCAGCTAATTTTTGTATTTTTTGTAGAGATAGGTTTTGACCATGTTGTCCAGCTAGTCTCGAATTCCTGGGCTCAAGCTATCTGCCCGCCTCAGCCTTCCAAAGTGCTGGGATTATGGGTGTGAGCCACTGCGCCCAGCCAAGTGTAGTCTTACATGTTAGTGTTTACAGAGGAACTGTACGACCTTTGTGCAGATAAATATTTCATAACAAGAGGTTCGTTATTGGTCAGGTTGCTGTTCTCATCTCCTTAGCAAGGGTGGGGATAATGGTAAAGAAAACTTGTGTGTTTGATTTTCTTTTCTCAGTATCTTCTCTCTTCTGAATTTGAATGTTTTAAGGAATTAAATCAAAGGTGGATGAGCTAAAAGCAGCCTATGACCGGGAGGAGTCTACAAACTTGGAAGACTATGAGCCTAACACTGTAGCCAGTTTGCTGAAGCAGTATTTGCGAGACCTTCCAGAGAATTTGCTTACCAAAGAGCTTATGCCCAGATTTGAAGAGGCTTGTGGGAGGACCACGGAGACTGAGAAAGTGCAGGAATTCCAGCGTTTACTCAAAGAACTGCCAGAATGTAACTATCTTCTGATTTCTTGGCTCATTGTGCACATGGACCATGTCATTGCAAAGGAACTGGAAACAAAAATGAATATACAGAACATTTCTATAGTGCTCAGCCCAACTGTGCAGGTACATGGTCTTCTCTACACATATACCCTCTGGTACTGACATTGGGGAACTGGGGTAATTTTCTATTGCTGAGTCACATGTAAAGCAGTGAACTTGAGGAGATAGGTAATGGATTAGCTTGAATACGGGTCTTTTCCTTTCATAATTTGGACAGTGTCAATGTATAAGATAACATACTTGCCCTTTAGCTTGTAGTGATGTAATTTGAATGCGGTACAGTCTTTGATGTGGGTTTATAAACAAGACCTGATGACAAGGATCCTTCATTAGGGGAGGAGGAGCCCATGGCATCTACAGTTATAGAGTTCGTGTGTAGAATTTTAGAGATCCCAGTTATTTAATCAATAGCATTATTGCTTCGTTAGATCACAGACACACATCAAACTCAGGCACAAAGGGACCTGTCATTAATTGTTTGGTCAAAGATTTAGCCTGAGGATTTCATTCATAAGGATGGATCCTAGAGAGACATGTTATAGGCTCTGAATCTGAAAAGGAACTTCAGGGAATTGGGTAGTGTGTTAATTGGTATCTTTTTACGACATACATACTTGGCTTTCCTTTATTGCTGCTCAGTTGGTGCTGTCATAGAGTATATGTTTTCTTTTAATTGCAGTTAATGATATTTTACTCAGGCCAATAAAAAGGGAGATGATAGGTTATATTTATTATCTTAAGCCCTCTTTTTGGCCAGTATTCTGAGTCACCATAAATCACTGTCACTGTTATTAGAGAGTGTTTTCATTTACTAAAGAGCGTTTCAGTCAGGCGCGGTGGCTCACACCTTTAATGCGAGCACTTTAGGAGGCTGTGGCAGGAGGATAGCGAGAGGCCAGGAGTTCAGCCTAGGCAACATAGCAAGACCCTGTCTCTACATAAAAATTAAAAATTAGCTGGGTGTGGTAGCATGTATGTGTAGTCCCAGTTACTTCGGAGGCTGAGGTAGGAGGATTGCTTGAGCCCAGCAGTGAGCTATGATCATGCCACTGTACTCCTCTCTGGGTGACAGAGCAAGATTTTATCTCTAAAAAATAAAGATTCTTCTGTTACTCATTGATTACGCTTTGAAAGCAAAATGTTTCTCAGATTTTAGTTTGATCATTAGGATTTCAGGATCTGGTAAATATTACATTGATACTTAATATTACTATAATATAATAGAGATGGTTGTATCATAGAAGAGTCAAGTGTGTTGTAAGAGTAAGTTTTAGGTAGGAAATAATTTCTTGTAGTAGCTTTTCAGCCAACCTAATGCCCTGGCCTCCTAGCATATGAACATCCATACTTAAATGCTGGCTGTGTCCAGGTATTTGTTTCTGGAGTGAGGGCTTTCAACCTCAACCCAGCTTTACTACTGTGGTGCTCCCACTTCCCTCATGGTCCTCATTCATTCCATTGCGTCTGTTAAAATATGTCAAAGTAAGTTGAAAATAAAGAATATAAGATGTTTTAGCCGGGCATGGTGGCTCACGCCTGTAATCGCAGCACTTTGGGAGGCTGAGGTGGGTAGATCATTTGAGGTCAGCAGTTCGAGCCCAGCCTGGCCAACATGGTGAAACTCCGTCTCTACTGAAAATACAAAAAAATCAGCCAGGTATGGTGGCACACGCCTGTAATCCCAGCTTACCGGGGAGGCTGAGGCAGGAAAATCGCTTGAACCCGTGAGGTGGAGGTTGCAGTGAGCTGAGATTGTGCCACTGCACTCTAGCCTGGGCTACAGAGCGAGGCTCCATCTCAAAAAAGCACCACCACCGCCACCAACAACAAAAAACACACAAAAAATAAGATGTTTAAATCAGTTAATACTGTGATAGAAAAAATAAACAAATGGATGGCATCAACTTCTCTATCCTTTTCTTGACTTTTTTTCCCTTCAGATCTTTCTGGTGCTTGAATACATGATTTAACTCATATTTTACCATTTTCTTCTTAAATTGGCTATTAACTAGCAAAGACTGTGTTGTCATTACTGGGTAGAATTTTCTTTATGTGTCCAGGATTAAAGGATATATTATGTAATAGACACAAATAAGTGAAATAGAATGATAGTTTTAATGGTTTTCTTGTAAATCTTTTTTTCTTAGATCAGCAATCGAGTCCTGTATGTGTTTTTCACACATGTGCAAGAACTCTTTGGAAATGTGGTACTAAAGCAAGTGATGAAACCTCTGCGATGGTCTAACATGGCCACGATGCCCACGCTGCCAGAGACCCAGGCGGGCATCAAGGAGGAGATCAGGAGACAGGTGTGTGCACCCTGCCTGCCACAGCCTGCCTCTGCATTGGCTGTTGTGGAGTCCAGTGGTGATGGGCTCTTGTTTCCTGAACACTTTCTGTGTGTCTGGAGCTATGTTAGGCACACTGAAGTCAGAAATTCCCATCTGGTACTGTTTCATGCCAAATAAGTCAGAATACCATGGTGGAAAGAGCATAGTTTTTGGAATCAAAACACCTGGCTTTAAATTCTTGCTCTGATCTAGTTAACTGATTTTAGGCAAATTCTTAACCACCTTAAGCACTGGTGTTCTTGCTTTAAAATGGATCCTCTTATAGGATTGATGTGAAGATTACCCCAAATGAGATAATATATGAAACATGCCAGGCACGTTGTAAATAGTCTAAAGATGTTTGCCTTTTCTTGACAAGGTTGCTGTCATCAGCCATATTTTATAGATAAGAATATTAAAATTCAGGGAAGTTAAGTAACTTACCCTGTGTGACATGATTACTAATTACAGACCCAAGATTTGAGCCCAAATCCTGGGATTTTTTACTGTGCTATTTTGATGGAAGTAACAATGCCGTGTGTGTGTGTGTGTGTGTGTGTGTGTAATTCAAGACTAAATAAGAAAGTTAATTACATTTGATTATTTATTTGCATGCAATTTATCAAACCCCTGCTTGCTTTTCTTCCCTTGTATCTGCCCTGAGCTCCCAATGCTTACTAGTTAATGATGATGACATTGGAGATGGGGATGTGGATTAAGTATTATTGAACCAATACAAATTAGTGAATAATTAATAGGCAAAACAATAAGAATGATTTTTCAATCATATCTTCAAAAAAATAATTAGTGCCATTATTTTACTCTAATGAAATAAAGGATAATTGAAAAATAGTTGATTCTTCATCTTTAGAAATTGCACGTGTTGTTAGTTTAAGATAAGAGGATATGAAATGCAACTAGGTGTGTGGCATTTGCTTTCTAGGAGTTTCTTTTGAATTGTTTACATCGAGATCTGCAGGGTGGGATAAAGGATTTGTCTAAAGAAGAAAGATTATGGGAAGTACAAAGAATTTTGACAGCCCTCAAAAGAAAACTGAGAGAAGCTAAAAGACAGGTGAGTTATTATTTTGATACCTAATGTTTATAATAGAATGTGTTTGAGTCTTTTATGTACTTTATGTACTCTTTTTTTTTCTTTCTTTCTTTTTTCTTTTGATGTTGACCAGGGTGGTCTCAAACTCTTGGCCTCAAGTAATCCTCCCACCTCGGCCTCCCCCAGAGTGCTGGGATTACAGACATGAGCCACCACCCCCAGCCCAAGTTCTTTCTGTTAAGAATATTATAATGTCACTTGAAGTGAACTTCTCTGGTGGGACATTTATTCACTAAAATGTTTCTAGTCCTATATTATTGATATTGCAGCCTGGTGTCAGTCACATGTTTCAGTGTAATCTAGAAAGTTTTTTTTTTTTTTTTTTTTTGAGACAGGATCTTGCTCTGTCACCCAGGCTGGAGTGCAGTGGCACGATAATGGCTCACTGTAGCCTCGACCTCCTGGGCTCAAGGGATCCTCCTACCTCAGCCTCCTGAGTAGCTGGGACTACAGGTGTGCGCCACCATGCTCGGCTCATTTTTTATTGTTTGTAGAAATAGGGTCTTGTTATGCTGCCCAGACTGGTCTCAAACTTCTGGGCTCAAGCAGTCCTCCCACCCCCCAAAGTGCTAGGATTATAGGCATAAGCCACCATGCCTGGCCTAGAAAGTTTTGTTTTAATTAAAAATGATTTTACTAAAAAATTTGTCATTTCCTGCTTGGTTATACCTGTAAACAGGGCTTTCTATGGATGAAAAACAGGCTGGATGGTGACACACCTTTGGGGACTGCTGGGGAATTTAAGGCATTTAGAATTAGTCAGCTCTTTGGAAATGTAGTGATGAGGGTCACCTGGAAGGCCTTGAAGATCAGGAGAGATTCTATTTATGTAATAATAATAAGAGTGGCCTGCAATACCTGATGAGTTTAGGGTATGCCAGTCAGACTTTTGAGTTCCCTCTTGTTTAGTGTGTGTTGCTTGGTTCTGGGACTGTGAGTGTACCAGCCACAGCAATGGTAAAATCCCAGATCTCTGGATCACCTTAAAATCCACATTGCAGATCAACTGCAGCATCTAAACAGCACATCCAAGGAACATTAGTTAGCCCTTGCCTGAATTGGGGAACATGATAGTAGGTCTCTGTTGTGGTTGTGTTAAAGAGACAAAGACAACCTGAATACTTCTGTTTCTTTGAGGTTAGAGATTTGTATTAATGTGGAGGATAGCTTTGTCACACGGGGCACATTCATGGGACTTTTACACGTGCGCTCCAGGATATGTAATGTAGCAGAAGCCCTCTGCGTATTTTTCTTCCTTCTTTTTCCTAGCTCACTAGGTTATCTATCTCTTGCTTCCTTTACGTGTTTTTTGTTTTTGGTGTTGGTGTTGCTGTTAAAATTTTCCCTTCATGTCTCAGCCTAGAATCAGGTATTAGAGATGGACCACTCAGGCTTCAGGGGCAAATTGTAATTGTTAATCATATGGCATTGCCAGTCAGCCTTTAAATGAAGAGTCCCCTGACTGACCTAGGACAGGGCTGATGGAGGTTTGGCTTTTGTTTCTCTTGCTTCTACATCTTGCCTAAATAAAGGAATCATGGTATAGCAGCCAGAACCAATATAAGAAGGGATGGATTAACTTTGCTTTACCGATTTTCCCGATGCTATGTTTTCACGCCAGCTCATTAATTCACAAAATGCACAGAAGATTCTACAAAAGTCTAATGTATTTTTATGTATTAGCAATGCACAATTGGATATTGAACCTAAAAAAAAAAGAGACCTAAGTAAATGGAGAGATAAATCATGGATGTGGTACACAAGATTCAATATTGTTAAGATGTTAGATTTTCACAAATTTCAACTTTGAGGAATAAATGACTTTTAAAGACAGAAGTAATGTAACTTATCATATTAACAGACTAAAAATAAGAAAAACCCACAACATCGTATCAGTAGATGCAGAAGAAGATTTAGTAGAATTCAATACTTATTCATGATAAAATTCCCAGCAGATAACTTTCTCAGCCTGATAAAGGACATCTACAAAGAATCTACAATTATCATACTTAATAGTGAAAGACTAAATGCTTACCCTAAGATTGGTGTACACTGCAGGGATTTCTGCTGTTACCACCTCTATTCAGCATTGTACTGGACGTTCTAGCCAGTGCAATAAAGCAAGAAAAAAGACACACATATTGGAGAGAAATAAGTTTTTATTCTTGGATAACATGATTATCTGCTGAGACCAGCTTGGTCGGGGAGACCCTAACCCAGTGGCACTAGAGGAATTAAAAGACACACATACAGAAATATAGAGGTGTAGAGTGGGAAATCAGGGGTCTCACAGCCTTCAGAGCTGAGAGCCACACACAGAAATATAGAGGTGTGGAGTCTCAGCCTTCAGAGCTGAGAGCCTCTTATTGATAGCAAGCCAGTGATAAGCATTGTTCCCATAGATTATAGATTAACTAAAAGTATTCCTTATGGGAAATAAAGGGATGGGCCGAAGTAAAGGGATGTGTTCTGGCTAGTTATCTGCAGCAGGAGCATGTCCTTAAGGCACAGATCGCTCTTGCTATTGTTTGTGGCTTAGGAACGCCTTTAAGCAGTTTTCCACCCTGGGTGGGCCACATGTTCCTTGCTCTCATTCCGGTAAACCCACAACCTGCCAGCGTGGGCATCATGGCCATCACGAACATGTCACAGTGCTGCAGAGATTTTGTTTATGGCCAGATTCTGGGGGGCCTATTCCCAACAATTATCTACATATAAAATCCTAAGGAATCTACAAAAAAAGAGCTAATCAGTGAGTTTAGCAAGGTTGTAGGATACAAGACCAGATATACAAATGTCTAGTGTATTTCTTTATATTAGCAATGCACAATTGGATATTGAACCTAAAAAAAAAAATAAAAAGAGAGAGACCTAAATAAATGGAGAGAGAAATCATGCATGTGGAACAGAAGATTCAATAATTGTTAAGATGTTAGATTTTCCCAGATTGGTCTGTGGGTCCAACCCCAATCAAAATCCAGACAGATGGTATTTGTGAAAATGAATAAGCTCTTCTAAAATTTATGTGGAAATACAAATGACCTAGAATAGGTAAACAGTTTTGAAAAAGAACATAGCCGGAAGATTGGAGGACTCATACTACCCGATTTCAAGACTTACTACAAAGCTGCAGTTCATCAAGATGGTATGTACTGGATAGGGATAACATACAGAAGAGAAAGTTCAGAAGTTGACCTACACATATATGGGCAATTACTTTTTTTTTTTTTTTTTGAGACGGAGTCTCGCCCTGTTGCCCAGGCTGGAGTGCAGTGGCGCAATCTCAGCTCACTGCAAGCTCCGCCCGCTGGGTTCACACCATTCTCCTGCCTCAGCCTCCCGAGTAGCTGGGAATACAGGCGTCCGCCACTACGCCCGGCTAATTTTTTGTATATTTAGTAGAGACGGGGTTTCACCGTGTTAGCCAGGATGGTCTCGATCTCCTGACCTCATGATCCACCTGCCTCGGCCTCCCAAAGTGCTGGGATTACAGGCGTGAGCCACTGCGCCCGGCGGGCAATTACTTTTTAATGAAGATACTAAAATAATTCAGTGGGGAAGGGATATTCTTTTCAACAAACAGCGCTGGAACAGATGCAAAGAAAAAAACTTTATCTGTACAACATATGCAAAAAATAGCTTGAAATGAATCATAAACTAAGACTAAAAAAGCTTCCAGAAGAAAAAAAAAACAGGAAAATATCTTACTGTCCTTGGCTTAGGCAGTAATTTCCTAAATAGGATACAAAACCTATTATAAACTATAAAAGAAAAATTTGATAAATTGAATTTCATCAAAAATTTAAAAATATGCTCTTCAACAGATATTAAGAAAATAAATATCCAAGCCAGAAGCTGCGACAGAATATTTGCAAAAGCTTGTATCTGATAAAGGACTTGATTTTTTTTTTAAAGTTTACAGTTTAATAAGAAAACAACCAATTTTTAAAAGGCAAAAATTTGAACAAATACTTTACCAAAGATCATATATAGATGACAAGCACATGCAAAGACTCTCACCATCATTAGTCATTAAGGAAATCCAGATTAAAAGTACTCTGAGATAACAGTATACATCAACTAGAATAGGTTGCTCTTGGTAATGCAAAATGGTGTAGCCATTTTGAAAAACAGCTTGGCAGTTTCTTATTAAGCTAAACATGCGGTTACTTACCATAGCACCCAGGCTTCCCACTCCTAGGTATTTCTCTAAGAGAAGAAAGCATTTGCCCTCACAAAGCATGTGCGAAATGTTCCTAACAGCTCTAGTTGTAATAGCTTACAACTAGAAGGAACCCCAATGTCCATCAGTTGGTAAATGGATAAACAAATTGGGGTACATTTATTCCATGGCATGTTGCTCAGCAACTACTGATACAGACAGACAAGTAGATGAATCTTAAAAGCATTGTGCTAAGTGGAAGAAGCCAGATAATCACACTACTTACTGATTGATTCAGTTATGAAACTCAAGGAAAGGAAAAACTGCAGCGATGGAGACCAGGACGGGTTGCTAGATGCCGGCAGATGGTGGAGGAGCCCAAGGGCACTTTGTGTGGCAATGGAAACGTTCTAGAGCATGATGGTGGTGCTGGTTACTTGACTTTATGTTTGTGAACACTAAATTCTGTGCTCAAGATTTACACTCCTGACCACACCCTCCCTAAGTATTACAATAGGTAATTTCTGTGGAAGGGTACCAGAAATGGCAAGTACATTCACCAGAATTGAGTATTTTTCACAGTGCAGGCACAGACTCAGATCTCCATGTTATATTCCAAGCCCAGTTACCAAATGCCCATCCAGCTAGATGGTTCATCTGACTGTTATTGTTTCAATTCTAGGAAATGAGAAGGAAACGTGTAGATTGGTGGTGGTGTGATTTGTTGAATATGTGTTACATATGGGCTGACTAGTTCTTTTTTATTTGTCTTATTTGACAGGAGTGTGAAACCAAGATTGCACAAGAGATAGCCAGTCTTTCAAAAGAGGATGTTTCCAAAGAAGAGATGAATGAAAATGAAGAAGTTATAAATATTCTCCTTGCTCAGGTAACCTAAAATCTTTTTCTCTCTTTTGCAAGACTCTTTTTTGTTTTTGTTTTTGAGACAAAGTCTCGCTCTTGTCCCCCAGGCTGGAGTGCGTCGAAGCGATCTCGGCTCACTGCAACCTGCAACCTCCGCCTCCCAGGCTCAAGCGATTCTCCTGCCTCGGCCCCCTGAATAGCTGGGATTGCAGGCACCTGCCACCACACCCAGCTAATTTTTGTGTTTTTAATAGAGACGGGGTTTCACCATGTTGGCCAGGCTGGTCTAGAACTCCTGACCTCAGGTGATCCGCCTGCCTCAGCCTCCCAAAGTGCTGGGATTAACAGGCGTGAGCCACCGCGCCCAGCCTGCAAGGCTCTTAATGGTCATTTAAAAATAGTAACTTGAGAAGCTCTACTACAGATGTGAATATTTTAACCAAAATTATAAAGTGATTTTGAGGGCCTGTGTCTGTTTTATTTGTCCCTTCCTTTATGTTGTGTTTGTTAAAATGTTCAGTTATGGCGAAAGAAACTACCTTATATTCAGTAATGACTCTTTACTGGGCATTGTTCTAGACGTTTAATCTCATTTAGTGTGCACACAGGTCCGAATTATAGGTCTTTTCCCTAATTTACAGATTAGTGGTACTTGTTCCATATTAATGAGATCAGACTTTTAAAAATATTTTAAAAACCGTTGTACCTGACATTACAAAGTCTGGAATCCTTGAAATGTAAGAAACAGATTTTATCTAATAGTTGTTGCTAATAACACCTTTTAGATATTTTGATTTTATTCTTTACAGGTGAAAGTCAATTGTTGGAGGCAAATTGTCTTATTAGTCCTTCATTGATTTAACAGATATCCCTTTCGTGCCTACTGTATTCCAGGCATAGAGCTGAAGATGAGCTCATTTCTTTCTGAAGTTCTCAAGTCAGCCTCACTTTGTTCTGGAAATTGCCAGAGTTTAACCAGAAAGGAATGAAGTTCTAGGCTCTGACCACAGTGTGTCTAGGGTTCCAGAAACTCGTGTGGTTTCCCTGAAGCCCAATAGGTTTCAGTCCTTCTGTGTCACCTCTGAAACATGCGTTGTTTTGCCTCTCAGGAGCACATAGTTTTCCTTGAGGAGAGGATGAGTCCCAGATTATATCTTTGTTTCAGGGTTTTTCAGTCTGGTGTTTGTTGGAATGTCAGCTTTAGTAGGTATGCAGAGGTATAGGAAAGACATCTGTGTTCAAAAATATTTGAGCAGTACTGTGTCCTTCATCTCCTGGAGAGACGTTCTCAGCGCTGTTGGTGTTTGTGGGTAGTTCATTTTGGCATGTGACCATGGTAAATAACTACCTTCTCAGTACCTGCTCATTTGGAAAGAACGTCCGCACCCAGCTCCTCATCCCCACAGCCACCTTCTGTTACTCTCTTAAGCTTTGTCTGCCTTGCTTCTTTTCTCTAGGTCAGAGGGGCTCTCTAGATCTTGGGCAGATAGGGATTTTTTCCCCATTCTTTTAATAAGACTGATGATCTTACCAATCTTAGAAATGCATATTGTGGTAAAGCAGAATATTGACTATTTAAATACCTTTGGGCCAGGCATGGTGGCTCACGTCTGTAATCCCAGCACTTTGGGAGGCTGAGGCGGGCGGATCACCTGAGGTCAGGAGTTTGAGACCAGCCTGGCCAACATAGTGAAACCCTGTCTCTACTAAAAATACAAAAATTAGCCAGGCGTGATGGCAGGCGCCTGTAATCCCAGCTACTCAGCGGCTGAGGCAGGAGAATCACTTGCACCCAGGAGGCAGAAGTTGGAGTGAGCGAGATTGTGCCACTGCACTCCAGCCTGGGTGACAGAGTGAGACTCTGTCTCAAAAAAAAAAAAAACAACCCTGAGGACTTTAAAGAGGACGGTGGCTTATGGAAAGGTGAAAAAATTTCTGTAATGATCTTTCCTTCCCACTGATCTGCCTTAAAGGTGATGCTGACACCAGCCAGACATCTCTTGGATCCTTCTTTTCCTAGTGACCCCATCAAAGGTCACCATGGCCCTGTATATGCCTACTTTCCTGAGAGATGGGGAGGCATTAAGAGTGGGAAGCCGAAGCCAGTTTCATCCCTCAAGTCCTGGCTTTTCCCTGTGGGGGCCTCACAGGGGCCTTTGCAGTAGGAGGATATGGGGTTCCTGTGTGGCATTTTGTTATTGAGAAAAATCTAGTCATTCCCCCAAAATAACTTTACCTTTTCTCAAAGAAGCCTTTTCTTGACCCTAATGAAATAGGATGTTTTTGGTTGTGCAGTACGTAACTCGTGTTCAGCACTCAATGGGGCTCAAGAATTCAGGGCAACATGGGAGACCCTAAACAAGTGACATTTCCTGGACTAAAACTCTCAGAGCTGTTCACCAGTGTTCATTATTTCAGGAGAATGAGATCCTGACTGAACAGGAGGAGCTCCTGGCCATGGAGCAGTTTCTGCGCCGGCAGATTGCCTCAGAAAAAGAAGAGATTGAACGCCTCAGAGCTGAGATTGCTGAAATTCAGAGGTAAAGGAAAGCCGAGGGTTTTGAAGCTTCTGAGCATGTTTCTTTAAATATAACCATAATTGTTTTAGCTCTCAGACTTTCCTACAAAAGAATTAGGCATGTGAAATTCATCATCTTTAAGTTTCTTATTTATCAGGTCCTAAGAATGGTGTTATATTGAGTAGAGTCCTGAAAACGTGGTAAATATAAAAGGAGGTCACAGACAAGCACATCCAGTAGCGTCTTCCTTTGTCTCTCATCTTGCAGTCGCCAGCAGCACGGCCGAAGTGAGACTGAGGAGTACTCCTCCGAGAGCGAGAGCGAGAGTGAGGATGAGGAGGAGCTGCAGATCATTCTGGAAGACTTACAGAGACAGAACGAAGAGCTGGAAGTGAGTTTTGGGGGGAAATAGCCAAAATGCATACTAACTTTTAGAAAGTTGTAGAGACCACATATTTCCCCTCAGAATTGTCCTTCTTTTTCTTGGTCACCAGCTGGGAGGCTGAGTAGAGAGGAATTTAGGGGGACATCTCACCGAGAGTCTGTGGGACTTGAGCTAAGTGCTGGCCAAGCAGATGGCACCTGTGTGTCTTCCTCAGGCTGTGAACTGGAGTTCTGTGACTTTAGTGTGACATGTAGACCTTTCTCCACCCGATGTAAAGGCAAGCCTCACCTGACTGTGTCAGCTTGAGCAGCTTTGAATGACCTAGTCTCTGTTCCCAGAGAAGGTGAACAGAAAAATCAGCGCTAGTGATGGAAGAACAGTCTCCCGAGTCTCCCTGTGGGTGAAGCAAGAGACGGAGTTTCTCTTGGCCTCAGCCCGAGAAGCAGCAGGTGAGAGGGAATCGGCGCTAAGAAACTAGGAGAGGCTGCACAGTGAAGAGAAGGCAGCAGAGATAAAGGTCTAGATCACAGTTTCCCTTCTTACCCCAAATAAAATATTGTGTCCAGATATTTTGCCTAAGGATTGAGTGAGAGAAGATACCCTCTTCACAGAAAGGAATCTAAGGATAGAGGGACAGCTCTGCATCCCTCATTTGGGTTCGCTCAGTGGCTGGTGCGAACCAGAACTACACCCTGCATAGAAAAGCAGAATTCCACACACAGCCACCCTGCACAGAGTCCTCTCTGCCGAGCCTGCGGGCAGAGCTCAGAGGCAACCACGAAGGTTCAAGGCAGAGACCCTTGCTGCGGCAGGAATGTGCTGTGGGAGGAAGCCCTGCAGGTGCTGAGACCAGGGTTGCTGGAGCTCCTGTTCAGAAAGGCCTCACATTGGCACCTGATGTTCTTTTCTTAACATTTTAAGATCGTATTAAAACTCTGAGTAGGAAAACAGAATCCAGAAGTATTGTACTTGGGGTGTAGGCTGAATTGCTGTAATAAAGAGAATAACATAGTGGTTTAAACAAGATGGTGTCTCTTGTGTGGCAGGCGGTCCAGCCCATCATCCTCCACACCACTTTTTTCCATGTAGGGTCCAATGTGGCTGCTCTGTCTTGCCACTCTTAGCAGGACTAAGTTAGCAGGGAAGGGATCAAGGCATGCCCAGTCGCCAAGGGCAGGGTGCATGCGTGGCACTCGGTGCTTGCGCTTACACCTATGCCCCCTTCGCAGAGCCTAGTCCATGCCACACCCACGCAGGGGAGGCTGGCACCTGCCACAGAGTGGAGGCCACGGCAGCAGGGCCGCTGCTATTCCTCAGGACCTAAACTTTGCCGAGTACATCCAGATGATTTAGAATTGATAGTAATTTTCTGTAGTTTGATTGAGTAGGACATTTCAGAATTACCGTAATACTATTCACAAAAGACAAAGGATATTCACCTTTGAAACAAATCTAGTTTTTTATCTGATCTCTAACTCCCCTTTCTAATTGCTGCTAAAATTACTTTTATTTTCTCCTTGTTTAAGGGCTGTTGAGAAGCCAGTTCAAAGTTATAAGTTGTCTATTTTAAACACTAGGATACTGAATTATTAAAATAACGGTTTCTGTTGGCACATGGATGTGTTTCTCTCTAGTAACCAGGAGCAGGGTTTCCAGCCTCACATTCTCAGGAGTCACGTGGCTCACTGTGCACTGTGCATTCCTGCTGTGTTTGTCTTCTGTTTCACAACCCATTGACTTAAACAAAACCAGATTCCTCTGTAGGATGCCCTTGCTAACCGCGCTCTGCTCCTGAGAAATCGTCCTCTGACTTCCTTAAGTGATAACTGCCCTTTCTGTCATTCCCCAAGATAAAGAACAATCATTTGAATCAAGCAATTCATGAGGAGCGCGAGGCCATCATCGAGCTGCGCGTGCAGCTGCGGCTGCTCCAGATGCAGCGAGCCAAGGCCGAGCAGCAGGCGCAGGAGGACGAGGAGCCTGAGTGGCGCGGGGGTGCCGTCCAGCCGCCCAGAGACGGCGTCCTTGAGCCAAAAGCAGCTAAAGAGCAGCCAAAGGCAGGCAAGGAGCCGGCAAAGCCATCGCCCAGCAGGGATAGGAAGGAGACGTCCATCTGAGCAGCCTGCGTGGCCGTCTGGAGTCCGTGAGACTGAAAGGACCCGTGCATCTTACTGTAACCCGGGGGCCAGGCCGGCTCTCTCGCTGTACATTCTGTAAAGGTGTCTTCTCTTCTCAGACTCTTCCTCTGTCACACGTCTGACTCCTTCACGTCAGGCTCAGGTTCCATGGGAGGACGAAGCAGTGGACGCATTGTGGGCTTTAGGGACAGATGAGTTTTCCAGATAGTGTCAGCTTATTTGAAGATTAATTTTCTTTGTTAACTTAAAATAACTATTTTAACCCTTGAGTGGCTTCTTTTTAAACCAAAAACCGTCTTTCTTTGCTTTTTTATCACAGCAGAATCAGGATCTCTTTCTCATTCAAGGGGGGAACCACCCCAGGTCAGCGCTGCGCCTGCTGTGGCCGCCGCGAGCCACGCCCTCTGGGATCTCTGGTACCGTCACTCTTGCTTGTGCCTTCCACACCTTCTCGGTGCAGATCCCTATGGGGGAGCTGCCTCACGTTCTCTGACTGGTCAGAGCAGCGCCTGGTGGGTGTTCCCTGGCCCACTCTCCTCTCTCCTTCTGCAGTTCTAAACCACAGTCTATAAGCCCGAGTCACCAGGACGGCCTGTCTGGCCACAGACAGGGGCTGCCTGTGGAGCCTGCCCACCGGCCCCCGGCAGTGCAGTCCAGCGGGGAGGAGGCTGCCCGTTCCTGCCAGTTCCTCACTGCGGGGACCAGCAAAGGCCTTCTCACTGGGTTGGTCAAAGGTAGTCACCTTGGCCTGGTGCATCCACAGAGGATGTTGTTCAAACCAGAAATCTTTTAAACGACTGACCTTCCTTAAAAACAGAATGACTCCGATTGCTTGCTTGGGCTAGAATGTACACGTCTCCTTGCCTGAATAAGCCATATATATGCTCTTAAACAAAAGTTTGAAATTATCCATATCATCTCAGTGAACCTACTGGTGGACTCCCAATTGACAAGATTGAGCAATAGAAAAAAATTCCTTTCCTTTGAATGATAGCTGTGATTCACCCCACCCCATTTTCTTGTTTCTGGTCCATCCGATGAGACGGATGCTCTGATGCTCTGAGGCTTCTGGGAGGCTGGGCCCTGGAGGCAACGTGCTGCAGGCGCACTCTGTCAGAGTGAACAGCACCGCGAGACAGGCCAGGCTCGTGGCTCGGAAGACAAACCCCACACACACTCAAGGGGTCGAAAACAAACCCCACACGAGGGCTCTCACCTCCTTCTCCTAGGTAGTATTTATTTTCAGCACCTGTTTGATGCAGTTTTTAATCCTCTACCTATTGCACTGTTGTGACTCGTTGGCCATTATTTGATTTTTGTACGAAAAAAAGCTTTGTTATAGAAATCAGCATACTATTTTTTTAAATCTGGAGAGAAGATATTCTGGTGACTGAAAGTATGGTCGGGTGTCAGATATAAATGTGCAAATGCCTTCTTGCTGTCCTGTCGGTCTCAGTACGTTCACTTTATAGCTGCTGGCAATATCGAAGGTTCCTTTTTTGTTTGTGTAAACTCTAATTTCTATCAAGGTGTCATGGATTTTTAAAATTAGTATTTCATTACAAATGTCTCAGCATTGGTTAACTAATTTTTGCCAGGACCATTATTGATCAAGCAAATAAATTCAACAGCCATTTGGGAAAAAGAAAAGCTTCTAGTTTTTTTGTACACATTCTTTCTGTGAGGAGATTGAGTACTCTGCAGCTGGCGAGGAGTTGGTTGAGGCACTTCTTCAAGGCCAAGGGGGAACACAGTGTTTTGTTTCCAGCTCACTTTGTACCCCTCACCTCTGCAGACACGGGGAGAACCCCGGACCCCTGGCATGCATGCTGGCGGCGGCATGCCTCCCTTCCACAAGCCCATGCTGCTGCAGAGGGAGCCTGTGTTTGCAAAACCCAGTGGACTGGGCTGGGTCTGCTGTCTGAGCAGCTCCTGGCTCCGGTGGGAACTGCACACAAGTCCACTGGCCTGGCTTGGCCCCAGGCATTGCAATTGACAGACATTTGCATTTCATACGGTAAATGAGGACTCAGCACAGCCAACCATAATCAGCATGTCTGGGATAGACTGGTCTAGAATAAAAATGAAGTTTCCATTGCTTTGTTTGCTTTAAAAATTCCACAATTAAAATATCTGTCATTGAAAGCTTAGACAAACAGCTGACTTCTCTGTTTTGTGTAGTTAAATCTATAATGTTAAATTTATATAGCTAAATTCTCCTTGATGGAAAGTCTCAAACGCCCTGATGGGGTACATTTAGCATTGGGGATCTGGAGATACTGAGGTGTGAGACCTGAGGTCACCTCCCAAGATGGGCTCTAGTGCTGTGTGATCTTTTTTTTTTTTCACTGCAGCTGTTTCTGTGAAGAGCACATTGCTTGTTATGTATTAGGATATCTTAAGAACAAACACACCTTCTGCGTCCAGCCAGGCTGAGCAAGATGCAGCCTGGGCTTTCTGGAGCTCTCGATGGGGACCCGTGCCCAATTCCATGTGTTCAGCCTCAGCCCTGGCCCATGGTTCTCATGAGGGATAGAAGGAAAAGCCGGAGTCAATTAGCAGGCAGAGGCTTCAGCATAAGATCCCACAGCTTTTAGGGAAGGTGGGCAGTGCCCCCTGGAATGTTCTAGACTAGATCCCAGGAGACCCAGGAGACGTGATAGCAAGCCTGGGCAGAGGAGGGGGCAGAAAGCCCTTAAATGCCACATGTAGGGGCTCTTTTGCAGAGCAGGAAGAGTACTGCTGCCCGTCACATGCCGGGTCCTCCGAACCTGCAAAGTGATGGATGCTCATTCTCTGCATTCTGGTGACTTTGCTGTTACTAGACAAGCATGATTCAACAGGTGTTCAGTTCAGCCCCAGCAGATCTCGGACATCCGACCTCTGCTCCCACCGCCTAGCTCAAGTGTCAAGTGCTGTGACCGGACATCGTGCTGAGCTGTTCCCGGGTCTCGTGCTAGAAACTGGCTTCTAGACAAACAGTGCGGGTACTGGAAGGAACGTGGACTTTAGGCAGGAAAGGCTTTTTTTATTTGTTTGTTTTTGGAGACAGAGTCTCACTCTGTTGCCCAGGTTGGAGTGCAGTGGTGTGATCTCAGCTCACTGCAACCTCTGCCTCCCAGTTCAAGCAATTCTCCTGCCTCAGCCTCCCAAGTAGCTGGGACTACAGGTGCACACCACTACCATGCCTGGCTAATTTTTTGTATTTTAGTAGAGACGGGGTTTTACCGTATTGCTCAGGCTGGTCTTGAACTCCTGAGCTCAGGCAATCCACCCACCTCGGCCTCCCAAAGTGCTGGGATTATAGGCTTGAGCCACCGCACCCAGTGTAGGCAGGAAAGTCTGGGTTTTCTTCATAACCTTCAAAAGCAGTCTTGTTGAACTTCAGTTTTTTCATTGGCAAAATGGTGGAGATAATCTTGATTTCCAAAGGCTGCTTAGATAAATAATGGCTAGTAAGTACCTGGCATAGGGCTTTTGGCGTCATACTCCAATTCATTTTCCCTACAGGACATGATCCGTGACTTAGTCATCATGTTATTAACATTAAACTTTATAGTGCAGAGATGAGTCGGGGAAGAAAGAACGTAGCATTCTTTAAGATGCAGGTTTCATTTCTCAGCCTCAAGGCTCAGCTACAGAATAAGCTGTGGCCCGACTGCCTGCCTACCATTTTACAGACGGGAGACTGAGGCTCAGAGCAGTGACATGGCCTGCATGGGTCACTATTGCCCCCACTGTCGCGCACATCCCTGAGACTGAGGGAATGAAGCGTTTGTGGGGGTACCCTGGGCTCAGAGGTTCCTGCGGGATCAAAATTGCTGCATCTGGGAGGGAAAGCAGGCGTGATCTGTGTCTGATATGGAGGTGCCAGCGGGGCCCCTGCCTGTGGGGCCAGAGCCTGGGTACCAGAAGGCGATGCTGAACGCTGCAGCTACAATTAGAGCAAGAAGCTCCCCTTTGGAAGGGCAGCTCTAGCCTTCTGAAAAGGGTCACACCAGCAGTTCTTGAGTTTCTCATGTGGGGATAAAAACCCTCATATCATCTCACTACTGTTAAGACTGTTCCAATGACAGAGAGCAGTCGGAGAGAAGGAATGGGAAGTTCTCTCGAATGAGGAGGGTTGAGTTCTGCCTCACGCATACTGCACCACAGGCTGGCGAGGCCAGGAAGGAACTCCCTGAAGAGGGAGCCATGGTGGAGAGCTCGGCAGGCTCACACCTGCCCACTTAGGCTGACCTTGCTGTAGGGAGGCCATGGAAGGTACAGGACTCTCCCTTACATCAGAATTTCAGATCAACGATGGATGTTTTCTTAGTGTAACTGTAAGTATGTCCCACGCAACTGCAGTTGAATTGAGTGTCCTGTATTTTGACTCGTGAACTCTGTCCACGCTGTGAAAGGTGACTGTGATCTTGAGTGCTGCACAGATAAGGAGTCCTTGTTATTTGAGGGAAACAGAACACCCAAAGCAGGTGAATGTCGGGCAGAATCCAAGAAACTGAAGGGATCGAGTAGGTCCAGCTGGGGAGGGGAAGGAAGGACTCAGCATTGACAAGGTTTGGCTCTTTGCCTCAAATTAAAATTGTGGGGAGATTCACCAATCAAGCGTACAGCCTCCTACTGATCCCTGCAGGCCACCTACCACTCGCAAAGGGACACGGCTTGCTAGTAAAAGACTGAGCCAAGCGGATGGGTCTGGGGCAGCTGTGCCCTGTCCATGACTGACCCTGGCTGCCCCCAGGGTGGCAGTGATGCCGCAGCAGCCACTACAGCCACAAGCTGTGACCCCCACAAGCCGTGACCACCACAAGCCATGACGACCACTAGTGGTCATGTGGGCTTTGACATGTAGAGTTTGGAAGTGCTGATTTGCAGCCAAGGAAGTAAAATATAAATATTAAATGTTTAAAATCTCTGATCATTGTGGGTTAAGATATCAAAATTATGCAAAGAGTTTAACGTGGCAAAGATAAAATCCTACACCAACAGACTGCATTATGGCTTCAGTCTCAGGAAGGCCAGGTCTCTTGGCCCCACCCCAGACCTATGGAATCTGAATCTGCATTTGAACCAAGTCCCCAGGTGACTTAGCCACATGTTAACTTTTGGAAAACAGGCACCAGGCCGGGTGCGGTGGCTCATGCCTGTAATCCCAGCACTTATGGGAGGCTGAGGCGGGTGGATCACGAGGTCCAGAGATCGAGACCAACCTGGCCAACATGGTGAAACCCTGTCTCTACTGAAAATACAAAAATTAATTAGCCAGGCGCGGCACCGTGCACCTCTAATCCTAGCTACTCAGGAGGCTGAGGCAGGAGAATTGATTGAACCCGGGAGGCAGAGGTTGCAGTGAGCCGAGATTGTGCCTCTGCACTCCCACCTGGGCAACAGAGTGAGACTCCATCTCAAAAAAAAAAAAAAAAAAGGAAACTTTCTAAATGTCCAACAACATTTCACTAGATACTTAAAAGCTACAACAGAAAAACCAGGAAAATCTCAGTAAATGACCATCCAGGAAGGTGGGCCAGCAGTCTTACAGTGTCCACCCCTGTTATCCCTTGGCCTTTTGCCCAGCCAGTGGGACAAGCCCCTATTCTAGCCTGAGCTTGCTAGGGCTCCCCTTTCCTTGTGGATGCCCTCCTGGCTCCCTCTCCCTCCCCTCAGCATCTGCCTGTGGGATGTTCCCTGCGGAACTTCCTCTTGTCCACGCTGAATTCCTCACGGTGCTGGAGGACCAGCTTGCGCTCTCCTGTCCACGGCCGGGCATCTCCTGGGGATTGGGAACAGCAGGACAATGTGGGCCCGCACCCAAACGCGGCTCAGGAGCCTCTGGCGAGGTGGTGGCTCTTCCCATGGAACTACTGAAAATACTACTCAGTAGCTGTCTTGTATCCAACTAGCAACAATTATTGGTAATATTAACACTAAAAAGCAGATGGGGTGAAATAATCATGGTAAAATTACTAAAAACTGCAAGTAATCTTGTCAACTCTAAATCAGCAAAATTTGCCCTAAAAGAAAGACATGGTAGAAATTAAACTCATAGCCATGCTGCAAAACATCACATGGACTGAAAGTGGATTATTGATCATTTGTCAAGTTTTCTAGGAAAAGAATTAAAGAACTATTTTTTTGAGACGGAGTCTCGCTCTGTCCCCCAGGCTGGAGTGCAGTGGCGCGATCTCGATCTCAGCTCACTGCAAGCTCCGCCTCCCAGGTTCACGCCATTCTCCTGCCACAGCCTCCCGCGTAGCTGGGACTACAGGTGACTGCCACCACGCCCGGCTAATTGTTTTTGTATTTTTTAGTAGAGACGGGGTTTCACCGTGTTAGCCAGGATGATCTCAATCTCCTGACCTCGTGATCCGCCCGCCTCGGCCTCACAAAGTGCTGGGATTACAGGCGTGAGCCACTGCGCCCGGCCAGAAAAAGAATTCTTAACGAAAATAATTTCTATAAGATAAAACTAAAACTGTTGGCCGGCTGTGGTGTCTCACACCTGTAATCCCAGGACTTTGGGACACCAAGGCAGGCGGATCACCTAAGGTCAGAAACCCTGTCTCTACTAAAAAAATTTAAAAAAAAAATACACACACACACACACACACACACACAAATTAGCCAGGCGTAGTGGCAGGCACCTGTAATCCCAGCTACTCAGGAGGCTGAGGCAGGAGTTGCATGAACCCAGGCGGCAGAGGTCGCAGTGAGCTGAGATCGCACTACTGCACTCCAGCCTGGGCAACAGAGTGAGACTATATGTCTCAAAACGCACACACACACATAGTTAGTTATTAAATCCCTATAGAAAATGGATAAAGAATTAAACTGGCTTAGTAGAGCTCACTGCACAAAATACCTTTCATAAAAATTTATGGTTGGAATTTTTGTTTAGTCAAAATATTCTCATGGTCAAAACTGCCATATTCAGATCACAAAATTACCTCCATTTTGGAATTTCTGGTAGAGGAAAGTGAGAGCTGGGCTTCCCTCCCACCCTCACCTACACCAGGAACTGGTTTTCTAGTGAGAAAAAGACACATTCACTCCCTAGGCCCTGAGCCCTCCAGGTCACTTAAAAACCACCCCCACACACACCACACACTCTACACACAGGCACTCCACACATAACACACCACCCCCCCACACTGCACACGAACACACTCCACACACATGCACTCCACACCACGCCCCCCACCACACATGAACACGTGTGCACACTACACACATGCACCCCACATGCACACACGTGCAGGAAAGGCCTGCACCCTCCCTGGACCCTGCCATCCCCCCCTGGGGCCCTGTTTTTGCAGGTCCACATCCAGCTTGGAAAGGCTTGAGGCAGGAATCAGAAAACACAGCAACATACACCATTTTTTACACATTTATTTCCAGACTCAGTTGTTTCTTCTCTCGTTTGAGTCAGAGGATTAAAGATGCCATTTGCGGCGGGGCACGGTGGCTCACGCCTGTAATCCCAGCACTTTGGGAGGCCGAGGTGGGCGGATCACAAAGTCAGGAGATCGAGACCATCCTGGCTAACACGGTGAAACCCCGTCTCTACTAAAAAAAAATACAGAAAATTAGCCGGGCGTGGTGGCGGGCGCCTGCAGTCCCAGCTACTCGGGAGGCTGAGGCAGGAGAATGGAGTGAACCCGGGAGGCGGAGCCTGCAGTGAGCCGAGATCTCGCCACTGCACTCCAGCCTGGGCGACAGAGCGAGACTCTGTCCCAAAAAAAAAAAAAGAGGCCATTTGCTTGGCTTTGAGTTGCTGGGACTTTCCCTCTTGCTGGCTCATTGCTTTTCATCTCCTTCTGGAACCCTCCACAGAAACATGTCCCAGTTCCTGAAGGCAGTTTACAGCCTTGCTGCCCTCCCCGAAGCCCCTGCCTGCCCTGTGCTGCCCACCAAGCACCTGCCTGGCCCTTCCTCCCCACACTAAGCACAGCTGGTGTTTTGGCACCAGCTCCCCCAGAAATAAGTCACCCCTATAACAACAAACATGGGACCTGAACAAACCAGGTATGACAGCAAAGGAGTTCAGGAAATGCCACCTCAATCTATGCTGCACTGAACTGAGGGGAGTTGTGGAATGGCAAATGCTGGGAGGGGCTTTCTCTGGACATCTTCATATGCCCAAAGACAGATCCTCCAGAAGGACCTCAACTGCCATGAACCCCTCCCGGGGGAACCTCATCCACCAGGGAACCGAAGGCTCACACGTCACACCTGGATACTCTGTTGCGGTGTCACCTGTTCTTCCGAGGGCTAAGTTCATTTACCCTCCCCTAAGTTGCCCCCATCCCCTTCCCTGTCCCCTGTGAGGGAGTACAGAAGCTTCTCCATCTCACTGGGTTTGGAGGTATCGGCTCTTCAGTGTGATGCTCCCATGCACGTGAAAAATTCATCTAAGCTCTTCTGTTAACCTGCCTACTGTCAGTTTATTTCAGACTCAATTACTGAACTCCAGGGGGTGGAGAGAACACCTTCCTTCCCCTCTGAGAAGAACCAATGCCACGCCCGCCCCGAGGCTGAAGAATCACCCAGGCAGCTGTATCACAAGAGGGTCTCAGGATGCTGGCATGGCAGCTTTCTCAGTGACTCAACACTTGCCAACTTGGAGTTAAGAGAGTTCTAGAAAGCATCGCAGAACTATCTCCAAGACCAAAAATGTAGCTACTCCTCGAGCCAGCCCTCCAACAGCCCAGCAGCAAGTCTGTTCCCTGGAGATTGGGAGAAATCAGGGAAGGATGGAGGAACTCACTACTGAGCTTCCATCTGTCACAAGCTCGCAAGCACGCTTCTCCCAAGAGGCGAGGGACAGCAGAGCTCATGAGTGCTGTGACCCCAGATCAAGCCAGGCCGGGCAGAAAGTGGGGCCCCATGTCAACTACACCCCCACGTGGAAGGGCCTGCTGGGGAGATTGGGGGCGAGCAGAGAATGAACTTTAGGCAGTGACTAAGAAGCTATTCCAGAAAGTAAGGCTTTCCTCTTCATCCTTCGTCACTCACAAGTCCTACGATATCAAAGAATATCGTCTAAGATTAGCCACCCAATATTAAATACCCTCAAAGACAGCTTACCATCTTACTCATTTTTATATTATGAAAGGAGAAGTTGTGAATACTAGTTGGTTTGCTGTTTCCACTTTCATCTCGTGGGGGACTGTCCACATGTGCTTGGCTTTATACTGCCTTTGGAATCCCAGCTTCCTCCCTTAGGAGATCCTGTGTAAGTGGAGGCCACACGTGAGACAGGACCCAGGACACCTGTCGCATACAGGTTGACTCCTGCTGCCAAGAACATGCCTACCTCACCTCGCCTTCTTCAGAGCCGCTACAGAAGGCATCATTGGCAACTACTAAGAGTTGAAATGAAATGGGTAACACTCCAATCTTATTCTGAATTCCATTAGAAAGTCTTCACACTGGGAGTGCCTTGATGGTAGGATGTGAAAGCTGTCAATGCAGGTGTCTTTTGTATTCATTGCCATTGAGGTATTTTACAGTGCTGTGTAGTCTTGGTAGGACAGGCTGTGCGAAGGCTGCAGTGGGAATTGGCTTGTGCATTTTTAACTTTACAAGCGCTATAGCGCAACTTAAATTCAAGTTCTTTTATTTATTTATTTTTTGAGACGGACTCTCGCTCCGTCGCCCAGGCTGGAGTGCAGTGACGCCATCATCTCGGCTCACTGCAAGCTCCACCTCCCGGGTTCACACCATTCTCCTGCCTCAGCCTCCGAGCAGCTGGGACTACAGGCGCCCGCCACCACGCCTGGCTAATTTCTTTGTATTTTTTCAGTAGAGATGGGGTTTCGCCGTGTTAGCCAGGATGGTCTCGATCTCCTGATCTCGTGATCCGCCCGCCTCGGCCTCCCAAAGTGCTGGGATTACAGGCGTGAGCCACTGTGCCCAGCCAAATTCAAGTTCTTTACCCCCAAATACACCATGTTAGCATAGCCACTGCTTTAAAAAAATGCTACTAGTGTATGATTCTAATGCAATTTTCAGAACTGAAATACTGGGGGCCAAAAATATATGATAATAGCAGACAATCTGCAGCTCACACACGAGGCTAAATCAAGCGGCCAGGTCCTCCTCCGATCTCTGCTGATGCTGCTTTCAGAGGCCTTCGGAGACCACCCCACACCCTCCACGGCTACTCCCCAGCCCCACTCCCATTACCCACTTCACATATTACCTATGCATTTATCTATTCATTTGAACATCCTTCCCAGTGGAATCTGTTTACACTTATATTTGCAGTGTGTAAATATCTGGGTTATAATGCGAGAAGCAGCAGCCAAAGGCTTATTTGTAATAGTGTAGACAGGAAGCAGCCCACCTATTCTCAAATCCCACACTGAAGTTCAAAGGAACTTATTTTGACTTACTGAGGAGTCCCTGCTGGCTAACTAAATAAAACCAAAACTCACAGAAGCACCAGGGGACTCCGACAGGCCAAGGTTTTCAAACCAGGCTTACAGGAACATCAAACATTTATACACGCAGCACTTTACAAAAGCACCTTCACACAGGAACTCATTTGCCTGCAAAACAACCCTGTGAGAAACAGGGCAGGTTTTACTAATTCCCATTTTACTGACGAAGACATCGAGGCTCAGAGATGCTTGACTGTGTCTCGGGAGCTTCAAGACAACCCCCCTCTGCTGTCTTCAGTGGGCGGCATCCAAGCTGTGCCAGACACTCGGCACCCACCTGCTCTTAGGGCTGCAGGCAGGAGCAGGAGGAGCACCCAAGAGGCACCTGCTGCTGCCAAGAGCAAAACCCAAACCCAGGGACACAGGCAGATTCCAGAGAAACTAATAAACTAGTTAAAAGACAAATATTTTAATCTAGTTTCCCCACTTTAAATCATTAATACAGGTCACAAATTGCATTTATTGGTAGACATCTAGAAAACAATCAAAAGTGTATATATCTCTCTCTATAGATCTTATTAATAAATTTTATTTGGACAAGAGAACTTGTGCCACAACAGTTTAAACAGCATGATTAAAGACTGCAGCACTCCCAAGAGTGGTCACAGGTATGTACAGTATGTGAAGAAGTTGCACCTCAGAGCTGATCATGATCAAGTTAAAAACACCAGACATACATTATACGTCTAATAAATTTCCTTCAGGTCATGACCAGCATGAAAAAATCAGACACAGACACTCAGCAACCATTCTGTAAATGTGTACAGCAATATGCTGCGCTTAAGAGTTTAAGTCAATCCTACTTGTGTTGGCATCAGGTCCTTTAGGAGATGTAAAAACCCCTCCTTTCCCATTTGCACACGTCACAAACGATTCACACACAGGGCTGGGCTGGACAGCTGGCCACAGAGCCCAGCAAGTCCTTCCTGGGAGAGAAGAGTTAGGGCTGATACTGAAGGTCTCTTTCACATCTGGGCACACGTCTGCCTTCAGGCTGTAAGAATTTCATTTGTCGATTGTTAAATAAAACCAGGAGAAAGCAATGCAGGTCTCTGGGAATCTCATCCCTTCCATAAGGAAAATGCTCTGCCAATTCAAGTTTCATTCAGTCAGGAAGACAGAAGGATTTAAGGCTTCGGTGACAATTATAATCCTCTGAGAAATTATTTCCCCTTAAAGTCAAGATAAGATAATAGTGTTTACTGTACTTTCTCTTGACTCTTGAAATCCCTGGTATTGGGTGTAGGCAACTTGCACCTGCAATGAAGTCCGCAGGAGAGGAAGGTCTCTCCTCCCCCGAAAGCTATCCCAGGTCACATGCGTGGCGAATGCCCACTGAACCTCGGCTCTCATGGAAGCAGGAAAGACACCGAGATTCAAGCCTTCTAGTAGGTTGAGGACGCTGTGCTCATGGCATCTTCGGAGATTTTGGTACTGGCAGGGTGGATGCTTGCAAAATACTTGACATCGCTGTCACGGTCCATCTGAAGAGCCATGATGGTCTGCTCCACAGCCTCCTGGTGGCAGCTGGCAGAGGCCAAGAAATAGTCTGGAAATGACATGTGCATAGGACAGATGAAACCAGTCCAACGGAACACTTCAGAGTTCCGTCAAGTACGAGTGTAAACAGTTAAACTGGGTATTTCTACAAGTACAAACAAGCCACACTGAAACATAAACAGTAATCCAAACTGATTTGTTATAGGAAGAAAAAGTGCCAGAATAAAAAGAGTTATGAGATTTATCTTGTTTTTATAAGACTAAATCTCATGATATTCAATGACAGCTAAGGAATATTAAATTAATAAATAGATGAAAACATCACACTTCTTAGCCATTAAGTAGCAGTGAAAGAAAAATGCTTCCAAACACCAACTACAAAAAAAAAAAAAGGAGAAAAAAAAATATTCATTTATCCTTATTCTTTGACATCTACTACAAACTTCTTTCTGTGCTTCATTCATCCGTGCAACTATATTTATGAGGTGTTTTGGGCGGCAGGCGGCGGGGGGGTCGATTAAAATAAATAAACCACCTTTAATCTTGAAGAGATTATAATTTCCAACAAAACAAATACTATGGGGCATCTGTCTCTTGCCTAATGAAGAGAAAGCAGAAGGGAGAGCAAACATAGGTAGGTACCAGCCCCCATACTGCAGATTGCAAGTGGCACGCTGCCAGGCAATGGTTTGTACATAAAAACAACACCCAAGTTTAAAAACTAAGTTTTAGGTCAGGCACGGTGGGTCATGCCTGTAATCCCAGCACTTTGGGAGGCTGAGGCAGGCAGATCACATGAGGTCAGGAGTTCGAGACCGGCCTGGCCAACATGGTGAAACCCCATCTCTACTAAAAATACAAAAAATTAGCTGGGCGTGGTGGCGGGCACCTGTAATCCCAGCTACTGGGGAGGCTGAGGCAGAAGAATTGCTTGAACCCGGAAGGCAGAGGTTACAGTGAGCTGAGATCGCACCATTGCACTCCAGCCTGGGTGACAGGGCGAGACTCCGTCTCAAAATATCAAGCAAACAAAAAAACCTAAGTTTTAAATGATAAAAATGATACATGCTTCCGATAAATAAACTCCAACTAGAACAGTAGAGGGCTAATTAAAAAATCCCTTTCATCTTCCATGCCCTCTTGGGAGAATCACCGGAACAACTAAAGTATTTCCTTCCACCAGATTATTTTCTCTGAGCAGACAATACTTCTGCTTTGATATCTGCTGATCCAGTGCAGTCCACAGACCTCCTTCTCTACTCACACGCTTCTTCTAGTGGAGTCACTACCTACCTTTTTCTAGTAGAGTTTGTCTTAATGTCTTTGCAAGCAGCACTCGCACGTTAGGAACCCTGTCATTTGCTAAGGTTAGCAGATGCGGCATGAGATGCACAGCAAACTGGTCCATGGGAAGGCAGTCATCCTCAATGACAGTCTGGGGAAGAGAAACAGCTGCTCTAGGCTTCTCTGTCAATGTAGCCAAAAACTCGACTACTGGCTAACAAAATCTCTGAGTGACCACAGGTACAAATTTTAGTTATTGCTTTTTAACCAAAATTCCACGTACTTGGGAACTCAAATCAAAAATTACATAATTAACTGCCCACACGGACAGACACAGTTTTTAAACTGCTCTACGGAGACCTAGAGTGTTCATTCACAGGTGTTTCATTTTCACACCTGCGCTCTGGGTCCCAGACATGAGCACCCTCTAGTGGGAACCGTGGTATGGTATATGTGTGCACAGTATGTGTGTGGTGGGGTACATGTATGTATGCCTGTGTAATATGCAGTGAGGAACAGTGAGGAACATGCATGTATGTGCACTGTGAAATGTACATATACACACGTCTGAATGTGTGCAGAGCAGAACACGCACATACCAGGCATGTGGTGTGGAACAAGCACATACAGCAGGCACGTGGGGTGTGTGTGGTGCATGCCAGTGTAAGGAGGGGCTTGGCTAGCTGGGAGAGAGGGGCCACCAGATGCCCAACAATGGGGGCAGATGATCCTATAAACAGCCAGGCTACTATAAGGTTCTGTTCCTTAAGAGTAAGGAAGAGGGTGAGAGAGAGGTAGGAAGTTAAAGAAGACATTCTTCTAGGAGAAAAACTCACAAACAGGTAAGCCCAGGGCCTCGCTTACCTGGCAGACAAAGACAAAGGCTTGCCGACCAGACCACTTGGGACATCTGCCAAAGTTCTCCACAAGCTCATTGATGAGGTCCACTCCGAACGTTGGTGGTGTTGCCGCGTGCAGCTTCTTCACCATCTCGCTGACCTGGGAGGGTGAGCATGGAGAAATGAGGAACAGCTTCCATTCTAGGATCTTAGAGTTTGCTGATCTAAAATTTTAAAAGTTCAATACATACCAACTTGTAGGAAATCCAACGAACAGAAGAAACTTTGTCTGCACACAGATTCAGAGCAATGGGACGTAAATAGTCATAAACATCTCTGGGACTATATAACTCTAGAAGTAAAATCAGCTGTCTACAAAAAGGAATTACAAAAAGACAATGTTTAAAAATCAGCGAGACAAATGAAAATAGGTTACCCATTTAAATCATCTGTAATACTGGATTACTGAGCACCTGTCTCAAACATACGCAAAGAGGAGTGATTAAGCAGACCTCTCCTGTACAGTTACCTCCAGTCTCTGTGTATCTGGAAATGCACTTACATGCTATTCAAGTTCCTTAGAGTGTAAGGAAAACAAAAGCTGTAGAGTTCTGCATCCATGGGGACTGAGACAGAGCAAAGCACTTCCTAGTATGTTCAACTGGAACATGGCCCACACTGATCCATGGTCACAGTTTGGAATGTGCTGAGAAGCTTCCATCTACAATCAAGTTTCTCAGTAAGAAGTCCCCGCAGAGGGAGGGAGTCCACTGTGTACCTGTCGAGGCTCTGAGGAGCCTTCCTGGAAGGGATTTGCTAGGGATAACAGAGGGAGGGTGTCCTCCAGCAACCTTCCCATCACATCTGAGGGGCCCTGAGACTTTCATGACATCTACCAAGCTAACCTGAAAGCTTCAATGATGGCCTTGAAGAAATACCTTGGATGTGAGACTTTTGCCTTTCAGATTTTATGTTCAAGAGGATTTACATTTCTAATAAGCAGAAAGTCAACTGTAACATGAATATAGATTATGCAGCAATGATAAATGCACCTGTGTATACAAATATGCATCCTCAAAGAGACACACTTATTTTCTGACAAAATTCAAAATAAAAATTCCAAATAGGACCAGTTTCTGCTTAGAATACAGAAAACTGCAAAGAACGTCACTGACCCTACAGTAGAAAAAGCTACATAAACTTCAAGATCTTTTCTTGAGCCCATCAGAGAGCTGGGGTTGCAAAGCACACAAACAACCTAACTTCCCAAGATGGGAAAGAGAACTGCCCCTCAGCAGAGCCCGGATGGACAGGACACCTGCTAGCACCTAACAGGGCAGGGAGAAATCAGCTCGAATTGCAGTCAGCTGCCCAGGGCCAGATGGTGGCTGGCAGGAGCATGGGGTGGCTCAAACAAAGCCAGATGTGCCCGACACAGGGAGCTCACATTCCCAGACAACCTTCTGACTTCCACAGGGTACCTGCCTCCCATGGGTGCTTCAAGAAAGATGGTCAGGAAAAACAGGAGAGATGTCTCATAGCAGGCAGAAGCAACTGACTGACAGCCATGAATCATCAAGCACTCTGCTGGGCCCTTTTCTCGTGCAAAGCAAAAGGCTTAACCTGCTGGTGGAGGGGCCCCAAAGCCTGTCCACCCTGTGGGCCCAGCAAAAATACTGCAACTGTGGGAGAGGAGAACTAATGCTCCTTATTCCAGGAGGAGCTGTAGGAAGTCCTGCCCGAGACCAAGCACAGATAGGAGGTCCCACCCATTACGCAGGGGTGCAGGTACCGCTAAACGCCGGGTGGAATACTCACACTAGAAGACCACTGGTACCCCAGCTGCCACCCTCAGCAAACGACAATGGTAGTGGCAGCCCACAGCGAGAAAAACTGAAGCCCCAAGTACACTGAACGTAACCACAGCAATCACAAAACGCAAACCCAGCTTGACCCTGACTAGATGGACTCACACCCCGGCACTATATGGCAGAAGAGGAGGCGTGTGTTTTGAGTCAGAAGTGGGCAAGCCAGAACTCAATGGAGTGGCATCTTTAATATACTGAAAGACAAACTGTCAGCCCCACATTCCATACTCAGCAAAGACATCATTTGAAAATGCAGGTGAGGTCTATAATCCAGAATATATAAAGAACTCTTACAACTCAACAACACAACTTAAGATAATCCAATTTAAAAATGTGCAACAGACTTGGATAGACATTTCTCCACAAAATATACACAAATGGTTGACAGGCTTATGGAAAAGTGTTCAACATCATTAGTCATTAGGGAAATGCAAATCATACCACAATGAAGTGCTGTTCCAAGCCCATCAGAACAGCTGTAAATGATAAGCGAGTGATGGATATGCTAACTGCCCTTATCTGACCACTATCCGATACGTATTGCAACATCATTACATACCTCACAAATATGCACAATTATTATTTGGCCAATTTAGAAATATTTTTAAAATTTAGTAGAAAAATAGGTGTTAGTGAGGAGACAGAGAAACTGGAACTCCCATACATTGCTGATGGGAATGTAAAATGGTATAGCTGTTGTGGAAAAGTTTTGGCAGTTCCTCAAGAAATTAAACACAGAATTACCATATGGCCTTGCAAATTCACCTCAAAAGAACTGAAAACAGATTTCAAATATTAAATCTTGTACATAAACGTTCCTAGCAGCACTATTCACAAAAGACCACACCCCCAACCCAAATGTTCCTCAACAGATGAATGCCCTAAACGAATGTGGTATATCCATACAATGGAATATTACTCAACCACAAAAAGGAAGGCAGGTTCAGCTAGAGGATACAATATGGAGGACAACTGAAAACATTGTTAAATGAAGAAACCAAGCACAAAAGGCCATGTGTTATATGACTCCACTTGCATGAAATGTCCGCAACAGGCAAATCCATAGATAGTAGATGCTTATTGGGCATGGGTTTTTCTTTTCGGGAGGTTAACATTTCAGAACTAGATAGAGGGAATGGTTCCACAACACTGTGAATGGACTAAATGTCATCAACAGCAAATTTGGCTATGTGTATTTCACCATGATAAAAATAATATAAAGATGAACTAAAGACATTTTCAAGAAAAAATAAAAAAGCTGAGGAAATTCACTGACAGTAAGACACATATTACAGGAAGCGTTAAAGGGCTAGAATACCACATAGAAACTTGGATCTACACAAAGTAATGAAGAAACTGAGAAAATGTAAAAATGAAGTAAATATATACCCCTCCAAAACATAATCTAATAAACTGTTAGAACTTACTCAGCCAGTTCAGCTCGAAACCGCCAATTTCTACTATTATCTGTCACCAAAAACTCCTGAAGTTGATAAAGATATTCTCTTCTTTTGTCAATATGAAGAAGCTAAAGTAACAAAATAAAAATATTTACCAGGACAAGGTACAGACAGTATTTCTTTTACTAGAGTGCTTAAAAACAGACTGTAAGCAATATGGTTAATTCTTCTGAAGAGGAAATGTAGTAGCTGTATTTAAGTGTTTTAAAATTTGGTATTAAGTTTATTTTTCCCTGAATAATTCCATTTGCCTTCAGGAATCACCATCTTGTCTGGAAATCTTTGTTCCTTGTGCCTATCAATGAGCCACGCTAAACCCCACAGTACCCCGGGCACAGCCTGATTACAGGGCTTGCCCCCTTTATTCATATGACATCCTTGTTGCCATGGCCCCGCTTAAGGCAGTAATTATGCTCTTAACCACGTGTGTAAGCCCTGCGTGTGACGCTGTGACAGCACAGAGTAGGCATTCAGTATTTGTTGAGAGAAAAAAAATAAATGTATCCCAATAGCTGCTCTATAAATATTTAAAGGTAAGTTTATAAACGGAAGCAAACCAACCTAACTGTGCATCAGATGGAAAACAATCACACAGGGAAAAAAGCCAAAGTGTGAACTGACTACTTTGACCATACATCTTCAAGGGACGTTCTAAGGACAGAATGTGCTAGGAAGTCCTGAATATTATGTAGTTGATTTGATGTGGGAATTATTATTGGTGGAGTAATTCTGAAACTATTTCATTTATGTTGTGGAACTCAGCAAACAACTAATTTTTTTTTTTTTTTTTTGAGACAGTGTCTCACTCTGTGGTCCAGGCTGGAGTGCAGTGGCGGGATCTCGGCTCACTGCAACCTCCACCTCCCAGGTTCAAGCGATTCTCCTGCCTCAGCCTCCCGAGTAGCTGGGACTACAGGCGCATGCCACCACGCCCGGCTAATTTTTTGTATCTTTAGTAGAGACGGGGATTCACCGTGTTAGCCAGGATGGTCTCGATCTCCTGACCTCAGGTGATCCGCTCGCCTTGGCCTCCCAAAGTGCTGGGATTACAGGTGTGAGCCACTGTGCCCAGCCACAACTAAATATTACACATTAATGTTACTAAGAACAGACTTTTTACCAGGAGTAAAAAGAAAAAAATATATAAAGTGAAGAGAGAAAACGGTATTGAATTGGAAGCAGTTCATAACAATATGAAGTTAGTAATTTAATTAAAAAAAAAAGCATCACACCTCCTAGCTACTATCTACACCTCCTAGCTACTATCTCCTGAAAAGACCTAAAAGAAATGACAGGCCAGGAGCAATGAGCACTTCCAGTGCCTGGATCTCAGTTTCTAAGGACCATTCTCCACTAAAAAGGACCACAGTTCCTTGGAGAAATAGCTGACTCCAGGCTGGGACAGGGAAAGGGAAAGTTGAAACTGAAAGTATTGATGCACTTAAAAATCAAAGGACAAATCAAAGGACACAAGAGGCAGCTTTAAGGGGTCTCCACTAGTCAAATTTGATGCTCAAAACAAATGACAGAAATGGATTCCATTATGTTGAATTTTTAAAATCCTAGAGTCCCCACTAATACTAAAATAACTTTCGAAACCGGGGAAGGAGAGAAGGCACAGGTTATTTTTACATGGGAATGTTACTTAATAAAAACAGAAGGAATGGCCCAGCATAGTGGCTCACATCTGTAATCCCAGAACTTTGGGAGGCTAAGGCGGGGCAGATCACTTGAGCCCAGGAGTTCAAGACCAGTGTGGGCAACATAGTGAAACCCTATCCCTACAAAAAATACAAAACTCAGTTGGGCGTGGTGGTGCGCCTGTGGCCCCAGCTACTCAGGAGGCAGAAGTGGGAGGATCATCTGAGCTGGGAGAGGTGGAGGCTGCAGTGAGCCATGATTGCATCATTACACTCCAGCCTGGGCAACAGAGTGAGACCCTGTCTCAAAATAAGTAAGTTAATTAATTAAAAAAAAACAGAAAGAATTATGAAAATAGAAAATCACTCTTTCACAACCAACACAGTTAACTGATTCAGGTAAGAACCATGTATAGATGCCTGGATATGAGAGCACTGGTGAAGGACTCTAGAGAAAAAGATATTCAGAGTTCTAAAGTATCACCTCACCAATTCTCTATTAACCACAAAAGGTAAAAGGTCATTTTACAATGGAGTTGTCAGCCTTCTCGTCACCAATGATGGGAAGAGCCAACACCACATTAGCCCTGATGTGGCACATTCAGAAAAATACATGACAACCTACACAGGTTAACATGTCTGCAAAAAAACCCCGCTTACTCAGAATCAAATTGTGTAAATTCAAATTGAGGGTAATTCTGTAAAACAACTGGTTTAGACTCCTCAAAAATGCCAGTGACACCTAGATTTAAGAGGACTAAAGAAAGATAACATTTAAATTTAATATGCACTTTAAGGGATTCAAAATTGAGCGGAGAAAAACTATAAAGGACAATACTGGGACAATCAGAAAAATTTTAGGCCAGGCATGGTGGCTCACGCCTGTAATCCCAGCACTTTGGGAGGCCAAGGTGGGCGGATCACAAGATCAGGAGATCAAGACCATCCTGGCCAACACGGTGAAACCCCATCTCTACTAAAACAAACAAACAAACAAACAAACAAAAAAACACAAAATCGGCCGGGCTTAGTGGCACGCACCTGTAGTCCCAGCTACTCAGGAGGCTGAGGCAGGAGAATTGCTTGAACCTGGGAGGCGGAGGTTGCAGTGAGCCAAGATCCTGCCACTGCACTCCAGCCTTGTGACAGAGCGAGACTCCGAATATGATCTACATAAAATATAAAATGGTCTCAATGTTTTTGTTTTTTACTTTTTTGAGATGGAGTCTTGCTCTGTCCCCCAGCTGGAGTGCAGTGGCATGATCTTGGCTCACTGCAACCTCCACCTCCTGGGCTCAAGCGATTCTCCTGCCTCAGTCTCCTGAGTGGCTGAGACTACAGGTGCCTACCACCACGCCCAGCTAATTTTTTGTATTTTAGTAAAGACAAGGTTTCACCATGTTGGCCAGGCTGGTCTCAACCTCCTGACCTCAAGTGATCTGCCCGCCTCAGCCTCCCAAAGTGCTGGGATTACAGGCGTGAGCCACTGTGCCCAGCCTCAGTGTTTTTTAAAAGGGAGGACTACAATTACTTCTATCACTCAAGCCTTAGAATTACCAGAGTCAATTTCAAGGCTAAAGTCTAAAAACAACAACAGTACTCCAGGAGTAAACAATTTGTAAAAAATCAGGGCTATTCACTTTGGAGACCACAGCTCCTCTATCAAAGTAGTGAGGGCTAAACGTAAATTCTCAAGACGCCTGAAATACCACACAAAGCCTCCAAACTTAATACACAGTTGACTTTCAACAACAGGGGTTTGAACTGCATGGGTCCACTTATACTTGAATTGTTTGTCCCAACCAGATTGAAAATACAGTATTCCCGGATGTGAAACTGGAGTACACGGAGGGCAGACTTTTCCTATACGCAGGTTCCACAGGAGTACTCCATGGATTTGGGTGTGCATGGGGGACCTGGAACCAATCCTCCTGCATGTACTGAGGGATGACTGCAGCTAATGATTTTTTTTAACATACATTTCACTCAATAATTTTGAAAAAGAAAAAGATACAAATGTCTGTAAACTATCATCTAATACTGTTTTAAAAGTGAGAGTATAATTATGGGACCATTTCTTTTTTAAGTTGCATCTTAACATCAACTTATGGCTGTGTTTTCTTACATAGAAACACAAAGAAACCTCTCTTGGTGATAGCAGAAGATAAAGATTTAGATTACGGCAGAATTTTGTTGTGTTTTTATGCAAAAAAATTTAAAAGTTACCTTCAGAAAATCATGCAAGTGTTTAAGAACACCTATCCTGACTTCATCGAGGTCTTTTAAAAATCCATTAAAAATTGGAACCAGATCTGCAGCTGTCAATTGATCTCCAAGAATAACTGCAAGCTCGTGGATGGAGAATGCTAGAGTTCGTCGAACTTTCCACTGCAGAAATGAAAACACATTAGTAAGCTAACCACAAAGTACGCAGTACTTTAACCATTAGGCAATATACAAAGGCTAATTTATATATGAATGTTACTAACCTCAAAAAATTAAATCAGAATAACAGATACTAACTTTAAATGCCTAAATTATGCATCGAAAAGTGTAACAGAAACATTTTAAATCCCTGCCTAGTACGTATTATCTTCCTTTCATTTATGAGGAGAAAATGCTTAGCAATCGTGAAGTTTTTGTAGCTCTCTGAACATTGGACCCTGGCTCTGACAGTGCAAGAAGAACATGCTCTGTTATTACTCCTAAGCTCTTCCATACATAATTTCCTGTAGCACTAAGCACATGCTAGAACATGCCGACGTACTGAGGCTGCACATGGCTTTGTTATTACTCCTAAGCTCTTCCATACATAATTTCCTGTAGCACTAAGCACATGCTAGAACATGCCGACGTACTGAGGCTGCACATGGACCAAAGGATCTCTAGCACCCTCCCCGGTTTACTGTTCCCCTTCAGATTCCTGTACAGCCAAACCTTGGATTAAGAAAAACAAAACAGAACAATAAAATTTGTTTTTAAGGAATTGGCAATTTAAGAAATATAAGACTAGGGAAATCAGCATACAGCCTTGGAAAAGAAACCCTCAACAGAAATGTGTTGCATTTATAATAATTTTAAGTTAAAAACATCCTTTTCTCCATGGTGCCTTAATCATAAAATTTTTACATAGTAACTTAAAATTTTACCTAAAGAGAAACAGTTTAGAGCAAACACTGTATTTCCTTTCCCTTCCCCCCAGAATCCACTCTTGAAATAAAATTTTACGCCCAAGTTCAACATATAAGACAGATGAAGGCAGAGATGTTCTGATGGAAGAGGGGGGCAGCAGAGAGAAGAAACTGCCCATCCAGATTCTGAGCCATCAGAGTCACCCAGGTGCCCCGAAAGATACATCCCACGGGAACCCTACAGTTCTGTAGAATAAAGACTGAAAACACGAATACACAGGACAAAGCACTCTATGGAAATTGGGCCTTTGTGGTTCCATGACCAGATGCAGCACTTAAAAAGTATATGAACACAGATAAATTCACTTCTTCTGGGTCCTGGTTAAGGATAAATTCACTTCCCCTGGGCCCAGCTTTCCTAACCTCATAGGTCAAAGGAGGAACTTGACCTATCAAGATTACTTCCAACTTATAACTTGCTGAGTCAACAGCACTGATTCCTTGAAAAATACAATTACTAAGAAGTTTAAGGAAAAGTCATCACATTTCAGTACAAATTAGCCTAATCAGACTGTTTTTTTTTTTTTTTAAATAACTGAGAGATCAACTTCACTGAAGGAACAGGTGTGTTCAAAGAGGGGCAAACTTTGTTTATACAGAAATCAGCCCTGGCAGGGGAGGTCAGGTCATCAAGCCTGGGAAGAGGTCACACAAAAGTCACAGATGTCCAGACAAAATGACGTGAAGCAAGGGTTTACCTTGTGTGTTCTGTTGAAAGGGGTTGGGGGTGGTGTGTGGGGATGAGGAGAGAGCAAGAACCACGGAACTTCTCCTGTCTGTACTGCAATGCTCAAGGCATGCAGGGCCCAGAACTTCACATGTGCTAGTAATACTGGAGTTCTACTACGGTTTCAACAAATATTTTCAGATCTACTGTGCAAATCAAATAAGCATTTATAATACTATTTCTAGGTGAAAAATTAAATCCTATATTCGGAACAATTAATTTACATATAAACTCTAGATAATAATACATTTTAAGTTAGGAATGTAGGCATGTTGAATGTGATAACAATTTCTAATGCTTTAGATAAAAATGAAGAAGCCAAATTGTGGGACTCTGACACTGCAAAAAGAACATGCTCTGTTATTACTCTTAAGCTCTTCCATACATAATTTCCTATAACACTAAGAACATGCTAGAACATGAACAGAAATTCTTTAGGTTACAAAAAGCAAAGCACTGTGCCTTCCACATGCACGTTCTGCTAATTCTTTAACTGCTTTACTCACCTGCATGTCTGAGGCCAGAGTCTCATACGTCTCTCTCAGGCAGTGCCAATTCTGTCTTCCGAGTGTCAAGGCCACACCAGGGAGGCTATATGCACAGTGCTTAGCAATTTCAGTGTCAACCGTCTGTGCACGAGAAGGGTCAGTCATAGATAAATACTGATCTAACAACGCCTGAGGTACAACATCCTAATGGAGAAAGAGAAACCACAGTGACTGAGCAGCTGAGATGCATTTTGAGCAGTTTAGACATAAATTGGGCAAAATTATTTTTAAATATATAGATTTTAACATAGCATCTCAAATAGTTGAGAAAAACCAATGTCAAATGTTCAGGTATCTAATAACTAAGAGATACGAAAAACATGCTAAGGGAAACATATATGAACAAATAAAAGCAACTCTAGGAGAACAATGAATAACATCTCAGCTCAAAGGAAAATTAGAATTAATTACTAAATTGAAAAGACATATTAAAATAACACCAGAGCCTTTTAAATGTAGGCAGAGATGACAATGTTTGTTATAACCCAGCAAATGCAGAATAACAGGTGCTCTGCGTGATTTGCAACATGTTCATTAAAAAAACAAAAACCAGCCAGGCACAGTGGCTCACACCTGTAGTCCCAGCACTTTGAGAAGCCAAGGAGGGTGGATCACTTGAGCCCAGCCTGGGCAACATGGTGAAACCCCGTCTCTACAAAAAATTAAAAAATCAGCCAGGTATGGTGGCTCACACCTGTAGTTCCAGATACTCGGGAGGCTGAGGTGGGATGATCACTTGAGCCCAGGGAGGTGGAAGCTGCAGTGAGCTGGGATAGCACCACTGTACTCCAGCCTGGGCGACAGAGTGAGACTCTGTCTCAAAACAAAAATAAAAACTTGTCTTCTTTAGATGAAAATTTAAGCAATTATTTCTAGAAAATTGAAGTGCACATGTCTAATTATTAGTATATATGTGAGGAAAAGAAGAACATATTTGCAATCTTGCTTAGGTGTGTATAAATATAGCTGTGGAAGGATATAAAAGAAAGGTAAAACTGGTTGTATCTCAGGAAGCAAAATGGATGAGTGGAGAAGAAAAAACTGAGAGGGGAACATCACTGAATGCCTTTTAAGTATCTTGAATTTTGAGCTACATAAACGAATTATCCATATACACAAAATGAAAATGGAAATAAACTCATTAAAATGAGATTTGAAATACTGAAAATGTCTGTAAGTGGGGAAAAGCATGTTTCAAAACACTATTGTTTTGAATACTGATTTCATTTTTAGTAAATAAAGTAAAAATTGGCTAGATGTGGCGGTGCACATCTGTAGTCCCAGCTACTTGGGGGGCTGAGGCAGAAGGATCGAATGCTTGAGCCCAGGAGTTCGAGGCTGCAGTGAGCTGTGATCTCGCCACTGCACTCCAGCCTGGGTGACAGAGCGGAGACCCCATCTCTAACAACAATAACAAAATAAATATACCATTTGATCTGGGAAATCTACTTCTAACAATAATAATATAATCCTAAGGCTGGGCACGGTAGCTCATGCCTGTAATCACAGCATTTTGGGAGGCTGAGGTGGGCGGATCACTTGAGGTCAGGAGTTCATGACCAGCCTGGCCAACACGGCGAAACACTGTCTCTACTAAAAACACAAAAAATTAGCTGGGCATGGTGGCTCGCAACTGTAGTCCCAGCTACTTGGGAGGCTGAGGCAGGAGAACTGCTTGAACCCAGGAGGCGGAGGCTGCAGTAAGCTGAGATGGTGCCACTGCACTCTAGCCTGGGTGACAGAGTGAGACTCCATCTCTAATAATAATAATAATAATAATAATAATAATAATAATAATAATAAAGTCATAGAAGCAAACAACACGTACAGACAGTCATGGTGAATGCAGCACTGCTTATAGCATCAAAGTGAAACTACAACGAGTAGCATCTCCCACAGTGCCTTCTTACGATGGAGACCACGGGTGTGGCATGGACACTGTGCTGTGCTGCTGTGAAGGTGAAGGAGTCCTGGTGTGCTCACAGGAGAGGTCACCAGGTCAGATTGTTAGAAGAGAAAAGAAAAGAGCAAGGCAAGGCACAGCTACCACATTTCAATGATTCCGTGAGCACAGTTTCCCTGCAGCTTGTTACTGATGGCACTTTAAAATTTTCGTATTTTTTCATATTTTCATCTCTGAAATCGAGCTGTATTTTATAATTATTGGCAATGTGAACAAGAGGAAATACCTAGGTAGGATGGGATGACCACAGCTGTCTTCAATGATAAAAAGAGGCACATGTGTATGTTTATGTGCCCATGAAAATACATGAAGGAAGATAATAAGGTGTGTGATCGTGGTCACTCTGAATGAAGAATGGGATCACAGAGGTAGAAAAGGGAAGATTTGTGCTTCCATGTTCCTCTCTCTACTACTTCGATTTCCTTATGGAAAATATGACACACTAGTCAATTTTTAGAACACTCATCATAAAGAAGGGGCAAATTAGGTCAGAAATGGGCTCTAAAAGAGGAATTAGGAACACACCCACAAAAGAACACATTTTTTGGTCACTTACTTGTACTTTAGTTCTCCTTTCCTCATCAGGGCTAAAACTGCTATTGTTGCTCAAGTCTGAATCGCTGTGAATATAGTGAAGAGTGGAGTCCATATTCTGTTAGGAAAAAATAACTACTTAAAGAGCTGTCCTGTCTGTACATCTTCATTTAAGCTATCTTACTAAGTTACTTACCTTTCAAGACTGCCAAAAGTAATAAACATATAAATTCCTCATGTTTTTAAAAGCTTATAAACATACCTAAGAACCTACCCTACTTTAAATCTAACTTGCTGAATAGGTTGTCAAGTGTACGAAAACCAATTCCAGAAAAATTAGAGTAATTAAAAACAATATTTGAAAGTAATTTTGAAATGGTCCAAACAGCTCAAATTAGCTTATTTATGAAATAGTACTGAGAGGATTCTTTTGGTCCATTGTTTTAGAGACCATGGAGTGTCATATGCAGTTTTTCTTCTATTTCTATTCTTGGCTGTTAATATCTAATTTCACAAATTATATATATGTTAACAGCCAAAAACAGTAACAACAACAACAACATAAACACCTTCTAAAATGCAGATATATTAATACTATTCAAATCTCCAATAAATAGTCAGGGCTTCAATCCAAAGCAGTGGTATTATACAGATTTCTAACTATACCACATGCCATCCAACAGAAATCAAAACAGAAATGCACTAAAGCTCTAAGAACCCTCCTGCCATCCCCAGTGTGTGCAGGTACTCTTTCCTGAGCTTCTCATTCAAGCCACTATGATCTGTGACCATGCGATTCTGGCAATCGGTGGTGCATTCCTTCTCCCCATTTGTATAAACAATGGCTAAGCAGCACTGATACCAAATAATGCTGGCTTGATGGAGATGCAGCAGGAAATTAGGGAAGGATCATAGAGAACAGCTACAAGTACACAGTGAAGATGATGCTAGGATCAGTACCCACCCTCACACTCCAGAGTCCAGATAATGTCACTGGCCCTCCGCAACATGGCCTCAAGTCCCGATCTTCTGCTCAGAATACTGTGTTGCTTGCTGCAGTGAAATGGTCCGATCAGAAACAAAGCACCTCTCCAAAAAGAAAAGGGAAGAGTTAATTATTCTTGATAAAGGGCTTTGTTTCCAGTAAGACTATTTCACTGCAGTGAGCTACATTAACATTGAGTCTACTAAATGGTCATATAGACAGAAGTGGGATTTACTTTTCCAGGCATTTCATATGACACTAATGTCACGAGGACAGGATGTGATGAAAACAATTACTTTATGCAAAACGAAGAGCTAAAAAATCAGCAACAAACAGAACATACAAACTAAAAGTGATTAGCTACAACTATTCCCCAATGAAAGACTTCTGATTCAAACTACTCTCATTTGGTAAACACTTTACTGAGTTTGTTACCTCAACAGCATCGCTGATTAAAGGCACAGAATCTTCTTGATTTATTTTACAATTTGGTAGCTCATTTATATCCAGTTCATCTTGCAAATCACTTCTCTTTTCTATACTGATGGTCTCTTCATGTGCATCCAGGCTGGAAGCACGTAGTGCAGCGGACAGCACTTCCACTTGTGCTACAGGCAAAATAAGGAAATGGACAAAGTGAGAAACACAATTGCAATATTCTTACAAGGCTGTTCTCCATTTGCACTGTACGTTATCAATGAAATATATACTTTTTTGACACTGCAATCAAAAAGCTGGAAAAAAATTTCTACTGTGGTAAATCATTAGTCCTTCAAGAGAAAAAGTAGAAAACTAATATGCTTTCATGAGATTAAAAATGTTTATCTGCTACTGTACATTATTCTGCGTTAGTATGAAAAGAGAAATGCTATCTAGTTGCTGGAGCTGCCTCCGGCTTATTAAAAGGAGTCAATTTCAGTAAACGTTAACTATGTTTTGGTAGTGCATGAATCAAACTGGCAAGTCTTACTTACTAAGCTATTTTAGCAGAAGAGCAGTCACACAAACCCTGCCAACATAAAACAATGGCAATTACAAAGATTCTTGTCACAGTTACATTTAAACATCTCATATCTTATTACTGCTTATTTTTCTCTAATTCTTTTTGAAAATGAGAATTGCATCTTCTCCCAAACACAATAATCCCAAATGAGCACTGTCTTGCTTGCAGCAAACCAAAAGGACAACTTACCAGGCAGTGGTTCAAAAATCTGGCAACTAGCATTGCCTATGTTTTGGGTTGCACCTTACTTACAAAGGTGATTCAAAATTAAGATAAGGCATTCTTCCTGCTCCCCAAATAAATCAGAAATTTAGCAAAAAATATTGCTTAGCATTTATTCCAAGTAACAATCCACTTGGATGTTCAAAATGTGAACATTTTAAATTCAAACATTTTAAACAAAACAATCAGTAACTATTTTAAGATAATCTATTATGCTGCAGCATTTATAAAATTTCTCATCTAAGTATATTAAGTGCCTGACAACAGACACACAAGCAACATACAGGATGAGGTTCTAGTCTATTAGGTCATTACTTGCTAACTTAAGAAAATTGAACATATTCACTCACAAAAAGTTGTAGTGGAATATTTTCATTATCTTCAGAATTTCGGCTGCAATTTTCACCAACCCTTTTAATCACTTCAGCCACTCCCTTTTGGGATCACTCCCAAGCCAAACCAAAACAGTACTCAAAATAGACTGTACAAGAAAGAAAGGTTAAAATGTTTTGTCCCATATAAAGTGCATGGTGTGTGTGTGTGTGTGTGTGTGTGTGTGTGTGTGTGTGTGGGGGTATCATCCCCCATCCATTCTGTTCCCTGGAAAGTGCAGGCATACTTTGTTTTATTGCACTTTGTAGATACTACACTTTGGCTTTTTTTTTTTTTCTTTAAAGAGGTGAGGTCCCACTATTTTGCCCAAGTTGGAGTTACTTGCAGAAAGCTATTCACAAGGCATGATCATAGCTCACTGAAGCACTGAACCCCTGGGCTCAAGCAATCCTTCTGCCTCAGCCTCCTGAGTGGCTGGGACTACAGGCACACACCACCATGCTGGGCGTGATAACTGTACTTTTTCTAAACTAAAGGTCTGTGGCAAGCTTACATTTAGCAAGTCTATTGGTGCTATTTTTCCAACAGCATGTGTTTACGCTGTGCCTCTGTATTGTATGTTGGTAATTCTTGTACTAGTTCAATCTTTTTCATTATTGCTATATCCGCTATGGTGATCTGTGATCAGTGATCTTTGATATTACTATTGTAATTGTTTTGGGAGCTGCTAACTAGCCATACAAGACGGCAAACTTAAATGATAAATGTGTGTGTTCTTACAGCTCTACCGACTTTCTTTACCCATCTCTCTCCTGTCTCCCTATTCCCTGAGACTCAACAATATTAAAATTGGGCCAATCAATAACCCAACAGTAGCCCCTAAGAGTTCAAGTGAAAGGAAGAATAACATGTCTCTCACTTTAAATCCAAAGCTAGAAATGATTAAGCTTAGTGGGGAAGGCATCTCAAAAGCCAAGAAAGCCCAAAAGCTAGGACACTTGTGCCAGTTAGCCAAGTTATAAATGCAGATGGAAAAGTTCTTGAAGGACATTCAAAGTGCTACTCCAGTGAACACACAAAGAAGAAGGAACAACAACATTATTGCTGATATGCAGAAAGTTTGAGTGGTCTGGACAGAAATCAAACCAGCCACAACGTTCTCTTAAGCCGAAGTCTAACTCAGAGCAAGGCCCTAACTGGCTTCAATTCTGTAAAGGCTGAGAGAGGTTAGGAATCTGAGAAGAAAAGCTGAAAGCTAGCAGAGGTTGGTTCATGAGGTTTAAGGAATGGAGCCATCTCCATAACATAGAAGTGCAAGGTGAAGCAGCCAGTGCTTAGGTAAAGCTGCAGCAAGTTATTCAGAAGATCTAGCTAAGATTACTTAAGCCACTAAGGTAGCTACACCAAACAACAAATTTTTTTTTTTTTGAGATGGAGTCTTGCTCTGTCACCCAGGCTGGAATACAGTGGTGCAATCTTGGCTCACTGCAACCCCTGCATCCCGGGTTCTAGCAATTCTCCTGCCCCAGCCTCCCTAGCAGCTAGAATTACAGGCATGGACCATCATGCCCAGTTAATTTTTGTATTATTAGTAGAGACAGGGTTTCACCATGTTGGCCAGGCTGGTCTCAAACTCCTGACCTCAGATGATCCACCCACCTCGGCCTCCCAAAGTTCTGGGATTACAGGCGTGAGCCACCTCGCCCGGCCCAGATTTTCAACACAGATAAAACAGTCTTCTATTGGAAGAAGATGCCATCTAGAACTTTCCTAGCTAAAGAGAAGTCAATGCCTGGCTTCAAAGCTCCGAAGGCCAAGGTGACTCTTGTTAGGGACTAATGTGGCTGATGACTTTAAGTTAAAACCAGGCCAGGAGTGGTGGCTCACGCCTGTAATCCCAGCACTTTGGGAGGCTGAGGTGGGTGGATTACCTGAGGTGAAGAGTGCGAGACCAGCCTGGCCAGCATGGTGAAATCCCATTAAACAAACAAACAAAAAAAACTAGCCAGGCATGGCGGTGCATGCCTGTAGTCCCAGCTACTCGGGAGGCTGAGGCAGGAGAATCGCTTGAACTTGGGAGACAGAGGTTGCAGCGAGTTGAGATTGCACCACTGCACTCCAGCCTGGGTGACGGAGTGAGGCGCTGTGACACACACACACACACACACACACACACACACACACACACACACGTTAAAACCAATGCTCATTTACTCAAAAATCCTGGGGCCCTTAAGAATTAGGCTAAATCTACTCTGCCTGTGCTCTGTCACTGGAAAAGTAAAGCCTGGATGAGAGCAGATCTATTTACAGCAAGGTTTGCCGAGTACTTTAAGCCCACTGTTGAGACCTATGGCTTAGAAAAATATTCCTTTCAAATTATTACTGCTCACTGACAATACACCTGGTCACCCAAGAGCTCTGATAGAGGCGTATGAGGAGACAATGTTGTTTTCATACCTGCTAACACAATACCCATTCTGCAGCCCAAGGATCAAGGGGTAATTTCAACTTTCAAGTCTTATTATTTCAGGAATACATTCTGTAAAGTTATAGCTGCCATAAATAGTGATTTCTCTGATGGATCTGGACAAAGTAAACTGAAAACCTTCTGGAAAGGATTCACCACTCTAGATGCCATTAGGAGCATTCACGATTCATGGGAGGAGGTCAAAATATCCACATTAAAGGGAGTATGGAAGAAGGTAATTTCAACCCTCATAAATGACTGAAGGATTCAAGACTTCAGTGGAGGAAGTAACTGTAGGTAGGGTAAAAATAGCAGGAGAACTAAAATTAGGAGTGGAGCTTGAAAACGTGAGTGAAATGCTACAATCTCATAATCAAACGTTTTCTGTTGTTTTAATTTTAGAGATGGGGTCTTGTTATGTTGTCCAGGCTGGAGTATAGTGGTTATATGTAGGCACAATCATAACCACTACAGCCTTGAACTCCTGGTCTCAAGCAATCCTCCTGTCCTCAGTTGGGATTACAGGCACATGGTCACTATATCCGGCTCTCCTGACCAAACTTGAACAAATGCCTCTTAGGATGAGCAAAGAAAGTGGTTTCTCAAGATGGAATCTCCTCCTAGTGATGATGCTGTGAACATTGTTGAAATGACAACAAAAGATCTAGAATATTACATAAACCTATTGATAAAGCAGTGGTGGTGTTTGAGAAGACTGACTCTAATTTTTAAAGATGTCTCCTGCAGGTAATATGCCAACAAACACCATTGCTAGCTATGGATACATCTTTCATGAAAGGAAGAGTCAACTGACACAGCAAGCTTCCACGCTGTTTTATTTTCAGAAATTGCCACAGCCACCCCAGCCTTCAGCAACCACTGCCCTGACCAGTCAGCATCCACCAACATTGAAGCAAGACCCTCCACCAGCAATGAGACTACAACTTGTGTAAAGCTCAGATGATCATCAGCATTTTTTAGTATTTTTTCAATGAAGGTATGTGCATTTTTTTTTAGACAAAATGCTATCACATGCTTACTACAGTATAGTATAAACACAACTTTTATAAAATTCTGAGACTGGGTCTTACTCTCTCACCCAGGCTGGAGTGTAGTAGTGCAATCATAGCTACTGAAACCTTAAACTCCTAGGCTCAATTCTCCCACCTCAGCCTTTAGAGTGGCTGGGACTACAGGAGTGTGCAATCATGCCCAGCTACTATTCAAAATCTTTTTAGAGATGGGGGTCTTGCTATGTTGCCCAAACTGGTCTCAAACTCTTGGCCTTAAGCTATCCTTCTGCCTCAGCCTCCCAGGTAGCTGAGATTACAGGTGCAAGCCACTGCACCTGTGGTTTTATGCACTGGAAAACCACAAATTTGTGTGACTCTATTGCAATATTTGCTCTTTTGCAGTGGTTTGGAACTGAACCAGCAGTATCTCCAAGGTATGCTGTTATTTGTATTGAAGTCTCTCAATTGCAGCTAGTAAATTTACAGTACAAAGAGTATTAGATATCTTCTGAAACACAAAGTCACATCAAGAAACTTGTATGTATGTACATGTAAGTCTTTTTAGAAAGCAATCTATGCATATTTCTTTGCATTTATTTGCTGAAAGAAAAACTTAGAGCAGTTCTTTCAATATTTCAATTAATATTTAAGTGACTAGTCTATGTCAGAGAACTAGCAGGTACTATAATACAATGAGAGCTCCCAGAACCGGCTTAAGGACAACTGGTAATCTTTTGTTCATAAAAATATAGTTTAAGAAAAATAAAATAAGCTGAGCGCAGTGGTTCACACCTGTAATCCCAGCATGGTGGGAGGCCAAGGCAGGCGGATCACCTGAGGTCAGGAGTTCAAGATCAGCCTGGCCAATATGGTGAAACCTGTCTCTACTAAAAATACAAAAATTAGCTGGGCATGGTGGCGCACGCCTGTAGTCCCAGCTACTTGAGAGGTTGAGGCCAAAGAATCGCTTGAACCCAGGAGGCAGTGGTTGCAGTGAGCTGAGATGGCACTACTACACTCCAGCCTGGTGACAGAGTGAGACTGTCTCAAAAAAAAAAAAAAAGTAGCTGGGTGCAGTGGCACATGCCTGTAATCCCAGCTACTCGGGAAGCTGAGGCAGGAGAATTGCTTGAACCAGAGGTTGTTGTGAGCCAAGATCGAGCACCACTGAACTCCAGCCTGGGCAACAAAGCGAGACTCCGTCTCAGAAAAAAAAAAAAAAAAAAGAAGAAAACCGGAGTCATTGAAGTTGGATAAACTTAATAAACTTAAGTTGGTAAATAATAACATTTAAACAGAAAGCTGGAAGCTGTAAAGACGTTAAACATTTATCAAAAGTTGACTATGCTTGCTGTGAACATTCTATAGTCTTTTCCTCCCCCACGCCCGAGACAGAGTCTTGCTGTCGCCCAGGCTGCAGTGCAGTAGTGCGACAAACATTCTATAGTCTTTCCATAAAAGAATGACTGCGTGTACTGCTATCTTATAAAAAGGTAATGAGTCTCTGTGCAAAATAGTTAAGGCAGAGCCCAAACTTTAAAACTGTAAAGCACTGTTTGAATGACTGAAACTTTCAAAGAGAGTGATTTGTCAATCAACAAATCTGTATAAATTACAGTAAGGAATGCAACGATGAGCCTATTTTAAATAAAAAATTTCCTGAAAATCAGATTAATTGTATTTATCAAGAGAATTTAGAAATACATGATAATGATGGTTATACTACCTTTTTCTTTTTTTAATAGACAGGGTCTTACTCTGTTGCCCAGGCTGGAGAACTATCAGAGCAAGCTGCTGCATGATCCTTTGACACCATTTGAACTTAGGCACAATTACAGCTCAGTGCAGCCTCAACCTCCTAAGCTCAAACGATCTCCCACCTCAGTTTCCCAAGTTGCTAGGACTACAAGCATGTGCCACCATGCCCGGCTAATTTTTTATTTTTTTGTAGAGATGGGGTCTTACTATGTTGCCCAGACTGGTCTCAACCTCCTGGTCTCAAGTGATCCTCCTGTCTCAACCTCTCAAAGTGCTGGTATTATAGGTATGAGTCACTGTGCCCAGTCCATAATACATTATTAAATGACAATTTTTTCTGAAATGAAATTTTTTTAAGATAGACACTAATATTTTTAATCAATTTCAGAATAAATAACTTGATTGACTTCCATACCTTTAACATCTGGATCATCAATGTGGGGCTCTAGATTTTCTATCATTTCTTCCAGTTCCTTTCTGGTGGCCATGGTGATGTTTGGAGAACTGGGCACAGGGCCCTCAGATTCTTCCTCTGGTCCCTCTGGGCTGGGTTTTCCCCCAGAGTTCTGTTCAAGCTCTATGTCTAGATCTATTTCAGGAAGAGGAGTCCTCCAGAAATGGAAGGAGTTATACAATTCCTGATCTAAGAGAGCTGAATCTTGTGAAGTGGTGCCAACCTCTGGTCGTAACATAGATTTGTAGTTACCAGGTTTTTTATCATTCTCATTACTAGCTGCTTCCTGGTGAGATTCTGAGGACAAAGTACAAAGTAAAGAGCTGTCCAGTGGAACACTAATTTCACCTAGAGGCTTCCCGGATGCCTCAGCAGCATGGTCTTCCATCGTGTTTTCCAGTATGACACTGGAATTACTAACACTGAGATCTGAAGGAGTATCCTCTGGCCTGACTTGTACATCCTCTGGGGCTTCTTGATCTCTGGTCCTTTTATTGTTTTATTTGGTGGGAAAAAAACAATATGAAAGGATAATTACTTTAAAAAAACTGATGAAAGATATTACATATAGCATTTAGACAAGTTAAACATTAAAAATTACGGATTATCTGTACAAACTGAGTTTATGTATATTATTTATAATGCTTCTTTCTCCATCAGCTGTTCTGTGTTCAAAGATGTAAATACCTGTTAAGTATAAGTCTAGATAGTCAAGCAATATATATTAGTTAGAGAAGGTAACATTTAAGAATCCTGGGATTCTATAACACCATGCTAATTTCAATAATAAATAACTAAAGAAAAGTAGTGGAAACAGAAATTCCTACAATCATTTTAAGATACATAACAACATTTAAATTATTTTATTTTTAGGGTTATTTGTATTACCTCTCTACTCCAACGACATATTGCAAAGCTGAGACCTAAAGCCTATTTGCTTACATTACACAAGGAAAATAAAATAAAAACAATTTTAAGATAGTAGTAGGAAAGATACTTATTTGCTATCTCACAAAATATATTAAAATCTGCTTGAGTGTAAATATTACTTCTGTTTCTTCTAAAATATTCATCTCTACTCCCCAAGGTTTTCCTAAAATGAGGACATAATTTAATTGATAAGGACAGATGGTACAAATTCATTAAAGTCCACTGATTACTGCCATCTATTATCTGAAGTACGACTGTAAGTGTTATTATTTGATTCAATTAAATTTAACAGGCATTTATTGAGCACCTACTAAGAGCCAGGAAATGAAATCAGTATTGAGGATTCAAATGTGAATGAGATGCAGCTCTTGATCTTGAGATTACAATTAGAGGCAAACAGAAAAAATGAAGATATATCAGCAAATTGCTGCTAGACAGGGTGGTAAGCACAGATGCAAGCACACTGAACACAGGAGGAGATGGGAGTGAAGATTAAAAGGCCTTCAAGGAAATGACATGAGTTGTGCTTAGAAGAACCAATACATGTTTATGGGGCTAAGGGGAAGAAAAAAGCATCTAAAGGAGAAACAGGACATGCAAAGGCCGGAGTGGCAGAAAAGGTGTGACGCATTCAGGAATCAGCAATGAGGAAATGATGGATGACAAGGATGAAAGATATCACATGAACCACTGTATTCCAGACCAGCAGACCTCCGGAGTTCATCCTGGACTACAGGAAATCATGTAGTAAGGAAATTGTTAATAGATCTGTTGTTTTAGAAAGACCATTCTGGAGGAAGTGTAGAAAATGAGTTGAGAGGTAAGATAGGAGGCAGGAATTACAGACATGCAGGTAAGAAGTGATGATGTTCTGATGGAGGCAGTGTCTCCAGGACTACAGAAGAACACATTCAAACAGCAGCAAAAATCAACAGGACTTTTCCACTTATTGCATGCTGCAGGTAACAAAAACAGTTTCACAAGAAAGCTAACAGGTTCAGGTTGAAAGAGGTTGAGTTAGCTATCCACGTTGGGTTCTAGGTGGTGATTATCTATGAGAAAGAGGTAAAGACTGAGACAGAGGTGGAGGTCATCAACTCAGAAAGATGTGTGGGGCTGACATATGCGGAGGCAACAAGTATTAATAAAGAATAACACAACTGCATAGAATAACAAAGAGTGAAGGCATTTTTCCTGTATAAAAGAATGATGAGCATATTTTTAGGCTGAGGAAAATAGGTTAGAAGAGATGAAAGAACTGGAGACACAGAGATTGATGAAATAACTGATAAAGCAATGTCTTTCTGAGAAGAGGAAAGAATATGGGCTTCAAAAACACAGCAAAACAGATTAAACAGTGAAGAGACTTGCTTCCCAAGAAACATGAAAGGGAAATAAGGATGGCTGAATATGTAGGTAAATTTGTAAGATGAATACAGGAAAAAGCATCTGTGTGCCTTTAAATACACACAATAAAAGATGTTTAACAGGAGACTTAAAAGGACTGTGCAAAAGGAGGGTGATGTTAATGCCTATGTGAGCTCCCACTTAAACAGTCACCATCTACATTCTCATGAAATTACGAAGTTCCCTCTCATCATAATGCTGTTTTCAAAACCATTATTTTCACAAACAGGTGATTATTTTTTAAAATACTGATGAACAAAAACATACGTAAGTCATCTGAAAACATAACACATTGTGACTGCATTTTAAATTCTGGTATTTTTCTTCTTATAACTACAAAATATACAGTATGCATATATAATACAATTGTTTACAAGTGTGAAGAAATCAGACTTTAACGTTCTTACTCTCGCACTGGCACTACGTTAATATAAAATTCTGAACCTTTTAAGGACTTCTAGGATTCCTCACTTATTCCTTATTCATAAAAATGAGGAGTTGGCCTAGATAACCTGTAAGATGTTTTCCCACTCCAAAGGAGCTCCTGAAGCTAGTGCTGTTATGCAAAATAAATGTGTCTTCTACATGTTTATGAATTATGTATTTCCCATTTTGTCCATATTAAAAAATATGTATTTTTCCCTTTTGTTATAAAGAACATTAGTGGGCCAATTGGTAAAATTCAATAAAGGCTAGATTAGCTAACAGTATTGTATCAATGTTAATTTCCTAATTTTGGTAACTGGACTACAGTTATATATTAACATCTGTGTTTTAAAGAAATACATAGTATTTTAAAAAGGTAAAAAGAATATCATGTCTAAAACTTATTCTCAAAGAGTTCAGAAAAAAAGAATAAAGCAAATATGGTAAAACAGTATTTGGAAAATCTACATGGATATATGAAGTTCTTTGTGATATCCTTGCAAAATTTCTGAAATCATTCAAACTAAAATTTTAAAATTATAATAAGATATTGTTCAGAAAGGGGGAAGAGAAGAGCAAATGGGTAAAACTTGTAAGACCTCGTATGTACTATCTAATAAATACAATGAACTTCTGTTTTGTTTATTGTTTTTTTAAGAGACAGGGTCTCGCTCTGTAGCCCAGGCTGGTGTAAAGTGGTATGATCATAGCTCACTGCAGCCTCAAACTCCTGGGCTGAAGCGATCCTCCTGCCTCAGCCTCCTAAAGTGATGGAATTACAGGGCCTTGAAGTTCCTTGATCACTAGCTCACCTTGGTGTTAAAATTAAATTTTAATATTCTCAGCTGCAAAAATGAACGGAGAATGACTGGTCAAATAACTGTTTGTCTGATAAATGTAAACTTGTTAGTTTGTCCAAACTTAAAACTCTTAGAATGATTTTTTTAAAAGGAAACTAGAAGACAAAGTTTCCCTAGTACAGTATTAAATTGTGGACAGAACTACAGCATGCATGGCTTCAAAAATGTCGAAAGTATAAATTCTCTAAATTCTAATTTTTCCTGGTAAAGTATAATAGTCAATACAAAATCAAGCTGTTCAATGCTAAAATTCTGATATTCCTAATTGTCAGACTTTGAAATGCTATTGTACAAGACAAATTTTTTTTTGAAAATTGAGGCCCTTTGTGACTCTGTATAATGGGAATTATCCTGTCTCCTAAGAGACGTAGGTATCAAGAGCACCAGAGGACAGTCCAGAAACTACCTACTTAAGGAGGAATCTTAAGTGTCTTTTTGTGCCTACATAAGTTTATAATTAATATCTTCAGAGTTCCTTAGTAGAGACTATGGGCCTAGAAAATTAATTACAGGTATTTCAAGGAGAAAATGACTTGTAGAACATCTGGCTAAAGAGGTATTGTATCCTGAGATAAAAGCAAACACGCTCCAGGATACCTTCCAAGTACTGTGAATTAACTCAATGAAGTTTTAGCATTCATGAAATATTTCCAAATTTGTGCTAATAATTTTTTTTCATATAGTTAGCATTAAGCTAAACTGGAAAAATCCAGCAAAAGTGGTTTAGTTACTTCAGATTTTTGAGGTCAAATCCATATTTCCCTAGAATAATTCATTCAGGATTAATATGTGCACCAACGGGCCAGGCCCAGCGGAGACAAAGGGAGGAGCTGGACGCCACACTGCATGGCCGGGAGGCTACTGGATGATAGATGCCAATATGTAGCCAAAAGGATAGGATTAAAATAGTGCTCTCATTACAGCGCTACTGATGATGAAGACAAAAGCTCTGTACTTCCTGGACAACTCAGTGCATCTAAGACAGCACTTTGTTAAACGAGGGTATGGATGGAACAAGAAGCTTCCCAGAGAGCAGCAAGTACAAAAACAGGGAGAATTAAGAGAACATGGTGCATTCAGAGAACAATGTGATAACGAATGCTTATTTTACATACTTTTAAAATGCAGATTTGAGTATTTCAACTCTGCTTCTGAGAAGTAGGCTTTATCAGCACTTTCAAAGAAGCATTAACAGCCTGATCCAGGGTGAGTGAAAGATCTGATGTGTAAGTCAGATGTTTGGAATCAATAAATGCTTCAAAGAGTAATAAAGTGATAGTAAATGTTTCTAGGGTCAGATGAAACACTATACAATAAACAGTGGTGGAAATATGTTGCCAAAAACTTGCTTACTTTGTAAGACATTTGTTTGAAAAACCTGAATCTAAGAAACTGAGAGAACTTTGAGGACAGGAACGAAGTTCTATCTTTCCATTTACAGTTTCTGGTTCATAGGAGGTGCTCAGTTAACTTTTGCATAATCAATCAATCAATCTTAATACCACAACAGTTTAAGACAGCTTAAAACAAATGCCACTGTGCTATTTAAGGGAGGGCAAACAAACTAATGGTTCTGAGATTTAATAATATATAGGACTACTTCTTTATAGTTTGTCAAACTATGCAAAAGCTTTTACAATATTTAACATAACTCCTTCCTTAGCCAGGAATGCTCTCTTTCCCCTACCATATCATTAACATAATTTAATAAGCTCTAATATTACTGAAGATCAGCAATACAAGTAGTATTGCCTGGACATTAAGACATACCTCATTACAATGGAAGAAGAATCAAGGAATTGAACTACCTTTAAATAGCTATTGCAGTAATGCTACACACCGGTAGGCGGCAAACATGGCCTTGATAGGCACACTGTTGAGGTCAGTGAAGTTTTACTGGAACACAGCCAAGCTTGTCCATTTATGTAATGTCTACGGCTGCTTATACACTGCAAAGGCCGAGTGAGTAGTTGTGAAACAGAAGAAAGTTTACCAGCTCGTCCTATACAGTTCTCTGCAAATTTATAGTTTCTTACTAGACCCATTTCAGATTTTAAAACAGAAGTTATGTAACAGTCTTCAGTATAAACAGGTAATTTTTTAAGTATGCTGATTTCAAAAATGAAAAATAGATAACATTCCCCACCCACCATCATCACTTTTGTCAAAGTCCTGGCAGCACCTGTTTTCAAAAAAACTGACAGACTTTGCTTGCTAGGAAGACAGGTTTGAGTGATTTTCTTCCTTTACAAAAAACAGTACCTCAGGTTTGTTTGGCTATTCAGCAGGACAGTAGGAGAACGGGCAAAAAGGTAAAACAAGGCAGCAGAGAAGAAAGAAGAACTGCCAAATCAAAACACCAAGAAAGCAAATAGCACAGTATCAAGACCTACAGAAGAAAATGTCCATTAGCATCATGACAAGGGAGGGAAAAGACACTATGGTAACTCAAGCATTATAGCAGGGACTGTTTCAAATATTTGTACTAAAATTACTTCAAGTGCATAACTGTAAAAGTTTGTGTACATTTCCCGCATACTAGTAAGTTAGGCTTGAATTAGTTTTTCCCCTAAATATATATTATAATAAATTTTTAAAATTTAAATTTAATAGAAAATTTTCAATGCAAAAACATTTAAAAATAAAAATCACAGCCGACTCTTTAAGCTTTATTTAAAACTTTGGTTTCCTTATGAGACTGATATACTTAAAACTGATATACTGGCTAATATACTGGCTTTCTCCTTTAACTGACAGATTACAATCACCATTGACAAAGAATCCAAGATGCGCAACTAAATTATTTGACAGAAAAGGACAATAAAACATATTCCTAAATTAAGTTTTACTCCTTAAAAACAAATTTAAAAAAACCCAAATACTACACAGTGTGTAACAATTACCCTGTATATTGTAGATATCAATGAATGATTGACTAAATAATGTACTAAATAAACATTTTTTAAAAGTCATAATCTACCATTTAGAGTTTCCTATGTGCGAGGCATCTAGCTAATTGTGTTACATGCATCTACTCATTCAATATGTAACCAACCAAAGAGATACTTAACAAACAAATGCGCTTAAAGTAAAGCTCTATAAAAATATTCACCAATTTTTATATTCAAGAGAAATAGCAAACTATCAAAAAATAACATTTGTTGCAGAATAGTGGAAATAATGTTTAAAAGCAGTAAAATTAGAAAACAAGGTTTTAAAATTAGAAAATGGTTTCAAAATTATACCTATTTTTGTTTTCTACTGACATCTCTTCTGAACTTTTGCTTTCTTCTTTAAAATACTGGCCTGAGCTAGATGGATTAGCAAAAGTAGATATGAAAGGTCCCAGAGACTGAAAAGCTGCTTGGCGAACCTAGGAAGATAAAAAGGACAATAATAAAGGAATCATTTTGAAAAAGAATTATATACGCACACATTATGTATATTTAATAATCTACTTTCAAATGCCGAAGTATGTTTAGGATAATAATGAAGCTTTTCTAAAGGAAGCCCAGATTCAGAACTTTAGCTAGGACTGAAAAATTCTTACAAGCTATTTTCTCTGGCTGGGCGCAGTGGCTCATGCCTGTAATCCCAGCACTCTGGGAGGCTGAGCTGGGCAGATCGCTTGAGTCCAGCAGTTTGAGACCAGCCTGGGCAACATGGCGAAATCCAGTCTCTACAAAAAATACCAAAGTTAGCAGGGCGTGGTGGCGCATGCCTGTGGTCCCAGCTACTCGGCAGGGCCTGAGGTGGAAGAAGCGCGTGAACCCATGAGGCTAAGTCTGTAGTGAGCCGTGATCACACCACTGTACTCCAGCCTGGGTGACAGAGCAAGACTGTCTAAAAAAAAAACCCCAAACAAACCCCTATTTGCTCTTTTTTACTTTCAATTGTTTTTATCCTCTCTTGAATGTTTGAACCATGATAATCTAAGTATGAGATACTATGAAACATTTGCATAGAACAAAACTAAAGAAGGTCCTGCTGTGTTCTCAAGAACAAAAAGAATAAGGAAAACCAAGAGTGCCACAAAGAACATAAAAATCAATAAAGCCAACAAAATGTGATAAATACATTTAATGTTTTCAGGTAGGAAAGACTTTAATTTGTTCACTAGAAGGAAGCAAGACAGACGTACCAGAAACATAATGTTAACTTAAAGTATGTCACAAAGATCTTGAAGCATATACTATTGTTCTTGATGACTGTCTCATGTAGGAGGGGTGATAAAGAAGTTATAGAATTCCACTTCATGTCGTATTTCTGTATTATTTTTAAAATCAGGAATTTTTAAAACATTTGAAAATGAGAGGTTTTATGGAAGGATGGACACAATCGGACAAAGGCAACAACAATGGGAAACTGGTATGTTACTAAAACCTTGACTTTGCCACACACCAATTTCCCTGAAGTTTAGCATTCCTTTTCCTTTTGAGACAGCTCTTGCTCTGCTGTGGAGGCTGGAAAACAGTGGTGCTACCATGGCTCACTGCAGCCTCAAAATCCTTGGCTTAAGTGATCTTCCAACCTCAGCCTCATGAATAGTTGGGGACTATAGGCATGTGCCACCACATCCAGTTAATTTTTCTATTTTTTTTGCAGAGACAAGTCCTTGCTATGTTGCCCAGACTGGTCTTGAACTCCTAGCCTCAAGCAATCCTCCCACCTCCTCCTCCCAAAGTGTTAGGATTATAGGTGTGAGTCACTGCTCCTGGCTAGCATTTCTTTTCTTTAAAAAAAAAAAAAAAGCATAATAATACCTTTTTCAAGTTTAAGATAATAATTATATAGTAAGCATGATTTTTACAAAAGCAAATAAATGTAGAGATATCTATTATTAGTATTTACCTACTCTTGGAGAAGCATACATAAAAAATGACTCAATTGATTTTTTAAAAAGGCTAGAATTATATGCATGAGAGGGAAAAGAATAGCTTGTATGTGTGTAAACTAAGGGTTTTTCTCCCCTTCGTAAGTCACTTACTTACGAAACATTATGGAAACATTACTTCCATAAAAGGATAAAAGGTCACTTTTAACGCTGTATGCACGAATTTAATCTTCTCTGAATACTGTTAAATCTCTGAGCTTGTTCCCAATAAAGGACATAGAAAACTTAATTTATCTAAATCATTAGTTTAGCTTGTTGTTAGATTAGAATGAAAAAAGTTTAATGTGGAGGAGAGAGATCACAGTGTCTAATAAGTTAATTAAATCCTACTATTAATCTACCTCCTTGATTTCACAAAAACAGAAACTGAAATCCAAATAAAATGACTTCTTCAGTGTTACCCTATAGTTACAATGAAATCAGGACTGAAGTCCAATTTTAACTCTCCAACACATCCCACTGCCTGTAATTGAGTAATTTTCCAACACTATAAAAATATTTCTACTTTGAGCTATTCCTCAAAATAAAGTGATTTTAAGCTATTATTTTTACTAGTTTCAATGACTTTAAGAAATAAACAACTAATGACTTTAAACAAAGGTTCTGGAAACCACTAAAAAACCCACAAGTCACTCAAAGAATAAATATTAACGAATTTCAGAAATAAAATTAACTTTTAATTCAATTTTAACTTTTGAGAAGGGACAATACAGTAGATTATAACCTTCCCCAAATGGCTTAACATTGTTCGGACAAAAGACTATCTTGTCTTTTTTTTGCACCTAAATAGGCATAGGATTTACACGTGTGTGTGTGTGTGTGTGTGTGTGTGTGTAAAATAGGCATAAGATACACATTTTTCTCAGACAGGTGCAGCATATATAGCCTGCCCTCTGTATCCACAGGTTCTGTGGATTCAACCAACTACACATTGAAAACATTGTTAGACCCATGATGGTTGTGTCTGTATTGAACAAGTACAGACTTTTTTCCTTGTCATTATTCCCTAAATAATAGAGTAACAATTACTTACATAGCATTTATGCTGTATTAGATGTAAGTAATCTAGAGACGATTTACAGTGTACAGGAGGATGTGCATAGGTTATATGCAAATACTATGCCATTTTGTATCAGAGACTTCTGAGTATCCTCAGATTTTGGTATCCACAAGGGGTCCTGGAACCAATCCTCCATGGATACCAAGGAACAGCTGTATATCTCTAAAATGACTGACATATCCATATTCTCAAATTAACAGGAACTAATGCATGTTACCAATCCAAAACAACGACCAAATACATAGCTTCACAAAGAAAATTGAGTAAGCTATGTTAATCTTTTCTAACAAGCCGATACAGGATATAACAAAAACATTAATATAATATCAAGGCTTAAGAGTCTTGCCCTCTATGTCAATTTTGTTTTGGGAATGAATATGCAAAGGTCCTGAGATTGATCTCTGCCATGACGGTGTGAGGAGCTCAGCTGACCCACTTCTCAGTGAAGTAAGTGAAAATTATAAAACAATAATTCAAAGCCCCTGGAAATGGCCCTAGGAGCAAGCAGCAATTGAAGGGATAACAATTAAAGAAAACTGACAAAATGTAGTATACATCATAAAAAAGCTGAGAGTCTAATTTTTTTTTTTTTTTTGAGACAGAGTCTCGCTCTATTGCCCAGGCTGGAGTGCAATGGCGCGATCTCGGCTCACTGCAAGCTCCGCCTCCCAGGTTCACGCCATTCTCCTGCCTCAGCCTCCTGAGTAGCTGGGACTACAGGCGCCCGCCACCACACCCGGCTAATTTTTTGTATTTGTTAGTAGAGACGGGGTTTCACCGTGTTAGCCAGGATGGTCTTGATCTCCTGACCTCGTGATCCACCCGTCTCGGCCTCCCAAAGTGCTGGGATTACAGGTGCGAGCCACCGCGCCCAGCTGACCATTCCCTCCTTGTAACGCCTCCAGTGAGGTGAGGTGGAGACAGCAGTGTGCTGTAGCCAAGCACACTGGGGTCTGCTCTCCCGCAGCTCCCGGGCACAGGCTGCATCGCTCCAGCTACCTGATGCTGAGGTCCAGTCCTGAGTGAGAGCAGCTGAGGGGTGAGGCTCCTTTCTTCCACCCTCCTTTGGGTGTGGCACACTGAAAAGGCTGGGGCCCCAAAAGGCACTGGTCTACCTCACAGGGTGGTGATTCCTCACCAGGAGAAAGAAGCCAAGGGAACCTCAGGCTGCTGCCCTTCCATACCCACTAAGCCCCTGTCATACCAGGGTGGCTGTGGGCAGACCCAAAGCTGTACCTCCTGGAGTGGGGAAATAGTCTTCACTCAAGCATTCCAGCCAGTCACTAAACAAGCAAATAACAGTAACAAGCCCCCATGGGGGAGCGAGGACAACCAGTATCAAACTACACATATTATCTAAAATGTTCAACTCTCAACAAAACATTACAAGGCAGGCAAAAAAAAAAAAAATCCATACATTAGGGGGATAAAAGAGACAGGCAACAGAAACTGATTGTGAGAGCAATCAGATTTCAGACTTAAAAAAAGACTTCAAAGTAGCTATTATAAACATGTTCACAGAACCAAAGGAAATGATGATTACAGAAGTAATGGGAGTTATGGGGACGGTGCTGCATCAACTAGAGTATAACATCAATAAAGAGAAATTACAAAAAAGAACCAGATGGAATTCTACAGCTGAAAAGTGCAATGACTAAAATAAAGTCAGTACATGAGCTCAACAGTAGATCTGAACTGGCAGAACAAATAATTGTTCTATTGAAGATAGATCAATAGAGATTATGCAAGCCAAAGAATAGAGAGGGGGAAAAAATTGAGGAAAAATGAAAAGGGCCTCAAAGAAATGTGGGCCATCATTAAGCACATTTAACATATACATAATGGGAATATTAGAGGGAGAGAAGAGAGAAGGAAAAATATTTGAAGAAACATTGGCTCAAAACTTTTCAAACGTATTGAAAAACGTAACTTACATAACTAGGAAGTTCAATCAACTCAACTCCAAGTAGTATAAACTAAAAGAGGTGCACATACGGACACATCACAGTAAAAATTCTGAAAGTCAAAGGCAAGGAGAAAAATCTAGAAAGCAACAAGCGAAAAATGACACATCACTTACAAGGGAACCCCAATATGATTAACCGCTGACTTCACAGTAGAAACAGAAGAGGTCTGAGGCAGTGGCATAACACACTCAATCTCACATTAAGTAAAGCTGTCTTTCAAAATTGAAGGTGAAATAAGGACATTCACAGATAAATGAAAACAGAATTTGTTGTTCGCAGAACCACATTAACAAGAAATACTAAATAAAGTTTTTCGGGTTGAAAGCCATTTACCCCAGATGATAATTCAAAGAAGGAAGGAAGACCTCTAATCCACAACCTAACCTTCTGCCTAAAGACACTGGAAAAAGAAGCAAAATAAACTAAAAGCAAGCAGAAGGGAGAATAAAGATTAAAATGGAAATTAATGAATAATAGAAAAATAGAGAAAACCAATGAAACCAAAAGTTGGTTCTGTAAAAAGATCAACGAAGCTGACAAACCTTTAGCAGACTGGCCAAGAAACAGAGACAAGACTCAAATTACTCAAATAGGAAATGAAAGAAGAGGCATTACTACTGACATTACAGAAATTAAAAGATTATAAAGGAATCCTATGTATAATCATATACCAACAAATTAAGTAACTTAGATGAAATGTACAAATTCCTAGAAAGATACAAACTATGAAAACTGACTCAAGAAAAAAACACACAACAGACCTATAACAAGTGAAGAGACAGAATTAGGAATTTTACAACTATCTACAAAGAAAAGCCCAGGCCCAGACGGCTTCACCACTGAACTCAACCAAACATTTAAGAGATAATCAATAACAATTCTTCAAAAACTCTCCCCAAAAACAGTAGAGGAGGGAACATTTCCTAACTCATTTTATGAGGCCATTATTACTCTGACAACAAACCAGACAAAGGCACCATAAGAAAACTACAGACTATTATCTCTCATGATATGGACACAAAAACCCTCAACAAAATACTGACAAACTGAATCCAGCGACATATAAAAAGAATTATACAACTATGACCAAGTGGGACTTATTCCAAAGATGCAAGTGGTTTAACATCTAAAAATTAACATAATACATCATGCCAATTAAATAAAAATCAACAGGACTTAAATGTGTAAAGAAATTTTTGTCCTGTTACAAAAAAACACACAAACTGTTAATATAGTAGTCTTTCTACTGTCTATTCCTAAAAGTATAAAAAATAATATATCTTAAATTATAAGTTATTTCTTATGAGGTCAAAATTATGTTTGCTTTAAAACGGACACAAATGTATTATTTTACAAAAGTGATAATCAAAACCCTACCCAACGTGAAGGATCACTGATCAAATTAATAAAAAGTGCTGATAATTTGGTCCGTCGGATTTCTTGACATGTTGCACATGAAACCGCCATGAAGCATTCAGCACAAGCCTTTCGGACTCCCCATACATTATCAGAACAAAGCTGGAAAAATCTGGGCAGCTATGTGAAAAGGAAAGAGTCTTGTTAGTTGGATAAAGATAGCAGATTTCATCAGTTACTTCGCTTTCATTTTCTGCTTTCACGCTTCTTTTGTTTGTTTGTTTGTTTTGAGACAGAGTCTCACTCTTTTGCCCAGGCTGGAGTGAGGTGGTGCGATCTTGGCTCACTGCAAACTCCACCTCCTGGGTTCCAGCAATTCTCCTGCCTCAGCCTCCCAAGTAGCTGGGATTACAGACGTGTGCCACCACGCCCAGCTAATTTTTGTATTTTTAGTAGAAATGAGGGTTCACCATGTTGGCCAGGCTGGTCTCGAACTCCTGACCTCAGGTGATCCACCTGCCTTGGCCTCCCAAAGTGCTAGGATTACAGGTGTGAGCCACCACGCCCAGCCTCAGTGTTTTAAATGTTGGATTGTCTTAAAAAGTAGGATCTATTAGTATTTATACTCAACAATTTTCAATAAATCACATCTAATTTACTGTCTATTCCTAAAAGTATAAAAAATAATGTATCTTAAATTATAAATATATAACATATAATAATATATCTTAAATTTTAAGTTATTTCTTATGAGTCAAAATTATGTTTGCTTTAAAACGGACAGAAATGTATTATTTCACAAAAGTGATAATCAAAACCCTACCCAACATGAAAGATCACTGATAAATTAATAAAAAGTGCTGATAATTTGGTCCGTCGGATTTCTGGCTATGCAAAAGCATACTGGATTGTCTTATGCAATATTTCTGGCTATGCAAAAGCACTCCCAACAATCATAGCTTAAATGTTTTACAAGAGCTTGCCCCTGAACTTAATTATTTTGCATAAGAGATGGCTTCAGAAACTCTTTAGATATGGTGACTTATACATCAAGTATAGGCATCTTGTGTACTATTTAAAACTAACTTGCTATAGATTTAATATGTCATCAACATTCTTGAGGGTTGCAATAAAATTAAAGGTTCAATTGAATAAGTAAGAATTGATTTGCTTAACAGAAATGGAAGAGGTGAAAACAGATCAATGGTTCTGAAACATATCCATATTTTTAATAAATATCAAAAAGATAATTCAAATGCCCAGATTACAGATATTTAAACTCCTAAATTCAAAATTATCTTTCTGGTTTATATTCATGGAATTGTGTTAATAAAACTTTGGAGTAAATGTGTGCATTTCAAACTTTATGTACTACTTTGTAACACACACTGTTTACTCCTTTATATCTGCAATACTTACCAACATTTCTTCAGTAGCTTGCTGGCCAACTACACTGCAAATATCTCCAAAATTGGCAGCACAGACCTGACAACAAAAGCATCATTGACATTTCAAAATATTACACATAAGGTTCTTCTAAGATAATCTTTTAAATATCATGTATCAGTACATTAACCACTAGAACTATGTTCTTAAACAGCAGAAAAAAAACGACAAAAAAATACCTTTCGAACGTGAAACATTCTGCAATCGCAGCACATCTCACAAAACCTAGGGAGGATAAGACGCTCTGTAATATCCTTCCCAACCATGGGAGCCATTTTGCACATTATCTAAAATAAGTAAGAACAAACACACACTGAAAATATCAAGTAAGCCTCTTTCAGTTAAATTAAATAATAAAAGTATATAATTTGAGGAAACATAAAATATGATATGGCATCATTATACTATATACATGACAGAAAACATTCATAGCCAATTATTAATTTCATCTTATTTATCTAAGTAGGAAACAAAGACAGATATTAACCACAATCAATAAAAACAACCAATAAATACTGCATGCCCAGTAAACCCACAGAAAATCCTAACAATTTCATTTTTGTCCACAGTTTCCATCTTACTACTACTTCATCATTTTGCCTGGTAATTTTAAAAGCAAAACAAACAAACAAACAAAAACCTACATTTTCCCAATTTAAAAAATTGGTGACTGTTCAAAGGGAAAACTATCCCCAGGAAAGATCTAGATTTAGCATATCTGTATTGCTAAGAAAAAATTCAGTCCTCGCCTTGCAAAGCACCCTGTGAACTAAAGCTCATACATATCAGAACCATGTCCTGGTTTTGCAAAGCTTCAGTTCCAGGGAAAGCATGAACACAGTTCTGATATAGGCATGTTTCAGTTAACACAATAGGAGGCAAAGTGAGGATTAACTTTATTTGAAAACTGGCCCTCTATTTAGATACATTGTTCCCACAGTTAATACAGAAAGAAATGGGATAGCCTGTTGTCATTTATCAATTGTATCAATTGCTAGACTGTACAAACAGGACAAAATAAAGAAGTAAAAGAGATACAGATTGCAAAGAAAGAAAATTCTCTCTATTCAAATACGACATGGTTGTCTACACAGAAAATCAGAAGGAATCTACAAAGAAGCCACCAGAATAAGTATGTTTAGGAAGGTTGTAGGCTATAAATTAGAATATAAAAATCTATTGTATTTCTACAAATTAGCAATGAACAATGAACTGGAAACATTTAAGAACAGTATCACTCACAGAAGTACTTTTAAAAAATATGAAATCGAACAAAATACACACAAGAACTTTCTGCTGAAAACTACAAAAGATTAAAGATATAAATCAAAGACCTAAATAAATAGATCTACCATGTTCATAGACTGTGAAACTGGCAATTGTCTCCAAATTGATCTACAGATTCAACACTATCCCCATGAAAATCCCACCATCATCAGAACTAGAGATAACGCCTACATCTCCTAAATCCCAAAACCAGTTTTGTTTTTTGAATAAGCATCTCCATGCTCTAGTTAACAATCCAAAGTTATGCTGTATATCACTGATGTAGCATAACTAAATTTATTTAAAAATGAATTATTTTTATTAAGAAATTAATTTTTATTAAGAAATAATTATTATTTCTCTATCTATTAAGATAGAGAAAATATGGGAGCCATGGAATATAAAACATGACCAAAAAACAAACACAACTGTAAGAGAATCATAAGACTCCTACTAGCACTGGATATAGTTTTTAAATTTTTTATTGTAATGTTTTACTAATTTTACATTGCATCGAGAATTATAATACAGCAAGTTAAACGGCTCAATATAAACCAAAAATTAGGCCAAGCCCAAAACTGATTTCCTTCATTGCAAAAATCCTAAAGTGAAAAAAGAAATAATGATGTTTTGGAACTAGGAAGAAGTGGTGGTTATACAACTTTGTGAACATATTAAATGCCACTAACACTAAAATGATTTTATGTCATGTAAGGTTCACTTCAGTAAAAACATTACTGAAAAAGTAAATTTATTATTAACTGGTAACTGAGTATCTAAAAATAATAGATTCAAGAAATTCTTCAAGGGAAAGAGACTAGAGAGATCATCTAATTCATCCCATTACTGATGATCCAGAAGCACTAAATATAGTGTGATTATTAAAAAATATCAACAAAGACGCAACCATATTATTTTAGGCTTAAGGAGTGAACTCTTACTATCCAAATAGATATGAATAAATTTCCAGACGAATTTATCACTTTTCTAATTTACCATGAGAATTACTACTATCCGAACTCAGGAACCAGATGTGAATCACAACAGATACTACTCTATACTAATTCATGCCCTATCATGGCCTTCAAGTAATCAGAATATTTGCAAACCATGTCAAAAAAAAACCCAGAAACTTCCTATTACATTTGACTTTATGATGTGCGTAATGACTTAACAATCTGTATATTCTTCTGATAACCATCACTGATGTCATATATCCTGGGAAATGTACTTGCCTGACCATCCTTCCCACAAAGACCATACCTGTCAGAGCAGGAGCAAAGTATTATTTTATTTCCACTGTGCTTACACAGTGCCTAGAAAAGTGTTCAATACCTACTGAAGGGGTTCAAGTGTTTCTTCGTTCAGTCCAGGGTTTTTAAAATTTTAACTGCACTGATAAAATAACCATTTCAGTTTTCCACTTTGACATAATAATTTACAATTATGTATTTTTTCGTATTGTGTGCAGAAGGTACACTTTCCTTTGTAAGCCTTTATGTCCCTTTCTAGCCCTGATTGTATTTCAAATTTAATGATTTGTGGCAACTTTAACAGAAAGCAGCCTTTTCTTTCTTTCTTTCTTTCTTTTTTTTTTTTTGTTTTGTTTTTTTAAGACAGAGTCTTGTTCTGTCAACCTGGCTGGAATGCAGTGGAATGACCTCGGCTCACTGTAACCTCTGTCTCCCAGGTTCAAATGATTCTCGTGCCTCAGCCTCCAGAGTAGCTGGGATTACAAGCATGTGCCACCACACCTGGCTAATTTTTTTTGTATTTTTAGTAGAGATGGGGTTTTGCCATGTTGGCCAGGCTGATCTCAAACCCCTGGTCTCAAGTGATCCTCCCACCTTGGCCTCCCAAAGTGCTGGGATTACAGGCATGAGCCACTGCACCCAGCCCAGCCTAATTTTTTTTTTTTTCCTTGAGGCGGAGTCTTGCTCTGTCGCCCAGGCTGAAGTGCAGTGGCCTGATCTTGGCTCACTACAACCTCCACCTCCTCCCAGGTTCAAGTGATTCTCCTGCCTCAGCCTCCCAAGTAACAGGGACTACAGGCGCACACCACCATGCCTGGCTAATTTTTGTATTTTTTTGGCAGAGCCAGGTGTCACCATATTGCCCAGGCTGGTCTCCAACTCCTGACCTCAAGTGATCCACCCACCTCGGCCTCCCAAAGTGCTGGAATTACAGGCATGAGCCACCGTGCCTAACCCCGGCCTGACTTTTAATAAGCACCTCTTATCAGCCACATTTTGCATAAGTGGAAAAATGGCATTTGACTTACAGCCACAGCTTCTGTTTTCACATCATCATTGCTATCTGGGGCTGTCAGCTCTATGAGGACAGGGCACACTTTGGTCTCCACATCAAATCGTTCAATGAGCTCCTGCTCCAACAGAGCCAGCAAAGCTGCCTGACTTGTTTTCCTCACCTAGGAGAAAAATAACAACACAAAGAAAGTACATATGCAACATGACAAAATTCTATCACTTGATTTTTATAAACAAAGATTTCTCATCTCAAAGGGACCCATAACTGGCAAAACTCCGCAAATAAATATTTGTGTTTATTTTCTTCAACTATTACAAAGACTACAGAACTTCGTAGATTGTGCTGTAACAGAGGAAGTGGACAGAGCCATCCTGGTAAAAGATGCCTCACAAAGTAACAAACCTTTTAAGGGACCGCTAGGAGGTTACCAAGTGAGAGTGCAGTTACTAGGCATTGTCCATAATGGCATTAAAGGGATCTACTAGATTTGTCAGACTCTAAACACATCTTGTCTAAGATAAATATTCATTTTTGAAAAACAGTAAAACATTCCAAAGAGAACACTTAGGCTCGGCTATTCTCCATATATTACACTACGTAAATTTCTTTTAAGAACATATAAATGGTACTCTTACCTGATTATTCTGATCTGCAAGGTATCTAACCACAATAGGTAGTAAGAATTTTGAAAAAGCATATGGTATTGAAGGCCGGTTTTCTTGACAAAACAGTGCGATGTGAGGCACCTGTTCCATCAGCTCCGCTCTCACAGTTGGTTCTATTGAAATAACGGCAATGTGAGCAAACATGTTCTCCTGCAGCAACAAAACCTTTATCTGTTCTTGAGGGTACTTAGGAAGGCTATGGACTTTCATCTTCAAAATATAAAGGACTTGAGACAACATCCTTTAATTCTGCATTCCTTTTCAGAATCATACACAGATCAATCCCATGAGTGAAAGGAGGACCTTATCTTCAATCCAAGCTTCTGTTGTTCACAGTATGCACTGAGTATCTAACCATTTCTTAACAATAAATAAATTTATTCATCACCTACACTGTGCCACACTGTGCTAGGGGTTAAATATCCTATCTGATATTTACATCAATACTCTGACACATACATAGTATTATCCATAAATTCCACTATTTAAGAACCTACTAGGACAAGTCATAAAAACTAGTTCCTAATCTCAACTTAGTCAATAAATGAAAGATATATAATTAGACTTAACTAAGACTAAAAATGGGTAAATGAAAATTAAAGATGACAAATATTTTTTAAACACCTGAAAAGACCCAAGTGCATATGGCAAATTTAAATGTGAGAAATATGGCATTTCAAATTTCTGGGCTTCAAAAAGATGAAATGTCTAAGAAGCAACAGTAGGAAAATCAGCTAGTTAGCACGGAACAAAAGTTCCTACTGCACATCATAAAGATCAAAAGTACTAAAAGATAATATTAAATGTTCAATCTTGAGGTGGGAAGACAAAATCCAAAAATCAACCGTAAGACCAACTAATTATACATTATAAAAACTTTATTATAGGCTGGGTGTGCCTGTAATCCCAGCACTTTGAGAGGCCAAGGCGGGCAGATCACTTGAGGTCAGGAGTTCCAGACCAGCCTGGCCAACATGGTGAACCCTGTCTCTACTAAAAATACAAAAATGAGCCAGGTGTGGTGGTGCATGCCTGTAATCCCAGCTACTCCAGAGGCTGAGACAGTAGAATCACTTGAACACGGGAGGTGGAGGTTGCAGTGAGCCAAGATCGCGCCACTGCACTCCACCCTGGGCAACAGAGCAAGACTCTGTCTCAAAAACAAACAAACAAAAAAACTTTATTATAGATAACAGATACCAATACTCAGTTAAAAGGGAAAACAGCCTGGGAGCAAATTCATGTATAACAGAGTATTAGGAAGTGAACACACTGTTCAAATAAATAATAAGAAAGAAAATAAGGATACAAGTAGGCAATTCATAGAAGACATGCAAGTGACTGAAATACAGACAGACATGATGGATTATCAGTAACAAGTCATTGTATCGGACCTAACTAGAACTCTGATACCCATTATTATTATGCATTAATAAAGCTACATTAAAGTAAATATGTATGAATGTGTCTACTAGGATTTCAGATATCAACAGAGAAATTAACATACCTTTAAGTAGATAATACTGTATTTTACAAAGCTCAGAATCTTATCAACAAACCAATATCTGGAATTTCTATTATACTGTTGTACCATGTGAAGTTGGCCAGATATGAACAAAATAGAGTGTTTCTGTTTTGAAGAAAAACCTAATTTTTAAAAAAGTAAACATACAGGCCTCTGCTTTTCTCATGGATGCTGAATTTTCTAAGTTAACACTGACAATTGCTTATATTTTTGAAGCAAAAGGAGGACACAAGTTATGGTTTCAGTTAAAAATGAAATCAGCAACTTTTCTTTCTTCAAAGCCCCGCTTAGGCAAATAGACTAATGGGGCGGGGCAGGGGAATAAAGCCCAGAAACAGACGCATGCATGTACAGACAACCGATTTATTAAAAGGTGAACTGGGAAAGATGGTCTTCCCAGTTGTGTCAACTGGCTACTCACATTAAAAAAAAAAATGAAACTTGTCCTCCACTTTGTATCACGCACATGAATAAATTCCAGGTGGAATACAGATCTGAATGTCAAGGCAAAAAACAATAAGGCTTCTCTGTGTTAGAGAATACAGGAAAAGATATTTATGACTTTGAGATTGGAAAAAATCTCAAAGAAGACACAAACGGCATGACCCATAAAGGAAAAACACTTCTCTTCTGCAAGAAGCATCACGGAGTGCAAAGAGAAGCCACAGAGTGAAAAAGATATCTTTAATACACATAAATGACATACGGCTCATATGCAGAATGAATTCCTGTAAATCTGTAAGAAAATGACTACCAATTTTTTAAAGGGGGAAGAGACTTAGACATTTCAAAAAAGAAGAAGCCAGGCATGGTGGCTCATGTCTGTAATACCAGCACTTTGGGAGGCTGAGTCAGGTGGATCACTTGAGGTCAGAAGTTCAAGACCAGCCTGGCCAACACGGAGAAATCCCATCTCTACTAAAAATACAAAAATTAGGCAGGCATGGTGGTGCATGCCTGTAATCCCACCACTCGAGAGGCTGAGGCAGAAGAATCACTTGAACCCAGGAGAAGAAGGTTGTAGTGAGCCAAGGTCATGCCACCACACTCCAGCCTGGGTGACAGAGTGAGACTCCATCTCCAAAAAAAAAAAAGATACCCAAATAGCCAGTAAGTGTATAACCAGGTATGAACTTCACTGGTTACTGAGGAAATGCAAATTACAACCACAATGAGATACCACTATACATCCATCCATTCCGGGGGAAAATAAAAGCAGATGGTAAATTTTGGGGAATAAAAAAATCAAGATAAAAGCTAATGAAAGGTAAGGCAGAAGACCGAAAGGTTCTCAGCTGCTTATTTGTCTAAACTAAGGATACATATTTCATTCACTTCAGAGCTATGTTATTATTCAATAGTCTTTATCTTACCCAGCTATCACAATAAGCCCAGTCCTAAAAATTAGAAACCTCAGGGTCAAATCCTCTCTCTTCCTCACTCTATCCAGAGGTTAGCCTTGGAATCCCTCCTAGTACTTCAATTTCTATCCAACAATTCATCCTTATAACAATTAACTGGCTGGTCACGGTGGCTCATGCCTGTAATCTCAGCACTTTGGGAGCTTGAGGCAGGTGGATCACTTGAGGCCAGAAGTTCCAGACCAGCCTGGCCAACATGGTGAAACCCCTTCTCTACTAAAAATACAAAAATTAACTGGGTGTAGTGGCACATGCCTGTAATCCCAGTTATTCGAGAGGCTGAGGCAGGAGAATTGCTTGAACCTGGGAGGCAGGGGTGGTTGCAGTGAGTGGATATCACGCCACTCTGCTCTAGCTTGGGCAACAGAGCGAGACTCTGTCTCAAAAACAAAAACACCCAATTAATTGGTATAGTCTTCCAATCAAGTCTTCTTGTCACCCATCTTTTTCACCATATCAGTTCATACTGCTACACTACACTGTTCTAAATCACAAAAAGGTAAAGTCATCAGCATGGTTTATTATAAACCTTTACAATCTAGCCCTCACCTAACTTACTTAACAGCCTAATTTTTCTAACCTGGAAACTCAGCAGGTTAGTCTCATTGTCAGGTTGGCCTCATTGTTGACCAAAGGGGCCACCATCTTGAACTCCTTTCTCTATCTTTTCCCCTCCTGGGTATGCCCTTTTCCCTCTCTATACCTCATCTATCAAATCCAACTTAAATGTCACTAACTTTCTGAAGCCTGCCCCGATCCTTCCCATTATAATTTATTGTTTATATGTTGGCTGCATTCACTAAACTGTTAACTTGATGACACAAATCCTTGTTCACCTTAATAACTGCTCTAGCATTTAATCTAGAACCTGGTATAGAGTATGTACTGTTTGATGTATACTGAATGAATGGAATTATGTCAATAGAGACATTTACTATGAATTTACCAATGTGAGAACATATTTTAAAATACACACACACACACTTACAAAAAAAAAAAAAACTCTGGAGCTGGTAAACAGGTAAAGGAAAACACAAATCTATCCTTAAAGAGTATCTGTCTCTACTAAAGAACATAACCATAATAGGCTATAACAGTGCCATGAATTTATGTTAAATTGTTATTTAACTTAAATCAAATTAAAAAAATAAGTAAAAATTATGCTTGATGAGACCCCTCCTAAAACCATTCTAGAACAAGCACATACATAAGCAATTATGTACACAAAGGTAGATTATTGCTCAGTTAAGCCTACAAATGTTCTGCCCACCCTGTAAGAATATTAGAAACATTTAAGGCTTATGTAAACATTTAACACATTCCCATTAAAATGAACTGTTCATCAAAAGATGAGCTTGTCTAAAAATTAAAAAATAGGGCTTGCTGAGATGCCAAAAAGTCTGTCAGAGGTAGAAAATATACTTTAATAAAGATAATAGATTTAAGGGAAAAAGTTTTAAGATTTTTGGATGGTTTCTAAAATCAAGTATAAAAATATGTTTAATATTACCTTAAAATAGTTTTATGTGTTAAGTTTTAAGTATATTTTACTACAACAAAAGATATATTTATAAAAACTTTAACATCACCATTTTCTAAGCCTTAAATCAAGTTTACCTCTTTCTTAAGCAGACTTTCTTATCTTCACTTTGGAGATAAACCAGCTTTAGTTTTACAAATGGTTAATCAACATTTTTTTGCAAGTGAGAAACCACACAGAAAGCAAGCTTTCTATAGTTGCCTAAAATAATTTACAGCCTCCTCCATCTCTTTTAATGTATTCAAAATTATTCTATATATTTTTATTAATCCTAAAATATTACTATACATGATGCAAAACAATGTTTTTAGATTTGTTTTGATGAGAAATTTCTAAAATTAAACTAAATGAGCCCACTGTAAAATGTCCAGGTCTCAGTAACAAATTTTACTTTTGTTGTCACTGATGGGTTTGATAATTACTTAGGAAATATTTTAAAGCTATCTCATATCACATTAACTTGTTCATTAGTTTTTAGAAACACAAATTTGATCAAAGAAGCCTTTCTAGAATAGAGTAAATTCACTTTCTCCACATATACCTGAATCATCGGCCAATCTGCTAATTCTTTCCAAAACAGCAATACAATCTCTTTCATCATCGCAGACTTCCCTCAAGGTATCGAGCAAACTCCGGGCCACCATTTGTCTACACAAAAAAAACAAAATTATGTATGTTCAATGGCATCAATAGCTAATATCCAGAATTTTAATTTTTTGAGACAGGGCCTCATTCCTGTTGCCCAGGCCGGAGTGTAATGGTGTGATCACGGCTAACTGCAGCATTGACTTCCCTGGCTCAGGTAATCCTCCCACCTCAGCCTCCTGAGTAGCTGAGACTACAGGCATGCACCACCACACCTGGCTAATTTTTAAATATCTTTAGTAGAGATGCTGTTTCACCATGTTGCCCAGGCTGGTCTCAAACTCCCGGGCTCAAGCAATCCACCTGCCTTGGCCTCCCAAAGTGCTGGGATTACAGGCATGAGTCACTGCACCTGGCCGATATCTAGAATTTTAAAAGACAAAATCTGTATATTTTTTAAGAAAATTTTTTCTTATTACATTATTAAAACATATATTAGGTCTATAATTTCCTAAGTGGCAAACGGCAGTATTGATTTTATTTTAACAAGATGAGACTGAATATTTACAACATTTTTTTTTAATCTTTATCTAACTGATTTGGTAAAAAGTCACCAAAAATTCATTTCAGTTGTCCTTCAATTATCACAATGAAAAAACACACTCATTCATTATACAAAATGTTACCCTTACATATTTTTAGTAGTATGAGTTTTGCATAGCTATACCCAAAAAATCTGAACCAAGACTTTTTGATTTCCCAGAAAAGTGTGATATAGGTGGTCTGGGATCATGGCTGGACAAACACAATGCAGTAGGAAGAGTGCTGGCTCTTGGTCACTGCTGTGTGACCCAATGATCTTGAGCATCACCCGTCATACAGCAGGTATACAACATCATGTGTTGAAGGAATAATGTACTTCCCAATAAGCAATTTATATGAATACCAAAATTATGTCCAGTGGCAGAAAAGCAATGGTAATTAATGGTAATTTTTTTTTTTGCAAAGAAAGCATGTTGTATGCTTACTAGGATCAAAGAATAAACAAGTACAAAACTGCTCATGCTGTGATTATGAATAAAACTTGGTGACTCAGATTGTGCCTGTTAATAATACCTCCTTTAAAGTGGATACTTTCATTTTCCCTACTGAAGTTAATAAAACCACCCTTCCACTTCCACTTTAACAAAAAGAATATGCACATACCTGTTAAATATGTTCTCACTTGCAGCATACTTGTCCAATCTCCCCAGGGGCGTCAACATTTCATCTTGTGAGACAAAGTCCAGGGCTGAAGGTATAATAATCACATCAGACTCTGAGCTGTAGTCATCCACACCAACTATCAGAGACATCAGAAATACTCCTTATAACACTTTGAAACTAAAATGTACCCCTTGCCTGTCTGAAGCAGTACAAATCTGTTTCTGGAATGGTACAAAAAAAAAATCACAAGAGACTCTCAGAATCAATCCAGAAGCCACAAATAACTAAAAGATACCTCCTCTCCTTTTCCTACAGATATGTTCTACTTGGCTCTATAAGCACAAAGTTCTACTTGGCTCTAAAAGCACAAAGGTCAGAGGCTACAGAAACTCAGTATGCAGGAAAGTGACCAGTCTTGAGAACATGTTCAATCAAGACACTAACAACTTGTGAATAGGCACACAAAAAGTCAAGCACCAATATAGTTAGTCCTGCAATGTGGAAGATAAAGCTAATGAAACTGGTATCTAACTTCACTTAATAGAAGAAAGCTAAAAACATTAATATATTTACATTCATTAAACAAATATTTATTAAATACATTTGTGCCAAGTACTAGGGTAGATGCTGGAGAAACAACAATGAAAATACTAATGTTTCTGACTTCAAAGAGCTAATATTCTACAGAAAACAATCTACTTTAAAATGATCATTGTAATAAAAGTATGTATTAATACAAACTAAAAGGCCAGACACCCATTCAAGCTGCAGGAGAAGGAAGAGAAGACCAAGAAAGAATGGCTAAAAACTAACCAAAAGGTAATTATTTCAAAGGAACCAAGCAATGAGTGAAAGTATGATTAAACAGCATCTACTACCAAAGGAGTCAAGGAAGAACTGAAAGGTGCCCACTGAATTTGGTACTTTTGTGCCATGCTGTGTGACAAGGGCAATTTTCCATTGCATGAAAGCCGAGAAGCCAAACCTGACTGAAGAGGTAAAGGAAAATATAATAAAGTGAAGACAATGAATACAAAATATACTTTCCAGAACTGTGGCTGTGATATAGTAAACTGGATTAGATTACTAGCCAGGGCATTCAAGCAAAATAAAGATTATTTATTTTGTTCTGTTCCTAATGTTTAAAAGAAGACAGAGTTGCACATGGTTATATAATGAAAGTAAACAGTCAACAAATAAATATAAATTGAAGTTTTAGCAATAAGAAAATATTACTGATGGAAACACCATGGGGTTGGAAAGGATGCGATCCAGAGGTAAATCAGGGCCTTTCCCAAAGCCCTAAGAGCTTTCCAAGAAATTTTTATTATTATTTCCTGGCACTTCCTATTCTATCCCCTGCATTACTTGATTTACTTTCTCAATAGTGCCTGTCAACATCTGGTACGTATTAGTTGTTTTACTTATAGTCTGTCTCTCTAGAGTAAGTTATTGGCTCCATGAGGACAGAAATTTTTATCCCATACACTGCTTCATCTCCAGGATATTTCCAGGCACAAAGTAAGCATTTAAGTATTTTTGAAACAAATAAATCTGTTCATCACTCACAATGAGATTTTGTCGTTGCTCCTTTAGCTCTTAAGAGAGAAAAAGAAAACCACCTAAGAAACTCCTCCCAAATGTTGCTATATGAGAGACAGAAAAGATTCATCATTTCCTGATGAACTGTTATTGCTGTTAGGGCATTTTAAAATGCTTGTTTTTAAAGTAAATGTGTATATACCATGGGCCCATCTTACAGAACTGACTACTTTAAACAGATAACATTTTTACTCCCAACAGAACATTATCAAAAAGAGAACACAACAGTTCCTTTTGTTAAAATAAAAATAACTTCTGTACTTAAAGAACACTTAAACATGATCTTCCACTTTTGACAAAGGATGGATTAACAGGAACCAACTTAACCCTCACACCTTAAATGGTAAATAAATAAATAAAATGACAGAGCCAGGCATGCTGATAGTGTCTGTAGTCCCAGCTACTTAGGAGGCTGAAGCAGGAGGACTGTTTGAGCACGGGAGGTCGAGGGTGTACTCTTCTATAACTGCATTTGTGAATAGCCACTGCACTCTAGCCCCTGAGAAACACAGTGAGACCCCCATCTCTTAAAAAAAAGATAAAACATACGAAGCCATGGTTTCAGACACTGGACAAAAGACAGTACTGGACAGTGATCTCTGAGAAAGAGAGGACAAATGAAATGAGCCCTATATTCCTCCAGCTAACTTCCTGGAAATAATTTCCAGAGCACTAGGAGGGTCCAAATATAATCCCAGCAGACTCCTGGAGTTGAGGAGACAGAGTTGAGAATTCAGGGAGGCCAAGGCAGCTAGAATTGGCAGAGGGAGAGTATCAGAGAGGAGGGACCTTCACAGAGAAAGAACTTTAGAAAGCTGCAGAAAGTCCCTTTGAGTCTTTAGGTGAGTATTGAAACAGTTTATGTGTGTGAGGAAACTAGTCGGTATTCTGGGAAAAATAATTACCTGAAACGATCAAGTGAACGAATCCTCGATTATCACAAAGGACAAGGACTAGTTTATGTCTCCAACAACAAAAATTTTAAAAATTCTAAAATAAATGAGGCAAAACGCCTAAGAAGTGGCAAATAATTCTCCTGGTTTTGCCTAACAAAGCTTAACAGGCTTCAAAAGAAACAAACTATCTCCAAGAAACTGTGTCACAGAACAAAACTCGAGTATGTAAATGAATATAAAAATAGCTAGCACTCAACAAGGTAAACTCTACAATGTCTAGCATCCAATAAAAAATTACTAGGCACACAAAAGGCAGGAAAATACAAACCATGAGGCAAAAAATTCTACAACAGAAACAGACCCAGGACAAAAAATATAGAATTAGCAGATAAGAACATTGAAAGTTATTTTAACTATATTCCATACATTTAAGAAGGCAGAAAAAAAGAGCATGTTAAGAACAGAGATGGAAGATGATACGAAAGACCTAAATTGATCTTTTAGAGATGAAAAAAAGATATGAAAAATACACGGGATGGGATCAAGAGCAGATTAAACATTATAGAGGAAAAAATGTGTTACCTTGAAGAAAAAGGGTAAGAAAAATATCCTAAATGAAACAGAAAAAATATGGGGGAGGAAGAGAATTAAGCATCAATCAATTGTAGGAAAACTCCAAGCATCCAAATATATGTGCAAATGGAGTCCCCAAAGAAGAATGGGAGATATAAAATATATTTGAAGAAATAATGGACAAAATTTTCCCAAATTTGGTAAAAACTATCAATCTACAGACAGATTCAAGGGGTTCAATGAAACCCATGAGCAAGAAACATGAAGAAAAGTATACCAAGGCACAATATAATCAAATTGCTTAAAGCTAGTGATAAAAACTTTCAGGCAGCCGGAGAAAAACTCATGTTACATAGAGAAAAACAAAAGAATGATAGGAGACTTTTCCATCTAAAATACAAGCCAGAAGACATTAACATCTTTCAAGTACATAAAGAAAAATACCTACAACTCCATACCTAAGAAACAAGACATCTTTCAAATATGAAGCTGAAATAAAGATTTTTTTCAGCCACACAAAAACTGACATCATCAACAGCAGACATGCACTATAGGAAATAATAAAGCAAACCATTCCAGCAAAAGGAAAATTACACCAGATGAGAATCTGGATCTATACAGAAGAATAAAGGACATCAGAAACAATTAATATGGGGCCAGGCACAGTGGCTCACGCCTGTAATCTTATCACTTTGAGAGGCCGAGGCGGATGGATCACTTGAGCTCAGGAGTTCAAGATCAGCCTGGGCAATATAGTAAAACCTTGCCTCTAAAAAAAAATACAAAAATTAGCTGGGCATGGTGGCGTGCACCTGCAGTCCCAGCTACTTAAGGGGCTGAGGCAGGAAGACTGCTTGAACCTGGGAGGTCAAAGCTGCAGTGACCTGAGATGGCACCACTGCACCCCAGTCTGGAAGACAAAGCAAGACCCTGTCTCCAGAAAAAGAAAGAAAGAAAAAAAAAAGGTTAATATGGGATAAATAAAAAATTTCTTATTTTTCAAATCTTTAAGATAACTGCTTAAATAAAAATACGTACTAAGAAATAAATGGATAAATATATATTGTGGGGTTCACAACATATGTAGAAGTATAATGTATGACTATAATAGCACAAAGGCAGGAAAAGGGTAAAGTATACTGTTATAAAGCTCTTACGCTGTGTGTGAAGAGATACATATTACTTGAAGTTAGACTGTGGAAAGGTAAAAATGCATATTAATTATAAACTCTAAAGCAATCATTATTTAAAAAGAAACACACATACACCAAAGACATATAACTACTAAGCCAGTACACCACCTAAGTAATCTAAAAGAAGGCAGAAAAAGAGAATAAAGGGAACAAGGAAGAGATGGGACAACAAATGAGAAACAACAAGATAAAGAGATTTAAACACAACCATATCAGTAACTACATTAACTGCAAATGGTCTAAATAGCCCAACTAAAGGCAGAGACTGTCAAATTGGATTACAAACAACACCTAACCATGAACATAATTATACACTGCAGCTTATTCTGTCTACAATTCATAGCAAAATACCTTATTAATTATAAATCAGAGCTGTAAAAGCCACTCAGCCACTCTCATCTGGCCTCAGTTTTCTCCTTTATAAGACTGTTAAGCTAGCATAACCTTGAAGCACCTTTATAAAGGCTGTAGAATTCTATGACTATGACCAAACTGTTTCATCAGTCTCATACTTGTTAATCTTAAAGATAAACAATAAAATTGATTCTGGCCCATAAAAAGCAAAGGGCAGTGGGAAAAAACTCCTACAGCTGTGACTGTCAAACATAATTATGTTCAAGACAAGCTTGTGGCACTTACCTAAAATGCAGATACCTAGATCCCACACTCAGATACTGATTATGTTAGTCTGGAGTAAGGCTCAGGAGCATTTATTTTTAAATGAATAACCCCACTAATTTAAATGCAGACTGTTATACAACCATACTTAAGAAGCCTACTCCTAGAAGGTAACAAAATCATATTCTGCTTCAAATGTTTTGCTATCACTCTATCATGATTGATAATCACTTCCATACAAAGGGAGTGTTCCACTCTGGTACAGACACTGGTGACAAATGTTCACTTCTATTTCCCAAAAAAAAAAAAAAAAAAAAAAATTACAATCCTAGGAGTAATCTCTGAAACACACTAGAAGGTATAGCTAGAAAGATAATGGAGAAACTAAAATTGAGTACTAAAAAATATTCAGCTAACCCAAAATAAAGTCTGGAAAGGAGTAACAGAGGAAAAAACCATAAGTCAAACAGAAAATAAATAGCAGAATCACAGACCTAAATGCAACTAGATCAATAATTACATTAAATATAAATGGACTAAAATATTTCATTTAAAAGGCAAAGATTATCAGACTATCAGAAATATAGTCTGACTACCAGAGATACATTTTTAAAGACAAAATTTCAACCATTAGGTTGAAAATAGTTTTTTAAAAAGATATAACACAAAATAGTAAGCATAAGAAAGCTGGAGGCCGGGTGTGGTGGCTCACGCCAATAATCCCAGCACTTTGGGAGGCTGAGGTAGGTGGATTGCTGGAGCTCAGGAGTTTGAGATGAGACCAGCCTGGGCAACATGGTGAAACCCCATCTCTATAAAAGATACAAAAATATTAGCTGGGGGTGGTGGTGCACACCTGTGATCCCTGCTACTTGGGAGCCTGAGGTGGGGGGATCACTTGAGTACGGGAGGCAGACATTTCAGTAAGCTGATATAGCTCCACTGCACTCCAGCCTGGGTGACAGAGTGAGAATGTCTCAAAAAAAGAAAAAAGAAAAAAAGCTGGAGTGGCTATATTATTATGAGACAAAATAGATCAAAGACAAGGAGTATTACTAGAAATGGAGACATTAGTACTTCAAGACTCTTGAATTCTTATGTAGCTCTGCATAACTAAAGTTTACAGATTCTTGAACACTGTAATAGCAGCAATAGCCCTATACTGTTCCATGGCTTTTAAAATCCAGCCTCTTTCACTGATGAAGTAAAAAAACCATACATCACCTTTTAATGTTATCTGAATTTTTTAAATGACCAAAAAGCATGCAATACAGTGTTCAAACCAGGTTGTTATTGTTACTGTTGTTTTTTTTTTTGGGGAAAAAAAAAAAAGCATATACTGGCCGGGAACGGTGGCTCATGCCTGTAATCCCAGCACTGTGGGAGGCTGAGGCAGGTAGATCACTTAGAGGTTAGGAGTTCGAGACCAGCCTGGCCAACATGGTAAAACCCCTTCTCTACTAAAAATACAAAGAAATTAGTCAGGCATGGTGGTACGTGCCTGAAATTCCAGCTACTTGGGAGGCTGAATCACAAGAATCACTTGAACCTGGGAAGTAGAGGTTGCAGTGAGCCAAGATGGCACTGCTGCACTCCAGCCTGGGTGACAGAGTGAGACTCTGTCTCCAAAATAAATAAATAATTTTTTTAAAAAGTGATCTCAGCTCACTGCAACCTCCGCCTCCCAGGTTCAAGCAATTCTTATGCCTCAGCCTCTTGAGCAGCTGGAATTACAGGCAGGCGCCACAACACCTGGCTAATTTTTGTATTTTTAGAAGAGACGGGGTTTCACCATGTTGCCCAGGTTGGTCTTGAACTCCTGGTCTCAAGTGATCCGCCCGCCCTGGCCTCCCAAAGTGCTGGGATTACCGGCGTGAGCCACCGTGCCTGGCCAAAAGAATGGAATTCTTAATAGGAAGAGAAAACCTAGGATATAAACTAAGGCCCTACACTTAAAGCTTTAGTTCATCTTATCTCTAAGACCCTTTGAAAACTGCTGCTAAACATAAACTAGGCTCAATATAACCTTCTAGTTCCAAATTATGAAAGGAATCAAATATGTTACAATACAAATAAAGAGAACATCAGGAAGGAAGATGACAAGGGAAAGAAACAACAAAACAATGACATTAATCCTTGTTACCTATAGAACTGAATGACTTTTTGTATAGACGTGAGATTATGTAACAGCACAAAACAACTGTCATAGCTCCAGAAGTATCCTCTCTCTATACTACTTGCAGTTCCCTGAATCTAACACAGAAATCCAAAGTAGCAGAAGAGAAATTCCAATTTTTCGCTTTTTTAAATTTAAGAAAAAGTGCCTAAAATGTAATAGTTTAAAAGTTGTGGCCAGGCGCGGTGGCTCACGCCTGTAATCCCAACACTTTGGGAGGCCAAGGCAGGCGGATCATGAGGTCAGGAGATTGAGACCATCCTGGTTAACATGGTGAAACCCCATCTCTACTAAAAAAAAAAAAAAAAAAAAAAAAAAAAATTAGCCGGGCGTGGTGGCGGGCGCCTGTAGTCCCAGCTACTTGGGAGGCTGAGGCAGGAGAATGGCATGAACCCGGGAGGCGGAGCTTGCAGTGAGCCGAGATTGCGCCACTGCACTCCAGCCTGGGCGACAGAGCAAGACTCTGTCTCAAAAAAAAAAAAAAAACTTGCACCTTTCCTTTAGCCATGCGCAGTGACTCACACCTTTAATCCCAGCACTTTGGGAGGCCAAGGTGGGCTGATCATCTGAGGTCAGAAGTTTGACACCATCCTGGCCAACATGGTGAAATCCCATCTCTTCTAAAAATACAAAAATTAGCTGGGCTAAAACAGGAGAATCGCTTCAAACCAGGAGAAGGAAGTTGCAGCGAGCTGAAATCGCGCCACTGCACTCCAACCTGGGCGACGTACTGAGACACTGTCTCAAAAAAAAAGTTGGGCCCACCATAAAATTGTACATAGTCATAGCAAAACCGTGTGAAAAGAACAGAAGATTTTTAAGGTAAGAGAGATCTGGATTCAAATCCCATTTTGTCACTTATTATATTCATCTATAAAATAATGGTTAAGACTTTTAAGACACAGTGATAATGTCTGCAAATGTCTGCAACAGTGTTAGGCAAATAAGCAAATGTTCCCTCCCACTTTGCATTTCAGTTTGTTTCTAGATACAGAATATCTGTGTGTGGTTTCCAACTGTTTTTGTTTTCACTCATTTCATTCAACCAGTAAGTAGGGAAACCATGTGTTTTTAATAGTTTTCATTCAACCAATTAGTAGTCTTAATATAAATAGGACAGCACATACACTATCTACCATTCCCATTGACTTATTTATGCAACAAAGTTTCTCAGCACTTATAGCTCTTAAAATGAAAAGTAGAAATGATGTTAAGTATTATCTCATTCTAAGCAATAGATTATATTTATCCATGAATACATAATTATTTTGTAAAATTCCCATCCATTTCATTAAGAGATGCCTTTTTGATAAAATGTTATTTACTAGGTTTTTTCAATCTGTAATATATTCTGGTTGATCAACCAAGTATTAATAATGGAAACTCAATAAAACTTTAAGTTTTATATTAACGGGAAATTCAAATTTTTAATTTCTTTTTATTTTTTAATTTTTGAGAGAGAGTCTCATGTGATCATGGATCACTGCAGCCTTGACCTCCCAGGATCACACAGTCCTCCCAACTCAGCCTCCCTAGTTGGGACTACAAGTGCATGTGCCACCCACCATGCCCAGGTAATTTTCTTTATTTTTTGTAGAGCTGCTGGTCTATGTTGCCAGGGCTGGTCTCAAACTCCTAGGCTCAAGGGATCCTCCTGCCTCAACCTCCCAAAGTGCTGGGATTACAGGTGTGAGCCACCTTGCCTGACATAAAATTTAAATTTCTCTTTACCTATTTTTGGTGCAAAGAAATGTGACTGGGCAATCAACTCTCAAGCATGAAAATATGAAAATACATCAAGGTAAATTTCTGTGTGGAAAATGAAAAGAGATAAAGAAAAAAATGCAAGAGTCTCAATTTAAAGAATTTATTCACAATTTTTTTGTTTTATTTGTCTCTCACGGTCTTGCCTGAATATTTGTGAGTCTTAAAAAATGAATAGTGGGTATCCAAGTGCTATAGTATTTAGTCCATTTTAAAAAGTGATACAACTCTATGTTTAAAACACTGATATTTATAATACATTAGAAATATATCCTTTGCAAATATGGAAATTTTATGGAGAAAATTTTGAATGTCAACTTTAAAATACATGATACAGAGTTTTCAAAATTATTTTAGTAGGTATGCAGTAATAAAGTTTAAAGACCACGGTCCTAGACTGTTATTAACATAATTGCCTGGATCCATCTACTCCCAGCCTCCCCTCATTCGAATCCAGTTTATATATCAGCACCACTTCAATCTTCCCACTCTGTTCAATAGATGCCCTTGCACGCCCTCCCTCCCAATCCCTACCATTCCACCCCCTGATAAGCCTCCCAGGCAGTCTGAATTAAGGTACAACTTTCTTTCTCATGCTGTAATTCAAGGGTGTCCAGGATCTGGCCCCAACCTAGTTTCCTCCTCTGTACACAGCCCATGTGGAGTCAATTTGCTGCAACATGCCCCACTACTTTTCTGTCTTATGTGGTTTCATCTGTTCCATTTCTGTCCTCTCTAACCTCATCTCAGCTTAAATTTACCTATTACTAACAACACCCAGGAGGCATTTTCTATTTTCTAATTAAGAGTTCTTCCTTTTAATTCCCTGCCGTCTTGGGTGCCCTTGCTTTTACTCCACCAATAATTGCAAAGTATTTTTCCTTTTTTTCATATTCTCCTACCTTCCCTTCTCCTCTCCCTCCCCAACATATATAAATTCCCTAAAGATTGTCTTGCTAAACTTTTCATTATCTAAAAAACAGAGTCCAATGCTTCTCATGGAGGCACATTCATTAATATTTGTTAATGAAAATGTAGTCCATAGGGATAATTGATAAGTCAAGAGTTTACTATACTTTATCCTTCTCTAAGATATTCACAAGCACATTAGCATATTAATACCTTGAGAAGTATCACACCAAAGAGAACTTTTTAATTCGTACAAACTTTTATCAAAATTGATCAAAACACCCTTCTATTCTCTACATAATCTCTAATAATGTAACGTAAAACATAAAAAAGCTCATAGTCTATCCTTCCCTTCAGTTTTTCCCTAGATACTGCTCAGGCCACAATAAATCGGCCACATTTTGTTTCCCATCTTTACATTTTAGAAAATGAAAGACAATGAGATACACCACAGAATGAGTTACCTTATAAAGATTTGGGGCTTTAAAATTATATTTTAACAAATAAATATACCAACAAATGAATAGGGAGGAAGATCAGGCTCTTCTATAAAGCAGAATGTCAGCTAGTAAATGCAATTAATTCAGGCAAGAATCATCAACACATTCTAACACTAAATGGGTAAATGTTTGGAAACAGGGTATTTCCCCATTGTCAAACTATTTCCTTACTAATTACAATAGGAAAAACAGAATCTTTACAGTGGAGCAATTTGATAGACATCACCTCCACACTACCAGTAATGGACACTGCTATCAGGTGCTCCTTAATCTGAAGCACTGAGAAAACTACACTATCACTTATGTAGCAGTCCTGTCAAAAAAAAAAAAAAAAAAAAAAAAAAAAAGGAAAGAATAACCTGAATCAAATCATGAGGAAACAGATAAAACCAAATGGACTCTTCAAAAATGTCAATTTCATGAATGCTAAAGGCTGAGAAATTGTTCCAAACTAGTAAGTTTGTAAGTAATGTCCTTACAGCAAAAGACAGTTGCCATAAGGACATTACTGGGGATATTTCAATATGTACTACATACTATATAACAGGATTGTAGCAATGTTAAATTTCCCAAATTTCATTACTATGATTGTAAAAGTGCCCTTGTTCTTAGGAGACACAGGCTAAAGGTCCCAATGACCACAACCTATTTTCAAAGGTACACCAAAAAATTACATTACATTGTGTGTGTGTACATAACTGTATAGAGAAGTAACGAGCAAACTGGCAAAATGTTAACAGCTTAATTCAGGTGAAGAGTTGGGAATTCATTACAATATCTGTGCAGCTTTTGTATAGGTCTGAAAGTTTTCAAAATAACAAGTTTAATTAAAAATAATTTCATTATTTGACCCCAAATTAGGTTTACGGTCTTATTTAGCTTGGTGTGAAACATCAAGATTCATTCAATACTTATTCTACATTAAGCACTGATGAGATGTATTGCTGAACACTGTGTGATGAGTCAAGAATAAAAATGTTACAGACCTTGGATTTTATAGCACAGTGAAGGGGTTGGCCAACTACAGCCAGCGAGCCAAACTGGCCCACCTTCTGTTTTCGTAAATAAAATTTTATTGGATGACACTTACTTTCATTCATTTCTGTATTGTCATGGCTGCTTTTACCTTACAACAGCAGATCTGAGTAGCTGCAACAAAGATCATATGGTCCACAAAACCTAAACTATTTAATATTTGGCCTTTTACAGGGACCATACAACATAATCTTTATAGTCTCCAGCAACAGGTATGTCAAACTTTAATTTTGTACTTTGCAATAATATAAATAATGTTTATCAGAAACCCTTCCTTCAAATATCAATACTAAAAGCTTACTAAATCCTTAGAAATGCAAAATTGTCCTATAGCACAACTGAATTTAAGGCAAGAATAATTTGCTGAAGTATACTATATGTATATTCATATATGTATTTATATTTATATATATACACCATATGTATAATGTATTTCTATTTATATAATACAGTAGTGGCATGTTTATCTAGTTTCAAGTTAGTTACCAAGATTATGTATACAAACAGTATTTAACAGAAAGGTAGTATAACAAAGCACTTGCTCTGACATACACTTGTGGATCTCCCAAATATTATAGATATTTGTTCCCTTCAGTGAGTAAAAATTTTCTTTGCACTCTTAACGCAATTACTTTGGTAGTAACCTTTTTTCCCACAGGTAATCCAAATACAAAATTTGAACTAACTCAGGTCCAAATTGCCACCAATCTTAAATAAATGAAGTATTGAATAAATGAGTTATTTCTATCAAAAATGAATTTCATAGATTTAAATATAAAAGTGATCTACATCAGGCTGGGTGCAGTGGCTCACACCTGTAATTCCAGCACTTTGGGAGGCCAAGACAGGTGGATTGCTTGAGCTCAGGAGCTCAAGGCCAGCCTAGACAACATGGCAAAACCCCATCTCTACCAAAAATACAAAAAAATTAGCCAGGCGTGGTGGTGCAGGCCTGTGGTCCCAGCTACTTGGTAAGCTGAGGTGGGAGGATTACTTGAGTCCGGGAAGCAGACGTTGCAGTGAGCCAAGATAGTGCCATTACACTCCAGCCTGGGCAACAGAGCCAGACCCTGTCTCAAAAAAAAAAAAACAAAAACAGAAACATGGATAAATGAAAGTCAAAACCGAGTAGTAGAGACATGATGGTCCATCTGCCTTTGTATATGTCTTAAGTATCTGTAATATATAACGAACTCTCAAAATTTAATAAGAAAATGTCCCAATGAAAAGATGAGCAAAAGATGTGAAAAGGCACTTCACCAAAGGAGATAAGTTAGATGGCAAATGAGCACATAAAAAGAGTAACATAATTAGCCATTAATGCAAATTCAAGCCACAAATTAATACTATTATACATTTAATAAGAGTGGCTAAAATTAAGACTGCTCACACTAAGTGTTGACAATGATGATGAGGACCTGGAACTCTCATACACTTTTGGTGGGAATGGAAAATGATATAACCACTTTGGAAAACAGTTTGGCAGTTTTTCTTTCTTTCTTTTTTTTTTTTTTTTTTTGGATGGAGTTTCGCTCGTTGCCCAGGCTGGAGTGCAATGATGCAATCTCGGCTCACTGCAACCTCTGCCTCCCAGGTTCAAGTGATTCTCCTGCCTCAGCCTCCCGAGTAGCTAGGATTACAGGCATGCACCACCACGCCCAGCTAATTCTTTGTATTTTTAATAGAGACGGGGTTTCACCATGTTGGCCAGGCTGGTCTTGAACTCCTGATCTCGGGTGATCCACCCGCCTCGTTCTCCCAAAGTGCTGGGATTACAGGCATAAGCCACCGCACCGGGCTGGCAGTTTCTTAAAAAGTTAAACAGCCATTCTACTTCTAGATGTATACCCAAGAGAAAGAACATATATATTCACACAGACTTGTGTGTGAATGTTCATAGCAGCTTTATTTGTAACAGCAAAAAAACTGCAGATGATCCAAAAATCCATCAACATTTTAAAGGTAGAAAGCTGAGAAAAAGTTAACTTGCTCAGATTATAAAGAGAATAAATGGCAGGGCCAGAATATTAACTCAGGTCTAAAGGCTTACCAAGCCCAGTGTTCTTTCCCCTACACAAAACTATACTGAGGTATCTTCCAGAATGACTGCATGATAGATGCTCAAATACCAACCACATTCATATCAATAAGGCCAGAAAGTAAGTTAAGTTTGCTCCTTAGTCTAGGGAGATAAGAAGCTAAGATGACTTAAAAGTTAGGAGAGTTAAGAAATGAATGTGGAGGAAGCAGCATTGATGATGTCACCAGCTCAAAGATCTGTGCTAAAAGCAGAGCAAGTTCCAGACCCTCTTATAGAAATTAGAGGGAATACCTCCTCAGCCAAAATTCCATAGGTGTGCCATCCAGACTTCTGCCCAAAACACTAAGTTAGGTTTATTCTCAGCTCCAATTTAAAAACAACAACACAACTCTAATTCAAATTTAGGAACTTTCAAATTCTTTTACTCCAAAATATAAAAAAAAGATGTAATACAAACATAGGAGCAAGGTAACAATAGTTTAATAAACATACATTCATTGTTTTGAGGAGACTGAGAGAAAAGGACCAGAAATAATAAACCAGAGATCAAACAAATGTGGCAGCAGACTTCTGAACTTTACCTCCTGAGGTCTATTTATCTTTCACAGGCAGGAACAAACAAAAAGTATGCATTTAGGTGTCTTGGTTTTTTATTTTTTGGAGGGGGGAGGGCAGTGGATCGTGTAGCTACAGGCCCAAGCATATTTACAAAGGGGTTTTTCTCTCTGTCTCTCTCTCTCTCTCTTTCAATTTTATGTGGGAAGTTGTTAGCAGAGGTATCATTAATTGATCCAACACACATGTGGGTACCACTGAAACCATTTTAAAAGCACTCTTTTCTAAGATATCAATGATATTATCTCTAAATAAAGATCTCTCCATCCAGGCTTGTTGGCAGCAGTCAAAACAGGCTACCAGGTCTCACGACTCACCCTCCCAAATCCCTATTTAACAATACTCCTAAATATGATTCACGTTCAAGGGCACCTTCCAAAGGTTTCTGAATGATTCCCTGGCCACTACCAGATACAGCCCCAATATTTTGCTCCTCACCTCCCACCGGAAGCAAGGACTCTAAGCTTATCAGAACTGGTTTTGAAACATGGTAGGAAGGCCTGAAGATTCTGCACAGAGTGCGGTCTAGGCGGTTACCCTCAGTTAGTTCTGGACCCATCCTTCACTCTACTTCAACACCGCCCTTAAACCCGAAAAACAGCATAATGTAAAAGGATTCCAAAACTTAAATATGAAAAAAGTCTGTTGTATGGCATACTCAATAACATAGCTTCAAAAACTTTTCAACGTCATACTTAGTTACAGCTGAGATAAAAGTTAACGACTAAATAAGCTGTCTTATACCCAAGCTCCATCCTCTCTATCATTCTCCAGGTGTAAACTAAACCACATGCAGCATCCCAGATTAATTTTCAAGGGTACTTTAAGAACGAGTTCAAAGAAATTGCCTGTACAAGTTTGGGTTGATCAATATTTTAAACTGGGCCATTTAAGAAAATATTCAAAATATGATATTTAGAATCAGAAGGCCTAGCTTAAAATTCCGTCTAAACTTAGGAGTTTTGTTTCTTTAGTCCCTTTGGGCATTAGTCAACTTACTTATTAGTATTAGAATACCACAGCCTACACATCACAGGACTGCTGTGAAGAATAACCTGTGTATGAAAGGCACTGTAAACTAAGCGTTACATAGCCATTCTTTAAAAATAACATTCTTCAACATATTACTTTGATAAAAGCTTAAGTTCTAATGAAACTCCTTCAATGAAATTATTTTTACAAGCATTGGCTCATCAAATCTTAACCGTATCTTAGTCTCATTTCATTTTAGGAATCTACCAACTTAAATGTGAATCAAAATTGCATCTTTGGAAACTAAAACAGAAATCTGAAATAATTTTTTCTAAACATCTACAATTTTGTATTGTCTCCCATTATTTAAGGAACATAATTAAATATAAAAAGTTAAAAAGGGTTTACCCAACTCTGAAATCTGCTGAGATAACCTATGTTCAAATGGAGTCACTGGTTTGCTTTCAATTTGAAATTCAAAGTATTTCATGATACAGTACTGAAAGTTTCACTTTTAAACTTAAATACATATGGTTTTTATTGCATTATTCTCCTAAACTTTTTTTTTTTGAGACGGAGTCTTGCTCTGTCGCCAGGCTGGAGTGCAGTAGCACAATCTTGGCTCACTGCAACCTCTACCTCCTGGGTTCAAGCAACTCCCCTGCCTCAGCCTCCTGAGCAGCTGCGACTACAGGTGCACGCCACCACGCCCAGTTAATTTTTTTTTGTATTTCAGTAGACATTTCACCATGTTGGCCAGGATGGTCTCGATCTCCTGACCTCGTGATCCGCCCACCTCGGCCTCCCAAAGTGCTGGGATTACAGGCATGAGCCACTGCACCCAGCCTATTCTCCTAAATTTAAGAGTACCTGATAATGATTTCATTTACTTACCTTTATAAGTTACTTGATAAAAGTTTAAGTTCTAATGAAACTCCTTCAATGAAATTATGTGTACACACACACACACACACACACACACACAAATACCATCCATTTTTCCCTCATTAGGATTTTTTTTCCTCCAAAGGTTATCAGTCAAGTCAGTCTTTGACCAACCTTTTCCCCGACTCTGTGCCTCTGTACAGAGACGGGATTAAAACAAATCAAATCGAAAGACCTGAGACTCTTAGCAATGTCTGGCAATGCCCCTCTTTCAAGTCCTAGACTCCAGCTAGGTCCTTTCCTAGATCATCTGCACAACAGAACTTACTGTCTCTTCCCTCATAGTCCAGGTTCTGCATTTAGGAAGGTCAACCAAGATTCTAGAGCTTGACCAGAAAACAATTTCTTCCCATCCCAAGGGCCAACTTACACCTAGCTTGGCTGAAGTAGTAGGACTTGTTTACAACTACTCTGGAGGTTGGGCTCCATACTCTGGAGTTTTACCATAGACAGAGAAACTCAGGCTCACGAGATAACAACCGTGTTATAAGGGCAGCCCAAGCTCCGTTCCTCTACCTTTGGGTCCTCTACCTTCTCCAGCTTCTCCAGGATGTGACAGCTGTCTCAGTCCTTTACCAACCATCTTGCTCTCTAAGGAGGCACCATGGCCCAGTGTTCCCCCTCATTCTTTCTCCCTTCACAAGAGATGGGAAGTGGTCCTTCAACTGGCCATATGTCCAAAAGTCCTTTGTTCCTGAATATTCTGGGTAAAGGTATCACCTGTAAAAACTTTAGTAACTGAGAAAAATAAGCAATTACTCTAACAAAGCCTTCAACCAAATTATGAATATGCAAATAACTATTGTGCCTTCAATGTCTGTTTTATCCTAAATTAAAATGCACAGGAAACAGAATCTTTAAAAAGTTAGTTGCAGCCGGGCGCAGTGGCTCACGCCTGTAATCCCAGCACTTTGGGAGGCCAAGGCAGGTGGATCACCTGAGGTCGGGAGTTCGAGACCAGCCTGATCAACATGGAGAAACCCCGTCTCTACTAAAAGTACAAAATTAGCCAGGCGTGGTGGCACACGCCTGTAATCCCAGTTACTTGGGAGGCTGAGGCAGGAGAATCACTTGAACCCGGGAGGCAGAGGTTGCGGTGAGCCGAGATCGCGCCATTTTGCACTCCAGCCTGGGCAACAAGAGTGAAACTCCATCTCAAAAAAAAAAAAAATTTAGTTGCGAGCATTGGCAGCATCTTTAAGTACCTTCATTCTGTAAGGTTCAACATCAGTGTTTCCTTCTCTGCTCTTCTTTTAAGCTTCCCTTGCTCTTTTCTCATAACAGCAAACATAATCATAATCATCGCTGTTTACCAGGAATTGTTCCAAGTGCTTCAGAGGCACTAACTCATGTACAGCCTTGAACAACTCTATGAAGTAGGTAATATTTCTTATGCCTACTTACAAATGACAAAACTGAGGCATAGGGAGGTTAAGTGAGTTGCCCAAGTCTGCCCAAAAAGACACTGCTAAGACAAACAGAGCAGCCTGGCTCCAGTGGTAACTGTAATACTGTACTGTACACCTAGATTCAAAACTGCTTGTAAACCACTAGAGGGCATGGGTTGTGCCCATCTTTCTCAAAGCTCCATCCCCAGTACCTGGCAGAGTGTTGAAACTCATGGTTGAATTTTTCACAGGTATGCCTTCCCCTCTACACTGTGCTTCTTGGGGGCTAAGGAAGAAACTGAGACTGCATTTCATCCTTCAGGAGTGAGAAGTTTTTGCTCCAGTCATAAATACTTGCTGAATAAATGAATCTTCTATTTACGAAGTCGAACATAAATATAAAAAGCCCTCCTCGAGGTAACATAATCAGGGCCATTTCTCCAATCCTAACCTGGCAAGAGATCTGAAATCAACAGATGCCTTAAATAATATCTCAAACTTACTATTAGGCAGATAAGTGGCTTAAGGTAAACATTAAATAAAATGTTAAAGCTGCCCTTCACTACATGAGTACTGCTCCCTTTAAGAGAGCTGTTTTGAGCCACCTCACTAAAAACACAGACTTAGCAAAAGTTTGGATGTGGTTCATTTACTTTAAAGATAAATTACTCGTTTCAGATAATCCATCTAAATAGTAAATCCCCCTTACTTTACTCAAAACAACCAGGAATCTAAAAATTAAGTTTACTCTGAGTAAGGGAACCACATTAGACAATGCTAAGGATTAACTACAGAGTATTTAAAAGAGTAATTTCAAACTGCAGCCATCTCTGAAATTACTTATACAGGTACTAGACAGTCAATCTCAGCATCCGGTAGGCTTTCCACTAAACAGACCACAATCCTACTATGGTTATCATCTCAACTCAGAACAATTTCTTGGTCCCTTATGTATCCCATGATCTTCGCTTATATATTTTGCACACTCTGCATTTTTAAAATGCATCTCAAAACCTATTGATTTTTTGATGGGTCGCTATTTTGGAAGATTAGCAAGAATAGAAACTATTTTAAGTTAACTGCAATTTGTCACTTCTTTCAATACAAACCTGCTTAACTCTTTTGTCTTTTCTATCGTGACCCAAATTATTTTCTGAGGCTTAGAAAAGTACATATAAGACGAAAAATTCCTTTCTAAATATCAATTCCGTCGCCATCAGGAAATGTCAGAAACTTTGTCTTTTTAAAAATAAAAGCGTCAACTCTTTAAAAACTTCAGTACCTCAAAGGAAAGCTGCACTGTTAACACTGAAGGAGGGCTGGGTGATTTCTGAACATCCGCATTAAAGAAATATGCTCTCCAAACCTAGTAATTCCTGCGGAGGCCACACCTTCTAACCTTCTCGTAATCCACTAATCAAATCGGGAGCATCTGAAAACTGCTACCAGCCAAAGTAAAATGACAGGTATGTCATCCTCAAACAATCCAAAACCGGGTCGGGGAGCCCAGACGGCTAGCCGGGGCCCAGGCTGACCCCCGGGCGCTCCTGGAAGAGCGACTCTAAGGAAACACACCTCCCGCGCGAGCCTCTTCCTTCCTAGAGTGACGGGGGAAGGGGACACCAGGGGCAGAAACACACCCAAACCCCACTTCAAATCCTGCCCCACCGCTTCTCCTTCCAAAACAGCCGCGCCACTGCTGAGCCCGCAGGCGATTCGGGGGCGCCGGGAGAAGAGAGCGAAGGGCGGAAAGCGAACTTGGGCGTTACTCCGGGCGTCTCCCTCCCCCAGCGGAACCTGGGCGCGCCGTTTCCTCACGGACGCGAGATTTTCCCCCCCGATCGCCACCCCAGCCCGCCTGGGGCCGCCCTCGCCCACCGTCCCCTCAGCCAGCCAGGGCCCGGCCCAGGCCTCGCCGCCGCCCGCCCTCCCCGGCCGCTCCCCGCGGACTGCCAGGCCACCGCGAGGCCGGGCCACTCACATCCGTCTGCGTCCTCCTGCAGGTCCTCCTGAAGCAGCGAGAGGTCTGCGCCGAGGGGAGAGAAGAAAGGCCCGGTCAGCGCCCCGGGGCCCGGCGCGACGCCCCCCCCCCGCCCGCCTCCCCCCCGCCCCGGGGGCGCCTTCCCGCGCCGGGACCCCACGCCGGCCCCGGCCCGGCAGCCACTCAGGGCTGCGGCGGAGGGCGGGTGGGCTCGAGGAGCCGCCGCCGCCCGGAGAACAGGGGGCCACGTACCCGCCATCTTGTGGTCGCCCCCTCCTCCGCGGCCGCCCGGGGAGCCGGGGCTACATGGAGCGGCGCGAGCCGGGGAGCCGGTGGACGCGCGCGGGAGGGGCGGCGGGGAGGAGGAGGGCCGGGCTGGCGGGGGCGCGCGCGCGGGGCGGGCCGAGGGCCCGGGCCTGCCGCGGGCGGCGCGGCTCCCGGCCGCCCGGGCCCCCGGCCGCGCCCCGCCCCGCCCCGCCTGCCCCTCCGCGCGGCTCCCGGGCGACCGGCGCTCCCGCCTCCCGCCTTTCCCGCTGCTTGCCGGGTCCCGGCCCGGCGACGCGCGCTCACACCCTCCTCCCGAGCCGCCCTCACGCCGAGCGCTGCGGACGGGGGCGCGCAACCTGCCGCCGGCCGGGACCCTGCGGCGAGTGCCGGAACCCGGCCGGGCGGGGCCTCCCGCGGCCCGGCCGCTTTATTGGGTCACCGGCCTCGCCCACCGCCCTGCCAGCCGCAGCCATCTCGGCGGGCGCGCCGCTCGCAGCCAGCGCCCCATCCCCAGGCCTGCACGTACGTCGTCGGCGATCCGGGGCCGGGGGCGGCTCCGAGGTCGTCGGGGCCGGGGTCCCACCTCCTCTTGGAGGAAGCGCCGCCTCCCCACCCGCCCGGGGCCCTCGCCAAGTGGCTGCTAACAAAGCCCAGGGCCCGGCTGCGGGATGGTTGACTGACAAAGTCATGCCTGCCTAGCCAGCTTCCTCGTGCAGCACGGTGAAGGCTGGGGCGCCGGGTTTTTACTCCCACGTCCTGCCAACTCGAGCTGACAAGGCGGGCAATCCACCAGCGGGAGCGTTGGCAGGCCCGGGGTCAGATCCTGATTCAGCCAGTTAATTGGTAGGAGTGGGGCCCATTTGTAGAATGAAGGTGATAACTGCCTCGTGGGGTTATTGGCATTAAATGAAGAATGTAGGGAACCTAGCATGGTTCTTGATGTCTAGGAGGTGCTCGGTGAAGGGTGCCTATGATTCGCTTTGTCTTCTAAATACTTTTGGCAGCACTTGAGGTGTTAAAGTCTGTATCCCAGACTTTATTAGTCTTGTTGTTTTACGTGACTTAAGCGATTAGCTCAAACGCCCAAGTACAAAATGGGGCTAAACCCAGGTTTTCCGACACGATTCTACCTCCATGGCTCTATCTCCAGCTCCACCCAAGGCCTCCAAAATGGTGTTCTCCTAAAGTGACCAACAAAACACCAAGCTGTGTCATGGTGCCACTTTGGCGATGTGGTCTCTTAGGAGAGGGAATTCTAAGTAGTTAATTAGCTTGTTCCTTTCTACGTTGTAGTCTTGACCAAGGACAATGTGTTGGCATTTAATGCCACTGAAGATTTAAGAGACTAAGGAATCAGATCCTCTGAGATTCCTAAATCTGTGTAATAAAATGGGTTCTACACATAGCTATTCCAAAAAATTCAGTCAGATATTACTAACAAGATAGACAGATTATAATCTGTATGAAATTTCTAGGAGTAATAAAAATCAGAATAGACCCCGTAACCCCGAGTATGTGTCTAATTTTCTCAACTATAAAATAATTAAAACTAAAGGCCTTTCTCTTCCTCCCTTGGTGAATGCCCTTATGTGAATTCAGCTGACACACTCAGAATGACAAAGGAGTTAGAAATTCACATCAACAGCAATTGGTCCCAACTGACTCAAACCATGAGACTTCTGCCCTGCTAAGATACCTTGTCAGTATCTACCACTTTAGCAATTCTGGGTAAATGGGGGAAGAAAGAGCCAAATCAGCTCTTTTTTTTTTTTTCATTAAAAAGCAAATTTTTTTTAGAGCCAGTCTTGCCTTACGTAGCCCAGGCTGGAGTGCAGTGGCACAATCATGACTCACTGTAACCTCGAACTCCTGGCCTCAAGAGATCCTCCCATCTCAGCCTCCCAAGTAACTGGAACTAAAGGCACAGGCCACTCCACCTGGCCAATTTATTTTTAAAATTTTTTAGGGACGTGGTTCTACTGTGTTGCCCAGGTGGGTCTTGAACTCCTGGCCTCAAGCAATCCTCTGGCCTTGGTCTCCCAAAGCACCAGGATTACAGGTGTGAGCCACCAAACCCGGCCCAAATCAGCTCTTTATTCTAACTGGTGGTCTCACCGCAACAACACAAAATCTACAGCGTGCCAACTGTGCTTCAGCCGCTGGATGCACTAAGACAAAACTGTCTTGATCTACACAGTTGAGTTAGACTTAACAGTTCTCAGTAATCATGATAAAATAGGGACTATGTACCAAATGCTAGCCTAGGATATGGAACAACTAATTCTGCCTTTGGTAGCTAGGCCTCAGTAAGTTTTATCTCAGTATTCTGTGGGAAGGGCAGCAAAGGAGGAGGATCTGTATCATTTTTCTGTATTCAAGAGCTATGCATTTGATTATCATCTTAGCTGAATTACACATTGCAAGAAGTGCCTTTAAGCAATATGGTTTTTAGATATTTCAGTGACGGTATCATTCATGGTTCAGCACAAATATGTGTTTTTTACATTTCACTTTCTCTCCTTTCTAAAAGAAAGGAGTTTTTAAACCAGTGTTTACAAACTGCACTCTGTCCCCTTCTTCTAAGAAATAATATTTAAACAAATAATAGCAATCATTATTCTACATACCTTTAACCCAGCTTCACTTACAATGCAGCTCGTGGATGGCAGAGCTGTGTGTTGTCCGTGGTCAGACACACAGGAAGTCTGAATTGTTATCCTGTTCTGCCACTGAAATGTGTAAAATATAGGGGGAGTGTCCCAAGTCATTTTCCTAAAAGCATCATCCAACTATGTAAGTACTAAGGCCTGCATTTTTAAGAATAAGTCCTCTTCCAAATGATAAGGAAAGGGTTTTTGTTTGTTTGTTTTTGAGACAGGCTCTTGCTGTGTCACCCAGGCTGGAGTGCAGTGGTGCAGTCTCAGCTCACTGCAACCTCCACCTCCTAGGCTCTGGCAGTCCTCCCACCTTAGCCCCCTGAGTAGTTGGGACTACAGGTGGGCGCCACCACACCCAGCTAATTTTGGTATTTTTTCGTAGAGACGGGGTTTTGCCATGTTGCCCAGGCTGATCTCAAACTCCTGGGCTCAGGTGATCTGCCCGCCTTGGCCTCCCAAAGTGCTGGGGTTATAGGCATGAGCCACTGTGCCTGGCCACAGTGACAATTTTTCTTAGCAGCCAATGAGCCTTGGAAATTAATGTGTCTGGCTTTTCAACCACAAACAAACATAAAAAAAAAATGGCGAAAACATCGCTAATAAACAAAACCCACCTGATGTTGCTTGCCACTATCATGTTTGTTAATTTTTGTATCGGTGATTGAACCATTCACTTTTTTCTTCAGAATTATCATTCCTGAAACTGAAAGTATATAAGGACAGCCCTATTATTTATTGTTTTAAATGATGAAAAGAGAAACAGTCTGAAAAATGGAGAAATACTTACATGATTAAAAATGATTTTTAAACAAATATTTATTTGCTTTTTTAAAATGAAATTTGCGTGTCATCTTTGCACAGGGGCCATGCTAATCTTCTCTGTATCAGTCTAATTTTAGTGCATGTGCTGCTGAAACGAGCACGTTAAACAAATTTTTACCATTCATTTCATTCATCTTTTTTGAAGCCAGATTGACAAAATGTCCCTCATAAACTCATTTTCAAATAAGAAGAACAATTTTTAGGCCATGTGTGGTGGCTCACGCCTGTAATCCCAGCACTTTGGGTGGCTGAGGTGGGCAGATCACCTGGCGTTGGGAGTTCGAGACCAGCCTGGCTAACATGACGAAACCCTGTCTCTACTAAAAATACAAAAAATTAGCTGGGCATGGTGGCACATGCCTGTAATCCCAGCTACTAGGGAGGCTGAGGCAGGAGAATCACTTGAACCGGGGAGGCAGAGGTTGCAGTGAGCCAAGATCATGCCACTGCACTCCAGTCCGGGACACAGAGTGAGAGTCTGTCTCAAAAAAAAAAAGGAACAATTTAAAAAAACTAATTGCCAGTCTCTTACCTAAAGCCTCCTATACATTTCTATACATTGTATAAAGGTAAGGACAGACGCAGTGGCTCACGCCTGTAATCCCACCACTTTGGGAGGCTGAGGCAGGCAGATCACAAGGTCAGGGGATCGAGACTATCCTGGCTAACAGTGAAACCCAGTCTCTACTAAAAATACAAAAAAATTAGCCAGGCATGGTGGCGGGCACCTGTAGTCCCAGCTACTCGGGAGGCTGAGCCAGGAGAATGGCGTGAACCCAGGAGGCAGAGCTTGCAGTGAGCCAAGATCGCGCCACTGCACTCCAGCCTGGGTGACAGAGCGAGACTGTCTCAAAAAAAAAAAAAAATTGTATATTTGTGAAATTTTACTTGTCCTCCTCTCTATGCTTCTTCTATCTCCCTTTAAAGCTCCCTGTCAAGGTGACATTCTGAATGTGAAGCCTTAGCCTTTCCTAGAGCTTTCATAGTTTTTCAAAGATACTTGATCTCTTTACTCACATCAGCTAAAGAGACATTTTCTCACACTGTGCTTAAGAAAGAAGAGAGAAAGAAAGAAGGGGAGGGAGGGAGGGAAGGAGGGAGGGAAAGAAAGGAAAAGAAAAGAAAAGAGAAGAAAAGAAAAGAAAAAAGAGAAGAAAAATACCTACAGAACTGAGCTCTATACAGAGTTACCCTGATTCAGGCTGTTCTTTCTACATTTACAGGAGCTGAACACTGCCCCGAGAATGCAACAGAACTTCAGCTCTGTCCCAAGGTCGTCAGCCACAGCTCCAAGTTTCTTAGCATCAGCTTTTTCTGAACAAAATAGTGCATCCTGCTGGAATCACTACTGTAAACTGAGTATAAAGGAAAATAAACCCTCTTTTTCTTATCCACTATGTTCCCTACTCCCGTGCTTTTCCCAGTGCTCCAGGTTAGTAGAGGCAAAAGAATTCCCCACTGATGAGGTACTACATCCTACACAATTTGTTCCACACATTTTAATTTCATTAAGAGAAAACAAAGATGTTTAAACAGTGAGCACTAAATGGATTAGAGTGGCAGTAGTAAATTTCCTTTGTGCCTTTCTCTTAGAATTTAGAAAGCTTTAGTTGCAATCCCATTCAAAGCAATATGGGAGAGGCTTCCACAATGCCTGGCACAGAGTACGTGTGGAGGAAATGCTTATCATTTTAGATGCTTATTATTTTAAATGTTTAAATGTTTATTATTCTGAATCTGAATGGATGAGTCAAGTTGAACCAGGAAATAAACCATAGCAAACCACATATTCAAACCCAGATAAGTTCAGTGGTTAACTGCCCTGACTCTAAGCTCCCTTCACACTAAGGCTGCTCTATGGTAATATGATTCAGAAGAAATTACTTCCATTCTCATTTCACTTCTCTGTAACTGTTTGTAACAAATTGCTTGTGTCTCTGGTCCTTGGTTCCTTCCTTTGGTGGGAAAAATATTAGCACAATGACACAATATAATTCCCAGACTAGATAGCTAATACATTTTCTAACTTTTTATTTAGAAACAATTACAGATTTACATGAAGTTTCAAATGATGTGCCAGGATGTCCTATGTCACTTTCACATCAGTTCCCCCAATGGTAATATTACCGTATATATGAAACATTTTTCAGAGCGTGTGCCAGGCATCATGTTAAGCGCTTTTTCTTTTTTTTTCTTTTTTTCTTTTTTTTTTTTTTTTCTGAGATGGAATCTCGCTCCATCACCCAGGCTGGAGTGCAGTTGCACAATCTCAGCTTGCTGCAATCTCAGCTTGCTGCAACCTCCGCCTCCCGGGTACAAGCGATTCTCCTGTCTCAGCCTCCTGAGTAGCTGGGACTACAGGCGCCCACCACCATACTCAGCTAATTTTTGTATATATATATATATATTTTTTTTTTTTTTTTGTACAGACGGGGTTTCACCATGTTGGCCAGGCTGGTCTCAAACTCCTGACCTCAAGTGATCCACCTGCCTCGGCCCCCCAAAGTGGTGGGATTACAGGTGTGAGCCACCGCGTCCAGCCTGTTAAGCACTTTTATGTGCTTTCTGATTATTTAAAACAGCCCTGTGAAGTAGAAATTGATATTACCATTTTAAAAATAAAGGAAATCGAAGCTCAGAAAGGTTGGGTATTTTGACAAAGATCAAAAAGCAAATGACCTGGCACAGTGGCTCACACCTGTAATCCCAGCACTTTGGGAGGCCGAGGTGGGTGGATCATTTGAGGCCAGGGGTTCGAGACCAGCCTGGCCAACATGGTGAAACCCTGTCTCTACTAAAAATACAAAAGTTAGCTGGGTGTGGTGGCACATGCCTGTAATCCCAGCTACTCGGGAGGCTGAGGCATTAGAATCTCTTGAACCCAGGAGGTGGAGTTTGCAGTGAGCCGAGATCACACCACTGCACTCTGGCCTGGGTGACAGAGTGAGACTGTCTCAAAAAAAAAAAAAAAAAAGAAAAGAAAGAAAGCAAGCAAGCAAGCAAATAGGGGAATTAGTATTCAAACACTGGAATCCTGATTCTAAATAATGGCAATAGCGTTTGCGTATCCTCACATTCATAGCTTTTCTGTCAAAATGGTCCTTCGTCAACTTCTTTCGCATTAAGAGAACTTCTAGTCTTTCAACATGTATGGTCTTGGTATAATCTCTAATTCCATCTAAGTTATCACTGTTCCCTGAGGATTTTGTCATTGAAACATTTTAGGAGTCACCTCTTCACTCCGTTTCTCACTCAATATCCTGACCAAGATATTAACCACTTCAAAACCATACTAATAACTTTTTAACTAGCCTGTTTCAATTATTCTGGCCAAGTATACAAAAATTATCTTTCTCATATAATATTTTGTTCATCACAATTCTGTGAAATTCCCAAGCAAGTGCCTTAACAGTGTCCTCTCACCAGCTGCCCTTGGCTTGAATGGCTGCAGTTTGCCACCATTTCATTATTCGGACAAATCATCCAGGTAGACAATCTTGAACTCAGGTGCCAACTCACTTCTCCCTCAAACGATGTTCTTGGTTTTTTAGGAGGTTTTGTTGTTGCTGCTGCTTGTAGGTATGTGGCAGGTGTTGGGAGGGGTGGAATTCTACATATTTTTTTTTTTTTGAGATGCGGTCTCACTTTGTTGCCCAGGCTAGTCTTGAACTGCTGGGTTCAAGCAATCCTCCCACTTTGGCCTCCCAAAGAGCTGGGATTACAGGTGTGAACCACCATGGCCGGCCGGAATTCTACATCTTTGTAACATTTATTCTTTTCTGAATTTTCCAATTACAAAAATACATGTTTTTGGAGTGCCCAGAAAAGTATAAAGAAAAAACTAAAATCTCCAAAAATTTAGAGATAATACCCCCAAACAGTTTATGTTTACCTATTTTTTAAAGCTTTCAAAGTCCTATATTTAAAAAAGTTTAGCCTAGGCCGGGCGCGGTGGCTCACGCCTGTAATCCCAGCACTTTGGGAGGCTGAGGTGGGCGGATCACGAGGTCAGGAGATTGAAACCACCCTGGCTAACATGGTGAAACCCCGTCTCTACTAAAAATGCAAAAAATTAGCCGGGCGTGATGGCGGGCGCCTGTAGTCCCAGCTACTCGGGAGGCTGAGGCAGGAGAATGGCATTAATCTGGGAGGCGAAGCTTGCAGTGAGCCAAGATCGCGCCACTGCACTCCAGCCTGGGCGACAGTGGGAGACTCCGTCTTGGGGGGAAAAAAGAAAAAAAAGTTTAGCCGGGCGTGGTGGCTCATGCCTGTAATCCCAGCACTTTGGGAGGCTGAGGAGGGTGGATCACCTAAGGTCAGGAGCTTGAGACCATCCTGACCAACATGGTGAAACCCTGTCTCTACTAAATAATAATAAAAAATTAGCCAGGTGTGGTGGCACATGCCTGTAATCTCAGCTACTTGGGAGGCTGAGGCAGGAGAATCTCTTGAACCTGGGAGGCAGAGGTTGCAGTGAGCCGAGATTGTGCCATTGCACTCCAGCCTGGGCAAAAAGAGCAAAACTCCGTTTAAAACAACAACAACAACAAAAAAAAACAAAAAACCCCAAAACTTTAAATAGCTTTATTGAGATATAAATTATAGACTATAAAATTTACCCATTTAGCTGGGCGAGGTGGCCAATGCCTGTAATCCCAACACTTTGGGAGACCAAGGCAGGCGGATTGCTTGAGCCCAAGAGTTCAAGACCAGCCTAGGCAACATGGTGCGGCCCCATCTCTACAAAAAATGCAAAAATTAGCTGGGTGTGGTGATGCACGCCTGTAGTCCCAGCTGCTCAGGAGGCTGAGGTGGGAGGATGGATTGAACCCAGGAGGTGGAGGCTGTAGTGAGTTGTGCTCGTGCCACTGCACTCCAGCCTGGGTGGCAGAATAAGACCCTGCCTCAAAAAAATAATAATAATAAATAAAATAAAATGTACCTATTTAAAATGTACAATTCTTTAGTTTTTAGAATATTCAGTTATGTGACCATCACATCTAATTTGAGAACATTTTCATAACCCCAGAAAGAAACACGTATCATTAACAGTCACTCCTGATTGCCACTACAACAACCCCGGTTCTGCGTAACCAGTAATGTATTTTCTGTCCCTATGGATTTCTCTATTCTGGACATTTCACATAAATGGATTTGTATAATACGTGGTCTTTTGTGACTGGCTTCTTTCACTTAGCTGAATGTGTTTAATATTCATCTATGTTTTAGCATGTATCAGTATTTCATTCTTTTTTTAAAAAATTCTTTTTATTAATGTCTATTGTCCGTTGTATGGATATATCACATTTTATTTATCCCTTCACCAGCTGATGGACATTTGGATTATTTCCTTGTTTTAGTTATTATGAATAAGGCTGCTATAAACATTCATCTACAAGTTTTTGTGTGGATATATGCTTTCAATTCTCTTGGTTATATCCCGAGAAGTGGAATTGCTGGGTTGTGTGTTTTTTTCATTTGTTTGTTGTGTTTTATTTGAAACAGGGTCTCACTCTGTTGCCTAAGTTGAAGTGCAGTGGCACAATCAAGGCTCACTGCAGCCTTGGCTGGGTTATCTGTTAACTCCATCTTTTTTTTTTTTTTTTTTTTTTGAGATGGAGTCTTGCACTGTCGCCCAGGCTGGAGTGCAGTGGTGTGATCTTGGCTCACTGCAACCTCCACCTCCCAGGTTCACGTCATTCTCCTGCCTCAGCCTCCCGAGTAGCTGGGACTACAGGTGCCCGCCACCACGCCCAGCTAATTTTTTGTAGTTTTAGTAGAGACGGGGTTTCACCGTGTTAGCCAGGATGGTCTCGATCTCCTGACCTCGTGATCCGCCCGCCTCGGCCTCCCAAAGTGCTAAGATTACAGGTGTGAGCCACCGCGCCCGGCTGTTAACTCCATCTTTACTACTTTGAGGAACTGGCAATTGTTGTCCAATGCATCCACGCTATTTTGCATTTTCATTAGCAATGTATGAGGGTTCTAATTTCTCCACATCTTCCTACGTAAAATGTGTCTCATCCAAAGTTAAGCTGTCAGTATTCACAAATGACATGATTATATATGTAGAAGATACAAGAATCTACAAATAAACTATAAGAAGTGAAAATAGGTATCCTAGCACTTTGGGATGACGAGGCGGGCGGATCACGTGGTCAGGAGATTGAGACCATCCTGGCTAACACAGTGAAACCTCATCTCTACTAAAAATACAAAAAATTAGCCGGGCATGGTGGCGGGCGCCTGTGGTTCCAGCTATTCAGGAGGCTGAGGCAGGAGAATGGCATGAACCCGGGAGGCGGAGCTTGCAGTGAGTCGAGATCATGCCACCGCACTCCAGCCTGGGCGACAGAGTGAGACTCCGTCTCCAAAAAAAAAAAAAAAAAAAAAAAAAGTGAAAATAGGCTGAGTGTGGTGGCTCACACCTATAATCCCAGCACTTTGGGAGGCCAAGGCAGTAGAACCACTTGAGGCCAGGAGTTCAAGACCAGCCTAAACAATATAGCAAGACCCATTTCTAAAAAAATGTAAAAAATAGCCATGTGTGGCAGCGCATGCCTGTAGTACTAGCTACTCAGAAAACTGAGGTGGGAGGATTACTTGAAGCCCAGGAGTTCGACGCTGCAGTGAGCTATGATCATGCCACTGCACTCCAGCCTGAGTGACAGAGCAAGACTTTATCTCAAAATAATAATAATAAACTTAAAGTTTAAAAGTAAATTTAGCAGTCATTAGACACAAGATCAGTTCTATATCTATTATATAACTACTCAATAATTATAAATAGAATTAAAAATTTTAATGTTACTTGCAATAGCATTAAGAAGGTTGAATCCTCAAAATGAATCCTAATGAAAGATGTGCAGGACCATTACATAGAAAACTATAAAACATTATCAAAGAATTTAACTTGATGAATTCTTAAGAAAATGATAGCCTGGCTGGTCGTGGTGGCTCACACATGTAATCCCAGCACTTTGGGAGGCCGAGGTGGGCAGATCACCTGAGGTCAGGAGTTCGAGACCAGCCTGGCCAACATGATGAAACCCCTGTCTCTACTAAAAATACAAAAATTAGCTGGGCGTGGTGGTGGGTACCTGTAATCCCAGCTACTCTGGAGGCTGAGACAGGAGAATCTCTTGAACCCAGGAGGCGGAGGTTGCAGTGAGCCGAGATTGCACCACTGCACTCCAGCCTGAGTGACAGAGCGAGACTCCATCTAAAAAACAAAAAAAGAAAATGATAGGCTACATCAAGACCACAGATTAGAAAGCTCAATTTTATGAAAGGTCAATTGTCTTTCAAACTGATTTATAGATTCAATTCATTCCTGATTAAAATCTGAGCCAATTTTGTTGTTGTCGTTATTGTTGTTGTTGTTTTGAGATGGAGTCTTGCTCTGTCTCCTAGGCTGGAATGCAGTGGTGCGATCTTGGCTCACTGCAACCCCCGCCTCCCAGCTTCAAGCAATTCTCCTACCTCAGCCTCCCGAGTAGCTGGGATTATAGGCTTGTGCCACCATACCCATCTAATATTTGTACTTTTAGTAGAGACGGGGTTTCACAATGTTGGCCAGGCTGGTCTTGAACTCCTGATCTCAGGTGATCCACCACCTTGGCCTCCCAAAGTGCTGGGATTACAGGTGTGAGCCACTGTGCCCGGCCTAGATTTTTTTTATGGGTGGCCAGAAGTCTGACACGGATCTCACTGAGTTAAAGTCAGGGTGTCAGCAGGGCTGCATTCCTTTCTGGAAGCCCTAGGGTAGAATGCATTTCCTCTCCTTTTCCAGCTTCTAGATACCTCAACTTTCAGTGACTCATGGCCTCCTTTCTTCATCTTCAGCAACATTGCATCTCTCTGACCCTTTCTCCAAAGTCATGTCACCCTCTGTCTCTTTTTCTTTCTTCCACTTTTAAGGACTTTATTTATTTATTTATTTATTTATGAGACAGAGTCTCACTCTGTCACCCAGGCTGGAGTGCAGTGGCACAATCACTGCAACCTCTGCCTTCTGGGTTCAAGTGATTCTCCTGCCTCAGCCTCTCAAGTAGCTGGAATTACAGGCGCATGCCACCACACCCGGCTAATTTTTATTTTTGTATTTTCAGCAGAGATGGGATTTCACCATGTTGGCCAGGCTGGTCTCAAACTCCTGACCTCAAGTGATCCATCTGCCTTGGCCTCCCAGAGTGTTGGGATTACAGGCGTGAGCCACTGCGCCTGGCACTTTTAAGGACTTTATGATGACATAAAGTTGATAGTGGATATTGACTACCTGATTCTAAAGGTATATGCAGAAATGCAAAGGGTCAAGCCAAGAACAACCAATTTCAAAGAACAGCCACCAAGTGGGAGAAACTTACCCTGCTGGACATCTAGACTTACATTAAAGCTGCAATAACTAAGACAGTGCAGTGTTGGAGTGAACATAAACAAATAGACCAATAAAGCAAAATGAAGAGTACAGAAACAGGCTCACACATATATCAATACCTGATTTATGACAATAGTAGGTATGTAGAGAACTAAAAGACAAAAGTAGCACCATAAAGCTGTGGGAGAAAGCTGAGGCTGGGAGGGTTGGAGTGCCATATGAGACAAAAAAAAAAAAAGCAAATTGGTCGCTACCTTGCTTCATACACAAAAACCAATTCCAGATGAATTTAGTTACAAATAAGAAAGGTAAAAAAATAAAGCTTTGCAAGATAACATAGGCTGGGCATGGTGGCTCATGCCTGTAATCCCAGCACTTTGGGAGGCCGAGGTGGGCAGATCACTTGAGGTCAGGAGTTCAAAACCAGCTTGGCCAACATGGTGAAACCCTGTCTCTACTAAAAATACAAAAAAAATTTAGCTGGGCATGGTGGTGGGCATCTGTAATCTCAGCTACTTGGGAAGCTGAGGCATGAGAATCACTTGAACCTGGGAGGCGGAGGTTGCAGTGAGCTGAGATCATGCCACTGCACTCCAGCCTGGGCAACAAAGTGATGCTGTGTCTCAAAAAAAAAAAAAAAAGAAAAAAAAGAAAGAAAGAAAAATGACAAAAGAAAAAGATAACATAGGGGAATATCTTCTTGGCCTTGGGGTATGGAATGATTTCTTTCTTTCTTTTCTTTTCTTTTTTTTTTAATTACTAGAGGCAGGGTCTAACTATGTTTCTCAGATTGGTCTCGAACTCCTGGGCTCAAGCAATCCTCCTGCCTCAGCCTCCCACAGTGCTGGGATTACAGGCATTAGCCACCACACCCAGCAGAGAATGATTCCTTAAACAGACACATAACACTGACCATGAAGGAAAAGATAAGTTGAATGATGTTAAAATTAAGAAGTTATGTTAGACAAAGACACTATTAACAGAATGAAAACACAAGCTATAAAGTGGAATATATCTGCAATACACATAACTGAAAAAAGGTTTATATTCAGAATATACAAAGACCTATAAACCAATGAGAAAAAGACTGACAACCTGGTAGGCAAATTGGCAGTATGTATGAACAGGTACTTTATAAAAGAGAATATCTACGTGGCTAAAAACCGTATGAAAAGGTGCTCAAGCTCATTTCTCATCAGGGAAACATAAACACCATAATGAGATACCATAACACATCCACCAGAATAGCAAAAAACTCAAAACACAGACAATGTGTTGAGAATGTGGAGTCTCTTAGTTTTCTGTTGATGCTGTAACAAACTACCACAAACTTAGGGGCTTAAAACAACTCAAATATGTTATCTTACAGTTCTGTAGGTCAGAAGTCTGACACGGATCTCACTGAGTTAAAGTCAGAGTGTCAGCAGGGCTGCATTCTTTTCTGGAAGCCCTAGGGGAGAACGCATTTCCTTTCCTTTTCCAGCTTCTAGATACCTCCACTTTCTGTGACTCATGGCCTCCTTTCTTCATCTTCAGCATTGTTGCATCTCTCTGTCCCTTTCTCCACAGTTATGTCACCCTCTAACTCTCTTCCTCTCTCTTTTACCTTAAGAAATTTACGATGGCATTAGGTTCACCTGTCTAAACAAGGATCATCTCCCCTTGTCAATAGCTTTAATTTAATCACAGCTGCAAAGACCCTGTTGCCAGGGGCGGTAACATATTCACGGGTTCTTGGGTTGAGAATATGGACGTTATTCTGCCTACCACATGGAACAACACAGCTTTCTTTTTTTCTTTCTTTTCTTTTTTTTTTTTTTTTTTGAGACAGAATCTCACTCTGTCACCCAGGCTGGAGTGCAGTGGCGCAATCTTGGCTCACTGCAACCTCAGCCACCCAGGTTCAAGCAATTCTCCTGCCTCAGCCTCCCAAGTAGCTGGGACTACAGGCATGCACCACTATGCTCGGCTAATTTTTGTATTTGTAGTAGAGATGGGGTTTCACCATATGGGCCAGGCTGGTCTCGAACTCCTGACTTCAGATGATCCACCCACCTTAGCCTCCCAGAGTGCTGGGATTACAGGTGTGAGCCACCACTCCCGGCCTAACACAGCTATCATACAATCCTCTTTGGAATGTAAATTGGTACAACCGTTTTAGAAAATATTTGGCAATATCTACCAAAGCTGAACACATGCAGAACCTATGATCTAACAATTCCACTCCAAAAAATGTGTGCACATCACCATTATTTGTTTAAAAAACACCCAGACTAGAAGAAATCCTAGTGTCCATCAACATTTAGAATGGATGAATAAAATTGTGGTATATTCATATTGTGGAAACTATATAAAAATGAAAGTGAATAAACAACTGCCACACTTCATGAAATGAACAAATATCACCAACATAATGTTAACTGAAGCCGGACACTGAAGAATACATTCTGTGTGATTCCATTTGTTCAAATTTTTAAAACTGGCAAAACTAACCTTGGTGTTATTAGTCAGTTTAGAGGTGACCTTGCCGATGGGATGGAAAATGACTCCAGGCCTGGAGCAGGGCTTCTGGGTCTTGGGGATGTTCCAGTTGTTTTTTTGTTTGTGTTTTGCTTTTTTAGACGGAGTCTCATTTTGTCACCCAGGCTGGAGTGCAGTGGCACAATCTTTGCTCACTGTAGCCTCCGCCTCCTGGGTTCAAGCAATTCTCCCACCTCAGCCACCTGAGTAGCTGAGACTACAGGCATGTGCCACCACACCTGGCTAATTTTTGTATTTTTCATAGAGATAGGGTTTGGTCATATTTTCCAGGCTGGTCTCCAACTCCTGACCTCAGTGATCCGCACGCCTCGGCCTCCCAAAGTGCTGGTTTACAGGAGTGAGCCACTGTGCCCAGCCAGGAAAGTTCCAGTTCTTAATCTGCATATGTGTGAACCGCTGTGATAATTTTTCATGCTGTATCATATGATTTGGGGATTACTTTTTCTTATAAAAGTTGCAGATACCAAGATGAAATTGCTTTAGTCAGACCCAGACAAAATAGGGCTGAGAAGACAAAGGGGCTCAGGCTTGCATCTCAAATAAGAACTGTTTCCCAGCACTTTCTAAAAACCCACAAGAAATCCCTCCACATCCTACATGCATCTCCTGCTTTGCATGGCTTGCATATTTGGCGCGTATACACGTTATTTCTTTCTCTTTTTTTTTTGAGATAGGGTCTCGCTGTGTCACCCAGGCTGGAATGCAGTGGCACAATGATAGCTCACTGCAGCCTCAAACTTCTGGGCTCAAGGGATCCTCCCACCTGAGCTTCCTGAGTAGCTGGGACTACAGGCGCACACCACCACATGCTGCCAATTTTTAAAAATTTTTGTAGAGACAGTGTCTGGCTGTGTTGCCCAGCCTGATCTCAAACTCATGGCCTCAAGCGATCCTCCTGCCTCGGCCTCCCAAAGTGCTGAGATTACAACCATGAACCACCACGCCTAGCCTAAACATGTATTTTTATGACAAAGTTTATCACTAGACATTCTTTAGGACTGCAGTAATTGAGATAAGATGCTCTCAAAAGAACACTTGTTCAATAACACCATCTTCACCAATGAACTGACGACAACTCACTTTGAGCCTCTGGAACCAATTAGCTCAGTTTCTAAGCAGCTTATGTAAACTTCTCCCTTTCAGCCAATAGAACTTCCCTTTGCCCTTCCCCAGCTGGCTGCATTTGTGGCTTGCTGTTTTGTGCATCCAGATTATAATCCTCTTTTCTCATTCCCAGATAAACTCAACATATTTGGAGACATTTTTCTGTAATGTCTTTTTTTAGAGTGATATTCTGTATGCATATTTTACTTTTGATTTATAAAAGTGTGTTAAGAAACAAAAAAAATTGCCTCATCCAGAAAGACTTGTGTGACAATATATAGCCCGGCACCAACACCTAAGAATTTCAAAAACTGAGTTTTTCTCTGTATCATCTTCAGGAAAAAAATGAAGAAGAAGAGGAGAAAGAATAAGAGGATGAAGAGGGGAGGAATAGAAAAAGAAAATGTTTACCTGATTTACTATGATTATTTAATACTAATTATTTTGCTTTTTGCAATAAAGTGTTGCAAAACTTTGCCTTTCCCCAGGCAAATGGGAGAAATAAGTGTGCACCTTATCTTTTTTTTCCTATCCACCGTTTCTCTCTCGCCCTTCACTTTTTCCATCCCCTTTAAGTCTTCAACCTACCTTCCCTCAGCTGCGAGTTTAGAATTATCTGTCTCTCCCTGCACCTCCAGCCCCTTGGGTAGATACCACTAGTGAACTGGGACTACAGTAGCGTCCTGATTAAATCAAAGATACTTAGTCCTCTAACCTGAAAGTTGAGAGAAAAGGAAATCCTTAATGCTAGCTGTGTGACAACCACTCATCTCCGTGTGACCCGCACCTGGGCAGTGTGGGGAGGTAAGCGGGGTCTCTGCAGCCAGGCAGCTGCCACGGACACTGGCTTTGCCACTTTCAGATGTGTGGTCTTTGAGCAATTACTTCACGTCTTTCTTTTCTTTATTTCCACCATTTACTCTTTTATTAGTCATTCATTCAACACTTTTGGGGGATAAAGTGATGAACAAACCACACATAATTCCTGCACTCAGAAATTTAAAATTCTAGTTCAAACTTTCTCTTAATTTACACGACAAGGAAACCAAGGTGCAGAGAGCCATTTGTTCAAGGTAGCAACAGGAGTCAGGAGCAGGGTTGGGGGTGGGAGCCATGGCTTTTGACTTCTTATCTAGACAGAACTCATGATCTCTTTTTTCCCTGTGCCATTTTAGCAGTTGTAACTTTTGCTTGGTAATTAAAATACAATATTTATTTTGAATAGGATAAACACGTACAGTTGTTCCTTGGTATCTGGAGGGGATTGGTGCCAGGACCCCCATCAAATACCAAAATCCTGAAATGCTCACGTTTGTTATATGAAATGTTACCGTATTTGCATGTAAACTACGCACATCCTCTTGTACACTTTAAATCGTCTCGAGATTACTTATAATAACTAATACAATATAAATGCTGGGCAAACAGTTAAAATTTGTTTTTAAAATTATCGTTATTATTATTATTTTGAAACAGAGTCTCGCTCTGTTGCCTGGGCTGGAGTGCATTGGAGCGATCTCGGCTCACTGCAACCTTTGCTCCCCAGATTCTCCTGTCTCAGCCTCCCGAGTAGCTGGGACTACAGGCGCGCGCCACTACGCCCGGCTAATTTTTGTATTTTTAGCAGAGGTGAGTTTTCACTGTGTTGGCCAGGCTGGTCTTGAGCTCCTGGCCTCAAGTGATCTGCCTGCCTTGGCCTCCCAAAGTTCTGGGATTACAGACATGAGCCACCATGCCCAAACTGTTTTTAAAATTATATAGTTAGGTTTTTCGTTTTTTTCCCAAATACTTTTGATCTGCAGTTGGGTGAATTGCTTCACCTCTTTCTGATTTGGTTTCTGCATTTGTAAAATGAATATAATAAAAGTGCCTTTCTCATTGGGCCATTGTGAGGATTGAAGGGAGTAATACCTGTAAAGTGCTGAGACAGTGGCTGGTACATGGTATAAACTCAGTAAGTAAACCAATAGAGAACTTATTAAACAATCACTCATTCTGAGCAACCAAAGTTAGTGACGTAGGCAGCAATGTTAGTAGATCAAGCTGAATTCCTATTAACTTTGTCACCGATGGCTTTCTATTTTTAGCCGTCACTGCTTTTATGAAATGGAAATGCCATCCCCCACATTTAATGGCACTTAAGATGGGCTGGGATTCACAGGTTCACAAAGCTCTCATTCCTATCTTTCCACCATTTAAAAAATAAAATAGTGCATATATTAGGAAAGTGATGGCATCTGACTTCAGTGGTTTAATCTCAGCTTTAATTTCACAGCCTTGGAAGGCTAAGCAGCCCCGTGCTGCTTCAACATCATTTCTAGCATGTGGGATTCTGCTGCTTGGTGATCAGGTAAGTACACAGGTTATCATCATATTTAGTTGCAGTGAAATCTCATAGGAATAACCATGGCGTGGATTTGTTATTAGTATTTGAATATAACCTTTGAAATATAATTAAGCATTCTAAATATAACACAGAGTGAAATCTCCTTATGTGCTTCCTATGTTGAAATTCTGTCAATTAAAGTTCAACATAAGTTTATAATTGCGTGGGAAACTGCTGCAATATTAATACATATTTAGAAAGCTGTTATTTAAAATAGTGTTTTAGGTAGTCAGTTTTAGAATGAATGCTATATAGTAGTGAAGCCAATACATATTTATAAAAATTTAATTAATCACATAAGGTAACATAATCATGATTATATCATGATTCCAATCTTCTCAGAATTGTTATACTTGCATTTTTTTTTTTTTTGAGACAATGTCTTGTTCTGTTGCCCAGGCTGGAGTGCAGTGGCACGATTACAGCTCACTGTGGCCTTGACCTCCCAGGCCCAGGTGATCCTCTCACCTCAGCCTCTTGAGTAGCTGGGACTACAGGTGTGTACCACCATGCCTGGCTAATTTTTTGTACTTTTGTAGAGACAGGTTTTCCCAATGTTGCCCAGGCTGGTCTTTAACTCCTGGGCTCAAGCAATCTGCCTGCCTTGGCCTCCCAAAGTGCTGGGATTACAGACATGAGCCACCGCGCCTGGCCCTATACTTGCAATTTTACCATTAAACAAAATAATCTGTAAGAACTGTATGTTAAATTTTTAAAAATGTCTTTTAGACCAAAAGTCTTTTTTCTTAAGTTCTATTTGAAAAATTCTTTACATATCACGAGAATGAGATATTAAAAGCATAATGTCAATTTTGCCATCTCAGTTTTACAGGGAGAAAAAAAGTACAAAACAACATACGTTAAATCCATAATGAACATTTTTTATTCCAGATACATACACTAAAAAGCTTGAACAATAGGGAAAAAAGGAAGTGTTAGAGAAAAATTAGGTAGCCCACATTTTGTTCCTTCTAATAAACTTAAAAAAACAGATGTCATAAGAATGTTTTCTCATAGATTTGAGTTCATCAAACTAAACATTAAACATAAAAACTAAACATTAAAAGGCTTGCCTAAATGTTTGCTGTGTTCTTCCAACTGTTTTTTGGTAGTTGAAGTTAAAAAGTACTTTTGAGATTTTCCCAGTCTTGGTACATAGTTCCTTTGAGAAAATACAGCACTGAAGTCCCTTTCTTGAGTTATATTCAATTGTGGATGAAGGATTGGTGCCATCGTCCAATGTGCTGGTGACAATCTTGTCTCATAAAGGTGCACTTGAGTGACTACAGACGCGAATTCACAGCTGACAGCTTTGACAAATTTTGTTCCTACACAATAATGTCAAACTTTAAAACATTGGTTATTAAAATATGTAAGGGTAAAATTATAATCTTAATTAAATTTTTTGATAACATGCCATTTATCTTTGTACTTGAGAAGCTTAATCTGTGACGGTGGTATTCAACTTCTGCTTCTGCTTTGACAGAACCTGGATCTCTCTTAGCTTTGGCTGAATATTGTTTTTAAGATTTGGTAATTTGGGCCAGGCGTGGTGGCTCATGCCTGTAATCCGTGCACTTCGGGAGGCCGAAGCAGGCGGATCACCTGAGGTCAGGAGTTCGAGACCAGCCTAGCCAACATGATGAAACCCTGTCTCTATTAAAAATACAAAAACTTAGCCGGACGTGGTGGCAGGCACCTGTAATCCCAGCTTCTCAGGAGGCTGAGGCAGGAGAATTGCTTGAACCTGGGAGGTGGAGGTTGCAGTGAGCCAAGATTGTGCCACTGCACTCCAGCCTGGATGACAAGAGCAAAACTCCATCTGGAAAAAAAAATTTGGTCTTTGGCATTTGGCCATGATACATATTCAGTGTACTGTTCAAATCATATATATATGATTTATATATATTCAATATATTAAATATATTCATTTATATGTTCAATCTATGTACAATATAAATGAATATATTGGATATATAAATATGTATAATATATAATATATGATTTATATTTATGTATAGTACTTTATGTACATTTATATATTTCTTAAATAACTTATCTACAGTTTCTTTACATTTTTCCTCAACATCTGCAAAATCAATGTGGGTTGATAAAGGTCTAGTCTGTATTAAGACAGAAATATTGGCTGGGTGCGGTGGCTCATGCCTGTAATCCCAGCACTTTGGGAGGCTGAGGTGGGCAGATCACCTGAGGCCAGTAGTTCCAGACCAGCCTGGCCAACATGGCGAAACCCCGTCTCTACTAAAAATATAAAAATTAGCCGGGCATGGTGGAGCACGCCTGCAGTCCCAGCTACTCTGGGGGCTGAGGCAGAAGAATCACTTGAACCCGGGAGGCAGAGGTTGTAGTGAGCTGAGATCATACCACTGCACTCTAGCCTGGGCGACAGAGCGAGATTCCATCTCAAAAAAAAAAACAAAAAACAAGAAAACCCTAGAATATTTTATGATTATATTAAGAACTATAAGAAGTGCGCTTCCTTGAATGACTAAAAATTATTTTATATTTTTAATGGACAAAAGGCTCAAATAGACATGTCTTCAAAGAGGGTATATGAATGGCCAATAAGCGCATGAGAAGATGCTCAATACCGCTATAAGGGAAATGCAAATCAAAAGCACAAGGAGCTATCACTTCATACCCGTTAGGATGCTATATTAGTCCGTTTTTATGCTGCTAATTACCCACGACTGGGTAATTTATAAAGGAAGGAGATTTGATTGACTTGGTTCAGCGTGGCTGGGAAGGCCTCAGAAAACTTACAATCATGGTGGAAGGGGAAGCAAACACGTCCTTCTTCACATGGCAGTGGCAAAGATAATTGCTGAGCAAATGAGAGAAAAGCCCCTTAAAACCATCACATCTTGTGAGAACTCACTCACTATCACGAGGACAGGATAGGGGAAATGACCCCCATGATTCAATTATCTTCTACCATGTCCCTCCCATGACATGTGGGGATTATGGGAACTACAAGATGAGATTTGGGTGGGGACACAGCCATACCGTATCAAATGGCTATTATAAATAACAAATGAACAGAAAATAAAAAGTGCTGGTGAAGATGTGGAAAAATTGGAACCTTTTTGCATTGCTGGTAGAAATATAAGATGGCACAGCTGCTGTGGAAGACAGGATGGTGGCTCCTCAAAAGATTCAACATAGAAATAACCATATGATCCAGCAATTCCACTTCTAGGTAACTACTCAAAATAACTAAAAGCCGGGACCCTAAAAAATATTTGTACATCCATTGTATTAGGCCATTCTTGCATTGCTATAAAGAAATACCTGAGGCTGGATGATGTAAAAAGAAAAGAGGTTAAATTGTCTCAAGGTTCTGCAGACTGTACAGGAAGCATGGTGCCAGCATCTACTTGGTTTCTGGGGAGGCCTCAGGGAGCTTTTACTCATGGTGAAAGGTGAAGTGGGAGCAGGCACTTCACATGGCGAAAACAGGAGCAAGTGAGCGAGAGAGAGAGACAGAGAGTTGTGGGGGAGGTGCCACACACTATAAAATGACCAGATCTTCTGAGAACTCACTCACTGTCAACAAGACAGTACCAAGCCATGAGGAATCCACCCCCATGAGCCAAACATCTCCTACCAGGCCCCACCTCCAGGACTGGGGAATACAATTCAACATGAGATTTGGGTGGGGACAAATATTCAGACTATGTCACCTATATGCTCATAGCAGTATTATTCACAACAGCCAAAAGGTGGAAACAGCCAAGTGTTCATTGATAGACGAATGAATAAACAAAATGTGGCATATCTATACAATGGAATGAGACTCAGCTTTTAAGAGGAAGGAAATTCTCACACAGGCTACATCATGGATGGAACTTGAGGACATAACGGTAAGTGAAATAAACCAGTTACAAAAGGACAGATACTGTATGATGCCACTCAGATGAGGTGCCTATAGTAGTCAAATTGATGGAGAAAGGAAGAATGGGGCCGAGCACAGTGACTCACACCTATAATCCCAGCACTTTGGGGAGGCCGAGGTGGGCGGATCACATGAAGTCAGGAGTTCAAGATCAGTCTGGCTAACATGGTGAAACCCCATCTCTACTAAAAATACAAAAATTAGCCGGGCCTGGTGTTGTACGCCTGTAATCCCAGCTACTCAGGAGGCTGAGACAGGAGAATTGCTTGAACCGGGAAGCAGAGGTTGTGGTGAGCCAAGATCATGCCACTGCACTCCAGCCTGGGTGACAGAGCAAGACTCCATCTCAAAAAAAAAATAAAGAAAGAAAGAAGAAAGAGAGAGAGAGGAAGGAAGGAAGGAAGGAAGGGAAGAAAGGAAAGAAGGAAGGAAGGGAAGGAAGGAAAGAAGGAAGGAAGGAAGGAAGAGAGAGAGAGAAAGAAAAAAAGAAAGAAAGAAAGAAAGAAAGAAAGAAAGAAAAAAAGAAAGAAAGAAAGAAAAAGAAAGAAAGAATAGTGGATGCCCAGGGTAGGGGGTAAGGGGGAGCAAGTAATGGGAGTTTAACGGGTACAGAGCTTCAGTTGGGGAAGATGAAAAAGTTCCATCCAAGACAAGTACACTCCTTTAGGTCCAGGGCTAGGACGTCTAAAAGGATGAAGGATGTATCCACACCAGAGACTTCAAGGGGGATCCCAAGGTCAAAAACTGAGTTACATGAAAGCTTAAGGCTGCAGCACCCCCAGATACCTGAGTTCCTCCTGGTGCAGGCTCCCATCCTCTGCTTGAAGCTTCTTTGCCACCTGACCACCCTAGTCTTCACCCCGTAGCCTGTGCCTGGGGTGTTTCTCTCTGACGTAGCCCTGGGTGTCTGACCCATTGGTCAATCTCCATGACTGCAGATCAGCTCTCAAGAATGCTGTGCCTTGGGGTCTATGCAGGCCTCTGGACTCAAGCTCTGAAACGCTGTAAACCAATCCTGTCCGGCGAGCCCTGGCCCCACTCATTCTTTTAGGACAGGGTTTAGCATCATTCTTGTTAAACAGTATCAGTGCTCACTAGAGACACTGAAGGTTCACGTGGGAAACATATATTATTTGAAAAAAAGGGCAAATAAGTTTTCACTTTTATCTCAACTCTCAGGAAGTCCTGGTCTCAAAGCAGGCAAATGCCCAAGAAACCAGGCTTATGACACAAGTGTTATTCACGCAGAAAACAATTTACAGAGTGCCTGTGCTCCAGTATTAGTGTTCTGTAAGGGTAAAAAGCGTTCAAGGAGTTCACAGTCTAGGCCAGAAGAAGCGGCTTGCGAAAGTAGTGGTTTGCTGCTGTAATCTTACCACTTTGGGTTCAGGAGGCCAAGGCAGGAGGATGACTTGAGGCTAGGAGTCTGGGACCAGCCTGGGCAACATAGCGAGACTCTGTCTCTACAAAAATTAAAAAATTAGGCCAGGCATGGTGGCTTACACCTGTAATCCCAGCACTTTGGGAGGCCAAGGCAGGTGGATCACAAGGTCAGGAGTTTGAGACCAGCCTGGCCAACATAGTGAAACCCCATCTCTACTTAAAATACAAAAAATTAGCCAGGCATGGTGGTGGGCACCTGTAACCCCATCTACTCTGCAGGCTGAGGCAGGAGAATTGCTTGAACCTAGGAGGTGGAGGTTGCAGTGAGCCAAGATCACGCCATTGTACTTCAGCCCAGGTGATAGTGCAAGACTCCGTCTCAAATAAAATAAAATAAAATAAAATAAAATAAAATAAAATAAAATAAAATAAGCCAGGCCTGGTGGCATACCTGTAGTTCCAGCTACTTAGGAGGCTAAGGCAGGAGGATCACTTGAGGCAACAAATTTGAGGCTGCAGTGAGCCTTGATTGTGTCGTTGCTCGCCAGCCTGGGCAACACAGTGAGACCTTGTCTCTAAAAATATAAAAAAGGAGCTCACAGTCTAGAGACAACAAAGTAAAAGAATTGTAACAAAATGCACTAAGGGCTCTGACAGAAGGAAGCAGAAGGTGCTCTGGGAACACACAGGGTGGATCTGAGAAGACTGGGCAGAAATACTTGGTCAGGGATCCTAAGAGAAGCATGTCGTCTTTTGTAAATGCTGAACATGCCTAGTAGCAGGCGTCAGTTTTCTGTGTCCTCCTTCGTGAGGGAAATGGACCTGGGGGGAGGCTCAGCGCTCACCTTAGCCATGTGCAGGGGGTAGAGTTGTGAGCACAGTGCTTCGAGGATAAAGTGACCTCCCCCACTACCATCCATTTGTGGGCACCCAGGTGGCCTTGCCTGTAGCTCCCCACCCTCTGCGCCCAAGCCCCAGGTCAGCTCAGACACCGTTTCTGGAGACAGGTGAGCCTAATAAACCTTGAATTGTGAATAATTATCATTTCCAATTTACTTTCAATCTGTGAAATGTACATGAACTAATTTGTATAGTTGTCTATTTAGTGTGTCTTTTTCCCCACTTTTATTCTAGATAACCATTTCCATGCAGATAATTTAAAGGGGTTTTATTTCATGGAATTCACTGAGAGCCTGTCTGTAGATTCGCTTGTAGGGAGTCCTGGTCTAGCAAGATGAACAGATTTCCTCTGAGTACATTTCAGTTAATCCATGGGCATGGGCACACAGTCACACCTCATTGTGAAGTCTGCTGAAACGGCACACCTGGTGTTTGTCTGCAGGTCTGTTCTTGCAACTAATGAGCATGGATTGGAGCTCGTCGGTGTGTTTTTCCCTGTGTTCAGCTCTCCACCTGTGGCCACCATGTCACTAATACTCTATTCTGCCTGCTTTTGTCTAGAGGACTAGCACAAGAATGTGCAAACAATTTCCTGTCGCATATTTATTTAAATTGTATTTGATGACTAAAGAGATGATGTTTATTCAAGGACAAGTATCATATTTGAACAAGTATCATATTGAGAAAATTATATAATTGACATGCTTTAGTTTACCATAAATTCAATCAACCCCCTTGGGTTAGGGAGCTTAGCTGCCTGCTGAGTGAGTTGCATAATACATGTATAAGGGGTTCTCAAACCGTAGCATGCTTTAGAATCCCCTGGAGGGCTTGAAATTTTAAAAATTGATACATAATAATTGCATGGGGTTTAGCTGAGCTTGGTGGTGTCCACATGTAGTCCCAGCTACTTAGGAGGCTGAGGCAGGAGAATTGCTTGAAGCTGGGAGGTGGAGGTTGCAGTAAACCAAGATGGCACCACTGTACTCCAGCCTGGGCAAAAGAGCAAGACTCCATCTCGAAATAATAATAATAATAATTATATGGGGTACATGTGATATCTTGATATATGCATACAAGGTATAGTGATCAAATCAAAGTATTTAAGATATACAGTCCCTCTAACATTGTTTCTTTGTGCTAGGAACAATTCAAATCTTCTCTTCTGGCTATTTTGAAATATACAGTAAATTATTATTATTATTATTTTTGGGACGAAATCTCCCTCTTGTCCCCCAGGCTGGAGTGGGATGGCACGATCTCGGCTCACTGCAACCTCCGCCTCCCGGATTCAAGCGATTCTCCTGCCTCAGCACCCCAAGTAGCTAGGATTACAGGCACGTGCCACCAAGCCTGGCTAATTTTTGTATTTTTAGTACAGGCAGGGTTTCACCATGTTGGCCAGGCTGGTCTAGAACTCCTGACCTCAGGTGATCCACCTGCCTTGGCCTCCCAAAATGCTGGGATTACAGGCGTGAGCCACCGCGCTAGCCAAATTATTGTTAACTATGGCTTCCCTGCTGTACTGTGGAACATTCGAACTTATTCTATCTAACCGTATGCTTCTACCCATTAACCAACCTCTCTCCATCCCACTCCCTTTCCTAGCCTCTGACAACTATCATTCCACTCCCTGGAGGACTTTTGAAAGCACAGATTGCTGGGCTTCACTGGCAGAGTTTCCAATTCCATAGGTCCGAGGTGGGGCCTGATAATGTGCATTTCTGACAAATTCTCAGGTGTTGCAGATGCTGCTGGTCTGGAGACCATACTTTGAGCACCACTGACATACATAAAGCTTGTGCTGAAAGCCTGTACAAATCTCACAAATTTGCATTAAAGAATAACTGCTTCTTTTTAAATTTCAATGAACATGTTTTAAAAATAGAAGTGGTGGCACCGTTGGGGAGATTTTCAAAATTTCATATAGTAAGAATCTATGATCGTTTCCCCAAAAGACACCTTTGTATTGAAGAAAAGCAAGCAATAGACCAGGAGGTCTGTGTTCTGAATCCCTTCAGACCTTGCTAAACAGGCAGCTGGGATGAGACTAGCCTGGAAAGAGGCCCTCAGGATTTGACCAGGGCATTGTGGCCAAGACCTTCCCCTCCCCTAAACAGCAACACCTTGTATAGCAGTACAATGAGAATGCAAAATAGATGACATGGATGGCTACAATTAGGATATGGCTTTTCTCATCTTCTCTTTTTTCTTGCAGGAAAGAGTAAAGAAATCTGTGTTTTTTTTTTTTAAATTAAAGAACAATGATAGTGATCTTTTTGGTAAGGTTCAATGGGAAACATTATCTGAATGGAATCAATAATTTGTGGGGTAGGCTCTTGAGTCAAAAAGGGGAGAAGAATTCCCTGGAAGGTCCGTGAGGTTGCTTGTCTTGCCTTGATTAGTAGTGTTTCCTGGCCAGCATGGGCAACATAGTGAGACTCTGTCTCTACAAAAAAATATGAGAATTACCCAGGTGTGGTGGTGCACCTCTGTAGTCCAAGCTACTTGGGACGGTGAGGTGGAGGATAGCTTGAGCCCAGGAATTTGAGGCTACAGTGGGCTATGATGGTACCACTGCACTCTAGCCTGGGCAACAGAGTAAGACCCCATTAAAAAAAAAAAGTCTTGAAAGAAACTCTAGATTCCAAAGACACACATCATCTCTCAAAATGATGCATGGATTACTCAGGGTTGTTCAGGGAAACAGAACTTATAGGAGATAATAGATAGATAGATAGATAGATAGATAGATAGATAGATAGATAGATAGATAGAAAGATAGATAGAAAGATAGAAAGATAGATAGATAGATAGATAGATAGATAGATAGATAGATAGATAGATGGATAGATAGATAGATGATAGATAGATAGATGATAGATAGAAAGATAGAAAGAAAGATAGATAGATGATAGATAGAAAGAAAGAAAGATAGATAGATAGATAGGAACTGATTTTAAGGAATTGGTTTATGCGAGTGTGGAGTCTGGTAAGTCCAAAATCAGCAGAGTAGGTTGCAGGCTGGAGACCCAGGGAAGAGATGATGCTGTAGCTCAAATCTGAAGGCTGTCTGCTGGCAGAATTCCCTCACCTCTAGGGCAGGTCAGCCTTTTTCTATTAAGGCCTTGAACTGGTTGGATAAGGCCCACCCACTTTATAGAGGATGATCTGCTTTACTCAAAGTCTACTGATTTAAATGTTAATCTCATCTAAAAAATGCTTTCACAGAAACAGCTAGAGTAATGTCTGAATAGATCCAAATACTGTGGCTGAGCAAGGTTGACATATGAAATTAACCATCACAGTGCTTCATAAATAATCATTGATTGAAGAGATATCTAGCGTTTTACTCTGTAGAATCCTGTGCAGTTGCACAAAAGTGACCTGCTGTTGATTCTACTCTGAAACATTTGATGTAACAGTTTTCCAAACAGCAAGAAATATTTAGGGGGTTCAAAAAAAAAAGACTAGGCATGGTGGCTCACACTTGTAATTCCAACACTTTGGGAGGCCTAGGTGGATCCCTTGAGGCCAGGAGTTGCAGACCAGCCTGGACAACTCTGTACAAGACCCTGGCTGTACAAAACAAATTTTCAAAAATTTTGCCCGTGCGTAGCATGTGCCTGTAGTCCTAGTTGTTTGGGAGGCTGAGGTGGGAGGACCACTTAAGCCAAGGAGTTCAGAGCTGCAGTGGGCTACAATTGTACCACTGCACTCCAGCCGGGTGACAGATCAAGACCCTGTCTCTAAAAAAACCAAAACCGAAAACAAACAAAGAAACGAACAAACAAAAAACCCAACTAAATGTTGTTGGTGTCTTTCCTATAACTTTCTATCCAAAATTTACCCTCAGACAGAATATAGTAAGTTCCTTATTTTCCATGATAATAAGAATGTGAGACCCATTCTTGTACTAATGGGTTCTGTTATGCTACTGCTGGAACCCTGGTAACTAGGGCAGTGCCTGGCATGGGGTTGAACACTAAGGAAATATGGATGAATGAACAAATGAATTCATGACGATGGAACCAAGCAGCCACAGAAAGTGCAATTAGAAGAATGTGATTAGGATATCACATGTATATTTTCTATGATAAAAGTTAGCATCAATCCACATTCATAGAAGAAATTTCACTTCAATTTAATCTAAAAAATTTCATCTTCTTGGCCGGGCACAGTGGCTCACGCCTGTAATTTCAGCACTTTGGGAGGCTGAGGCAGGTGGATCACTTGAGGTCAGGGGTCCGAGACCAGCCTGGCCAACATGGTGAAACCCCAAAATACAAAAACATGTCTACCAAAAATACAAGAATTAGCCGGATGTGGTGGTGCATGCCTGTAATCTCAGCTACTCAGGAGGCTGAAGCAAGAGAATCACTTGAACACGGGAGGCGGAGGTTGCAATGACCTGAGATCACACCATTGCATTCCAGCTTGTGCGACACAGCAAGACTCTCAAAAAAAAAAAAAAATCATCTTCTTGCCTGGAGAACAGGTTTATTGAAGCAGCAATTGTTAAGTAAAATAGGAAGATTGTGTCAAAATATATTCTGCATGGAATCTTTCAGACACACCAAACGTTGAAATAATGTACTTGTTTCTAGTGAGAATTCTCAGTGGAGCCAGCCCCGGGGCTTATTAGTGGGCAACCGCACAGGGTGCAGAACTGCTTTTCACAACACATCTCCCTGACAGCCATCTCAAGGCATCAAACGCCTAAAGTTCCACCATCTGGGGTGTGTCCCTTTGAATCTTAAGGGGATTTTAGGATTTTAGGTTTCTAGCATTCTTGATCAAAATGTAAATGTAAATACCTCACAAAGAATAACATGTTAAAAATGTCATATTAGCACTGGGCAGGGATCAACTCCATCTATCAGCCATCAACTGGATGCCCCATGTATCTTTTTCTAAGTTATGATTTTTCCAGTTCTAATAATTCAAAAATATCCATAATCAATTCCTCCCTTACAACCATAAAGGAATCATATCTTGTGAAAGATATGGGGTTTATGTATATAGTTTTTTTCTTCCTTATGCATTTAGGTAGATTTGCATAATAAATAATCTAATTGTTTTCACATTTAGGGAAGGGAGGAATGTTCCAAGCTCTTTATGCTGAGGGAAGAGTAATGGCTGTGGAATGCAGTTGAATGACTTTCTGCTGACGTGCTCCTTCTGGTTGCTAGGGTACTCACCCATATGTTTATACACTTCTGTAAAAACGACCTAAGGAATGAAGAACGGATGCAAGCACTTCAGGGATTTGGAGATCACTTTCACAAACCTATTAAATTTTTCTTTCATCTGTCCTTCCAAAGTCAGAACCATATATTTAACAGAAAACATGACCAAGAAATGTTTATATAAATTCATAGTTGGATCGTTGGGTTTTGATAGAATAATATCATTGGAGCAAATATTACACTTGGAAATGCACTTTAAAAATAAGCCAAAAGCCTATAAGAATAATGTTTCCTATTTGTGTGTTAAGGTTGATCATAACTATATTTACCTTAATACCCATTGTTCAAGTTATAACCTCAGGATGATACACAAAAACATGCAGTTTTGTCTAGAAAAACTTGTATCTATTTGGTTCCCCAGGTAAATTTTTGTTGTATTAGTTTTAAAATCACACAAGATACAAATGGCTTAACAGTGGTAAAGTCATGTTCTCTGAGAAAAGCACTTCCATTCCCTAATTTTATTTTCTTTTTGTAATAGATATACTGGAAAATGATGGTTAGCAACTTGTGCCTTTTTTTTGATACAACTAGAAGCGGTACAATAACAGCTTCTCTGTGGCAGCTCCAACCACATCTCCTAGAGTGATGGTGAGGATTAGATAGAACAATGTATTAAAGTTTCTAGCAAAATACCCAGCATAGGGTAGCCACTCTCCAAATATTAGTTTCCCTTGCTTACTCTAAAGGATTTAAAATTACATATTTAATTTCAAAAAATTGAAAAGTTGAATGATTATGTAATCAGAATTTTCATTAATTGGAATTTTCATGAATCAGAATTTTTAGGCAAAAGTTTTATGAATTGGAATTTTCAGGCAAAATTCTATTATAGCTCAAGTTACTTTTTTGTGTTTATATTTTAAATCAAACCAAATGACTAAAAAAGTTTTCTAGGAAGGGACTGAAACCCTTTCTCTCCTTCTTTTAACAAGGCCCAACTGTTAACACTGAGCTGTTTTTTGGAGAGGTAGTCTTGCTCTGTCACCCAGGCTGGAGTACAGTGGCGTGATCTCGGCTCACTACAACCACCGCCTCCCGGGTTCAAGTGATTCTCCTGCCTCAGCCTCCCAAGTAGCTGGGATTAAGGCACCTGCCATCATGCCCGGCTAATTTTTGTATTTTTGTAGAGACAGGGTTTCATCATGTTGGCCAGGCTGGTCTTGAACTCCTGACCTCAGGTGATCCGCCCATCTCGGCCTCCCAAAGTGCTGGGATTACAGGCATGAGCCACCACGCCTGGCCAACACTAAACTATTAACGCTGAACTCAGCCTGCAGTGTAAACATTCTGTATACATTACTGCCCTTTTGTCAAGGTCAAGAACACGCTACACGCTGTTCAAGGGTGTATCTGTAAAGAAAACGTGCTTATAATTAGTACAATGAACATTATTTGCTAGGCAAAAATACAAGTATTTTCTGGTCTAAACTGATATTCAGTGGTCTTGTGTAATGACGCATTTTAGAAGTCTAATAAATCACTCCCAGAACTATGTATCCACTGTAAATCAACAAGTCAACAAGACTTTCTTTAAAAATTTTAAACACGGACGGGCGCGGTGGCTCACGCCTGTAATCCCAGCACTTTGGGAGGCCGAGACGGGCAGATCACGAGGTCAGGAGATCGAGACCATCTTGGCTAACACGGTGAAACCCCGTTTCTACTAAAAATACAAAAAATTAGCCGGGCGTGTTGGTGCGCGCCTGTAGTCCCAGCTACTAGGGAGGCTGAGGCAGGAGAATGGCGTGAACCTGGGAGGCGGAGCTTGCAGTGAGCTGAGATCGCGCCACTGCACTCCAAACTGAGGGACACAGCAAGACTCTGTCTCAAAAAAAAAAAAAAATTAAACAATTTTAGAGTAGAATAATATACTTCCTTGTAACATATTCATACTGACACAAAGCCAGGGGTATTTGAGGAAATCTCTTGCCCTTTGCAATTCTCCTCTCATACTTCTTTTTATACTAAATTTTTGGCATGGCTCTGTTCTGACGGATGGATCTCTTACAAACCTATTCTGTTTCCTAACCCATTCATTTCACTAAATAAAGGTTCGAACCCCTATTGGTCAACATGCTTTTATCTCCTGTTATAAATACACCAAGCAGTCAGGGCCCTCTCTTTCACAGATGACCATTATTTCTCACCGACCAGCCCCCAACCTCGGCATCCAGAATTTAGGGCCAACAGTGTCGGAACTGTACTTGCTAGTAGTTACCTAGGTAATTTCAAGATGCCCATCTTTCAGAATGTTTAAAAATGAAAGTTCTTAAGGTGACAGTCTCTCAAATAACAGATAAAGAAATTAGGCAAGGTACTGCTGTCTCCATCTCTGTAAAATAAAACCTAGGCACTTTCACTGATAATAGACTAGCACCAACATGCAGTCAGTAACACGGGACACTAAAAACAAGCCATTTGGATCACACAAAGAAGAATATTGACTCGTGCCACTTTAAAACATGTGATATTATTTGGCATTCACAATTCTTTCCCTATTTGTTGTCTGTATTGAATTTTTCCTTTGACTTAGTGCACTTGCTCATGTATCTTGCCCTCTTTTAAACCTTGGTTGGTGACGGTTCTTTGCACAATTGCGGAGGTCTTTTGCTACTCCAATTGCATAAATAACTGAAGTAAGGCTGCAAAAGTCAACCGAGCTTGGGCATCAAGGACAATGAAGTTGCTGAGTATCTCTTGTGCCTCACTGACTCCTTTCCAGTCAGGAGACGGTAAGTGCTTCGTACTAAGTGATTATGCTCCAGGAAACTCCAGTGTGTTAGGAGCAGGCCCATTGGCTGTGCCATGCATCACAGCCCTGGGCAATCGCAAAGTCTAGGGCAAACAATATGAACAGCGAGATTGTTGCTCCCCTGTTTTTTATGGGAGAGATAAACCTGAAATGGCTCAGGCTAGAGAAGCTGCTGGGAATAAGGGGGGTCCCCAGCAGCCATGTTCAGTCACCTCCTGGCTCCTACACATGACAACTTGTGCAAATGCAAAGAAGTAGGTCCGGAGCTTTCCATCACATCTCAATACCCTAAGACCAAAGATCCTTCCAGGCTAAGGACTCAATACAAATACACAAACCTAGATGCTGTACAACATATGGCTCCATTTTGAAATATGGCTATGGAGAGGGAGGGCTGGGAATATCATTTACTGAGTGTCTATTGTGTCTCGGGCTCTGTGCACATTGCATTTTGAGCTCACAAGAACTCTGTGAGGAAGTACTATCTCTGACAAAAGAAAGAAAACTGCTGAGACAAACTGAGTTGCTGTTAGCCAGCAAGAGTCAGAACTAAGCTCTCATCTGAATCTGTCTGATTGTGAGGTCTTTGCTAGCTTTTTTTTTCTTTTTCTTTTTTTTTGAGACAGAGTCTGGCTCTGTCACCCAGGCTGGAGTGCAGTGGTGTGATCTTGGCTCATTGCAACCTCTGCCTTCTGGGTTCAAGTGATTCTCCTGCCTCAGCCTCCCAAGCGGCTGGGATTACAGGTGTTTGCCACCACGCCCAGCTAATTTTTGTATTTTAGTAGAGACAGGGTTTTACCATGTTGGCCAGGCTGGTCTCGAACTCCTGACCTCATGTGATCAGCCTGCCTCAGCTTCCCAAAGTGCTGGGATTACAGGCGTGAGCCACCATGCCCGGCTGGCCTTTGCTAGCTTTAATCACTAGGAGCATGACTAGGGTAATGGAAGAGGAAGACTTGCAATGCATGGAGTTTAGCCAGAGCTTCAGTTCCCTTGCTCATCCTCCTCCCTTCATCTCTATCTCCTCCTTCTCCCTCTAGCACTGACAGTGTTCAAACAAGACCTCAAGCTACCTAGGCCTGACTTTCCTCATCTGCAAACTTAGGGGTTGGCCTGGTGACAAGACAGTGGCACCGACCAAAATATGAGCCTGTTGTGACAGAGCCCATGCATGGCCTTGCTGGGTCTGGACAAACTATACACTCCCACTCTTCTTGTGGCACTGACTTGGGGTTTCTTGTTCTGATTTGATTTCCAGGGACCCTCCCTGGGTCACAAAATCTGTAACCCCTGGAATACTGCGTAATGCAAACTGAACTGGATAGTTGTTTATCTAGCTCTTACCTTGTTTTGAAAAATGTATGGAATTTCTTTCTTTTTAAACAAGTACCATTTTGTTTCAGACCAGTTTGAAGCAGAAGAATGTCCTGATAATGGCATAGAGCCAAAGCGATTCCATCCTCTGGACATGAGCTGTGTGGTGTCCCCGTCCTCATACCTATTCCAGAACCACACTGGTCCCTGCTCTCGTCTCCGAACTGTCGGAGGATGGACCTGCTTTTGCAAGGACCTGAACTCCCTGTGTTGTTGCTTAAGATTTTTACCCAGGCATGAAAAGGAAATGAATTCTGCCAACTCATCGCTGTGTCTGTGGGAACAGAAACTCAGGGCACCTATTCTCTGCAAGAAAAGCATCAATTCCCTGTAAGAAAAGTTTCCCACCTGAGACAATGACACAGACCAACATAAATGCTCTTTTGGTTTTATGATTTCTGATATTAGATTTTACTTGATTTTTTTATTTTTAATTTTTTAAATTTCATTTTGAGAGTTAAAAGGGTTACTTCTTTTATTTCCAGCAGTTCAAGGAATTTCAGAGCAATCTTGGTCCAGAGTTGGTAATAAAGACATTTAAATGAGATGGGAATACTGTCTGTTATGCTGACCAGTACTAAGTCTCCCGCAGTTCATTTTTCCTGAGAATAAATGCCTGTCTGATACATCAAGACCTATTTATGCTTAGTAATTGTGTGATTCTACATCCTCTAAAGCACCTCCACCTGAAGATTAGTCATTCCGCCAACCAACATTTGCTGAGCTCTTACTCTGAGCAAATCTTGATGTTCATCATCATGAAGTATACAAAAAATAGAGACCACGATTTCTCCTTAAGAAGCTAAACTTCTTCTTGGGGAAAAAGTGAACAAAACAAGAGCTGACATAGGGAATGTGTCACATGTTTAATAAATAACTGCTAGAGGAAAGAGGCAAATAAGTGATTTAGAAGTTCAGAAGAGAGATGGACCCCTAACAGATTTCATTCATTCAAGCACCAATTCTTTCACTCATTCAGCCAGACGGTATTTCTGGACTTCCGTGTTTGGGTGTTAAGGGGATTTCAGGATGAATAAGAAAGGGACCTGCCCCTGGGACTTACAGTAAAGTAGACAAGCTAAGTCATGTCCACAAACAAATATAAATCTAGGTTGTAGGTGATACGTGCCGCAGAGAGGTAGAGAGAAGTGTGCTTGGACTTCAGGACTTCAGGGATGGGACTCAGCTCAGAGACAATCCTGGGAGGCCTCCTCAGGCAGATATTTAGTCTGGCTTTGAAGAATGGGCAGAATCTGTACTTGTGGGGTTGCTTAAAACCACTTTCATCAATGGTGCCCAGACAATTTCTTTTGGGATTGACCATTGGTATTTGGAACATATTTCTCATGGAAACAATAGTGTGGTCTTTGGTCTCCTGGTATGCCCACAAATCTACAATGTGCCTGAGAACTATTATAAATACATTCTTTCAACTATAGTCATGCGCTGCATATACAACAGTGGTCCCATAAGATTATAATATCGTATTTTTACTGTACCTCTTCTATGTTGAGATATGTTTCAATACCCAATTGTGTTACAATTGCCTACAGCATTCAGGACTGTAACCCGCTGTACAGCTTTGCGGCCTAGCTGCAATAGGCTACACCGAACAGCCCCAGTGTGTAGTAGGCTCTGCCATCCAGGTTTGTGTTAGTGCACTCAATGATGTTCACAGAATGACAACATCTCCCAGGACACATTTGTTAGAACACATTTCTTAGAATCCCCATCATTAAGTGATGCCTGACTGTATGCATAAATATTGTGTCAGGGTTCCTGTGGGAAAATTCAGGCTGTTTTCTCATGTTTGGAGCCATGCACACAGCTTCCTGCTGCCCAGGCTCAGGGGCAGGGGTCCCCACTCCCCAGCTTTCCTCCCTGGCTGCAGCCCCCTTGGGTCTCAGCCAAGGCACAAGGATAGTGAAGGCTTCTGTGATGGGTGAGATTTGTGAGGGAAGATCTGGGCTGTGGGGCCTGTAGCTGACACAAACTGGGGGTGGGGGAGCTTTTCAGAAGAGGAATTTAAAAATCTCTTGCTTTTGCCAGTGTTTTTTTTTTTTTTTCTTTTTTTTTTTTTTAAACAAAGTCTTGCTCTGTCGCTCAGGCTGGAGTGCAGTGGTGCGATCTTGGCTCACTGCAACCTCCACCTCCCGGGTTTAAGGGATTCTCCTGCCTCAGCCTCCCGTGTAGCTGGGACTACAGGCGCCCGCCACCATGCCTGGCTAATTTTTTGTAGCTTTTGCCAGTTTTATAGAAATATAAGTCTGTGTGAACATATTGCTAGGGCTCCTCCCAGGGCCCCACAGAGGTCTCAGCAAGTGAGAGACTCTTGTCAGTCTTCATTAACTTTCTAGAAAATCCACATCTGGATCTCCAAAATTTGAAATGCTTGGAGAACAGACATCTATTTATTCTTTGTCCTTCACTAAAATACGGTGACTCCCAAGTGTTTTGTATTAGGGAGAAAAGGGACTAGGTTCCGACAGCCAACTCCTTTGCCGTCCCTGGGGTAGAGGGAAAAGGGGAGGAGAGAGGAGGAGGAAGGGAGACTGGGGTGAGCATGAGGCCTGGTGTAGTCAATCATAGCACAGGCATAGGAGCCAAAGGGACCTGGGCTGGTATTCCAGAATTTTCCAGAATTGATCTAGGACAAGTGACTCCACGTTTTCAAGCCTGGGATTTCGCATTTATAAAAAGTTGGTAATAATGCCAATTTCAGGGTGCAGTTTCAATAAAAGAATATGTCTAAAACACCTAGCATAGGTTGGGTACAGTAGCTCTCACCTGTAATCCCAGCACTTTGGGAGGCCGAGGTAGGCGAGGTGGATCACCTGAGGACAGGAGTTCAAGACCAGCCTGGCCAACATGGTGAAACCCCGTCTCTACTAAAAATACAAAAATTAGCTGAACGTGGTGGTGCATGCCTATAATCCCAGCTGCTCAGGAGGCTGAGGCAGGAGAATCACTTGAACCTGGGAAGTGGACGTTGCAGTGAGCCAAGATTGTGCCACTGCACTCCAGCCTGGGTGACAGAGTGAGACTCCATCTCCAAAACAATAAAAATAAAAGTAAAAAATAAAAATAAAATAAAATACCTAGCATAGTCCCCTGCTCCCTGCAAATGTTTAACAATGCGCAGGGACAAGATGTCTGGAGACTGTGATCCTACCTATGGAAAACAGCTTTGCAAAACTTCACTTTCCTGCCTGTAACTTTAGTTCATTTATCTCTACACCCGAAAAGAAGAAGAGACTGCAAGAAATGTTGGTGTTGGAAAGGACATCAAGCATTACGGAGAGGACGGATATAAGTCTGTGTAAGTCTTTTGTAAGTGGTAAAATTCAACGCAAATGGGAATTTGTGTTGATGTCAGCTTGACTGTAGAGATGGTGCATAGGTTTTCAGCTGCTAGCCAGGTATAGTGTTTCCAAAGGATAAAGGTAATCAGATTGCTGGAGAACAGGGACTAGAAAAGCAGGTCAGCTGAAATAACTTAGTGTGGGTATTTTTACTAAAAATTGGTCAAATAGAATCCTTTTAGAGACAAATACTGAAATATTTACAGGTGAAGTGATGTGCTGGGAGTTGTTTCCCCAGGGGGCAAGTGGTTGAGGATACTGACAAAGGTGGCCATCTCACTTCTTTGGTATATGTCTGCAATTTTCAAAGTAAAGTTTTAAAAATGATCAGATAGATAAAATCATTTATTCTATCATCAAGCAAATGTCAAGATATGTCCTTTGCTGTGACCCCCACCCACCCACCTGCCAAACTAACCTCACTGGCATTCCTTAATCCCTCTGATGCAGTCCTGCCTCTGTGCCCTAGGAACGCTGTTGACTCAGCAGGAGGCATCTTGGCTGATGTAGAGGTTCCCTTACTTTGAAGGTGTCCTTGTTGGGGTGCCCTTGTCTGCTGTCATTATCCTCTTCTAGTTCCTGCCCCTACCTTGAGCTTCAGGACTCCTGTATGACCTGGTTCTTTTTTTTTTTTTTTTTTTTTGAGACAGAGTCTTGCTCTGTTGCCCAGGCTGGAGTGCAGTGGCATGATCTCGGCTCACTGCAACCTCCATCTCCTAGGTTCAAGCAATTCTTCTGCCTCAGCCTCCCCAGTAGCTTGGACTACAGGTGCCCGCCACCACGCCTAGGTAATTTTTTGTATTTTTAGTAGAGACAGGGTTTCACTGTGTTAGCCAGGATGGTCTCAATCTCCTGACCTCGTGATCTGCCCATGTCAGCCTCCCAAGGTGCTGGGATTACAGGCGTGAGCCACCGTGCCGGCCTGACCTCCTTCTTGACTCATAGTCTTTATCCGACCTCCCATACCTGCTTGGCCAGATGCATTGCAGAGGACTTACTACCCATGTGCTTCTGGTCTTCTGACTTCTCCCTTGAATACGGAATCTGGCAATTAAGCAACTCCCAGGTTCAACCCAATTTCATGCTTGGTGCATAATTCCCACCCTCCCCTGACAAGTCTCCATGATTAACTGGAGCTCACAGTTCACAGTGACTCTGAAGGAGAAAAAAAACAATTGCGCATTTTCAACTCACAAGAATAACGTGCATTTCATTTCTTTGTAGTTTTATTCTGGAATTTTTAATTTACTATTTCTTTTGCTTTGAATGTATCAATTTCCAGTCATCTTAATGAACTCATTATAGTAAATCTCTGAAGCATTTTATTTTACTTCACTTTTAAAAATTTGTATATTTTTCCTTTTGTTTGTATTTTTTATTATCATAGTAATCTAGACTCTGACATTAGAATACACAGTATCTATTAATTTCCTATTGCTTCTGTTAAAAATTACCACAAACATAGTGGCTTAAAGTAAAATGCATTTATCCTCCTACAGTTCTGGAGGCCAGAAGTCTGGAATGGGTCTCTCTGAGCTAAAGCCAAGGTGCGGGCAGGGCTGAGCTCACTCTGGAGGCTCAGGGGAGAATCTGTCTCCTTGCCTTCTTCTGGAGGCCACCTGCATCCCTTGGCTGGTGGTCCCTTCCTCTATCTTCAAAATCAGCAGTGCAGCATCTTCCAGTCTCCCTCTGCCTCTGACCTGTTTCATCTGCCCACCTTCCACTTTAAAAGACTCTTGAGATTCCACTAGGCCAACATAGTCCAGGATAATCTCCTGTTTTACAGTCAGCTGATTGGCAACCTTAATTCCGTCTGTGACTTTAATGCTTCCTTGCCATGCAACATATACACAGATTCCAGGGATTAGCATGTGGACATTTCTGGAGGCCATTATTCTACCTGCCACACAGCATATTAGAGATTGAATGTCGTTTTTAAGAATATCCAGGGCGAAATATATCCCAAGCATGAAGTGGTTGATTTAATAAGAACCATACAAGGGACTGGATGCTGTTCAGTGAAATTTGTCTAAGTAAACTGGCAACTGAAGCACTCATGCTCCTAGCACCATCAGTTTACAGCTTAGCTTTTCCACAGGCTCCAGATTTCTGGCTACCCAGGAAGCTCCCTTGTTGATCTGGGGTGGACTCCTGATCCTTGTGATGCTGCCTCTCGGGTAACAGACTCAATGTTATACACTTGGAAGTCACTGCTGTTGACCCGGCACAACCCTGGCCTTGTTCTCCACTCAGCCCCAGGGCACCAGCTGTGCCACACAAGACCATGTGTCCAAGGGATGTGGCCTCAGCGTCCAACACAAACATGGCCACTGGCATTGTGCCAGGTGCAGGAGACAGACAGCAGAGACAAGAATTCTAACGCTGGAAGGGAATTTAGAAATTGTCTTGTATTTATTTATTTATTTATTTATTTTGCAGTTTATCTTACAGATGAAGAAAATGAGGCCTCGTGATGCTGAGTAATTTTTAAAAGACATACAGGCGGTGTCAGAGCACTAGACCGGAAGCAGGTTTTTTTTTTTTTTTTTTTTTTTTTGAGACAAGGTCTGGCTCTGTTGCCCAGGCTGGAGTGCAGTGGTGCAATCTCGGCTCAAGTGATTCTGCCACTTCAGCCTCCCCAGTAGCTGGAACTACAGGTGCACATCACCACACCCGGGTATTTTTTTTTTTTTGTAGAGATGGGGCTTTCACCACGTTGGCCTGGCTGGTCTCAAACTCCTGACCTCAAGTGATTCACCCACCTTGACCTCCCAAAGGGCTGGGATTACCGCTGTGAGCCACTGCACCTGGCTCGGAAGCAGATCTTTGAGGGGCCAAATGGAACCTACCCTGGTTTCTTTCCAAATCGTCACTGGTAACATTTATAATTCTTTTGCAACAATAGTTTTTTGTTTTGTTTTGTTTTGCTTTGCTTTTCTGAGACAGAGCCTTGCTCCGTTGCCCAGGCTGGAGGGCAGTGGTATAATCTCGGCTTACTGCAACCTCCACGCCCCCCTGGGTTTAAGCAATTCTCCTGCCTCAGCCTCTGGAGTAGCTGGGATTACAGGCGTATGCCACCATGTCCGGCTAATTTTTGTATTTTTAGTAGAGACGGGGTTTCACCGTGTTGGTCAGGCTGGTCTCGAACTCCTGACCTTGTGATCCGCCCACCTCAGCCTCCCAAAGTGCTGGGATTACAGGTGTGAGCCACTGTGCCTGGCCAACAGTAGTTGTTTTCAACAAGGTCAATGTCTCTTACGTGTTGCAAGGCTAGAGTCCGTGATAATAAAGAATGAAAGTCCTTTGTTTCAAAAGTATAAGCAAGATAAGATGTAGTAAAATAAAATAAAGTAACACAGTGAAGATAATGGTTAAGGCTGCATTCAAAATAAGCCACTATCCTGTGCTCAGCGAAGCTCAGGTAGTGCCATGTCCTAATTGCTCCCAGATAAGATAGTGGGGGCAAACAGGGGTGCATCCTTCCCCCTAGATCCCAGGATGAGGGGCGAAACTCACTGCTCCCAGCCTACCAGTCCCAGAACCCAATGACATGCAGGCCCCTTGCTTGAGGGAAGGACTGTACAAGCACTTTTCCCAGGCCCTTGTTCTTCCCAAATCGCAACAAAAGGGGAAAAAAAATGATGTGCTTCCTTTGTGACATTTCTGAAGGAACAATTAGTGTTACAACTCATCTTCTTAAATCTTGTATTTAATTGTGAGGCATTCTCCCTATTGGGGAATGACAGTTTGACTCATCAACATTTTGTCAGTCAGTTCTCCCGTGATCAGACATCTGTGTAAGCTGCACAACGTATAAAGAGAAATGTTTCCTGAATAAAGGACATTCAGTTGATTTATGCATTTTTAATTCATAAAAATGATGCCTGTTTGAACAATGATTCATTTTCTGTATTAATACAAAAATGAATTCTGACAAATGGGAGTCAGATGGAGAAATTATGTGGGCTGTTTAATTCAGTTTTACAGTGTTTGACCTTGATATTCTAATTCATTGCCACATAACAGGAGCTTTCATGGGAGGTACTGATTTATTACTATTATTTTTCTTCCATTTCCTTTTTTTTCCTTTCTTTCTTTATAGGAGTCCTGAAACAATACTAGAGAGTTATTTTTAAAACATAGCTCTTTATGTATGTCTGATCAACAGCAAAGTAATTTAGAATTTTAAATAAAGTAAATTTGAGGGTCCTTATAAACCTCACCATGGAAACCAGAGAGTGAATTGTTGCCATGGAGACATTTGTAAGTCCACTATGCCTGGAGTTATTATTACCATATACAGTTGGCCCTTTGTATCTGTGGGTTCTACATCTGTGAATTCAACCAACCATAGATTGAAAATATTTAAGAAAAATCTTCCAAAAATTTTCAGAAAGCAAAACTTGAATTTGCCACACCAAATACTACGTTAACTCCATGAGAATGAAGTGATGTCTAGGCATTGCATTAGGTATTATAAGTAATCTAGAGATGACGTAAAGTGTACGGGAGGTTATAAAGTGTACATAGGTTATATACAAATACTACGACATTTTATATCAGGGACTTGAGCATCCTCAGATTTTGGGTTACCTATTGGAATCAATCTCCCATGGATACTGAGAGATAATTGTATTCACATACTAGCATGAATCAGGTACGTTATGTAAAGCATTTTAAGTTCCTCGCTGAAAGCATGGTGATGAATGAAATTAATATGAAACCCTTCAAAGCACCAACGTCTCCTCATCCTTGGTACAGAAGAAGAAGAACCCCACAGTTCCCAGGCTTCATCCCCAGATCCCTGATTCAGTCTGGAATGGAGGTGGGGTGTGTGTGTATATATATATATATATATATATATATATTTTTTTTTTTTTTTTTTGAGGCAGAGTCTGGCTCTGTCACCCAGGCTGGAGTGAAGTGGCATGATCTTGGCTCACTGCAACCTCCGCCTCCTAGGTTCAAGATATGAGAATTGAACTTAAATGCTTAAGAAAGAACTAGGTTTTTATGAATTTTAATTAATTGCATGTTAATTTTTAAAGTCAAAGGAAATCCCTGACAGATCAACAAGAATTCTGATTTAACCGAGACAAGGCTGGGACACAATTCCTGACAACCAATTCCCCAGAAATTCTTGTTTGTAAGTCAGGGGAGAAACTCACACTGCACAGGCCTCAGAGTCACGTGAGAAGCCTGTTTAAAATATAGACACCCATCCTGGATAACATAGTGAAAACCCGTCTCTACTAAAAATACAAAAAATTAGCCAGGTGTGCTGGCAGGCGCCTGTAGTCCCAGCTACTCGGGAGGCTGAGGCAGGAGAATGGCGTGAACCCGGGAGGCAGAGGTTGCAGTGAGCCGAGATCATGCCACTGCACTCCAGCCTGGGCAACAGAGCAAGACTCCATCTCAAAAAAAAAAATTTTATATATATATATATATATATAGAGAGAGAGAGAGAGAGAGAGAGAGAGAGAGAGAGAGAGAGAGAGACACCCAGGGCCAGGCACAGTGGCTCACGCCTGTAATCCCAGCACTTTGGGACGCCAAGGCAGGTGGATCTCTTTGAGGCCAGGAGTTCGAGACCAGCCTGGGCAACATGGTGAAATCCCGTCTCTACTAAAAAATACAAAAATTAGCCAGGTGTGGTGGCGCACACTTGTAATCCCAGTTACTTGGGAGGCTGAGGCAGGAGAATCACTTGAACCTGGGAGGCGGCGGTTGCTGTGAGCCAAGATCGCACCATTGCACTCCAGCCTGGGTGAGAAGAATGAGAATCCATCTCAAAAAAAAAAAAAGAAAACATGCAATGCGTATGCTTTTGTGTTGGCTTCTTTCACTCCACATAATTCCTGTGAGATGCACTCAAGTTTTTGTGTATTGGCAATTGATTCCCTTTTATTGTTTGTAGTATTCCATTTTGTGAATAGACACAATTTATTTGTCTATTCTTCCACTGGTGGACATATGGATAGTTTCCTGTTTTCATTTTATTTTTTTTTTATTTTTAAAAAGTAGAGATGGGGTCTCACTATGTTGCCCAGGCTAGTCTTGAACTCGTGGACTCAAATGGTCCTCCTGCCTTGGCCTCCCAAAGTGCTGGAATTACAGGTGTGAGCCACCACACCTGGCCATTTCCTGTTGTTACTATTACAAACACTCTGTGGACATTCTTATACATATATAAAACATGTATTACATATAATACAGACATTATATATGTATTATATTACATATATAACACATTGCATTATATATGTATTATATTACATATATAACACATATTGCATTATATATGTAATATAATACATACATAACATATATATATATTCCACACACATGCACATATATATACATGCACACACACATCTTTGGCATGTGCATGAATGCATTTCCCTTGGGTATAAAGCTGTGGCTGGGATTGCTGGGTCACAGGGTAGCCATATGTTTAGTTTCAGTAGAGACCGCCAAGCTATTTTTCAAGGTGGTTGAGTGAGGCTATACTCTTACCAGCATGCAATGTATGACTTCCAGTTGTCCCATGTTGTCACTAATACCAGAGATTATCAGTCTTTCAAACTTTGTCTGCTCTAGTGGATGTTTTGTGGTGTATTTTATTTTATGCACTTAAAAACAGTTTTCTGAGAAGGGATCCATAGGTTTCACCAGACACTATAAGCAGTTCATGGCACAAAAGGCTCTAAGACCCCTGCGTTAGATCATGGTCTTCACGAGCCTGGTCAAAACTGGGCACGCTGGCTTTCCAACCGAGAGAAGGACAAACAGCAGAAGTCCAGAAGCAATTTCCTTTTGAGCAATAAGACGGAAGTTGTTCATTCCTCAGTCACGCAGCAACTTAGTCACCTGGCCACACCTGGCCTCAAGGGTGTCTGGGAAATGTTGTCTCTTCCTGAGCAGCCCATGCTTAGTTTACACTCTATTAATATGGAAGAAGGGGCAATTGACTGCCAGCAGTCTCCAACACATGAAGCTATTGACCAGGCCTGGTAGATTTTGGGAGGGGAGACTTTCACGGCCCTGTAAGTGGACTGGCACCCAGGGTGAGGAGTGACTGAGTCAGCCAAGCCAATCCCTCTTGCCTTTAGTTGCCCGGGCCTGGGGCAGTTTCCTGCCGTTTGCTCAGCCTGTCCCCCAGGCAAGCACATGAGGTGATCAGGTCTGCGAGGTTTCCCAACAATGGATTTATAGGATAATCCTTTCTATGCTGTCAGTAAATAACTGCATGACTGGAAGGTGAGTAGGGTAGTTTTATTTGGGTCTTGGAGAAGAATGCTGAAGGTATGGGTGTACTGATGGCTGAATCATGCCTGTGTCAAATACTGTGGGTGGCACTTTACTCTTTAACACGACTGCCAATATGGTACTGGAACTTTTCTAGTAAATTACGATAGTGTTTCAACAAGGCCTCTTTGGTCATCCATGAACGAGCTTTTCCCCACTTCTCTGACCGGGTATAGCAGCTACCCAAGGACATCTGTAGGCCACAGAGACAGTGCTCCAATTTCTCCACTCCACAGTTAGAGAAGGGAGCAAGTGATGAGGTGGGAAGAAGTGATAACGTGTCTCCCAGTAGAATTATGTAGATGGGATCTAAAATATATGGTTGTATTACTCAGGAATTAGAGCATGGTACTTTGGCATGGATCCTACCAACACCCAGTGATTGGAAGAAGCTTTGTCATGTAATTCAAGGTCAGAGTGGAACTAACGCTCTTTTATGATAGTGAACTCATAAAAGAGTTCACTATCCCACCAGCTGGGTTTGGGGTTTTGGGTCCATATGGAGACTCAATGATAAAGAGATTAAATCTCGAAGTGTGAACCATGTCTAATTAAAAAATACATGTACTTGAAAGCAACCAAAGAAAAGCAAAACCCTAACTACCTGTGGGGAATGGAGAATCACCGCAAACTCCTTCCTCCCCACCCCTCTCATCTTGGGCGTCTGAGTTCGTACTTCTCTTCCTGGCAGCAGATGTAGGCAGAGAGGACAAAGAGTCTTGATGTACAGATCAAGGAAGGGGCTGGGAAAATGTCGCCAGAGAAGCTTCGAGACCTACCAACCTTTGGGAGAGAGGGTGATGCGAAGCTTTCAGGACATGGGGGAGGCAGGAACTCTGGGAGAAGAAAAGGAATTAAAAGGACAGATGGCACTGGGGGCGGAAACAGGTGGGGCCCATGTGGAGAAAAGGGGTTTACCTGTGAACTGTTACTGAGGGAAGTTGGGGCAGCAAAGCAGGCTCTCTAGTAGGACACACAGGGGTGCACTGGTGAGAAGAGAAAGCCCAGACCGCTGGCCTCATCACCCTCCCTTAATGCCTCCAACTCATGGGCTGCAGCGCTGGGGACCCTGAGATGAAGAGGTGAGTGTGGCGTGCACGAGTGCACTCGGGGTCCGGAGGAGCCGGAGTCAGGAAGTGCTTCCACCTTTCTGTCCGCATGCTGGGGGAGACCCCTTCAGAGCGGGCCAAAGCAGTACTGTATCCACTCACTGGAGACACTGTAAAGACGAGACCCCACACTCCAGTGCACTGCACCCTCAGAGCCCAGAGCCCCAGCCCAGGAGGAGGATGGGCTGCGCAGGCGTGCACGGCTCCTAGAGCATGGAGGAGCTTTGCGGACACCAAAGTCTTTGAGTTTTACGGCCCCTTGCTTGGTTACGCGGGCTGTTCGCACCGCACCTAAGCTTTAAATGTGTGAATTCCACCCAAATCTGTTCAGAAATTCTAGTTTGGGAAAAGTTATAAATAGATTTCTCATGAACACTGATGGGGAAAAAATGCACACATGTAAACGTACCCATTGGCTGAGGCTGTGAAGACAGAACTGAATAAAAAATTCTTGTTGGCACCAAATACACTGGGAGGTTTTGAAGTAAGCCTCCTGCCTGCCTGGCAAAACGGAAGTGCTGACTGAACTAAGAGTATATTATTCATACAAAAAGCGTGCTTATTGGACGAGGAAACCCTGACCTTAACACTCTTTTTTTCTATTTTTCATTTATAATATTTGATTTAATTAAGAAGCATAAGCCAGGCATGGTGGCTCAAGCCTGTAGTCCCAACATTTTGGGAGGCCGAGGCAGCAGGATTGCTTGAGGCCAGGAGTTCATGACCAGCCTGGGCGGCATAGTGGGACTTTGTCTCTATAAAAACATTTTTTTTTTAAATTAGCCAGGCATGGTGGCACATGCCTGTAGTCCCAGCTACTCAGGAGGCTGAGGTGGGAGGATTGCTGGAGCCTGGAAGATCAAGGCCGCAGTGAGCCCGTGATTGTGCCAATGCACTCCAGCCTGGGCGACTGAGCAGGCCCTGTCTCAAAATAAAAACGAAGGAAGGAAGGAGGGAAGGAAGGAAGGAAGGAAGGAAGGTAATTGTGAATGTTTTCTTGGCAATCTGGCTATCCATGTGGACATCAATGTTGACTATAAAGATCCATTTGGTACTGGGGGCAAAGTTACCAGCTCACTAATGTATGGGCAATTTTCCTAGGAAATCAGTGAGGTTCATTCAGCGTTGGGATCCAGGCTTCATCTTAAACATGGTGACGTGCTGGGCTGTGCTGATGGGGAAAAGAGGCCAGAGCTTGGCCCAAAGTCTCCACTGCCTGGGCAGGAACATTTGAAAAGCCCACACACATGGAGGAGATTGTGGACAGCTTCAGAAATCATTTTGAAGCAGTGGTTTCTCAGCTGTCTACTTACAGCTGCAGAATATGGTGAGAACATTGCCTCCATTTAATATATAATGAAGGATAGGCATTGCAAATGAATGATACGAGAGAGACATCGTCAACAAATGGCATTTACTCATTTGCTTCAAATCCTTCACTAAAAATGAATTTCATTAGAATTAGAAGCCAAGAATAAAATGGCAACCATAGAAAAGCCAGAAGAATCTGTGAAAAAGAAAAAAAAAAAAGAAAAAGACAAAAACGAAAAGCTAGAAGAGAATACAACTGAGTATTAGTGAAACCACTGGTGTGTGTGTTGGGGGTGGCATCTTTTAAGTTTAGAAGAAATCACATAGAAATAATACAGATGTGTTTGCATGATATTTTGAAATTCAATATTTGCAAAAAAAATGGCTGGGAAGTAATGAAAAGTCAATGAGAAATGATCAATTGTCTTAGATCAGGTTCCCTGGAAACCACCTCAGATGAAGCTTTGCACACAAGAAGTTTATTAGGGAGGGTTCTAGAAACAGTATCTGTGAGGCAGTGAGGGCTGCAGGACTGAGCAGAGAGCAAAGCTGGCCTGGGACGCAAGAGTGACTGAGGCCTCAGCTTGTCTTTCAGAATCATCCCAAACTAAGGCAAGGGGGTTGGTGTTCCACTGGATGGATCTTTGGGTGGCCCCTGATTGGGAGCCTAACCATGGGCAAGGCAGCTCCCTTTCCTGAAGGCATCTGCAGAGAGGGAAGCAGTTGCAAAAGTCAGCAGCTCATCCTCCTGGCAGCTGTGAGAATGACAGCATCCATCTTCAAGGGGGGTCTGGGTGGCTCACCCTAGAATTCACTGTAATTATCTAAAGGGCTCATAAAGTTAATAGAAAAAATGATGACTGTAGTAATACACACATTAATAAAGGAGACAAATAGGTAATTCTTAATTTATAAATAGGAAAATGCCCAACGTCACTAGTAATGAAAGAAGTACAAGTCAAACAAAAATAATAAAATGTAACTGTTCGCTAATTCAAATACATAAAACATAACAGGGAGTCCTAGAGGCACTGTGGGTCTGTCTGTGCACATTCCTGGTGGGGTCAATAAATAGTTATAACTGTTGGGCATTGTGTATCACACCTTTAAAAGTGTTCTTGCTCTTTGACCCAGTGATTTCCACCTCAAAAAAGTCTCCCCAGAGAGGCAATACATTATCTGAAAAGGTTATATGCATGAAGATATCTGTTATAGCATTATTATTATTGTAAACAACAGAAGTTTATTTCTCACAGTGCTGGACGCTGGAAGTCTGTGATCAGGGTGCCAGCATGGTCAGGTTTTGGTGAGAGCCCTCTTTCAGGAGGCAGACAGCTGACTTCTCATTGTATCCTCACGTGGAGGAAAGAAGAGGGCCAGCTCCCGGCGCGGTGGCTCATGCCACCACTTTGGGTCATCCAAGCACTTTGGGAGACCGAGGCAGGTGGGTCACCTGAGGTAGGGTGTTTGAGATCAGCCTGGCCAACATAGTGAAACCCGTCTCTACTAAAAATACAAAAATTAGCTGGGCATGGTGGCAGGTGCCTGTAATCCCAGCTACTCAGGAAGCTGAGGCATGAGAATTGCTTGAATCCGGGAGGTGGAGGTTGCAGTGAGCTGAGATCGTGCCACTACACTCCAGCCTGGGAGACACAGCAAGACTCCATCACAATAAATAAATAAATAAATAAATAAAGAAGAGGGCCAGCTCTCTGGCTTCTTCTAATCCTATCATGGGGGCTCCACCCTCATGATCTAAATACTTCCCAAAGGCTCCACTTCCTGGTACCATCCTACTAGGAGTTAAGTTTCAACTTATGAATTTTGGGGGTACACAAATATGCATTATTGTAAAATGGCATGGTACTATTTATAATTGTGAAAAAAATGCTACAACTTAAATGTCCAATAATAGAGACAAAATTTAAGTAAATATAATTATGAAGTTATATAGCTATATAGAAAAGAGTTTTAAATATGCTATTTAAAAGATAATACAATTCTATATAGACACGGTCACATCTGTTAATAGATTCCAAGAAGGAAATCGGAAGGAAGCAGGAATGTGACCACATAAATCTGAAATTCACAAGAAGAATAAATAGATGCAAATAGTAATGTCAATTCTGAAAAAAAACAAAGAAGCAGGACTACTCTAAAACATGTTATAAAGGGTTCTGGTGATTATTGCTGCATAATATATCACTCCAAACGCAGTATCGCAAGAAACAATAGTGATTTTACGTCCCATGTCTTATGAATCTGGAGGGTGGCCGGGCTGGGCTGGGTGGCTCTTCCTTGAGGTTCTGCATGTGGCTGCAGTAAGGTGGGAGCTGGGCTAGTATGGCTAAAGACTTGCTCCCTCCCAGGCTGGGCAGCTGTGTCCGCTGGGAAGACTCAAAGGGCTGAGGGTGGACCTGCTGGGTCCCGGGCTGCCCCTGCCTCTGTGTGGTTCCAACATGGCAGTTTCAGGGCTGCTGCGCTTCTTACATGTGGCTCGTGCTCAAACGCCCGTGTCTCAAGGGAGCCTAGAACAAGCTTTGTGACCTTCTCTAGGCTAGTCTCAAAAGTCGCATGAGTCACCTCCACTGCAAAGTACTCCTGAGGCATTCAAAAGGGCCTGTCCAGTTTGAAGGGGAGGGAACACAGCCTCTCCATCTTTCTGGAGGAATGTGAAGGTTCTAGAAGGTTCACGTGGGATGGGAAATATTATTGCAGCCATTTTTGCAAAAGACAGCCACATAAAACTAGAATAATTAAATAGCATTGTAGCAGTGAAAAATGAAACTGATCAATGACACAAAAAAAGCCAAAAAACTGGACCGAATATATTTACATTTTAATATGTGATTAAAATCACATCAATCTCAACTTAATGAGATAGAAAAATTATTCAATTAATCATGCTATGACAATAGATGCATTAAGGAATTCAATGTTAAAAAAGTAAATCGAGGCCGGGTGCAGTGGCTCATGCCTGTAATCCCAGCACTTTGGGAGTCTGAGGTCCAGGAGTTTGAGACCAGCCTGGGTAATGTAGTGAGATCCTGTTGCTACAAAAAGTAAACATTTAAAAATTTAAAACCATGTAAAAGGCTTAAAAAAATTAAAACACGGAGAGGGGTAGGCCACTTCAGAAGCTTAAACGTTGTGGGAGAAATCCCACAGGAACATTTTAAACAATTACATAATTATGATAAATGTTTAAGTCCAAAAAAACCGCATTTTCCAAACAACAAAGGAAATAAATTACAAATTCAGAGATATATTCTAAGTAAATATGAAAGAAAAATAGTTCATATTTTATTCAGAATTCATTCACATGGAACAAGAACAGACAATTTGCAATAGAGGACGTTTTTAAAAGCCTTTTAAAAAATTGTTCTAAAATACATAATACATAAACTACATAATATAAAATTTACCTTTTTAGCCATTTCTAAGTGCACAGTTGAATGGCATTATGTACATTGACACTGTTGTGCAACCATCATCACCATCCACCTCCAGAACTTTCCATGTTTCTAAATTGAAACTCTGTACCCATTAAACAATAACTGCCATCCCCACTGCCCCTAGCCCCTGACAACCACCTTCCTACTCTCTGTCTCCGTGAATTTGATTACTCATATACCTCGTATAAGTGGAATCACAAAATATTTGTCCTTTTGATGTCTGGCTTCTTTCACTTAGCGTAATGTCTTCAATGTCCATCCACATTGTAGCATGTGTCTGAATTCCCTTCTTTTGAAGGCTGAATAATATTCCTCTGTATACGAATCCACCACATTGAGTTTATCCATGCATCCATCAAAGGACACCTGAGTCGTCTCCACCTTTTGCTACTGTGAATAATGCTGTGGAAAAATAAATGGAATGCTTCCATCACTATCTTATTGCCAGTGGGAGCTAATTGCTCCCTTTTCTTAAAGACGTGATTATAGTTTGTCTTTTTTCCTTTCTTCTCCTTGATATTGGATGTGACCTTGTTGGCTGATGTACTAATGTCTCTAAGGTGCAGAACACTGAAACAGGATCTCAGCAGAGCTGGAGGAGCATGGGCCAGGCCTGTGATCTGGCTTTGGGGACTATGGCTTCGCGACGTGACTTTCACAGGCAGCTGCTGAGTCTAACTTGGGGTTATGTTTTTTGAGAGAGTGAGGGGTGCATAGGAGTTTAGGTCAGTTGTGTTAGGGGCGTTTCTAAACAGCTGGAGAAAGGGGTGTGTATGTAAAATATAGAAGGCTCTTTCTCAAGGTCTTTCTCCAGGGTCCATGTCTGAATGATTTTGTATAAACTGGACCAAGTAGTCTCCGTTTCTTTTGTAATTTTAAACTTGGAATGAAGAGACCCAGTGTGCAGTGAAGAATGAACCTTACTCAAAGAGAAGACTGGCCTTTGCCCTCAGCTACTGGGAGGTGGTTTCTAGGCCACTGGAATGTCCTGCCTTTGTCTGGCCGGAGGTTTTCACCACCAGACAGTCTACCAATGTGATTTATGATGGGGGATGTGGGCTACATAGGATGGATTCTGTCTCCAGAAGGGACTGGAGACTAAAGTTACCAGACTGATCTCCAGGAGGGGGTAGAGACTACAGGCCAGCCATGTGGTCAGTATGCTATGCTATGGAGCACCAATGGAAACAGTAGGCACCCAGGCTCTGGCGAGCTTTCCTGGTTAGCCACACTCCATGTGCATTATTCCATCATGGCTGGAAGGAGCTCACTGTGCTCATAACAACACAGAGAGGATGGTCAGAAGCTCCACAGGCGGACCCCTTTCTGGACTCTGCCCCACGAGTCTCTGCCCTTGGCAGATCTTAATCCATTTCCTTTCTCTGTAAGAAATCATACCATGAGTATAACAGCTTTTGGTGAGCACTGTGAGTCCTTCCAGCTAGTGAATTATCAAAACTGAGGGTGGTTTTGGGAACACCCCCCCAAACTTTCAACTGGTGTCAGAGTAAGGACAGTCTCTTGTGGGGACTGTCCTCTCTAATTGCAGTGGTTAAGTGTGCACCCTGCTTCTGGAAGTCAATGTTGCTGAGTCTCACAGAGGGCGACTCTCTATGGAGAAGCCCACAAAGCCTGCTGCTGGGGTGCTCAGAGCTGCCCTCATGTCTCCACTTTCTGCTTCTCTCTTCCTATGATTCTGTACTTATCCAGAGCTTCCCAATAAATTATATACTTTCTTAAGCTGTCCCAAATTGGGTTCTGTTATCTGCAACTAAAATATTCTTAACTGCTCTGGATACATAAAGGGACAGAAATGATGTGTAAAGGGACAGCACCAAGCATTTATCCTGCCTCCCTAATGAACTGTATTTCAGAGTGAACAGTTGATGGGAGAAGTGCTTCTTTTTAAAATAAAATTATTTATGGTTTTTAATAACAGAGACGGGGTCTCAATATGTTGCTCAGGTTAGTCTTAAACCCTGGGATAAAGCAATCCTCCAGCCTCAGCCTCCCAAAGTACTGGGATTACAGGCGTGAGACACCACACCTGGCCAAAGAAGTTCTTCTTTATAGAAGAATCAAAGTTAATCATTGCAGGGGATGTGAGGCAGATAGAATTTGAAAATTACCATGTTACCTCTGCTAATGAAATAGTAGATAGAGGCAATGATGAAGCCTGTCTTCTAAAGCCGGTAGGTGAACAGGCAGTGGGGAACAGGTCAGGCTAACGACAATGAACCACTAATTGTCAGACAGACAAGAAGGCACTTCCTCATGAGATGCAATAGGAACTACAAGCACCATCTTTGAAGTATTTTTGTCCCCAACCAAAATGAACCTGAATAGAGTACCAACAAACCTCCAAATCCAACTATCCATTTCCAGGAAATACGAAGAGCATATTAAACAACCTACAAGAATATAATCAACCAAATCCAGATTGGGAGAAATTCTACAGAAAAATTGTCCAGATGTCTTCAACAAATGGCAGGTATAAAAAGGAGAGGAGAGGAAAATTGTTAAAGACTACAGGAGTCTTGAGACCATTCATCAGCTACATTGTCTGGACCCAGTTTGAGTCCTGATTTGAACAAACTGATTAATAAAAAACATTTATAAGACAATCAGGGATATTTACACATTGGCTCTATATTCAATATTATTAAATAACCTTTTTAAAAAGAGAAGACTATGCATGGTGGTTAGGTTTTTTTTAAAAAAAGAATTCTTATTTCTTAGAGATACATACCAAAGTATTTCTGATGAAATGCTATGTTTTCTGGCCAGGGACAGTGGCTCATGCCTATAATCCCAGCACTTTGGAAGGCTGAGGCAGGCAGATCACTTGAGGTCAGGAGTTCAAGACCAGCCTGGCCAATATGGTGAAACCCTGTCTCAACTAAAAATACAAAATTAGCCAGTGTGGTGCTGCGTGTTTGTAATCCTAGCTACTTGGGAGGCTGAGGCAGGAGAATAGCTTGAACCCAGGAGGCGGAGGTTGCAGTGAGCCGATATTGCACCACCGCGCTCCAGCCTGGGCAACAGAGTGAGACTCTGTCTCAAGAAAAAAAAAAAAGAAAGAAATGCTATGTTTTCTGGAGTGACTGAAATATTTGAATTGAAGGGGAGGGATGTGTTTGATGGGTGGTATAGATAAAATAAGATTGGTCAAATATTGATGTAATTGTTAAAGCTGAGTGACATGAAGTCATCATTCTCTTCCACATGCAAAATCTACTTTTGTGTATGTTTGAACATTTTCACAATAAAAAATAGTATTGGGAAGAAAAGGTATATATCTCACCCTATTCTGGGATAAGTAGGCCTTAATTGTAAAAACTGAAACCAGAAAAGGAAGAAACCATGGGAGAATTGTTTTTGCAATTTCTTTTTCTTTTTCTTTTTCTTTTTTTTTTTTTGAGACGGAGTTTCACTCTTGTCGCCCAGGCTGGAGTGCAGTGGCGCGATCTCGGCTCACCACAACCTCCGCCTCCTGGATTCAAGTGATTCTCCTGCCTCAGCCTCCCGAGTAGCTGGGATTACAGGCACCTGCATTATGTCCGGCTAACTTTTGTATTTTTAGTAGAGATGGGGTTTCACCATCTTTGCCCAGGCTGGTCTTGAACTCTTGACCTCAGGTGATCCACCCGTCTCAGCCTCCCAAAGTGCTGGTGAGAGGTGAAGCCAGCTGGACTTCCTGGGTCAAGTGGGGACTTGGAGAACATTTCTGTCTTACAAGAGGTTTGTAAAATGCACCAATCAGCACTCTGTAGCTAGCTAGAGGTTTGTAAAATGCACCAATCAGTGCTCTGTGAAAACACACCAGTCAGTGCTCTGTAGCTAGCTAGAGGTTTGTAAAATGGACCAATCAGCACTCTGTAAAATGGACCCTCAGCAGGACATGGGCAGGGACAAATAAGGGAATAAAAGCTGGCCACCCCAGCCAGCCCCGGCAACTCCCTCAGGTCCCATTCCATGCTGTGGAAGTTTTGTTCTTTTGCTCTTCTCAATAAATCTTGCTGCTGTTCACTCTTTGGGTCCATGCCACCTTTAAGAGCTGTAACACTCACCGCGAAGGTCCACGGCTTCATTCTCGAAGGCAGCGAGACCACGAACCCACTGGAAGGATCCAACTCCATACACACTGGGATTACAGCAATAAGCCACTATGCCTGGCCTGTTTTTGTAATTTCAAACTATGTCAGGGTTCTCTCAGAATGACTGACTTTGTATTAGTCTTCTAATGTAACTGTCTTCCACTGGTTAATATTTTATTAATACTTCACTGCTATCATACATGACAGGTGTCAGTTTATTTTTCTGTGTTTTTGTCAGGTTTTTATGTTAGTGTTAGGGTATCTTTTAATGAAATGAATTGTTTCATTTTCCATTTTTTTCCTTTTTTAGGGGAGAGTTCTCTTATTAGTCAGGGTTCTCCAGAGAAACGGAACCAATAGAATACATAGAGCCCAAGAATTGGGTCTTGAGATTATGGAGGTCCTAAAATCCCCTGATCTACCATCTGCAGGCAGAGAACCAGGAAGACCTGTGCTGTATTTCAGGGGAGGCAGTCATGTAAGTTCCAGTTCAACTCTGAAGGCTCAAGAACCATGAGTGCGGATGGCTGAAGGCAGCAGGAGATGGAGGTCCCAGCTCAAACAGGAAGCAAATCCACCTTCCTTCCTCTGCCCTTCTTGTTCTATTCAGGCCTTCAATGGATTGGACAATGCCCCCTCATGCTGGGGAGGGCCAACTGCTCTACTCAGTGTAGTTCACATGGTACCCTCCTCCAGAACACTCTCACAGACACCCAGAAGTCATGTTTCACCAGCTATCCAGGCAACATTCAGCACAGTCAGACTGACGCAGAAAATTACCCAGCACATCCTCCACCGACTTGTTCATTTTTGTTTCTAGCAGTGTTGTTGTTGAGGCTTTTTTACCCCCTTTTTCTCGTTTACTATGATGATAAACTGTTGAGTTTTTACTCAATATGCTTCAATCTTCTCTTCAAGCTAGTTCCTGTGTCCTTTGGCGTTAACCTTGTAGTCTCAGAGATTTCTTGCTTTCTGATATAAGAGATTCAGGGTTGGGCACAGTGGCTCACACCTGTAATTCCAGCACTTTGGGTGGCTGAGGTAGGAGGATTGCTTCAGCCCAGGAATTTGAGACCAGCCTAGACAAGATGGCAAGACCCTGTCTCTACAAAAAATTTAAAAATTAGCTGGGTGCAGTGGCATGTACCTGTAGTCCTAGCTACTTGGGAGGCTGAGGCTCAAGGGGACCACTTGAGCCCAGAAATTGGAGGTGGCAGTGAGCTATGATCATTCCACTGCACTCCAGGCTGGGTGACAAAGTGAGACTCCCATTGCTTTCTTTACTTTTTCTTTTTTTTTTTTTTTCAGACAGAGTCTCGCTCTGTCGCCCGGGCTGGAGTGCAGTGGCAGGATCTCGGCTCACTGCAACCTCCACCTCCTGGGTTCAAGCAATTCTCCTGCCTCAGCCTCCCGAGTAGCTGGGATTACAGGCGTGTGCCACCACACCCAGCTGATTTTTGTATTTTTAGTAGGGACGGAGTTTCACCCTGTTGATCAGGCTGGTCTCGAACTACTGACCTCAGGTGATCCACCCACCTCGGCCTCCCGAAGTGCTGGGATTACAGACATGAGCCACTGTGCCTGGCTGAGACCCCCATTTTTAAAAAAAGAAAAAAAAAAGACATTCAATATTTCTTTATGCCTGTAGTCCCAGCACTTTGAGAACAGTCTGGACAACATAATGAAACTCCGTCTCCACAAAAAATATAAAAATTAAACAGGTGTGGTGGCATAAGCCTGTAGTTCCAGCTACTCGGGAGGCTGAGTGGGGAGGATAGCTTGAGCCTGGAAGGTAGAGGCTGTAGTGAGCCAAGATCATTCCACTGCAATCCAGCCTGAGTGAAAGAGTGAGACAGTGTCTCACAATAAAAATACACACATAAATAAAAAAGTATTTCTCCAAGAAGCCCTGGTTCCTTTCCATGGAAAATGGTGTTTAGAGACCACAAAATGAATGCTAGATATACTTACTGCTACTGTATTGCCATGGCTTCTAGGCCTCTCAAGCTTTCAGAGCTGGGAAAAGCCTATTAATTTTTTTTTTCAAAAGGGATATACATCATGAGTTCATACTTACTTTTTTTTTTCTTTTTGAGATGGAATTTCACTCTTGTCACCCAGGCTGGAGTGCAATGGCACTATATCGGCTCACTGCAAACTCCGCCTCTTGGTTTCAAGTGATTCTCCTGCCTCAGCCTCCTGAGTGGCTGGAAATACAGGCGCCCACCACCATGCCCAGCTAATTTTTTTTGTATTTTTAGTAGAGATGGAATCTTGCTATGTTGCCAAGGGCTGGTTTCAGACTCCTGGCCTCAAGTGATCCTCCTGCCTTGGTCTCCCACAGTGCTGGGATTGCAAGCGTGGGCCACCACACCCAACCCATACTTTTCAATTCAAATTAAATATTTCATGGTTTTTATTTTGTAATTTTATATTTATATCTTTTCCCTCTTACATCATATAGCTTGGTTCCTAATAAAATTAACTTAATTATTTCATATGTAGAGATAAAGATAAATAGATTACGTGTCCATGTGTGTGTGTGAGCACACATGAATGTATATAATGGTGGCTTAATAATGTGTCAATTTGGTTAAACAGAACTACATTTTCCAGAATTCCCTTCCTGGTAGACGTTTGGTTAGAGTTGGACACAGGGAAATTTGTGAGATTTGAAAGGCAGCAGTCAAGAAGTAGCAGTGCTCACCCTCTGAATGTTGGGCTAGGCTAGGCCCTGTTGGAACTCATGGCATGTGCAGGCCTGCCGGCTCCTCTGTTGTGCAGACAGAGTCCGGAGGCAGAATCCTCCAGGCCCCATGTGATCTCTTCCTGCAGCTTCTCCAAGTTCTGGGCCAGGTGTGAAGACAGGAGAGGTAGCAGTGGGGTGAGGCAAGGGAATTTCTGCTCGGCCCCATTTCACATGCATTTTTCCTTCCTGACCACGGCCTTATGACTTCAGGCTCAGTGTCAGGCGTAAAGAGCCAAACGGAGGCTGTCTAGCCAGCTCCCACAACTGTGTAATGTCAAATCCCTTTAGGAATCCTTCATGCTCTATTATTTCTAGCGATTCTGCTTCTCTGATTGCATCCTGGCTAGTATTTACGTATATACATCATACATACAATGTGTATATCTTTCTGTGTGTATGAAATAATTTTAAAATATCAATACTAACATTACTACTAATATCAACATAATTTAAGATTTCCTTGTGATTCTTTTTGTCTCCAACACAATATATTTAGATAAAACATCTTTCCTCCCTGATCTGAAATGTTGCTTATGTCTTATACTAAATTTCTATATTTCTTTTGGTCTAGTCTGGACATGATGTTCCAGATGATCTTCTTTTTATTCATTTTTTTTTTTTAAAGGCAGCATCTCACTCTGTTGCCCAGGTTGGAGTGTGGTAGCACAGTCATGGTTCGCTGCAGCCTTGAACTCCTGGACTCAAGTGATACTCCCTCCTTAGCCTCCCAAGTAGCTGGGACTACAGGTGCATGCCACCATGCTTGGCTGATTTTCGTATTCAAGTGTCAGTACCACACAATTTTAATCACTGTAGCTTTAAAATATATTAAAATATCTGATAGGGCCACTCTCCTCTTATACCATTTTTTTAAGATTTTGTCTGACCTTTATTGTTTGTTTGTCCTTCCTATGAAATTTAGAATTCATCAGTTTACTTTTAAAAATCCTGTTGATAGTTTTATTGGTAACATCAGTTTTGATCACTTATATTTTCTTAGAAAATTATCTATTCCACACACAGTAAATGTTTTTTTCACCAAAATCTCACTTATTAACTTACTGTTTAACAACAAATGTATGTTGACTCTCCTCTTGTTTTCTTGGTAACATTTGTACACAAATTGTCTATTTTCTTCAGCGAACCAGCTCTTGGATTTGTCTACCAAATGTGTTGTTTTATGTTTTCTAATTTATCCATTTTTTGCTCTTGACTTTATAATTTTTTCCCTTTGTTCCTTTTAGGAAAAAATAAATTAGAAGAAAAAAATCATTGTATATAAGAAATACCTGTTTTCAATGTAAATGAAGGTTTTATTTTTCATTTATTCACTGAATAATTTTTAAAGCCTCCATGTTCTGAATTTGGTACTAGCCAGTAAGAAAATAAAAATATCCTTTATATAGGGAAATAGAAATCATTCCAGCATATAAATGCTATCAGAGTCTCAGGAATGCTTTTCTGGAACATTCCAAAGCTGAATTGGCAGGCTCTGGCTTTTCTCTGGCTCGCATCCTCACCACCTGGATGGTTTCCCTAGTTATGATCTCCCTACCCATAATGGAACAAGAGTTCTTAGAACTGGGGTCGGCTGGGCACAGTGGCTCACGCCTGTAATCCCGTAATCCCAGCACTTTGGGAGGCTGAGGCATGGGGATCATGAGGTCAAGAGATGGAGACCATTCTGGCCAACATGGTGAAACCTGGTCTCTACTAAAAATACAAAAATCAGCCAGGTGTGGTGGCACACACCTGTAGTTCCAGCTACTCGGGAGGCTGAGGCAGGAGAATCGCTTGAACCCGGGAGGCGAAGTTTGCAGTGAGCCGAGATGGCGCCGCTGCACTTCAGCCTGGTGACAGAGTGAGACTCTGTCTCAAAAAAAAAAAAAAAAAAAAAGAGAGCTGGGGTTAATCATTCACCTGCATTGACCTGAGATGCCTTAGTCATGGTTAGTTCTCCCACACTTGTTCTTCAGAAACCTCTGAAACCACACCCTTGTGAGGTAAGAGGCCTTCCAGTCAACAAGTCATGCAGTTCTCTAGCTACCAGGGAAACCTGATTAGATACTAATAACAGGAACCTCTCGGCCAGATGGCATCCACTCACCTCTGTGCAGGGGTCAGGCATTTTAGTGTGCACTTCCTCAAACAGTCTAACCATTTCTCTTATGTGTTGTGCATGGTGTCAACCAGAACGAAAACTTCCCACTCTACAAGTGTATAAGGCAGTAAAAGATGCTGCTTTCACCTATGAGTTTCTGTAGCACACATGCTTCCTCTTCATGGCTTGATACCAGCACGGTGGATCCCACAAGGGCGTTTTAGCTTAGAGTCACTGCCCTCTAATGTTAGAGGTTAGAAATCACCCAGAGGCTGGTCCAACCTCTTTGCAAAGAGCAGATTGCTCAAGGACACAGGCATCTGGGAGAAGAGGGTGGTTACACACCCTTATTCCCAACACTTGCCATTCCCATCATGCCCCATATTTCTCATCTGTCAAAAACAGGAAGCAATAGCGTTATTGAATACTATTAGTGTGAGTACTAAAGAAGAAAATATATAATGTGCTTAGTGCAGTCACTATACAAAATTTAGGAAGTGTAGGCTTAAAAAATATTTTATTAAAAATGAGGTTTCACTGTGTTGCTCAGGTTGCACTAGAATTTCTGGGCTCAAGGGATCCTCCCACCTCAGCCTCCCACGTAGCCGGGACTCCAGGCACAACACCATGCCCTGCAGTGTAGGCTTACATTTTAAAAAACGTTTCATCTGGAATCTTCAACACTTCAATAGTCATGGTGTCCCTGTGTTCCTAGAACCAGATGGTAAAGAAAATAGAACAGTCTTGGGTTGCAAAAATTTAGGTATTTATCTCAGAAAACCAATGAGCTGGCTACATTTTTTTCTGCCTAAAAAATGTTCAGAGGTAGCAATCTGGCTGTAATCAGAGATGTATTTCATAGCAAACTTAGAGTTTTTACTTGGATATCATGTTAACTTGCATAGCATCTAAAACAGCACAGATTTTTATTCAATTTGCATAATATTGAGAAAAAGGTCAACTTTCCATACAAAAAATATCATTTTTGTGGATTACCGCTGGGAGGTGCTATGAAGGTAACAGGGTAGTTAAAGCCCTCTCTGGAATTCTTTTCTTCCACTACTGAACATCTTTGTGGTTTCTCTTAAAACAATTCAAAGCAGCAAACGTTTTTAACCAAAGCTTTAAATAAATTAAGCCCTGGGCCATTTTACAACTTATTTTCTACTCTCCCGCCTTCCAGCATGAGCTTAACAAGAAAATTTCAGTATCGAGTTCATAGAGTTTTTACCGTGGTGTATCCTCTGGTGACCTTTCAGTATTCATCTGACATTAAGCAATTGGAAGTCCTTGTCTGAACCAAGGATCGGTGGACTTTTTGGCACCAGGAGTTTTCCTCTTCAAAAATAATAGATGGGGCCACGGTCTATTGAAAATACATGGGGAAAAATGAAGTCCCCCTAAAAATGAGAATGTTAGATGCTAAAAAGAGATAAAAAAAACCTATCCAGATATGATAGGAAATAGTACTGGCTAAGGAGGACTTGAAATAGCTTTTGACTACCATCTTCTGCTCCTTAAACTGGTTACCCAGTGTGGCTCACCCCGATGTCGTTTGAATATCCTCTTTTTCCACATAGATGAGACTCCAAAAGAATGTGCAGTGAATGGACAATGCCTGTGCCTCTGCTTATGTTGAGACAATGACCAATGTTGGTTGCTTGTATTTGGAGCACAGTGAGGAGTGGGCAGTGGATTTGGCAGACGTAGCGCAATTTGTTTATCCATTCACCTGTTGAATTTGGGTTGTTTCCCATTCGGGGCAATTAGAAATAGAGTGCTCTGAGCATGTGCGTTTGTTTCTCTTGATAAATACCTAGGAGTGTAGTGTCTGTCTCATATGGCAGGTGAATGTTTAAGATTTTAAGAAAATGCCAAACTCTTTTCCAAAAGGTTTGTAACATTTTACATTCCCACCAGCAGTGTATGAGGATTCCAGTTGCTCTATATCTTCACCAGTACTTGGAATGATCTGTCGTTTTTTTTTTGTTTTGTTTTGTTTTTGAGACGGAGTTTCCGCTCTTGTTGCTCAGGCTGGCGTGTGATGGTGCAATCTCAGCTCACTGCAACCTCCGCCTCCCAGGATCAAGCAATTCTCCTGCTTCAGCCTCCCGAGTAGCCGGGATTACAGGCATGTGCTACCACGCCCAGCTAATTTTGTATTTTTAGTAGAAATGGGGTTTCTCCATGTTGGTCAGGTTGGTCTCGAACTCCCGACCTCAGGTGATCCATCTCAGCCTCCCAAAGTGCTGGGATTACAGGCGTGAGCCACCGTGCCAAGTCAGAATGATCAGTCTTAACTTTAGTCATTCTAATAGGTGGGTAGTGGAACCTTACTGGGGTTTTAATTTGCATTACTTTAATGTGTAGTGATGTTGAATATCTTTTCTATTGAATATTTGTTTGCTATTGATATCTTCTTTAGTGAATCTTTGTTCAGATCTTTTGTCCATTTTTAAATGTTTTTTCCTGAGTTTTGAAGGTTTTTATATATTCTACATACAAGCTATTTGTCAGATATGACTTGCAAATATTTTCTCTGAGTCTGTAGCTTGGCTTTTCATTCACTTAACGCTGTCTTTTGAAGAGCAGAAACTTTAAATGTTAATAAAGTCTAATTTATCAGTTTTTTTTAATAGGTCACGCTTTTGGTGTTATATCTCAAAATCCTTTGATTAACCCAAGATCAGATAGATTTTCTTCTATTGTTTTTCTAGAAGTTTAATACTTTTAGGTTTTGCATTTACATCTGATTCACTTTGAGTAATGTTTTGATTATGGTGTCAGGTATGGAACAAAATTCTTTTTTTTCCATATGGATATCCAGTTGTTTCTTAGGGGGAAAGAATTTAGTCTTTCTATTAAGTATGATGTTAGTTGTCGGTTTTTGAAGATGCCCTTTATCAGGTTGAGGACATTTCCTTCTATTCCTAGTTTGCCAAGAGTTTTTAACAAGAGTGGCCATGATATATTACTACTTGAAAGTGGACTGTGATGGGTTAAATATGTCAAGTTGGTTGATTGTGTTTTTCAAGTCTTCTATACACTTACTTTCTGTTTACTTGTTCTCCCAATTATGGAGAGAGGGTTGTAGAAATCTCTAACTATAATTGTAGATTTGTGAATTTCTCCCTGCAATTTTTAAAATATTTTTTGAGACAGGGTCTCCCTCTGTCGCCCAGACTGCAGTGCAGTAGTGCAATCTTGGCTTACTGCAACCTCCACCTCCCAGGCTCAAGAGATTCTCCTGCCTCAGCCTCCTGAGTAGCTGGGATTACAGGTGCGCACCACTACTGCCTGGCTAATTTTTGTATTTTTAGTAGAGACAGGGTTTCACCATGTTGGCTAGGCTAGTCTTGAACTCCTGACCTCAAGTGATCCACCTGCCTCGGCCTTCCAAAGTGCTGGGATTATAGGCCTGAGCCACTGTGCCCGGCCCTCCCTGCAATTATATCAGTTTTCATTTCATATGTCTTTAAGCTCTGTTACTGTGTGCCTAAACATTTAGCATTATTCTTTTTATGAATTGATGCTTTTATCATTATGAAATGATCTTCTTTTTCCCTGGTAATATTTTATCTGAAATCTGCTTTATCTGGTACTAATATAGCCACTCCATCTTTCTTTTGATTTTCATGGTGTATCTTTCTCCATTATTTTGCTTTTAACTCCTTGTGTTTATATACATAAAGTACTGTCTCTTATAGGCAGCATACAGTTGAATCTTATTGATTTTTTATTTTTTGAGACAGAGTCCTGCTCTGTCCCCCAGGCTGGAGTGCAGTAGCACCATCTTGGCTTACTGCAGCCTCTGCCTCCTGGGTTCAAATGATTCTCCTGCCTCACCCTCCCCAGAAGCTGAAATTATAGGCATGTGCCACCACGCCCAGCTAATTTTTGAATTTTTGGTAGAGATGCGGTTTTGCCATGTTGGCCAGGCTGGTCTTGGACTCCCAACCTCAGGTGATCTGCCCACTTTGGCCTCTCAAAATGCTGGGATTACAGGCGTAAGCCACCATGAAGGGCCTTGAATCTTATTTTTTAATCCAATCTGAAAATCTTTGCCTTTGATTTAGGGTGTTTAGACCATTTACATTTAAAGTAATTGCTGAAATGATTTTATTAATGCTGTCATCTTGCCCTGTTTGGTATTTGACCCATGTTTCTTTATTCCTTTTTTCTTCTCTTCTGTCTTCCTTTGGTTTAGCTGAATACTTTTTATGATTCTGTTTTATCTTCTTTGTTGGCTTATTAGCTATAACTCTTTGTTGTGGTATTTAAGTGATAAACTCTAAATTTTATTTATTTATTTATTTATTTATTGAGACAGGGTCTTACTCTGCCACCCAGGCTGGAGTGCAGTGGTGCTATCTGGGCTCACTGCAACCTCTGTCTCCCACGCTCAAGCTATTCTCATGCCTCAGCCTCTTGAGTAGTTGGGATTACAGGCACCTACCACCATGCCCGGCTAATTTTTGTATTTTTAGTAAACATGAGGTTTCACCTTGTTGGCCAGGCTCAAACTCCTGACCTGAAGTGATCCACCTGCCTTAGCCTCCCAAAGTACTGGAATTACAGGCGTGAGTCACTGTGCCTGGCCAACTCTAAATTTTAGGGTTTATGGTATACATCTTTAACTTATTGCTATCTACCTTTAAGTAATATTATGCTATTCATGTATAGTATTACAATAGTATACTTCCATTTCTTCCTTCTTAGGCTTTTTTTTTTTTTTTTAACTCTGGACTTTTTATTGGCCTCCTGCTCCCCAAAGGGTACCCTGCTGCTGCTGGCTTAATGCCTCAGAACTTTGGTGTCATTGGTCTCAGACACCACTTTGCCATCCACTATCTGGCGGTTGGTGGTCTTTTGGATAGTTTGCATGGAGTTGCTGTTGTCCAGGGCATCACCAAGACTGAAGTCCTTACCATCTTCCAGCAGGCAGCGGTAGGTGGTGATCTCAGCCTCTAGCTTGCCCTTGATGTTCAGCAGGGCCTCTTACTCCTGGGCCTGGCGCTGTCCCTCTGCCCAGGTCTGTGCCAGCTCTGACTCCAGGTGCAGCAAGATCCCGTTGAGCTGTTTCATCTGTAGGGTGTAACGGGCCTCCACCTCCCTCAGGCTGTTCTCCAAGCTGGCCTTCAGATTTCTCATGGAGTCCAGGTCAATCTCCAAGGACTGGACTGTACGTCTCAGCTCCGTGAGTGTCGTGTCGCCTCAAAAGCTCCAACCTTGGCAGACGGCGTTGTGACCACTGTGGTGCTCTTCTCAATCGGCTGAGACCAGTACTTGTCCAGCTCCTTTCGGTTCTTCCGAGCTTGTCATATTGAGCCCAGATGTCTGCCATGATCTTGGCAAAGTCCTGAGATTTGGGGGCATCTACCTCCACGGTCAATCCAGATCTGGCAGTCTGGGCTTGTAGGCCTTTTACTTCCTCTTCATGGTTCTTCTTCATGAAGAGCAGCTCCTCCTTGAGAGCCTCAATCTCTGTCTCCAGCTGCAGCCAAGTGACATTGGTATCATTGATGACCTTGCGGAGCCCATGGATGTCACTCTTCACAGACTGGTGCATGGCCAGTTCTGTCTCATACTTGACTCTAAAGTCATCAACAGCAAGACGGGCATTGTCAATCTGCAGCACGATGCAGGCATTGTCCACGGTATTTGCGAAGATCTGAGCCCTCAGGTCCTCGATAGTCTTGAAGTAACGGCTCCAGTCTCTTGACCTGGGGTCCCTTCTCCAAGTGCTCCCCGATTTTGCTCTCCAGCCTCCGGTTCTTGGTCTCCAGGCTCCTCACTCCATCCAGGTAGGAGGCCAGACAGTCGTTCAGGCTTTGCAAGTTCTCCTTCTCGTTCTGGATGCCTCCCATTCCTGCCAGGCCCCCGGCCATTCCCACAGCCAGGCCCCCGGACCCCATGCCGCCCCAGAAGCTGGAGGAGTGGGACATAGAGATCCGGGAACCAGAGCCCCCGGCACCTGCATAGACGCTGGTCGTGCCTGGACGGAGCCCAGAGACCAGTAGTTGGTGGAGCGAGTGGTGAAGCTCATGCTGTTCCGGGAGGAGGGCGAGAGGACAGGACTCGGGCTTTGCCGAGGACTCCTTCTTAGTTTTAATGCTGCTATTGTCAAACATTTTGTTTTTATGTATGTTATATTTTCTACAATGCATTTTAAATAGTCATTTATCTTTAAAATATATTTAAATAATAACATATTATAAATTTACTCATTTAATGAACCATACATGGTGCTCTTTATTCCTTTGTGTAGATCTGAATTTCTGCCTGTTATCAGGTTTGTTTTTTTTTTTTTAAGTCAAAAGAACTTTTTATTATGGAAAATTTCAGAGTAGATAAAAGTAGAGAGAACAGTATAGTGAACCATGCATCTATTACCTACTTCCAGTGATTACCAACACTTCGTACTTTTTATATTTTCTGGCATGTGTATGTTTTATATATTAAAATAAATAGAAAAAAATATGAAAATAAAATACCATGTGCCTAAGCCATACTGCAGAACTATGGAGATAAGTCCTTGGGGTCTGAGCCCAGGAATCAGCATTTTAACAAACTTCTGCTCCAGTTGATATAATTTTACTTTTGCCTGAAGACTTTCTTTAATATTTCTTGTGTTGCATATGTGCTAGTGAAGATGTCTTTCAGCTTTTGTGTGTCTGAAAAGTTTTTATTTCATCCTTATTTTAAAAAGATAACTATCACCGTGTATAGAATTTTACGTTGATACATTTTTAACTTCAATTTGTTAAACATGTTACTCAACGTTTTTCTGGCTTGCATTGTTTATCACAAATAATCTGCTGTTCTTATCTTTGTTGCTTTTTGTAGATATGCCTTTTTTTTTCCTCTGGCTGTTTTTACCTTTTGCTCTTTATCTCTGGTTCTGATCAATTTTATTATGATGTGCATTGATGGAGAAACCCAAGGTCACAAAGGTTTAGTCCTTCATATTTTCTTCTAAGAGTTTTATAATTTTAATTCTTACATTTCAGTCTGTGATATATTTTGAGTACATTTTTCTGCATTATGTGAAAAAAGGTCTAATTTCATCCTTTTGCATATGGATATGCAATTGTCTCAGCACCATTTGTTGAAAAGACTATTCTTTCACCCTTGTGGAAAATCAGTTGACTGTAAATAAGGGTTTATTTTTTGACTTTGAATTCTAATCCATTTATATATATATATATATATATATGTGTGTGTGTGTGTGTGTGTGTGTGTGTGTGTGTGTGTGTGTGTGTGTGTCTATCCCTATGCCAATGCCACACTGTCTTAATTGTATCATTGTAGTAAGTTTTAAAATAAGGAAGTGAAATTCCTCCAAATTTGTTCTTTTATTCAAGATTGTTTTGGTTACTCTGGGGTACTTTAAATTTCCATATGAATTTTATCACCTTGTCAATTTCTGCAAAGAAGCCAGCTAGGATTTTAATAGAGATTATGTTGAATCTATAGATCAATTTTAAAATATATATTCTATCTTTTTATTTACTTTATATGAGGAGACACTGTCGTATCTTCCTTTATTTCTTTAATCATGGTTTTCTTTAGTTTTTAAAATATATTTATAATGGCTGCTTTGAAATCAGTTAAATCTGACACCTGTACCTTCTCAAAGATAATTTCTGTTGTCTTCCTTTTTTTTTTCTTGTGTATGATTTATACTTTACTGATTGTTGTTGTTTGGCAAGAGTTACAATTTTTATTAAAAAAACAGACTTTTAGATATTGTAGCAATTTTGCATACCGATTTTTCCCTTCCCTTCTTCCCTCCTAGGCTTGTTGCTATTTGCTTATTTATTTATTTAGTAAGTTGGCTGTACTATTTTAGTGAAGTCTATTTCCCTCATAGTATAAAGCTTCTGATGTCATTCTTCAGAGGACACAGACTTGGTCACATGCACAGTCACCCTGGGATGACAGTAGTTTAGTAGGGCACTTTCAACTATCTTTTTCCTTAATCTTTCTGTTAAGCTGTCTGCCTTTGTTTGAGTCACAACCAGCTCTTAGGCTGTACTAATTACCAATCAAATTCTTTATTGTGTTCAATAGTACCCTATGGATTAATTGCTCCACTGGTTGATCCTGTTAAATTCAGACACATTTGCAGGGATAGTTTTTGAAGCCAGTCTTTGAGGTTTGTTCTGATTCTAGGAGGGTTCTTCTTAGCTATCTCTTTTTTCAGTCCTCTCTGGTAAACTGGCTGGTCTATAATTTAGCTTGCTGCTCTCATGGAGCTACTGCTTCCTCTTAATTGCTTATCACCAAACTCTCCATTGTTTTTGAGAGTGGTCTTAGGCTTGAACTCCCTGACACTGTGCTCCAAATAAAGTCAGTTTCTTTGGGGAGAGTTTCAGAGTTCTCTGTCCTTACGGCCTGACTCTACCACTAGGAAAAATCTCTGAGTACCTGCTTCAGACCTAAGGGTAGGGACAGTGGGTCACTTTTCTTGGAGTAGCATCGTTGCTTTATGAGTGGGTTGGTGGATATGGGTGGTAGTCTCTGGTCTTCTCACCTTCTCTCTCCCAACTTAAAACCACTACCCTGTGAGCAAATGAGGGCCAGGACATGGGCCCAATATCAGATTGCCATGACTATGGTAGCACTACCTTCCTATGAGTGAAGAAGTGATGAAAGAAGAGAGCCTCTGACTTTTTGGGTGGATTAACCTATAATTTAGCCTCTGTAACAAAGAACATGGAGAAAGAGGATGAGAGATGCTGGCAAACTTTCTCTCCCAGAAAGATACCCTAGCCCTTGACTGGGAGCTTTGAGGAAAAGGAGTCTCATCTTTTTGGCCATGCCTACCTAGGGCCAGGCTTCCATCATGCTGGGCTGATGGGAAGGGAGGGAACAGGTTATGCCCAAGTGCCACAGAGTCTTGCTGTCTGTAGTGAGATTAGGTAGATTTTCTTGAATGTTTGTTTGTTTGCTGTATGACTTAGGACAAGTTTCAGAGACTTTCAGTGGTCATTGTTTCATAATTTTCACCAGTTTTGGTTGTTTTGTCAGGGGATGAATCCAAGGAGTGGTGGCCTCGTATCATCATTCTGGGTGTCATCTGACTGTTCATTTTTATGTACTTACTTATTTGAGACAGGGTCTCACTCTGTGACTTAGGCTGGAGTGCAGTGGCAATCATAGCTCACTGCAGCCTCAAATACCTGGGCTTAAGCTATCATCTCACCTCAGCATCCTAAGTAGCTGGAACTATAGGCACATGCCACCATGCCTGGATTAAAAAAAAATTTTTGTGGGTGGAAATGGGATCTTGCTATGTTGCCCAGGCTGGTTTCAAGTTCCTGGCCTCTAGTGGTCCTCCCACCTCAGCCTCCCAAAGTGCTGGGATTATAGGCAGGAGCCACTGTGCCCAGTCTGTTCATATTTTAAAATTCTCTTGTTCCTCTGGGTTTCATTATTGGTAATTCCTATTTTTATGTCTTCAAGTTCAGTAATCTTTTCTTACGTAATGTCTAGCTAGTCTTTATTTTATTTTTTAAATTTGTTTTTATAGGCAGGACCAACCAGGTAATTAATCTGCCTTTAATTCTAGCCAGTGAATTTTTCATATTGAACATTGCAGTTTTCATCTATAGAAGCTTGCTTTGAGTCTTTTTGATATTTTCCTTGTCTCTACTTACCTTTTGAACATATGTAATACAGTTTAGTGCCTTGTCTTCTAATTCTAACATCTGTGTCAGTTAAGGATCAAATTTAATTTGTTTTTCTCATTATAGGTTGTATTCTCAGGGATCTTTGCTTGACTGGTAATTTTTGATTGGATGCCAGACTTTATGAATTTTACTTAGTAGGGTGATGGACATTTTTATGTTTATATAAATATTTGTTCTAGAACACAATTATGTCACTTGTAAACAATTTGATATTTTCAGGTCTTTCTTTTTGAATTAGTTCGGCAGGACTGATTAGCATTTAGTCTAATTATTCCCTTGTACTATGTACCATCCCGTTAAAAGGAAAACTTTAGGCAAATTAAATTGAGCAGAGTTTAATTGAGCAAAGAATGATTCATGAATTGGGCATCCCCCAGAACCAGCAGCGCAACTCCAGGGCCACCATGTGGCCGGATAACATTTATGGACAGTAAAAGGGCAGTGACTTACAGAAAATGGAGGTGAAGCACAGAAACAGCTGGCTGGCGACAGTTTGGCACTTAGTTAAACATGGTTTCAACAGTTGGCTGCCTTTGAGTGGCCAAAATTCGGCTGCTATAATTGGCTGAGGCTTGACTACTTGTTACAGGAGTGCCTTACAATCTGGTCACATGTCCAGTTAGGCTACAGTTCTCTGTGTATGGAAAAACATTTAGCCTGAACTTAAAATATGTAAGGAGGTAGCTTTAGGCTTAACTTAGTTTAACACTACTAATGTCAATGAACTATGAGGTTTTCTGGTCTGGCTGGTGGGAATAAGCACGATTCCTTGCTCTGAGTGAGCACTGTAAACCTCCAATCCTTTCAAGTGGCTCTCTCCCTTGTCTCTGATGACGCCTGCGCATGAATGTGCTGGTCAGTAGGTCCTCTGATGAATATTCAAGGATCCTCTGCAGATCTCCCAAGTCCTCTCTTTATGGAGCTCTCTCTTCTCTGGTGCTGATTCCCATGAACTCTAGCTGCCTTGATCTCCTGACTCTCACCTCTGTCTCCTCAAGTCAGGGATCTACCAGGCTTTGCCTCTGTTCTCCACTCTGCACCACAGCCTGGAAACTGTCTCAAGGCCACAAGATGGGGCAGTAGCTTAGGGATCACTCATTGTCCTTCGTTGCCTAAATCCATGTTTTGAAACTTTTTTTTTAAGTCTCATCTTTTGTTGTTGTTACTGTTTCAGGCAAGAACACAAATCTGGCCCCTGTTACTGCATTTTGGCCAGAGGAAGGAGTCTAGAGTCCCCCTTTCAATGTCTATATTTCTCTCAGAATCCAGTAAATGGAACTACATTAGATCTACATGCTAGTAAGAAAGCATAAAACATAGATAGTAAGATTATTTATGTATAAATAAGAAAAGCACTCAGACAAACACATTACTTCAAGATGTCAAAAACCAAGTGCAAATAGCTGCTCTGGATAAATTCTAACCTTTCCTGGTGGGCTGCATTTTCTGGAAAGATCGCCCCAGCTGAAGGAAGAAAAGGGATATAGGAATCACCTAAAACATTCAATAAGAACAGGCACAACTGTCTCAAACTTCCTTTTTATCTGTGGTGTGTCCTTCCTCTCTCTCTCCCTCCTTCTCTCCTAAAATTGCCGAATCTCAAACTGGCTTTTGGGCAACAAGGAAGACTAAAGTGTTTCTGTTAGTAGCTGAGAATTTGGTTTTACTTCAAGCGTATCTCTTTAAGTAAAATAATACTATGAAAGCAAAACATATCAGTATTTCAAAATGTTTCTGTTTCAAAACCCAAACAACAATCTTTGAATACTTAACTTTCATAATTCTGTTTTTACCAGATGCTGGAAAACATTGAAACCAAACCAATCCCCCAGAAATGTGTTCCTAACCACAACTCCGTGTAGGCAGACAGACAGAAGTTATGTCAGTTCCTGGAAAAGAAAGGCTTAGGCGCCACATTTAACCATTTCACCTTCTTGGTTCGTTTGTTCTTGGTCTGTCTCTCTTCGGAGGTAGCGAAGGCCAGGTGTTAGACACATCAGTCCTCTTTCTGCCTCGGTTTGGACTGGGCTTCTGGATTCTTACTGGTCTGCCCTGGGTTTCCTGGAGGCCTTTCTCTGGCTCCTAATCTCTTCTCAGCTGTGCCCAGGAAGAGTGGGTGTCCCTGGGTTCTTTCCATGTTGGCCTGACCCCAGCAGAGCCGGAGGCTTAGCTGCAATGTGCACTGTGACGTGGTGAAGCACTCCCTTTGTGTCCTATTTTGAGACTCCTCTCTCATGGTTCCTGGTTCTGGGTGCCCTCTGCTCTAAGTGTCCCACTCCAGGGGACTCCTTCTCTCTGCACAGTCCACATGCACTGCAGGAGATACCCAGATCCAGCCTCTTCGTTTGCATGTGACTACAACTGTGGTAGGTAAATTTCAGGAGTGGTGTCCTGGTCAGGTCCTGCAGTGGAGACAGGAGAGGCAGAGAAGGCCAGCCTGTAGACAGAAAGAACAGAAGAGAAAAAGGAGGAGGACTTTGCACTTCTGAAGCAAGCCCCTTCCTGACACCCAGATGTTTCATCTCCTTGACGTTAGGAGATATCATTGAAGCTGCTCGATAACTGTCTCCTCTCAGCTACCATTTTTTTCTGGCCTAATCTAGCTCTCCAGTTGGTTCCTATTACATGGCACAGTTATTATTTTTAAAAAATCAATTCTAATTGCTTGGGGGAAGTTAATGATGTAATATTTTCTAGGTTTTGAAAGTTATGTGCTAGGCCGGGCTTGGTGGCTCACGCCTGTAATCCTAGCACTTTAGGAGGCTAAGGCGGGCACATCACCTGAGGTCAGGAGTTCAAGACCAGCCTGACGAATATAGTGAAACCCTGTCTCTACTAAAAATACAAAAATTAGCCAGGCATGGTGGAGCGTATCTGGAACCGCAGCTACTCATGAGGCTGAAGCTGAAGAATCACTTGAACCCGGGGGGCAGAGGTTGCAATGAGCCAAGATCGTGCCACTGCACTCCAGCCTGGGTGACAGAACAAGACTCTGTCTCAAAAAAAAAAAAAAAAAAAAAAAGTTATGTGCTGGAAAAGTGCTATCCAATAAGAATACAATGTGAGTCATATGTTACTTTAAATTATCTAATAGCCACATTTGAAAAAGTAAAATTAAGCAGGTTAAACTCATCTTAATAATGTATTTTACTTAACCCAATATATCCAAGATGAGAAAAAAACATCTGGGCCTTCAAACTGTGTTCTATTATCAATTCTTTTTTTAGAGACAGTTCTCACTCTCGCCCAGGCTGCAGTGCAGTGGCACAATCACGGCTCACTGTAGCCCTGACCTCCCAGGCTCAATCGATGCTCCCATCTCAGCCTCCTGAGTAGTTTGGATCACAGGCGCCTGTCACTGTGCCTGGCTAGGTTTTTTTTTTTTTTTTTTTTGTAGTGACAGAATCTCCCTATGTTGTCCAGGCTGGTCTCAATTTCCTGGGCTCACATGATTCTCCTGCCGCGGCCTCCCAAAGTGCTGGGATTACTGGTGTGAGCCACCATACAGAGCCCTACAATTAGTTCTTGTCAATGTAAACTTTTGTATCCAAGACACTTAGTTATAACATGCAAATAAAATGGTTTATTAGCTTGAACCCTTATTCTGGTTTTTGTAAATACATTGTTGCTGATGAATATTAAAGAAACTCATGAATAGCTCTTAGCAGAACTTTAGGCGATTGCTTAGAAGTGCTGTGATAGTTTCCACCACGGAAATAAGGGTGAAGGAGAAGAGTTGTTCATAGCGGCTGGTGAGTGTCTCATCAGCTCTCTCTTCACTCCCTGGCTAGAAGCCACTGGGTGAATATTAGTTCCTTGAATTATGGAATTGGGGTCAAACAATATAATCCTACACTAGGAAGAAGGAATTTAGTGTAGTAAAAAGAACACCAGAGGATGGGCACGGTGGCTCGCGTCTGTAACCCCAGCACTTTGGGAGGCCAAGGCAAGCAGAAGTAAGGAGTTCGAGACCAGCCTGGCAAACGTGGTGAAACCCCATCTCTACTAAAAATACAAAAATCAGCCGGGTGTGGTGGTGGGCGCCTGTAATCCCAGCTACTCCGGAGGCTGAGGCAGGAGAATTGCTTAAACCCGGGAGGCGGAGGTTGTGGTGAGCCGAGATTGTGCCATTGCACTCCAGCCTGGGCTACAAGAGCGAAACTCTGTCTCAAACAAAACAAACAAACTAAGAACAACAACAACAAAAAACACCACCAGAATTTTAGTCAGAAGAAATTGTACGCTAGTCCTGTTTCTGTGTGACCAAAGGTAATTACTAATTGCACCCTCTGAACTTCTTAGTCCTCAACTAAAACATGTGGATGCCAGACTGGGTAACATGGCAAAACTCCGTCTCTACAAAAAATTACAAAAATTAGCTGGGTGTGGTGGTGCGTGCCTGTAGTCCCAGCTACTCGGGAGGCTGAGGTGGGAGGATCACTTGAGCCCAGGAGGTGGAGGCTGCAGTGAGCAGAGATTGCACCACTACAGTCCAGTCCGGGTGATAGAGTGAGACCAAGTCTCAAAATAATACTAATAATAAAAACAAATACGACAAGTGGATGCTTCACTGGCTTGCTGGAGGGGATAATGACCTCACAGATTCAAAAGCAGTTGACATGTAGTGGATGTTCAACAAACATTCTCCTTGTCCTTCTCATAACTGAGACACGAGGATAATACACATTACAATCTACATTTTTCTAGGTATAAATTTTTGTTCACAGAGCTGTTCAATATATAGTGTCTTCAATGGCATATTCTAATGAGATGTGATACATCATCGGAGGACCTTGATTCAAATCCCACCTGCCATTTGCAAAATATTTGTCCTTGAATGAGTTCCTTGAGGTATCTGAAATTTGGTTTCTCATCTCCCAACAGCAAGGTATTACTAGCTTCCCCACGGGGTTATTGTGAGGGTTAAAAATGATGCACACGCGCGTCAGGGGCTTTGTTTGCAAGTGAAAAGCTCAACCTCAACAAGCCTAAGCTCCGAGGGGGAGTTTATTGGCACGTGCTGAGGCAAGGCAGAGGTGATCTGGTCCTGGGGAACAGCTGCAACCTTGGACTTAGACACTCTATTTCCTCTGTCTCTCGGATCCGTAACCAGGTGTTGGCACTTCTGTTCTGCTCAAACAGTTACCAAGAAAAGGGCCAGACCTGGGTTCCCGAGGCTTAAAACTCTCCAGTATGAATGCTGTCTCCTCTTGAGTTTTCACAGCCCTGACCATGCTCCCTAAAGCAGCTTTCATGCGCATGCGCCATCGCTCATGCGGGATGTGGGTGTGGTCATCACAGACCTTCCCACCTCTATGAAATGGGGAAATGGAAGCGACACTGAGCTCTCCTGGATTGACTTGGATATATCAATTCTTTCTCTCCTCGGTGTGCACTCTTTCTCAACAGATGCATCGCTGAGAGGCTAACCGGGAGGTTCAGTCCCACTGAGTCATCGACTCAGTGTGTTCAGTCATGCCCTTGCCTTTATGCAGATAAATCCAAGTCAGCCTGTTCGGTTTTTCTTATGCATAAGAGAAAAAATATACAGTCATGCATTGCTTACCAATGGGAATATGATCTGGGAAATGTGTCCTTAGGCGATTTTATCATTGTGCGAACATCATAGGGTGTACTTAGGCAAACCTAGATAGTACTATGTGGTATAGCCTACTGCTCCTAAAGTACAAACCTGCAGCAGATTACTGTCCTGAATACTGTGGGCAGTTGTAACACAATGGTAAGTATTTGTGCATCTAAGCATATCTCATCATAGGAAAAATGCAGTAAAAATACAGTATTATAATTTTGGGAACACCGTCATTTATGCAGCCCATTGTGGACTAAAATGTTGTTATGCGGTGCATGACTACATACATGCACATGTTTATCTATTATTTATAAATGCATAGTGAATAGTTTTTCTTCTGACTCATTGAAATCCCTGAAACTCATTTTTTAAAAAATTTAACTTCAAGTTCCGGGATACATGTGCAGAACGTGCAGGTTTGTTACATAGGTATACATGTGCCATGGTGGTTTGCTGCACCTATCAACCCGTCACCTAGGTTTTAAGCCCCAAATGCATTAGCTATTTGTCCCGATGCTCTCCCTCCCCTTGGCCCTCCCCCAACAGGCCCCGGTGTGTGCTGTTCCCCTCCTCAAGTCTATGTGTTCTCATTGTTCAGCTCCCACTTATAAGTGAGAACATGCGGTGTTTGGTTTTCTACTCCTATGTTAGTCTGCCAAGGATCATGGCTTCCAGCTTGATCCATGTCCCTGCAAAGGACATGATCTCGTTCCTTTTTATGGCTGCATAGTATTCCTGGCATATATACACCACATTTTCTTTATCCAGTCTATCATTGATGAATCCCTGAAATTGTTATTCTTATTAATATTAAATTAAGTTTAGCCTAAAGCTGCCTCCTTATTTATTTTAAGTTAGGCCTGAAGGTTTCTCCATACATAGTGACCTATGAGTAAACAAGACTCTAACCTATTTTGGTAACAATTGGCCAAGTTTCTGCCAATCGCAGGCAGCCAACTGTTCAAACTGTGTTCAAATAAAGCAAACTCCAAGCTGTGACCAATCTGGCTATTTCTGTACCTCCCTTCCATTTTCTGTATGTCACCTTGTTTTTTCTGTCTATATGTGTTATCAAGTCATGTGGCAGCCCTGGAGTTGCTCTGAGGGTTCTGGGGGCTGCCTGATCCATGAATCATTCTTTGCTCTTTTAAACACTATTCGATTTAATTTGTCTAAAGTTTCTCTTTAAACATTAATTTTTTTTTTTTGAGACAAGGTCTCATTCTGCCACCCAGGCTGGAGTGCAGTGGTGCAATCTCAACTCACCGCAACCTCTGCCTCCCGGGTTCAAGCGATTCTCCTGCCTCAGCCTCCCCAGTAGCTGGGATTACAGGTGTCTGCCACCATGCCTGGCTAATTTTTGGTATTTTTAGTAGAGATGGGGTTTCACCATGTTGGCCAGGCTGGTCTCAAACTCCAGATCTCAGGTGATCCACCCGCCTCGGCCTCCCAAAATGCTGGGATTACAGGCGTGAGCTACTGTGCCTGGTCTTTTTAACATTAATTTTTTTTTCTTTCTTTTTTTTTTGAGACAGAGTCTTGCTCTGTTGCCCAGGCTGGAGTCCAATGGTGCAATCTTGGCTTACTGCAACCTCTGCTTCCTGGGTTCAAGCAATTCTCCTCCCAGTAGCTCAGCCTCCCAAGTAGCTGAAACTACAGGCACATGCCACCACGCCGGGCTAATTTTTTGTATTTTAGTAGAGACGAGGTTTCATTGTGTTGCCCAGGCTGGTCGTGAACTCCTGAGCTCAGGCAATCCACCCGCCTCAGCCTCCCAAAGTGCTGAGATTACAGGTGTGAGCCACTGTGCCCAGCCTCTATTTTTATTTTTCAAGACAAGGTCTCATTCTGTTGACCAGGCTGGAGTGTGGTGGCACAATCACAGCTCACTGCAGCCTTGACCTCCCTGGGATCAGGTGATCCTCCCACCTCAGCCTCAGCTGGGACCACAGGCCCATGCCACCATGCCCTGCTAATTTTGTGGGTTTTGTTTTTTTTTTTTGTAGAGATAGAGTTTCACCATGTTGCCCAGGCTGGATGAATAACTTTGGTTATTTCTTGCATATATCATGGTATTTAAAGTCACAAGCTTTGGATCTAGGACAAATGTGACTTTCAATCCTGGTTTCATTGCTGCCTCACTGACATTTCAGGTTAACCTCTCCCTTCAGGCTTGGTTTCCCTACTGAATTACCTCACATATGATCTGATTTGCACCAACAGTCCTGTGAAGTATTAATAACCACAATTTATGCAGAGACATCTGGAGCACATATGCTTGCTGATTTGTTTCATTATTTATTTGTATGTTCATTCTGGCCATGACCCCAGTCTTCCAGAAAAGCCAAAATCCCAGACTTCTATAAGAAATCAGTAATATGTAAAGGAACAAAGCAGAACAAAGACACCTAAAACTGAATATAAACAGAAACAAATAAATCTAACTGTACATCAAATGATTACATCACCACACAGAAATAATAAATAACTAAATTAGCCTCTGAACCCCGTGCTCTGATTGTACAGCCTTGGTAGATAGAAAGAAAAAAAAGACTGTGGAGAAATTTTGAATTTACTTGGTAGTTTCATTGTTGGAAGTGGCATTGGTTGAGTGATACTGAAATTATTTTCTGTATATTGAGGGATAGATAAGTTACATGTTGTAGGGAGCCAGGGTTCTCCCTGAGGGGAGAGGGAAATACCAGTAGGTCATAGTGAGAAAGAAGAGCTGTGGTTGTATTAGTGTGGGCTCATAATTGTTGTTTTAATCTTATCCATTGAAAGGGCCTATATACCCTCTCCAATATCATTGAAATACCTAGCACAAAAATCTTGATGTCTAAATACCATTTCCCATTAAAAGGAATCATAGGACCTTAGAGAAATAGCTGACAGCTATAACTGACTGGTAAAGTAAAAGGTGATCTGAAACCATTTTTTTTTTTTTTTATTGAGACAGAATCTCAATCTGTCACCCAGGCTGGAGTGCAATGGTGAGATCTTGGCTCATTGCAATCTCTGCCTCCTGGATTCAAGCGATTCTCCCGCCTCAGCCTCCCAAGTAGCTGGGATTACAGGCACCCACCATCATGCCTGGCTAATTTTTGTGTTTTTGTAGAGACAGGGTTTCACCATGTTGGCCAGGCTGGTCTTGAACTCCTGACCTCAGGAGATCCGCCTACCTCAGCCACCCAAAGTGCTGGGATTACAGGTGTGAGCCATCGCACCCGGCCCTGAAACCTTTACTATGTCAGATACATATTAAATACCAAGGGAAAAGGTACCTTTACAATGAGAAATCTAGCAGACATACCTTAACCCAGTCAGCTTCACCAACAATGGGATAAATTTACCTCTGTGCTCCCTTTGCACAGAGGTAATATTACCTTTGCAGTATTCTTGCCAAAATGTTAACCTGAATCTTATTAGGAGGAAACAAGCAGTCAAATACAGATTGTGTGACACTCTATAAGACAAGTAGCTCTTTAAACATGTTAAAAGTCTTGGAAGATAATACAAGCCATGAAATTCTTCAAGATTAAAAGAGATTCAGGCTGGATGCGTTGGCTCAGGCCTGTAATCCCAGCACTTTGGGAGGTTGAGCAGATGGATCACCTGAGGTCAGGAGTTCAAGACCAGCCTGGCCAATATGGTGAAACCCCATCTCTACTAAAAATACAAAAAATTAGCCGGGTGCAGTGGCGGGCTCCTGTAATCCCAGCTACTTGGGAGACTGAGGCAGGAGAATTGCTTGAGCCTGGGAGGTGGAGGTTGCAGTGAGCCGAGATCATGCCACTGGGCAGCTCAGTGCACTCCAGTCTGGGCGCAACAGAGCGAGACTCTGTCTCAAATAAACAAACAAACAAACAAATAAATAAAATGAGATTCAAAGAGACATGATAAATGCTAGATCCTTGATTGGATCTTGGCTCAACCATAACAATAAAAAAAATTTTAAAGACTATTATTATTTTATTATTTTTTTCTTTTTTCTTTTTTTAAATTTTAATTTTTTTATTATTATACTTTAAGTTCTAGGGTACATGTGCACAACGTGCAGGTTAGTTACATATGTATACATGTGCCATGTTGGTGTGCTGCACCCATTAACTCGTCATTTACATTAGGTATATCTCCTAATGCTATCCCTTCCCCCTCCCCCCACCCCACAACAGGCCCCAGAGTGTGATGTTCCCCTTCCTGTGTCCATGTGTTCTCATTGTTCAATTCCCACCTATGAGTGAGAACATTCGATGTTTGGTTTTTTGTCCTTGCGATAGTTTACTGAGAATGATGGTTTCCAGCTTCATCCATGTCCCTACAAAGGACATGAACTCATCATTTTTATGGCTGCATAGTATTCCATGGTGTATATGTGCCACATTTTCTTAATCCAGTCTATCATTGTTGGACATTTGGGTTGGTTCCAGGTTTTAAAGACTATTATTAAGACAGATGGAGAAATGTGACTATAGAGTGTCTATTGGATGACATTAATTAATGTATTAATATCAATGTGAAATATCTTGGGAGTGATAATGTTACTATAGTTTTATACGAGAATGTTTATGTTTATGGGACATACATGCTGAAGTATTTATGGGTGAAATGTGATGAGAACTCTAATTTATTTGTAAAAGGTTCAACCAAAAATGTATGTGTGGTTTAGCCATATATCTATATCTATACAGAGAGAAAGAGAAAGCAAAGGTGGCAAATGTGATCAATTGGTGAATGTAAGTGAAGGGTATCTGAATGATTTGTTCTATTTTTTCCATTCCTCTGTAGCTTTGAAAAATTTCAAAATAAAAAGTTGGGGCAAAACTACAAGGTGACTTCTGGTATAATACTGCCAATACTACCAATCTCCTTTCTGGCAGCAGCCGCCTGGCTAGAACATTAGAGTGGGTCCAGAGAGCCTCTAGAGAGAGACCATATTGCTTTTCCCTGCTTGTTCACATAAAGTTTTAAGACAGACTGTAAAGTTTGTTGGAAATAAGTTCAGTCCTACAGTCCAGAATCCAGAGTTGGAAAGGGGCTTAAAGTCATATAGTTCAGTAGTTGCAGACTCTTGGATTTTACACACTAATATAAGTTAAAAAGATATGTATGTATACACACACACAGAACAAAATAAAACAAAAAATGAAGGGGCTGACCTCAAGTTGCTAATCCACTTTGTCTAGTAATGACTGACATAAAAATTTAAAAAACCCATCTATCATTCTGTTTTCATACTTATGTCATTAAAAATGTCATTTTTACCACAAAAAGGCAATCTATTATTCTCAGAGTTAAGTTTTTAAAAAATTGGCCGCATTCAGCCCTGCGAACACACACCTTGTCCTTCTTCCCTTCCTTCTTTCCTTCCTTTATTGACAAATAAAAACTATATAGTTATGGTGTACAACATGATGTTTTGATATATGTATACATTGTGGAATGGTGAAATCAAGCTAATATATCCTTCACTTTATATGCCTATTGTTTTTTTTGGGTGAGACTATTTAAGATCTATTCCAAGCAGTGTTTAAGCATAAGATCCATTGCTGTTAACTATGTAGTCAGCACATTGCCCAGCAGGTCTCTAGCTCACTCGTGGGTCAGGCTGGACAGGAAAGGGGTGGCAGGCTGCTGAGTCGCCACATAGGTTCTGGGGAGCAATTCCTCCTATGGAGGTCATGTGGCTGACGTCCTGACAGGTGGCAAGTCGGCCCCTAGAGGAGGAGGACAGCTAACTCCTTTCCCCAGAAGCTCTTTCACCTGGACATCTCTGTCAAGACTGAGTCAGCCGGGCATGGTGGTTCACACCTGTAATCACAGAACTTTGGGAGGCTGAGGTGGGAGGATCACTTGAGGTCAGGAGTTCAAAATCAGCCTGGCCAACATGGTGAAACCCTGTCTTTACTAAAAATATAAAAAAATTAGTGGGGCGTGGTGGTGGGCACCTATAATCCCAGCTACTCGGGAGGCTGAGGCAGGAGAATTGCTTGAACCTGAATGGTGGAGGTTGCAGTGAGCTGAGATTGTGCCACTGCACTCCAGCCTGGGCGATAAAGTGAGATTGTCTCAAAAAAAGAGAGAGAGAGAGAGTGAGCCACTCCTTTAGATGAGTTGGGATGGGTTGCTCTGCTGCATCCACACTTTGTTAGTTAATCTGCCATGTGGAGCTTCTCAGAATTTCGAGGCACTTCAATTTTGCTCCCCAAGTAAGGTCAGGTATGAATACGAAAAGAAGTAATCCAGGAGCTGATCCTTCTATTCTTTGATGAGTATGCTTGCACTATTTGAAGGTTGCTGTTATGCTTTCCTTAATCCTCTCCAGATGGAACATACCAGTCTTTCAAAGATTCTTCTTAGTCTGGTGACAGGTGATGTGTTACATATTTCTTGGTCAGCCACAAGGTGCCAGGACTAGCATGGTGCTAGGTTACCTGTGGGGCCCTGTGGTGTCTCCACGGCATTGCAGTGACATGCTCAGTGAAGGGGACCTGTTAGGCATTTCATGAGTGGCTCAGAGATCCTCAGTGAGGGGATGTGGCTGTCTTCATGAGAGGCACCAATGACAGCCGTGTCCTCAGACTCTTGCTCCCACAGGGTCACACATCTGTGTCTCTCTCTGCACTTTGGCTCCAGGCCCTCTCTCACCTCATGCCTGAGACCCACCCCACAGCACCTGAGTCTACATCACCTTAGTTCCAGTTGCACATAGAAGCCAAGTGGACCCTCAGGACCTCAGGTCCAAATTCCTGCAAGAGAATTTCACTGGTGTGCCTTGGATCAGACATTTACCCATGCCTACCTGTGGCCAAGCAGTTGGGGTAGTAGTAAAGCAGTATCTGCCAGGTCTCCTGCCCCACCCTCCCCCTTTTTTTTTTTTTTAGAAGGAGCATTCTTCGGAGGAAAGAGTTTTTCTGAACTGGGCAGAGTCTTCATGAAAGCATCTGCTATAAGATTCTTTAACTTATGACTCTGTAAATATAGAAAAAGGAATAAATAGGAAAAATTGGACTCACTTTGGAATGGTACACTCAGTGTGTCAAACAATTAAACAGAAACACCACACACAGTCTGTGGCTGGCCCCGACGGCGGCTGGGAGGATGACAACTGTCCCGCCCTTCCTGCTAAGCCTGTCTTTCCTTTTGCTTAATCTCTGGTGGGGTCCAACATGCTGATCTCTGCTGGAATGGGCCCAGGCATTAGGATTAAAGCAAATTTCAGGGATTTCCATAGACACTTTATCTGTTAATTCTCAAAAGGCACTCAACAGTTGTCTCCTTAGTTCTAGTTGGCGCGTGTGTGAGTTACGTCGCAAGGCTGGAAGGCAGGAGGTTTGCATGCTTTCAGAATGCCCTGCGTGTGCATGTGGCAGGTCCTCATTATTCCTGTTAGTCCAAACTGCACCATTTTGTAAGCTCCCTGCTATTTTGCAGACCTTGGTCAAAGTGAAACATTTCACAAGGGTTTGGGCCACAAGAAACATCCTGCCTAACCACCTGACCACAAGGCAGACAGGCAAAGACCCAACTAAAGAAACACCCCTATCATATTCTGCTGGGAGAAAGGGCAAGGAACACCACATTCTGCCAGAACAAGGGCCAGAACCGCCTCATCATGGGAACATTTTATCAACATCCTGCCAGGCAGCAAGCCATACTGCCCAGACCCCTTCCACCCATACTTATAAGTATCCCCGGCCTGTAAGCAGTGGTGGGCTCTGGTGTTAAGCTGGTCCCCACTTCTGCAGGTGTCTGTTTAAGCTGCCCTCTCCCTCTGTGTGTGTCTTTCTTTCACCCTCGCCTTCCCTTCAAAACCTGACAGTCCCGGTGGTGGGCCTTCTCTGTTTGTGCTGTGTTTTCTCTTTTTCTCTGACCTTCTCTGAGCTACGGCTCTGAGACAGTTTACAACAGGCACCTGCCTCAACCTCCCAAAATGCTGGGATTACAGATGTAAGCTACCGCTCCTGGCCTAGAAATGACATTTTCATACCCCCAAGTAGGAAAGTAATACTCTCAGAATAATATAATTGGATACATTTCCTGCCAAGAAAAGTTTATCACATTACTTGTCCCCCCTCTCATTTTGCTGCAGATTGGTGGCAGTTTGTCACGGGCAACTTGGGAGCCATGTTTTAGGCATGATGTGCAATGGGAGATAGGAGAAGGGCCAGGCCTGCCCTCCATGAGCTCATCCCCAGGATTTCAGCTGGAGGCAACCTTCAATGGCATCTTGTCCAACCTCCTTCTCAGTGTCTAGATGAAAGAAATGACACAGCTGAGGTCTAATAATGGAGACACAACCATGACACAGTGTAAAATGTGGAAATCCTCTCAAGGAGGAATGAAAATGTCCAATGGGAATACTCTGAACTGGGCAGAGGAAAGAGAAAGCAGGGAGGCTTGAAGAAGCCGCATATAAACTAGACATTGAGGAGTGCTGTGATGTAGGCCAATGCTTCTCCAACTTTACTGTACATCAGAATTACCTGGAGGGCTTGTGAACACACAGAGTCCAGTTTCCAAATCAGTAGTCTAAGGAGAAGCCTGCATATTTGAGCTTGTAACCGTCTCTCAGCGAGCAGTATGGCTTGCTGCCCGGCAGGATATTGATAAAATGTTCCCAAACTGTTTCTGCCGAGCCTGGTTTGGAGACTCGAGATGCTTCGAGAATCACCAATTTAGATGTCCAGAGATTTGGGACTTCGGCAAAGGTACAGAGACCAAAAGGTAGGGTGGGTTGGCGCAGGGAAGGTGGGTAGGTGGGATTCTGTAGAATAGTGAATGCTATGCTAAAGAGTTTAGACTTTACTTGGATGGGCAATGGGAAGGTGTACAAGAGTTTTGAACAGAAGAATAGAATTTAAAATCTTCTCTTTTTTTTTTGAGACGGAGTTTTCCTCTGTAGCCCAGGCTTGAGGACAGTGGTATGATCTCGGCTCACTGCAACCTCTACCTCCTGGGTTCAAACGATCCTCCCACCTCAGCCTCCCACGTAGCTGGCGTTACAGGCACACAGCCACCACGTCCAGCTAATTTTTGTATTCTTAGTAGAGATGGGGTTTCACCATGTTGGTCAGGCTGGTTTCGAACCCCTGACCTCAAATGATCCACCCACCTCGGCCTCCCAAAGTGCTAGGATTACAGGTGTGAGCCATCTCGTCCGACCAAGAGTAGAGTTTAAACCAGTATCACATAAGAAGGAGTGAAGTGTGAATATATTCTAGAACATGGATGAACCTTGGAAACATTATGTTAAGTGAATGAAACCAGACACAAAAAGACACATATTGTATGATTCCATTCATTTTTCTCAACAAATATTTTCTGAGCATCTAGGGTACATCCTGGTGCAAGCACATCTTGTTATTGTGGCCTGCTGGGGCTGGTTTAACACACCAGGTGTTTATATTGTTTCTTTTCCATTTTCTAGATACACCTGTTTTCTATTCCTGGTCTGAGCTACAGCCCTCCTTCTCAAATCTCTTGGATAGTAAGGAAGTAATGCCTTTTTAATTTCTTTTCTCTGGATCATGCCCTGGGATTAGGCTAGATAATGCATCCAGACAAGGACCTGGACAGGTGATAGCATGGTCAGTGAAATCTCCCCAAAGTGTGGCCTTCTCCCCTCGGGCCCACAGCCCCACTCATTGGCCTTGCTATTCTGTTCTGAACCACCGTCTTCAGCTCTGACTTAACTCTGCCTCTCCACCTGGCCCTTCTTTCTGGTTCTGCCACTTCGTGGGCACTAGGTTAACCTTATGGACCACAGCTTTTCTGCTTTGGACCTGGATCTGTCTTCTCACATTTTTATTTTTATTTTTTAATTATTACTGCCCTTTCCTCATAACATTAATGGGACCAAGTCCGTGTTTATACACATGAATTCTCACACCGGGGCCACAGCAACAGAAGTCTGGGAAACAGCCTATTTCCTAAAAGGGTCAGGGTGCAGAGGTGAGCTCGGACTGCAGGCTTCCTGAGGCCAGGACTCCTCGATGACCTTTTGCATCTCTAGCTCCTGGCTGCATGTCTGGCACATAGCAGTACCTAATTCATATTTGGGAGAGCAGAGTCAGAACCCATATGTGTGCATCCTGAGTGGGGGATTCAGGGCAAAAAATATTAGCTGAATATTGTATTAATTGGGGTTCTCTAGAGAAGCATGAACTAATGGGAGATGAATAGATAGATAGACGGATAGACAGATAGATAGATAGATAGATAGATAGATTGATTGATTGATTTTAGGGAATTGGCTCATGCTATTATGGAGGTTGGCAAGTCCAAAATCTGCAGGGCAGGCTGCAGGCTGGAAGCTCTTGGGAGAGTTGCTGCTGCAGCTTGAGTCTGAAGGCCCTCCGCTGGCAGAATTCCCTTTTCCTCTAAGGAGGTCAGTCTTTTTCTCTTAAGACCTTCAACTGATAGCCGGGTGTGGTGGCGGGCACCTGTAGTCCCAGCTACTCAGGAGGCTGAGGCAGGAGAATGGCGTGAACCTGGGAGGCGGAGCTTGCAGTGAGCTGAGATCACGCCACTGCACTCCAGCCTGGGTGACAGAGTGAGACTCCATGTCAAAAAAAAAAAAAGACTTTCATCTGATTGGATGAGGCCCACCTACATTAGCAGAATACCCTGGTTTACTGCAAGTCCACTGATTTAAATGTTAGTCTCATGTAAGCTATCTTCACAGAAGCACTTAGAATAATGTTTGATGAAATATCTATGGCCTAGCCAAGCTGATACATAAAAGTAACCATCACAGGCTGGGTGCGGTGGCTCACGCCAGTAATTCCAGCACTTTGGGAAGCTGAGGCAGGCAGATCACGAGGTCAAGAGATCGAAACCATCCTGGCCAAAATGGTGAAACCCTGTCTCTACTAAAAAATACAAAAATTAGCTGGGCGTGGTGGCGCATGCCTGTAGTCCCAGCTACCTGGGAGGCTGAGGCAGGAGAATCCCTTGAACCCGGGAGGCGAAGGTTGCAGTGAGCCAAGATTGTGTCATTGCACTCTGGCCTGGATGACGGAGTGAGACTTCATCTCAAAATATATATATATATATATAATTGTTGGGTTTGCTGTTTACTCTTTAGGTAAGAACTGTAGGGCACGAAAAATAACCTAGTTGAGAGGGAAATGTGTTTCACAGACGTGATCTCACATGTTCTACAAATATTTATTATTTTTACTCTTTGGGAGAAATTCTTCAGCCCTGCAGGGAAAATACCAAAATGTATTTTCTGAATCCCCTCCAGTCAACAGGGAGAAATAGGACCAGTGTGTGTGTGATTATGCCAGCCAGCACTGACCTGCTCATCTTTGCAGCTGATTCTCTATGTCAAGCTTTGATATTTTATTTCCCAGTCTGTTCAACATTTTTTTCCTGCATATCCTCAGTAAGGCCTCAAACTAAAAACTGAACGCATGGGATGGTAATTTACATGTTTACTGAAGTGCATGGGCTTAAAGCCTGTCTGTGGCCCATCAGGGCAGATCTTTGCAGGGACTCTGCCTCAGTTTCAAGAACAATGACACCTTCCTTTAGGCAGGGGGACAGTGACATCTTTGACATAAGAAGCCTGGCAGGGCCCATGGGTACCTGGTACTTAGCTAGTAATTAACACTGAATAAGTGTTGCTGTGGTTACTTGCATCAAGCTTGCTTCCAGACGTTCACAGTCAAAAGAGAAGAGTACTCCTAGATAATCCTTAAACCTTCCGTTTAAGTTTCCTTTTCTTCCCTTCCTTATCCTCTATATGCAAATTTACATTTGGCAACCAGCAGGGAGCTTTCAGATTCCTTATCTCTCACACCCACCAGAACCTAATTTTGTTCATGGAGAGTAAAATAAATATTGCATTGGGGGAAAGATATGTGAAGGAACCCACGTGACAGAGAATGGCTGTCAGGATATGAACATATATAAAGTCAGACAGTCTGATTCTAAAAGAGCAGTTTATTATTGTTTGAGCAGCCTGACCGGGCCTTCTCCTTTCTGTTCCGCTAACCAGCACGGAGCTTTAGGTTTTACAACTCTGATAAGCTGATAAGTGAAAAAATCTTTTTTTTTTTTTTTTTTTTGGTGGCAGTCTTGTTCTGTTGCTCAGGCTGGAGTGCAGTAGTGCAATCTCAGCTCGCTGCAGTCTCTCCTGCCTCAGCCTCCCGAGTAGCTGGGATTACAGGCATGCACTACCACGCCCGGCTAATTTTTGTGTTTTTAGTAGAGATGGGGTTTCACCATGTTGGCCAGGCTGGTCTCAAAACCCCTGGCTTCAAGGCCCACCTTGGCCTCCCAAAGTGCTGGGATTACAGGTGTGAACCACTGCACCCAGCCGAAAATTATTTCTTGATGCTTTAATCTGTATGTTTACTTACTTGTGAAATTGAACACCTTCTTCATACATGCATTTCCTACTTGTGAACTCCCTGATTGCATCTGCTCATTTTTCCTAATGGACCTTGGTGGTTTTGTAAAAAATAATAATGATAAATAATAATCTATTAGTTCTTTCTATATTGATTATTAACCGAGTCATATTTATGCCAAATATTTTCCCAGATTGTAGTTTTAAAAATTGTGTTTATGATATTTCTTCCATTAAGCAAGTGTTAACTTTTTGGTGGTCGAACCTGTCAGTCTTTCTCCCTGTGATTTTTGAGAGTAAATCTGCATTTCCTTCTCCCCGCTTCCTCCCCCATTTAGGAGAAATGGAGCCAGGGCCCCTCTGTCCTTGGGCTACCCACAGTAAACCCTCGGCTAATCTTTTTTTTTTTTTTTGAGACGGAGTCTCACTCTATCGCCCAAGCTGGAGTGCAATGGCGTGATTTTGGCTCTGTGCAACCTCTGCCTCCTGAGTTCAAGAGATTCTCCTGCCTCAGCCTCCTGAGTAGCTGCGATTACAGGTGCCCGCCACCACGCCTGGTTAATTTTTGTATTTTTAGTAGAGATGATGTTTCACCATGTTGCACAGGCTGGTCTTGAACTCCTGACCTCAGGTGATCCACCCGCCTCTGCCTCCCAAAGTGCTGAGATTACAGGTGTGAGTCACCGCGCCCGGCCTGCCACTGACTAATCTTGATGCCCCACTTTTGAACATCTGCTGACACTAGAACCAGGGGAGGTTCCATAGCCTGAAACTCAGGAACCACATGTGGGCTAGGGGAAGAACTGTCTGGAGGAAGGCCAGCTTCCTACAAATCTTTACCCAAGGGAGGGTTCTGCCTTAAAGTCCTTAAAATGCCCTCTACCAGAGCTACTGAGGGTTGGTTCTTAGGGTAAGGTTCAGTTCAGTAGAAGAATATGACACTGAACACAAGTGTGCAGGAGGGGAAGGGCGGGGAGTCAGGAGAGGGCCACAAAAGGGGCTGGGGCCCCACCAGGAGACTGGGAAACCAAGCCCTCTTTTCTTATTTCCTATTTTTGTTCCTTTTTTAGACCCAGTATGTCTTTCAGTAAAACAATGGTTACTTAGCTGAAGTTAGAATTTGCATATTTAAGCCTCCCACGTGAACTGAGTATAAGATGGAGAATCATAAGTAATTTAGATGTGCATAGCTATGCATGAAGTAGTTACGCTGTTTTCTAAATGTGGAGTCGTTTTTACATTCAGAAAAACTGAGGAAGGAAGTGAGGATGTTTGGAAGTCAGCACTTCCTTTTTAATGGATAGTAACAACCCAAAACAGTTTTATGGGCTTAGGGAAGGGGACAAGGTAACAACAATTGCAGTTCACCTGCGACTGAAGTTTCCCAGAATGCGGGACAATCAGGGCTAAAACCTGGACAGTCCCATACAATCAGGGCTAAAACCTGGACAGTCCCATGCAAACTGGGATGTTCTGGACTTGCTATTCACACACACACACACACACACATACACACACACACACACACGCACACACAGCATTGTGTGTAACCCTCCCCCAAAATAATGCAACAGCCTTTCAGTATCCATCTTTGACAGAGGATGGAACTACAGGTTGAAGAGACTCAGATAACTTCCTTAAATTCACACAAACTGGGCATAAAGGAGCCTGCATGTAAACTTGGTTCCGTCTGATGTCAGAGGGCCCTTTCTACCCTCCATGCTTGGGATTTATCGGTCGGGTCGGTGAACTCACTCTCTCACCCACCCACTCACCACATATTTTCAGAGTGCAGAATATATGCTATGCGAAGGATTGGATTATGGATGATTCAGAACAGGCTCTGTTATATTGGTAATTGGGAAAGCCCATGAATAGCAAGGAGAATAGTAGTTCAAGAATAATCTTAAATAAAATTTATGGGAGGACTGAACTCTTACACTAGGCCCAACGGACCAGACCAAACCAGAATGGAGTCACTCCTGCTAGGTGCCAGGCTGTCCAACGGAACTTTAAAAAGGGCAGCTTTTCAGAAAAATAGGAGATGCACAGCAGCTAATCAGAAGGGGCCCAGTTTACCTGAGCAGGTTTGATGAGGAAGTCCCCCATGCTTTAACCCTGCAAGGGAAGTAACTCTGAAACGCCAATCTACCTTTCGTTCCCTGTTTCTGCTTCTTCAGCCTTTCCTGCCTATAAAGTCAAGTCTTTTCCCTAGCTCATTGGAGCACATTTTCTCAATTTTTGGATGGGATGCTGCCTGATTCATTAATCAGTAATAAAAGCCAATTAAATCTTTAACGTTGTTGAAATTTTGTTTTTTTAACAATAATAACCTCAGTAGAAATAAAATTTGCAAGAGTTCTAATGTAATTGGAGCCTTAAGGCAACTCAGTTAACTATTAAATACTTAGTACAGTAGTTCAGTACTCTTAGTACAGGTTAAGCATCCCTAATTTGAAATCCAAAATGCTCCAAAATTCGAAACTTTTTGACTGCTGACACAATGCTCAAAAGAAATGCTCATTGGAGCATTTTGGATTCGGGATTTTTGGATTAGAGGTGCTCCACTGGTAAGTATAATGCAAATATTCCAAAATCGGAAAAACGCTCCTGGTCCCAAGCATTTTGGATGACGGATACTCAACTTGTACGCAGATATTCTTAGAGGCACTTCAGATTAGGAAGAGTCTGCATTAGGTTCTTCCTTATCTAGGGCAGTCTTGGGAATTCAAACAAAACACAAATCTATTTTCCCCCCATCACAAACACACACACTCACCTACCAGTTGACTAGGTTCAAACTCCAACCATCCTGATCATCTTCTCCTTTACTTGGGGGTTGATTTCAGTTGAATTCAAGGTTTGGCATCTCTGGAATTTATACCCATTTCTTGAATAAGAAGATCTACAAAAATGAAGCAACTACACCAAGCCTCAGACATTTCACATCATACAATAGTCTCCTGTTTATATGTTTGTCTCTTTCCTTTATAGCTCGACGTCAACGTGGGTCTTCTTCCGCCATTGGTCATTCTTCCAGTGTCTAGCACAGTCAGTGTCTGCTATTTGCCGAATGGGTGGGTAAACAGCTAAACATAGAAATCCCTGTGATATGAGAATCGTTGCCAACATCTAAAATTAAACCAATTTTTAGTTTGAGAGCAAATAATATCAAGGTACAAAAAAGTGAAACACAACTCCTTTTAAGAAAAAGAAATCCTAAACTCCGTGTATTACTCTGAGCAATTGCAGGAAAACTTCTGACTCGCCAGAAGAAATAACCCAAGACAGTCTATGAAACGAAACTGGGGTTGTGGTGACTTTGATCTGCATCATTGTAGTTTAATTTCTCAGTTTTACAAGTAAGCAATGAAAATGAACAGGACTGACTGAATTACATGTTACTTAGGGCTTTCGGGAGGTGGTCACAGCTGAATCAATCCGTTTACCTTCCATGGGAGGTGTTAATATATATCTTATTGCTTATTTTCTTTTAACCCAACACTTTAAGCTCAGCCAGAGATCCAAGGGACAGTGGAGGTTGCTAGGCAGGAGTGTCAGTAAAGAGGCCAGTTGGATGCTGAGGATGGCTTAAGCTGCCCAGTGCTGGCTCTCAGGAATCTGGAAAATTTAAACATTATCACCTGACACCAATCCTTTGTGAGATCCCAACAGAGCCTTCCCTGTCTTCAGTGAGAGCTGTCTACTTGTTCTGGAACACTTCTGAGCACTCCCATTTGAGGCGATGGAGACGATGAGGAGGCGAGCCCCCACCCTCCCCATCTCCCATCTAAGATGTCACCACACTTTCCACATGAAGACATCTGGAATTGCAAAGGAGGCTGTGCAGTTTCTATCCGCTTACCTAATAGCCCCTCCACCGAGCAGCCACCTTCCTTGGGGTTCTCAGGGACGCTCCCTTTCCCACAGACAGGCTCCTTCAGTTTCCAGCCTCCCCCCTCCAGCTATTGTCTCCTTTTTCAAGTCTGTGGGTGAATTGTGGGGTCCACTCACCTCTGTTTTTCTAAATCCCTCAAATCCCTTTCCTACCCTGGTATGTCCAGGATTCATCTCCTCAAAATTTGTTTAAAGGGCGTGGGTTACAAATAAGGTTAGGTAGCACATGCTATTTAGAAAGTTTCAGAAAGAGAAGGAAAGAAGGAAGGAAAGAAGGAAGGAAGGAGTTGTTACATAAATGAGAAATACTAAAAGGCTGTTTAACTGATATTGCAGACACTATAGTTCCATAAAAAAGATAAATTATGAAAAACAAGGTTTGTAAACATTTTTATCTTTCCTTAATTGGCCCTTGAGCAGACCAGATGACTCAGTACTGGTCTCCAGGGATCAGCCTGCACTCCAGGGCGTTGTGACACATTTATATTGCTTATCCTATTTAACATTTTGAGTCATATTATTTTCACAGAACCTTATTTACTATAAACGTCTCTATAAATCTACATAGTATACACATTTCATTTAATATCTAAGTAACATATACTATTGTACACCATCAAATATACCCAGTAACGACACCCTAGCTTGCTTAATCATTCCTCAAGTGTTAAGAGGTTTGAGTTACAATTAACGCAACAATCCTCCCTTTACCTCCATGGATGTAATTTTTTTGTTGTTGTTTCTCTAACCCATTTATTTGTTTTTTTTGTCTGCATATGTGTTTATATTCAAACAGGCAGCTTTGTTTACTTTTCGTCTTTGTATGTTATTGTTCAAAAAAGGATTTCCTGAATCAAAAAACATGATCAGTTTTATGACCATTACTGGCTTTTTCTGTTGGAGACTTTATAGCAGCAGAGAAGTTGAGGTCTGAATTAGCACAATGACCATTTACGTTACAAAATTCTTATAAGAAAAACTTGCATGTTCTATTTCTTAATTTGATAAATTGTCAGTTATGTACCATTGAATTTTTACCCCTGCTGAAGTTACACCAGAACTACATATTTGCAGAAAATTCCAGAGAAGTCAGGATGGGCCCTTAGTACAGTAATCATAGAGTGTAACAATAGAGAACATGGCACTTTTTTAAAAAGTCGAGAGCTGCCTCTGACGTGTCACTCTTAAAATATGTCTCCCAGCAGTCATCTTCCTGCCTTCCAGGGCTAGAGCTTTGTAGGTTACCTTAGGGTGATCATGGGGACCTGGTTTTCATGAGGCCATGTTTAAGCTCAGGGGTGACCTGGCTGGGAAGAGGGTATAAACCCATGAACACGAGTCAGTTGACAGACTAGGATTGCCACTTTGTAAAGAAGAGCCCAAGACCTGATCAGAATGAGACACAAATGAGGTCATTTTTAACAGAACTAGGGGAGGGGAGAAGGACAAATAGACTGGGGCGATTCTCAGGGAGGGAAGGGCTGGATACGAGACTCTTTTGGGAGAGCCTAGAAACGACGCAAGCGTCCCAGACACCCGGGCTAGTGGAGAAGAGAGCAGAATGAGAGCAGTCATGAAAAAGAGTAAGGGAACACAAGAGAAATTCGGTTTGCCTATTTCTGTCTGGGCACAGTTCTGCCCTTAGCAATCTAAGGCAACTTCACAAAGCTCCACTCACTGCACGGGATGTAGAACACAGTGGAGGCTTCCACCCTGGTTTGACTGGCTTTTGGGAATCAAGCTGGAAAGCCAAAAGGACATGTTTCACTGTGGAGGTGCCCTCAGGGCTGGCGAAGGCCTTGGGGGAGGTGTCTTTGCAACTGTGTAGGGGTGGTTTTCTGATTAGCAAATCTGAGGGCAGGGAGATATTGTGATCAGGACTGTTTGATTCTGGGGAAGCCTCTTTTTACCCTGCCCACATAGAAGACTCTGCTTTGGATACAGAGTCAAGGACGGATACTGATACAATGGACCTGTAACTTGTCCATGGCTGCCTTTTGTACAGTTTAGTCCATTTGAGTAATCTCTACAAGCCTGCACCTCGAGGGCAAACTTCCTGCTCTTCTGGGGAATTTAATTGTGAATTGTCTGTTTCGGGGCCCATTTTGACTCCTGTATTCCAGGACTTATCTCTTTGGAGGCCTTGATTTGGAATTTCCCATTGGATGGGGCTACTTGGGTACTGGGTAGCTTCAACCTGGCTTCCGTAAGAACAAAGCCAGATGATCACGGTGGGTGGTCTGCTAGGAGAATGGAAATGCCATTGATTAAAATTGGAAGGTTAAGAGAGAGGCCTGAGAGTTTGGGATAGGAGATGAAGTTTCAAAAAATCAGTTTTTAAAAAAACATTTCCCATCTGAAATGCCAGTGAATTGTTCAGATAGATTACATTGAAAAGGCTGACATTTCTGTAGCAGCAACGAATGAAGTCATCCGAGTGGATGAGGTGCTCTAGGCCATACATGGAGAAGAGAACACAGTTACCCAAGCCTCCCCGACTGTGTGCGGCCACAGACTCTGCTCATTTCCCAGTTAGGAACGATGCAGGGGTCTGCTGGGATCTCCACGTTTCTACCTGTACCTCTGAGGACTGGGTTTCTGCCCACACGAGTTGCAGGATTTGCTCTACTGAGAAAAAGACTTTTGCTCCAGAAAGCAAGTTTCCCGTTTCAGACACGGACAGCGAGTTTTGCTTCTAGAATCATTTTCAGCTGCATACAGAAAAATGAACTTGGCTGAGCTGAAGAGCCACACATATGTTAAACGGAAGCTCGGGTATTAGGAACGTCGAGAAAGGCAGGCCGAAAAGTTAGCCCCCTTCTCCTCACCCCTGTCCTCACAGCGGCCCCTTCAGTGGCCTGACTTTTTCTGCGTGGGACCCAGAATGTCGCTTGAGGATGGGACCCCCGCAGACCTCCACGCGCTGCCACGCAAACGGCCTCGGCCGAGAGCATTCGCTTTCCAGATGAGAATGGCATCTTCAGGGACCCGCTGGTAGTGGGGCCAGGTCTCCACAGGGCCGGTCCAGTCCTTCCTACCCACCCGGGCCCTGCGGCCAGGCGGGGCCGGGAGGGGCGGATGCCGGAGGGCGCTGGGGGAGGCCGACCCGCGCGGGGCTGGTCCGAGGGCGGAGGCAATCCGCCGGCGACGCCGCAGGTCCCGGGTGGCTGACGCCGTCCGGGGGCGTTCCTGGGAGCTGGGGGCCGGCGAGGCTGGACCCGACGCGCCCGGGAGGAGCCGGCCGGCGGCCACGTGACCCACCGCGGCGGGGCCGGCGGCCCAGAAATAGCAGCGGCGGCGGTTCCGCCCGCGGGCGGCGCGAGCGAGGGGCAGAGGCGAGAGACGCCGGCGGGGCGCGGGCGCGGCGGCCCCGGAGGATGCTGCTGAGCCCCGGCACTGCCTGGCTGCGAGCACATGATGGCGATACGGGAGCTCAAAGTGTGCCTTCTCGGGGTGAGTCCTGGCCGCCACCCGCCGGCGGACCCCGGCCCGCGCTCTCGCGCCCCTTCGCTCCCCTATTCCCTGCGCGCTCAGTCCCCGTGATCCCCTCGCTCTCCGCACCCCTCTCGTAGCCCCCGTCCCCCTCGTCCGCGCGCCCCCTGGTTCCCCGGGTCCCCCTGGCTCCCCTAGTCCGTGCGCCCCTCGCTCTCCGCGCCCCTCGCTCTCCGCACCCCGCCTGTTCTCCGCCTCCCCGCCGTCCGTGCGCCCCTCTGGTCCGCCCCCGCTCTCACCCTGCCGGGGTCCGGGTCCGAGCCTGCCCCGGGCTTACTCCGCTCTTTCCTCCCGGCCCGCGAGTCCCCGGATCCGCGGCGACCTCGCGGGGACCCCCAGCGGGGACGGGGCAGTGGCGGCGAGTCTGGGGCCCCGAGGGCTTTCTCCTCCGCTTTTGATAGTTTCCTTCCGGCAGAAAGTTTAAGTTGCTCAGCCAAGTCGCTGAGTGCTCTTTTGCCTCCTGGGGGCAATTGATTTACTCACGTAAAACAGAAAAATAAAACCAAAAGCGAACCCAGCCAAGGGGGTGAAAGCCGAGGGCGCGGCCGGGGTGGAAGGTGAGGCAGTGACCTGTGCGGAGCGCGCCCTGCAAACTTCCCTGCTGCGGGTGAAAGAAGCTGCCTGGGAAAGTCCTCCCCACCATCACTCCCCTAAAGTGGGGTTTTCTCCGCCCGAAGAAGCCTTAAAGCAGCCAGAAACAAAAAAGCAGTCAATCCGTGCGGCCCGGGGACTGCAGACAGGGGACCCGGCGAGGACGCAGGGAGCCGCTGGCGAACCGCCCCTGGGAATTCAGATAAACGTAGGGTCGCTTCCTTTCGGGGGCCCACTCCGCATTCCAGAATTCCTTCTTCTAAAAGAAGAGCCGGTTCTAAGGGCGTTTTCAGCAGCCATTAGCATCTGGTGTACCCGCCCGTGTCATTGGCAAAGCTGGTCTCATGAAAACCATTTCCTAAAAAAGGGCAGCGAAAGGGTCGCATTCTTGTGCGAACTGATCTGTCAAGATGGGGGTACAAGAACTGTAGAAAGAGGAAATGATTTCGGTGAGGACTGAATTGTGCCAGCGTCTCTAGGCTTCCTCTAGGCTCTTGTGGAACCTCCGGCAGGCTCCCATCATCGGCTCCCATCACCGGCCTCTTCCAAAACCATCCCTTACGCTAACTCGATTGTCCGGTTGGCTTAGAATTCCAGAGGATCTGGGAAGGCCCTGCCCTCCCTGCTAGCCCCTGGCACAGATCCGCACAGATCCCCACCTCCCCCGACTTGCTCAGCCACAGCCAGGATCTAGTCTGGTCTTTCTCTGTTGACCTTTTTGTGTGGCAGGAGTGGGTTTTCCTGTTCCCCAGGCCCTCTAATATTTCCAGACATAAATTCCAGGAATCCCATGCTTCCCTCTTGAGGGGCCATTTCAGCCTCAGGAAAGGCCTTCAGAGACTTAGAAGGAATGTCGTGTTCCAAGGAATGAAGAGGCAGCCTTGATGTGCCGTGTTTGTCAGGACTGGCCTTGGGAAAGGTGAAATAGGACATATTTTTGCCTTTTTTTCTGCAACTCTTTTCTCTTGACTTTTACTGAGGTGGTCCAAGCCCTGCCGTGTCACAGGACCCCTTATTTTCAGTTTCGGTGTTTAGGGACAGGTCTCTATGTCCTCCTACCAGGACACTGATCAGGTGGCAAGAACCCTGTGTCAAGAGGCAGGAAACCTAGGCTCTCGTTCTTTCCCACCAAAGAGCTGTGTCGTTTTAGCAAAGCAACTCAGTGGCCTCATCTATGAAATGGGCATAATAACATGTTCCCCCTTTAGGCAGAGGACTACACCAGATGATCTCTTAAGATACATGTTACCATTTCCTGCTAATCTATGAGTTCAGGGTGCCAATTAGCAAACCTGGGAGAGGAGGAAGCTGGAGGAAATCTCTTTACTTCTTTTATCTCCAAGAAAGATACACACTCTTTGAGTGGCTTCCTGCAGACAGTGCCTTACCTTTGCCAGTTCTGTGTGTAGGAATTTGAACTTGGAGTTGGAAGAACCATGCCAAAGCAGAGAAAGAAGAGGTTTCTGGGCAGACGGAGGCTTTGAAACATCAATCGTGGCCGGTCGCGTTGGCTCACACCTGTCATCCCAGCACTTTGGGAGGCTGAGGCGGGGGGATCATTTGAGGTCAGGAGTTCAAGACCAGCCTGGCCAACATGGTCAAACCCCGTCTCTATTAAAAATACAAAAAAAAGTTAGCTGGGCGGTAGCGGCGCATGCTTGTAATCCCAGCTACTCGGGAGGCTGAGGCAGGAGAATCGCTTGAGCCTGGGAGGTGGAGGTTGCAGTGAGCCGAAATCACGCCACTGCACTCCAGTCCGGGCGACAGAGTGAGACTCTATCTCAAAGAAAAGAAAACAAAAGAAAAGAAACATCAGTCATATCACACCACATTTGTGGCTTCCTTTTTTTTTTTTTGAGGGTGGCTGTAAGTTTCAGTTTTATTGAAATCAGAGGACATTTTATTTGAAAGACCAAATGACCTTGTTGTCCACACTGAGTAAGATTTGCCACATCCCCTCGTTTGGCTGGCTCTTTCCTGGGTGAGATGTGTGCAGCAGGCTGTGTTTCTAGCTGCTCATCCAATTAGGCTGATTCTCTGGGTGGGATAACATTGAGGGAGATCAAAACCATTTGACTGTCTTCGGTTTACTCTCTTCTCTCTCTCTCTCTCTCCTCTTTTTTGTTTTGAGACAAGGTCACATTCTGTCATCCAGGCTGGAGTGCAGTGGTGCCATCATAGCTCACTGCACCCTCCAACTCCTGGGCTCAGTGGATCCTTCTGCATCAGCCTAGGTTTATTCTCTTGATTCGAGAGACCCTGTGGATCAGTCAGTGCTAAGTCCAAAAGTCCTTTAAAAAATATATGTATATTTTTGAGATAGGGTCTCACTCTGTCACCCAGGCTGGAGTGCAATGGTGCCATCCTGGCTCACTGCAGCCTCAGCCTCCCAAGCTCAGGTGATCCTCCCACCTCAGCCTGCCAAGTAGCTGGGACCACAGGTGTGTACCACCCAGCCCAGCTAATACTTTTTATTATTTTTGTAGAGATGGGGTCTCCCTATGTTGCCCAGGCTCTTTCAACATTTTAACAGGAACCTTGGGCTCATTTGTGCTTTGCGTAGGGAGGTCTGTCTTTTCTGGGTGAAGTTTTGTGTGTGGCTGGCATTCAGCTTCCTGTTTTTTAGCCATGAGACACCTCCCTGAAGTCTTGCTATGACCAAGACCCTGACAGCCACACCTTCTTTCTGCCTGTTAGAATCACTTTCTGTCGGGTTTCCCTTATAAGGTGATAGAGAACATAGACTTCATAACAAAATATCACTCTCACTGGGAAGGCTGAGGGGTTGGTCTTTTTGTGCCTGGTACTGTGCTCAGTGGGGACTTGGGGACATGCTTCGCATTTAAGGTATAGGTTGTTTTAGGCATGGGCAGTAGGCGCTTTCAGCACAGGCTCCCTGCTGGTCACTCTTTGCTGTAGTTTCCTGCTCCATCCATGGGGTCGGAGGTCTTACCTCCTGACGTTAGAGTCATTTGCAGCAGGTGGGAGTGAAAGTGGGCCGGGTGCCAGGTCTTCTTTACCTGAACCTCTCCTGTCTTCCTGGCACATTAGGAATGTCCAAGCTTATTTCTATTGGTGAATGCTCCCACATGGGATGGATAATGGCCTGTGGAACATTCTCTGAATGCTTTGTGTTCTTGGAAAACCAAGGACTGAAGAGCGTTGGGTTTGTTTAGGTTACCTGTTATAAATTCTTGGCTCACATTTCATGTGTGGACTTTCTTGGGTTTATTCCACATGGGGACAGCCCAGCAAGCCTTTGTGAACGCCCTTTCCTGGCCTGAGCCGAGTCACCTGTGGAAGTCAGCCGTGCAGGAGGGTGTGCTTGATAGGGGGAAGCACCCTGGGCAGGACCCCATGAGTTTCCTTCTTACCAGGAAAGTGTCATTCGTCCCACTTTGTGATCTGAACTGGTATTATGAAACATGAAGCTTAAAGGCAACAAAGTATGTTAACAACAACAACAAAAAATACTTAACAAAAACAACACTGAGGCAGCAGCTGCTTCAACCCCAAAGGTGGAAAAGTTTCCCAGTATGCATTTTTAACACACATCACCATGTGGCAAGAAGCAGGAGGAAGGGAGAGAGTGGGGAGGAGGAGAAAGAGAAGGAGGGGACCTTTGTTTTGTTATCTCCTTGGGGTATTTGTGTGCGTGCACTTAAAAACTGCGTGCACTTAAAAACTGCTTCCTGATGGAATCCCAAAGAGATTTATATTTGGACTTTGGTTGTCTTGACAACAATTTAGAAATTCCTACCACTTCCTCAATAGCTGAGTGATCAGTTAAAAGAGCCGATGGCTTCCCTGCTTCTGGTAAGGAGCTTGTTGAAGCATCTTGTGATCTTTGTTGGAATGTATATGGTGGCTCATTAAAGAGCAGTCAAATACCTGGGATTTGGTGAGACATCTGGGTAATGGGTACTTCACCTATGTCCAGGGCCTTCGCATGGAAGGCCTCTTGTCTCCCCAGGGACACTAGGACGCAAGAGTAGAACAGATTTATACTCACAGTAAGGCAGATCATCAGAACTGTGCAACCTCACATGAGTTGCTATGAGCACTGTATGACAGAGTATCCAATAAGGTGATAAGAATTTGTTAGTGTTATTGTGGAAGGAAGTAATGCATAGGATAGTGGGTTGGGCTAGGTAATGATCACATTTGCTTTCCAAGTCTGAGATTCTAGTAACTTACTATTTTTTCTCCCGAGACTGGCATTTCTTGGGGAAGGGGGATGGTGGGGAGGGTTGAGTGGCTAGCCACAGCATTTATTTCTTGGCACAACTGATTCCTCTACTAAATTGAACCATTTGTGGAAAGTATGTTCAGCATTGGTGACTCTGGGTACGTTCTATGTTACACGAGAATAAATATGATATAGTGGGCTATCTTCCCAGCAGTGCCTGGCATATGGTAACACTGTGTCTTATGCACCCATCCCAGGCTGATGGAATCCATCAGGGTCCCTTTGTTCCTCCTTTGTTCAGGGTCAGCATTGCTGCTTTCATCCTCCCTCAGCTTTCAGAGCTCAGTGCATCTCTGGAGTGTGTATCAGAATCATTTGAGGAGCATTTTCAAGCTTCTCATGGTCCCTTCCCCCATCCCTTATGTCTTAATTTGAGCTGCTGTCACAAAAATACCATAGGCTGGAGGGCTTAAACAATAGACATTTAATTCTCACAGTTCTGGAGGTTGGGAAGTCTAAGACCAAGGCGCTGGCAGATCTAGTGCCTGGTGAGGGCTCGATTTCTGGTTTGCAGACAGCTGCCTTCTTGCTGTAACTTCACATGACTGAGAGAGTGCTCGGTCTCTTTCTCTTCTTATAAGGACGCCAACCCCATTCATGAAGGCTCTACCCTCACAACCTAAGCACCTCCCAAAGGCCCACCTCCTAATATCCTCACATTGGAGGTTAGGCTTCAAAATGGGAATTTTGTTGGAGGGACACAAATATTAATTCCATAGTACCTTGTCAATAGTGTTCAGGCATGTGGCCTCTACTTTTGCCCTGGCCCAATGACACTGTTTTAGTGAGTGTGATATATCCTTTAGGTCTGCTCTAAGGCCACAGCCATGAGAAAATAGGAAACTTTACATTTTAAGATGCTAGGACAGTGGTCCCCAACCTTTTTGGCACTAGGGATCAGTTTTGTGGAAGACGATTTTTCCACAGATGGGAGCAGGAGGCGGGGGATGGTTTTAGGATGAAACTGTTCCACGTCAGATCATCAGGCATTAGTTAGATTCTCATGAGGAGCATGCAACTTAGATCCCTCACATGCGCAGTTCACAACAGGGTTTGCACTCCTGTGAGAATCTAATGTCACCATTGATTTGACAGGAGGCAGAGCTCAGCTGGTAATGCTCACTCACTGTTCACCTCCTGCTGTGCAACCTGGTTCCTAACAAGCCATGGGTCAGTACCGCCCCAGGGGTTGGGGACCTCTGTGCTAGAACGCAAAAGCTTTTGAGTTCACTAATTGGAAAAGACCTTTAAAATTTAATTAAGCCTGGTAGATAACGCTTATTTGGTGTTTGCATGCCTGTGCAGATTTTACACTTTCATTTATCTTAGTTTTTATCACTTATGACATGTGTTTGAAAATGGAATAGGTATTCATTCATTCAGCCATTCACCATTTGTGGAGTGTTTCTTTTATGCTGGGAGCTGTGGGTGGCTGCATGTAGACAGGATGGCAGTGATTGTTGCCTTCCCAAAGACACGAACACACCAGCAGTGAGCTCTGTGGCATTGACTGGATTCTTATTATGGTGCTTACCATGGCCCACCATGCGGAACAGAAGTAGTGTGTTGTGATGATGAGAAATACTGACTGTCATCCCGCTTAGTAGACTTGACGGCATGGGAGGGACAGAAAGTTCTTGCTCCAGGTCTGTCTTGGGTACCTGCTGTCGCACAGTGCTGTGCTAACTCTGCTAGAGACAGAAAGTAGGTCAGGCAGGGATCTGGTCCCTGCCTGGGATGGAGAGGCTTCTGGTTGGTTCCTGTGCCACACGCACAGGAACACGGCCCTTGCTGATGGGTGTGAGGCAGGAGGTGTTGCATGTATAGTGGGATATGGTGGGAGTCAAATACAGCGGGGGCTGTGAAGTGGGGAGTTGGGAAGGTTTCTTGGAGTAGGAAGGATTTGAACAGTGCCTAAAGGGACAGGGAAGGAAAGGTGGGTGTGCACTCCAGGCCCTGGCAGGGGGCTTGGATCTCACTGTATTTTCTGGCACAGTCCCTCCCCTCCCAGCCTGCCCACTCTTCCATTGACACCCCCTACTCCCTGTCTCTCTAGCACTGGGTCTTTTATTTTTAATTCCCTTTGCCCCCTTTTTTTTTTTTTGAAAAATTTAAAACTTACACAGCAGTTGAAAGGACTATGAATGTCCCCTAGATTCAGCAGGAGTAACATTTTGTCACTTGTCCTTTGTCTCTCTCTCTCTCTTTTTTTTTTTTTTTTTTTGACATGGAGTCTCGCTCTGTCAACCAGCCTGGGGTGCAGTGGCACAATCTCGGCTCACTGCAACCTCCACCTCCTGGGTTCAAGCGATTCTCTTGCCTCAGTCTCCTGAGTAGCTGAAATCACAAGTGTGCAACACCATGCCCAGCTAATTTTTGTATTTTTTTTAGTAGAGATGGCGTTTCACCACGTTGGCCGGCTGGTCTCGAACTCCTGGCCTCAAGCAATCTGCCTGCCTTGACCTCCCAAAGTGTTGGGATTACAGGCGTGAGCCACTGTGCCCAGCCTGTCTTTCTGTTTATAAATAATACTAAACATTTTTTTTTGAACCATTTAAAAGTAAGTTGCAGACATGGTGGCACTTTACCCACAAATACTTCAGTATGTGTCTTTTAGGAAAAAGGGCATTCTCCTATGTAACCACAATACTATGCTCCCATCCCCTAAATTGAACATGAACACAGGGTATCAAACATATGGTCCATGTTCAGATGTTTCCAGTTGCCCCCAAATGTCCTTTCCAGCTATTTAAAGGGTCCAGTTAGAGATCATGTATTTCATTTGGTTGTCCTGTCTCTTTAGTCACTGTGCATCTAAAACAGTTCCCCTTCTTTTTTCCCCATGACTCTGGCATTTTTGAAGAAGCCAGGCCAGTTGTCTTGTAGGCGGTCCCAAGATCTGGAAGTGTCTGATTGTTTCCTCATTACTTCTTTCAGGTTCATTGTTTGGGTGAGAATACAACGCAGGCGATCTCGAGTGGTCTTATTTTTTAACGTGATCATGTATAATATTAAAATACTCTTTCCCACTTATCTCTGTGGCATTTATTTAAAAAAATTTCTTAGCTTCTGCAAGTGTCAGGCAGTGGTGTGTCTGACACAGAACTTTGACCTCTTGGAGCCTACATTTTAGCAGGAAGGTAGGGAAAATAAATCATATGGTCTGTTAGGAGGTGGTATGTGCTTTATGGGAAAAGAAGGCAAGAGGTGGGAGTGGGCTGGCGGGGGTGACAATTGAGTGTGCTCAGTGTCTTCAGAGCCCAGGATGGAGGCGTCTGCCTCTTATTTACCCGGGGATTGACGCTGGTCCTACAGCTTCCTCCTGTGGTAAGCTGCTGAGCTGTGGAGAGGAGAGTATGTCCTGAGGAGCCAGAGTGGTCTTTTTTGTTACCTAACTTTGTCAGCAGAAATGAGGAAAAGAAAAATGGAATTTTTATTTGAGACGGAGTCTTGCTCTGTCACCCAGGCTGGAATGCAGTGGTGTGATCATAACTCATTATAGCCTCGAACTCCTGGGCTCAAGTGATCCTCCTGCCTCAGCTTCCTGAGTAGCTGGGACTACAGGCGTGCCACCACACTTGGCTAATTTTCTTTCTTTCTTTCTTTCTTTTTTTTTTGGTAGAGATGGGGTCTTGCTGTGTTGTCCAGGCTAGTCTTGAATTCATGGGCTCAAGCGATCCTCCCACTTCAGCCTCCCCAAAAATATTGGGATTACAGGTGTGAGTCACTTTGCCCAGCCAAAAAGTGGGCTTCTTTTTTGTTTTTTTGTTTTTTGAGACAGGGTCTTACTCTGTCATCCAGGCTGGAGTGCAATGGTGCGATCACAGCTCACTGCAGCCTCAACCTCCCAGTCTCAAGTGATCCTCCTGCTTCCGAAAAGTCGGATTTAACATCAGGTCACCAAATGGGTTTTTCACTGTGGGATCTTTTGATGAGTTTTTTTCGAATACATTTCCTTGGTTTAGATGTCTCAGACCTGCTTGAATTCTCTAGAAGTCATGAATGTGGCTTCTGTTTGCACCATATTTAACCCAGAAGATATCTTAGGCTACTTTCAGTTCCCCCAGAGGTGCCTAGGAGACTCGAGTTATCAGAAAATTGAAGGGGCCTGCAGGACAGCAAACAGAACACAGGGAGGTCATTTCCCTTCTATTTTCTCTTCTTTGAACAGGATGTCACAGAGAGCTAGATGCCTTTCTATCAATGTATTTTTTTTTGAAGAAAAGGATACCTGCATTCTCCAGGACTACTCTCTGCCTTCATGGAATCACTTTCCTAACTAGGATCTGCAAATATAATGTGTCGCTCTGGGAGGGAAGGACAGAGGGAGAAAGTGGAGAGAAGAAGAGAGAAAGAGGAGAAGAGAAGAAGAAAGACAGAGAGACACGCACGTACACACACAGACACACGTACACACAGTATGTGGAGTATCACATAAAATTTGCCCACTGCTGGCAAGGAGAAAGAGCAAGGTGTTCTTGTGTGTTTGTTTGTTTTTTAAATAATCAGATTATTGGCCAGGGCATTTACATTTATGGCAAGGTTAATTAAGAAAGTTTTATTTATTTACTTTTTATTTATTTTATTTACTTTTTTTGAGACCGGGTCTTGCCCAGGCTGGAGTGCAGTGGTGCAATCACAGCTCACTGCAGCCTTGACCTCCCGGGTTCAAGCAATGCTTCTACCTCAGCCTCCCGAGTAGCTGGGACTATAGGTGCCCACCACCACACTTGGATAATTTTTTTGGTTTCTTTTGTAGAGATGGGGCTTGCCACGTTGCCCAGGCTGGTCTTGAACTCCTGGGCTCAAGTGATCCACCTGCCTCAGCCTCCCAAAGTGCTGGGATTAGAAAGTGTTTTTTAAAGTTCATCTCATGGCATCAATACTACGTAGTTAATTTATACTTCATTTTAGCAGCTAAAATATTTTCTGAATTTTTTTGTTTGTTTGTTTGAGATGGAGTTTTGCTTTTGTTACCAAGGCTGGAGTGCAGTGGTGTGATCTCGACTCACTGCAGCCTCTGCCTCCTGGGTTCAAGCAGTTCTCTTGCGTCAGCCTCCCAAGTAGCTGGGATTACAGGCATGCGCCACCATGCCTGGCTAATTTTGTATTTTTAGTAGAGATGGGGTTTCACTATGTTGGTCAGGCTGGTCTTGAACTCTTGACCTCAGGTGACCCACCTGCCTCGGCCTCCCAAAGTGCTGGGATTACAGGCATGAGCCACTGCAACCAGCCTTATTTTCTGAACTTTCATAATAAACTTCTAAAGAGCTAATTTTTTAAATTATCAAGTAGTTTAGTCTTTTTGGGCTGTTATAGTAAAGCACCATAGACTGGGGGCTGAAAAACAACAGAAATGTATTTCCTTCAGTTCTGGAGGCTGAAAGTCCACCATCAGGGTGCCAATACGGGCAGGTTCTGGTGAGGGCTCTCTAAGGGGTTGCAGACTGAGTCTTCCCATTGGGTAAGGGAGCTCCCTGGGGCCTCTTCCATAAGGGCACTAATCCCATTCATGAGAGCTCTAGCCTTCTGACCTAATCACCTTCCAAAGGCTCTACCTCCTAGTATTGTCACTTTGGAGGTCAGGATTTCAACATACAAATTTTGGGGATCACAAATATTCAGACCATAACATAAAGTGATGCATGCTAATTACAATTTGAAGGCCAGGCATGGTGACTCACGCCTGTAATCCCAGCACTTTGGGAAGCCAAGGATGGTGGCTCACTTGAGGTCAGGAGTTCGAGACCAGCCTGGCCAACATGGTGAAACCCCCTCTCTGCTAAAAATACAAAAATTAGCTGAGCGTGGTGGCGTGCGCCTATAATCCCAGCTACTAGGGAGGCTGGAGCATGAGAATCACTTGAACCTAGGAGGTGGAGGTTGCAGGGAGCCGAGATTGTGCCACTGTACTCCAGCCCGGGTGACAGAGCAAGACTCTGTCTCAAAAAAAAAAAAAAAAAAAAAAAAAAAAAATATATATATATATATATATATATATATATAAATAAATAAATTTGATCTAATTATGAGGGAGGGGAAATGATCTAGTAGTGAAATGATACATGCTGTTGTAGTTTTAGACTGTAGAGGTGAGGAATACAGGATGATGGCTTTAATCCCATTTTTTAATAATGACACATCATTGTATTAGCTGGCAATATCCTATTTGTTCTCCTCTTTAGTTTGTTTGTAATCCCACAGCCAAAGATAAGTCATCCTGCTTGCCCTCCTTTTCTGTAACACTCACCTCCTCATTTAACTTCTTTTTTTTCTGTCTTTTGTTTCACGTTCGGAGGACGGCTTTATATTTTAGGACCAATGTCAACCTCACCATCCTGCCCTGTATTTCTTCTGTTATGTCGCTGCTTTTTTTCTGCCCCTGCAGGATCATTTTCTTCCATCATTTTAATTTATTTTCTTATTCTCTCCACTTCACACGATGAGTCATCAGCCCGACCTCCTTGAAAGAGGCATCCAAGGCTTCGCTTTTACAGGAAAGTGTTTCTAACCCTGCTTTTCACTTGCTCCCACCCTTTCAGTGGGAGTGTGCCAAACTCCTTCCCGCCGTGCCACAGCAGGCACTCAGCAAGCCGCGGGGCACAGCAGGGTGCTGCCAGGGATGCCGTCAAGCCTGGCCAGGCTCACCTTTTTTTTTTAGATGGAGTCTTGCTCTGTCACCCAGGCTGGAGTGCAGTGGCACAATCTCGGCTCACTGCAACTTCCGCCTCCTGGGTTCAAGCAATTCTCCTGCCTCAGCCTCCCAAGTAGTTGGAATTACACGCATGCACCACCATGCCCGGCTAATTTTTCTATTTTTAGTAGAGATGGGGTTTCGCCATGTTGGCCAGGCTGGTCTCGAACTCCTGACTTCAAGTGATCCACCCGCCTCGACCTCCCAAAGTGCTAGGATTACAGGCGTGAGCCACCACACCCAGCCTGAAATCTTTAGTTATCAAAGTTGTATTACATGGGTGCTATGCGGTAGTTTCTGTCCTTGAGGTTTACAGTCTAACAATGTCCTTGGCCTGCTAGGGCGTACATGGGAAAAGTTAGGTAACAGTACCAGACATCCCAGTGGGATATCGCCAGATGCTTAGTTGCCAGATGTTCAGAAGGTGAGGGCTGGTGGAGTTTGGGGTGACCAGGGAGAGCGTGTGGTGTCTGCTAATGAACCAGAAGAAGGGCTGATGTCAGGTGAGGTGCGGAGGGGGCGTGTCTGGGAGCCGGTGGGAGTGGCTTCACTTACATGAGACACACACACACAGGGAGAAGGTTCCCCAAGATTCGGTGTCAGAGTGGTTACCTGCCTGGTGCGGGGGGTAGATTTGGGCCTATAAGTAATTTTCTCTTTTTTTTTTTTTTTGCTTCTCTGTATTGGTTTATTTAGTGAGCATGTATTACTTTGTGTAATTTCGTTAAAACCTGCAAAATGTGTTGCAGGGGACAAGGAGATGCTTGACAGGGCGAGATCCATTTGGTTCTTACTGGAAATAAGTGGTACACTGGTAATGAAATTGGAAAGTGACTCTAGGTCCGATTATAAAGGGGTCTTGCAGTTTGAGTTTATAGCTTCGGTGAAATGACAGGTCTGGCATCAACAGGATGCAGATTTGGCTTAGCAGGTAGTGCTGTGCTTTCACCTGTGCAGGTCGTTCTCTGGGGTCCGTGGTCCATCATGGGAGGGCAGCCACCTCCTTTTGGGGAATGGTGACCTCTTCATGGGGTGATATTTGGGCTTTTTCACCATTCTCTGATTTCCTATTCCTCAAAATGGGGTCTAGGAAAGTTATGAGCCTGTCTATCCGTCTTAGGGTTCTACAGGTTTTCTGTGTGTGGCATATCTGTTTTCTGTGTGCTGTTATTTGAAAAATAAATAAAAGTATATCCTGTATCTTCCAGGTCATCATCCTGTCACAGAATTCTGTGTGACAACGTTAACGTCATTAATACTGGCTAAGGAGAAAATAACCGATGTAGAGTTAGTATACAAATAATTGGGGTCGACCGGGGACAGTGGCTCATGCCTGTAGTAATCCCAGCACTTCGGGAGGCCAAGGCAGGCAGATCACTTGAGGTCAGGAGTTCCAGACCAGCCTGGCCAACATGGTGAAACCCTGTCTCTACCAAAAAATATAAAAAATTAGCTGGGTGTGGTGGTGCATGCCTGTAATCCCAGCTACTCAGGAGGCTGAGGCAGGAGAATTGTTTTAACATGGGAGGTGGAGGTTGCAGTGAGCTGAGATTGCGCCACTGCACTCCAACCTGGCTGACAGAGCGAGACTCCATCTAAAAAAAAAAAAAAAGAAATAACTGGGGCCATGTGAAGACCATGTGATTCTGCAGCACATGCAGCAGGTGTTTACTGAGTGCCTGCTGTATACCAGGCAGTTTCTAGGGGTTGGGGGAATAGCAGGTAACAACATGGACTGTCCCTGACCTCATGGAGCTGATATTCTAGTAGGGGTGACAGGCGGTGCACAAATACCGAGTGTGGCAGATGGTGAGGGGTGCTGTGGAGAAAAGGAAAGTGAGGAAGGGCCCTGGGCATGCTGGTTGGGAGGAGTGTGGTTTCAGGTAGGGGCTTGAGAAGGCATTTCTGAAAGGAGGCATCTGAGTGAAGATCAAAGAGACAGTACTCAGGGCAGCCATGTGTGCCACCAGACAGAGAGGTCTGTGAGGCTGGAGCAGGGTGGATGTGCCTGGTGAGTCTGAGGAACAGCAGGCGAGCAGTGTGACTGGGGCAGGAAAGAGAAGGGAGGGAGAGGAGGGTGTAGAAGGGGGTTAGGTCAGGGAGGTTTGGGGCTGGATCAGGCGCGGTCTTGCGGGCTGGTGTAGGAACTTTGGCATTTCCTTGGAATCAAGTGAGAGAGCTTGCTAAGGTTTTGGTACAGAGCAAGGACATGATCTGACTTAGCTTTTATGAGATTGCCCTGGCAGCTGTGTGAGGGCTGACCACAGGAGGATGCAGAAGGAACATGGGAGCGGTGGTGACTTCCAGAGTGTAGCAGCAAGGTGGTGCACATGATCCCATGTAAGCTGTGTTTTGAAGGTAGAGCTGACAAACGTTGCTGATGGACTGTGTATGGAGCACAAGGGAATTAAACCATGACATGGTGCATGATGCGTACCTCGGAATCCAGCCACAGTGGAGCAACACTGTTCATCATGTGAAACTAATGTCAAGTGGAAGGTCGTTGGCTTTATAGTTTAATTTGTATTTAATCAATGTATCTGTGTCTATTTTGTAGTTTCAGAATAGCACAGTTTATGTGTACCCTTATTATTTGTGTATATTTATACAGTGGAATAGTTAATGACTACCTCAGGGTCCATGAGATTGTTTTTCCCCTTATGAAAGTATGTGGAGTCTTAAAGGGGCCTGAGAAACCCTGCTCTAACCACTGTGATTATCCAGGGACTGATGGAACCGATCTGTTCCCTTACGAAGTGTCACAGTATTGGCAGGACTCTGGACAAGGACAAGGAAGGCTGCATTCCTGTGGCACCACCAGGTGGAAGATGGAGGTATGTTCTCAGGTATGGCCAGTGTCTGCCAAGATGCAATTCCTCAGCTCTACAGTTTTACTACTTTTTCTGGTATGACACAACTAATAGACAACCTTGCAAATCCTAGCTACTCCCATGACTAGATGCAGATACTATTGAAACCTCAGAAGTCTGTGTTGCAAAATAAAGCAAAGAATGCAATAGGTTTTGTTCATAAAAGCATTTTTTTTTTGAGACCAAGTCTCGTTCTGCCACCCAGGCTGGAGTGCAGTGGTGTGGTCTTGGCTCACTGCAACCTCTGCCTCCCGGGTTCAAGCAATTCTTGTGCCTCATCCTCCCGAGTAGCTGGGATTACAGGCGTGTGGCACCATGCCCGGCTAATTTTTGTGTTTTTAGTGGAGATGGGGTTTCACCATGTTGTCCAGGCTGGTCTCAAACTCCTGACCTCAGGTGATCTCCCTGCCTCAGCCTCCCAAAGTGCTAGGATTACAGGCGTGAGCCACCGTGCCTGGCCTGTAAAAGCATTTTTATGAGCATGTGAATAATGAACTCAGTCATTTCAAGATCTTCCAAAACAATTCATTTGTTAGGGAATTGTTAGTAAATATGGCAAATAAAAATTTTTAAAAATACCTCTATTTAAAAAGATGAGTTATATATATTATTTTTCATAGATTAATCTTAGCAAGACAATTTTCTTAGTCCATTTTGTGTTTTGTAACAGAACACCTGCGACTGGGTAATATATAAAGAAATTGGCTCACGATTCTGGTGGCTGGAAAGTCCAGGACGGGGCAGCTGCATCTGGTGAGGGCCTCAGTCTGCTTCCACTCATGGCAGAAAGTGGAAGCGAAGTGGGTGTGTGCAAAGAGATCACATGGTGAGAGAGGATACAAGAGAGCAAAACCAAATAAGCCAGACTCTTTACCAACCGATTGTTTCTGGAACTAATCCATTCCTGCTAGAGTCAGAACTCACCCACCCCAGTGGAACGGCATTAAGTGTATTCATAATGATCCATCCCTATAACCCAAACACCTCCCGCGAGGCCCACCTCCCAACGCTATTACACTGGTGATCAAATTTCAACACAAGTTTTGGTGGGGACAAACAGACTACATCTAAAGCATAGCAAGAACCTAGTGTGTAATATTGTATAATCAAAATATAAGTATTTAAAAAACATTATTCACTTTGGGAGGCCGAGGCGGGCAGATCACAAGGTCAGGAGATCGAGACCATCCCGGCTAAAACGGTGAAACCCCGTCTCTACTAAAAATACAAAAAATTAGCCGGGCGTAGTGGCGGGCGCCTGTAGTCCCAGCTACTTGGGAGGCTGAGGCAGGAGAATGGCGTGAACCCGGGAGGCGGAGCTTGCAGTAAGCCGAGATCCCGCCACTGCACTCCAGCCTGGGCGACAGAGCGAGACTCCGTCTCAAAAAAAAAAAAAAAAACAAAAAAAAAACATTATTATTGAAATGATACTTCACATAATGTACTGATTTACACATGTTGCTACTGTTAATGAGAATTGCATGACTGGACACTTCATTTGCATCAGCGCTTTGCTTCTGACTTGTTAATCTTAACTGTTGTGTCACAAATAACCAGATGTGCACATTCTTATTTGTGCTTATGAACAAAGTAGTTACACTCTACTTGTGCCTTCTTTATATGCCCTTGGCTTCTTCCTTATTAAAAATATCCGTGGGTGAAAGAAAAACAGTAATTGTAGACTCACAGGCACTATAATAATTTGTAATTGCTTCTGCTGTGAATCTCGGCAACATCAGGAATGATTGAGAAGGATTGGTACATAGCCCTGGAATGCACGCCTTTCTTTTAAGGAAGCGCTTCAGAATGCCTTTGATTAAGAAGGATGTCATTATGCAGATGAGCTTGTAATTGTTCTAGTGTTTGAAAAAGGTAATAGCCCCATAATCCTAAGCACGTAGACTTGTACTGAGTATAACTCATGTGCCAGGGACTGTGCTCAGTGTTTGCTACCTATTGCCGCATAACAAACTACCCTGACCTCAGTGGCTCCAAATAACAACTTGTTAATATTTCTCACAGTTCTGTAGGTTGACTGGGCTCAGATGAGCAGTGGTTAGTTATCTGAAGGCTTTGTTGCTTACCTGTCTGGTGAGCGGACCGGGCAGGCTGGGTCGGTTGGGTGCTAATCAAGCAACTCTCTCCAAGTGGCCCCTCTACCTGGGTAGCTTGGGCTTCCTCATAGCATGGAGTCTCAGGGTGGCCAGTCTTGTCATATGGTGGCTGGTTGAGTTCACAGCAAGTGTTCCAGAGCCTTGGGAGGTGGGTGCTAAAAGACTTCTTCTGACCTAGCCTCACAGATCCCAGAATGCCATTTCTACCACATTTTATTGATCAAGCATTTTACCAAGGTAAATGCTTTGCTTCAGCCCAGAAGCAAAGAGAGGAGAATTAGACTCCACCTCTTGATGGGAGGAATAGCAAGAATTTGTGATCATCCTTAATCTACCCTACTGAATAAGTGCTTTACATAAATTATGACATTAATAGGCTTATAAGGGCAAGTTCTATTCTCATCTTTATCTTGCTAATGAAGAGACTGCAGCACAGGGATTTAAGTAACATGCTCAAGGACTGACTGCTAATAAAGGATGCTTCGAGCAATAGAACTAGCTTTGTATGATTCTAAATCCCAATGCACATAATAACTTAACTGTGCCACAAACCAGTTATTTTTGTTATTGTTATATGTTACAAATTATTTGTTCAAAACTGGCATGTAGTAGGGAGAGCACCACTGGTCTGATAGAATGGACTTTTTAAAAATAAGGGGTCTTGTATTAAAAACATAATTTAATAATTTTATTGAATAATTTGAACCAGGTTTGAAGCATTTCCGTGGAAGGAAAACATGCAAATTCCCACAATGTTAGGGTCCTGGTCAGGTTCTTTGGAGTTACAGGTAACTGTTTGTCATTTCTGGGAATGTATGAGATGTGCAGAGGCAAAGTCCAGTATCAGAGATGGTCTCACCTTGATGGCAGTAAAAGGCTCAAATGCGTTTATAATAATACCAACAGCAGCAGCGACAACAATATATTTGTTTAGCACTTTACAGTTTACAGTGAACTGTCCTCATGTTATTTCATTTAGTCCTCAAATAACTCTATGTGGTTGGCTTTTTGTCTTCGATCTGCAGGTGTGAAGGACAGAGGCTTAGCCATGTGAAATGTTTTTGCTCAATGTCATAAAGGCCATGTGGGAAGTGGACCCTAAGCCAGGCAGTGTGACTGCTCCAGGGTTCCCAGCTCCACAGTGCAGGAGGCAACCATTTCCAGTTCTTTTCTTCCTTTACTTTCTCATAGGATACTTTTTAAGCACTATAAATTGGGTTCAGGAAATGTCAGTTTGTGAAATGTGATCAATCCAGAAGGCCAACCTGCTGGACTGCAGGGGACTGTTAGAGATCAGAGGTTCCCAGGTCTGCTATTACAGCTGTTGGGTCACTGTGCAAGCACTGCTGTCAGGGTGGCACAGTGGAGGGCAGATGAGCCCTGGCAGCAGGTGGACTTGGGCACGTATTCGCTGTGGCAAATCATGTAATCTCTGGGGCTCACTTTTCTCATTGCAAAATACTGACAGTTTGCGTAGATAATGCCTCTAACGGGGAACCTTGCCTGGCATGTAATATTCAAGATATTACCTTAGCAGCCTCTTCTCCCAGACTGTTTTACATCCTCGTAACTTTAAGGCTTAAGGGAGTTTAAGTAGATTGTTTCCACAAGAGGAGCTCTGGCTGAGCTGTTCTCTTTATATACTTTGCTACGGGGTCTGGCAAGTAAAAGGTGCTGAGTAATAGCTTTCAATTCACTAAATGAATACTGTAGAACATCATTATTTTCATTCATTCGACTAAATTTATAACATACTCTAAATTTTTTATTGAAGTATAACATACAAAGTGCACTAATCTTCAGTTTAATGCACGATGGACTTTCACAAATGGAACAGACCTATGTAAACACCTGGGTCAAGAAATAATGTTACCAGCTGTCCAGAAGCCCACCCTGTTCCCCCTTCCAAGCATTACCTTAAAAAAAAAGTAACTAGTTGTCTTGACTTCTAACACTGTAACATTTATTTTTGCTTGTTTTTAAGTTGTAGCAGATGCTTACTGTAGGATCTTTGTTTTTTTTAGGTACTTATACTAAGATGGCATTAATAGACGTTCTTAGGACCAAAGGGCTGGGGCAGAATGTGCTGCCATTGGGCCACAAGTGTGCAGAGACATGGATGCTGGCCTGGGGAGATGGGCTGGGTAGGCTGTGGCCCTTTGGCTTCTTCCAGCTGTAGCCATGTGGGCCCGTATGCCCTGGTGCTATGTAGATAATAGCACTTTCTCTGTTTGCTGGGATGTGAATAAGGTTGGAAAGCAGTGTCTTCAGAGGCCTTGTAAAATTGATTAAAATGAGAAGCATATTACTTTTATTTTGCTTTGTTTTGTTTAGAGACAGGGTCTCTCTCTGTCGTCTAGGCTAGAGTGCAGTGGTGTGATCATAGCTTACTGCAGCCTCAAACTCGCAGGCTCACACAATCCTCCCACCTCAGTGTCCTGAGTAGCTGGGACCACAGGTCCTCCAGCACACTTGGCTAATTTTTAAATTTTTTGTAGAGACAGTGTTCTCGTTATGTTGTCGAGGCTGGTCTCGAACTCCTGGCCTCAAGGGATCCTTTTGCCTTGGCCTCCCAAAGTGCTGGGATTATAGGCATGAACCACTGTGTCCGGCCTGAGAAGCATGTTAATTGTGTATAATTAAGCCATTTTAAAGTGCTCAAGGGTGTTTGAAAACAGTTCTCTCAAATATTAAAAATGTCTTGTTTCCATTTTTAATGAACAAAACCTTTCTATGAAGAAAATCTTTGCTAAGATCAGTCTTTCCTCTTACCCCAGCTTTACTGAGGTATAGTTGACAAGTAAAAATTGAATGTCCACTTTTAAGGTATGCAATATGATGTTTTGATTGTATACATTATGAAATGATTACCACAGTTAAGCTAATTAACACATTCATTATCTCACATAGTTATCTTTTTTGTGGTAAGAATACTTTGAGATCTACTCTCTTAGCAAATAGATCAGTCTTTTTAAAGTTGTTTTTAATGACTAAACTTAATGTATACTTGTAAAGAATAAAAAAGGTACACATAGGTATAAAATGAAAAGTAAAAAAGACCACCTTTCTCTACTAATGTCTTCTATTTCTTGTGTATTTTTTAAGCTATGGTCTATGCATATGCAAACATTTTCTTGCCTTTTTCCTCTAAAGGTAAACCTTGAGTATTATTCCTTGGCCCCATGTATAGAGCAATCCCACTTATTTTAAAAGTCACATAGTGTTCTCTCACAACAGTATATCATGATTTACTTAACTGGTGCCCTAATGATAAATGTTGAGGTAGTTTTCATTTTTTGGCTTTACAAACAATTCTGCAATAAAAATCTTTGTACCTGAATCTTAATGTACGTGAATGAAATGTATTTGTGGGATTTTCTAGAAATAGAACGTTGGGTCAGAGAATAGGAGATTGATATCTAAAAAGATATTGCAAAATTAACCTCAAATATTGCGCCAATTTACACTCCCTTTAAATGTTTGATGACATGATTTTCTACACCCTTACAACACAAAATATAACCTAATTTTTTGTTTGTTTGTTTGTTTGTTTTGAGACAGGGGCTCATTCCATCACCTAGGCAGGAGTGCAGTGGTACAATCTTGGCTCACTACAACCTCTGCCTCCCAGGTTCTAGCGATTCTCATGCCTCAGCCTACCGAGTAGCTGGGATTACAGGTGTTTGCCACCACACCTGGCTAATTTTTGTATTTTTAGTAGAGATGGGGTTTCACCATGTTGGCCAGGCTGGTCTCGAACTCCTGACCTCACGTGATGCACCCCTCCTTGGCTTCGCTAAGTGCTGGGATTACAGGCGTGAGCCACCCCACCCAACCATGAATATAATAAATTTTTTTATTTTTGCTAATATTATAGATTAAAAATGATAATCTATTTTAATTTGCATTTCTTTATAATGACAATGGATATTTTAAAAATTTGTTTATTGACTGACTATATTTTTCTGTTACCTGCCCCTTCACATCGTTTACCCATTTTCAACTGGGTTGTTTTTGTTACTGATTTGTGAGTAATCTTTGTATATTAAGAAGCTAAACTCTTTGTTATTTGTATTGCATATGTTTTTCCTCAGTTTGTTGTTTCATGTTTCACTGTTTACTGTCTTTTAAAAAATCATACCGATATTTAGAAATCTTCATTTAGTTAACTATATCAATCTTTTGTGATTTTGATGTTTTATGTCTTGCTTAGAAAATCCTTCTCTACTCTAATATTATAAAAGTATTTAGCGCGATGGCTCATGTCTGTAATCCCAGCACTTTGGAAGGCTGAGGCGGGCGGATCACGAGGGGAGGAGATCGAGACCATCCTGTCTAACATGGTGAAACCCCATCTGTACTAAAAATATAAAAAATTAGCCGGGCGTGGTGGTGGGCACCTGTAGTCCCAGCTACTCAGGAGACTGAGGCAGGAGAATGGCGTAAACCAGGGAGGGGGAGCTTGCAGTGAGCCAAGATCACGCCAGTGCACTCCAGCCTGGGGGACAGAGTGAGACTCCGTCTCAAAAAAAAAAAAAAGTGTTTAGCTATATTTTGTCCTAGTACTTTCATATTTTCTTTTTTACATTTTAAATTATTTGAGCACGTGGATTTTGGGATAAAGAACCAGCTAGGGATTTAGTCTCCCCTCCCCCACCCCCCTCTAAATGCCTAGCTGGTTGCTTTAATACCATGTATTGATTAATTCATAATCATTATCTACTGGTCTGACATGTTATCTTTGTCATAAATGAGATTTCCATGTGTATGTGTGTCTGTTTTTGGACTCTATGTTCTATTAAAATTTTAATTAATTTCTGAATTTGAGAAAAATCAGAGCCAGTAGTGTCCGAATTATGAATTTACCCCTGGTTGTTTTTTTACTCTTCTCTTGATGTACTTCTCACACACTGCATTCTGTTGCATAAAAAGAATAACATGGTGTTGAATGACAGATCTAAAGATGGACATTTGTCTATGTGGTAAATACGTGGTAGATTCTGGGTGATTTTTCATATGCTTCATATAAAAAATGATCGTACATAAAATAACTTTTTTGGAAGGAACATAATCTGAGCCATTCAGATACAACGAAATCCAGCTCCTCTCTATAGCATCGCTGTGGGTGTAGCTAAAATATGAGATTTTAAGTTTAAAAACAACTTCTGCATGTTATTTGGAAATATTTTTTACTAATTTCTTACGCAGCCCAAAACTTAATGGGCAAATTTAAAATACGCATTTAGTGTCTTAGTATTTTACAAAGTCCTTCGAGCCTCACCTTATCTTTTTTTTTTTTTTTTGACACAGAGTCTTGCTCTGTTGCCCGGGCTGGAGTGCAGTGGCATGATCTTGGCTCACTGCAGCCTCTGCCTCTCGGGCTCAGACAATTCTCCCGTCTCAGCCTCCCAAATAGCTGGAATTACAGGCATGTGCCACCATGCCCAGCTAATTTTTGTATTTTTTTTAGTAGAGACAGGGTCTCACCGTGTTAGCCAGGCTGGTCTTGTACCCCGACCTCATGTGTTCCCCCATGTTGGCCTCCCAAAGTGCTGGGATTATAGGCATGAGCCACCACACCCGGTCCTCACTGTATTTTTGAAAACATGGTTACAGAATTAGTTGCATGTGGAGAAGCTGAAATGCTATATGTAAATCCTCTTTCCTGATTACCAGCATTCTCCTAATGCAAAGTGTGTGAAGTGACAGCAGAGAAGATATCAAAGGGTTTGGTGCTTGGGACATTCTGTATTGTCAATGTGAGATGCCCAGTGAGATGGAAGTTCTGCACAGGGTGGCTGGGCGGCAGGCATTCATTTCCGTAAGCCTCTCTCTTTCCTCCTATATGGTATGTGATGAGTTTGGGGGAAAGCATCTGCATTTAAGCTCTGTTCTGGTGGAGAGAGGGAAGAGGTCTCAGTGTTTATCGTCTCCCATGAGTTGAGTGTGCAGGATCTGTAGCCAACAACTCTTGAGTTTTGAGAGTTCCATGTGAGCCTCACTACATGCTAAGTCAGAACCACAGGGTGAGTGAATGCTCTTTCTCTGCTCCATCTGGCTTCTGTCTTCTTAACAGCATATCTGCTGTTTCACATAGCTGCATATCAAGCCAGTTTTTTGTTTTTGAGATGGGGGTTCTCACTGTGTTGATCAGGCTGGTCTCGAACTCCTGGACTCAAGTGATCGTCCCGCCTTAGCTTCCCGAGTAGTTGGGACTACAGATATGTGCCCAGCTACAAGCTGGCTCTTTTATTTTTGGGGCAGTTTAACCACTTGGCATTGTCAGGTCTTCCCTAAGCTTCCCTTGGTCTTTTCTTCCATTTTGCTGTTTTTTTGGACATTAAATAATTTATTACCTCTACCAGGTGCTTGGACAGAATAAAGTAAAAGAGAGAATCGTTATGTTAGAAAATTAACTTGTGCAAGGTGACATAAAATTCTCTCTGCTGTTGATTCATCCATGCTGGCTTTGCCAGTGGTCATGAGGGTAACCAGTGATTCAACTGTATGGGAGGGAATCTGCCCTTTCTGAGTGGATCTCACAAGGTGATTCCTGTGTGATGATGTAAAGATGAGAACCTTTCTGGGAATTTGCTTTTTTTTTTTTTTTTTTTGAGGCAGAGTCTAGCTCTATCACCCTGGCTGGAGTGCAGTGGTGTGATCTTGGCTCACTGCAGCCTCTGCCTTCCGGGTTCACGATTCTCCTGCCTCAGCCTCCTGAGTAGCTGGGATTACAGGCGTGTGGCACCACGCCCAGCTGATTTTTGTATTTTTAGTACAGACAGGGTTTTGCCATGTTGGCCAGGCTGGTCTCGAACTCCTGGCCTCAAGTGATCTGCCTGCCTCAGCTCCCAAAGTGCCTGGATTACAGGCATGAGCCACCATGCCTGGCCTGAATTTGCTTTTTATCTATGATAATAAGCTCCTCACCCAAACAGATAGGAATTGAACTCAGACAAATTTTAATGTGCACACATTTGCAAAGGTAGGCTTGCATTTTTCATTCACTTTCTCTTTTATATATTTACATGCGCAGAGGACAAAATGCAGAAGACACACAGGATGAGCAGCGAGAAACGATGCCCAGCCTCCGTCTCCCTCAGCTCTGCCACTCCTCTCCCCAGGGGCACCAGTCACTAGTAATGCCCTCAGAGCTCTTGGGTTCATCCAGCATGGGCTCTGCTCTGCCTATGCAGGTACCAGACCATCTTCGTCCAGGGGGACGTGGAGTCACACGCATGCAGGCAACAAGGAGAGGGCCGGTCACCGGATGAGGCTGGGCCCCTGGGGCAGGGGTTTCATCAGAGCCCTAGGTCTGCTCTGTCTCCAGAGAAACCTCCCCAGAGGCCCAAGTCCTGCACCCACTGCAGCAGGGCAGGGCTGTAGCCAGGTGAGCAGAGGGCAGAATCCTCCCCTGGAATACATTAGACCCTGTGGTGACATTAGTTCATGCTCAGTGCTCTGTTCACAATCTCTGGTCCTCACAACGGCCCTGTTAGCGGGTTAGGTGTGGGCATGCAGTGAGGTGGGTCCTGGAACTTGTACCCAGGCTTGTCTGACACCAGAGCCCATGCTCTCCACCACAGCCGTGTCTCCAACCTCTCCCTAGTGCTTGGTGCTACTGCAAGGACTTCTTTTTCCTTCTCCCCTTAACTGTCATGATAAAGTGACAGCATCTCAGACAAATTTAAAAATTCCCTGAAGGAATCAGCTGGTTGGCGCTGAACTTTGCAGGGTGCCGTGAACACCCTGGGCTGGAGTCTGAATGCATTGCTTTCCTCATGCAACAGTATTGACTGAGCCACTGTAAACACACAAGAGTTTTGCTGGGTGCTGAGTGTATTGTGAGTTTTCATCGTCTGTGCTAATGCTCATCTTACTGAGCATAATAACCTGGAGCATGACCTATATTGAATTCACTTGGTGGTTGCTGCAGGATGCTTAAAGGAATGAAACTTGAGGGTAGGTTAAGGGAAGCAATGGTGATGAGCTGAGCTTTCACCAGGTGGCACCTGGCTCTGGATGCTGATGTGTTTGGATCAGTGGTAGAAAACAAGCAAATAGAATGGCGAGTTAGACAGTTTCCACTGCGCACAGCACTTGGGTGTTTTCCATGCTATAAATCTTTATTTTTTCCACTTTGGTTTGAGTGGGATCACTTCCATTGGAGCTAATCCAGAAATTGCTAATTCAGTGGGAATTGTGAGTCTATAAGTTAGGAATAAATTGAGCTTAACATGCAATATATTGGAAATGATCCTAGATCCTGGATCCTTCCTCTTCCCAAACAGTGAGCTGTGAGGGAGTCACTCCTCCCACCAGGTTAGAACCATCCGACGTGTGCAGATGTGGCATATATGGTGTATGTTCTGAGGGACAAAATGACGACCCCTGACTGCAGTGTGGCTCCAGCATTGCTTGCTTCCAGGCTGACCAGGGACAGGTGTCCTGGAAGATGGCTCTTCCTGTTCCCAGAGCTGTCCCACCCTTCAGTGTCCACAGGCATTCTGGAAGCCCAGGTTCTCCTTCATTCTGCTTAATAGCTCGGCCTAGAATTCTCATTCGTATTCTGTGCCTGGAGACCCAATCCAAACTCCAAGCCTCATTCCATTTTCCTGGGCTCTGGTTCCCTCCAGGATTCGGTCCACAGGTGGGTGTGGACAAGACTGCTGGGACCACGGCCTTGGTTCCCTGCTCTGTTGATGAGGTTCTTGGGCTCAGACACCACCTGCAGCCCTTCTGCAGCCAGCCTCTCCGTTGCCTGCAAACCCTTGCCCATCCTTCCCTCAAGACTCCCTCAGAGACATTGTACCGTTGTTTTCTAGTGATCCTTGAAATTTGATGCAGTAGCTCTTAGAAAGAAGAGACTAGAAAAAAAATAGGAGGCATGGTTACTGGGGAGGGGGGGCTTGGTTGGTAAAAATAAGTGAATTTTGCTGGCATGGGTCAAATTCCTCCCAACTGAAAAGAGGGGAGTATCTATTAATACAAATGTAAAGAGGGGAGAAAATGTGTTCTGTTACATGGGAGAGGCATGCCCTGTAGTCAGGAGCCTGTGTCCAGTTATGTGAGATGGAAGCTGGGGGGCAGGGTGGCGGGGAGGAGGGAGGGAGGGAGGGAGGGAGGAAGGCTAAACTAAGGTCATGCACTCAGGTCCTCAGGTACATAAGAGCTAGTATCTATCGCACTCTATATACTGACACTGGACGAACTCCTTCCCTGCACTGTCACAGCCCTGTGAGGTGTTGCTCTTCCTGTCACTATTGTGCAATTGAGATGGAAGCCTGGAGAAGTTAAATACTTGCTCAGGGCCCCGCAGCCAGTAAGTGGCAGGACCTGTGCTTACCTCCTGGCCTATGGACTCCAGCGATTGTGTTGTGAAGCCACCACACCCGCTGCCTTTCCTGAACACGGACAGGAAGCGTTACATACCTAACGAGGAGAACATGGGCAAAACCTTGCGAGTTTAAGTTGTGAGTGAGCTAAGGGTGAGCCGAGAGGATGACTGTAGCCAAGCCTGGCAGCCTGGGGAGCCTATCTGCAGGTGTGGAGGGGTGAATTGTTAGTGAAGGTGAGGAACAGCAGAAAGGAGAGGCAGGCAGGGTGCAGAAAGGATCCCGGATACGATGAACAAAGCGGGGCCCGAGGAGCCACCCCTGCGGGGGAGCAGTGGGGTGGGGAAGGACTCGAGTCTCTGGCGCCTCAGCACTGTGTGCCAGGTGAGAGACAAGTTGTGTGTGGTTTTATTCTTTCCATATCCATTTCTTTTTGTTTGGTTTTGTTTTTAAAAAGTATTTAGCATTTAATGAACCTCCTTCCCTGCGGCTGCAAGCCACCAGCACACAGGCCCCCCAGCATTCTTAATCTTCTCAGCTCATCAGAATTGGGCCTTCATGATGACAGACTGCTTTGGGAGCTTTCCCTTTCCCAGAACTTTATAGTAGCCCAGTTGCACCACAGCAGTGATGGGAGGAGCCTCTTGGTGGTGGCGGTGGTTTTTTGTTGTCGTCGTTGTTGTTGTTTTGTTTTTTTTTGAGATGGAGTCTCGCTCTGTCGCCCAGGCTGGAGTGCAGTGGTGCAATCTCGGCTCACTGCAACCTCTGCCTCCCGGGTTCAAGTGATTCTCCTGTCTCAGCCTCTCAAGTAGCTGGGATTATAGGCGCCTGCCACCATGCCTGCCTAAGTTTTGTATTTTTAGTAGAGACGTGGTTTCACCATGTTAGCCAGGCTGGTCTCGAACTCCTGACCTCAAGTGATCCGCCTGCCCTGGCCTCCCAAAGTGTAGGGATTATAGGTGTGAGCCACCATGCCCGGCCCTCAGTCTTGTTTTTAGCAGCATTTGCCTGTGTCTGCTCACGGATCATAGTCCACAGTTTGTCAAAGTTGACAGTTGGGCTGAAGCTCTGTTTCCTCTTTAAGTGGTAATGCCTCACACCAGCTTTCCCACATAACCTGGGTGACATTTGTCAAAGTTGATCCTGTGGTGGTGCACACCACCTGCATTACCACAGCCTCCACGGTGCTTCCGCACTCGGTGATGTGGCCATGGCCGTGGCTCGTGTGGCCCTGAAGTTTCCGGCTCTTCCTCAGTCTGGATGGCATGTCAGACAAAAGAGGAAGATTTCTACAAAGTCTCTTAAGGTATTGAGCACCTATTTCTCCTTTTAAAAACGGGCAAGCTGAGCACAGTTGTGCATGCCCATAATCCCAGCTACTTGGGAGGCTGAGGTGGGAGGATCGCTTGAGCCCAGGAGTTTGAGATCAGCTTGGGCAAAGGGGAATTTTTCTTTCATTATCATTTTGATGTAGAAAATCAGTAACATCTTCTTTGCCAATATGAAAACATGTTTTTCTTTAAGCAGAGTCTTGCTGTCAGCCAGATTGGAGTGCCATGGTGAGATAATAGCTTACCGCAGTCTTGAACTCCTGAGTACAAGGGATCCTCCTGCCTCATCCTCCTGAGTAGGTGGGACTACAGACATGCACCACCAAGCCTGGCTAATTTTTAAAATTTTTGCAGCGATGGGGTCTCACTAGGTTGCCCCGGCTGGTCTGGAACTCCTGGGCTCACACAACCCTCCTGCCTGAGCCTCCTGAGTAGCCGGGATCACAGGTGCACACCACCATGCCTGGCTAATTTTTCATTAAAAATTTTTTTTAGAGGGTCTTGCTAGGTTGCCCAGACTGGTATTGAACTACTTGCCTCAAGTGATCCTCTCCCCTCAGCTTCTCAAAGTGATGGGATTACAGATGTGAACCACCATGCCTAGCCTGAAAACATTTCCTTTTGATTCTAGCATTTAGATCCTAAACCTAAAACCGTTGCCCTAGAATTGCGCTGCCCACTTTTGCTGCTGATCTTATTCCCTGTCCAGACCTTTGAGGACCAGAGTTGGTTGGGCCTCCCTCCCAGATGATGCTCAGGGTACTGGATGCTGGAGTGCAGGGACTTTCTCTGGTGACTGTGGGGAAGCCCCTGCCCTCTCCCCTCCCTTTTTTTTTCATTTGTTGATTGGCAAAGCTGAGATTTCCCAGTGTATGTGAATTTGGTTTGGTTCATTTGTAAACCCCTTGACAACTCTGTACATCAGAATAATGGCATTCCTCTTGGGAGTATTTTGTAATTATTTGCTCAGTGTGTAATATCCCATTAAATATCCAAAGTCAATTCAGCAAATGTTTATTAATAATAAGATTTGCCGAAAGCAAGAGAAGTCTTAAGTGGGTTATGCCTACAGTTTCTAGAAAGCCTTCAGATTGTGGTGGTAAAAAAACTTGGCTTTGTAAATTTTGTGTAATTCGTATTAGAAGATGCTAATTTATTTTAAAAGCACAGTACTCTTTTGTGGTAAATTTCCAAGTTTGCCCCTGTCATTTGAAAAGCTTTTGGTGTGAGTGTTTTCAGATGTTATTGGGTGGTAGGGGCAAGGACTCGTTATTTTTGTTTTCAAATATGTATTATCTCTTTCAAATAGCTATTAAAATTTATTATGTATTTGCACTTATAAATGTTTTATGTACCAATTTAAAAAATGGATCAATAGATTTCTGTGTCTAGCAGAGAATCGATTAATGAGTTTTGAATAGTGTGCCAAGGTGACTCAGCTTTATGACTTTCCATGGATGACAGATTCTGCCCCTGCGACAAGGTCAAGCCCATAAAAATTCCAATCAGATACCACAAAAAGCACAGTTTCATAGGTCAGTTTAATTCTATAGCAGTCTTTTTTGTCAGCATAGCTGGCGATTCCATCTGTTTTAATTTAAGATTCACCCCAGCCATGCCTCTGTAGCAGGTGACACGTGCACACACACACACACCCCCACACCCACACACTGTTTCCTTATGTAACATACATGATGTAAATATGTAATATAAATGTATAGTTATGTAGAATATAAATATATTTACATTGTAGTAGAGGCTGAGTCGGTGGTATAATAGAGCATCTGCAATTCAATATTTAGAGTATAAAGCTGTTTTTCCTTTGTGAAACCATTTGTTTTCCATACACTGCTTGGTGTTGGGCGGGGAAATAATGCAGTTACTTATCTGCTACACTAACGAGCAGATGACTGTCCTCCTCTCCTGCGGCTCTTCTGCAGAAATGAGTCGCCACAGTGAATTGCTTGTGTTTATTATTCTGGTCATGGGTTAGCACCAGGTGTCACAGTGAATCAATCTTGGATTGGTAAAAGGTTGTCACGACGGCAGAAAATTGCAGGCTAGAGCAAATTGTCCTATGCCCATTACAGAATCTCAAGTAATGATGGTTGGTTATGCATGGAGGGGCTGAAATAGTCCATAGCATAAGGAAACCAAGCAGGGGTCTCTAAATAGGTCAGAGGGTTCTAACAGATACCCCACCCCCTTCTGCTTTTAAAAGCTCTTGTTACTGAATGGTCATAAAGAGAGTTTTGTCTGCCCCCCACGCTAACCAACAAGACAGGCTTACCAACAACGTGGTCCTGGCAGGCAGCCAGCCGGCCGGCATTTAAATGATGCTTGCTGCTGTGGCAACCCCACGGGCCTTTAATGGGTGAGCGTGGATGCAGCAGCTGAAGGCCAAGTGCATCATGGAAGGCAGCGGTGCAAGCACAGCCCTGGTTCCAATGACTTAACGCCGCCTGGGCCACTGCAAGACCGGTGTGGCAGACAGACCCCCTGGCGAGGAGCTAACTGTGGGGTGGGTGGTGGGATATTGTGAAATGTGTATTTGGTCTTCATCCCTGTTTCCTAAAACCCTTAGAATCTCTGGAGCAAAGAGTATTTTTTGCCTGCTCATGATGGACTGATAGCTGGCAGCCCCCAGGTAGCTTTAGGATGGGGCTGGTCACAGGAAAGACCAAGGCAAGATGGGAGGGTTGGGACTTTTAGCCCCACCACCAATCTCCAGGGAAGGGACCTCCAGGGAAGGGAAGGGGCGGAAGGTTGAGTTGATCACCAGTGGCCATTGGTTTAATCAGGCATGCCTACGTCATGAAGTTTCCATAAAAACCCAAAAGGGTGAGTTTGGAGAGCTTCTGGATAGCTGAACATGTGGAGGCTCCTGGAGGGCGGCGCAGGGGCACACTGGGGAGGGCATGGAAGTCCCACACCCCTTCCCACATGCCTTGCCCTACAAGTCTCTTCATCTGCATCCTGTGTAACATCCTTTATAATAAACTGGTGAATGTCAGTAAGTGTTTCCCGGGGTTCTGTGAGCCACTCTAGCAAATTAATCAAACCTGAGGAAGTGGTCATGGGAACCCTGATTTGCAGCCCATCAATCAGAAGCACAGGACACCTTCCTCCTTGTGCTAGGCCTCTGGAGTAGGAGGAGGCAGCCTTGTAGGACTCAGCCTCCCGCTGTGGGATCTGACATTATCTCCAGGTAGGTAGCTTCACAATTGAGTTGAACTAGAGAACACTCAGAGAACTAGAGAACGCTGGTGTCCGCTGAAGAATCAGTGGCTTGCTTGGTGTGTGGGGAAAACCTCCTGTACATTTGGTCACAGAAGCATTTTGTGTTGTGAGAGTAGACTAGGAGAAAAAACATTTTGTTTTTCTACTCAGGTGGCATGTTCCAAATAAAAACACTGGAAAGAATATGAGTTTAAAGAAATGGATTGTAATGCATGATATAGTTGCATACTATATAAATACATCTCGTAAATTTGGATTTCATTGCCTTAGAATTTCTAAGAATTTGGCCAGGCACGGTGGCTTACGCCCGTAATCCCAGCACTTTGGGAGGCCAAGGCAGGCGGATCATGAGGTCAGGAGATCGAGACCATCCTGACTAACACGGTGAAACTCCGTCTCTACTAAAAATAAAAAATTAGCTGGGTGTGGTGGCGAGCACCTGTAGTCCCAGCTACTCAGGAGGCTGAGGCAGGAGAATGGCGTGAACCTGGGAGGCAGAGCTTGCAGTGGGCCGAGATTGTGCCACTGCACTCCAGTCTTGGCAACAGAGGGAGACTCTGTCTCAAAAAAAAGAATTTGTAAGAATTCAGACTCAGGGTGCAGGATGAATTTACTGCTTAGGAAGATGTAATGTGCTAAAAAAAAAAAAAAAGTAAACAAACTATCTGGATGATTCTTAGCCTATGGAGAGTAAAGCACAGGTTTTTAAGTTTCTTAGATACACTGTATTGATGAGGATACAGACTAAGCTGCTGAAACAGGAGATCCCAGATTATAGTGACTTCAGCTTTTTCAGTCCTCCTGGTGGCTGGTTCAGGGCTTGTTTGGTGGCTTGTGGGGTCATCACATTGTATACTCTCCTGTCCTGTGTGCCAGCACCTGGTCACATGGCCACCCCTGACTGCAAGGAAGATGGGAAAATGTCATCGTTAGCTGGGTAACCAGGGGCCCAGCTAAAACTCAGGGTTCTTTTTCTAATAGTTGAAAGGGAGAGTGAGTATCACAGAGCCCCAGCAGTTTCTCTCCTAAGCATCTTTTATTTTCCAATGAGGACACTGCCAGGCCAGTTGTGTCTTCCTTGGCTAGAGCTTTGATCTGCAAACTTGGAGCTGATTCTGACCTCAGACCCTGGGGTGACGAGAGGAGCTCTATGATTCTAGTTAGACCAGCCTAATGGATGAATCCTGACTCCCTCACTTGCTGTTTGTGTGGCCTTCAGTTCGGCTGTTGAGCCTCTCTGACATTCCGATTCACTGGTAATGATAACTGTCTCACAAAGTCATTGTAACAAGTATTTTGAGAACATCCAGGATAATGCCAGTCATATGATGAGTTTTCAGTAAAAGTTCCTTTGTTCCTTCCTCTATAGGATGAATCATAGAAATCATCTACTTACCTAACGCTTCCAGTGAAACAAGTTAATTTGCTCAGAGCCTGATTTAATTTGCATTATTGCATCAGGATGACACCTCTTTACAGTAAAGTTATTTATACTTCTCCAAATGCAAAATTTAAAATTATTTTGGCTGGACGTGGTGGCTCTCGCCTGTAATCCCAGCACTTTGGGAGGCCGAGGAAGGTGGATCACTTGAGGTCAGGAGTTCGAGACCAGCCTGGCAACATGGTGAAACCCTGTCTCTACTAAAAATGCAAAAATTAGCTGGGCGTGGTGGCGCACACCTGTAATCCCAGCTACTCAGGAGGCTGAGGCAGGAGAATTGCTTGAATCTGGGAGGTGGAGGTTGCAGTGAGCCAAGATTGCACCACTGCACTCCAGCCTGGGCAACAGAGTAAGACTCTGTCTCAAAAAAAAAAATTCTTTTGGTGGGTTAATGTTACCCAGAAGCAGATCATACTGTGCTCACACATCTTCTGTCCACATCATACCAATGCTAGAATAAAGGGGGTAAACAGAAAAACAGGTTTTCTTGGGAAATGACATATGGAAGTTGCTGCACAGGGGTCTCTAATGGCAGAGGTGCCTCCAGGGGGCTTTGATATGTCAGCAGTAGCAGCGCACACTGCAATGCCTTCCTTGCTTGTAGTAAGTGGCCTCTGGGTTCTTAAAACAAGACCCTATTGTGTAAGATGCTGGACTTGGGAAAACCCCTGGCAGGGGCTGCATTGAGGCTGGTGACTCCTGTTGGGGCATTGTGTGCTGCATAGTGTAATAGGCAGCCACTCTAGGCCCAGCATGGTGGCTCACGCCTGTAATCCCAGCACTTTGGAAGGCCGAGGTGGGCGGATCACTTGAGGTCAGGAGTTCGAGACCAGCCCGGCCAACATGGTGAAACTCCGTCTCCACTAAAAGCACAAAAATTAGCCAGGTGTGGTGGCGGGCACCTATAATCCCAGCTACTAGGGAGGCTGAGGCAGGAGAATTGCTTGAACCTGGTGGGGCAGAGGTTGCAGTGAGCCGAGATAACGCTACTGCACTCCAGCCTGGGCAACAGAGTAAAACTCCGTCTCAAAAAAAAAAAAAAAAAAAAAAAAAAAGGCAGCTGCTCTGGGCACCCCTGGATTGTGGCAAACTTCAGAATTGGGTGTCAGTGCTAAGTGACCAAGACAATACCACCGTGGATGGATCACAAGGGCTGGAGTTGCAGAGTCAGAGCTGATGGAGCTTTCCTGCCAGCCACGCACCATCTGTCCAGTGGGAAGTCCTTTCTGTGCTGGGAGGAAGGGGCCAGCAGGACCACTTGTCCTGCGCCAGTGCCAGCCTCTCTCAGCCTGTGTGCAGCACGTACATGTCCATGGCAGCCCTCGGCTGGATCTCAGGGCTGTGGGCAGGGGTGGAGGCCACTGCTAGGCTGTCCTGCTGCTCCAGCAGCCCCCTCAGGGGCCGTTGACTTTTCACAGGAACCCAGGCCTGCCATTGAGGGTGGAGATTTCATTTGGAAATGCTCGCCTCACTTCCCATGCGGTTCCTCTGTCTGCTTTATGAGCGGGACATACCCCTCATCCACTGCCTCATCCAGGTTTCCTGGTGTGGCAGGGTCCCCAGGGACCCAGAGGGAGCCAGGAAATGTGAGTCAGTGGCTTCCCAAAGTGGCTGCCTGGCCTGTGGTGTCATAGGGCTGCTGCTGTCTGCCCTTTGTCCTGTCTCACGCTGTCCCCAGCCCTCCCAGCACTGGCCGTTGAGAAGACAGAGTTGAGTTGACTGTCACTGTTGTCTTGGGGAAGACCACCCGGCAAAGCACTGGCAGGGCTCGAAGTGGGAAGGCAAGGTCAGACTGGATTGAGAGTTGCAACTGTGATTGAAGGCGGTCTTTCAAAGCAGGCTCTTGGTGAGGGTTGGGTAAGAATCGCGATATTGCAGCGCAGAGTTGGTGGAAACAGCAAGCAAGGGTTTCGAGGACTTCAAAGACTCCTAGGGGCAAACTTCTACTGCTTCCTACTGAAGAGTGGATGGGCCTTCAGGGAAGTTCCTGGCAGGAACAGTCCTCCCATTTGTCTGGGCGGATGGTCCGGAAGAGCAAAGACATGCTAATGAGACAGAGGAATAGCAAGTCCCCTTCAAGCCGACAGGAAGGGGCCTCAGTTCTCAGCGCCAGCCTGAGTGTGGGGGCTGCTTGGCTCGGCCTGTTTCCACGCTAGGGACGTTCTACGTGTTTTCTTCTTCATGGCTTTTTGTTTTCTAATAAAAGATGTTTCTATTCATAAATGTTGTAGATGAGGATAATGTCTATTTGTTTTATTTTGGAGGGGCAGGGTTGGGGAAGGCTGAGGAAGGGGGCTGTCTGATTGCTGGCTCATGCCCAATTACAGTTTATTTCCTCCCTGAGTGCCCTCTTTGATGTGGGAAGGAAAGGGAATGAAATCCTTCTCTTTTACTCATGAGCAGTGCAGACGCCTTCTCCGGACAGTTTGGCTTGACCTGTGCAGAGTGCTTTTTCCCCAGCGAAATGGAACAGGAAAGCTCACGGCAGCAAGTGGCAGAGGGGTGGAGCCACAACTTGGCTCTTTTTCCTTCTTCTTTTCCTTCTTCTTCTTTTTAAAAAAAATCCAGTCCACTAAAGCACGAATGTTTTTCAAAGTCGCAAATGAAATACAGTAGGATTTTAAAAAACCAAAGCTGTCTTTCAACATGTTGATGTTCTCGGACTGTAGCAAACATGGTTTGGACTTGTCCATTTAGAAAGCAGTGTAAACAGGCTCTGAAATGCCATTGTACCAAGGGAAATGAGGACATGCGGCAAAGCTTTAAGAATTCAGCCCCTAGACCTGCTTTTGACTGAAATAGTTTTGCTTGAAATAATTTATTTTCCTTGAATTTTTTGATTTTTATTTCTTCAGTTCTGTCTGGTCACCTTCCCTGTATAGGCATGACCAGCACCTGAGGAAGAATGATTAACACATGTACAAATAACTTAAATGTACTCGAAAGCTATAAAACAATATGTGTGTTACTGAAAATAAACAGATAGTGTAATACCTGGATTATAAACATCTTGATCCCTTGAAAATAAAGTATTGCCTTAATTCAAATAATAATACCTCAATGTTTATATAGTGCCTATCTGAAAAGTATTTAAAGTTACTGTTATTTTCTAGATTTCCTGGCGGGTTGATTCACTGGAGGGCTAGTTGGTTAGGGAGGTAGCACCTGAGCTGCCACCCTCTCACAGCTCCCAGATGGACATGGAGTTGGGCGCTGGGTGGGTTTGGGAAAGCTCCTGGGTCCGGCCCTCCCGGATATGCTTCCTGCCCCAGGGCTTCAGGGGATCTGCGTTCTCAGGCCACATGCAAAACCAGTTGTTAATCATCCCTGACACACTCTGAGTCACCACCACCCTCTGGGAAGCCACAGGGAGACCTTGGCTGAAGCCACCGCAGCACCATGTTTCGCCATCTTGCAGCCAAGTCTGTTTATTTGTCTGCCTTTGGCACCTCCAGGACCTCTGTCTTTTGATTGTTGGTCTCAGTTTGCAGACAGATCTAACTGTGGACTCCCGGGTGCGGTCTGTGCCTGTTGGGAAGATGGGCAGCTGACTCACTTCACTGTCATCCCCTCACCCATCTTCTGTGGTCCCAGGCTCCACTTACCTCCTCTATATGACCCTGTAGGCGCAGTGGGTGCTTTAATCATGGGGCACAGTGGGTGCATTAATCTTTCCTCATTTTAGTTTGCATTTTTATTTAGCGGTGGAGTTGCCTCCATGAATTTCTGTTCTCATCCACACCTTTAGTTTTTCTCTTTTTATTTTCCATGTCATAGTAGGAGGAAATTTGGAATTAGCAGAAAACATTACTGAGTATTTCCAGTGGAAAACTATGCATTGTGTAGAGCATACCCTTCCAAGGTATCTGATTGTAGCCTTTGATCCATTTCATACCTCCGTAAGTTGTAGGTAATTGGTAGCAATGCAAAATAACTATTGCCTGTAGACATGCAAAAATGTCTGTTAGCATGGCTAAAATGACCCCCTCCAAGCCGTAGGAAAAGCAAAGTTCGTATTTGTAAATTCATTTCAACATTCCTTTACTCCATATATACTTATGCTTCTCTGACTTCTCCTTTTAACTGGTTGTAACATCTTATTAATTCCCTAATTAATGGTGAAGTCAATAAAATCTTTGACATGTTCATTTTGTATCTGTATGAGAGTTGATTTTACCTTTGATTATTATTTTTAACGTAATATTTTATGGTCCCTATTAAAAATAACAAAGGCACCGTGCTTCCTGGTTAACCAGTGACAAGAATGGGCCCTAACAAGAGGAACTTGGATGCAAAAAGCAGAATGAATTAATCCTGAGGGCTTAAGACATTGGAAGTTTTTCTCTTAATATTGTAAAAATGTGTAGACTCATAAACAACCAATAGTCAAAGAAGAAATTACAATGGAAATTGGAAATTACCTTGAGATGAATGAAGACAAAAGCACAACATTCCAAAACTTCAGAGCAGTGCTCAGAGGGAAACTTATAGCCATAAACACCTACATTAAAAAAAGAGAAAGACTTCAAATCAATAACCCAATTTTACAACATAGGGAACTAGAAGAAGAAGAGCAAAATAAACTCAAAGTTACAAATTGTAGGAAATACAGAGTGAAGAGAAATGAAATAGAGAATAGAAAAATAATAGGGAAAATCAGTGAAACCAAAAGTTGGTTCTTTGAAGATCAACAAAATCAACATACCTTAAGCTACATTACTAAGAAAAAAAGAGAAAAGAAGTAAATCACTAAAATTAAAAACAAAATGGGACATTACTACTGACCTTACAGAAATGAAAAAGATTATAAGAGAATACTATGATCACTTGTAAGCCAACAGGTTAGATAACCTAGAAGAATTAGACAAATTCCTAGACACACAAAACTACCAAACTGTCTCAAGAAGAAACAGAAAGTCTGAATAGACTTAAAACAAGTAAGGAGAATCAGTAATCAAAAACCTCCCAAAAGAAAGGCTCAGGACCAGATCGCTCTACTGGTAAATTCTACCAAACATTTAAAGAAGCATAACATCAGTTGCTCTTAATCTCTTCCAAATATAGAAGAGGAGGGAATACATCTAATTTATTTTATGAGGCCAGCATTATACTGATGAAGCCTGACAAAGATATTACAAGAACACTATAGACCAATATCCCTTACAATATAGAAGCAAAAATCCTGAATGAAATACTGGCAAACTGAACCCAGAAGTATATTAAAAGGATTATACACCATGACCAGATGGGGTTTATCCCAGGAGTGCAAGGGTGGTTTGACATACTAAAACGGATCGATGTAATACACCATATTAATAGAAAGAGGGAAAAACACCACCTGATCCTTTCAATTGATGCTGAAAAAGTATTGACACATTCCAACACTCTTTCATGATGAAACCACTCAGGAAACTAGAGATAGAGGGGAACATGTTAAAGGACATTTGTGAAAAACCCACAGCTAGCATCCTGTTCAATGGCAAAAGACTTGAAAGCGTTTCCTCAAAGATCAGGAACAAGACAAGGATGCCCACTTTCACCGTGGCTGTTCAACATAGGAAGTCTTACCCAGAGCAATTACGCATGTAAAAGAAGTAAACGGCATCTGAATAGAGAAGAAAGAAGTAAAACTATCTCTGTTGCAGGTGATATGGTCCTAGATATAGAAAATTTCAAAGAATTCACAAAAAACAACTACTGGAACTAATACATTCAGTGAAGTCACAGGATACAAGTTAAACATGCAAAAATAAGTTGTGTGTTTTTACACCAGCAGTGAACAATTTGAAATTACCAAAATGATTCCATTTATAATAGCATTTAGAAGAATAACATTTAACCAAATACATTTAACCAAAGAGGTGAAAAACATATACAATGAAAACTAAAGAACATTTCACATTGCTGAAAGAAATCAAAGAAGACATAAGTAAATTGAAATAAATCCCTATTCATGGATTGGAAGACTTCTTATGGGTAAGATGGCAATACTACCCAAAGCGATCAACAGATTCAATGCAATATCTATCAAAATTCCAAATGTGTTTCTTGCAGAAATGGAAATGCTGACTCTCAAATACATACAGAATTGCAGGAGGCCCCAAATAGCCAAAACAATCTTGATAAAGAACAAAGTTGAAGGACTCAACACTTCCTGATTTCAAAACTTACTACAAAATTATGGTAATCAAAATAGTGTGGTACTGACATAAAGATAAGCCATACAGACCAAGGAAATAGAATTGAGATTTCAGAAATAAATTCATACATTTATGGTGACTGATTTTCAATAAGAGTACGAAGATCAGTCAATAGGGAAAAAATAGTCTGTTCAACCAATGGTGTTGGGACAACCAGATATCCACATGTTTAAGTTTAATCCCTACTTACACATTTGCATACCCTTTATACAAAAATCAATTCAAAATGCTCAATGACCTAAATATAGGAGCTAAGTCTGTAAAACTTCTAATGGAAAACATAGAGTGAAATCTCCATGACTTTGTTTTTGGCAATGGATTCTTAGACATGAAAGCAAAAGCATAAGTAACAAAAGAAAATGCATAAATTGGACCTCATCAAAATTAAAAACGTGCATCAAAGGACAGTATTAAGAAAGTGAAAAGACAGCCTACAGAATGAGAGAAAATATTTACAAATCAAATATCTGTTAAGGGCCTGGTATCCAGATATAAAGTACTTTTACAATTCAACACAAAAAGACAAAGTACTCAGTTAAGCAATGAGCAAAGGATTTGAATAGACCTTCTCCAGAGAAGACATACAGATGGCCAAGAAGCACATAAAAAGCTGCTCAACATCATTAGTCATTAGGTAAATGCAGATTAAAACCACAGTAAAATATCACTTTATAACCACTAGGATGGCTATTTAAAAAAATGTTGGCGAGGATGTGCAGAGATTGGAACACTGGTGGGGTTGTAAAATGGTCCAGTCTCTGTGGAAAACAGTGCTTTGGTGATTCCTCAAAAAGTTAAACATAGAGTTACCATATGACCCAGCAATTCTACTCCTAGGTATATGCCACAAAGAACTGAAAAGAGGTACTCAAATACTTGTACATTCATAATAGCCAAAAGGTGGAAGCAACCCAAATGTCTATGATGAATGGATGAGCAAATTGTGATATAAACATACAATGAAAAATTATTCAGCTGTAAAAATGAATAAACTACCGACACATGGTACAATGTGGATGAACCTTGAAAACATTATACTAAATGAGAGAAACCAGACACAAAAGGTCACATATTGTGTGATTCCTTTCATAGGGCTTGTGCAGAGTAAGTCAGTACATGGAGATTAAGTAGATATGTGATTGCCAGGGGTGGAGAAGGGGCAATGGGGAATAACTGCTTAATGAATATGGAGTGATTTGGGGGTGAAGAAAGTGTTTTGGAGTTAGATAAGGGTGGCGGTTGCCACCATTGTGGATGTACTAAATGCCACTGAGTTGTTCACTTTAAAATGGTGAATTTTATGCTATGTGAATTTCAGCACATACAAAAATTGATATGGTTTATATGTGAGTAATTAGTTCCTAGTAGGAAGAGGGTTTAGATCAACAGTATTAAATATTCTCCCCCTGAAAACACATGGCACATATAACACCTACGGTCAACGGCATCCACACAGGAAACACAGTCCCAGGAACTCCCAGGATTATGCACAATTTCGATGAGTTTCCTGAATACCACCTCATCATTAACTCTGATTAATTACAAGTTACTGGTGGCGTATCTCGCAGAAGCAAGGTGAGGTGATTAGGTGATGGTCATTCTAACTTTTGATAATTTTGAGGGACAGCAGTGTAGGGAGAAAATACTAGTGTAAAACATTATATTTGTCTGGGTGCAGTGGCTCAAGCCTGTAATCTCAGCACCTTGGGAGGCCGAAGCAGGAGGATCGCTTGAGCACAGGAGTTGGAGACCAGCCTGGACAACACAGTGAGACCCTATCTCTACCCCCTACCCCCAAATAATAATAATTAGCCAGGCATGGTGGCATGGACCGGTAGTCCCAGCTACTCAGGAGGCTGAGGTGGGAGGATCGCTTGAGCCCAGAAGGTTGAGGCTACAGTAAGCCATGATTGCACCACTGCACTCCAGCCTAGGTGGCAGAGCAAGACCCTGTCTCAAAAACAAAAAAGCTACATTTATATAGATTAGCCTAAAGAACGTAAAATTTGTATCCTAATTCCTCTACTTAGATCACATCTGTTGATATTTAAAAATATAAGGGGACCAGATGCGGTGGCTCATGCCTGTAATCCCAGCACTTTGGGAAGTCGAGGCGGGCGGATCACGAGCTCAGGAGTTCGAGACCAGCCTGGCCAATATGGTAAAACCCCATCTTTAATAAAAATACAAAAATTAGCTGGGTGTGGTGGCATGTGCCTGTAATCCCAGCTACTCGGGAGGCTGAGGCAAGAGAATCACTTGAACCCGGGAGGTGGAGGTTGCAGTGAGCCGAGATTGCACCACTGCACTCCAGCCTGGGCGACAGAGCGAGACTCTGTCTCAAAAAAAAATAATAATAAAAATAAATATAAGAAATGTATAGAATTACAAGATTCAAATAGTATAGAAAGGTACAGACTGGAAAGTGAAGGCTTCTCTACTTAGTACAGTTGCTGTTAATGCATTCTTGTGATTTCTGTTTGTTTTCTTCAAAGAACCATTTTATGGTTATGTGCATATGCTGACATAATTAAAAAAATAGAGGCATCATTACAGATTTGCATATGGCTTTTTTCACTTGATATACCTTGAAGCCTTTTCCACACGTATCAGCACCTAAGGATGTACTTTATTCATTTAAGTGGCTGCATCATCACGATAATAATCAGCACTTATTGAACATTTGCTGTGTGCCAGCACTGTTCTAACTGCTGTGGACACATTGTCGTCATTGTTAATCTTCACCACAGCCCTCTAAGGGAGGTGCTACCATTGCCCCATTTTACGGAACAGAGGGAACAGAGGGAACAGAGGGAGCGGAGGGAACGGAAGTGCAGGGACACCCAGGAAGAGATTTAAGTTCTGTGTGTCTGATTCCAGAGCCCAGGCTCTCACCAACACAAAATTCTACTCCTCTACACAGTTAGTTTGTGGGAGAGCTGGGATTTATTGTAATTTATAGTTTACATAGCTTCTATGTTTTGCTGTTTTCTGGTCCAGTTCCCTAAGGTGTGTGTGCCCTACGTTTCACATTTCGGTCTCCCAGGGGCTCTACCTTACTGGGTTTTCTTGATTTTGTCTTCCTTAAATTAGAAAAGAAAAGGAAGAACCAAGAAGACTGAAACAGTTATGATTGAGGTTTGCAGAATTGTTCCCATGAATGGCTACTAGCTCTTGATATATTAGTCCAGAGCACAGAAAATCTATACTTTTAATAGCTTGGACTGCACACAACAGTAAGTCTTTATAGACGGTTCTGTCCTGTAGGGGAGAAAAGTCCTCGTTGTTCCTCTGGGATGCAACATGAGAGAGCAGCACACTGAGGCTTTATGGGTTGCCCTGCCACAAGTGAACAGGTCCCAGCATGAAAGCAGGGACAAGAAAATTGAGCTCGTGACCTCCGTCCAGTGGGCCCTTTGATTCATTCTTTCTTTTTGTCTCACTGTGTCATCATATCTCCCTGAACTCAGCTCCAGATTGAAACGTAGCTGTAACCGCAGCTAACCAACAGGCTTCCCTTGAACAGGCCGAAAGGTACAGGGTGAGTCTATTTTGTGACTCTGTGGAGGCGTGGGCAGCGAGATGGTTGTCTACCGGGATCTGTGTTCTGGCTTTTGTGAAGAGGGAAGAAATGGGAAACACGCTGATGCCAGCCTTTCTGCAACTGGTTTGCGGGAGTGTAAACAACTAGCTGGTTTGGATCTAGGATCAAGATGAAGTGTAATAGAAAACTCGGGCTGCCTTTATCCTTAGGTCAGCAAAACAGCAGGATACTGCTGTCTGCGTCCCGGTTGACCCTGGCGTTCTTGGCCGCTGCCAATACAGTTTGCCATTTAGATCCATTTAGCAGAAAAGGACATTCGTCTAGAAGGATCCCGCCTTGTAAAAATGCAGGCTTGGCATGCACTGGGGCCCTGGGAAGTCATTCTTAAATATATGAATCCTTTTCTGGGGGAGAGGTGCCGGCAGTTGCATGCAAAACTGGGCACTGCTCTGGCGGATTGGCCAGTGCATTCTTACGTGTGGTGGGCACTGTGGAAAGGCGCCTTTGTGCCAGTTTGGATAAGACAACAGATTCATGGGTAGGAAACCAGTGTTTGAAATTAGGTGCTGAGGTTGTAGAGTCAGATCACAGCAGAGCAGAAGTTGAAGCTATGAGTTCGGAGAAGGTCTGCAATATTTTTCCTGACCTCTGAAGTTGTCCAAACCACTAAGTGAAGAAACATACTTCCTTTGGTTCATCTGATCAAATTATCATCTGCAAACTTTTGGCCTTGTTGCCTCAATCCTACTGCAATCTTCCTGCCTGCTTGAGAGAGAACTGGGTGTCGGGGGAGTGGGGGCAATGTACTGTTGCTCCCCAGGGTCAAAACGTGAACAGACCAAAGGGTCCAGATGGAAACCAGAATGACTTCACTCCTGGAACGAGGCATCATCTTTCCTAGCACATGTATTTTTCTTTCATGCCTCTTTTCTTTTTTCGTTTTTTAATTTTAGTCTTTTTGAGACAGAGTCTCGCATGGTCACCCGGGCTGGAGTGCAGCGGTGTGATCATAGCTCACTGCAACCTTGAACTTCTGGCTCAAACAGTCCTCCTGCCTCAGACTCCCGAGTAGCTGGGACTATACGCATGCACCACCATGCCCGTCTAATTTATTTATTTTTTATTTTTTGTAGTGATGAGGTCTTGCTATGTTGCCCAGGCTGGCCTTGAATTCCTGGGCCTAAGTGATCCTCCTGCCTCAGCCCTGCAAGTTCATTTTTCTTTTTAAAATAAAGTCAGTCAGTTATAAAGCTAGAATGTAAAAACAAACATTTTCTGATGGATTAGAGGATACACACAGCTTTCTGTAACTGAAATGCTGAGTGCATGTGCAACAGTGCCTTTAAACAATGACCTTGGCCCGCGGTGCAGATTTGATACACTGAGCATAACTGGCTGAATGAGTGCTCCTGGTGCTTTGGCTAGAGGCAGGACTTGGATGTTGGCAAGGCCCTTACATCGGGCCACAGCAATCTTTCCCAGACTCTGCATGTCCACTTATTTCTAGGTAGGAGACATCATTCTTTTGATGTATTGCTCTCCAACCGCAATGGTAGAGCAGCACATGATTAAGTCATGGTTAGACATATAAACAATACTTGTAGCAGAAACTTGAGCTGGTGCACGTAAAAAAGTGGTTCATTTAATGATGTAACGGCAAAGTGAAGGGACAAAATGGAAAGGGGCGTGCCCAGGGCTCATCTACAAAATCTTTGGGACAATTCCTCTTGGGAGTCAAGCTTTAGATGCCTGCTGTCCAGCCATGAGAGAACATCAGAGGGTCACAGCATACCCCAAGGTTCCGTTAACAGAGCAAAACATCATCCCTTGCAACCCAAAGGCAGGAACACAGCTGGGCCCCAGGAAGACAGGGATTGTACTAGAATCCCTTGCAGTCCTGAGAGTGCTGTCTTCTGGCTGCTTGGCTTAGCTCCTCTCTGCAACCCAGCTTCCTCTCGCCTTGCTGACTCTCCTGTAGGGAGTAAAAGAGGCTGCCTCCAGCCTCTACTCATACAGCTTTGTTTCTGTGTGTTTCCCAGCCTCTGCGTGGAAGGACATGCTGAGAGCCCTTTCTCCACCGTGCTTGCATTGACTGATTACATGTCTGTCTGTGACACCAGCTTGGCTGTTTTATTTATTTATTTTTTTTTGAGATGGAGTCTTGCTCTGTTGCCCAGGCTGGAGTGCAGTGGTGTGATCTTGGCTCACTACAACCTGTGCCTCCTGGGTTCAAGTGATTCTCCTGTCTAAGCCTCCTGAGTAGCTGGGATTACAGGTGCCTGCCACCACGCCCGGCTAAGTTTTGTATTTTTAGTAGGGACGAGGTTTAGCCATGTTGGCCAGGCTGGTCTCGAACTTATGACCTCAGATGATCTGCCCGCCTCGGCCTCCCAAAGTGCTGGGATTACAGGCATGAGCCATCGTGCCCGGCCCAGCTCGGCCCTTTAAATGGACAAAACTGTGCAACCTGGAGGTCTGAGGGCAGCTGCAGCTTTCATCAGCTCCAGCATCCCATTGACGTCTGTGTTGGGTGACTCAGTATTGAGCAGATCCTGACTGATATAACATCATTCTTCTAAAGTTTCTATTTCTGTATGTTTTATATATTCTATGATACTTTAGTATAGTAGTACAGGTACGCAATTTATAAATGAATACACACATATTCGAGGATGCACACAAACCCTTTTACAACTAGGGATGTGCAATCAAAGAAGTTTGGAGACTTTTACTTTATGGAATGTCTACACTACGTATAGGATGTTTATCCAGAATATCTGTGGGAATATGCAGTGGTTCATACAAGGCACAGATCATATCTTGATAAACACATACTACACATTTTCTTTCTTGACTCCAAAAAAACTTAAAGAGATTTATATCCATAGATCTTAAGATATGTACAGTGGAATTTCATGTTTCAAACATTTACTGATATTCTCACATTATCATGAGAAAGAAGACTGGGACTGTGCTGTGGGATTCTTATTAAGTTGTCTATACTTATTTGCATAAAATGATTTTTAATATAAAATTAACCAAAGTTGCTCAATTATAAGAAATGAATGGCTTTATTTGTGATACTGCTATGATTTGAATGTTTGTCCCCTCTAAAACTCACGTTGAAACTTAATTCCCAGTATATTGAGAGGTGGGGCCTGTAGGAGGTAATTGGGTCATGAGGGCTCTACTGTCATGAATGGGTTAATCCATGACAGGAGTGGTATTAATGGGATTAATGGGTTATCACAGGAGTGGCATTAATGGCTTTATAAGGGGAGAAAGAAAGACCTGAGCTAACTCATCCCCTTTGCCATGTGATGCCCTGCTCCACCTTGGGACTCTACAGAGTCCTCACCAGCAGGAAGGCCCTCACCAGATGCAGCTCCTCAACCTTGGACTCTCAGTCTCTGTAGCCATAAGAAATAGATTACTTTTCTTTATAAATTACTCAGTTTCAGGTACTATAAATAACAGAAAATGGATGGAGACAGATACCTTGGCTCTGAGCTTTTTTCTTCCTTGGCTTTTGAAGGCCTCTCCTGGTCCAGTGTGGATTCTGTAAAGCTTTTTTGAAGGTCTTTTAGCAATGAAGAAAGTATGTACTAGGAGATGAAGGCATGGGAATTGGCTCTAACCCCATTTCTACAAGTAGCGCGACTGTGAATTGTGGTGGGGCTCAAGTTCTTAATGTGTAAAATGGGAACGATGATACCTCCCAGAGTCATCAGAAGATCAAATACAACCATGAACGTGTTTGTGCTCTACGAGCTGTAATTCCTAAAAGATAGGTAGGTTAAGATGAAGAAAAGGCATTGTTGAGTTTCTCATGAACTTCTGATGCAAGGCGTGTTCTAGTGTATCATGCGTAAGGAATCTTTTCCAAGCCCGAGAAAAACTATCCGGTGCCAAGTGCATCACCACTGGGCATAAGTAGTCCCACCCAAGACAGGAGGGGTGCAGGGCTCCTGCCACTCTGCGTCATGAAGAGGAATTGAAAACAAAACTCCATCCTGTTGAAACCTTGAGGTCTAGCACTATATCTTGTCCTTGTTTGTGCATCTTACGTGCTTATGCAATAAGGTACTCTCAGCCCTCAGTATCTGTGAGTTCCATGTTTGTGGACTTAACAACTTTGGATTTCAAATACTGGGAAAAAAATTGTGTCTGTACTGAACAAGTACAGACTTTTTTCTCTTTTTTTTGAGATGGAGTCTCACTCTGTCACCCAGGCTGGAATGCAATGGCACGATCTTGGCTCACTGCAACCTCTGCTTCCTGGGTTCAAGAGATTCTCCTGCCTCAGCCTCCTGAGTAGCTGGGATTACAGGTGCCCGCCACCACACCCGGCTAATTTTTGTATTTTTAGTAGAGACGGGGTTTCACCATGTTGGTCAGGCTGCTCTCGAACTTCTGACCTCAAGTGATCCACCTGCCTAGGCCTCCCAAAGTGCTGAGATTACAGGCGTGAGTCACTGCACCCAGCCCAGACTTTTTTCTTGTAATTATTCCTTAAACAATATGGCATAACAACTATTTACATAGCATTTATGTTGTATAGGTATTATAAGTAATCTAGAGATGATTTAAAGTGTACAGGAGGATGTGCATGGGTTATATGCAAATACTATAACATTTTATATCAGGACTTGAACATTCTCAGATTTTGGTATCTGCAAGAGGTCCTGGAACCAATGCCCCCAGGATACCGAGGGACAACTGTATGTACTGTTGAATCTCCAATGTCTAACACAGTGCCTGGTGTGGCCTAGACATGGAATATGTGTTTAGTGAGTGGAAGAATAAAGGCATTACCATACCTGCTTGTCTCTCTGGCACTTGTCACAGGATTGCAAGCCCAGATGGTGTTTGTGAAGAGGCAGGAGTAGGTACAGTATGGAGGTCTACAGCTTGGGTTTCTGAGGCACAGACCAGGTTTTCCCAACTGTTTTCCCAGCCTGTTTTCCCAACTGTAAGGCGTCACACTAGTAAGTCTGTCATAGAATTAGATTGAAGATTAAATGAGGTGATGCAAATGAAAAGAGTCTAGCATACAGGAAAGCTTAACAGAATGTTAACTATCATCACCATCATTACTAATAACATGATTAGTGGTCTTAATAATTCATAGATATTCATGATGTGGAACTTGGAATCTCATTAGCTCCGTTTTGTCTTGATGTCTGTGACTGCCTTCTCTTGACTTTTCCCTTAGTCACCATTTTTTACTGCATTTTCAACCCAACTGGCCACATGTGCCTGCTTTGTAGTCCAGGTTCCCATCAGTGCCCTTGGCCTTACCCTCTGTGAGCAGGAGCTTCGTACTCTCTAGCAAGGTTTCAGATTAGTTTTCTGTGCTGGAGGAGTTGGAGGCATTTTTGGTAAGCTAAGGCTGTACTTGAGGACTAATGTCACGCTGTCAATTTTAGCTCATTGCTGTGATATCCAGCATAGCAGTAAGGAGCTGATCTGCAGTCACTTGCCCTCCTCTTTGAGCTTCAGCTCTTCTTGGGCTGGGGAACAGTTGAGGACACTGTCCAGGAACCAGAGACTGAATTTCCATGGCCTCATGGCAGCAGTACATGGATTTAGGTTGTTACCAGGAGGTTTGTCCACATGTGAGGCTGTCTCTGTTTTCATTGTCAGTCCCAGCCGTCACACCCCCTCTCTCCTTTGAATGAATGAAAGATGCTAGCGTGCCTCATCTCTGACCTCAGGAGGCCTGGACAATGGAAGAGGAAGTGGGGGCTTTTGCTGCCCTCTGCTCAGAGGCTGCAATGTGGCGTGGATTCTTCTGGCAGCTGTGGTTTAGGCTGCCTTGTGTTTCCTGGTAAAATTTCTTAAACTAAGAGTAATATTTTAGCATTTTTCTCCAAAGAGCATAGATTGAAGATGAGGGCTTAGTAATTTCCCTTGAGTTGGAAATTCATTGATGACTTTTATTTATATTTTGTAATGTCTGTTAAATACTTGCAGAAGTGCTGGATGATTGGAGAAGCTTTAAACCATGAGAAGGTCATGTGAGCATGGTAGTTGTGGGGATGCAGTAGATAGGGAGTTAGGGTTTTCTCAAACTCTGTACTCCCTCCCTTGCTTCCACATTCCTTTCCTCATGCAGTGCGATCAAGTATAGACCCTGATATAGTTAACCTTCATGAGTATAAGACAATTCCTAATACATCATGAGTCAAAAACCATTATTATTTAACTAGAACAGTGTAGAGTCAGGAAAGCAGGTAAGTTGTGGGCAGACTGTAATATCCCCAGCTTATAAATAATGTGGAAGTGTATTGACTGCTTGCTCTTCTCTGTACAGTTTGCAAGTGTGCATATATCTCATTTGATTAAATCACATCTGTTGTAATCTAGTGCCCTGATTAAGAGATTACAGCAGTTAACTGTATTGCACAGGACCTTGGCTTGGCAGTCGGCAAAGCCTTGAGCATTAATTCATATTTGTGAGTGGTCTGAGGATGCTGACTTTTCAAATTTATTATGGTTGGGATTTATGAACTGTTTCTTTTGTCTGCTCTATAGAAGTGAGCATGGAATGTAAGCCAAGCTGTCATTGTGGAGTCTTAGTGTTGATACGATAGACTCTGGTACTTTAAATCAGGCCACTGTCATCTATGATAATGCTTGGCACGTAGTAGGTGCTCAATAAAAATGCAGCAAATGAATGAACAGCTCCTAAATGGCCTTTGTTTCCAGTTTTGCTTTCCTCCAGTCCTCTTAAAATTCCACCACTGTGTGGTCTCATTGGCTCCCATTGCCCTCAGAACAAAGTTCAAACTCCCTAACGAAGTAACTGATGGTGCCCTTGGCTCCAGTTGTATAAGTTTAGGAGTCTGTTCTGATTGATTGGTGCCTTTCTGCACTATGGGTTTAGCTGACATGCTCCTACCAGAGTTTACGTCTTAGCCTGCAGTACATTCATTCCTCTCTTGTTTCTGGGTTATTTCTCCTTGGTGGGCATGTCAGTATGAGTTGGCGTTCAGTCAGGAAGCAGAGCTACTCTGAGTGTTATGGGAAAAGGAATTTATTACAGTAATCCCACTTAATACCAGTGTGGGTGGCTGGGGAAGGGGATGCCTGGGAGTCAGAGCCCGAAGATCAGAGAAACATCTCAAAACAGCAGCACCCGGCATGGTGGATGGTTGTGGCTCTCAAGGAAGCTCTGAGAAGCCAGAGGTGCCCAGCAGGGAAGCCGGCCTGCAGTGGGGACATGGAGCAGGTGCCTGCGGGCAGCCACTGCTCTGCGTAGCTCCTGCCTCTACACCCTACATTGGGAGGACCGCTGTTGGGAGAAGAGTCAGACACAGAAGAGAGGAGTGGGGACAAGTGGGGCTCTGCTGGGAACCTTGTCATCTCTGTGTGCTAAAGACCTTCAGAGAGTAATGCCCAGTCTTTACTTCCTGCAGATTCCTTTTTTGGTCAACTCTAGTCCAGAACTCTATGGAGAAGGGGCTTCTGGGAAGTGAGTGGTGTTCCTAGCTTTAGCCACGTTGAACCTAGGATGATCCAGGACACCGCATGCTGGGTCTGTGTAACAGTGTCTCTGTGGGCTGTGTGGACATGTGTGTGCACATGTATGCATGTGCATGTATGTGTGTGTTCATGTGTGTGCTTCAGATCCCCTTTGGGGAATGTGCAGGAATGTCAGAAGTAGGGAGATAGAGCCACTGGGTTAGGGCAGAGGGCGAGAGGCCCTCTTTGAGGCCACCTGTGGAGGGCTAAGATGACTCCATCCTGGATGCTAATCCATCATGTCGGCTTCTGATTAACTCCAGTTCTGGCAATGCCTCTAAGATTTCTATTTCATCTTCTTCCTTGTGTAAGAGCATGTACTTACCATAAATCTTGTCCTTAGGTCAAAACAACCTTGATGTTATCGTACTTACCGTAAATCTTGCTGTAAAGCAGTTGTTCCGCACATCCCTTCTGAAGCACGGACACTGTCCCCCTGTGGTGCGTAAGCCCTGGGCCTGGGGATGGTAGCACAGGGATCCCCCATTTCGCCTGTGGGCCACCCGAGACGCGGCTCCTGTTCATACGTCCCATTAAATGTTGCTCTCTGAGAAACTGGATTTGTTGCCTCTTTCTTCGACCTCTCAGTTCCCTTGGCTTTTGGCAGTCGGTTTGCAAAATGACCTGCTCACCACGGAACCAGCTCATTCCAGTCAGAGTGGGATCAGCAGGATGGGGGAGTGGAAAGCATAACCCAGGCCCCTCCATCCACATGTTCATGGGGAGGTGCTGGCTTCTTTGCCTCCTGGGGGGAAAAGCCCCAAATGTCTGACCACGCTGACTCACTCGGACAGCCTTCCTTCTCTGTGGCCTCTGCTTGTGTTCTCCTCCCCCCTCTTCCCTTCTCCATTCACCAGTCCTGCCTGTCTCTTTGCTGGGCTAGTGCATCCTTTTGGTTTCAGATTTAGTGCCCCTGCCTCCATGAAGCCTTTCCTGATTGTCAGATGCGGGCAGGTGTCCCTGTGCATCCCCATCACAGCACTTGTCACAGTCGATGCTACTTCCCAGTTTACTTGTCTGTGTTCCTCACTGAACCAGGAGCCTGTGAGGGTAGACACATGGGACTTACAGCAATAGCCATGTGCTTCCCTTCCCAATGTCACACAAGTGAGACATGGTCTGGTGCATCTGATTCTGAGTCTCAGCTGTGTGCGAGTGTGGCATGACCTTTCATCCATCCCCCTGTCTATCTCCCCATGAGGACAAAAGCAAGGGTGACTACAAAAATGACCACCGCTGCCGAGGCCTTTGCTCTGAAAGTGCAGCACAGTGGCTGGGACCGCAAGACAGTGTAACTGACGACGTCTGCAGAATTCAACCAGCGTGCTCTGTTGGGTGGGACAGGAAGTAGGGCAGTAGAAGATTAGACAGAATTGATAATCTTTGAGATCAAGCAGTGTGCGGCTTTGAGATGGAGAAGCAGTAGTAGCTTTGTCCTTCCCAGGGTTTGGACCCAGGGCTGCCTTGGGAATAGACGTTCAGACATGAGGAAGGTGGCCTGAAACATGGCGGCTCGGCTATGTAGAGCGGAGGGCACTTAGAGGACATTTATCTATACAGCGGGTCTTTTTGTTTTTGTTTTTGTTTTGAGACAAGGTCTTGCTCTGTCACTAAGGCTTGAGTGTAGTGCAGCCTCAACCTCCTGGGCTCAAGCAATCCTTCTGTCTCAGCCTCCCATGTACCTTGGACACCAGGCACATGCCACCATGCCTGGCTAATTTTTTGATTTTTCATAAAGACAGTGTCTCGCTATGTTGTCCAGGCTGTTCTCAAACTCCTGGCTTCAAGTAAACCTCCCACCTCAGCCTCCCGAAGTGTTGGGATTATAAGCGTGAGCCACAGCACCTGTCCTATCTAGTAGATCTTAAAACTATTTAGGTCATAGATTGCTTTGCGAATCTCATGAGGGACCCTCTCACCAAAAAAAAAAATTACCTGCTCACAAAGGTTTCCATATGATTTAGGGGGATATTGGATGCCTGAGGTCTGTGATCTGTTTCTAAGCCTCATCCCAGAGGTGTGGTGATGAGGACCAACAAGGTATATGCTTGCCGGAGGTCAAGACAGAGAGACAGGAGGGGTGAAAAGGGCAAGGCTATCCCGAGACCTGTTTCCATACATGGTCGGGCCTCTCAACTTGAATGGAAAGTTTAATTTTGCCTCTCTATGGTGGTAGAAATAGTGTCAGTGACATCAAGTTTTTATAAGGGGAAAGCACCACAGAGGATCTTGGGGTGCTGGGGGCTCTGACAGATGATGCATGAGTTATCAGGATTGTGTCCACTTCAGAGGGGACAACATGGTGAGAAAAGGGGGCACCAGACTAAGGTGGTCCCCGTGAGCACGTTCTCGGGAAGTGTGAGGGTGGGTAAATGGTCCCTGTTTCTTGCCTTGCGTTGAAGGCTTTGCTATTCCACATTTCCATTTTTTTGAAAAAGATTATTTTAATTTTATTTTTTTAACCTGGGTTAAAGATATGCATCTTCCACATTTTCTCTGGTGCTTTAGAATTCGTTTAATGAAATGAGCTTCTCTTTCTTTTCTTTTTGTTTTTGTTTTTGTTTTTGTTTTTGAGATAAGGTCTCACTCTGTCACCCAGGCTGGAGTGTAATGGCACAATCACAGCTCACTGCAGCCTCGACCTCCCAGCCTCAAGCGATCCTCCTACCCAAGCCTCCCAAGTAGCTGGGACTACAGGTGTGCACCACCATGCCCAGCTAATTTTTTATTTTTTGTAGAGACAAGGTCTTGCCATGTAGTGCAGGCTGGTCTTGAACTTCTGAGCTCAAGCAGTCCTCCCACGTAAGCCTCCCAAAGTGCTGGGATTACAGACCTGAAGCCACCATGCTGGGCCATCAGCTGTTCTTCAGAACAATTTTTTTTCACTCTTTTTAAAGAAATTCTTTTTTCATTTAGTCTTCCCTGCATTTCAAATAGAATGATCTTATGAGAAGGGTCAGTAGGATTATTTAAAGCCGAGAGATGAGGCAGTGAGCTCCGGGAGGTGTTCATGCTTCCCTTCTCCCTCTGTCTGTCGGGTCCCAGGACTAAGGATCCTGGCTGTGGGCAATCTGCAGGGTGGAAGAACAATCCTGTTTCGCCTAACATGTCTTGTCACAGTTCCCAAGGCCCCCGCTAAGGACGCGTGGAATGGGGAGGTGAGATGGGAGGAACTGAAACAGCCCCATCCTGGTGTTAGGTTCCCTGTTGAGTCACAGTGTGTGGAAAGGATATCAAATGAAGGAGAGATTTTCTACTGAGATGAAAAGGCACTTAATAAAATGACATAACGCTTCACAGGGAGCTGTTTTAATGGCTACTCAAAGCAACTCTGAAATGTCTATAATGAGATCCTAAAAGCAAGTTCTGAAATCCCCAATTCTCTTCTTTCTGATCTTGGATGCTGTGATATCTTCCCTAGAGATTTACTCTTAGATGGAATGACTGCATTTCATGGTAGCTCTGTAGCCATGCTAACTTCATTTGCTGATGGCAGCTTTATCGCTATTGTTTAAATCACTCTAAATAGGTTTTGTCAGTTAAAGCAATGTAATATCTTTCCTTTCTTACAGCCCAGAGAGTAGACTCCTGTAGGAATATTGGAATATTCAGAATCAGTACTCGCAGAGCAGAACCTCATAATCCTATAAAACTTTGCTCTCATCAACCCCTCACACTGCTGACCTACCTTAAACCTTAATGTCCTGATTTGCAAAATGAGGATAACCCTACTTCATTAGGGTTGTTGAAAGATTAAACCTGTAACAAGCCTGGAGAGTCAGTGCTTACTAAATGCCCTCCATTATGTCTGTATTAGTTGCCCATTGCTGTTGTCCCCAAACCTAACAGCTTAAAACAACATGCACTGATTATGTCACGGGTTTTGTGGGTCAGGAATTGGGCATGGCTTAGTAGGTCCTCGGGCTGGGGGATCTCTTACAACACTACAACAGGTGTTAGCTGGGCCTGCAGTCATCTCATGATGGAACCGGGGCAGGGTCTGCTTTCAGGCTCCCTTGGTGGTTGTCACCAGGATGCAGTTCCTGGTGGCCTGTTGTATATGTGCCCTGAGGCCTCTCTCAGTTCCCTGCCTTGCGTCCTCTTCATGCATGGCAGCTTGCAAGAGCAAGCAGGCAAAAGGGAGAGAGGGAGTATGAAAAAAGAGGGTCGCAAGCATCTTTCATTTGTTTATTTATTTATTTATTTAAGACAGAGTCTTGCTCTGTTGCCCAGGCTGGAGTGCAGTGGTGTGATCTTGGCTCACTGCAACCTCTGCCTTCGGGTTCAAACGATTCTCGTGCCTCAGCCTCCCAAGTAGCTGGGATTACAGGTGCACACCACCATGCCTGGCTAATTTTTAATATTTTTAGTAGAGATGGGGTTTCACCATGTTGGCCAGGGTTGTCTCAAACTCCTGAGCTCAGGTGATCCACCTGCCTCGGCCTCCCAAAGTGCTAGGATTACACGTATGAGCCACCATGCCCGGCCACCAGTACCTTTTATAACCTCCCCCTTGGAAGTGACATCTGCCACTTTTGCTGCATTCCATTTCTTAGGAGCAAGTCATTGGGTCCAGTCCATATGGGAGTGAATACTGGGAGGCGGGGATTATTGGGAGCCATTTTAGAAGCTGCCTACTGCAATTGTCATGATTCTTCATCCTTTTTTGCTAGACATGCAACTCAGGAACAGTAAAGATTGTCTTGTAAAAAATTGCAGAATGTAGCAATAAAAAATCCAAAGTTTGGAGCGTGGTGCCTTGCTTGGTAAGCCAGGTTATTCCATATGATCTGCGAATGCTCCCTCCAGGAGGTGGGTGCCTGTATCACTCATCAGTGACCCATCTTGCCCAGTGAGGAGCTCACACATGTGTTGCTTGTGAAGAAAGGTGGCAAAAAGACAGGTGCTTCCTTGGATAGGAAGTATGATTTAAGTAAGAAACTGTGGTAATTATTATTTTTTTTTACAGTTAAGGCCACATTCTCTATTTCTGCTTAGCTGCACAGAGTTTGTACATCGGGACAAACTGCTCTCTGGAAATGCCAAGAAGCTGTGGGGCTATTATAAGAAAAACGGAACTGAAGGAGTTATGGAACTTGCTCTTCTTCCCCATTTAAAAGTCGTCTTCCTTCTTTAACTGATCTGAAGAGTAGGGGAGGAGGAGAGAGTGGTGGTGCGGGCTTCCTTAAGAGCTGGGCTAGAGGAGACATGGAGCCTCTGGCACTTTGGTTTTTTGCTCCTGATAACGTCAGTGGCCCTGGCTTTCCTAGAACTCAGCAACAGGAGTTTCCTTTGCCACCAGCAGGGTAGGGGAGCTGCCACCATTGAGGCCAGAATGCTCAGTGGCTGAAAGATTGCTGAACTTGGGAATCCACCAGATAGGCCAGCTCTGCGAGAATGAGAGAAAAATAAATTTAACAATAGCAGAAAGGGACAGTGTTTTTAAATATTACAAATATTTTCTTATTAGGAACAGTTTCTTTAGGGTGGATGATGTCCCGGCACCGAGACCATCTGTTCTTTTTAAACCTTCATCTCAGAGTCTGAAAAGATCTGGAAAGTGTCCTGGCCGTAACATGTGTCCTTGGACGAGTTGCTTTAATTTCTTCCTTTAAACTTACGCTAAGGCCTAATCAAACATGATCAGAGAGATGAGGAGACAGGGCAACTCAAATGAAAACCTTTCAACAGACAATAGAAGCAGACCCACAGAGAATCTAAGGAATGAGATTATCAGACATGGACTTTAAAAGATGAATGTTTAATATGTTCAAGGAAATAAAAATCAAGATTTAAAAATTCATCAAGGAATCGAAAACTAGGAAAGGAATAAAACGAAACATTTATAACTGAAAACTATAATAATTGATATTAGGAAATGAATAAATAGGGTTATCATATATGATACATCTGTAGAAAGAACTGGAAGAAAATCTCCAAATTCAGAGAAACTCAGAGAGATAGAAAATAAAGAAAAAAATTATATATATATATATATATATATGGTGAAAAAGTTTAACGTAGGCATAATTGGAGTTCCAGTAGGATAGAAGAGACTTAATGGAGCAGAAACAATATCTAATATTGTTAGATCAGATAATAGCTGATACTTTTCCATAGGAAGTGCTTAGCTTGGTGCCTAGAACTTTTTATATTGTTAGTAAATGTCAGCTTTTCTCATCATCAATATTATTATTTTGCTCATCTTTGCTCCTGTGGAAGATTTACACTGATGGCAGTTTTATGAGAGTCCAAATCCACTAGGCCTTTTGTTCACCAAAGCTCTTACAGTCCTGGAGCTTCTGCTTCTACTAAAGGCCTGGAGTTGGGGTCACACTGGTTGAAATCTGATATGAAATTAGAGTAAGTTTTCCTATGGAAACAATGTTGTCAGTGAATGTGGGTGTCCACTGTAGAGTGCTGTAGCTCAGCAGCAAGCTTAGGAAATAATCATTCTTTATTTACAGCATCAGTTCAATGGAAAAACGCATATTTTAGTTTCACATGCGTAGCCAACAAATGCTCACTTGGAACTCAGCCATCAGCAATCCAGTTGATGGAGTGGGGATTGCCTGTACAATTAGTTCGGTCACTGTCACCCTAACCTCCTGCCTTTGATTCCTTTGTAAAGTTTAAGTCTCATTTGTAAGTGTCCTCACTGCAGGAATCAGGACATAATCTTTTTATCCCCTGTCCTTGCATACTGCTGACTGCACGTACGGTGAATCAGTGGATGAATTCGTGCATGCATTTGTGCGTGCCTCCTGGAGAGATGGTTTGGCTGGTGAACAGTGCACTGGATATGGGGAATGGGAAATCTGAGTCTTGACTCTGCCCTTACTAGTTACAGGCCCACTGGGAGAATCCATGTTTTCCTTATGCGGGAATTGAGGATGAAGCCATCTCTCCTCCCCTTGACAAAGGGCTGCTGTGAGGACCAAGTGAGATAAGTGTGTGAACATGGGTACACGGGCTCCCATTTGCACCATCGAATCATCTTGTTTTTGTGGCTTCCATGCCCTTCCTTTCCGCTTATTTTTTCGTATTCTCTGGTAGGATGTTTTACATCTCTCCTGGCCATTTTTTTGTATCTTAAATGTGGCACCTTATTCTCTGTATGTGGGCTTCTGATTCTTTCATGGAGGGAACTGTGGACATTTCCAAGCTATGCTCATTAATGTCCACGGGGCATTAATCTAAATGCTTGAGTTCACTTATGCCATGTATTAGTTTAAATTTACTTCTGTAAGGAATATTTTCCCTCATGAGGTAGATAGATAAAATGAAGTCTAGTGACTCAGACCCAGTGCAGAACCCACCTTTTTCTTTCTTTCTTTCTTTCTTTTTTTTTTGGAGACAGAGTCTCGCTCCATTACCCAGGCTGGAGTGCAATGCCGATCTTGGCTCACGGCAACCTACGCCTCCTGGGCTCAAGCAATTCTCTTGCCTCAGCCTCCCATGTAGCTGGAATTACAGGCTCTCGCCACCACGCCTGTCTGATTTTTGTATTTTTAGTAGAGACAGGGTTTTGCCATGTTGGCCAGGCTGGTCTTGAACTCCTGGCCTCAAATGATCTGACCCCCTTGGTCTCCCAAAGTGCTGGGAATTACAGGTGCGAGCCACCACACCCGGCTGCCCAGAGCTTTTTATTGATACTGTGTTTTCCACAAATAATTTTGTGTTATGGTTTTCTCACTACAGTAACAGGCCTGGAGTTGCATTTTCTTGCATTGCTAGCTCAGTTTTTCCTAGAACAGAGTGTGAAGACTGAGATTTACTCTGCTTGAGTGAGATCTGCTCTCTCTACCCCAAAAGGAATCTTATAGAATGGGTGGTAATAACAACAGCACAGGATGGACTTGAGTTTGATAATGTTTTCTGCTTTTATGGCACCTTATTTTTGGTAGTGGTTACTGTGTAAAAATCAGACCTTTTTCTCTTCAGTGCATAATTGTCCCTCTGGTGAAAAGTGCTTGAGGTACAGAGGAATTATTTCATACCACCAACATAGTATTTAGGGCCCAGAGCAAACAGGCCCAGTAAGTCTGTAATCTGATAAGCCCTGGAATGGGATCCAGGTGCAAAGTACTTCCGATCTCTTTGACACAAAGGGAGGCCTAGACACAGACTCAAGTGAGGAAGGAACTGGAGCTCTCCCGGGAGTTCACTGGTAGTTTGAGGAGTGATGTTCGTTGTTTTAACCTCCAGTCTTTGGTCCAGCCAACTGATAGAATACTTCACTTTGGGGACCCGAGACTCTTGTTGGGTATATAGGATTGGGGTTTTCTGTTGATTGCTTTGTAACAAACCTAGTGTAGGGGGCCGGGTGTAGGGGGTGGGGGAGAGTGGGTGGGAGGAGTATATTCTCTTCCCCTTAGGCAAAGCTTCAAAAAAGTGCTTTGTGGGTTAATATGGAATTTGTGCCATATTTCTGTGGGGTTTCTTTGAAATCGAAAAGGGAAGGTGCAGTGCTTCCTGGATTGAGCTTCCTGAGCCCGTTTGTCTTCTGCTCTGAGTTGACCCTGGTTTTGGGGCTGTAGAAAGGGGAGGAGTAGCCATCCAGTAACCCTGGCCTGGATTGCTAAGGCCAGGGCCCGGGAGCTGGGCTCTCACTCTTTCCAGACAGGGCTGAGGCACCCTCCTGCTCCAAGATGTGGAGGCGCCTTCCTGCGTGACCTCATCTCTGCATCTGCGAGCTCCATCTGCCCCCGGAGTGGGTGAGCCAGGCAAGCGTGGCACTGCCCTCATTACTATGCACTGCCTTCGCTTGCAGGCATCTCCACACAAGGACCTGCCTGGCAGGCGGGGTGGGCTGAGGCGGGCGGGTGGGGTGTGTATGCTGGTGTCCCAGGTGCCTGATGGGACCTTTACTTCTTTTGGTCACCTTTGGAGTCAGAACAGTCCAAACTGTTAACCATGCAGACTTCTGCCTGTTTCTCTCTTTATGTTATTTCTTTATGCCCACAAGGTCTGCTGCCCTGTACAGGCCTCCTGAATTCCCTAACTTAACTCCTTGTCAATGCTGAAGATGCTGAAGACGTTTTAGAAGCATGTGGCTGGGCGCATGGCTCACACCGGTAATCTCAGCACTTTGGGAGGCTGAGGTGGGGATCGCTTGAGGCCAGGAGTTTGAGACCAGCCTGGGCAATATAGTGAGACCTCATCTCTACCAAAATAAAAATAAAAAATTAGCCTAGCATGGTGGTGTGCACCTGTAGTCTTAGCTACTTGGGAGGGTGAGACAGGAGGATTTCTTGAGCCTGGAAGGAGTAGGTTGCAGTGAGCCGATGTTGTGCCACTGTAATCCAGCCTGGGTGACAGAGTGAGATCTTGTCTCAAAACAAACAAACAAAACCCCAAACCAAAACAAACAAAAAGAAGTATGTAAGCCTTAAAGTCTAAACATTCAACTAAATGGATGACTGAATACAAAAAATAAATGCAAAAATCCTTCTCATACAGATTATCTCTGATTCCAAGACCAGAAGGAGATGCTGGAATTATCAGTGATCCCCAATGGGATGTCATGCACAGAGTCAGTTTTGTAGTGTACATTATAGGCAAATCATATTCTCTCTCTTTCTGAACATTCTGAGAAGAATGCACTCAAGGTTTGAAAGACTATCATGTATGCCATAATTTTTGTGCTTAGTTTTTTTTCTTATTTAACTACATTCTGAGGAATGGAATCCCTGAGTTGATGGGTCTTGTTAGTGTTATTTCCTGTCCATAAGAATCATGTTGATTTATAATGTTATCAGCAATGTATATCCCTTACCAGTTTACTCAAACACCTCACCACCTGAAGATTTCTGAAAGTCTGCGGAGCAGTGCTTAGTGAGTTTGTAGTAAAGGAGTCAGTAGGAGTATGGTGGATGTCGTGAAGAGAGACCAGAGAGGACAGCCTTTTCTTCTCAGTGCCCACTTTGATCGAGTCACAATTATTCCCTGCAGGGCTGGGTCGAAAAGATTTTAAGGCCCTTTTCACGTTCAATAAGATAATGTGTCTTGAATTGATTACTGATGTCTGCCATGAGAGCAGGATTAAGTAGTCGCGATCTATTTGCCTGGGAGGTATCATTCTTTTTTAAAATTATTATTTTTATTATTATTATTACACTTTAAGTTCTGGGACACATGTGCAGAACGTGCAGATTTGTTACATAGGAATACACGTGCCATGGTGGTTTGCTGCACCCATCAATCCGTCATCTACATTAGGTATTTCTCCTAATGCTATCCCTCCCCTAGCCCCCTGCCCCCTGACAGGCCCCAGTGTGTGATGCTCCCCTCCATGTGTCCATGTGTTCTCATTGTTCAACTCCCATTTATGAGTGAGAACATACAGTGTTTGGTTTTCTGTTCCTGTGTTAGTTTGCTGAGAATGATGGTTTCCAGCTTCATCCGTGTCCCTGCAAAGGACATGAACTCATCCTTTTTTATGGCTTCATAGTATTCCATGATGTACATGTGCCACATTTTCTTTATCAAGTCTATCATTGATGGGCAAGTCTTTGCTATTGTGAACAGTGCTGCAATAAACATACGTGTGCATGTGTCTTTATAGTAGAATGATTTATAATCCTTTGTGTATATAACCAGTCATGGGATTGCTGGATCAAATGGTATTTCTGGCTCTAGATCCTTGAGGAATTGCCACACTGTCTTCCACAATGTTTGAACTTACACTCCCACCAACAGTGTAAAAGCATTCCTATTTCTCCACATCCTCTTCAGCATCTGTTGTTTCCTGACTTTTTAATGATCACCATTCTAACTGGTGTGAGATGGCATTTCATTGTGGTTTTGATTTGCATTTCTCTAATGACCAGTGACAATGAACTTTTTTCCATATGTTTTTTGGCCACAAAAATGTCTTTTTTTGAGAAGTGTCTGTTCATATCCTTTGCCCACTTTTTGATGGGGTTTTTTTTTCTTGTACGTTTGTTTAAGTTCTTTGTAGATTCTGGATATTAGCCCTTTGTCAGATGGATAGATTGCAAAATTTTTCTCCCATTCTGTAAGTTGCCTGTTCACTCTGATGATAGTTTCTTTTGCTGTGCAGAAGCTCTTTAGTTTAATTAGCTCTCATTTGTCAACTTTGGCTTTTGTTGCCATCGCTTTTGGTATTTTAGTCATGAAGTCTTTGCCCATGCCTATGTCCTGAATGGTATTGCCTAGGTTTCTTCTAGGGTTTTGGGGTTTTAGGTCTTAGGTTTAAATCTTTAATCCATCTTGAGTTAACTTTTGTATAAGGTGTAAGGAAGGGGTCCAGTTTCAGTTTTCTGGATATGGCTAGCCAGTTTTCCCAACACCATTTATTAAATAGGGAATCCTTTCCCCATTGCTTGTTTTTCAAAGGTTTTTCAAAGATCAGATGTTTGTAGATGTATGGCATTATTTCTGGGGCCTCTGTTCTGTTCCATTGGTCTATATATCTGTTTTCATACCAGTACCATGCTGTTTTGGTTACTGTAGACTTGTAGTATAGTTTGAAGTCAGGTAGCGTGATGCCTCCAGCTTTGTTCCTTTTGCTTAGGATTGTCTTGGCTATACGGGCTCTTTTTTTGTTCCATATGAAATTCAAAGTAATTTTTTCTAATTCTGTGAAGAAAGTCATTGGTAGCTTGATGGGGATAGCATTGAATCTATAAATTACTTTGGGCAGTATGACCATTTTCACGATATTGATTCTTCCTATCCATGAGCATGGAATGTTCTTCCATTTGTATGTGTCCTCTCTTATTTCGTTGAGTGGTGGTTTGTAGTTCTCTTTGAAGAGGTCCTTCACATCCCTTGTAAGTTGTATTTCTAGGCATTTTATTCTCTTTGCAGCAATTGTGAATGGGAGTTCATTCATGATTTGGCTCTCTATTATTGGTGTATAAAAATGCTTGTGATTTTTGCACATTGATTTTGTATCCTGAGACTTTGCTGAAGTTGCTTATCAGCTTAAGGAGATTTTTGAGCTGAGACAATGGGGTTTTCTAAATATGCAATCATGTCATCTGCAAACAGAGACAATTTGACTTCTTCTTTTCCTATTTGAATACCCTTTTTTTCTTTCTCTTGCCTGGTTGCCCTGGCTAGAATTTCCAATACTATGCTGAATAGGAGTGGTGAGAGAGGGCATCCTTGTGCCGGTTTTCAAAGGGAATGCTTCCAGCTTTTGCCCATTCAGTGTGATACTGGCTGTGGGTTTGTCATAAGTAGCTCTTATTATTTTGAGATACATTCCATCAATACCTAGTTTATTGAGAGTTTTTAGCATGAAGTCGTGTTGAATTTTATCAAAGGCCTTTTCTGCATCTATTGAGATAATCATGTCATGTAGTTTTTGTGATTGGTTTTGTTTATGTGATGGATTACGATTATTGATTTGCATATGTTGAACCAGCCTTGCGTCCCGGGGATAAAGCCAACTTGATTGTGGTGGATAAGCTTTTTGACATGCTGCTGGATTCAGTTTGCCAGTATTTTATTGAGGATTTTTGCGTTGGTGTTCATCAGGGATATGGGCCTGAAATTTTCTTTTTTTGTTGTGTCTCTGCCAGGTTTTGGTATCAGGATGATGCTGGCCTCATAAAATGAGTTAGGGAGGAGTCCCTCTTTTCTATTGTTTGGAATAGTTTCAAAAGGAATGTTAGCAGCTCCTCCTTGTAGTGGGAGGTATCATTCTTAATCTGGAGGGATAGGAAGCTTGAAGGCCGTTGCAGGAGTCCAGGAATGAATCAAGTGTTAGTGCTTGGTTTTCACAGATTGGTGGTGCCTAGCGTTTTGTGTGGCAGCAGCCAAAACTTTGTGGTTCCTGATTTCATAATTATAGATTTACATGTGATTAATAAGTGTGACAATTCAAACAGCAGGGGTTGTCATTTCAGAATAAGTGGTTGTTCTCAGAGAGGAATCTCATATGAGGGATCCATTTCCCAGGAAGTAGATGGAACCAATTGCTGGGCATGAGTACGTCTCTGATATCGACTATACAAATGATTATACAATGAAACACTATCTGGCCCACAGGTAGGGTTTTACTGTACTTTATTTCAGGTTCTGGAGTCAGAATCGGGTTTATTCTAATGTCTCCCCGGCAGTCAATAATTTGAGCCCCTTTCATTACTGTTAAGGCTGCAGCGGCTATCTTCAGAGCCTGTCAGGCTATGAGTAACTTGAGCTATGCAACGTGAAACCAGAAAGCACTAGTAAAGTACTTGTGAGTTCTAGAAATTTGACTTTTTTTTTTTTTTTTTTTGAGAAATTTAGGCCAGTGTGGTGACTCAAGCCTATAACCCCAGCACTTTGGGAGGCTGAGGCCGGAGGATCATTTGAGCCTGGGAGTTTGCGTTAGCCTGCCCCACATAGCAAGACCTTGTCTCTGCAAAAAAACCCCTAACATTTAAAAATAGCAGGGTGTGGCGGTGCACACCTGTAGTCTCGGCTACTGGAGAGGCTGAAGCGAGAGGATCACTTGAGCTCAGGAGTTCGAGGCTGCAGTGAGCTATGATTGCACCACTGCATTCCAGCCTGGGTGACAGAGCAAGACCCTCTCTCTTAAAAAAATAAAGGAAAAATGTACACTTAGCAGGGAAGTTGATTTAACCTAGTGAGAGCCTTAAGAGGTTTTGACTAGGACTCAAAAGAGTTTGGTTCTGACTCTACCAACCAGCTATGTGACCTTGAGGAAGTCACACTGTTTCCTCTTTACCAAAACGAGGGGACTGGACAAGACGGCCTGTGGTATTCTCAGAATCTTACGAAATGGAATAATATATACATAGATGGGTTTCCGTCAGTGTGGCCCTAAAGACAGGCCTCTCTGATCCTGTCTCTCTCTTCCAAGGCTCCTTCTTCACCCAGTAGGCTTCATTCTCTTTTCTGAGTCCTACCTCTGTGTCTTCACATGCGACAGCCACTATTACCCTGGCACTTTCCTTGTGTGTGTGTCACAGCCCTAGCGAGTTTCCTGCGGGGAAGGGCATTCCCAGCGCGGAGTGACTCCTTAGCCTGGCTCCTGGCCTGTCCTCAGCAAACCGCGGGTAGGGTGTGCCCCTGGTGGCCAGCCGAGGAACAGCAGTCGCCCCTGGAGGTCGGGAACTGCATCCACTTGAGCGGTCCCAAGCCACGGGTCAGAGAGGATTCGATGGTGGTGTTCTTTGCAGAAATGTTTCCCTTTCTGAGACAAACTAAAACTTTGTCTATCCTTTCGTCCTGTTATTTCTTTCCTATCAAGTGTGTAAGAATGTACATTTGACAGTGCATTCTAAAAGAGGTGAGAGTTAAAATGTTTCAAAATAAAGAGACAGTGACTTTGTTGTTTGAAAAATCAGTGCTTATATCTAAATTTGAGCAGACTTGCTGCTGTAACTCTTCAGACAAGTTGGCGTTGACGCTTGAGCCCTTTGTAGAGGATGATGAGTAAAGCTGAACATTGAGCATTGTCAAGTGACTTCTTCCCTTTTCCGCCTTCAAGGGCGTTTTGGGGCTGGCCTTGCAGGATTGATTTGTTGGCTGCTTTGAGACTTGTGTCCATTGTTTTGAGCACATCCCTTGGGAGAGTAAATGATAGATTCCAAAGGGGTGCTTTTCAGACCAGCGCCCCCACCGAGAAGATGCACCCTCAGCCCTGTGCCCCAGGGGCACGTGAGGGAACTGAGCAAGCACCTGCAGCCTAAGGAGGAAGGCCCCGGGGCACACAGAAACCAGGCGAGGTTTGTCACTGGGTGATAGGGTAAGCCTGGGTATCAAGGAATGAAAAAAAGGAGCAAATCGAGGAGTTGTCTCCTGAGCTCAGAGGGGCCACAGGTGGGGCAGCCCCATCACCACTGTGTGCTGGTCCTCCTGCCGTGTGCCTGGCCCTGCTTAAGAACTCCTGGAGGCCAGGGAGGGTGGAATGGTATCTCCCCGCCAATGGGGTCTAGCCTGCTGTTGGCATGGGAAAGGGAGGGTTTGGGGAATGCCTGTTGGGCGAGTGAAGAATGAGTGAATGAACGATTGAATGGAATAGCCCTGAGAAGGAGAATTCCTAAACTGTGATGGAGAAAGGTAGAAATGAGCGTGGTCGGTGTTGGGGAGAGGTCCCCACCCTGCCTCCTTGGCAGTTTGTAGGAATCAGCTGGCCTCATGAAAGTGTGCTGCCTGCTGTAAGGGGCAATTTCCTAATCTTCAAGGGCAGGGCAGGGCAGGCTGTCACAGTTCCTCAGTGTCCAGTTTCTTGGGGGCTACGTGGGCTACAGTCTGGCAAGGATTTGCTCCTCCACAGGGGGTCTTAAGAACAACTGAGATGAAAAGAGTTGTGGTTTGGGGGACTGCGAGGGAACATGAGCCAGAATCCATACTTGAGGTGCAGCTCAGAAATAGCAGCGGCATCAATTGGCATCTCAGGAGCTGATGTTTTGATTCTGCCGTCACCTCTTTGAACTCTGTGCATCGATTTGCACGATGCAGATAAACAGCAGCTTTGGTGCTGTGTTTGTTAGGGCTCAGGGTCAGTGCAGGCTGCTCTCCTTGGGAGGCGAGACCTTCTGGAGAGGGGTTTTCTGATGAGTATTAAAAGCCAAGTCCCCTGTTGCCCCAGGTTTGCTGGAATTGTCCCCCAAACACAGGGCTGAGAAGGAGTAAAAATAATTCAGATTGCCAACTGGTATTTCAAATCCCACTTCATATTTCAGTGTCTGAAGAAAACCACATTTCTCTGAATTTCAACATTTCATCCTTGATCTTTTGGCTTTCAAATTTATACCTTTAATGTAAGAGAACTGAATCAGCTATTTTTTCATTCTCTCGATAAATCACTTGTTCCCGTTTTGTGTATAGTTTTCAGAACGCCTCCACGATCCTTCCAGTAGGAACATGTTGGCAACGGCGATCGGTGTTGATAAAGCCTTGGGTCCTGTGTCCTCTGCCCTTCCTGCCTGTCTCAGAACAGCAGCCATTAACAATTGAGGGCAGATGCTTTTTTCTACTTTCTTCTACTTTTGGGGCAACTTCCTGACTTTATTTTCTAACTCCTCCATGAAATTTTAATTTCTGCCATCATATTTTTAATATATATATTTTTTGAGACAGAATCTCACTCTGTCACCCAGGCTGAGTGCAGTGGCACAATCATAGCTCACTGCACCCTTGAATTCCCGGGCTCAAGCCATCTTCCTGCCTCAGCCTCCCAAGTAGCTGGGACTACAGGCCCATGTCGCCACACCCGGCTAATTTTTACATTTTTTTGTAGAGTCAGGGGTCTTGCTATGTTGCCCAGGCTGGCCTTGAACTCCTGGCCTCAAGTGTTCATCCTGCTTTGGCCTCCCAAAGTGCTAGGATTACTGGTGTGAGCCACTACACCTAGCCATATTTTAAATTTCTAAGAGGTTGGTTGTATTCTCAACGATCTTTTAAAATAACATCCTGCTGTTTTGTGTGTGTGTGTGTGTGGAGGGGAGCATATAAATGTCAGGTATTTCTTAGTGAGTGATTATATTGAAAAAGTTAAAAATGTAAGTTGAAAGCTCTGTTTGTATTGGGGCTTGTCAACTGCTGCACACATGGCCTTTGGTTAGGGGATCCCAAATATCGGGAACTCTAGAGCTTTTTTTCTCCTACCTAAAGGGGAGCCTTCACTGCTTCTGTGTGGGCTTATCCAGCTTAGGGTGAACAGCACCTGGCCCCTCCCTTACCTGTGCCTGATGTCCCCAAGCCCAGCTCCGTCCGATGCAGGCTTCCTGGAGAGTAAAGCTCTGACCCTGGTTATGTGGCCTGGGGCTCCAAGGGTATGTTGTTGTGTGGCCTTTCAACTGATCTGTTTTCAGCCCTCCATTGCTTGATGTTTCCTGAGGTTCTGCGGCATGAATTGACTTGCTTCTTTATTGGCTTCTCTCCCTGCCAGCAGTTTGGTTTCAGCTTCTTCATTCTCAGGGACCGCTTGTCCTCCTGGATTTTGTTGATATCACTTGTCTGGTGTTGTCTCTTCTCCTATCTCTTTGACTTTGTGAATTTGTGTCTTTTATTTCTTAAACCACTTTACAAGGGCTTTGGAAGGGAGTGGATATAAATGCGTGCATTGAATTTCCAGTGTGTAATTGGACCCTCGTCATAATCAGCTTTAAAGAATTATTTAAGAGAGAAAGAACTGAGACAAGACCATTATATAATTAAGCAAAATTTGGAAGTTATTACCCAACCATCAGATTCTACAGAGAAAATGCTAGAAACATAGAAACTAGAATTAATAGGTCTTAAAGGGTGATGCCTAGAGAAACAGATTACGTGTCTTTTGAATGCAAGGTTTTGAACAGAATGAATTCTGTTTCTGCCCAAACAATGTGGTATGTTCACGTACTTCTTCTCTAGAGCCCTCCCAAGATTTCAGAATTTCTGAAAATACATCCATAGTGAACATGTTCATTTTTGGTTAAATATTGTATACATGTCAGACATGTTTCTGAAACTGATTTTTACCATACTTCTTTTCTTTCTGTGAAAGCAATACAATTTTATTATAGAAAATATTGGTGAGAAATAGAAGAAAATATCCCCCCACTCCCTCTCCCAGTCTCATCAACCAGAAATAGCCAGTCGTGTCCTCTGGTAATCTGTGAGGTCAGTTAACCTCACAACCTGTGAGTTGCCGCCCTTCATCTTCACGGTTGTATCCTCATTCTTTCCTAGGACACTGGGGTTGGGAAATCAAGCATCGTGTGTCGATTTGTCCAGGATCACTTTGACCACAACATCAGCCCTACTATTGGGTAAGTTCCTGTATGTCATTCTCCTTCGCGTTGCTTCCTTTCACGGCATCAGAATGACCACTCTGTCTGTGCCTGAGCCTTCAGGCAGGGCCACAGTTTTCATCCCAGCCAGTGAGAATCAATCCCAGCTGTAGACCGACAGAAATTCAGGGACTTCTGAGTATGTGTCCAGGCTTACTGTCCCTGTCGGTCATTTTTTTTTTCCTAGTCAGCCTTCCTCATGCTACCTCCTAAGGTCATTTCCTTGATCTCTGAGAGCATTATTCTGCAAATCTTGGCGTTATTTCCAGTTGGAAGACGATATGCAGAGCAAACCCCTGATAGTTCTGCTTTAAGTTGCCTGCTAATAAACCCTGAAAATGCCATCCACCCGTACCTCAGCACTGTCTGCAAAGTCTGTGGAGCAGATTGACTTTCCTTTTCTGGAATTATCTTTTTTTTTACTTCTTGAGACTGAGTGTTGCTCTGTCACGTTGCCCAGGCTGGAGTGCAGTGGGGTGATCTTGGCTCACTGCAACCTCCACCTCCAGGGTGGATTCTCCTGCCTCAGCCTCCTGAGTAGCTGGGATTACAGGTGCGCACCACCATGCCTGGCTATTTTTTTGTATTTTTAGTAGAGATGGGGTTTCACCATGTTGGTCAGGCTGGTCTTGAACTTCTGACTGAAAGCAGTCCACCTGCCTCAGCTTCCCAAAGTGTTGAGATTACAGGCATGGGTCACTGCGCCCAGCCCCTTTTCTGGAATTATCTAATGCCAGCATTTCCACTGTCATGTGTGGGGAGGGGTGGAAGTGCATTGTTAAATTCTCCTGAGCTTGGGATGCAAAATTGTTTTCCTGTTCATCTCCCCTTTCCAGTGGGCTCCTTGGCCGCGTGTGCTTTGGCTCTGCTGTTCGGGAAGTGCCTGCTTTTTCATTCTTAGAACGTGGCCTCTGCTTATTTTTCACCCTGAAGATATCAAGTCTTTGTAGGCAATGTATGTCTTTGTCTGTATGTTTTGGGAAACCTGTAGGATTGTTGAGAATGGGAGAGTGTATCAGAAGTGGAGAAAAATCATGGCAGGGAATAAATAGATGCTCAAGAGTACTTGGCTGATAGGCCAGTAGTTGGAACTGTGTAGCTGAGAAAACCCACATTTTGTAGATTAAAAATGACTTAAAGAAACATACTCATGAAAATATCAAGAATTAGGAAAGGTCTGAGATTTTACCCTAATTGCAGCCTGCAACTTGTTAACAAGTTAGCAGTTGTGACTTGTTAGCCTGACTCAGTTTCAGGGATGCTGGCAGAAGACAGAAGACCCCCGAGTCACAGACAGAGGCAATAGCAATAGCCAGAGTATTCACAAAATAGGGTGACATTAGAGTCAGACACCTCACATGCAGGGGGCTGTGTTACGGGAGCGGAACCCCAAGCTGAGGGAACGCAAGTCTTCTACATGGGGCAGTGAGCACATCTGTCCTCAGCTACAGAGAGAGACTCTCCCCTCCAAGGATGCTTGCTGTGCAGGTTGAGCATCCCTAATCCAAAAACCTGAAATCCAGAATGCTCCCAAATCTGAAACTTTTGAGTGCCAACATGACGCTCAAAGGTAATACTCAAAATGCTCATTGGGATATTTCAGATTTTGGAATTTCAGCTTTGGGATGCTCAACTGGGTAAGTATAATGCAATTATTGCAAAATTTAAAAAAATATATATCCACCGGAAGCGGTGGTTCACGCCTGTAATTCTAGCTCTTTGGGAGGCCTAGGTGGGCAGATCACATGAGGTCAGGAGTTCAAGACCAGCCTGGCCAACACGGTGAAACCCCTCTCTACTAAAAATACAAAAATTAACCAGATGTGGTGGCACGCGCCTATAGTCCCAGCTACTCGGAAGGCTGAGGCAAGAGAAGGTGGTGGTTGCAGTGAGCTGAGATTGTATCACTGCACTCCAGCCTGGGCAACAGAGCGAGACTTCATCTCAAATAAGTAAATAGATAAATAAATAAATCCAAAATTCAAAATAATTCTGGTACCAAACATTTTGGATAAGGGATACTCAACATGTACAAGCATCCTTGAAAACACAATCCGGAAAAAAGTGTTTACTTGCAAGATGTGCACGTTGTGAGAGACCATAAAGAATTGTCTCCCAACATAGGCGCGCTTGTATGATAGGTATACTTTTTATGGAAGAAATTGGTTTCACTCTGCTCTGAATGTACTTTTTTCTCTCTCTCTCTTATTTTTCACTTTGTGTGTGTGTGTATGTGTTTTAATAATAAAAAGCAGAACTGATAAGAGTGATTAACTGTGAAGTATGGTTCCAGAAGATGGAGGAGAGATTTGTGCCTTCTACTTTCTAAACTTTTGTTTAAAAATTTTTTTAAAATAAAATCTTTTTGTAATGACCTTTTTTTTTTTTTTTTTTGAGACGGCGTCTTGCTCTGTCGCCCATGCTAGAGTGCAATGGTGTGATCTTGGCTCACTGCAACCTCCGCCTCCCGGGTTCAAGCGATTCTCCTGCCTCAGCCTCCTGAGTAGCTGGGATTACAGGTGCCCGCCACCATGCCCAGCTAATTTTTATACTTTTAATAGAGATGGGGTTTCACCATGTTGGCCAGGATGGTCTCAATCTCTTGACCTTGTGATCTGCCCACCTCAGCCTCCCAAAGTGCTGGGATTACAGGCGTGAGCCACTGCACCCGGCCTGTAATGACCTTTTTTAAAGTAAAAAGACAGTGCATACTCATACCACAAATTATGGGCAGTACATAAAAATGACAAGCGTAAGTGTTAAGCATAGGTATAGGCATCGTAAATAGGGTAGTTACGTAATTTTGGTCACAATCTCTTGGTCAAAGAAAGTTGCTGTGCCAGCCCAGATTAAAGGGGGAGACACAGGCTGCCTTGTGGTGGCAGGAGCCGTGTGTGCATGGAGGGAGGGTCGGGGATGGATTGCTGCTACCATTTTGGAAACAAACACAGTTGACAGTGTTTTGTCTAGTAAATGCATTTCGGTGGTTTGGAGTTTTAAAAAACTTATGTATTACAATTGACCCTTGAACAACTCGGGGATTAAGGGTGCTGAGCCCCGAGTGGTTGAAAAACCACCTATAACTTTTTGTTTTTTTGAGACGGTACTTGGCTCAAAAGTCTTGCTCTGTCACCTAGGCTGGAGTGCAGTGGCAAGGTCTCAGCTCACTGCAACCTCCGCCTCCTGAGTTCAAGCGATTCTCCTGCCTCAGCCTCCCAAGTAGCTGGGATTACAGTTGCACGCCACCATGCCCAGCTAATTTTTGTATTTTTAGTAGGAACGGGGTTTCACCATGTTGGCCAGGCTGGTCTTGAACTCCTGACCTCAGGTGATCCACCCCCCTTGGCCTCCCAAAGTGCTGGGATTATAGGCGTGAGCCACTGTGCCCAGCCACACATATAACTTTTGACTCCCTCAGAATTTACCTGCTAATACCTGACCATTGACCTGAAGCCTTATGGAGAACATAGTCAATTCACAAATATTTTGTAAGTGATGTGTATTATATACTGTATTCTTACAATAAAGTAAGCTAGATAAAAGAAAATATTACTAAGAAAATCATAAGGAAGCGAAAATATATTTACTATTCATTAAGTGGAAATGGACCATCATAAAGGTCTTCATCCTCATTGTCTTCACATTGAGTAGGCTGAGGAGGAGCAGGAAGAGGAGGGGTTGGTTTTGCTGTCTTGAGCGTGGGAGAGGCAGAAGGGATCGAATTAGAAGTGGGCCCATGACATTCAAACCCATGTTCAAGGGTCAACGGTCTATGGAAACTCTCTGCACTTTCTTCTCAGTTTTTCCTGTAAACTAAAAGTGCTCTAAAAAACTGTTATTAGTTTAAAAATTATGTCTTAGTTTTTAAAATTATGAAAAAATTTATACTATGTAGAAATATATAAAATAAAAAGTGAAGTCAGAGGATTTTGCTAGCTCTTCAATCCCGTATTCTTCAATTTACATAACCAATATTTAGAGTCCAAAGTGCATGTTAAACATATTTCTTATAAGTACTTTCTGTGGACATGCAGGTATACAAGCTAAAAATGAAAACGTATCACACTTTACCTAACAAGCCACAACATACATTCCCAGTCCACTTAGGTCCTCCTTATTCTTTTTCACTGCTGGTTGCCAGCCTCTGGGAAACTGAGTCAGGCTGCCAAGTGATGACTGTTAACTTGTTATTAAGTTGCAGGCTGCAATTAGGGTATAATACAAGTATGCCCCGTGCAATATTTGGGACATGTGTATACTAAAAATTTATTAGTTCTTTATCTGAAATTCAAATTGAACTGGCATCCTGTATTTGTGTTTGCTGAAGGTCACAACCCTTACCTCACCCCTCCTTTGGGCTTAAGCCAAGCTGGTTGGGTTTCCGAGTCTTGCAACCAAAGGGACCTCAATAGAAGCAGGCAGTTGTGCAATAGGGCTTACACAGGTGACTCAACTTTAATTGTGACACAGACAAGATTAAAGTCTAATTGTTTTGATTATAAAAGTTCATGTTCGACTGGGCGTGGTGGCTCCTGCCTATAATCCCAGCACTGTGGGAGGCTGAGGCAGGTGGAACATTTGAGCCCAGGAGTTTGAGACTAGCCTGGGCAACAGGGCGAAACTTGGTCTCTACAAAAAAATACAAAAATTAACTGGGTGTAGTGGCATGTGCCTGGAGTCCTAGCTACTTGGGAGGCTGAGGTAGGAGGATCACCTGAGACCTGGAGGTTGAGGCTGCAGTGAGCCATGATTGTGCCACTCTACTCCAGCCAGGGCAACAGAGTGAAATACTGTTCCAAAAAAAAAAAAAAAAGTTCATGTTCACTCTAAAAAAAACCCAAAGAACACAGAATTCATGAAACTAGGAATCTTAGTGTACATACAGTTTTTTTTTACTCTGTGTTTTCTACTTAATATATTTTGAACATTTTTTACAGTGTCACATAATCTTCAAAAACATGTTGAAAGTATTTTTTCTGATTATAAAAGTATTATATACTCATCATAAACAACTGAAAATGAAAAAAACATGAGGAAAAATATTTTAAAAACCCATAATCTACCTCTTAGAGGTAATTACTGTAAACATTTTGTTATTTTCTTCCAGCCCTTTTCTTGTATAAGTGTGTGTATGCGTTATTTATTCAACATCATTTTGTGAATTTCATGCCATTAAATAGTCTTTAAAAACAATTTTTAATGGTTGTATTTTTCACTTCAGGCATTTAGGTTGTTTAAACACTTTTGTACTTTTATAAATAATGTTATGAGGCTAGACACGGTGGCTCACGCCTGTAATCCCAGCACTTTGGGAGGCCAAGGCAAATGGATCACCTGAAGTCGGGAGTTCAAGACCAGCCTGGCCAACATGGTGAAACCCCATCTCTACTAAAAATGCAAAATTAGCCAGGCATGGTGGTGCACGCCTGTAATCCCAGCTACCTTGGGAGGCTGAGGTAGGAGAATCGCTCGAACCCGGGAGGCAAAGGTTGCAGTGAGACGAGATTGTGCCACTGCACTCTAGCCTGGGTGACAGACAGAGTGAGACTCTTGTCTCAAAAAACAAAACAAAACAGAACAAAACAAAACATAAATAAATAATGTTATGATGTACCTCGTTGGGCATAGATACCCATGTATACTGCTGATTATTTCTTTAGGTTAAACTCTTAGCAATGGAATAATTTAGTCCAAGAATAAAAATCTATTTAAGGCTCTCAATGGATATTACCAAATTGTTTTTCGGAAAGGTTATCTCTGTACCAGCTTTAGGTATTTTTTTTTGTACAATTTTTAACTTTATAAAATTGTAAAAGTTTGTATGATTTTGAATTCTATTCTTTTCCTCTAACTTCAAATGTTCGCATTTTCTCGTAGCTTAATGTTTCTTTGTTAAAACAATTTTACATGATGGCAGCATGGTATTGTGTGCTGTTCTTTTTTCTTTTTTTTTATTTGAGACAGAGTCTTCTCTGTTGCCCATGCTGGAGCACAGTGACGCGATCTTGGCTCACTGCAACCTTTACCTCCCAGGTTCAAGCAATTCTCATGCCTCAGCCTCCCAAGTAGCTGGGATTACAGGCACTCGCCTCCACGCCTGGCTGATGTATTTTTAGTAGAGACAGGGTTTCACCATGTTGGCCAGGCTGGTCTCGAGCTCCTTACCTCAGCTGATCTGCCCGCCTTGGCCTCCCAAAGGAGTTTACAGGCGTGAGCCACCGCGCCCAGCCCTGTTCGCTTTCTACCTCGTCCCTTGCTTTTCCTCTGGAGTCAATGTTAGGCTCAGCCCCTCCACCCTTATGTATTGTCTTCTTGATATAATTTAACTTCTTGATTTAAAAATTGATGAAAATTTTCCCTCTGGAATTTTGAGAAAATGTTTTCAAACACCAGTTGCAGAAAAATAAAGCTAGTGGGAACACTTTCTAAGTGACACATGCAGTTTTCCTGGAAGGTGGCATAAATGGAACACTTTTAAAACGTTTGAGTGCTTTCCCAAAAGCTGGTAGGTTCGGTGGGCTGAGGAACTGGCTTATATTAATATATTTGTTTTGTTCAGCCTTCACAGTGCTGTAAAGACTTTAAGCCAATAGAGAATCAGGAGACTGGCACGTAATAAACTTGCATTCCTGGTTTCTCTTGAAAAATCAGTGGGTTTGGAGCCCTGGTGCCCATTCCCATGTGGTGGGAGCCAGCCGGTGCCACTCCGCATGGGTGGCCAGGCCTCCCGGCTTCATGCCATTCCCGCTAGGTATTGTTACTATTATGTTCATCAGTATAAACGTTCACACCTAGCCTGCTTCACTCATTTATATGTCCTGCCTGGTCCCTAGACATTTCAGTTCCTGGCCCTGGCACTGCCTTCTTGGCGGTAACCCTGCTGGCCACCCCCAGGCCCAGGGCGGTTAGGGGACTTGCCTAGGTGCACACAGCCCGTGAGCAGCCCACTCATGGCTCACACCAGTGAGTCCACTCTCAAAGCCCACCCTTGTTCTTCCCACTGGAATCACACGACCATTGGTACAATGCCATGGGCTGTAAAATGCCATTGCTTCAGCATTAAAAGAGTTAACTCTTATGGCCTCTCTGACTCACACTGAAAAACCTTGGCTCTGCTATTCAAGCAGATTGCATTAACATCTTGAGTGTGTGTGTATGTGTGTGTCTCCCTTTTTATTTCAACTTTTGTAAGGAAATTGTGTAACTTCTCTGCCAGATTTTGGTTTCCACAGATAATGAAGTCAGTTTATCAGGGCCAGTGCGCCTCCTCCACCAGTTTGGAGGGTAATCTACACAGAAGAAAAGATGCCTGAGGTTCTTATTTGTTTATTTGTTTGAGACAGGATCTTGCTCTGTCACCCAGGCTGGAGTGCAGTGACGCAATCATGGCTCACTGCAGCCTCCACCTCCCAGGCTCAAGTGATCCTCCCACCTTAGCCTCCTGAATAGCTGGGACCACAGGTGTGAGCCACCACACCTGGCTGTTTTTAAATTTTTGTTTTTAATTAAATCTTTTTATTTTTGTGGAGATGAGGTCTCACTGTGTTGTTGCCTAGGCTGGATGAGGTTCTTAAGATCAAAAGCTAGCAAAGACTTAAAAACCAACAACAAATCTCAGTCAACAAAAAAAAGCAATGATTGTCGTGGTCCTCATTTCAAATACTGAGAGTCTTTCTCCTAGTGGCGAGAGATCAGGAACACAGAGGGATATGTGTGTGTGTGAGGTGTGCCTTCCTACTATTACTAAAGTTGCTCCTCACAGCTCACTGTGAACCAAGGGGAATTTCGCAGGTATCCATTTCCCTATATGTCCCTACAAACACCTTCTATTCAATGCAGAGTAGGTATTGGCCCCATTTCACAGAACAGGAAACCAAAGGGCTTTACGGGCTGGTTCATTGAGTCTGGCAGTGAGGGCCTCTGCTTCCTCTTCCTGGTTAGGCCACTGCACTCTTCTTTCACCAGGAACCAGGCAGTCTTCTGGGATTTTGGTTCCCCCCCCTTACCTGCACTGTGGAGGGGTTGGACTGGATATTTTATATTTTTTCCAAGATTTTAAAGGCATGAACTTTGTTTTCTAACCCTGAGGAGAACTTTTTAAGGGTAGTAGGGTTGCTGTATTATTTATCGCAGCACCTAGAATATACTGAAGAATAAATGAAAATCTGACTAACATCAAAAGTGAAAACAAAAACAAAATTTTGATAGAGTTGTCTAATAAAATTTTTAAATGAGTTTATGGAAAAAATCTAGAACAAAGTTAAAGGGCAAATGTTAAACTGGAAAAATATTATTTAAAATGTACTACTACAAAAGTTTAGTGGAAAATAGTCAAAAAATGAATAAGAAAAGGATGAATACCACAGTTGAAAGGTGGGCCAAGGTCATGAACTTGAGAAAAATTCCTTTACAAAGAAAAATGCAAGCGAACAATAAATGTTAAAATGATGTTTAAGCTTGTGATAAGCATAATGAATATAAGAATAAGATATTTTCTACCTAACACATTGAAAGAGATTTGAAAGATTAATAATGGTGAGGAAAAGGCCATCTCATACACCATTATGGACATGTAGGTTGGTACCAACTAAGTTTGGCACATGTAGCAAAAGTGGAGTGTATCTATTTTTGTTTTATTTGCTTATTTATGTATTTTTATACATTTATATATTTTTAGAGACAGAGCATTGCTGTGTCACCCAAGCTGGAGTGCAGTGGCACAATCATGGCTCACTGTACCCTTGACCTCCTGGGCTCAAGGGATCCTCCTGCATCAGCTTCCTGAGTAGCTGGGACTACATGCAAAAGCCACTGTGCCTGGCTGATTTTTTTTTTTCTTTTGTAGAGCCAGGGGTCTTGCTATGTTGCCAAGGCTGGTCTTGAACTCCTGGCCTCAAGTGATCCTGCCACCTTGGCCTCCCAAAGTGCTGGGATTACAGGTGTCAGCCACCATGCTCGGCTCTACTTTTTAAAAATTAAGTCTAAGGATATAGTTGTACAGGGACACAAAGATGTAATTATAAGGATATTCACTGAATCATTGTCGTAATAGTGAACAATAGATAACCAAAATGTCCATCGTTAGGGTATTGAATAATTCCATAACATGATGTATGATCTTCAGTCATTTTAGATGATATTGATGTATATTCATAGAAATGGAAAGATTTTAGGTGATTTTTTTTTTTTTTTGAGACAGAGTCTTGCTCTGTCACCCAGGCTGGAGTATAGTGGTGTGATCTCAGCTCACAGCAACCTCTGACTCCTAGGCTCAAGTGATTCTCCTGCCTCAGTCCCCGACGTAGCTGGGATTACAGGCACACACCACCACACCTGGCTAATTTTTGTATTTATAGTAGAGACGTGGTTTTGCCATGTTGGCCAGGCTGGTTTCGAACTCCTGACCTCAAGTGATCCTCCCCCATCAACCTCCCAAAGTGCTGGGATTACAGGTGTGAGCCACTGCGCCCAGCCAATTTTAGATGATATTGATCTATATTCATAGAAAAGGAAAGATTTCCAGGATATATAAAGTTGAGGAAAAGCAAAATTTAGATAGAGTATGATCAATTTTCAGAGCAAAAGTTATGTTAAAATAGAGCGTCCTGCAAACTCGGAAGCAGATCACAAGGGGTGGTCACACTGCAGTGTGATTGACATAAAGACCGATGTTACTTGGGAAGAAGCCTGGAAGAGGAGGAAGAGGAAAGAAAAAGAGTCGAGAACAGCTCTTACTCAGGGATGCTGGACTTTCAGGGATGTGGCTATAAAATTCTTTGAGGATGAGTGGGAATGCTTGGACCCTGCACAGCATCCTCTATACAGGGACCTGATGTTGGAGAGCTACAGGAACCTGGTCTCCATGGCAGGAAATTCTCTTCCTAACCTGAGTATTATCTTCTTGGTGGAGCAAGGGAAAGACCACTGGACAGTGGAGAGTCAAGTGAAAATAGCAAGAAAGCCAAAAGAGTGAGAACGTATCAAAGGTGTGATCAGACTGGTGCTGCAGCTCAAACAGAAACACATGCAAAGATCTTATCATGGTGGACAGCTTTCATCTGGTAGGGTGTCATGATATATATGTCATATTTGCATATATATAGGTTTTCACTTACAGTTCCTGGCTCCTAACTCCCAAACCCTTGTTATAATCTTGGGGCACTTTAGGCCTCAGAAAACAGAATCACTATCTGACCTTCTCCTGTCCTCCTTTTACCTGCCCAAGGCAGGACTCTAATCTGATCGCAGGTCATTCCAGAGAGAGTCCTGCCCCATCTTCTAGAGGAAGGATGCTACTCAGAGAGGCCAAGAAGAACCTGAACACACAGGCCTTGCTGGGTTTTGATCATGCACTTTTTGTCCAATCACATTTTTACAAGATTGTTAAGAATGCCTGTGTAGGTCGGGCACAGTGGCTCACGCCTGTAATCCCATCACTTTGGGAGGCCGAGGTGGGTGGATCATCTGAAGTCAGGGGTTTGAGGCCAGCCTGACCAACGTGGTGAAACCCCTTCTCTACTAAAATTACAAAAATTAGCCAGGTGTGGTGGTGCATCCCTGTAATCCCAGCTACTCAGGAGGCTGAGGCAGGAGAATCGCTTGAACCCAGTTGCAGTGAGCTGAGATCATGCGACTGCACTCTAGCGTGGGCGACAGAGTCAGACTCTGAGAAAGAAAGAGAGAAAGAGAAAGAGAGTAACAGAGAAGAGAAAGAAAAGAGAATGCCTATGTAATGAAGCCTCTGTCAAAAAAAGGAAAGGAAAGAAAGAAAGAAAGAAGGAAAGAAAAGAAAAGGAAAGAAAGAAAAGAGAATGCCTATGTAATGAAGCCTCCATAAAAACTTAAAAGAAAAGTGTTCAGGGCACTTCTGGAGAGCTGAGTTTCCTGGAAAGTGGCGCCCAGGGAGGGCATGGCAGCTCTGTGCCCCTGTCTGCTTACCTTGCCCTAAGCGTCTCTTCATCTGTATGCTTTGCAGTATCCTTTATGAGAAACTGGTCACTATAAGTAAGTGTTTCCTTGGTTTCTGTAAGCCGCTGTAGCAAATTAATCAAACTCAAAGAGGGGTTGGTGGGAACCCCAACCTGAAGCCTGTCGATCAGAAGTTCTAGAGGCCCGGACTTGGGACTGGTGTCTGTGGAGGAGCACTCTTGGGTACTGAGCCCTCAACCTGTGGGATCTGACAGTATCTCCAGGGAGAGAGTGTCAGAATTGAATTGGAGGACACCTAGCTGGTATCTGCTGCTGGTGGTGGGAGAACCCCCCACAGATTTGGTCATAGAGGTTCTCTTCTGTGTTGATGGTTGTGGTGTGAGAACAGAGGAAAAACATGGTTCTAGAGAGTTATCTCCTACACATCTGGCTTCTGGCAACTCTGCTTCCTTCTCTCGGAGGGATATCTTTCCTGTATATGCAATCAAGGAATTATCTGCCAAAGAGAAAAGTAATACAGGAGAAATATTCCACACAGTGTCATTGGAAAGACGTGAAGCCATGACGTTGAAGACTTGCTTCAGGGAAATCCAGAAAAATAGAAACTACTTTGAGTCTCAGTGGAGAAGTGATGAAAGCAGTTACAAGAGTGCCTCAAAAAAAATCTCACTGTTAGAAGAGACCAACATGATAGAAGGGATGCAGGCAACAAGCCTATTAAAAATCAGCTTGGATTAAGCTTTCAGTCATATCTGCCTGAACTACAGCTATTTCAAGCTAAAGGGAAAATTTATGAATGTCGTCAAGTTGAAAAGTCTGTCAGCAATGGTTCCTCAGTTTCACCACCCCAAAGAATTCCTTCTAAGCCCAAATCCATATTTCTAACAAGTATGGGACTTACTTAATCTATTCTTCCTTACACAAGAACAGAAAGCACACATTAGGGAAAAACCTTACAAATGAAATGAGTGTGGCAAAACCTTTAATCATGACTCACTCTATGCTGTATATTAGATAATCCATCCCAGAGAGAAATGACATAAATGTGATTTATGTAGCAGGGTTATTAGTCAAAAATAAAACCTTGCACATCATTGGAGAGAGTTTATACTGGAGAGAAACTCTACAAATGTAATGAATGTGACAAGGTTTTCGGTCACAATTCACAACTTGCAAGACATTGGAGAATTCACACTGGAGAAGACCCTTACAAGTGTAATGAGTGTGGCAAAGCCTTCAGTGTGCAGTCAGCACTTACCATCAGGTGGTCCATACTGGAGAGAAGCCTTCCAAATGAAATGAGTGTGGCAAGGTCTTCATGCACAATTCACTTCTCCCACAACATCCAATAATTCGTTCTTGGGAGAATCCTTACAAATGCAATGATTATGGCAAACCCTTCATCGTGAGTTCAAGCATTAATTGACATCAGAGAGTCCATACTAAAGAAAAATCATAGAACCGTAATGTATGTAGGAGAGGCTTTATCCACATTTCACACTCACAAGACATCGAAATAAGCATTTTTGATGAAACCACAGAAATGTAATGTGCCTGCTGAGGCTGTCGCCCAAAGATCGAAACTGTAGACCATCAGAGGAGTCAGATGAGGAATGACTCAGTCTTTAGTTCTCCAAGATTAACTTTCGACATTTCATACTGCAGAACAATTACAAGTCAAAATATGTTAAAACTCATGACATGATATCTATCAAAGGTACCAGGATGTTGGGCAGTGGCCAGTTAACTTCAGGTTATGAAATATTTTATTCAATTATTTGAAGATTCTTGAAAAGGCTACTTTACTATTTATGACTTTCAACTTGAACTTTGAAATAAAAGGGACGAAAATCCAGAATATACAAGCAACTCAAACAACTCAACAGCAAAGAAAACCCAAATAAAATGATTTAAATTGGGCAAGGAATCTGAGTAGACATCTCTAAAAAGAAGACATACAGATGGCCAACAAGTTTGTGGAAAAATGCTCAACATCACTATCATCAGGGAAATGCAAATTAAAAACCACAGGAAGATATCATCTCTCTCCAGTTAGAATGGCTATCATCAAAAATACAAAAAATAACAAGTGCTGGCAAGGGTGAAGAGAAAAGGGAATTCTTGTATTCTGTTGGTAAATTAAGCACTGTGTACATTAGTACAGACATTATGGAAGACAGTATGGAGGTTTCTCAACAAAGCTAAAAATAGAACTGCCATACAATCCAGCAGTTCTACTACTGGGTATTTATGCAAAGGAGAGTGAATCACTATATCAAAGGGATACCTGCACTCACAGATTTATTGCTGCACTATCCACAACAGCCAAGCTATGAAATCAACCCAAGTGTCCATCATCCATCAACAAATGAATGGAGGCTGGCGTGGTGGCTCACACCTGTAATCCCAGCACTTTGGGAGGCCAAGGAGGGTGGATCACCTGAGGTCAGGAGTTTGAGACCAGCCTGGCCAACATGGTGAAACCCCATCTCTACTAAAGTAAATTACAAAAATTAGCTGGGCATGGTGGCACATGCCTGTAATCCCAGCTACTTGGGAGGCTGGGGCAGGAGAATCGCATGAACCTGGGATATAGAGGTTGCAGTGAGCTGAGACTGTGCCACTGCACTCCAGCCTGGTTGGCAGAGTAAGACCCCATCTCAAAAAAACAAAACAAAGCAAAAATGAATTAATGGATAAAGAAAATGTGGTATATATACACACTGGAATACTATTCAGCCATAAAAAAGAATGAAATCCTGTCATTCATGGCAACATGGATGAACCTGGAGGACATTTCGTTAAGTGAAATAATCCAGACACAGAAGGATAAATACTACATGTTCTCACTCATATGCAAGAGCTGAAAAAAAAGAGCTCATAGAAGTAGAGTAGAATTGTAGTTATTAGAAGCTGGGAAGGGTTGGGGGAGGGAAGGATAGGGAGAGCTTGGTTAACAGTTACAAAGTTATAGCTAGACGGGAGGAAAATATTCTAGTGTTCTGTAGCACTGTAGGATGAATAAGGCTAACAATAATTTAGTGTATATTTTCGAAAAGCTTGAAGAGAGGATTTTGGGTGTTCACAACACCAAGAAATGATAAATGTTCAAGGTGATGAATATGCCAATTACCCTGATTTGATCATTACACATTGCATACATGTATGTACATATCACTCTGTATCCCATAAGATGCATAATTATTGTGTACCGGCTAAAAATAAAAGGAAACAAAGAACTGAATGAATAATCCCATTTTAAAAGTCATATAAAAATAATTGGGAAGGACATATACCAATTTATTAGCAGTGACTATGGCTGGGTGGTGAAATATGATTGGTTTTTATTTTCTTTCTGGTTTTTTGAATTTTTTTTATGAAATACATATGTTGCTTTTAAAATGGGAAAAGTAATAAAGACATTAACATTTTTGGAATATATTAGGTCTCCCCGGTAGTCTGGATATACATTTTAAACACTTTTAAAGAAATAAAGGAATAGATGTGGTTTTGATACTACTGGATTTGTCACTTAGAATACTTAGAATTTTCATTTATTGCAATTGTAGGTTGGTAATTAGAACTCTCTAACTATTATTAGCCTTTGGTTTTTGTGGGGATAGTGTGGGAATTGCAGTAGACTTTTCTACTTGGGACTTCGGTAGTTGGCCTCTTATTCTTAGAAGATTTAGAGGCTGAGGAAATATTACTATGATGAATGCTAGTTGACCAGGCTGGACTATATGAAAGTAAGGTGAAGAACCCCTGACTCTTTACCCCGAAAACCCCAGGGTCCATCTCCTAATAAGAACATAATGAGGACACCATGATCATACCTACAAAATTAATTTGAATCAGTGATAATATCTTGCATATAGTGTGAATTTAAAATTTTAAAGTTGTTCTTAAAATATCTTTTTGTGGGGGTAGGGGGTACAGGGTCTCGCTCTGTCACCTAGACTGCAGTGCACTGGGGCAATCTTGGCGCTTCACTACCAGCCTCAGACTCCTGGGTTCAAGCTGTCCTTCTGCCTCAGTCTTCTGAGCTGCCAGAACTACAGGCTGTGCCATAATGCTCAGCTGATTTAAAAAAAAAAATTTTTTTTTTTGTAAAGAAGGAGTCTTGCTCTGTTGCCCAAGCTGGTCTCGAAACCCTGGCCTCAAGCCATCCTCCTGCTTCAGCTTCCCAAAGGGCTAGGATTACAGAAAAAAGAGCCACCACACCTGACCAAATATATTTTAAAGCTGTTTTCCCCCTAATCTGGGATCCAGCCAAGGTTCATATATTGCATTTTGTTGTTTTATCTCTTTCCTCTCAATCTAGATTCTAGAATAATCTCCCTGTATTTTTCTGGTTTGCTTCTCATGACATTGACTTATTTGAAGCATTCAGGCCAGCTTGTCTTACAGAATGTTTCACATTCTACATTTGCCTCATTGTTTTCTTACAATTAAATTCAGACTAAACATTTGTGGCCAGAATGCTATATAGGTGATGTATCTACTTCTTATTCCATCACTTCAGGAGGCTCTCATACCAGGTTGTCCCACTACTGGGGATGCTTGCTATTTTTTAATGAATAGAAAACTTTCTGTCATAAAAGTCAAGGCTATTGAACATTCCTGGTATTTTTATACTGTTCATGAGCACAAAGAAAATGCTTTTTAAAAGGAAATATGCAAAAAAGAAAATAGTAAGTGTTTAATGATCTACTGAGGCTTTAAAATCCTTTCTTTTTGGACTTAGAAGGGAGGAAAAAAAATCCTTCCTTTTTTATAGAGAAAACATAAGTATGTGTTAAGCTGCCAATCATCGTCCTTGCATTTATGCAAGCAGGTTGGGACTTAGATGTAGTATTCTATTAGTTGCTACTAGTGTTGGTTTCATATTAGCATAGTAAATATGTAAGACAACTTTTTCTTTATGCCATTGTAAGACCAAAAACATTACATGCCAACATACCAGCTGCTATTTTCACTCTTAATTATTGTAATAAGTTTTTAAAATCCAAGGTTGTATTCTTTCCTGAGATCTGGGGGTATTTTAATAATTGAAGCTAACTGGTTTTAGAAACACAGTCTTTTTTTTTTTTTTTTTTTTTTTTTTTGAGACGGAGTCTTGCTCTGTCACTCAGGCTAGAGTGCAGTGGTGCGATTTTGGCTCACTGCAGCCTCTGCCTCCCGGGTTCAAGTGATTCTCCTGCCGCAGCCTCCCAAGTAGCTGGGACTACAGGCACCCGCCACCATGCCCGGCTAATTTTTGTTTTATTTTTATTTTATTTTATTATCATATACATATTTTTTGAGATGAAGTCTCATACTGTCACCTGGGCTGGAGTACCATGGTGCCATCTTGGCTCACTGCAACCTCTGCCTCCTGGTTTCAAGCAATTCTCCTGCCTTAGCCTCCCAAGTAGCTGGGACCGCAGGTGCCTGCCACCACGCCGCCACCAGGCCTGGCTAATTTTTTGTATTTTTAGTAGAGACAGGGTTTCACCATATTGGCCAGGCTGGTCTTGAACTCCTGACCTTGTAATCTGCTCACCTTGGCCTCCCAAAGTGCCGGGATTACGGCATGAACCACCGCGCCTGGCCAGAAACAGTCTTTTGAATGCCTCCTTTGTTTTGTTTTGTTTTGTTTCAAAACCCCCAGTTGAACTAACAGAAAATGAGAAATATTTTATTTTGGGTGTCATGAGTCTTCTAGCCCTTTTCTCGTCTTAGTGGTTCCCAAGGACCAGGGCTTTTTGGGGTCCTGCTGAGGTGTAGCATTTAACTTGTTTGATTTGTGAATCTTTGTGAAGAAACAATGCAGTAATGTGGAGATGCTGACTCTCTTTTTTCAGGGCATCTTTTATGACCAAAACTGTGCCTTGTGGAAATGAACTTCACAAGTTCCTCATCTGGGACACTGCTGGTCAGGAACGGGTGAGTATATGCTGTTTTTTGGTGAAAACAAGATCCAGTGAAAATAAGATCAGTTTCTGAAGGTTTGTTTGCATTAGACAAGACTCTTGGTTGCAGGTGACAGAAACCTAGCTTGAAATGATGTAAGCAAAAAGAAAATGTACTCATTAGCTATGTGAAAAGTCTAAGTGGGTACCTAGGGTGAGGCGGGGCTGAGTTCAGGTCCCCAAATGTGTTGTGAGAGGAGCCCATCTCTCTTATTTCTGTTTCTTTCCATTTAGTGCAGTTGTGGTTGCACTCTCGATTTGGTTCATTTTTAGGCAGACTCACCCTCCCTCCTTACCTCAAGGGTGGTAACCATGGCCCCAAAAGCATCTCTACACCTACCTTCAGCCTTTTTAGCAACTACTGGCTGAGCATGCACCTCTTCTGCAAGTGGGAACATACATCTTAGTGCCTCTGAGTTCTCACTGGCCTGCCTTAGGCCCCATGCCCACTCCTGAACTTCAGGTGGTACCTTGTTCTTGGGGGTTTGGTGCCCCTACTGGTGGGATCTGGCAGTACACTGACCCCTAGAGGCAAGGGCTGGTGTCAGCCCCACCTGAACCATGTTGGTTCAGGAAGTCAGGTAGGCTTAGCGCCCCAAGGAAAATCTGAGGTCTCTTACTGGAAAAGTGGGTAAATGGATGCTGGGTTATCAAAACAGTGGATGACTTCTCTTTTACTCCTAATTCTCTGTATTTGCTGAAAATACTTATGGAGAAGACTATATATTTTAGAAGGTCATGCCTTTAGATTCAAAAAAGGGAAATGACGAATACTAGCACAGTGTCTATTGCTGGATACTTGCATAATAACTAGAGCGTATATTATAAAAGTTGCTGTGTCTTGCTGTGTCTCCCAGGCTGGAGTGCAGTGGCACAATTATGGCTCACTGCACCCTTGACCTCCTGGGCTCAAGAGACCCTCCTGCCTCAGCTTCCTGAGTAGCTGGGACTACAGGCACAAGCCACTGCACCTGGCTGATTTTTTTTTTTTCTTTTGTAGAGCCTGGGGTCTCGCTATGTTGCCCAAGCTGGTCTTGAACTCCTGGCCTCAAGTAATCCTCCCACCTTGGCCTCCCGAAGTGCTGGGATTGCAGGTGTCAGTCATAATATAAAAGTTGAGGCCGGACGCGGTGGCTCACGCCTGTAATCCCAACACTTTGGGAGGCCGAGGCGGGCGGATCATGAGGTCAGGAAATTGAGACCATCCTGGCTAACACAGTGAAACCCTGTCTCTACTAAAAATACAAAAAATTAGCCAGGTGTGGTGGTGGGCATCTGTAGTCCCAGCTACTCGGGAGGCTGAGGCAGGAGAATGGCGTGAACCCAGGAGGCGGAGGTTGCAGTGAGCCGAGATCATGCCACTGCACTGCAGCCTGGGCGACAGAGTGAGACTCCAGCTCAAAAAAAAAAAAAGTTGAAACGGATAGCCAGATAGCCAAGCAGAGATAACCAATACCTTGTCTTAGCCAAGAGCTGTTAGCTTGATTGAAATTATCAGAGTTGATGACTATGGAGTAAAATTGGTAGAATTTTCCCTTGTCTGATCCAAACTCAAATGTCACCTTCTCTACCTCCTTGTTTAAAATGTCACCACCTCATTTTCTTGCCCTACTCCACTCACTTCCTGCTTCATTTTTCTCCACAGTTATTATCATCTTCCAATATATTATTTAATTCACTTTATTTTGAGACAGGGTCTTGCTCTGTCACCCAGGCTGGAGTGCAGTGGTGCAATCACAGCTCACCTCAGCCTCCCGAGTAGCAGGGACCACAGGTGCTCACCACCACTCTGGGGTAATTTTTAAATTTTTTTTGTAGAGACGAGGTCTTGCTATGTTGCCCAGGCTGGTCTTGAACTCCTGGGCTCAAGCAGTCCTCCTGCCTTGGCCTTCCAAAGTGCTGGAATTACAGGTGTGAGCTACCATTTGGGGCCTTAATTCAATTATTGATCTGTTTATTGTCTTTCTAAAAGGAAGAATCCAGGATTCAGGATAATCTATAATTTTCATTATCATCTCCTAACTAATCAAGTGGTAATTTATATAATTTTCATTTTACCTAAATTCCCTTTTAAAACAAAAGTTCCCATATTTGTAGATTAAAACATTTTAAAAACACTGCTGAAAGAAATCATAGACATAGACACAAACAAATGGAAACACATCCTATGCTCATGGATGGGTAGAATCAATATTGTGAAAATGACCATACTGCCAAAAGCAATCTACAAATTCAATGCAATTCCCATCAAAATAACACCATCATTTCATTCAGGCTGGGCACCGTGGCTCATGCCTGCAATCCCAGCACTTTGGGAGGCTGAGATGAGTGGATCATGAGGTCAGGAGTTCGAGACCAGCCTGGCCAATATGGTAAAACCTTGTCTCTACTAAAAATACAAAAATTAGTCAGGCGTGGTGGCACATACCTGTAGTCCCAACTACTTGGGAGGCTGAGGCAGAAGAATCACTTGAACCCGGGAGGCGGAGGTTGCAGTGAGCTGAGATCATGCTACTGCACTCCAGCCTGGGTGACAGAGAGAGAGTCTGTCTCAAAAAAACAAAAAACAAAAAAACAAAAAACAAAAAAAGCAACTACCATCATTCTTCACAGAACTAGAAAAAAACAATCCTAAAATTCATATGGAACCAAAAAAGAGCCTCCATAGCCAAAGCAAGACTAAGCAAAAAGAACAAATCTGGAGGCATCACATTACCCGACCTCAAACTATACTATAAGGGCATAGTCATCAAAACAGCATGGTACTGGTATAAAAATAGGCATGTAGACCAATGGAACAGAATAAAGAACCCACAAATAAGCCAAATACTTACAGTCAACTGATCTTTGACAAAACAAACAAAAACATAAAGTGGGAAATGGACATCCTATTCAACAAATGGTGCTGGGATAATTGGCAATCCACATGTAGGAGAATGAAACTGGATTCTCATCTCTCACCCTATACAAAAATCAATGCAAGATGGATCAAAGACTTAAATCTAAGACCTGAAGCCATAAAATTCTAGAAGATAACATTGGAGAAGCCCTTCAAGACATTGACTTAGGCAAAGGAATCATGACCAAAAACCCAAAAGCAAATGCAACAAAGAAAAAGATAAATAGACTTAATTAAACTAAAAAGCTTCTGCACAGCAAAAGAAACAATCTGCAGAGTAAACAGACAATCCACAGAGTGGGAGAAAATCTTCACAATCCATACATCTGACAAAGGACTAATATCCAGATCTACATGGAACTCAACAAAATCAGCAAGAACAAAACAAACAATCCCATCAAAATGTGGTATAAGGACATGAATAGACACTTCTCAGAAGAATTTATACAAATGGCCAATGATCATGAAAAAATGCTCAACATCACTAATTATCAGGGAAATGAAAATCAAAACCACAATATGATACGGCCTTACTCTTGCAAGAACGACTATAATCAAAAAATCAAAATATAATAGATGTTGGCGTGGATGTGGTGAAAAGGGAACAGTTTTACACTCTTGATGGGATTGTAAACTAGTATAACCACTGTGGAAAACAGTATGGAGATTCCTTAAAGAACTAAAAGTAGATCTACCATTTGATTCAGCAACCCCACTCCTGCGTATCAACCCAGAGGAAGTCATTACACAGAAAAGATACTTGCACACGCATGTTTATTGCAGCACAATTTGCAGTTGTAAAAATATGGAACCAGCCCAAATGCCCATGAATCAATGAGTGGATAAAGAAAATGTGGTATATATATACACCATACAATACTACTGAATACTACTCAGCCATAAAAAGGAACTAAATAATGACATTCCAGCAAACTGGATGCAATTGGAGACCATTATTCTAAATGAAGTAACATACTAAACATCGTATGTTATCATTCATAAGTGGGAGCTAAGCTATGAGGACACAGTGGCATAAGAATGATACAATGGACTTCGGTGACTTGCAGGAAAGGGTGGGAGTGGGGGTGAGCAATAAAAACTACACACTGGGTACAGTGTACACTGCTTGGGTGATGGGTGCACCAAAATCTCAGAAATGACCACTAGAGAATTTACTCTTGTAAGCAAACACCACCCATTCCCCAAAAACCTACTGAAATTTTAAAAATAATAATAAAATAAAGCTAAAAGAAGCATGCTAAAATATAGCTAAAATATGCACCTAATCTTAATCTAAAATTGTAGATGTGGAATTGCTAGTTCAGAGTCTCTGATACATACTGTAAAATCCACCTGTTATTTGGACCCAGTGTTTCACTGTTATGTACTTTCACTTTTACCCAAATTAAGTATTATATTAAAATGAGAAAGAAAAAATAATCCTTTAAAAATATATATTTGCTTTCTAATGACTTTAAACTTCTTTCGTATTTTTTAGCTATTTCATTTCTGATCTTAATAATTGAATGATTATAGCTTTACCCACTTTTTTCTTGAGTAATTTGTAAGAATCTCTTAACATTAAATTATACATAATGTCTCCATTTGTTATTTATATTTTAATTTCTATTTTAGGTTTCTAATGGTCAAACTTGTTTTTTAGGGTTAAATCAATAATCCTGTCTTTTATGAATTCTGCTTTAGAATACATGCTTTAAAAGACCTTCAGAATGCTAAAGTAAATATTAATTAAAGTTATATTAAATATTTAAATAAAACACATTTTCTTAAAAATACATTTTAAACAGTTTTAAGAAATAAATTAGGATGAATATTCTGGCCTACAAATGCTAACCTCATTAGAAAGTCTTCTATTTTTCTGCTAAATTGAGAACACAGACTTCTGTGCACGGGAAGCAGCTGCCTGGGGCACCTCTTTAACTCCATCAGCTGTGCCTGCCTAGTCCTCAAATGAGGTGACCCATTCAAGGAAAAATGTCTACTTAGAGACCTCACTTCTTGATATACGTGTGTATTACTTGTAGTTGATCTGCTGGTTTTTTGTTTGTATTGTTATGTAAACTTAAACAGAGAGAGTTTCTTGATTCTCTTTTTACCTCTGGCTATGAAATAGTTGCTTTTGCAGCTGCCTTTAATGAACACAATAAGTCAATTTTGCGAATCGCTGGCTTAATGTCAGCGATGCTTCTGCTTCTCCTGCTGGCGGACGTTCCCTGATGACTTGCTGTGTTCCATGTACTGTTCTGAGTGCCTGTGTGTACTGATGCATTCAGCCCTCCTCGCAAAAGCACTTTGAGGTTGAAACTGTCGTTATTCCCATTTGCAGGTGAGGTCACTGAGACAGAGACATTAAGTAACTTGCACAATGTCGCAGAGCTAATAAGGTGTAAAGCTGAAAATTGAATCCAGCAGTCTGGGTCCTGAGCTTTGTAGTTTTATTTTGATTGAAAAATCACACAAAAAACCATACGGTTGAAAGTAAAACTATCCAAACTCCCACTACCCAGATATTTCCACTATGGATATTAGATGATCGTTCTTCAGATATCTCTACGTGATTGATAATTTTATATCAATGGGATTGTGATTCTTTATAACCTGCTGTTTTCATTTGATATTACAGTGTCACAAAGGAAAGATTTCTGTGTGATCAAAACAGAATGTTTAACACTTACCTCTAACAGGCTATTCAAGGAATAGTCTTTTGATGAAACTTGAAATCTGCGAAAATGACTATTGTAGTTTGTAGTTTGTTCCACTTACCATCGCAAAGAAAAATACCAGTGGGAAGTTTTCAGATGACCATATTTCTAATTATTGTGATTGCTTTTCCTAAAATTTGACTTTTAGAGGTTGTAGACATCTGACTCCATTGATACATCCATAATTTTAAAGAAATCACTAGCATTATACATGCAAGGCATGACTCCACAGTAGGGATATTCTTTCTTTATACTTCGAGGAAGACGGATTTAGTTTGGGATAACGATTTCAAAGTGAACATTTTTAGAGTCTAGATTTGTGGAGAGTGTGTGACTGATATCCATGTGGCTATGTGGTCACCTGATCTCCCCAGCCCTCGACGGCCTGATTTCATTATCCTTGGGCTGTCCTTGTCTGGTGTCCCCTGGTGGAGTCTTGCATCTCTCCAGTAATGGCAATTTTTCAATTGTTTTGGCAGCTTGTTGCTGGCTTTAATTGTGCTTGTAATGATGTTGCCTAATGTTTGAGCTAAAAATAAATTCCCTGCTGTTGCTTGTGCCTATTGCTATTTGTTCTGTCTCATTAATTATTGGAGTCCCGTGAATTTTATTACCCCTCTTTATCATCATAGAAATGTTATTGTTCTTTTAGTTTTCATAATTTTAAACAAACAATCACTTTGGGTTTATGATTTGACAATATAAAGACAGATTTCTTTTTTTCTTTCTTATTTTATTTTATTTTATCTTTTTAAGACAAGGTCACACTCTGTCAGCCAGGCTGGAGTGCAGTGATGCAATCATAGCTCACTGCAACCTCAAACTCCCAGGCCTGGTCAATCCTCCTGCTCCAGCCTCCTGAGTAGCTGAGACTACCAGTGTATGCCACCATGCGCAGCTAATTTAAAAAAAAAAAAAAAATTGGGCCAGACACAGTTGCTCACGCCTGTAATCCCAGCACTTTGGGAGGCCGAGGCGGGCAGATCACGAGGTCAGGAGTACGAGACCAGCCTGGCCAACATGGTGAAACCCCGTTTCTACTAAAAATAGAAAAAGTAGCTGGGCGTGGTGGCACTTGTAGTCCCAGTTACTTGGGAGGCTGAAGTGAGAGAATCGCTTGAACCCAGAAGGCGAATGTTGCAGTGAGCTGAGATTGCACCACTGTACCCCAATCTGGGTGAAAGAGCAAGACTCCACCTCAAAAAAAAAATTTGTTAGAGATGAGGTCTTGCTATGTTGTGCAGGCTGGGCTTGAACTCCTGGCCTCAAGCAATCCATTTCACTTGGCTTCCCAAAGTGTTGGGATTATAGGCGTGAGCCACCAAGCCTGGCCAAAGACATGGATTTCTGTGTCCTTAAAGGAAGAAAGCTCCGCTCAGTGCTTTGCTTGTGTTCATGATTCAATATTTATTTATTTGTGGAATGATTGCACCAAGTTCTGCCTAACATACACAGCATTCTGGTTAATGTCCTACTTACTGCCCAGTAATAATTCTATCTTATATTTGTGGTACAAATTTGTACTCTTGGAAAATTATTTTTTCTTCTCCTGAGCACAGGAATCTCAAAGGATCCTCCTCCTCTTTATATAAGAGAGTATTCATTCTATTTATTTTTATTTATTTATTTTAGAGACAGGGTCTCACTCTGTCACCCAGGCTGGAGTGCCATGGCATGATCATAGCTCATTGTAGTCTCAAATTCCTGGGCTCAAGCGATTCTCCCGCCTCAGCCTCCAGAGTAGCTGGGACTACAGGTGCGCCACCGTGCCCAGCCTATTCATTCTTGATACTGTCTGAATGTTGCTTTTGCTTTTTTAATCCAACTGTGTGTCATGGGCATCCTATCTCATTCATTCAGTGGTGATATGGTAATTCATAGGGTGCATCTATTAACAAAAATGTTTTTTGAAAAATTTAACCATTTCCCAGTTGAATCCCATTTGTTGGAAGCTTGACATTAGTAAGATTTGTGCATGGTGTGTTGTACCACCAAGGACTATGAAGAGGGGAAGAGTGCCATTGGGCTCCCTCTGTTGTACCATCAGTGTGGCCTTTGGGAAGTTTTTATCCTGTCCTCTTGGAATGGGTTATTGTGCTGGTTTCTGCTTCACACCAAGCTGTGAACAGTACAGAGTAGCAGGTCAGCAGGCACCTTTGCAAGGATGTACACAGGAGCCATGCCTAGAGCGGTCCATAGCCGACAGAAGGTAATTTACCTGCCCAGCTCCCTGCGGGAGCCTAGAGTCAACACATAGAGTGGCTTTTAGCGAGAGGAGCTGAAAAGCAACATTGTCATAAATAAGGCATGCGTTCATGAAGAGGTGAAGAGCTGGGGATAATACTTTCATCTGCCAGCGGCCCCTCCTGGGTTCTCTTGCTCTATATACCATGGAGGACCAACTTCTTCCAACCTGAAACTTTCTTCAGCCATCTCCCTTCCATTTTTTTCCACCGTGCTATACTTTTACACAGTTCATGACGTTCCAACACAAATTTCCCATTAAAAAACCTGAAGCTGTAGAGCTAATGTTTGACTTTCCATGGCTCTGAAGATATATTTATTCCTTCCTCTTGGCTCAGACGGCCCCTCCCCATGTTGGAAAATGGTTTCTAAAAAGAGCCCAGTGAAGCGGCAGTGGTGGAATTCTCTGTACTTTTTCCTTGGCAGGGAGTTCTTTCCCTGACCCCCTTCTTACCTGTTCTAGACCCACTCAAGCTTCTGTCTCTGAGCTTTCTGTCCTCATTCTCTGTTGGCCTTGGAAGCAGATGAGCCAACTTTCATCTTTTCTGGATAACCCACTCTGGAGCTTTAGCAGTTAGAAATCACATTCACTGAAAATTGCTTTTGTCCACATTTGTTTCTGTGTTGACTATCAGTATGTGGAGTATGACCAGCCCCCCTTTTTTTTTATTTAAAAACAGCTTTACTGAGATCCGATTCACGTACCATACAATTTATCCATCTAAAGTACGCACCTTGGTGGGTTCTGATGTGTTCCGAATTGTTCAACCATCAGCACAATCCATTTTAGAGCATTTTTATCAGTCCAGAAAGAAACGCTTATGAATTAGCAGTCACTCCCAGTTCCCCCTCTACATCCCCCAGCCCTGGGATACTTTCTGTCTCTAGATTTGCCTAATCTGGACATTTCACACAAATGGAATCATACAACCTGTGGTTCTTTGTGACTGGATCCTTTCACTTAGGATAAGATTATCAAGGTTCACCTTGTGGTGTGGGTCATAAAAGTATTTCCTTTTTATGGCAGAATAATATTCCATTGTCTGGATAGACCACATTTTGTTTAGCCACTCATCAGTTGATGGATATCCACTTTCCCCCAACTTTTTGGCTATTATGAATAGCTGTGAACATTCATGTACAATTCTTTGTGTAGATTTTTTTTTTTTTTTTGAGATGGAGTCTTCTCTGTCGCCTAGGCTGGAGTACAGTGGCATGATCTTGGCTCACTGCATCCTCTGCCTCCTGCTTTCAAGCGATTCTCCTGCCTCAACCTCCCCAGTAGCTGGGATTACAGCCAGCTGCCACCATGCCCGGCTGATTTTTTGTATTTTTAGTAGAGACAGGGTTTTACCATGTTGGCCAGATGTCTCAAACTCCTGACCTCAGGTGATCCACCGGCCTCGGCCTCCCAAAGTGTTGGGATTACAGGTGTAAGCCACCGTGCCCGGCCAGATGCATGTTTTTAAAAATCTCTTAGGTATGTATCTAGAAGTGAAATTGTTGGGTCATATGGTAACTCTATGACTAGCATTTAGAGGAACTGCCAAACTGTTTTCCAAAGTGGAAAACTAGCAGTGTGTAAGGCTTTAGTTTCTCCATATACTCACCAACACTTGTCTTTGCCTAACCTAAGGTCGTAAAGGTTTACTCCTGCATTTTCTTCTGAGAGTTTTATAGTCTTAGCTCTCACTTTTATCCCTGTGATGCATTTGGAGTTAATTTCTGTCCATGTTGTAAAGACAGGATCCAGCTTCATTCCTTGCAGGCAGCTGTCCAGTTGTCCCAACACAGTTTATTGAAAAGACTATTCTTTGCCCGATTGTCTTGGCATCTTTACTGAAAATCACCTGACCATAAATTTGAGGCTCTGATTCTGGACTCTGAGTTCTATTCCTTTGATATACATTTTTTCTCCTTATGCCAATACCACATTGTCTTGATTACTGTAGCTTTGTAGTAAGCTTTCAAATTGGAAAATGTGAGTTCTCCAACTTCGTTCTTTTTCAAGATTGTTTTAGCTATTCTGTGTATGTTGCATTTCCAAATGAATTTTAGGATCAGCTTGTAAATATTTATCAAAAGAATCCAACTGGGATTTTGGTCAGGATTATGTTGACTTTGTAGATGACTTTGGGGTTACCTGCTCCTTAAACCTGTAAATTATCAATGATAAGCAAGTTGCCAGCTGTCTTTCAACTCTTTGGAATTTACATGTAGGTTAGAAATGCTGACCTCAGAGAAAAAATTTTGAATAAAGAGTTAGGTCAGGCACAGTGAATCATACCTTTAATCCCAGTACTTTGGGAGGCCAAGGTGGAAGGATAGCTTGAGCCCAGGAGTTCAAGATAAGCCTGGGCAACATAGTGAGACCCTGTCTCTACAAAAAATAAGAAACTACCTGGGTGTGGTGGTGCATGCCTATAAGAGGGATCCACACTGACATCCTCCAGGAGCCCACGGTTTAATGCATGCAGTCAGGAGATCTGGCCACCCCAGGCTGTTCAGCCATACCGCTTGTTCACCTCCTTCAGATTAATTTTGCAAGTGACTGCCAGTCTGCATGGTTTGAAAGATTAGGTGTTTGGAGATCATGTGCCCAGAGGGCTGGGATGCACTGGCACAAAGCTGTGCGGAATCGCTGGGTCTGAATGGGTCCTTGAGAAAGCAAAGGAACTGGAGGCAGCAGATAGCTGAGGTCAAATTCAGGCTTTACAGACATCCAAAGAAACTCTTTTGCTGTCTTTCCTGCTTTCTTCAGGGCCCCAACATCTATGGTCAAAAAAGTGGTTCACTATTCATAGGCCATTAGTAAAGTCAGAGGAAATTTTGACCTTTGGAAGTTCTTGAAGAATGGAGCCTCTTACAAGCTCAGAATGAGCAGCTCCTTTCTTTCTCCTGCAGGCATTGGAAATACAGTCCCAGCTGGCAACACCAGCCAGCAGCACAGCCCGGAATCCTGCTCCTGACCTGCACCATCCCCACCAGCCCACGATAGAACGTTTTTGTAGGCATTCCTCCTCATGGGAGAGGATAGAGTACATGCGAGTTTTTGCTCTCCTCCCACCCTTTCACAAGAGCACTGTGCTTTCTTTTCTTCTCTTTTTCCTTTCTTTTTTTTTTTTTTAGGCAGGGTCTTGCTGTGTCACCCAGGCTGGAATGCAGTGGTGCAATCATAGCTCACTGCAGCCTTGACCTCCTGGACTCAAGCAATCCTCCTGCCTTAACCTCCCGAGTAGCTGGGACTATAGGCACCAGCCACTATGCCTGGCTAATATTTTTTGTTTGTTTTTTGTTCAGAGACAAGGTCTCACTATACTGTCCAGGCTGGGATGACTGTGCTTTCTACCAATGCAAACTGAGATCCCGGCAAGGGAAATATTCCCTTCCTCCATGCCCCTAGTAACTCTCTTGAAAGAGAAAACTGAGTGATGATTGTGTGGGGAGGAGGCAGGCCTGGAGCTTGAAGATAGGGTTTATGCTGTTGAAGTGAGATAAACAGCTGTGGTGAGGGCCATGCCTGCTGAGCTCCTTTAAGGAGAAGCCCCAGGAATCCTTCATTAAGCACTTTACAGCTGAAGAGTTTCATTGATATTTGAAAATTGGTGCTGGAAACTACAAAAGCAAAGTGTGAGCAGAGGTATTGGAGAGGGGCATGAGGGGACCCTGACGGCAGCTGTGCAGGTGGAGCAGGGACTGCCTCGGTCCACAGACGTGGCCCCCAGAACTGTCGTGCCATTTGCGGGGGTTGTGTCCTGTAAGAAAATAGGAATCTAGGTGCAGAACAGCCCTCCTGGGTGTCAGAATGCCAGCGACAGGAGAGAAGGAGGAAGGACATGTTCATATACGAAGATACCTTTCGGGAGTTCTTAGGGAAACACTGTAAACAGCTCTGCCCTGAGCCCGGGAGGTGGCCATGCTGGCAGTGAGGGATGTGGCCTGGGCCGTGGGAACACAGAGGCGGCCAGAGGGGAAAGCCTCAGAGCTGCGTGGACAGGCTTCTTCTGCTTACACACGGGCTTCTGCCCTGCTCTTGCCCCTCGGGGGTTCTTTTGTCACTGGAGACCCTGCTGTTGCCCTTTGCTCTCCAGTGCGTGTCCCCTTCTTCCATATGCCCCCTCCTTGGTGGGGACAGGCTGCTCTGGGAGGTACAGTGACTGCGCTAGATGAACACCTTCCCAGGTCAGGCAATGACATTTTGCTGATGTGTGTTTTAGTCTGGGATGCCCTGAGTAGCTTCTAATTATGAGGCACTGTCTGTGCCTCTTGGGTGGAGGCCAAGTTTCCATTCTGCCAACTCTCAGAGGACGTGGGGCCAAAACACAGAGCCGCTGAGACAGGAGTTTCAGGGGGTCTGGAGGTGGATTTGCCGAGAATCTAAGAAGCACTTCAACTAGTTTTGTTTCCTCTCCTCCCTTCCACTCCCTTTCCCTTCTGTCCTCTTCTTTTCTTTTATGGAGCTAATTTCCTACGTCTGGCTAAAATACAGTAGAAAAGCCCTATAAAGCCTATGAGTGTCACTCTTGAATAGGAAATTAGCAAATAGACTTTGTTTGGTAACAGAAGAACCTGTTCCTGAGGCGCTGACAGCCTGTCCTAACAGAGGCAGCTGGGCTGCAGTGAGCACGGACCTGTGGTAGGAAGACCTCTGCATCCAGAGTGGCCCGGTGGAAGGTGCCAGACTCCCCCTCACTCCAAAAAAAAGAGGAGGCTTTTTGAGGGCAGGGACCTTGTTACCTTCTTCACTTTCTTTTTTTGTTTCCAGTTGTTGCTGTAACAGATTGCCACACGCTCAGTGGCTTAAAACAACACAGATAGACTCCCTTAGAGCTATGAAGGTCAGAAGTCAGAAATGGGTCTCATGCCTGTGGTCCCAGATACTTGGAGGCTGAGATGGGAGGATCACTTGAGCCCAGGAGTTCAAGACCAGCCTGGGCAATATAATGAGACTCCCATCTCTACAAAAAGTTTTTAAAAAATTAGCCAGGTGTGGTGACATGCAGCTGTAGTCCCAGCTACTCAGGAGACCGAGACAGGAGGACCACTTGAGCCCAGGAGGTTGAGGCTGCAGTGAGCCGAGATTGCACCACTGCACTCCAGCCTGGGCAACAGAATGAGACCTTGTCTCAAAACAAAAACAAAAACATAAAAAGATTAAAAAAAAAAAAAGAAATAAGTATCACTGGAATAAGATTAAAATATCTGCAGACCTTAATCCTTCCTGGAGGTACAAGGGCAGAATCTTGTTTCCTTGCCTTTTTCAGAGACCACTCGCATTCCTTGGCTTGTAGCCCCTTCCTTTGTCTTCAGAGCCAGCAGAGTAGCATTTTAAATCTCTCTCCCACTCCCCTGCCTCTCTCTTTCACTGTTGAGGAGCCTTGTGAGGACACTGGGCCCACCCAAGGAATGCAAGATAATGTCCTCATATGAAGGTCAGCTGATGAGCCCTATTCCACCTCCCATGTAACCTAACATAGTCACAGGTGATGGGGATTAGGACATGGACCTCTTTGGGGGACACTATTCTGCCCACCACACTCCAGTTTCTCTGCTGCTCAGAACAGTGCCTGCCACATACTGAGCGTTCAAACAGTGAGATACTGTTTGTTGAATGAATGAATACATTTGATGTAAACCTGTGTCTTAATTATATCAACTGAAGCAACGTTTCATTTCAGAGAAGCAACACAGGAATGGAAAATGCATGGAATTTGGAGTCAAGACCTGTGTTCAAAGTCTTTTCCACCATTTAAGAGCTGTGTGTCGACTGGGCGCAGTGGCTCACGCCTGTAATCCCAGCACTTTGGGAGGCCGAGGCGGGCGGATCACGAGGTCAGGAGATCGGGACCATCCTGGCTAACATGGCGAAACCCCGTCTCTACTAAAAAAATACAAAAAAAGTAGCCAGGTGTGGTGGCAGGCATCTGTAGTCCCAGCTACTCGGGAGGCTGAGGCAGGAGAATGGCGTGAACCCGGGAGGCGGAGCTTGCAGTGAGCCGAGATGGCGCCAGTGCACTCCAGCCTGGGCAACACAGAGAGACTCCGTCTCAAAAAAAAAAAAGAAGAGCTGTGTGTCTTTGGGCAATTCACTTAACCATGCTGAGCCTCAGTTTTCTCATCTGAATAACAGGAACAACTCTGTCTTCTCTCCCTGGTTTCACAGGGTTATTGACTTTTATTACATGCATTCAGTCATTAAATATTTGTCGAGTCCTTGCTATGGTCCAGATAGGGATTCAGGGAAGGGTTCTCAGGGAGGGTGGCAGTTGATTAAAGGTGTGACAGAAGTGAGGGAGGGGCCTTGAGGATGCTGGTGGAGGAGGGTCCAGGCTGCTAGAAGGCGTCAGGGAAGGTGCGGAGGCTCGGTGGGCCTGCCTCTGTGTTTAGGGAGCAGCGAGAAGGCCGGGGCTGGAGACAAGCAGGGGAGGGGCCCAAGAAGGGACCAGGGCGGGCCCAAGAAGGGACCAGGTCCCACCCAAGATGCCACAGAATGGAGCTTGGCTTTTATACTAAGTTTGAAGGATTCTGAACAGGGAAGTGAAACAATTGGATTTATATAGGAAGAAATCAATCACTCTGATGTTCAGTTAACATAAGATGATGTCAAGTATTTGCTTCAAAAGACTCCAGGGGGTAGGAATGGAGCGGGAGGTGAGACGAGGTAGAAAGGAAGCCAGTGGTCCATGTGTTAGTGGTGATCTTGAAGTCAGGGGATGAGAAGATGGAAGTCCATTATTCTAGTCTCTCTTCTTGTGGATATGCTTGAAAATTTCCACAGTGAAAGTTAAAAATAAATACATTCTGTGGTCAGTGTAAATAAATATCATAATCCAGCACTTCAAAACAGGATCTCTCTGGTGGCTGTGTGGCCAGTTTGGAGCTCACTGGATATCTGAAGGCTCTTGTGGAAACTTTGGACGTCCAGTCAAGGCAAGACGAACTTTGCTCGGACAGGAGGGAGGTGCGGCTGCGTGAGAGCTGGGGCTGGGTCTGAAGGCCGTGCTGGCTAGCCTGGGTTGGCACACAGCAAAGTGCAGAGTCTAGGGCTCTAGGCACATGGGGGTAAATGACACCGTATGTTTTTGAGTGCATCTGGTGTGATGGGGCATGTTCGGAGGCCTCCTCAGGGCTGTGCAGCGAAGATACTGTCCCACACAGTGGGCTCTTGTCTTGAACATGGTACGCTTACTGTGACCTTGAGGCTAAGGATGGGAGAGACCAAACCAGCCTGGGCAGAGCGGAGAGAGGGCAAGATGAGACTAACTTTCTGTGATCGTCATGGCCATCCTGGCTTTCCCCGCAAATGCATATCACGGTGGCTGTGTATGATGCGAATAGACATACCTAGGAGTGGGGTGGGGCATAGTTCTGGAGTTTTAGGAAATTCCACTTGTTTGCCAACATGCAGGTACATGAGCTGACGTTCACTGCCCTTGGACGATTTCATGGGTGGGAAAAAATGCATTTCTACAGCATCTTAAATCATTGATTTATTTTTTATACATTATTCTAGGGATTGGAATATTCCAGTTCATTACATTGTCTTTTAAAAAAACACTAATCCAGCGGGGTGCAGTGGCTCATGCCTTTAATTCCAGCACTTTGGGAGGCCAAGGCAAAAAGATCACTTGAGCCTCGGAGTTTCAAACCAGCCTGGGCAACATAGCGTGAACTTGTCTCTATAAAAACTTAAAAAAAAACTTAACCGGATATGGTGGCACACACCTGTAGTCCCAGGTACCTGGGAGGCTGAGATGAGAGGATTACTTGAGCCCAGGAGGTTGAGGCTGCAGTGAGCCGTGGTGGCACCACTGTACTCCATCCTGGACGACAGAGCGAGACCCTGTCCCAGTCAATCAATAAAAGTAATCCATGCCTTCCTCCCAACATCGTTTTTGTGGAAAGATGTTTGGATTTGTGTTGTGTCATTTTCTGCTAAATGAGGCTTGCAGCACATTTGTCAGAAAGGAGTCAGGTGCTCATCAGGTCTCTTCTAAAACCCAGCTTCCTCCTGGTACTGTTGCTTCAACCCTTGGATCCCTGAATGCTGAGAAAGCTTTTTGGCTCTAACAACACATTCAAAGAAAAATGAAAGAAAGGGAAAAAAAGAAAAAGACACCCCCTGTCATTGCAGAAGTAATGTATTATGATATAATAGAAAGGTTTTTTGAATAATTCAGAAACAGCAAAGCAAGTGGTGGTTTGTCTGTACTGCCGTTATTCAGAGAGAACATCTTAACAGTTCGATGTATTGTCTCCCAGTCCCGTTTCATTCAACTCTGCATACACTCGGGTTTTAGGACATCTGAGTAGGCATATTAACTAGGCCTCTGCTTTTCTGTGGAGAGAGAGGGTCTATGTAAAAGTCGGAAGCATTCTTCTGAATGGCACAGAAAGAACATTCAGTAATGTGTTTTTCCATTCAACTTTTGCCAGCTGAGAATGTTGAGAATTTCAGGAATTTTCTTCTACCCCTTCTCTCTTTGTTTGAATCCCAGTGGACCTTGGGCTCTTTTTGGCATCTGCCCTTGACGCTCCCTTATGGTGGCCTTGCACCTGACCTGCCACAGAGCAGCATAGGCGCCCAGGCCGAGCCTGAGCGACTCAACAGGGACAGAGCGTCCTCTGGAAATCATAATACAAAGCCCATCACTCCGAGTTCCTGGACCTGATGCCAGAGCATTCTGGCTTGGATAATTCTCATCTGGGAGGCAGAGCCCAGCTGGAGCTGTGCTTGTTGGGAAACTTCATGTATTTTCCACCACTGCTCATTCCCAACTTGCAGGATTTTGCTGCTGTAGAATTTACGATGCCACAAACCTGCATTTAAGGAATGTTGCCTGAGGCAGAGTAGGTGTTCTAAAGGATTAGGAGATTTCCTGGAATAAGACTTTCCACTGTGCTGCTGAGGGGTGTGTGTGTGTGTGTGCGCGCGCACGCGTGGGTGTGCGAGCACATAAGGCAGTACAGGATGGGAAAACAAGTGTAGTGCACACTACACGGAAGGCGAGAGCCTCCATCCTGAGCCTGTTTTTACCTTGGCCGTGAGCTCTGGAGGGTTGTCACAGAGCTGGAAAAACCTCAGCTTTGTGTCTGACCCCACCCACTGCACCAGTTTCACAAAATAAGAAAAGTAGGATAGAGCCAAGCCAAGCCTCAGGACTCTCTTTGAGTCCAGTTCTCTTCACTTCCCCAAAGGTGATTCTTGATCACGCGAGGTCCCTAGATGTTAATAAATACTACTTGAAAAAAAGATTTTAAAAATGAATGGGAATTCTGAACTAAAACCAAAATAAATAGGTTTCTTTACTGTAGAAAATTTTCAGAGCCTTTAATGCACTAATTATGCTTTGTAAACCTCCAGGGAAGCATGTGGTGTTTCTCAAACTTATTTGGCCAGGAAACCTTTTTTCCTGGCCACCTCCACGTGGCCTGGTGTTCTGCAGAAGACCCTCAGGAAAATACCACACTAGGCTGTCTTGCCTCATGTGCCATTTAATATTTTACAAACACCTAAGTCTAATTGCTGCTGGATATTCCATCATATGGCTAAGCCAAAATTTATGTGTCCATTCTTTAATTGTTAGACATTGAGATTGCTTACAGTTTTTCAGCATCATTGATAATTTTCAAAGGAATTCTGGTTACTTTGTAACCATCTCTGATTATTCCCTTAAGAGGTGGAATTGTCAAATCAAAGTATCTGAACATTTGCAAGATTCTTGAAACACATTGTCCAGCTGCTTTCCAGAAAGGTCATGCTCGTTTATTTTCTACCAGCTGCGGGCAGGGTTAATGTCCATCTGCGAAAGCTGAGCAGCCGGAGAAGCTCCAAGAGCCTGAAGAAGGCCGTTCCCGTCTCCCCTGCCACAGGGACCTCCAGCAATTAGAAAACAAATAATCACACACACTAAGGACATAAACAGCTATTTCTTTTGAGGAGACACACTGGGTTTTCACAGTTCCCTGTGCCGTTTCTAAATAATTGAATGACATCTGAAAAATTTCTCAACATTTTAATTTGGTCTTCTAGATGTTTTGCTGGGTAGTCAGGGAAGAAGGGATTTTGAATTGGCATCTGTTGTGCTAATTTTCAAATAACCTTTCAAGGTAAGATGTAAAAATAAAGCTTTATCAGCCTCTTGTGACTGTGAACTTTATTTCCAGAAGAATCTTTTTATGTGAGCATTCCATCAGTCTTATTTCTGACCCCACAGGAATTGAATTATGTCATGTTGAGGACTGAGGCTGATTGTGGTGCTTTTGCTTTCTATTTGTAAGGGGGAAAAGCATAAACATTGTAGACTAGAAGTGATTTATCTTTTTGTCCTCCACCAAGATCACCCTTTGGTCAATGCATTATTGGGTTTTGGAACTGAGACGTGAACTTCTAACTCATTAAAACCCTCAAGTCCCCAGCAATAAAGTCATTTAAGTGGCTTCACCAACAGAGATTTATTTCAAAGCGATTCCATTTGGAGGAAGGAAAGAATGAGTAATGCATTATATACCAAGATCGCTTCAATAATTCATGAGACCTCCATGCCAGTGACCGTTTTAGATTCAGTTCATGGTGTTTTAGCCTAAAGTGAACTCTCTCTGTCTTAGAAGACACCCGCAGTTTGCTCCTCTTTGAGCTTGAGTCCATGAATATCTTTACTTTTGGGAAATAAAGTTTGTATTGACTGCTACTTTGTGCGTTTACATGAACCACTCTTATATGGAGGCTATTTTGAAAAAAATGGGCATTTTGTATAATTGGGGTAAAAGGATACTTAATCTGCGGTCCTTACCCTTTGAAAAGTAGGAATGTTTAAAAAAAATTATTGCTTTTTCCTTCCTTTGGGCAGGAATTCTGATTTTGTTTTTTAAGTGTAAGGAGTAGATTGCCAAATGGTGGGTTAAAAATAGATTTATGGATGCCTAATAATTATGCCAAACACAGTGTTGGGCCGTCAGTGAGTACGGAAAGGCATGCATGGCAAATGTCGCTGTCCCCAAGTGCGTTCTGGAATGGGGGCAGTGGGTGGCGCCGGCCCTTCAGCATCTTCGGCCACCGCACAGTTCAGCTGTGAACTCCTTGGTTCACCCTGAGCTTCGTCCAACCTTCTCCCTTTTCTGAAACCCGCAGAGGCTCCAGAGTCCTTTCTCTTCAGGATGGAGACCTGCATGGAGGGACTGGAGGCAGGGAGGGTGGCCCACTTCCTTTCCACACTATTGTGAGTGCCTCACCAGCATTCCTCAGTGCAGTAACAGGGAAACCTGGGGACTCAGATTTCCAAATACCATCATTTCAGTTTGGCAAGTATTGATCCAATGATGAGTATCGTGGGAAAGAAAATAATAAGTTAGGGTTTTGTCGCTTGCCAGAAAAGCTTCAGGATCCACTTCTCCTTCCTCCCTGCTCTCTCCCCACTGCCCAATAAAAACAGCTGCTTTGTTCAAAACTTAAAAACCATATTATTTAAAACTCATTGTAAAAATTTATGCTATACAGATGCTTGTAAGGAAAATGTAAAAATCGCTGGAAATCCCACCTGTTAAGATTTAGAGGAACCTCGTGTTATTCCTGCTCACAGAGACATACTCCCACATACATTTTACCCTACATTATATTATCATATAATGATAAATTAACCACATAATAAATGATAAATTATATGCTATATGTGCTGTTTTGAGACTATTTCTCATCTAACAGTATGTCAAAGATCTCTTTTCCTATAAATAAAAATCATCATTTTAATGGCTATAGAATATCATTACATACATATATGTATTAATCTGTGCACAAAATAACATAGACTGGGTGGCTTAAACAACACACGTTGATTTCTTACCATTTGGGAGCTGGGAAGTCCAAGATCAAGGTGCTGGCAGATTCAGTGCCTGTGAGGGCCCCCTTTCTGGTATGCAGATACTCGCCTTCTTGCTGTATCTCACATAGGGGCAGGGCAGGGAGAGAAGGGAGATCTGGTCTCCTTCTCTCCTTATAAGGGACTAATCCCATCTGTGACCTCATCTAACCCTAATTACCTCCTAAGGGCCCCACCTCCTAATACCGCCACGTTGGGAGTTAGGGTTTCAATACATGGATTTTAGGGGAGACACAAACATTCAGTTCATAACATTATACCATGAGTCAATTCCCATTTACTCCCATAAACAGCGCAGGGATGTGTCTTCCTGCGTGTGATGGTCACTCCAGTATATATTCCTCTAAGTGGAATTGCTGGGTCAAATGGGACACACATTTCAACTTTTGATTATATTACCAACAGTTGCTTTGAAAGAAGATATTCAGCACATTCCATGTAGAGTATGTGTGCCTCCCTTCCCAAACCCACACCAACACTGAACAGCACAAATCTTTTTACAATTTAATAATTTATAAGTGTCTCCTTATTTTTATTGGTGTTCTTCCGATTCTAATTGAACATGTTTTAAAATATTTGTTGGCAATGTATATGTCTTCTGTGATTTACCTTTATATATATCTTTGTCCATTTTTCTATTAAGCCATCTTTTTCTTATTGACTTTCAAAACCCCTCCAGGATACTATTTTTTTTTTTTTTTTTTTTTTTTTTGAGATAAAGTCTCACTCTGTCTTCCAGGCAGGAGTGCAGTTTTGCAATCTTAGCTCACTGCAACCTCTGCCTCCCGGGTTCTAGCATTTCTCCTGCCTCAGCCTCCCAAGTAGCTGGGATTACAGGCATCTGCCACCATGCCCAGCTAATTTTTGTATTTTTAGTTGAGACGGGTTTCACCATATTGGCCAGGCTGTTCTCAAACTCCTGACCTCGGGTGATCCTGCCTGCCTCAGCCTCCCAAGTGTTGGGATTACAGGCGTGAGCCACTGCACTCGGCCCCTCCAGGATACTTTTTAATTTAAAAAAATATGCAGATTAAGACTGGACCCTTCTCCAAAATATACATAAAATGTATGCATTCTGAGACTAATGACCTCTCCTGTCTGGGGATGAACGATGCTAGTGACCAGCAGCACTTGCTTTGTTAACATTTTGGAATGGAGCTCCTCTGCTGTCTTGTCATTTGTGGACCTTAGGTAGGTGTGAAGCCCCGCGTTGGAGAGGTGGCAGCCCCTCCAGACCCGAGGCAGCTGCTGCCAAGGTTGCCCTTGCTGACTGGTCCTCATTAATGGCTCAGCAAGGGTCCTGTGATCTTTGCCAGTGTTCCCTTTCCCTCTCCTTGCCATACATCTTTCCTTTACTGCCGCATAATTCTAATGAGATTACCCTGGGTCAGTCAGTTATATTAGAGAAATGATGAGCAGCAGGGAAAAGAAAATTCACAAGATGGTAACATTTAAAATAAAATTTGTTTTTGGCCTTTACCCAACAGTAGATTTCATGGTCAATAAACCACAAGCATACATATGTGTTGATGAGGAGGAAGATTTATTATTTCATATGAACTCTGGGGCCGGGTGCGGTAGCTCACACCTGTAATACCAGCACTTTGGGAGGCTGAGGCAGGTGGACCACCTGAGGTCAGGAGTTTGAGACCAGCCTGGCCAGCATGGTGAAACTCTGTCTCTAATAAAAATGCAAAAATGATCCAGATGTGGTGGTGCATGCCTGTAATCCTGGCTACTCAGGAAGCCAAGGCATGAGAATCGCTTGAACCTAGGAGGTGGAGGTTGCAGTGAGCCAAGATTATGCCATTGCACTCTAGCCTGGGTGAAAAGAGTGAAACTCCATCTCAAAAAAATAAAATAAAATAAATAAATAATATGAACCATGGAAAAATTATATAGGGAAGGAATTTAGGGATCCTGTAAGGATGATGTAGGATAAAACGTTTATGTTTAATTTGGGATTGAATAAAGTCTGTTCACTTTGGCCTAAAACTGTTCATTGTTCTTAAACAGTTTCATTCATTGGCTCCCATGTACTATCGAGGCTCAGCTGCAGCTGTTATCGTGTATGATATTACCAAGCAGGTAAGAATGTCTCCTTCAGAATTTAGATGTCATTTATGGTGGTTCTCTCACTTAGAGAGACTGGAGCAGAGACGTCACTGCTTGCATCTTGCCAGTAGCGTGCCACTATATATTGAGTTTATTTCATGTATATGTAACAAAGCATCCCATATTTATCTGCTAAATTAAACAATAATGACCATTCATTCTTAAAATTGACTGTAGAGGCAAAGTCATGCCTGCTAGTACTATTCTGCAGAATGTCAGCTTTTAAAGAAAAGGAAAATCATTTTTAATTTCTGCATGCTTTATAATTACAGAATACTTATTTTTGTTACTGTTTCAATCATACTACATACTTAAAATGCCAAGCATAACATTCGTGTGTATGTAAGTAAATCTTTGTGTGTGTATATATAAGTATATTTTTAGTTATCACGTTGAAGGTCTTAGACTTCCATCAACAAATAACCGCAGTAGTTTGATGACATTTTTTCCCACTCCTGCAAACTGAATTATTTACTTTTTTTTCTCTGGAGTGTTGACTCAGCACATAAGACTGTTAGTTTAATGACCCATCACTGTTACTTTCCACGAGTTCCTGACCACTTCTACCTAAATGTGGTGTGTTGCCCTTGGCCTGTTTTCTAGAGGACAATTGTGAGTGAAGGGCCAACAGGAAGACAGGACTCTAAATATATATGTTTCTTCCTTGGTGTAAGCATGAGCATTTACTTAGTCCTGTTATTCTTATTCATGTGGAGTCCAGGCTATCATTTTAAATTAATGTTATTTATAGGAGAAAAATCACTGATATGATTTTCTTAACTAGATCAAGTTTTAATTTTAGAAAACTTGATATGGTCTATTTAAGTATATTTCAGCTAACATTAACTTTTGTGCCTAGACAGAGGTAGTATGTTAATCTGCATGAGTCTCCTAAAAATATTTTTCTCCATTAAATTGTACTGGGCTTGTATTTCTGCTTAGTTGAAATATTATATTGAGGGGTCTTTCTAATGATTTGTGTACACTGTTGGTTTAGGATTCATTTTATACCTTGAAGAAATGGGTCAAGGAGCTGAAAGAACATGGTCCAGAAAACATTGTAATGGCCATCGCTGGAAACAAGTGCGACCTCTCAGATATTAGGTAAGATGCATTGAAATCTCTTTTGTGTAGATACTGTCCTCCATCCCTGAGTGTCATCCGTGTAGATACTGTCCTCCATCCCTGAGTGTCATCCGTGTAGATGCTGTCCTCCATCCCTGAGTGTCATCCGTGTAGATGCTGTCCTCCATCCCTGAGTGTCATGCGTGTAGATGCTGTCCTCCATCCCTGAGTGTCATCCGTGTAGATGCTGTCCTCCATCCCTGAGTGTCATCCGTGTAGATGCTGTCCTCCATCCCTGAGTGTCATCCGTGTAGATGCTGTCCTCCATCCCTGAGTGTCATGCGTGTAGATGCTGTCCTCCATCCCTGAGTGTCATCCGTGTAGATGCTGTCCTCCATCCCTGAGTGTCATCCGTGTAGATGCTGTCCTCCATCCCTGAGTGTCATCCGTGTAGATGCTGTCCTCCATCCCTGAGTGTCATCCGTGTAGATGCTGTCCTCCATCCCTGAGTGTCATCCGTGTAGATGCTGTCCTCCATCCCTGAGTGTCATCCGTGTAGATGCTGTCCTCCATCCCTGAGTGTCATCCGTGTAGATGCTGTCCTCCATCCCTGAGTGTCATCCGTGTAGATGCTGTCCTCCATCCCTGAGTGTCATCCGTGGAGATGCTGTCCTCCATCCCTGAGTGTCATCCGTGTAGATGCTGTCCTCCATCCCTGAGTGTCATCCGTGTAGATGCTGTCCTCCATCCCTGAGTGTCATCCGTGTAGATGCTGTCCTCCATCCCTGAGTGTCATCCGTGTAGATGCTGTCCTCCATCCCTGAGTGTCATCCGTGGAGATGCTGTCCTCCATCCCTGAGTGTCATCCGTGTAGATGCTGTCCTCCATCCCTGAGTGTCATCCGTGTAGATGCTGTCCTCCATCCCTGAGTGTCATCCGTGTAGATGCTGTCCTCCATCCCTGAGTGTCATCCCTGAGTGTACAAAGGTATCATGCCTTTGTTATGTCTGCCCTCAGTGTAGTAACTTAATTAATGGCCTTTCACTTTTGGTAGTCAATGTGGCATTGATTCAACCAGAGAAGAAATAAGAGAAAATGATAGGGAAATACAGATCTGATGTACCATACAATGATAAATGTTCAAATTATAACTCCTGTACATAACACAGTTACATCCCTGACTCTACATATCTTTGGGCTAGATGGTTTTGTTATTTCTGTTGTTACTTTTTCCATTATTATTTTCATTATGACTACTAGCACAATTTTACTAACACTTTCCTATGGTAATGACCATTAGAATTCTTAATATTTTTCATAGCATACCTGTTTGTTTTGGTTCTAGATTTTATCTTAAGGATATAGTCAAGTACATAATCTCACTATTTAGTTCTAAAATCAGAATACGACACATTGTATGTGAGTACCTTGACTTTCCCCAGTGGTATTGGGTTATTGAACTTCTTATATCTTGAAGGAGGTTGTGAGGATCCAGTACACATGAATTAGAGATTTGATGATAGCTTTACCTAGCCTGGTAAGCTAGCTGTTTTGCTAAATAAATACATTATTTAAAAAAGGAAATAGCGAATTTGTGGTATCTCCATTCCCTTGGTTAATTTAATTCTCAGGAATTCTAGTCGTTGATTTTCATAAAGACAACTACATCATGCTTCTGGTTTTGCTAATCAAAGTGTGATTAAACCAAAGAGGAATAAATAATGGATGGAAGTGGATCTTGCAAAAGCTCTTAACATAGCATTTAACGAACTGTTCTGTTTCTTTAGGATTTCAAAAGTTTGCATCAACTTGCATCTGGTTGGTTTATAATAACAGCCATAAACACCACTTTTCTGGGATTTGGACAAATCTTCAAACTTCCCAGACTTAGTTATCTCCCTTCGTTACTGTAATCCTCAAACAGCTTACTCATCTAGTGTTCCCAGCAGAATCACCTTAACCTTTGTCATGGGAAGGGTGAGGTGGGTGGGTAGAGACGACCTTTGCTGAGAGAAGGTGCTATCTCTAAATCCCCCTAATTATGGGACTAATGTGCGCCTTTAAGTGGAACCGAGTCTTATGTATTGTGGGAATGCTGGTGGACTAGAATTTAAGCAGAAAACGATTTAAACTTGAATGGTATCACTTAGGATTCTTGGTTATGTGGAACCAAAGCACAACTGAAATTCAGGAGAAAGGGGAATTTATTGGAAGATACTGGTAATCCACATGGTAAAAACAGAACTGCCCTCAGCTCTGGCATTTGACATGTTCCAGAGTTAGTCTCTGGAGAGATACTGGCCTGGCATTCTCTTCGTTTCCAGTCTAAAATGCCAGGGAGGAATTCCCCAGGTTAAGAACAGGCGTGTGTGGCCAAGAGGGGATTGGTAGTACGAGATGATATTTCCCAACATTACTATTAGAATGGGAAGGCAGGTGGTCTTGAAGAGGGACAGTTCCTAGAAAAGTGTAGCCTGGCCAGATAAAACATATCTGTGACATATAGATGTGGCTACCAGCACCCAAAGATGTGCTGTGTTTCGGGGTGGAATTTGCCTTTTATGCACAGGTACAGCATTCTTCTTGATGGGTGTTCTGATTTGTGCTCAGCTGATTCTTATATGTGCAATTTTCATAGTGCCCCAGCTAACATAATCTATTCATCTCACTTCCAACCGTGAATTTACTCACAGCCTCTCTATCCCCAGTGGGAGAAAATGCAGGGCCATCCAGCTGCTACCTCTAGTGGTAGTGTCATGGGGCCACTGTCCCATGCATCCAGCCTCCCTGGTAGTATCTTTTCTCCTCTTGTTTGGCCTCAGTGAGGTCGGAATGTGGCTCCTCAAGATCCTGCAGTTGCGTTTTAAAGTGTGGCATGTATATCTTTTGTTATACACAGTTATTTTAGATGGTACTTGTTATTGAATCAAGCAACAAGAAGCTGACTGCCTTTAAAACTCTGATTAGGTCAGTGAGAAAGACTAGTTGGACACTAATTCATTTTTAATTTTTAAACATTTAATATGTTGTATTGAGGTAAATTACAAAACATCACGGTCACCTGTTTTAAGTGTATACAGTTCAACGACTGTTAGTATATTTTTAGAGTTGTACAGTCATCTCATATCTAATTTTAGAACATTTCTATCACTCTGTGAAGAACGTCATGCCCATTTATACTCGCTCTCAATTTCCACCTCCTTCCAGCCCTGGTAATCACTAATGTACCTTTTTTTCCTCTAAATTTGCTTTTTCTGGACGTTTTGCATACATGGAATCGTACAATATGTGGTCTTTTGTGACCATCTTCTTTCAGTTAAGCAAATGTCAGTGATGCATTCATTTTTATGGCTGAATAATATTTCATTGTATGGATATACCACATTTTTATTTATTCATTCACACATTAACATTTGAATTATTTCTACTTTTTTGCTATTATGAAAAATGTTCCTATGAACAATCATGTACAAATTTTGTGTGGATGTATGTTTTCATCTCTCTAGGATATGTACTTAGGAGTGGAATTTCTGTGTCACATGATAACTCTTTGTAATAATTTTGGGAACTCACAGACTGTTTTCCAAAGTAACTGCAAGATATCCACATCCTCACCAACATTTATTGCCTGTCTTTTTGATCATAGGCATCCTAGTGGGTGTGAGATTGTGTCACTGTGGTTTTCCTAATGACTAATGATGTTAATAAATGTCTTTTCATATGTTTATTGGCCATGTGTGTATCTTCTTTGGAGAAATGTCTCTTCAAATCCCTTGCCTAATTTTTAGTTGGATTGTCTTTTTATTATCGAGTTGTAAGAGTTCTTTATGTATTCTGAATAAAAGTCTCTTATCAAACATGTAATTCGCAAATATTTCCTCTCATCCTGTGGATTATCTTTTCACAATTTTTACTGTGTGCAAAAGTTTATGTCCAGCTTATCATGTTTTTCTTTTATCTCTTGTTCACAAGTGATTGGCTAATTGAACATCACAAATATTTATTAATGTTTTCTTAGTGCTTACATTTAGGTCTGTCATCCATTTTGAGTTACTTTTTGTATGTAATGTAAGATACGGGTCCAAATTCATCTTTTGCCATGTGGATATCTAATTACCCCTGCACCAGTTGTTGAAGAGATGGTTTCTTTCCCATTGAATCTTTTGGGGGCACTTTTGCCCAAAAGCAGTCAACCATAAATGTGGTCTTATTTTTGTGCTCTTAACTTTATTAGTTGATCTACACGTCTGTCCTGACACCAGTGTTATACTATTTTGATTGCTGTAGCTTTGTAGTAAGTTTGAAATTTAAAACTGTGAGTCCTTCAACGTTGTTCTCTTTTTCAAGATTGTTTGACTATTCTGGACCCTTAACATTTTCATATGAATTTTAGGATCTATTTCTTAATTTCTGAAAAACAAAAGGCAACTTTGATTTTAACAGAAATTGTGTTGAATCTTTAGGCCCATTCAGGTATTATTCCCATCTTAACAATTTTAAGTCTTCCGATCCATCAGTGTGAAATGTCTTTTCATTTTAATAGGTCTTCTTTAATTTCTTTTAGCAATGTTTTATAGCTTTCAGTTTACAAGTCTTGCTTTTGTTTTATTTATTCTTCTGTATTTGATTTTTTTGATGGTATTGTGAATGGGATTGTTTTCTTATTTATGGCATTGCTTGTTGTTAGTGTGTAGAAATGCAATTGACTTTAGTATGTTTATCTTGTATCCTATAACTTTCCTGAACTCATTTATTAATTTTAGTTGTTTTTTAGTAAATTATCTGGAGTTTTCTATATACAAGATTATATTATCTGGGAATAAAGACTATTTTACTTCTTCCTTTCCAATATGGGTGCCTTTTAGTTCTTTTTCTTGACTAATTTCTCTGGCTAGAATCTCTAAAACAGCCTGGAATAAAAGTAATGAGAGTGCACATTCTTGTTTCTTCCTGATCTTAAGGATAAAATGCTCCAGTAAGTATCACACTAACTGGTTTTACATATATGTTTTTTATTCTGTTGAAGAAATTCCCTTCTGCTCCTAGTTTGTTGAAGGCTTTTTGTCATGACTGAATGTTGGATTTTTTCAAAAAACTTTTTACATATGTAATTATATGTTAATTGATTTTGGGATGTTAAACTAGTCTTGCATTGCTGGGATAAATCACACTTGGTCATGATGCATAATCCTTTTTATACATTGCTGGGTTTAGTTTGCTAGTGTTTTGTTAAGGATTTTTATGTCTATATTCATAAAGGGTTTTAGTCTGTAGTTTCCATTTCTTAGAATATCTTTGTCTGGCCTTGGTATCAGGGCAATAACAGTCTTGCAGAATGAGTTGATAAGTTTTCCCACCTCCTCTGTTTTCTAGAAGAGTTTGTGAAGGATTGATGTCATTTCTCTTTGTTTTTCTACATCAACTTGATCTCCATGATGTCAGTTCTTTAAGTGTTATCTAATTTGCTGTGTAGTTCATAGTATTATCTCATAATCTTTTTTTCTTAATCCCATGACCAATTAAATAATACTTCTAATTTGTATAAGGTCAGTAGTGATGTCTCATTTTCCATTCCTAATTTTAGAAATTTGAAACTTCTCTCTTTTTTTCTCATTCAGTCTAGTCGATAGTTTGTCAGTTTTGTTGACCTTTTCAAAGAACCAGTGTTTTTGGTTTATTTCTTTTCATTGTTTTTCTCTTTCATTTATTTATCCTCTAATTGTTATTTCCTTCCTCCTGTTTACTTTGGATTTACTTTGTTCCTCTTTTTCTGGTTCGCTAAGGAGAAAGGTTAGCATATTTATTCGAGATCTCTTTAAATGTAGGCATTTATAGTTATAAATTTTCCTGTAAGCACTGCTCTAGCTGCATCTCATAGGTTTTGATATGTTGTTTTTAACTAATCTCAAAATATTTTCTAATTCGTGTTCTAACCCATTGTTTATTTAATAGCATATGCAATTCCCAAATTTTGACTTTTGATCATTTCTAATTTAATTCCATTGTAATCTGAAACATACTTTGTATGATTTTAATTATTTTACATTTATTGAGGCTTGTTTTATGGCTTAGTATATGGTCTGTCCTGGGGAATGTTCTAAGTGAGCCCGATGACACTAAGTTTTTAAGACCTATTTTTACACTTGCTATTCTCCCTTAGAGAGAAAGTCTAAGGTTGAGGGCCCTCTGCAGACAAGTGTGTCTAACTAGAGTTTAATTATATTTTGTCTTTATCATATTTATTTTTTAGGATTACATTCTTTTTATGATAGTTGACACTAGTGTTGCATTTATGACAGTGATATCATATTTCTTTTAAAATGTTAAAAAAGTTGATTTATGCACATGACATGATTATCTACACAGAAAAGCCCAAAGAATCTACCAAAAAAGTTCTAAAAATACTAAGTGGGTTCAGCAAAGTTGTGGGATACAAAAGCAACGTGGAAAAATCAATCAGATTTCTATATATTAATACTAACAATAAATATGCAGAAACTGAAATTTAAAACACGATATTCTTTACAATTGCTCCAAAGAAAATGAAATACTTAGGCATATATTTAACAAAACATATATAGGAGCTGTATGCTGAAAAGTACAAAATGTTGATGAAAGAAGTCATGTAAGAGTTGAATAAATGGAGAGACATATTATGTTTATGAATTGAAAGTCTCAACATAGTAAAGATGTTCATTCTCTTCAAATTGAGTTATAGGTTTAAATGAAATTTTTGTCAAATCTTAGCAAGGTTTTTTGTAAACATAAATAAGCCTATTCTAAAATTTATATGGAAAATCACAGACACTGAATAGCTAAAACGATATTGACAAAGAAGAATATAATGGAAAGAATCACTCTGTTCTATATGAAGGCTTACCATATAGCTACAGTAATCGAGACAGTATGGTATTGGCAGTGAGACGGATGCATAGATCAATGGAACAGAATAGAGAACCCAGAAATAAATCTACACAAATATGCTCAATTGATTTTTTGACAAAGATGCAAAGGTAGTTCAACAGAAGAAGCAATTCAACCAATGACCTTTTCAACAAATAGAGTAATCGGACATCAATAGGCAAAACAAAAACAAACCTCAACCTTATATAAAATTAGTCTAAAATGAATCACAGGCTTTAATGTAAAATGTTAACCCATAAAACTTTTAGAAAAACTTCTAAAAGAAAATAAATTTAAAGATCTGGGGTTAGGCAAAGAGTTCTTAGACTTATCATTAAAAGCACGATTCATATAAGGAAATACTGATAAATTAGACACCCTTAAAATTTAAAAACTTAAAAATATTTGCTCTGTGAAATATTGAGGTGTGAAGAGGATGAAAGACAAGCTACAGACTAGGAGGAAATATTTGCAAACTATATATCTATAAGGGACTAGTATGTAGACTATATAAAGAACTCACAAAATTTACATGAAAAAATTTGAAAATGGCAAAAGACATAAACAGACATTTCACCTGAGAGAATAGGAAGATGGTGAGGAAGGATATAAGGCGACGTTCAATATCATCATCAAACCTATCAGAATGGCTAAAATAAAAATCAGCGACAACACCTAATGCTGGTGAGGATATGGAAAAACTGAGTCATCCATACGTTGCCGGTGTGAATGCAAAATGGCACAGCCACTCTGGAAAACAGTTTGGCAGTTTCTTATAAAACTAAACGTGCAGTTACCATATGGCCTGGCAATCACATTCACGGGCATTTATCCTGGAGAAATGAAAACTTATGTTCACACAAAACCTGCACATGAATATTCATAGACACGTTATTTGTAATAGTCCTAAACTGGGATCAGCCCAGATGTCCTTCAGTTACGAATGGCTAAACAAACTGTGGTGCATCCATACCATGGACTACTACTCAGCACTAAAAGGAGGCAAACTGCTGATACACACAGCTCGAAATGCATCTTCAGGGGAATTGTGCCGAGTGAATGAAGCCAGTCCCAAAGGTTTCACATTGCATGGTTCCATTTATATAACATTTTAGAAATAGAGGATAGATTACTGATTGCCAGGGCCTATCATAAGGGGAAGTAGGGGTGGGGGACGGGGAGGAAAGTGGGCATGGGTTTGAAAGAGCAACATAAGGGACCCTGTGGTGTCGGCACTGCTTGGTATCTTCTCTGTGGTGGTGGACACAGGAACCTACACAGGTGGTAAAATTGTATACAGCTTAACTCACATACATAAGTGCATACAAGTAAAACTGGAGAAATCTGAATAAGATAGAATGCATCAATGACAATGTCCTCTTTGTGATATTATACCATAGTTTTTCAAGATGTGACCATTTAGGGAAACTGGGCGAAGTGTATGAGAAATCGCTTGGTACTGTTTCTTACAACTGCATGTAAACGAATCTACGGTTATCTCAGTAAAAAATCTGATTAACAAAAAGTTGATTTAGATAAAAATAATAAATATTGGAACAGTCAGGTGAGGGTATGTGTGATACATATGCATTATATATATTATATACACATGGCAAAAATTACAAAGGGGGATGTATTTGACAAAAATTTTGTAAACACACTGGGCCAAATGATTAAATTAACCATCTCCAGCACACCTAAGGTACAAAAGATAAACAGGGTAACTGTATTAAAAATTCCCATTTAGGAAAGAGGGAAGGGGAAGACTGCTGCCTGGGTCTCTGCCCAGAATGTCTGTCTCCTGTGAGACAGGAATAGTCGGTAAGTGATAGGGCCTGGGAACCTAGTGGGCACCGGCTTGTTGACACGTTTCTATGGTGGGGGAATCGGTTCTTGGTCAGCAATCTGGCTGCTCCAGATTCTGCCTGCTGATATAACTTTTCTGGGGAGTTAGCCAAACCTCTAAACCCCAGACCTTATTCAGAGCTTGACCTTCTTTTACTCTAATCCCAAAGTACTTTGCTCTCCTGTAATTCCCAGAAAACTGTATTTGATTTTTAACTGAGGGTTGTAGCAGGACAGTATGTAGATATGTGTGTGTAGATATGTGTGGATGTAGATGTGTTTGTATGTGTGTGTGTATGTGTGTGTGTAGATGTATGTGTGTATGAGTGTGTGTGTAGATGTGTATGTAGATGTGTGTGTATGTGTGTGTAGATGTGTATGTGTGTGTAGATGTATGTGTGTATAAATGTGTGTGTAGATGTGTGTATAGGTGTGTGTGTGTAGATGTGTATGTGTGTGTGTAGATGTATGTGTATATGAGTGTGTGTAGATGTGTGTGTATGAGTGTGTGTGTAGATGTGTGTGTGTAGGTGTGTGTGTGTTGGTGGAACTGATCTCATCCAACACACTTTGGTTGTGTAAGCTTGTCAATTCTTGGAAGGAGCTCTGCCTGGCCTATTTTGAGAATTTGCTGGATGGAAATGGAATTCGCCCTCCAACCTTGGCTCAGCCCACTTAAGGCATTTGAGTGCAGAAGTACTTGGCAGAGATGCCTGTTCAGTGTGTTTCATCTTCTTGCATGTTCCAGAAGATGGTATAAAGGTCCGCCCCACTCCCAGAGTGGAAGGCATTCAGAGGCATCCGGTCAGGTACACTCAGGATTTTTAGCTTGGATTTTTTTCTAGGTTCCTGATCTTGGTGAGAGATTTTCCTATCTTGAACAACCCTAAACAAAATCTCCCCTGCTCAAATTATTGTGAAACTGAAGTAATGTATGGTCCCTCTGAATTTGAGGCATGAAAGCAAAGTGGAATGTGAGAAGACTGTCCTGGACTTGCACAGAGTAGGTGCTCAGGGGTGTAACCCCCCGTCCTTCCTGCCGCTCTTCTCCCTCCCCATGAATGTTCTGGTCACAGCTCCCAGGGGTGGAGAGTGTGCAGTTCCTGGTGGGGCAGGCCATTCTGTTCTCTCCACCATCTGCTGATGCTGGAGTTAGGCTTGCACAGTTGGGGACATTTAAGGGATTGTCAGAGTTGCAAGAAAATAAGAACCTCAAATGGATTGAATCCACAGGATCTGGGGTACCAGCTGACTTGCCTGGTCAAGATGGCAGGAGAACCTAGTCTGTGTGCGAGCTGGGGCTGGCAGCAAGTTTCTGAACAAGTAGCACATGGCATGGGGCTAATTCAAGGTCTGTGCTATTCTAGGACAGCAGATTGGCCTAGGGTCTAAATAGAAAAGAAAGCTTTGTCTCAGAAAGTCTGGAGAGCCCTACAGGACGCTGCATGTCCTTTTCCTGGGTCTGGTGGGAAAAACAGGGCAGTTGAGTCTTGCAAAGAAAAAAAGAGAAATAGGTTGTAACCTTGCCTCAGTGGTTTTAAAAGTTTCATGAATTCAAGAAACCATAGTGCACTTGTTAAAAATTCCAGTTCTAGGAACCAGGTCCAGAGATTTTGATTCAATAGGAAGAGGCAGGCAAGGGTATGTGCATTTTAAAAAGTGATCCTTTTACAAGTGGTCCAAGGGTCATTCTCGGAAAAGCATTGCTTTCGTCAGTAGGAGTTTATGGTAGAGAAGAATGAGGAAGTCCCAGAATCTATCCTGGCATCTGTACAGGTCTCTAACTGCAGGCTGCACTGTCTGGGCTTCTCTCTTGCCCTTCAGGCTTCCTGGAGAATGAAAACAATGACTCATCATCTTTCAGGATTCAAAAGTGTCACCCATTATCCTAAGCAAATTAATCCAGGAACAGAAAATCAAATACTGCATGTTCTTACTTATAAGGGGAAGTAAGCATTGGGCACTCACGGACATAAAGATGGAAACAGACACTGGGAGCTTCAGAGGCAGGAAGGAGTGGGGGACAGTTGCAAAACTTCCTCTTGTGCTCAGTACGTGGGTGACAGAATCAATTGTACCCCAAACCTCAGTGTCACCCCGCATACCCATGTAACAAACCTGCACACGTACCCCTCTGAATCTAAAATAAAAGTTGAAATTATTGGCTGGTCAGGGTGGCTCACACCTGTAATCCCAACATGTTGGGAGGCTGAGGTGGGCAGCTTACCTGAGGTTGGGAGTTCAAGACCAGCCTGGCCAACATGATGAAACCCCCCTCTACTAAAAATACAAAAATTAGCCAGGTGTGGTGGCACACGCCTGTAATCCCAGCTACTTGGGAGGCTGACACATGAGAATTGCTTGAACCCAGGAGGCAGAGGTTGCAGTGAGCTGAGATCGCACCACTGCATTCCAGCCTGGGTGACAGAGCGAGACATTGTCTCAAAATACAAACAAACAAACAAACAAAAAAGTTGAAATTATTTAAAAAAACACACACACAAAACACAAAAGTGACACCATTGGCCCTTCATCTTTAATCTCTTCCAAAGCATTTCCAGGGCCTCTCTGCCCCCTTTCACACCCCACATTCATAATCACCAGGAGAAGAGATGTGATTGGGTTCAAATTAATATGAGGCTACCCTATTTAGCTTGGATCTTTTTCTAGGTTCCTGATCTTGGTGAAAGATTTTCCTATTTTGAACAACCCTAAACAAATTCTTCCTCTGCTCAAATTATTGTGAAACTGAAGTAATGTATGATCCCTCTTCTGGATGGTTCGACTCCCTTATATCCAGCCTGTGCTTGGTTGCCTTTGGCTTGGGTAAGGGGTTAAGGGTACCTGGCTTTGGGACCTCTGTGAGAGGACCTGCAGGTATTTCAGGAACCATTTGCTTTAGGGCCATGTGGCCAGGATCCTCCGCGAAGGAGGGAAGGTCAGAGGAAGAAGAGCATATCCTATCCCACCCTGGCCCTTAAGCAAGAATCACTCCCTCACACTTCCTCTGACAAGCATGGGCAGCCTTGACCTATAGCTGCCATAATAAGTCATTCCTTGGGAGAAATTACTCCAACCCCATACATTCCGCATAGCAGGTTCTAGTTCTACATTTCTTCTGCTTGATCTTGTTTTCCTGATTTTGAATTCTTGGCTCTACACAAATCCCCTTTGACTCTTCCCAATTTGAAACTCTTTCAGGCTTTCCTGGTCATTTTTGGACATTGGCCTTCATTTCATGGCTTCTAATGGAACTGCTTTTCAAGCTCAGGGGTCTCCTGTTGGCATTTCCTTGAAATTCCACCTCTCACTGGTGTATTTAGGGCCACGAATGAATCAGAAGGATGAGGGAGGGATCAGGAAGTGCCGATGGGAGAAGACCCCTCAGACCTAGTTTATTTTATCTTACAAGTGGTAGCAGTGGGAAGTTACCCAACAACAGTGACGATGGGGGCTGGGTTGGGAAGTGGGAGAACTTTCTTCTCAGAGGTGGTGGGTAATGACCTTGAGATGGCTCTGCTGTCACTGGCTGCCTCTGCCTAAGATTCCTCCTACCCTCCCCATGAATACAACCCAGGAGATGCTCAGGGGCTGTTCTCATGCACTCTCGCCTCTTCTGAGGGATGGAATCATGGTCTCTTAACATCTTACGGAAGCACTCTGGTGCCTCTTACAGAAACATTGGGAGGGATGGGTGGGACTGCTGCCAGGGAGTCCAGAATTCCTTCCTGGAGTAGAGGTCATACACCAAGACAAAGGGCATCTAGTGTTAGAAGTGAAAATAGGGTAGGGTAGGAGGAAGGAAATTAGTCCTATCAGCTCTCAGTCATTTGATTAGCAAATACGTTTTGACGGTCCTTTTGTGGCAGCAAAGTGCTGTGAGAATAGAAAAGAGACTGTCTTTTCCTTTGAGCTATTAATGTTTACTTCTATTTGGGCAGCCAAGAAAGGGGGTGGGGAAGTATCTGATGAGCAATGTAAGACTGTATTTAATGAAGTTCCAGTTGGTCTGATGCAGTCCAGAAAGGACAGAGGGGTTCAGGAAGGGGAGAGGTCAGAATCATCTGTTGTGACTAGGAAAGGCATGGGACGACATGCGTCCCAGGTGAGGTATGTGCCACAGGCAGTTACGGATGTGTTGGAGGAGGAAATTCCAGGAAGGGGCAAGATCTGGAACGAAGGCCTGGAGGTGGGAGCGAGCTTGGCACGTGTTGGCAGGGAGGGGCCGTCAAGAATATCTACCCTGCGCCTGCCCTGGGGAATAGTGGGAAAGATGGCGGGATGGTGTGGGTCTCAGAAGCATGCAGAGTGGGTGGGCTCGATGTGCTGGCCAGGATGGTGCCCGCCTCGGCTTCCCCATTGCCAGGCAGTCAGAACACTGTTTTCTTCTGAGCCTGTTGTGGCCCCAGGCTCCTCCTTAATGCAATGCCTCGGGTAGTCACTACCAGTTAAAGAGATCAAACCTATTGGCCATCCTCCAAGGAGGCTGTGGGAGCCGTTCTAGTGTCTTGAGTAAGTGTGTGATTCATGCAATTTCCTGTGCAATCTATAGCTGGAAACCAGGGTGAGCCTGTGCTTCCATAGTGTACACGGTCAAGTTAGAAACACCACCAGCCATCTCCTCACTTGTTTTACATTTTTGGATAAAGTTGTGGTTTTTAACAGATTAAAAATATATTTGGAGATAAATACTTTTTACTAAGAATAATAAATTTACATTGCTTTCATCTCTTCCATGTGACTCTAAAACTCATTCCAGTCTTGATAGTGAGCCACAGTTGAGTAGGGGAGTTTCTTAGAAATTATACAAACCAAATAACAGAATTTGAAATGCTGGACCTTAAAAATCCAATTTATTCCAAATACTAAAAGCACTAAAGCCAGTGAACATCAAAAGGCCTGAAAAATCATGGCAAGTGTTAAATGCACGATGCGTTTTCCTTATGTGAGATAATGAGGAAGAATAGAGTCTGTGCTGTTAAAATGTGTGTGCTCTGAGATGTGCCTGTCCGTGTTCTGCGACTGATGTGGTGCGGGTGGCCCCTCCCATTTACCTGCTGCTGTCACAGGAGGAGGGAGGGAGCTGAAGACTGAGCTGCCCAGAGAGCCCATCAAAGGCATCTGGAATCTTTCTTAATTTAAAACATTCTTAAAGAAGAATATATAAAACAAGCATATCGTAAGGAATACTGTGGTAATAAAATGAACAGCCGTGTAAGTGTGCCACAGAGAACCCTTCCCCAATCGTATCCTCTTCTCTCCACCCAGAAGTAACCACCCTGCTGACTTTGGTGATAACCACTTGTTTTCGTTATGCTTTACACCTACATTTGCATTTTCCAAGCAGTAGATTTGCCCGTTTTTGAACTTTGTAAGCGGAATGAGACTGTATGTGTCACGTGATGACGTGTCGTTCACTCAGCATGTTTGTCAGATTCACCTGATGGGGGTTAGCTGTGGTTTCTACATATTCATTGCTGTCTACTGTTCCGTTTTATGAGTGGAACACAGTTTATCTATTCATTCTATTGGTGGATATTTGAGTTATTTCTGGCGTGGTGTTACTATGAACATTGCTGCTTGAACGTTCTTGCACATGTGTAAGCATTTCTCTGGACTGGGGTAGGTAAGAGTTGAATTGCTGAGTTTCAGGGGGTGCACACCCTCAGTCTTACTAGGTAATGCCAACGTCTTTCACGGTGGCATGGAATATGCCAATCGTGTGTGAGACTTCCTGAGGCTCTGCCTCCTTGCCAGGCTTCAGAATTGTGATCCTTCAGGGCATATAGTGCTATCTGACAGTCATTTCAATGTGCATTTTCCTAATTACCTATAAAGTTGTCATCTTTTTATATATTTATTGGCCATTTAAGTTTCTTCTTCTGTGAAGTGCCTGTTCAAATCTTTGCCATTTTTTTCTATTGGATTGTTTACCGTAATCTTGTTTATTTTTAGGATTTAAAAAAATATATACTTGATGCTATTCTTTTGTTATCTCTATGTGTTGAAACTATCATCTTCGAATTTAGGTCTTATATTTTCATTTTCTTTATGTTGTCTTTTGCTTTTAAAAAATATTATTATTATTATTATTATTTTAGAGATAGGGTCTTACGTAGTTGCCCAGCTGGAGTGCATAGCTCACTGCAGCCTTGAACTCCTGGGCTCAAGCAATCCTCCTGCCTCAGCCTCTCAAGTAGCTAGGACTATAGATGTGCACCACCATACCCAGCTAATTTTTTTAAAAAAATTTATGTGTTTGTAGAGATGGGGGTGTTGCTATATTGCCAAGGCTGGTCTCAAACTTCTGGCCTCAAGGGATCCTCCCACCTTGACCTCCTAAAGCCCTGGGATTATAGGAATGAAACACCGCACCCAGTTCTTTTTTTCATTTTTTAAGAGACAGGGTCTTGCCATGTTGCCCAGGCTGGAGTGCAGTGGCTATTCGCAGGCCTAATCCCACCACTGATCAGCACTGAAGTTTCCACCTTCTCTATTTCCTACCTGGGCCAGTTCACCCCTCCTTAGGCAACCTGATTGTCCGTCACCCCTTGGAGGTCACTATATTGCCATGCAACTTAGTGCAGACACCTGATTGACATAGTGCACTACAACCCAGAACTCTGGGGCTAAGTGATTCTCCTGCCTCAGCCTCCTGAGTAGCTAGGACTGCGGGTGCATGCCACCATGCCAGGCTGTGTTGTTTTTTCATCATCAGAAGTCCTTAATTTTTGTGTAACATGATTTATCAATTTTTTTCTTTATGGTTTATTTTGGGGGGAAGAGCCTAATTTTAAGAAATCTTATTTTAAAAATATTTCCATACCTCCAAGATCAGGAAGTTATTCCCCTAATATTAACTTACTCCCCCAATATTAACTATCTTTCATAAGCTTTACAGTTTTGGTTTTCCTATCTGTCTTCAAATCACTTGAAATGGATTTTGATATGTATGCTGCTTAATTTTTCCCATGTAGACACCCAGTTGTCTCAGCATTATTGGATGTGAAGTCCACTGTTTTCCTACTGACCTGCAGTATTAGCTGTCATACGTTGCGTGTCATGTGCACAGTGTTTCTTGGGCCGTCTCTTCTGTTCCATCGGCTGACTTAGCCATCCTTAAATCAACACTGCACTAACTTAATTACGATACCTTTATCGTGAGTCTTGATAAACAGTCTGGACTTATGCTCTGGGATCTTTAATCAATACTTGTGGGCCCCAGAAAAGATTTCATGAGCACATAGAAGTGTGGGTGTGGACATGTTATGGTCTGGTGGAGACTGGGCTTATGTTGTACTTTGGGTTATGATGCAGAACTATGTTATCTATTTCGTTGCTCAAACGGTTCCAACTTTGGCCACTGGGGTTTCTTTCTGTTGGCTCCCCTGTCCCTTTGACATATGCCTATCATTTTGGTTTTTGAGCACTTTCTTACTTTCTGGCACAAGAAGCTGTTTCAGATTTATCTTGGATATTTTTGGCTCCGGCCCTATAGTCGGCCTGACTCCTTTTCCCTAATTAGGACTCCACAGGAAACACAGTCCCTTCTTCAAGGAGCTCGGCCTAGCAGTAGACAGCTTCTTTGTAGGCAGGACCAGGCTTCTCTGCAGCAGAAGGGAACTTGAAATCAGGGTAATGAGCCTCAGCAGGGACGGGCCACCACGCTGCCCTGAGAGGATCGTGTGTGGGCACGGCGCTGTGGCATGGCCCTGCTTTGACCCTCTAGCTATGCTGTAGGGCCAGGTGGAGCCTGGAGTGGCCTGAGCTGGGGACTGCCGTGAACTCTTTCCACTCCCCAAGGCATTGCATAAGTAATGTCACTTTCTACTTGCACAGCAAAATCAGGGACACAGTTTTCTCGAACACGGGGTGCCTCCCCTCCCTGCAGCCCATGCTGGTCTACCCTGGGTGGTGGGCCCTTGTTTGTGTTAGAGACAGAACGCTCTGCAGGATTCTGAGTGGCCAGTTGTGGCTCACAGTCCACTGGCAAGTGGAGGCAGAGCTGTGGAGCCCTTGGTAGCCACGGAGGGCCTGCCACCCGTCATGAAATGCCTACTCAGCTGTTACTGGCCCCCTGTGGACGGCAGTGCTAGTGATGGACAGAATCCTGGGACTAGTGCCAGTGACTCTGTGGATACGCCGAGCGATCTGGGCGTGCACTGCTGTGGTGGCCTTTATGGTCAGGAGGCGACATGCAGTGAGAAGAAGGGAAGAACTGGCCCAAAGGGATTCAGCCCAGGGTGAGGTCCACGGAAAGGCCAGGGCCAAGATGCAGCCAGCACCCCAGGCCGGTGGTGGCCTCACATCACCCATGCCAGAGGTCAGTCCTCGATTGCTCCAAACCCTCTGCTCAAGGGTTCAGAAGGAAATGAGCAGGTCTTCCCATCAGGGCCCAGATGAGCTTCTGAAAACAAGTGTGACAAAACAACCTCCTGAACATCCTGGAATGACCGATGCAAAGTACACCCCACACGGTTCACAGCACGAAGATCATCAGGGGCAAACCGTGGACGATCTGAATGACAGCACAGACCGTCAGCAACCTGCAGAGCTGCCTGGCCAAGAAATTACGAGACGGAAGCAACGCTTGCAGGCGAAGGAGGAGAAGAAGGAAAGGCCAGAGCAGGCAGGGGCAGGAGTGGAACGGGCCGCGAATGTCGGAGTGAAGTGCAGACCTTCCTGGCCCACACCCCTCCGAGCATGTGCTCGAGGGCAGTAGGGACCACGTGGAGGACAAGGACTTGGCAATGGTGGGGAACAGGGAATCAGGACATGGCAGTCCCTCAGCATCCCGGCCAGAAGTCCCTCTGAAGAGTGAATGATGATGGTGACTTAGGTGTGTCTTTTGAATATCCTGAGGGGGAGATTGGAAAAGCAGACTTGCAATCCTGGGAAGAAATCCAAAGGTGTAAAGAACTCACAGCGGAAGTCCAAAGTCTTCCTGCAGGCCTCCCTGCGGGGCACGAGGGCACAGCTGGAGAGGGAGCTTCCAAAACTGCAGCTGAGGGTTCCCGCTGCCTACACTGCACCGAGAACTCCCGTGATGGGGTCTCACGGGAGTCCACGGAGGAGAACGCCTACTGCCTGGACCTCGACCAGAGACTTCGAAAGGTGCACGAAAACGTGAACCGCCGTGTCAGACTTGCAACCACTACAAGAAGATGACCCAAGACCTGGCCCAGGAATCGAAAAAAGACACTTCCAATTTTCAGAGGGAGATCTTCTTCCGTGAGAAAATGGCCCAGGAAGGCCGGATGGCTGCTGTATCCACTGAGACAGCGCTCCAGCCGCTCCGGGAAGAAAATGACCACAGCAGGCAGAAGCCAGCTGATTTTGAGGCCAAGTTCCAGCTTCTCCGGGGTGGTGCTTTGGCTCCTGGGGTTCTGCCCGCAGCCCACAGGGGCCCGGAAGTGTCAGGGGGACCATGGGACGACAGGGCCCCCAGAAGGGAGGCAGGTCACAATGTGAGGGTTTGGGTCCAGAGTACCTGCTGGTTTGATTCTGTTTTCCCTGTAACCAGGTCCTGAACGCCCAGAGCCTCAGCAGAACATCAGCCAGTGGTGCTCCCTTTAAGTTACTTTTGCTCGATCTCTTGTTAGTTTAGTTCATTGGTTGATGCTGAAGTTGCTTATATTGATGTTTGATAGATGGCATTAGGATTGTAAGGTACTATTTTTCAGATAAAGATTGTTTAATTCTGGCACATACACGATTTCCACATCTCTGGACCCTCCATAAGTACGCAGGATAAGTATTTCATTTTCGTTTAGAAAAAGGGCCTCTCTTACCTCAACATCATTGTGTTCGTTATGGATAGGAAGACATAAGCCATATCTGATCTATGAGCTGTTATTAGAAAATAGTACAGTAAATTGGCTGGAATAAACCTTGGTTTTAAAACAGTGCCAAAAGTGTCATAAAGTTCTTTGTCTCTGACCCAGAATTCTTGGGTCTTCTGTCAGCATCCATTGACTGTATCAGATGATTTTATTGACTTATAAGTAGGGTAAAGTCAATCCCTTCATGCTTTTTATGAGACAGATGGGATACTGATAGAGATATGACCGTCTGGAATAGAGCCAATTAATGAGATTTAAGGGAAGTCCTTGAGATTCAGTGGTAGACACATTGAACAAATTATATAGTCTTTTGTCCAACAAATAGTTCTCCACTATGCAGCCCTTTTTTTTTCTTTTTTGAGATGTAGTTTCACTCTTGTTGCCCAGGCTAGAGTACAACGGTGTAATCTTGGCTCCCTGCAACCTGCGCCTCCCAAGTTCAAGCAAAACTCTTGCCTCAGCCTCCCTAGTAGCTGGGACTACAGGCGCCCGCCACCACGCCTAGCTAATTTTTGTATTTTTAGTAGAGATGGGGTTTTGCTATGTTGGCCAGGCTGGTCTTGAACTCCTGACCTCAGGTGATCCACCCTCCTCGGCCTCCCAAAGTGCTGGGATTACAGGCTTGAGCCACTGTGCCCAGCCCAGTATGCAGCCTTTTAATAAGGGACAAACCTGAACAGCAGGTGGTAGGCTCAAAAACACCTTTCCTATAGGCATGTGGATCTCCTCACTAATTCAGCTGTCAGTCCTATTGTGACAATTAGCAATAAATTTCTTCTGGGGTTGAAGGGGAAGGTTCTACCAACTTCAGACAATATTTACAGAGACATAAGGAAAGAAGTCATAAAGAAATATTCAAAGTTCAAAAAAAGAATGAACATAAGTTCTTATTGATGCCTCTAACTCTAATCCAGAACCACAAGCCCTATTCTAACCTTCTTTGGCGGTGGGGGAAGGATGCTAAAAGCCATCAGCTACTGAGTGATTAAACAGAGTGGTTTAATCTTCTGTTCCTGGGGATTTTCTTCGAAGACAGAGTAATCTCTTTTGCCTTCACTTCACATACTGCCCAGAAGTTTCAGCATTTCATAATGTAACTTATATTAATATTAAGAACTACAACTATCTCAGTGATTACTTTCAAATGGCACAATTTTTACTTATAGTTGATCTGTCTCCTGTTTACTTAGGAAGTGGGTTGTAAACAAGTTAATTATTATCACTGCCAACCCTAACTGAGTGCCTACTGTGTGCATGTGTGTAGTTTATGTCAATCCTCCCATCCCATGAAGTTAATATCCTCTTCGTATCTTATCAACAAGGAAACCGAGACACAGGTGGGTCAAGGGGTCGATCCTAGGTCCTGTAGCTAAGACGGTGTAGGGTCCAGCTTCTGACCTAAGTGGTCTATCCCAGAGCCTGTGTTCTTGACCGTCATGGTATCTTGCATCCACTAAGAAGTACAAACAGGACCCACAGTACAAACAGGAACTCCCAAACTGCCCCGAGAGAAAACGGCAGCTGGTATGATCCGCTCAGAGGATTTGGAGCCGACAACTCTTTCCAGTGGTTCTTTCTCTGGCCTCTTCAGGACTAGGCTGAATTTCTGTCAGCAGAAGGGGATTAAGAGGCAAAGGAATGGCCAAGTCCCCTAGAGAACCTGTTTTCTGCCCAGTCCCTGTTGGATTCCAAATTCTGATATGTTTTCCATGAGAAACAACCCATTTAAATCTGTGGCGAGAACCTGACACTGCTCGTTTGAACCTGACACCAGGAATTTAGCCCCAGGTGAATAGCAGTTAAGGACATGTGTTATTAAGTAGGTGAGGCCCCTTGGGAGCAGAAATTCTTTGCTGGTACACGGTTGTCAAGTGCTTTAGCTGTAAGTGCTTAGATCATTGCAATGTGTTATTGTCTCAGATATTTGCTGTGAAGGGAGTAGCTATTCTTTGTTTTTTTCAAAGAAGTTTATTTTCGTTTTTTTCCTTCTCACAGGTAAAAATCCAAGTGTCTGTAAGAACTAGCATTTTAAACAGAGATTTTGCTGCTTTAATTATTGTTAAAATGGTTGCCTCATCTGTGTGTTACATAGACATCTTGGGTATTTAGAGAAAATATGAGCTAGGGGGAGCATAACAAACTCTGATTATTCATTTCAGTGGGTGCTTGCCGGAACGGGGCCTGCTGTGAGAACGCGTCAGAGCACACACAGCCCTGCAGCCCTCCTCTGCTTGATTTTGATGAGATGTTGTGAATGATTTCCCTTGCTTTTGGCTGCAATACCTTAAACATGTGGGATGGTTTTGACAGAAAATAATTCCACCACACAGTTAACAGCCGTCTCCCGCTCACCGCTGCTGTGCTGCTCGTGGCCGGCTTAATTGGTCTTTTATGCTTGACCTTGGAAGGGGGCTGTGGCTCGGGGAGAGAGTAAAAATATAATGCAAAAAACATGTAAGGAGACGTTAAATGTTACATTCCAGGAGTCTGGCAGAATATAATATACTTAGTTTTTTCTGTTACAGTATTTTAGAACTATAATATGCATGCTAGAACATGTATGAACCACCAGAGAATTTGTTTTAGGAAGCGCTAATGAGTCCACTCTTCTTTTTATTTTTATTTTTATTTAACTGTAAAATGGTGCCTGAGCAGTGTATATTTTATTGTGCCCTAGCTATAGTCATCTTGATACAGATTTCCAAACTACTGGCTTCATAGTGTCAGATTATGAATTGGATAGAGTGAAAAAATATCAGACTTGACTTTTTATAGTCCCCCCTACAAGAATCATTCTCCATCTTTAGCAGGCTTGAGAACTGCTGGGAAGCTTGCTACAGTGTAGATTTCTGGGGCTTGCCCAGTAGACATTCCGATTCTGTAGGTCTGGGGAGATTTAGTATATGAAGAATGGAGTGGAACACATGGGGAGAGTCAGTGTGTGAGGAATGGGGTGAGACACAAGGGGAGACTCAGTGTGAGGAACAGGGTGAAGCACATGGGTAGAGTCAGTGTGTGAGGAACGGGGTGAAACATGGGGAGATTCAGTGTGTGAGGAACGGGGGGAAACACACGGGGAGAGTCAGTGTGTGAGGCATGGGGTGAAACACAGGGAGAGAGTCAGCATGTGAGGAACCGAGTGAAACACATGAAGAGAGTCAGCATAAGGAATGGGGTGAAATAGATGGGAAGAGTCAGTGTGTGAGGAACGGGGTGAAACACAAAGGGGAGAGTCTGTGTGTGTGGAATGGGGTGAAACATGGGGAGATTCAGTGTGTGAAGAACGGGGTGAGACACATGAAGAGAGTCAGTGTGAGGAATGGGGTGAGACACCTGGGGAGAGTCAGTGTGAGGAATGGGGTGAGACACACGGGGAGATTCAGTATGTGAGGAACGGGGGAAAACATGAGAAGTGTCAGTTTGAGGAACGGTGTGAAATACATAGGGAGATTTAGTGTATATAAAGATATTTGAAATCTGTGCAAAAAAGAGGTAATTCAGTAAATAGTGGTGGAATAAATAAGAGAAGGAAAAATAAGAGAAGATAAATTCAAAATGGAACAAGGATTTAAATGTAAAACAATGAAATCATGAGACTTACAGAAGACAAATAATTTTTAAAATAATCTTAAAAATGGAATGAATTATTTAATCGTGATACAAAACTCAGAAGCCATGGTTGAAAATGATGAATAAGCCTGACTATATGGAAACTTCTGAGTGGCATAAATGCCATAAACAGGAATCAAATACAAACAGCAGGTTGAAAAAAATTCGGAAAATGTATTACAAGGGGCTAGGTTCCATAATATGCAAAGAACAATTACAAATAAATAAGAGGGAAAAACCCTCAAATAATCCAAAACCACCCTGGGCAGAGAACATGTACACGAATGTCATGGAACAAGAAACACTCATGGCTTCTAAAAAGTTATTCACCATCCTTGAATAAAAGTTTCTCAGAATTAATGTCAGATTTTTTTCATTGAGAAAGGACTTCAAAGTACGATGCAGTTCTACTCTTGGGGTGACTTATGAACATTAATATACTTGTCAAGTTGGCTGATCTGGCCTGTGCTCCCCTCATGCTTCTATGGAATGTTGATAATTGGACCGGGAGCTCTCCTGGGCATAAAATGAAGGGGTTGAGTTGGATAACACTACAAAGGGCCTTTACTTGTTTCTTCTACTCGCATCATTTCCTCAGTCTTTTTGGCATTCTGTAAGAAAGTAGTGCCATGCTGTCATCCTCACTGAGACGGCTTTGCAAAGATTCATTTAAGAAACATTGATATAACACTTATGGTGTGCCCGGCATTATTCTGAGCACTTTATAATATCAACCTCCTTTTCCCTTACGTAAACACTGAACATTGCTGTAAAATGTCCACCCAGCCTGGTGGAATGCATGGACGACATAGACCTGAGGGAGGTGAGCACTGAAGGGTATTTACTGGTGGAGACGATCGCTTTCTTTCTGTGAGCAGTGCACTTGGGCTGCCTGCCTGTATTTACCCTCTCATGTGAGGTGCTCATCTGGGCCACCTGGGAACGACTCTGAGCCAAAACCCATAGTCAAGACGCCTGAGTGTACTCAGGCAGACTGGTGTGGAGGTGGAGCTCATCTCTCTCCAAAGGAACCTTCCCAGTAAACCTCCGTAGGGAAAAGCATTCTTCTACCCTTAGCCTGTGGATTTGATTCCCTTCCCTCACAGGCAGGGCTTCAGGATTCCTTCTGGTGTACCTGTCTTCTATTCCCCCAGCCATCAGTGAAGGAGGACCACAAAGAATTTAACCAGCTCTGAAATTAGACCGAGGCAGCTGCCATGTTGCCAGGTTACTTCCACAAACAACAAAACAAGCACCCCTATTGGGTAGCACAGGCCTGTTGGAAATGCTGGAGCCCGCAAGAATGTTGTTTCCTGATCCCCTCCCCTGCTGAGAAGCCTCTGAGTGCCAGGGACCAGCTCAGGGCTCACCTCGCTGGAATACAGGCTGGTTAACATCAGAGCCTGGGACTCAGAGGAGGCTCCCTTTCATGTTTTTACCCTCAAAGCCTCCCTCCCAGCCCACTTGGAAGGCTGGGTGAGCCTCTTGTCCCGGATCTTTTCCAGTTGACTCTCAGCACTCACCACACTTCCCACTAAGTCCATAGATTCCTCCACTACCCACTCCTCCTTTCTGCTGAAGGCAACTTGGGGTGATTTTTGTCATCTAGTCATTCAGCAGATGCTTACTGATTGCCTCCTGAGAGCCAGGTAATGTGAGGATCCCTGGACATGAAAACAAAAGCCACGGTTCTGGTCCGAAGACATCCACAGCCTGTTTGAACAGAGAGACAGCTTCACAAGGAGATGGTATGACGATAGGAGTATGACAGGAAGAGGGGAAGAGCATCTAGCCTGGTGGAGGGGTTGCCAGACTGAGCTCTCTAGGAGGCCGTGTGAGATGTTGCCACCTGAACAGGGAGAAGTGGGTGCAAGAACCCAAAGTTCCATCACCAGCAGCTGATTTAAAATGGCTGTGGCTTCGGGGGCAAACAGGGGAAGAGTAAGGCATGAAGCCCCGTCCTGCTAAGGCGTTGGTTTGATTCTCCAGCAATCAGAAGATGTTGGAGAATCCTATTCACAGGAATACTTGGTAGATTCGCAGTTTGAAGAGTCCCCACCATGGGCACATGGATTGCAGGAGGCTAGAGGACCAGGAAAGGCAATTGCGGGTGTCCCTGTGAGAAGCGAAGAGGGGGTGACTGCAGCAGAGGCAGCGGATTGGCAGTGAGGCTGGAAGGAGGGTAAAGCAGGCTTTATCACAGAGCATTGAGGTTTGCAAGAAGAGTGGCAGATTTGTAGGTGAGAGGTGGTTGGTCGGGCTTTGACAAGTTGCATTTGTGAAGTCCATTTGCCCTGAGCAGCAGCTAGCTAGCTCAAGGGGGAGATGTGTCCAGACGTGGAAGAGAAAGGGTGGAGTCTGTGGCCCCCGAGCCTGTAACCACACAGCATGAACGGCAGGTCCCTAAGATGCTCTGCAGGACAGTGTCCACCGTGGGAGGCAGTCACCTATCCTTCATCCTGACTCAGTGCTTTCATTCCCATCACCTGAGCCTGATTGGTCTCTTTTGTGGTCCCGCAGCCGTTCCTGCGGTCTCCAGCTTTCCCACTTCTCCCGCCCTCCCCATCCCGCAGCGGCTCAGGAGGGACTCCAGCTGGGTTCTGAATTCCACCCTCCATCCTCACCACTCAGCCTGACTGGAGCTGGCCACCGCTGCTGCTTTGGGATGGGGGTGTGCTTCAGACAGTCAGAGAAGAAACCCTGAGTAATGCTGACATTGATGGGCCACGCAGACTATGATCAGCTCCGGGAATGTCTGTGAAGGAGCAGCCAGGGGACAGGGCTGGCCTGGGGGGATCTGCATCCACACTTCCTGCAGTCGTAGTAATTCTCAGTGATTTCTGCATATAGATTGGTCTAGAAAGTCTAAAAATAGTCTTTACCGTCAAAACTAACTCTCTGCATGTTTATACCTTGGCTTGGGTGAACTCGTTTCAGTTTACCTGTTTCAACGCCTAGCACAATGCCCAGCATATAGTAAACCCTATACACTTGTTGAAAAAAAATAAACAAAAGTCACGGGATGCCGTACCCTCCCATAATCGTAATGACGGGAGGCCTGTGGTGGCAGCCTTTCTGCATCATGGGTCTGTGCAGTGGCCTCTCCTGAAGTGCAGCTGGAGTTCTCAAATGTTCCCAGTTTTACATGTTTGCAAGACATTCTGGGAAGTGAATTCTCACCTTCGCAAAACTCTCCTCACAGATTGTAGTCACACCATTTGTTCCGACAGCAATTTATCTGACACTAACTGGATGTCCTACTATTCAGTTCAATTCAGACACTGACTACCTGGAGTTAGTGTAGACCCTGCAAGTTAAGAGTGCAATACTGCGAGACTGCCTCCCATTTCAGACTAGAGCTGCAAGTTTCTGGTATCCCCAAGTTATCTGCATTTCTGCCCAACAGACTACAAATTTGGGGTCTCCTATGACCTCTCCTCAAATTCAGTAATTCACTAGAATGGACTCACAGAACTCAGGAAAGCACTGTACTGTCAAAGGAAGGAATTATGATTACTGTCAAAGGAAGGAATTACAACAAATTTATTTTTAAATATTCTTTAGAGACAGTATCTCACTCTGTTACCCAAGCGAGAGTGCAGTGGTACAATCATAGCTCACTGCAGCCCCAAACTCACCAGGCTCAAGCGATCTTCCCATCTCAGTAGCTCCTGAGTAGCTGAGTCCACAAGCACACACCATCACACCTGGCTAATTTTTCCTATTTTTTGTAGAGATAGGGCCTTGCTATGCTGCTGATGCTGGTCATGAACTCCTGATCTGGAGCGATGCTCCTGCCTTGACCTCCCAAAGTGCTGGGATTACAGGCGTGAGCCACTGTGCATGGCCCAAATTTAGTTTAAAGATCTCAATTGGGCCAGGCGCAGTGGCTCACACCTGTAATCCCAGCACTTTGGGAGACTGAGGCGGGTGGATCACGAGGTCAGGAGATCAAGACCATCCTGGCTAACATGGTGAAACCCCGTCTCTACTGAAAATACAAAAAGTTAGCCGAGCGTGGTGGCAGGCGCCTGTAGTCCCAGCTATTCCGGAGGCTGAGGCAGGAGAATGGCGTGAACCCGGGAGGCAGAGCTTGCAGTGAGCCGAGATGGCGCCACTGCACTCCAGCCTGGGCGATAGAGTGAGACTCTGTCTCAAAAAAAAAAAAAAAAAAAAATCTCAATTGGCTTTATTCATGATTCTAGAACTGGCAACAAATCATTCCATAAAATAGAATAAGTGTTCCCATGGGCTGAGCAGAGGGGATTGGCTTTATAGACAGAGAAGGGCTGAAGAAAGCAGGAACAAGGAACAGTAGCCTGCTAGTCGTTTCAAAGATACTTTTCTTGGGGGACAGGCAGAGGGAGGGACGGGGAAACAGAACGATGGAATATCAGATGAGTTAACATGTCATGTAAGGATTAAAGCCAAGGGAACTGCATTCCATGGCTACTGAAGATTTCAGCTGGCCTATTTGGGAAATTGGCTGTTACCTCTTGTGACTTCTCAGAAGGTCAGATAACTACTTAGTTTGGGTTTGGTGAAGGGGAACTTAAGCATGGGTGACTACTTTTATTTTCAGTCTGGTCTCATGGGGCCTAATGCAGGAGCTTAGGCCCGAAACAAAGGCCTCCTATAATATTAATTTGACATACAGTTCTGTTGTTATGGACACAACTCAGGAGTAGCTAAATGGAAGAGATAGTGAGGGCGAGGGGTGGGAGTGGGACAAGGAGCTTCCAGCCTCTCAGGGGTAGCACTCCCAGCACACCAGTGTGCTCAGCAGCCCGGACCCTCTCAAGCCTTGTGTTCAATAGTTCGTATTGAGGCTTCATTACTTAGATGACTAATGAAGATTGATTAAATCTCCAGCCCCAGAGGCTGGCGTTGGGGCTGAAAGATTCAACCCTCTAACCATGTGGTTGATTCCTCCAGCAACCAGGCTCATCCTGAAGAGGCCACAGGATGGTCTAGGGCCACACGCTATCAAACTCAGTCATGGCTGAAGGGGCTCTTCAAGAATACCAGAAGACACTCCTATCACCCAGGAAACTCTGAGGGTTTGGGGAGAACTGTGCCGGGAACCAGGGCAAAGACCGAATCTGTATTTTTTTATTATGCCACAGTAATGGGAGCATATTTTGGCAGACTCAAGAGTGATTGGTCGTTCTAATCTTAGTTCACATTGGAGGGACTTTCACTGGCCCTCCAGATTCTTCCTGTAAGCACCTGTTCTTTAGGAGGATGGAGTAGGCTCCTGCCCCGCCCCACCCCAACTGCAGTGCATGTGACAGTTTGAAACACTTTGAGCCCCACATGTGTCTGTCAAGATGGAAATAACAGCCTCTGGCATGTGGTGCTGGTGGGTGCTTGTGCCATTGCAGCCCTGTAGGAGTGAGGTGGACAGAGTCACGGGTTTGGGTTAAGCCCTGTCTCACCTCTCATTAGGCATGTCACTTCGGCAGGCCGATGATTTAATGAGACTCACCTCTAGCCATGGAAGGAGTCTGAGGGTGTGCTTTTCTTATCTTCCCATCTCCATATTTATGTTGTAGACTGTGAAGGAATTAGCCTCTTGGCCATGGTCATCCTAAGGATGGAGATGTTGGGCTGTGGTACATGATAACTGTTCTTTTGTAAGCCTAGTGAACCTGTGCCGCTCCTTCTTGTCCTGCAGTTGGACTGATTAGAGGGGCTGAGGAAGTGCTTCACCTGTGAATGTGATTTCCTCTCACCTGCGGGCCCAGAGGCATCCTTGCTTGCCAGGTGCTCCTCACCCCACCCCCAGTAGGGTAGCAGGTGACATCTCCTCCTGCACCCCATTGTGGGCAGAGATGAGCCCCACCCTTTATCTGTGCTTTGATAAAGACTTCAGGAAGAGGCTGGGCGCAGTGGTGCAAGCCTGTAATCCCAGCACTTTGGGAGGCTGAGGCAGGCGGATTACTTGAGGCCAAGAGTTCAAGACCAGACTGGGCAACGTGGCGAAACCCCGTCTTTACCAAAAAATACAAAAATTAGCCAGGTGTGGTGGTGCGCACCTGTAATCCCACCTACTCAGGAGGCTGAGGCACAAGAATTGCTTGAACCCGGGAGGCGGAGGTTGCAGTGAGCCGAGATCATGCCACTGCACTCCAGCCTGGGCGACAGAGCAAGACACTGTCAAAAAAAAAAAAAAAAAAAAAACTTCAGGAGGAAGTAAAAAACAAGGTATCATGCCAAACTGCACAGAGAAAAGCACTTTTCTGTAATCTTTCAAATATAAAATTCTGTTGCCAGAAAAACTCCAGCATAATCCCTGTGACAGGCCTGGGTCTTGTCTGTTACAAACAAGAGAGTGAATGTCGGGGTGTACTTTTCCCTGCAGTTTGGAAGCACAGGTGCCCACTGACTTGGCTCCAGGGACATATTTCTTTTGGCTGAGAGGCTGGGGCCATCGCCTTTAACATGGTAGACCCTAGTCAGGCGCTTTTCCAGCTAGGACTGAAGGGTCTTCCCCGCATATGGTTTGAGTCCCATAGGAATTTGAATGCCAAAGTAGAATTTCCTTGGTAACTTTAAACCTCTTGAAGCCATTTACAGGCTCTGGGGCAGGTGGAGGAAGGGGCGGGGAGGTGGGCGCTCTCCCATCACTCTCTGTCCCTGTTTTGATTTTGTGTCTTCCTTCTCTTTTCCAATAGCAATCCTTCTGGTCGAGGATTGTGATACTCTTGCCTGCAGCATTAGAGGAGCTTCCAGATTCTTCTCCTCACCTCCATCCATTCTATGCACCATTTTTTCCTAGACTGTGGAGCTGACCCTGTCACTTCCTGTCCTTCAGTGGCCTCTGGGTATAGACAGACATGGTGTGCCTCCCTCTCTCAGCTCCAACCTCTCTGACATTCTCTCCATTCGGGCCCGTGTCATTCATTTGCAAATCCGCCATAACATCCCCAGCAGTGCTGGGTGCAGAATCAACTTTTAATAATCTCCGGGAATGTGTGCACTCTCCTGTCTCTGGGCCTCTGCTCAGGCTGTCCCATCCCAGAGTCTGACCTGCATTTGCCTAGCCTTCATGGCCACACTTAAGGTGACCACCTCTGGGCATCTTCCTGGGGTCTATTGAACAGAACACATCACTTCCTGCCCCTCTGCTCCTGAAGCACTTTATGTCGCAGTGTTGTGGATTAGAGTGCCCCTGGATGAGCCCTGTTTGTCTGTGTTCTAAAGCACAGGTGCCAGAAGGCAGAACCTGTGTTTTCTCTGGCCCCTGGGAGAGGGACTGGCATGCAGCAGCTGCTGGAGAATAGGAACTGCATCTTTTTTATCTTTGGATCCACCACAGCATTTTCACATTGAAAAGAGGTCAGTAGGTTTTTTTAGGGTGGTATGGCCGTAGACCCCATCCAAGTACTAGCCAGGCCTGACCCTGCCTAGCTTCCAAGATCAGATGAAATCAGGTGCGTTCAGGTGAGTTTTGTTTTGTTTTGTTTTGTTTTGTTTTGTTTTGTTTTGTTTTGTTTGAGACGGAGTCTTGCTCTGTCACCCAGGCTGGAGTGCAGTGGTGTAATCTCGGCTCACTGCAAGCTCTGCTTCCTGGGTTCACGCCATTCTCCTGCCTCAGCCTCCCGAGGAGATTTTTTTAATTGTTCATTTAAATAGAGTTCATGCCCTAAAACCTTTGCGAGAACATCCTTTTACAGATGAAAGTCCAGATATGCCATCCTGTATTGTAGCCATGGTCGGTATAACCATGCTCGTTTCCAAACTGTCACAGCACATTGCATATTTTCTCTGATTTGTGAAAGATAATATGTAAAAAGTTTCACAAAAGCATGTGTGCACAAACATACTAACAGAGGTTTGGTGTTTTTTAATATTGAGTCATGTAATGGGGAAAAAAGTTGAAATCAGCTGTAGCTCTGAAAGCTGAAATGTGTACTGCCATATTTGTCATGGTTTTCCCTGCTGTTCTGGAATTCTTCTGTGGGAGCAGGAACACTATTTTATATATGCATATCTTCTCTTCATGAATGCCAGAGACTGGGTTTTAAACTTTAAAAAGTCTCACTCATACTAGGTGTCCATTCTTGCTGAGTGATTGAATTATTATTCTACAAGAAGATAAAGGAGCTGTTGCCGCACAAGCTGTCTGGTCTTTTGGGTGATTTGTATTTTACAAACAAACATTCATTTCCTGTCTACATTTGACCTCTTTTCCAGGGAGGTTCCCCTGAAGGATGCTAAGGAATACGCTGAATCCATAGGTGCCATCGTGGTTGAGACAAGTGCAAAAAATGCTATTAATATCGAAGAGCTCTTTCAAGGAATCAGTAAGTACCTGAAATTGGGTTTTCAGCCCAACTTGCATTTTTATGCTTCTGGGAGTCAAAGGATAACATTTTAGAACTCTGAAGTGAACTTTTCCTCTGTGTGAATTTATCGGATGCCATGGATACAAAATCTACAGCTATGCAGTTGTTAATACCCACTTCTATTATCCTCTCGATTCTAGATTTCCATGATTCTGTACTGGAACCTGTTCACTCTGAGTTCTGTAAATTAAAATGAAGTAATCCTGTTGCAAAAATAAAATTTATTTTAATTGAAAATTATGCATTCTGTAGCATTTTATGTTAGGAGGAGAGAGAAAATAGACAAGGTATAGAACTCAAGGTCACCCATTAGATGGGATGACTCTAGGTAAACTGAGGGAACCTTCCAGTAACTTTTTTTGCCTGATCATCTCCTACAAAAAGTAATGTCTCCATCCTGTTTGACCTGAAATTGGGAATTGGATACAGGGTTGGCGTGTACAGGTACCCCATGTGTCTGGTGAGCTAATTAGGGAGGGTGACAGCCTCCTTCCTGGTCCCAGTGCTGGGTCCCGTTATGCTCACTGTATGCCGGCTCCCCGGGAATAACCTTATCAACCAGAGCTGGTTCCCAGCTAATGGCTCTGCCAACACATCTATCTGCAGCTGTGAGGCTTCCAGCTCAACAGATTTAACCTTCATAAGTTCTCTGGTTGTGTCATTCTGTTCCGGATTCTGCCAGAGAAGTCCCTGCTGACAGCCATCTGGGAAAACTGCTCTGAGACACCCTCAGGAAAGTTCGACCGGAGCATTATCAGGGACGTTGGGAGAAGTACAGGTGTTTGATGAAATACTGGCCCTGAAGTTCCTGGAATAGCCACCTTAGGAGGAGTTGAACCCCAAAACAGTAATTGTCCTCAAATATCTTAGCTCCAGACAACTCCAGAAGGGAAACTGATGGTTTGATCTCTTTCCTGCCTGAGATCGTTTTTGGCAGAGCTCTCAAAGTCAGAGAAGCCGTGGCTTCCCAGAACAGTTTTGATTTCTGTTTAACTGGTTTGAGTGCATTACTTTAGACTCCAAGAACCCACAGGAGGGAATCTTTTGTTTATGTTGGCTTGATGGAGAATTCATTGGAGATGGGGAATTCTGACCTGTCTTACCTACACTATGCAGAGATATGCAAAAGAAATGTGCAAAAGAATGGCTTGGAGCCTCCCCTCCCCAGCTGCTGGCCCTTTCCTTCACTGGGGTCTTCACTCTCTTCCCTTCTTTCCACCTTCCCTTTCTTTCCTCCTTTGATTTCTTACTCTCAACAGAATGGTTTCAGGCTCCTTGCCCTGAATGGCTGAACTCTAGCAGGCTGGGGCTGGAATTTCATGTGGGAAACCCCATGTCCCCACATTCCTCTCCCTTCTCCATCATGGTCAGTGGGTGCAGATGCTCTCTGGTGTTGTGTCACTCTGGGTGACATCTAAGTTTGGGCTCGAACTCATTACATTAGCCTCACATTTCCTCAGATTAAACTCATTCTCTTCTGGTGGCGTTAGGCTCTTCTGCTATGCTCAGCTATGAAACATTTTGTTTTTACAGGTGGTTTTAATGAATGAAGCTAGATAGCTCCTGAGGACGATTGCCTTAGCACCTTCCATCCTTACAGCCCCGCGTCTTCCGCAGAGCCCCCTCCTCCTCCTTAGCTCCCTGGCCTTGGAAGACCCCCAGCACAGATATCAGTGGTCAGCCAGGGGAGCCTGGTGCCTTGTATGACCTGAACTTGAGCTTGAGATCTCTGCACCAGCTGGGAAGCTTTCTGAAGTTTATGAAAGTCATTGTTAAAATTTAAAAATATCAAATAAGGACCTGAAAGAGAAGAAGCCTGAGTAGGAAGTACTGTACTAATATCTTTTTTCTTTTTTTTTCTGAGACAGAGTCTTTGTTGCTCAGGCTGGAGTGCAGTAGTGCAATCATAGCTCGCTGCAGCCTCCACCTCCTGGGCTCAAGCAATCCTCCGACCTCAGCCACCTGGGTAGCTGGGACTATAGGTGTGCACCACCACACTCAGCTAAATTTTTGGATTTTTAGTAGAATCAAGGTCTCGCCATGTTGCCTAGGCTGGTCTCAATCTCCTGAGCTCAAGCAATCTTCCCCCATCGGCCTCCCAAAGTGCCAGGATTACAGGTGTGAGCCACCACACATGGCTTGTAGTAATAACTTAAAAGACATTTATCCAGTATAAATCCCTTCCTGTGTGTGACAGGGACTTTGAACAGGTTAATTCCTCAGATCTTGGTGGTCTACTTTATGAAAAAACAAGTGCTTTGCTCAAACATGGGTAATTATGGTTTCAAAGTAATTAATTCCTATATAAGCCATCAAATACCCATATCACCTCATCTTTCATGTCACATAAACAATTGTTTGTTTCTGTTTTATTATACTTTGGTTGTAACTGCCTTGACAAAGAAAGCTTGTAAATACACAGCCATGGCAAAACCTCAGTCTGTCCATCTGTCTGGCTATCCATCTGTCTGTCTATCCATCTTTCCCTCCATCTGTCTGTCCATCTGTCCACTTGGCTGTCTATCTGTCCATCTGCCTGTCTGTCTCTGTCTGTCCTTCTGTCCATCTGTGTGTATATCCATCTTTCTAGCTGTCCATCTGTCTATCCATCTGTCCGTCTATCTATCTATTCATCTGTACATCTGTCTGTCTAGTCATCTGTCTATCTAGCCATCCGTCTGTCTGTCCATCTGTCCATCTGTCCGCCTGTCTATCTGCATGTGTAAGCACTGGATCTTTTGCCTCTTTTCTCCTTCATGTGAATTTCTTCAGAATGGAGTTCTGTAGCCTAATTGCAGGTTAATTTAAAACACAATTCCAAGTACACCTAAATATACTGCAGCAGACTTTTCATTTATTTTTCTTTTCCCTGTTCCTACTTACATTACATGTGCTCCTCCCTGAGCTTAAAATAGAACTACATATTGCTGACACCTAGGCTCCCCAAAGCAATGTTCCACAGTCGACTATGCCTGGAGAAAAAATGCAATAAAAAGTTAAGGAGCTGTGAAAATAAAAGCCCTTTAAAAAGGTGTGTTTAAACAAAATGAATTCACATTGACTCGGATGAAGAGATGAATGTTTCTCTTTTACAGTCCCATAGTGTTCATAAACCAGAAATGGGACAACTGTGTTTTCTGAACATTGGCAAATACAGTGTCTAACTGGAGACTGCTTACAAAAATATGTTATCTTTTTAAAGACTGAAGCTACCCTGTAAAGGATTTAGGTGCTGCTCTGTTTGGGGTGGTCTGTGCAGTTTGTCCTCCTCATATAATATATTGTCGTCTGATTGGTATTCCTCCAGGCACCCTTTTCTAAATCACATTTTTAGACCTACTTTGTCTGCCTGCATGTGGCTAATTCTCTTCCATGCATTTCTACCCAGGGTTTGTTTATTTTTTTTTCCTTGGGTTCTTACACCCAAGGAAGAAAAGTAAAAACTTGAGGTTACTTTTGGTTTGTTCTGCCATTTTGACACTTAAACATATTTTATCTTTAATTGATTCTCCAAGCGTTTAGGTATGTGCCTGTTCTTCTAGGGAGATTGCAAGTTCTTTGGGAGCTTGTCTTTTGTATTACCCATGAAGCTGAGACTAATAAATGGAATGGTGCTGAATTCGGGGCTTTGAATTTGGATCTCCGTCCTCATCTCATGATATAAAGTGAAATGTAATCACTTTTCTCTGGGAATTTAAGGTTGAAGAACAGCAAATTAGACAAGCCTACTTACTCTTGATTCGTTTATTCACAAATATATACTGTACTCTTTTATGGGTAGGTGCCATGCTAGACCCTGGGGACAGCACGGTGACAAGGCGCAGTGACAGTGGAGTCGGGGAGACAGCTGTGGGCACAGTCAGATCGGTGTCTGGTGACTCTTGGTAATTGGTGCTGCGCGGCGAAGGAGTGGACTGTGAGAGGTTACTATGGGGCGAGGGAGTGGCTTTAGATTGGGTGAGGAAGGCCTCCCCGGGGAAATGATTTTAAGCTGGACCTGAAAAACGAGAAAAGGCCAGTGGGCAAAGAGCTATCAGGCAGAGCAAACCGCAGGAGCCAAGTCCCAAGGCAGGAAATGTCGTGGTGCTTTTAAGGAAGAGCAAGGAGTGCTGTGGGAAGTTGTGGTTAGAGACTCAGCAGGGCCTTGCCATGGGAGTAAGGGTGATACTCTGAAACAATTGGAAGCCCCTCAAGCTTTTAAAGCAGGAGTGCAGAGTGTCCAATTTACATTTACAAAAAAAGATCACACTTAAAAGGAGGAAAGTCTCCGCATGTCTCAATCAGTTGGCATGCGATTGTAATAATCCAGGAGAGAAGTGGCTTGGACGAGGGTGGAGGAAGTGGAGCTGGATTTCAGAAATCTTCCAGAAGAACCAATAACACTGGAAGGAGATGGGGAATGAGGAAGACAGCGTTACCAAGAGTCATCCCCAAGTTCTGTTTGCCGGAATGAGGAGGATTGGCATAGGAACAAGTGATCTGGGCTGGATTTGGTTATGAGCCTAGCATATAGGATTCTGGATTGTGGTGAACCCAAGTTTTGGTTTGTAGATTATTATTATTTTTTTATTTTTAGAGATGAGGTCTCGCTGTATTGTCCAGGCTGGTCTTGAACTCCTGGGCTCAAGTGGTCCTCCCGCCTTGGCTTCCCAAAGTGCTGGGATTACAGGTATGTGCCACCATGGCCAGCTGGTTTGTGGATTTTAATTACTTAACTCGAATATCTCTTTAAAAGTATTTTAACTTTTCCTGAGGGCAAAGAGAGGTGGAGCTGCAGGCTCAGCAGAAAAATGTCTGGATTGGGGTGGAACCCAGCAAAATAGCTATGCATTTTGCTCCAGTTAATTTAAGTGTTGACTGTGGCAGAGAAAGCAGGACTTTCTCCTGAAAATTACACTTGGAGACACTAGAGACATTAGACCAGGTTTTATATTTGTTGTTAGTTTGAGAGCAAGGTGAGAAACATTTGTTTTATTAAGGTGAATATATGGGCATGGCGGTGTGCACCTGTAGTCCCAGCTACTCTGGAGACTGAGGCAGGAGGATCACTTGGGCCCAGGAGTTTGAGGCTGCAGTGAGCTATGACTGTGCCACCGCCCTGCAGCCTGGGCAACAGAACGAGATCCTATCTCTAAAATAAATAAATAAATAAATAAATAAGGTAAATATATTTAGAGGTACAAGCATATTGGCTTGGAAAATTGGAATGGGGTGTTAATATGAAAGACAACAAGTTAAGACTTGTGGGTAGTGATCATGTCTTGTTCTGGAAACATTTGTTCACAGAGTGTTGTGCTCTAGGCACCTTTAGTTAGTAGCAGGTTAAAGTAATTTTAAAGCAAAGCAAAAGGTTTGCAGATTTTATAATAGTCAGCAAGCTGTCAGGTGAAGGTAAGTTTAGCAGTTAAGGAACAAGGAAAGGACAAAGACAAAGTTTGTCCACTTTCTCACCCCAAAAAAAGTTAATTTACCAAATGCAATCCACTTAAGAAAGTGGACAGACTTTCTTACACCAAGAAAGTTAATTTAGTGAATGTAAAATAATGTCATTTCGGCATATGGGCAAGTTGGGTCTCAAAAGGCATGTCTTTTATTCCAGCAATTCTAAAGAAGAAATTCTTCAGGTGTGCAAACATAATAACAAGGTTTAATATGTACGGAGCTCTGATTCTGTGCTTTTGTTGCAATTGCTGAAATATATACTTAGCTCATTAATGCACCCTTGATCCTGTGAAGTAGGCTCTGTTATCATCCCTGTTTTACAGATGAGGAAATTGAGGCCTGGAGAGGCTTGTAACTTTCCCCAGGGCACACAGCTAATAAGTGAGAGACAGGCAGGCAGGCTCCGGGGCACATGCTCTTAGCTTGTCTATATCATGTCCCATTGCACAGCGTGGTTTATTGTAACATTATTCATGACAGCAGAAAACAGGAAATTACTGAACTGTCCAAAAGTTAGGAAATAGTTTTTAAGAAATCATGGTACACCCATATAAACAAGTGATTCAAAAGGATGACATAAATCTTTGTTTACTGACATAAAAAGATCAATCATTGAATGTGAAATGGAAGTTACAGAGCAGTTCATATAATATCCTTATTTCACAATATATCTCATATTTCATAATATTTCATAATCTATTTCAATATCATATTTCATATATTTCATAATATATTTCAATATCATATTTCATAATATATTTCAATATCATATTTCATATATTTCATAATATATTTCAATATATATAATGATAAATATTATTCCAAGAATATATCCTTCTTGGAAGGATACATATCAAAATGTTAACAGTGGTTGTTTCATGATGGTCAGATTCCAGGGAACTTAAAAAACACTTTATTATGTAAAATTTCAAACATATACACAAGTGCACTGAATAATATAGTGAACCATTGTATACTCAAAACCAAGCTTGTGCCATCTCTATCCCATCCTGTGCTCACCACCTGTATTATTTTGAAGAGAATCTCAGACATCTAATTTAATCTATAAATATTTTGTCCATAATTTTTTTAAACAATGACAACTATGTTATCATATTAATAACCAGAATGCTGTTATCATATTAATTACTATCATCAAATAAACAGTCAGTGGTCAAATTTCCAAAAAGTTCATAGTTGTCATAAATGGTTTCTTTGTTTGCATGTTACCATTTGTTTACATCAGAATGGAAATAATCTCCACATGCTGGGATTAGTTGGTATGTCTTTTAGGCCTCTCTTAAGCAATAGCTTTCCATTCCATCTTTCTTTTTTTCCCCTTATGCAATTTGTTTATCCAAGAAATTAGATCAGTTTTCCTGCAGAGTTTAAGACAATATGGATTTTGCTGAGTTCCTTTTTTTTTTTTCCTGAATAGTATTCCATTGCATGCATAAACCACAATTTATTAATCTATTCACCTAGCATTTGGATTGTTTTCAGTTTTGGGTGATAACCAGTAAAGGTGCTATGAGTATTCATTTACAAGTCTTTGTGTGTGTAAATACTATGGATTGGAATGGCTGTCTTATCTGGTAGGTGTGTTTTTAACTTTCTAAGATTAGAATGCCAAACTGTCTTCCAAGTGGTTTTACTACAGTATGTTACCACCACCAATGTGTGGGAGTTCCAGTTGCTCCAAGTCCTTGTCAACGCTTGGTACCGTCGGTTTGTAAAATATTAACCATTCGAAAGGAAGTATAGTGGTATCTCATTGTGATTTTTGTTTGCATTTTCCTAATGACTAGTAATGTTGAGTGTCTTTTCATGAGCTTGTTTTCAATTTGTATAACTTGGTGAAGAGCCTCTTCAAATTTTACCCATTTTGTAATGGGTCGTTTGTCTTCTTATTGTTGAGTTCTAAAGGTTACTTATATATTTTGGATACATATTTTTTATCAGATATTTGTTTTTCAATTATTTTCTCCCAAGCTGTGGCTTGTCTTCATTTTCTTGACAGTGTTGTTTGGAGAAAAGAGGTTTTTAATTATTGATGAAGTGTAGTTTGTCAGATTTTTTCCCTTTTGATTTGTGCTTTTTCTGTCTTATAATTTCTAAATGTTAAAATAAAAAAAATTAAAGGGATACATCCATATAATGGAATATTATAAGGGATAAAAAGAAAATGAGCTATCAAACCATAAAAAATGTGGAAGAACCTTAAATGCATATTGCTGAGTGAAAGGAGCCAATCTGAAAAGGCTACACACTGTATGACTCCAACTACATGACACTCTGGAGAAGACAAAATTGTGGAGTCAGTGAAAAGATCAGTGGTTGCTGTGGGCTGTCAGGGAAGGGATGAATTGGTGGGTCACAGGATTTTTAGGGCAGTGAAACTGTTCTGTCTGATACTATAAAGGAGGATACATGTTATTACATGTTTATCAAAACCCATAAAATATACAGTGCCAAAACGGAACCCTCCTGTGAACTATAGACTGACTATCCTTAATAGTAATGTCTTCAGCAAATGTTGGTTCATCAGTTGTTACAAATGTTCCACTAAACTAAGATGTTAAAAATGGGAGAAATTGAAGATGAGGAGAGGAAGGTATATGCCAATTCTCTATTTTTCACTCAATTTTTTTCCATAAACCAAAAACTGCTCAAAAAATAAATAAATAAAGTTTATCAATTAAAAAAAGAAAGAGAAAGGTGCCTTTGAGTGGTAGGGAAGCCTAATGATTTTTTTTAAGGTTTTCTTTTTTTCTTTTCTTTTCTTTTCTTTTTTTTTTTTTTTAACTTTAAATTCCAGGATACATATGCAGAACATGCGGGTTTGTTACACAGGTATACATATGCCATAGTGGTTTGCTGCACGTATCAACACGTCATCTAGGTTTTAAGCCCTGCATGCATTAGGTATTTGTCCTAATGCTCTCGCTCCCCCACCCCCAACCCCTCAACAGGTCCTGGTGTGTGATGTTCCCCTCCCTGTGTCCATGTGTTCTCATTGTTCAACTCCCACTTATGAGTGAGAACACGTGGTGTTTGGTTTTCTGTTCCTGTGTTAGTTTGCTGAGAACGTGGAGGGGAAGCCTAATGATTTTAAAGTAGCTTAAGTCTCTCCTTGTTGGACACCTCAGCATTTTGGAGCAATTGTGACCTCCCCTGATTCCCCTCGTGCAGGTGCATCACCACTTCTTTACCTCCCTAGACTTTTAACTTCAGGCTTTTTGGTCTCTGTCTTGACTCTCCCGCCTCCAGGCAGTTGTCACCTCCTGCCAAGCATCTTCCACAGTTTCCCTTTCCATCTGTGCTTCCTGCTTCCCCGTGGCACACTTAAGGCTCACCTAACCCCTGACCTGGGCTTTCCAGGCCTCCTGACCTAATGAGCTTCCCACCTGAGAATCCATTCCGGTCCTTTATAGCATGTAGCGCGTTCCTCTTTATCCTAATATTCAGGGCCTTCTAGTAATCCTAATATTGTCTTCTTTATGGCAGCAAGAGGACAGTGATAGGGAATAACTTCAAGTAGCATGTGTGTGTCCCCCAGTTCTGCATTATTAGGGCGATGTTCCATGATCGTGAGTCATTGCTGTGTTCCAGAGACCCCCTCTCTACATGGCTAGAGGCTAAAGGTCATTATCAAGAGTGAATACTGCCAAGTCCTAGCAAACTTGGTCAAGTTACTCATCTAGATGATTCAGAAAATCAAATCAAGAAATGGATGTTACACAGCAACTGCCAGCATTGCTAACACCAAACAAAAGATAACCAAGCCAAGTAAATACTGGAACTGGAATGAAAGGAGAGAAGAATTACATACAGTGGAATGGTTAGCGGGAGAATCAGCGCTTGCGCAGGAAATGGCTGGTCCACGGGGAAAGGGAACAGCCCCAGCTAAGCTTGCTGTTTTATTTTTGTTGTGTGTAAATGCATGACAGCCCAGTTCCGAGCCAGGATAAAACTTACAGGCTAGGAATTTGTTTTCACATACTGTGTTCCTGTGGAATCATTTCTAAAACCTGCGTTTCCTCTAGACTGTCAACTTTCAGGAAAACTGAACTTAAAAAAAAAAAAGTCTTTTAAACTTCTCCTAGACAGCATCTTACAAAATCCAAACCCTATTAAAATAAACACTCTGGCCTCAAATTTATGCTCAAGGACAACTTGTTCTGGAGGCTGACTACTTAGAGCACATTTTGTAAGAGTGGAAACCTACAGACTAGGCTCAGAGCCTTTTCAGATGTTTTTGTATATATTTTTGTCCTGCTCTATGCCTGTGTAAATAATACTGATTCAACAGAGTTCCAAGGTGATCACCTTGGTACAGAAAGCCATGGCCATTTTCCAAAACCATGCCTTTGTGTAAGTGCCTTGAACCTTCCGGTAAATTCTGAATACCTTAGGCCCTAAGATCGGGGTTTGCGTTCGGCGTTTGCTTTCTTGTTTTGCGTTCTGGTTTCCTGGTGCAGGCTCCCTTCTCCTTTTAAAGGTGCCGGCCTCATTGTTATGATCTGGCTTTTCTCTTTCTCTGCGTGGAAGCATTTCCTTCTCCCTGTGTTTAAGGTTGGCATGTGTGTGACTTATCCCAGGCTGAGAGTTTTGTAGATGAGATGGGTCCCGGTCCACTAACTGAACCCTGAGAATTGACCGTGACCATGAATCACACAGCATTTCTCCCCGCCATGCAAAACCCATGAGCCGTGCCCAGAAGCCCTCAACTGCTGGGGACTCCCTCCATCATCATTTGTTCCTCCCCTTTTAGTGACGGCTGTGTGTGTTCCTTTCCCACATTCGTTCTATAGGTGAACAAAGGAAGGCTCGGAGGTTTTAAATAACTGGTCCAAGTTCATTGAACTGGAATGCTGACTCTCTCACATCTCAAAACTCTTCCTACCAAAGGAGAAAAATGAAGTCTGAGAAATATTTTACTCTAATAAGTGAAATTTTGAATATTCTGAAGATAAAAGAACCTGGCACTCCTAAGAAGCCATGTTCAACAGCTGATTCAAGAGTGCTGCTAAGAGTTCAAAACATGCAGGAGGGGAGTCTTCTTGAGACAGAGCCAGGCCTTCCTCAATTTTGCATTCTGTGCATCAGTGCTCATTGTTGACTGGGGAGAGAAATGAGAAGCAGCAAAGAGGAAGGAGGTGGCGGAAAGCGGGGAAAGGTGTGGACAGACCTTCCTGGCATCCTACTTTGCTATCTGTACGCTCTTCCTTTCTAGATTTTCATTATACTTTTGTCACTTTAATAACTGTCTTACATATAAACTTTTTCTTTAATTTGTGTACTTTCCAAAGCAAAAAACTTATGAAAACAAGACATGAGGGAAATAAAGTCATGGAGGGCTAAAAAGCTAATGCTGTTCTGCTAACATTAGGATTAGCATAAGGACAGCACAAAGTTTTGATGTTAACATAGAATTTGATTTTGATACAGTGAAAAATGCTAAAATGTCAACTCCTTTTACTGATAAGTAAACAGCTCTTGGCTAACTAGGGCAACAGCTGTACCCATGAGAATTATAGTACTGTCCAAAAATATTTCAGGTGCAAAAGCAAAAGTCCTGATTGCAGTGTGTAACACACTCAGGAGGCTCCTGAAATATTACTAACTTCAATAATGATGTAACTCGACACTGTCACCCCTTTCTCTTCAGGAGTAAGTAACTCTTTATTGGCAAGATCTGACTTGGCTAGATCTTTAAAGAGTACTGGTAGTCATTGGAGACTTCCTTCTCTATTTATCACTTAAGGTTGACCAAGTAGAAGAGGCATTTTGTTTACTCCCTTTTAATTGTGATAAATTTAAAAGAATAGCATGTCCAGAAAAGGAAAATTCATACTTATGGTCTCCTTTCCTCCTGGATTGGGACTGAAGTTTTTGGAGATGTCCTGCAAAAGCTCTGTAGATCTCTGTTGGCTACACAAAATGGCAAAAGCCACAGCTGCAGAAATTGTTGCAAACTTTTCATTTGCTTCATCATCAAATGAAGATCTCTACTATTACTTTTGAGTTTGGAGTTAAATGCTGGTGACCTTCATCTTTATGCTGAAGCTTTGGTGACTGTCTATACCATCTGATCTACACAATGTATTATTACCTTTGAAATCAACTCTTTTTGTCCCTTGTGGAAATGCACCTCTGCTGGGGTGTTTTGGTGCTCTATATTGTCATTAGGTAACACCCACTTGCATTAAAAGACTTTGTCAGGGCCCAGCGCATAGTCAGTATTCCGTGCTATCAGTGTGTGTTCAGATTCTCCTCTTACTGGTTTTCTTAGACTGTACTGTTTTCTAAGCAAATGCCCATGTGTGATTTTTAAGATGTGCTGGGGAAAAATAAATCAATACCACAACCAAAAAAAAAAAAGACTTTGTCTTTAGAACCAATTTCCCTTCCACTTCTAATTACTGGTTCCTTAGCAAATGAATACACTAACTAGCCAATAATATAGATAGATAGATAGATAGATAGATAGATAGATAGATAGATAGATGATAGATAGATAGATAGATAGATAGATAGATAGATAGATAGATATAGATATTCATTTTAGCCTAGGCCTGGTGGCTCATACCTGTAATCTCAGCACTTTAGGAGACCAAGGTGAGAGGATCACTTGAGGCCAGGAGTTTGAGACCAGCCTGGGCAACATAGCAAGACCCTATCTCTACAAAAAAAAAAAAAAATTTATCGGGGCATGGTGGCGCACACCTATAGTCCCAGCTACTCAGAAGGTTGAGGTGGGAGGATCCCTTTAGCCCCGGAATTCGAGGTTGCAGTAAGCCATGATCAAGCCACTGCACTTCAGCCTGGGTGACAGAGTGAGACCCTGTCTCAAGAATAAAACAAAATCCTCATTTTAGAGCTAGTGTTTCATGCCTTTTTCAAGGGGCATAGAAAAGTAGCAAAGAGACCTAATGTGGTTCAGTGGGAAGAGCACAGGCCTTGCGACCCATCAGGAAGTCAAGGTGTAGATTATAATCAAAGCACCAGCTGTACTACTGCCTGTTATTGATGGGACCTTCAGCAAAGTGCTCAAGTTCTCGAGTCACAGTGAAATGGTGATAATAACGACCATTACATCAAATTCACAGGGCGAGGTGAGGATGGTGTTTGTGAAAATCTTTGAAAACTGGGAGCTACTAAGGTTATTTCCAGATTCCATTGCCTTTTTTCAGAAAACAACTTTATTGAGATAAAATTCACATACCATACATTTCACCCATTTCAAATGTACAATTCGGTGGTGTTGGTATATTCACAGATCTGTGCAGCCATCAGCACAGTCAATTTTAGAAAAATCACCTCATAAAGAAACCCATACCCTTTAGCTGTCATCTCCCTGGCCCCTTCCATTGCCTGTTTAATTTTGATTTTGTGTTTATTTATAGAGACTTTCTGATAATTTTTAAAATTAAGTTAAGTAAAAATAAGATTACTTGTGGATGACATTAAAATACTGTTTCCTATGAAAAGTGTCTCTGTAGGGCTTTCCAGTTAATGATCTAAATGCATTGGCAGGATGAGGGATGATGAGCTAAGTGTTAATAAATGACACTGCTAGGAAGATTACAATTCAAATCTATTTCTATTTTGAGAAGCAGAAAAGATGGATGAGTACTCACTGTTACTGTTGAAGTCACGGTACCATGAAAGCCGCTCATTAAACCAGGATGGGTCTCTGGGAAGGCAGGGAGAGGGAAGAGCGCGCTGATGAGCGGAGGCTGGATGGGAGCTGCCCCCAGGAGTGGATCTTCCTAGCCCAGGAATTCCACACCACCAGGAAACTGCTGGACTGTTCCTTACCTGAACTTCCTAAGCCCATGAATTGGGCTTCATGCAGCAGAACTAGGGAGGAAAGGATAGGAAGAAGGAAGGGAGGAAGGAAAGGAAGGAAGGAGAAAGGAGCCCCTCCAGGAACACCTTTATTTTGTGCACAGCCCAAAGCAGGAGTGTTGAAGCAGGGTGAAAATCTGTGTGTGCAGTGTTGGCTGTAGGAAAGGGAACTCACCCTTGGCCTCCTTTTTGTTGCAGGCCGCCAGATCCCACCCTTGGACCCCCATGAAAATGGAAACAATGGAACAATCAAAGTTGAGAAGCCAACCATGCAAGCCAGCCGCCGGTGCTGTTGACCCAAGGGCCGTGGTCCACGGTACTTGAAGAAGCCAGAGCCCACATCCTGTGCACTGCTGAAGGACCCTACGCTCGGTGGCCTGGCACCTCACTTTGAGAAGAGTGAGCACACTGGCTTTGCATCCTGGAAGACCTGCAGGGGGCGGGGCAGGAAATGTACCTGAAAAGGATTTTAGAAAACCCTGGGAAAACCCACCACACCACCACAAAATGGCCTTTAGTGTATGAAATGCACATGGAGGGGATGTAGTTGCATTTTTGCTAAAAAAAAAAAAAAACCTTTAAAAATTGTTGGATGTGTACAAAAGTCTTACTGCCTTATTATGTGTATGGGATTCTAAAGTGGCATTCCACTTGGATTTCCTGTGCTACCTATCCAAATTCCAGTAACTACTTCAGTGTCATTGCCTTTGTTACCTAACCAACCTTCACTGAAAGGCAAATTTAGTTCAGGAGGTTAGTTTTTAGCTAGCTTTGGAAGTAAGCCTTTATTTATTACTTTTTGGAGGAAATCAGAGAAGTGTCAATGGACCGTCACTCAGACTGAGACTTGAGTTATTACAGAAGCCAGGAAAAGTGTATTAGAAACTGTTGTCTACACCACTTTTAATTGGTGAACAATTTTTCTAAGTTATGGTCATATATACCCAAACAAACCAAATCAAACTAAATTACTGCATATAATTTTGGGATTGGGTGGCCTAGTTTGAAAGAGTGATTTAAGTAATCACTATGTAAGTGGTGAGAGATGCAGGACATACACATTATTCAAGAGACCACCTGACATGCATCTCCTCCGCAGGAATACATTCGTCCTCTCTTAGAGAAGTTTAACGCACATAGTATTATTTTACTAAGAGAATATCTCTTGGTGTCATATCTAGGGGAAGAGAATTAACTAGAATTAAATTTAATGTTTGAATCTAAATCATTGGGCAAACTTCTAATAATAACAATTAATAATAGGTTACAGGAAAGCCAGCCAGAGGAAGTGTCAGCACTTTAAAATTCTAGACCCCAAAAAACTACAAAATCAGAAAAAGTATTTTTATGTTTCTAGCTTGAGGAGAAGGGCTTTAGGGCTAACCAGAGGTCTGACCCTAGAATGCCAAGGAACTGAGAATGGGCTCCGATGAAAACCTTCCTTTTCAGATTCCCTGTCTGCTCAATTAAAGATGTTTGAATCCAAAGGAAGTCAAGGAAGAAAAAGCATGGAAAGGAAGAGAACTGATTCCTACTGAAAATTCAAATTCTATTACCATTCTAACTTTCATAAAAAGTTGGGATCAAGAAGCAGCTGATTTCCTGCCAGGGCTTATATTAGGGGGTGATTCTTAAAGGACATTAGGATTGGTGCTCAGAAATGGTTAATCATGCTGTGTGCTAGCCAGGGCCAGCTGGTACCTTCTTTGCCATGAGCATTCAAGGGACGGCTAACCTTTATTGACAATCTATATCGCAAAAGTCAGGAAAGAGGTTGTGAGCTGATTGGATTAAAGACCTGGCACTTCAGTAACTCAGCACGCTTCCACTTCACTCAACTTAAGAGAGTTCATTGACAGTGTTAGGATGTGAAGGCTGGGAAACACTTATTTTGCTTCAAGAGTTCCACTTGGCTCTCCCAAATAGGTACCTCAAAAACTGTTAGCAAGCGGCATTTGGATGTCTTGACAGGGGCTTTGCAGGGATTTTTAGGGTTTTTTCCACATTGTCCACATTAATGGTTGGCATGATTGTGCTTGCAGGCCAAGAAATGATCATACCCCTTGCCAAAGGTAAAAAAAAAAAAAAAAAAATGAGTTGAAAATTGAAGTGACCTCTTTCCAGCTGAGTTGCAGGCTTATTTTGTAACCTTTCCTCATCCAGTTTTCCCTGAGAACCTGGGTTTATCTCTAGATAGCTGTTCAGGTTTTTTAGCTGAGGGGTAAGTATCCTAGCTGAGAGTTTTGCATCTTTGGGCTGGGTTTGCAGTGGTTGTGTTTTGCATAAAATGTCTAGTCTTTGCCACAGATAGTGAGCTACCCACTAATGAGCCCATGGTTTTATTTCAGAAGCACATGAGGGTGTGAAACCACTCTGTTACCTTTCTGTATTGTCTTAGCTATTCAAGCCAGTCAGAGGATAATATATATATTCTCATCAGCACTCAGAGTAGTCAGTGAAGAGAGTAGATCACACTTGGGCACACCAGGATTCACATAAACATTGTATCTTCTCTGTGGATGCTCAGGCCTTGTCTACAATGAGGCTTTACAACCTTCCTTTGTTTTGGCTCGGGATTACTTCCTGGCTGTCTAATAATTGAACCATAACCATGTAATATTATGTAAAGGCCTGGAAATTACTGTTGCTAAAAAAAGTCATGTAGTTTCATGTAGTGTAGCATCCTTGGCATCGTTTTCCAAAATTTGTTCCTTCTCCCTTTTTTTTTTCTTTCGTGTGTGGCATGAGTGTGTATCTGTGTAAATATGATTGTATATGTGTTACTCCGATATGTAATCCATTTCACTGGCTGAGTTTGGCCCCTAGCCATGTGTTAATATAAAGTAGGCATGGCTTCCCAATGGAAATCTCTGAGAATGACAGTGGAGTTGTGCAAGCATTTTACATTGCCACATAATTGACTTGCCATTTTATGGTTAAAAACGGCACATTAGGCAGTTGAATATGACGTTACCTTGCAGACTAAAAGGTTGAAGGCCCGAAACTAACTTTTAGCTAACAATAAGGGCTGTGCCCCAATGGAAACTGAGTTCATTTTCTGAGAAAGGTTTGGATGACTGAAATATTTCCTCTACAGTCAAGGACTTTGGCATGTGGTGGCTGAAACTGAGCTTTTTTGTGTGGGCTCCAGTTCTCACTGTTCTGCAATGCTCATGGCAAGTTGAATGGTGAGCTAGCTTATAAATTAAAGAGCTCTGAACTGTATTCAGACCGACTGGGTATCTAGCTTACTGTTTTAACATCATTGTTGAAACCAGACCCTGTAGTCCAGTGGTGCTGCCCTGTTGTGCAAACTGCTCCTTTTTCTCGTGTTTTTGTAAAGAGCTTCCATCTGGGCTGGACCCAGTTCTTGCACATACAAGACACCGCTGCAGTCAGCTAGGACCTTTCCGCCATGTATTCTATTCTGTAGTAAAGCATTTCCATCAACAATGCCTAATTGTATCTGTTATTTTTGGTTTAACACACACTGATTCATACTAATAAATATTTTCAGTTTTACCGTTTGTCTTTTTCTTATTACACTGTTCAGTAGAATCATTTTTTAAAAATCACAGTTAACTCAAACAGAGAATGATGATTCCCCAGGGAAATGTGTGCACCTGCACATATGCAGACATGCATAAGGATGTTCCCTGAAACACTGTTTGCAGTAGCAAAATGTTGCCTTCCACTAAGGAAATGGAAAAATGAAATGCGGCCCAGCCACATGATGAAAGCTATCAGGTAATGAAAATGAACTCACTGTCATGCATCAACATTGATCTCAAAAACGGAGTTTGGAGTGCAGGCTGCCATCCTGCACATCCCCAAGGGAGCCATCATAGTGTCCTGTATGAATGCAACCCTCAGGAACTGTGCAGTGCATCGCCTGGGCAACCAACCTGTGGCCCTGGCTGAGTGAATACAGCAAGCTGAATAAGTACCAATGCATGTCAACTCACACAGAACAATAATTCAGACATTGTTTATGAATGTGTTTGTGTGCTAAAAGAATTAGAAAGTAAAACAGGAACTTCATGATGGTCCTTACCTAAGGGGAGGGAGAGAAGTGAACAGGATCAGGGAGAACGAAGGAGATGTAACTATCTGTCATTTGTATTTACTTCATGATAGAAAAATCTGAAGCCAGTACGACAAAAGGATAACATTTGGTCATTTCAAGGTGTGTGTTTTATTAGCCTTTATATTTTTCTGTGTGTTTCGTTTTTCAAAGAGGAAGGGGAATGGAGACAACAAAAACTATATAAAGGATGAGGGTGACTTCTTTAATATGCAAGAAAGATTTCATAAGTGTATTTGCCAAGTCAGTTACTTTGATGAGGTATACTCACTCCCATCCCGTCTCCTCCGTTGTCTCAGCCCCCACTACCTGCCACCAACAAACACACACACACACACACACACACTTTCACATTCATGCCCTTGTGGGGCTTATGTTTTCTCTGCAGAGCTTCATTTGACATCTAGATGACTGGGAAAGTGGGAGGTGAAGAGGAGAGAAGCAGCACCTTCATGTTCTCAGCATTGGAGACACTGTCAGAGGCCCCTGCTAGGAAATGCTTCCAATATGTAATCAAACTAGAAACACCCACCATCACCAACAAGAGACCCAGTGTTCCAATTTTATGAGAAAGCATGGCTTTCTTTTGCATTTACTAAGAAGCGGTTACCTGTGTATAGCAACTTTGGGAGATGTTTTTGGAAATAATCCCGTGATTGGATTCAGATGGCAGATTTTGTGCAGCCCAGACTTCTATGTCAATAGCACTCTGCACAGGGTTTCCACCACCCCCTCCCACACGACTGTTTTGTCGCATCTCGGGGTGTATTTAATAGAACCAGTGTCTGAGGAGTTATGCCCTGAGGCTGGGAGGCCTTCATGGCAACTTGCACATTTTTACAAAACAACTCTGGTGGATTGAGGGTGCCCTGGAGAGCAAGGACAAGGAGCTCAGGCTGTGTTCAGCTGGACTCCAGCATTCCCTGTGGTTGCTCTAAATAGTTCCTGTTCCTTCAAATAGTTCCTGTTCTGGCAGGTATTGTCCAGAGAGCAAGACTTGCAGGTTGGAAGAGGAGAGAGACTTCATCCCAGTTTCATGAGCATTCATCTCCAAGAGTGTCTCCTCTCAAGTTTCTAGACATAACTGCAGCAACGGGCGTTTTGTACATATGTGAAGCCATCTTCTCCCTTGCATTCCAGTGTTCTATTAAAAAACTGAAAACACCAAGTGTTGCCTGGTATCCTGAAAATAGGCAGTCCCATATATGCTGGTCAGAGTATAAATTGGTGTAATCTTTCTAGAAAGCAGCTTGACAATGTATGTCAAAAACATTTGAAATTATCATATCCTATAAGCCACTAATTCTATTTTTCTTTCTTTCTTTTTTTTTTTTTTTTTGAGAAGAGTCTCACTCTGTTGCCCAGGCTGGAGTGCAGTGGCGTGATCTCCACTCACTGCAAGCTCTGCCTCCCGGGTTCACGCCATTCTCCTGCCTCAGCCTCCCGAGTAGCTGGGACTACAGGTGCCCACCACCACACCCGGCTAATCTTTTGTATTTTTATTACAGATGGGGTTTCACCGTGTTAGCCAGGATGGTCTCGATCTCCTGACCTCACGATCTGCCCACCTCGGCCTCCCAACACTAATTCTACTTTTCTATTTCTGGAAATTAATTTTACCTTTATGTGTGTGTGTATAACAGAAATATTATCTATTACTGCAAAACACATTTGTTTTGCCCCAAACTTAAATTGGCATAAAACAATAAACAATTATTATCTTACAGTTTCTGAGGGCAGGAAGTTGAAAATGGCTTAGCTAAGTGTTCTGGCTAGGGGTCTTCAGATGTCATCTGGGGCTACAGTCATCTGAAGGCTGAACTGGGGCTGGGATTCTGCTGCTGAGGTGGCTCACTCACTGGTTGTTGGCAGGAAGCCTCCGTTCCTCACCAGGTGTGCCTCTCCATGTGCTTCTTCATGGCCTCATGATGTGGCATGAGCCCCATTCTGTCTGATCCAGAAAGCTGAATGTAGTCTTCCAGCTGTTCACAGTGGCTTCTATTGTCTTAGGCTTCAACTTGTTGTCAGGATTTAACCCTCCGCCCTTTCTTCCAGGATAAGTGAATGGGAAAGAAGGATGTGTTGAAGCTTCTGGAGGGCTTATTGCACCCACAGGGAGGGGATGTATCTAATTGCTGCCCCTCATTGGCACCTCTTGCCTTCTGTGAAGGTCTGACTCATCCAGCCTGGTCTCTGGTGATAGCCCCATGCCCACTGTCACCTCTGGTCACAGGGTCCACAGTGGTCTCTCTGTCCCCCCATGTTACACACTTGGCTCCCTAGGTTCACTTCCATACCCCATTTAGAGTACCTGGGAGATACTGGGTGGGAGTGTGAACATTTGGCTCCACATTACTTATGCAAATTTCTGCAGCCAGCTTGGATTTCTCCTCAGAAAATGGGATTTTCTTTTCTATCACATTGCCAGACTGCAAATTTTCTAAACTTTTATGCTCTGCTTCCCTTATAAAACCAAATGCCTTTAACAGCACCCAAGTCACCTCTTGAATGCTTCTCTGCTTAGAAATTTCTTCCGCCAGGTACCCTAAATCATCTCTCTCAAGTTGAAAATTCCAGAAATCTCTAGGGCAAGGGCAAAATGCTGCCAGTCTCTTTGCTAAAACATAACAAGAGTCACCTTTGCTCCAGTTGCCAACAAGTTCCCCATCTCCATCTAAGACCACCTCCGCCTGGACTTTATTGTCCATATTGCTATCAGCATTTTGGGCAAAGCCGTTCAACAAGTCTCTAGGAAGTTCCAAACTTTCCCACATTTTCCCTTCCTCTTCTGAGCCCTCCAAGCTGTTCCAATCTCTGCTATTACCCAGTTCCAAAGTCGCTTCCACATTTTTGGGTACCTTTTCAGCAGCACCCCACTCCTGGTACCAATTCTTTGTATTAGTCCATTTTCATGCTGCTGATAAAGACATATCCAAGACTAGGCAATTTACAAAAGAAAGAGATTTAAAGGACTTACAGTTCCACATGGCTGGGGAGGCCTCACAATCATGGTGGAAGGCAAGGAGCAAGTCACATCTTACGTGGATGGCAGAGAGACAGCTTGTGCAAAGAAACTCCCATTTTAAAACCATCAGATCTTATGAGACCCACTCAGCATCATGAGAGCAACACAGGAAAGATCCGCCCCCATAATTCAGTCAGGTCCCACTGGGTTCCTCCCATGACACATGGGAATTGTGGAAGTTACGATTCAAGAGGAGATTTGGGTGGGGCCAAATCATATCATATCAGCCAAACCATATCAGCTGGAGATGTAGGTCTCCTTCCAGGAGGTGGCAGAGGGCTGGAGATGGGTCCCCTTCCAGGAGGTGGTGGAGAACTGGAGACGGGTCACCTTCAGGAGGTGGTGGAGAACTGGAGACGGGTCACCTTCCAGGAGGTGGTGGAGAACTGGAGATGGGTCACCTTCCAGGAGGTGGTGGAGAACTGGAGACGGGTCACCTTCCAGGAGGTGGTGGAGAGCTGGAGATGGGCTCCCTTCCAGGAGGTGGTGAAGAGCTGGGGCTGGATCCCTTTCCAGGAGGTGGTGGAGAACTGGAGATGGGCCCCCTTCCAGGAGGTGGTGGAGAGCTAGAGATGGGCCCCGTTCCAGGAGGTGGTGGAGAGCTGGGACTGGATCCCTTTTGGAGAGCTGGGGCTGGGCCTGCCTTCCAGGGCCTTACCTAGATGGCGTCTTGAGTGTCAGCTGCCTGGGCCTCTCCGGTGCTTTTCTTGCTGCAGCCAGTGGGAGGAGGGTGGTGGGTGGAGTATGTCTTTACAGCAACTTCACCCAGGCTTGCCCTTTTAGGTTCCTGAATCTTCTGTTTAGTTCCAGACTCTTCCCCTAGTCTGGGGCACTTTAGAGAGTGAAAGGGCTGCTGGGACAGCAAGAGTAAAGGGTAGTTCTGAGCATACTGGGATGTGGGATCATTCTGGTCTAACCTTCTACACATCTGGCAATGGGGGAGGGTGTATTGGAGGACAGAAAATTCATGAGTTCCTGGGTAAGCACCTTATCACCTATCTTTGTAAAATTGTCCATCCGTCCATCATTCCAACAAGTGTTTATTGAGTGCTACTATGAGTCAGCTGGTGAACTAGTTTTTCATGCTCCATGAGATTTCTGCAATTACCAAGCTTACAAAGGAGAGAACGAAGAGAAGGGAAAAGACAAGACAACTGAGAATGGCAAGAATGAGGAGTTCATTCAACTACAGACAGGGCAGCGTGACTGGAGGAGGCACTCTGACCACATGGGTAGGAACCAGGGACTGGGGAGTCAGCCCCACCCCTTACTCATCAAATGATTCTGAGCAAGTTACTTGGTTTCTCTGAACCTCAGTTACCTCTTATAAAATGGGAATAGTATCCACATCACAGGGTTAATGTCAACGTGAAGTGAAATCATTGTTTGCAAGACACTTAGGACAGGGAACTGAGTGGCTATGATGATGTCCTAGGCTTCAGCCTTTGCCCTGAAGCTGAGAAGCATTCTTTTTCCCTGTCCTCTTAGTTGCTACGTTCTTTTTTTTTCTTTTCTTTTCTTTCTTTCTTTTTTTTTTTTTTTTTATACTTTAAGTTCCAGGACACATGTGCAGGATGTGCAGGTTTGTTACATAGGTGTACATGTGCCATGGTGGTTTGCTGCATCTATCAACCCATCATCTAGGTTTTAAGCCTCGCATTCACTAGGTATTTGTCCTAATGCTGACCCTCCCCTTTCCCCCCACCCCACAAAACAGGCCCCAGTGTGTGTTGTACCCCTCCCTGGTCTATGTGTTCTCATCGTTCAACTTCCACTCATGAGTGAGAACATGCAGTGTTTGATTTTCTGTTCCTGTGTTAGTTTGCTGAGAATGACGGCTTCCAGCTTCATCCACGTCCCTGAAAAGGACATGAACTCATTCTTTTTTATGGCTGCATAGTAGTCCATGGTGTGTATGTGCCACATTTTCTTTTTTCTTTTTTTTTTTTTTAGACAGAGTCTCGCTCTGTCGCCCAGGCTGGAGTGCAGTGGCACGATCTCAGCTCACTGCAAGCTCCGCCTCCCGGGCTCACACCATTCTCCTGCCTCAGCCTCCCAAGCAGCTGGGACTACAGGCACCCACCCCCATGCCTGGCTAATTTTTTTTGCATTTTTAGTAGAGACGGGGTTTCACTGCGCTAGCCAGGATTGTCTCGATCTCCTGACTTCCTGATCCGCCCACCTCGGCCTCCCAAAGTGCTGGGATTACAGGCGTGGGCCACCGCGCCCGGCCGCATTTGGGTTGGTTCCAAGTCTTTGCTATTGTAAATAGTGCTGCAATAAACATAGGTGTGTGGGTGTGTCTTTATAGTAGAATGATTTATAATCCTTTTGGTATATACTCAGCAATGGGATTGCTGAGTCAAATGGTATTTCTGGTTCTAGATCCTTGAGGAATCGTCCCACTGTCTTCCACAATGGTTGAACTAATTTACACTCTCGCCAACAGTGTAAAAGCATTCCTATTTCTCCACAGCCTCGCCAGCATCTATTGTTTCCTGACTTTTGAATAACCACCATTCTGACTGGCGTGAGATGTTATCTCATTGTGGTTTTTAGTTGCTGTATTCTTTTTTGTTCTGTTCCTTTTTCTTTTATTGGGAGGCAATGCAGTGTGCAGATTAAGACATCTGGAGTCAGACCACTCATGTCTGACTCCCAGCTCTGTAATCTGCTGGCAGTGAGACCGTTGGCAGATTGGTCCCTCTAAGCCTCAGTTTCCTCATATGCAAAATGCAGGTAGTAATTCATATGCACACACATACACACTTCTAGAATCCAAAAGCTTTGTAAACAGATTTTTTTTTTCCTGAGTTTGACATGGACTCATTTGGCAGCAGGACCAAACCTGAACTGACGTGATGCTCTTTATAATAGTTATTTATCCAACCAGGAGTGAGTATTTGTATATCTAGCTGCAGAAATACTACTGTGTTTCATGATAGGATCCTCCCGCTGACTGCTGGAATGTTCTGTGATAGATATACTATGTTACTTTGTAAAATCCAAAGTTCTGAGTTCTGAAAACATCTGCCCCCAGAGTATAAAGTATTGTCAGCGTGTGGTATTTACCCTCAGGTGTGTCCTGAGGACCGAGTGAGAGGGTGTGTGTGATGAGGCTTTCACACGGGGAGCCCCAGGCAGCTCTTGGGAATGCTATTCACATGGAAGGTGACACACTCATGGTGCCTCCCAAGTGGAGCCATGGGGTTTATGCTACAGAAGAATTGTTATGGCCCTGGCACCAAGCAAGCGCTCAAAAACAGTAACAGCCAACATGAATACAGGGGCTTGCTATGTGCCAGACACAGTTCTAGGGGCTTTACATCATATTATCTCTTTTTATCTTTACAACAGCCTTTATGAGGCAGACACTATTATCTCCACTTTACAAGTGAGGAAACCCAGACACAGAAGGTTAAGTAAATTACCCAAGACTTTCTGATCAAGAGAGACAAAAGTCAAAGATCAGCTACTACTGTTTTCTCCTTTCTTTCCTCTCATTATAAGTGCTGCACATAATAAAAGAATGAAGAAAAGGAGATCCATGATTAATGAAAATTTCCCAGGAGCTACTTTCAAACTGTATCTCATTTTATCCGCAAAACAAATCTGAGATAGATGTGAAATTGTTCTCCTTTTACAGAAGGAGCATGGAGAGCTTAAGGGACATAAGGAGGGCAAGTGCATTCATGCGGAGGTCCGTCCTATGTCCTATTCCAAAACCCATTGTTGCATCTCAAGAGGAAGTTTTGACAGGGGAGTTAAGGGTTAACCAGCTCAGGCTGGAAATGCTGAATCACCCAATTAAAGGAGACTTGCTGCTTTGATGGGAAGGTCTGATCCAAAACTGCTGGGGTGACTCTCCTTGACCCTACCGTTTGGGCAGCTTCATTTATCTTTTCTGTGTCCCTGACCTTGATGTTGAAACCATTACTCAACCCTCAGTGAAGTTCTTAACCGGCTTTTTTGAAATGACTCATGCATCAAGGTCCAGCCATCTTGACTTTGTAGGGCCCGATGCCCTGAATTAGCTTCTGAGAACCCAGTGCCCAAACTGGTGTCCCCAGGTGGGCCTGGCAGACCATAGGTGGCAGCTTTCTCGGTTCTCCTTCACTTCACTTCTCTCTGGATGTGTGCGTGCTTTTTCTCTCATTGCTAAGGCACGCCCCAAGCTTTTTGCTTATTTGTTTTTATTTTCATCTTAAAATCACCCATGCACTGTTTTACCCCTCCCATCAACCTACCTATATGCATAAATCTTCTCTAGTTTTGATCAGCTGTCTTTTTTTCCTCCTCCAAGCCACCCTCTCTTCCCTTCTCACTAAAGAAATTCTTAAATGAGAATCATGATGTACTCACTTGATCATCTAGTCACTGCTCGCCTGAATTCAGTCCCTCCCCCAGCTCTGCACTTTCAAAGCCTATCCCCTCTTTCCACTCTCCACTCTCAGAGGGCAGGTGAAGCTGTGGGCCCCTCTCTCCCTCCTGGACCCTCCTTCTCCAGCCCAGAAGCTGGTTCTGTGGTTTCTGCACTTCTTTTACTGCCCTTTTCATTTTCCTTTGCTGGCTCTTCTTAGAGCTTAAATGCAGGTACTTCCTGCAAACGTGTGTTCCTATTTCTCCTCAGTACACCTTCCTTCTGATTTCATCCAACTTTATGGCTTCAACTATTGCCTCTGGGTGTCTGGCTTCTACACTGTTGTCTAGCCTGACTGCTTTCCAGAGATCAGAGCTTGATTTCCAGCTGCGGAATGGGTGTACTGAAGTCCCCTCTTGCATGCAAATAGTGTTGCACCTTGTTAACAATGCCATTCCTGCGCTGCATTCATTCTCTCAGAGGCTCAGGCTTCAAATTTGAGAGCCAGTTTCAGCTCCTTTCAAGCACTGACCAAACCATGGAAATTCTATTTCTGAGTTTCTCAAACCTTTTTTCCTTCTTTCCACTGTCCTAGCATAGGCTTTTGATATGTTCTATCTTGATTATAGTGATAGTTTCTCAGTAGATCTCTTTGATTGTTATCTTTGGCTCTCAGAGCTAGCATAGAATATGCTAGCAGTGAGTGATGTAGGTACACAGCAAATCGTATCATTTCCTGAAAACTTTCTGTGAGTCTCTTATTGCAAATTAAGTAAAATTGCAACTCTGTAACCTGTGGTGAAATGCCCCTTTCATTTAGCCCAGCCTCCATCCTGGCCCCATCGCTGCCCAGGGTCCCTGCTCCTGCCCACATCACACCCTGGTTGCTTTCTCCTAACTGGAAGGCCATCCATCTTTGCTCCTCTCTGCCTGGCAATATACCACCCTGCGTCGGAGGCTGGGAAGCAATTTTAGGAGGCTTTCCTGGATCTCCCCAGGAGGAATCAGAGTCACCATAGAATTGGGGGCAGCAGGTTAGCCTATAAGTTAGGGTCAAATCGTGTTCACCAGAGACAGTGCATTTTTTGCACTAAACATCATGAGTCTAGTATTAAAATGTCATTTTTCTTCTCTACACTCAGTGTTGTAGCAGGAGACCAGGAAGTTAATTGTGATGACCTTCGTGAGTCAAAAAAGAGAAACTCACAAGATATGGGCACTTTGATCCTATCGTGCAAGTTTTCATTGAGTGTCTGGGTTATTCCACACTGCGCTGTAAAGACTGCAGATACCAAGGCATATCTTACCCTCAAGAAGCCTATATTTGGACTGGGAAAGAGAGATTTGTACCATATAACATCATTTCATGAAATGCATGGTGCTGACGGGACTGTGTTAATCTGTGACATTTTACCCTTTTTTTGGTTTAAACATTTGTTTTTCAATATTATGATTTTAAACTTTGGATGTATTGGAAACATGGGAATAGTGTCTTTCACCTCTCTCCAATTTCCTTTATTTCTTAAAATTAACGCATAATAATTGCACAGATTTATGGGGTACATAGTGATGTTTTGATACATACAATATATAGTGATTCTCCTTTTTCTTTACTCAGAGGCTAAGGTGGAGATGGTGGTCTGCCAGATGTTCATAAAGATCATTTCAGCAAAAATATTTTTTAAATTAAGTGTTTTAGTATAAACCTTCTTCAACTGTTTTCCATTATACAAGCTGTAATCCATCCATGCCTTTATTCATTCATGCATTAAGGGCCCACTGAATGCCACATTTGCTTACGGTGAGAATGAGCTTGGACCCTTCCCAGGAAGGAAGGTATTGACCATCTGTCTGAACATCTAAACATTGTCTGAACGTCGAAGCTACAATACACTAAAAGATGATTACTGGGGGCCTGCTGCTTTGCTTCTTTCTACCTGCTCCACCCCACTGTGGCTCCATTCGTTCTGAAGGCAGATGTAGCCTATAGTAGTCTGCTCACTTGTCTGGCTTCTTTAGAAGGTGGGCGTTGGTAGATTCAAAGAACAGCAAGCAGACAGCAACGTCTTTACACCATGAACTATGGTGCATTTGATAAATATTTTTAGTGGCATATTTGTATTAAAACATCAACAAACTTACACCTACCCTGAATCTTACCGAAGCAGCTCCACATGGAATTTTTCAGTAAATACTTACACCAAAGAGCTTTAAACATTACACTAGAAAGTCAGAAGTGGTCAGAGTAGGACCACTGCTCACAGCTCTATCTTGGCAGGGTACCCATGGATCCTCAGTTAGATTTTCAGACTCTTTAGAGTGGAATCTAGAAGAGAAATCTTTCTTCTGCTAATACTGCTCACCTCTTGTAATAGACATTGCAGGTACCCTCTCCAAGCACAATTTCTTAGCACTGGCCTCTATTCTCAGATGACTGCTCACTGCAAACACCTGTGATGCTTTCAGGGTGGTTGTGGGGACATGCAGGGCCTGTGCCTAGGGCAAGCAGAGGTGCCAGGCTTACTGCCCCTAGACAAAATGTTCCAATGAAGTCTAGAGAGTTGGCATTACTCCCTCCCAGCTTGCCTTTGGTGTGAGCTTCAGTTGTACACAGTGGCAACTGACTTGATCACCTTCCAACTCCCCCTCCAGTGTCTCCTGGGATTATCTCCCAAATAAACTACTTGCACTCAAATTTTTGTCTTAGGATCTGCTTTTCAGAGTTTAACTAAAGTTTATAATTTTTTATTCAGTGATGAAATAAACAATAAACAAAACAACATGGGAATGCCATAAATGCGTATTGCTAAGAGAAAGAAGTCAGTCTGAGAAGGTTGCATACTATATTATTCCATTTTGTGACATTCTGGAAAGACAAAACTATAGAGACAATGAGCAAATCAGTGGTTGCTGTGGGTTTGCAGAAGGATGAGGGCTGACTAGGTGAAGCACATATTTTTTTAGGGCTATGAAACTATTCTGTATGGTACTGTAGTGGTGGTTAATAATACCATCTATTGGCTGGGAGCAGTGGCTCATGCCTGTAATCCCAGCACTTTGGGAGGCCAAGGTGGGCGGATCACGAGGTCAGGAGTTTGAGACCAACCTGGCCAACATGGTGAAACCCCATCTCTACTAAAAATACAAAAAATTAGCTGGGCGTGGTGGCAGATGCCTGTAATCCCAGCTGCTCAAGAGGCTGAGGCAGGAGAATCACTTGAACCCAGGAGGCGGAGGTTAGAGTGAGCCAAGATAGTGACATTGTACTCCAGCCTGGGCAACAGGAGTGAAATTCCGTCAAAAAAAAAAAAAACCCACAAAAAACAAAAAACAAACAAACAAAAAAAAACCCATCCATTTGTCAAAACCCAAAGGACTCCACAGCACAAAATAATATATGCAAATTTGAAAAAAACGACCGACAGAACAGGGTTCTAGGATGAAATGAAGATTGTGACAAAAGAATATACAGTCATAGCCTGGGTAGCATAGCGATACCCTGTCTCTACAAAAAAAATACAACAATTAGCCAGGCATTGTGGTGCACAACTGTAGTCCCAGCTACTTGGGGGACTGAGGTGGCAGGATTGCTTGAGCTTGGGAGGTTGAGGCTACAGTGAGCCTGTGTTCACACCACTGCACTCCAGACTGGGCAACAAAGTGAGACCCTGTCTCAAAAAAAGAAAACAAAAAAGAATATACAGTCATGCATCACTTAATGACAGGGATACATTCTGAAAAATGTGTCATTAGGTGGTTTCATCATAGTGTGAACATCATAGAGTGAAATTAAACAAACGTAGATAGTACAGCCTATTGCTCCTAGGCTATAAACCCCTAGAGCATGTTACCATACTGAATACTGTAGGCAATTATAACTTGATGGTATTTGTGTGCCTAATCCATACCTAAACATAGAAAAGATGCAGTAAAAATATGCTATAAAAGATTGAAATGGCCGGGCGTGGTGGCTCACGCCTGTAATCCCAGCACTTTGGGAGGCAGAGGCTGGCAGATCACCTGAGGTCAGGAGTTCAAGACCAGCCTGGCCAACATGGTAAAACTCCGTCTCTACTAAAAATACAAAAATAGCTGGGTGTGACGGTGGGTGCCTGTAATCCCAGCTACTTGGGAGGCTGAGGCAGAAGAATCACTTGAACCTGGGAGGTGAAGGTTGCAGTGAGCCGAGATCGTGCCGTTGCACTCCAGCCTGGATGCCAAGAGCGAAACTCCATCTCAAAAACAAAAAAAGTTAAAATGGTACATCTTCATAGGGCACTTTCTGTACATAGGAAGTTGCTCTGGGTGAGTCAGTGAGTGAGCGGTGAATGTAAAAGCCTGAGACATGCCTGTACATTATTGTGTACTTTATAAACACTGTACCTTTAGTCTACACTAAATTTATTTTAAAAATAATTTTGCCATGACATTAGGGCAGCCATGATGCCACTAGCTAATAGGAATTTTTCAGTTCTGTTATAATCTTATGGGACCACTGTTGTATGTGCAGTCCATCACTGACCAAATGCCATTATGTGGTGCATGACTTTAACTATATTACAAATGTGTGATATAACTTCACTGAAGGTGTCAGGAGAAAGAAATGCTGATGTTAAGTAACTTTGGAAATGCGGGAAACTATAAAACTAAAGATAAAAGGAACTATATGTACAAGCACTGTGCTCCAGTTGATAAAGTTGCTAACCGTGGAGGTACAGGTTAACTATCCTGAAACCATTCTACATGCATATTGGGATTGGGCAAATAGGTAAATGGTTGGTGGATGATGGGAACCAAGTCACTTTTGGAGTAGAAGGTTACAGACAAGCAAGAGAGAAAGGCTGAAAGGAGCCACGTGGTACTGAATTAGACTTGAGGACATCGGTATGAACTCATGTTTGGCTTAATATAGATACTGATAGGCAGATATAGAAGTAATTATAATTTGTGTATATGCAAGGGTTACTATATATACATATATATACACATACATATATGTATATACTTCCTAATCATGTTCACGGGGAGGGTCTAGAGACAATGATACCCAGCATCAATGAACACACCTAGCCTAGGTCTTGGTTTCTAAATACTATTCTCCAGTTTTAAAAAACCTAGAAATGGATGATTCTATGGCTCGGGCAGTGAATATACAGGATGAACCAGGAGTATCCTGCAGAGCCAGAAAGTAAGGAAGTGCTTACAAAGCAAATCAGCAGGTATATATCAAATAGGACATAGAAGCCATCGGAAAGAGCTCTCAATGACCAAAGCTGACAATTTGAGCCGAAAATAAAAACATAGTATTGGATTATAACCCAAAGTACAAAATAAACATCCATAATCGGCCGGGCACGGTGGCTCATGCCTGTAATCCCAGCACTTTGGGAGGCCGAGGCAGGTGGATCACAAGGTCAGGAGATCGAGACCATCCTGGCTAACACAGTGAAACCCCGTCTCTACTAAAAGTACAAAAAATTAGCCGGGCGTGGTGGTGGGTGCCTGTAATCCCAGCTACTTGGGAGGCTGAGGAAGGAGAATCGCTTGAACCCAGGAGGTGGAGCTTGCAGTGAGCTGAGATCGTGCCACTGCACTCCAGCCTGGGCGACAGAGTGAGACTCTGTCTCAAATAAATAAATAAATAAATACCCATAATCCACACTGATATTAATATATAATCGAATTAATAAATTTTGGGGGGGAGGCAAATATTCCAAACAGAAGAATTCCAAATCATTTCTGTGGCTACTCCTCCCTCAAAGAAGTAGAGCATAATCTCCACCCTTGGGCATGGGCTGTGCATGGTGACTTCCTTCCAAAGGGTACATACTATAAGGAAACGGTAAAATTATTCACAGTAAAATCATTCACTCTGGAGAAACCTGACAAACACCACCTCAGCCAAGTGGTCAAGGTCAACATCATCAGTGATAAGCAATGTTTGATAGTATCAACCCTTGATATGTTTAATTTGTGATGAAGTTGATGAAAATGACACTTTCCCTCTGTGGTCTTCCTTCTAAAAACATGTAACCCTGGTCTAACCATGAGAAACGCACCAGACAAACCTCACTTGAGAGACATTTTTCAAAATATCTGACCAGTACTTCTGAAAACTGTCAAGACAATCAAAAAAGGAAAGTCTGAGAAGCTGTCACAGCTGAGAGAAGCCTAAGGAAACATGACAATGAAATATAACTTGGTATCCTGGATGGGGTCCTGGAAAAAAGAAAAAAAGGATGTTGGGGAAAAACTAATGGAATCCAAATAAAGTATGGGTTTTAGTGAATAGTAATATGTCAATGTTGGCTCCTTAGTTGTGACAAGCATACCATAGTAATCTAAGATGTTAACAGTGGAGAAAATTGGATGTGGGGTGTATGGGAACTCTGTACTATCCTTGAAACTTTTCTATGAACATATGTATTCTAAAATTAAAAGTTTATGTAAAAACGCATTATTATGCCCAAAGGGCTGCTTCTCTCTGGAGTAAAGATTGGAAGGAATGTCAGAGGTAAGGGACAGCCGCCTGTGTGCCCCAGTTAGTACTGTAACTAGGATAGAGAGCTTGGGGTTAAAACTGCCCCCGGAGAGTTAAAGAAACAATGACTAACAGAAATTCTTGGGCTTACAAGATAGCAGATAAGAAAAGAAACAAAGTTTAAACTGAAACTACGCCCCAAAGAGTAAGAAACCAATGACTAACAGAAATTCTTGAGTTTGCAGGATGGCAGATAAAAAGAAACCATTTGTTGAAATGCTGACACTCCCTCAGCTTGTGAGATTTCAAAACTGGCTGAAATCGGTTGGAACCAAAATGGCCAACTGGATTTTGCACAGAACAGGCTTGCTGATGTCACAGCCCATGTTTCCACCATGTGTTTCATACTAACTCCCCCTGAAATTTATACACGCAACTCATGAGGTGGCAGTTATCAAGAGATAACTGTGCATGTCCGAGGAGTTTCCAGACCTCCCCTTTCCTTCCACCAATTATCTACTAATCCCGGAATCCACCCCCTAATCCTTTCCTGATAAGATTACCGCCTTGAAGCCAGCACAGGGAGACAAATTTGAGCTGGGCTGGTCTCTTTGCTAGTTGACTTGCAATAAAAAGCTTTGCTTTTTCATAGTATTGCCTTCTAGTGCCTCAGACGTTACCCTTTTTTACTTGATAATAGGGTTAAGATTCTTTTACCTCCAAATCTTAATTTGGAGATATGATTTCTAGCAGGGCTCTTTTCTTACAAAATTCCACAAAATGCACCCACTTTGCATCTTACTGTGTTGATTAGTGGTGATCCATATTAAATTTCTGCCTCCCCATTGCCTATCCATTAGGCTAAATAACCAAGAGTCTGAATCTTTATAGGGAGCATATTTTTATTATTCCACAGTAAATTGGTGGGCACTGGAGTATATGTAGTACTAAAAAAAAAAAGCCCTTAATGTATAAACATGCTCTCTTTAACTCTCTGAGATGGTTGAATTTTTAATAAGGTAGCAAAAGGAGTGAATTGCAGACTAACTTCACTTTAAACTATTTCCTCGTATTAGAATTCTCATTGAATTAAATCCTCCAAAGTTTTAGTACTATAAATAATAGTACTAAAAAAATTATTATACAATAAAAATATTATTGCTATTACTATTATTACTGATTTGGGGCTGTAAAGGAGGCAGTCTCAGAATCAAAAGTTCAGAAGTTTATATTTAAATATATCACCAGGAGAAATCGGAAAAGAGAAAATGATAGATTTGACTACACAAAAATGGAAGCATCTATGTATTGTTCCCAAAATATCATCAATGAAATTAAAAGGGAAACTGAGAAAAAACTATGACAATGACTGGTAAAAGGAAATTATATATAAGTACATATGCTAAGAAAATTAATATATATGGATATGCCTTCCCTTCAAGAAATATTAAGCAAAGGCCATGATATAGCAATTTGTAAAGAAAGAAATGGAAATTGATGATAAATATTTTTAAAATTTCAATAAAGAAATGCAAATTGTTACTAATAACATACTAATGTTCAGTCAAGAAATGCAAATTGTTAATAATGACAACTTTTTTGTCCATCAATTGCACTTTAATACCTTGCTGATAGAACAGCTTTTCTTAAGAACATTTGGCAATATCTATCAAAAAGTCTCTGGAATGTCTGCTAATTGATCTAGGGATTCCATTTTTATAATTTTTCTAAGAAGAAAATTAGTATGTGGAAAGACTTCTTCATAAATAAGTTTATTACTACATTGTTTATAATAGTAAAGAATCAAAACCAACTTTTACCCACCAATAGAAAATTATTTAAATAAACTATAATTCATCCATTCGAAAGAACACTAATCAGCCATTAAAAATGGTTATATAGGTCAGGGGTTGGCAAACTATGGCCCATTGGTCAGCTGCCCTTTTTTGTAAATAAAGTTTTATTGGGACACAGCCGTGCCCATACATTTATGTACTGTGTGTGGCTTCTATATCTGCTGCTAGTTTGCTAGGGCCGCTGTAACAAACCACCACAAATGGGGTGGCTTCAACAACAGAAATGGATTGTCTCACAGTTCTGGAGGCTAGAAATCCAATCGAGGTGTTCTGAGAGCTGTGAGTGAAGGATCTGTTCCAGGCCTCTCTCCTTGGCTTGTAGATGGCCGTCTTCTCCCCATGCCTCTTCACATTGTCTTCTCACTGTGCATGTCTGCGTCCACATTTCCCCCTCTTTATAAGGATATCAGTCATACTGGATGAGGGGCCCCACTCTACTCTTATATAACTTCATCTTAACTAGTTATATCTGCAATCACCCTATTTCCAAAAACGAGGTCACATTCTGAGGTACTGGGGATTAAGACTCCAGCATATGAATTTTGGGGGGGCACGCTGAACCCATAATAGCTGCTTTCGTGCTACTGTTTCATGTGTTCATACTCAACAGCAGAGTTGAGTAGTTCTGACAGAAGTGTGGTCTGTGAAGTCTGAAATAGTTATCTGCCCCTTACGGAAAAACTTGCTGACTCCTGCTATAGGTGAGCATGTTTTGACATGAAAAATACTCAAAATCTGTCCTAAAGAACATTTATTTATTTACTTATTTATAGACAGGATCTTGCTATGTTGCCTAGGCTGGACTCCAATTCCTGGGCTCAAGCAATCCTCCTGCCTCGGCCTCCAGCATAGCTGAGACTACAGGCATGTGCTATCCTGCGGGGCCAAAAACATTTATTTTTATGGTAATATAATATTTCACTTATTCTGTTCATTATTAACTAATATCTGAGAACATTTACAATATTAATGAGACTTAATCTAGGAGGAGTTCAAATTAATTTTTTTTTTTCTTTGAGGTAGAGTCTCACTCTGTTGCCCAGGCTGGAATGCAGTGGTGTGATCTCGGCTTACTGCAACCTGCACCTCCCGGGTTCAGGCGATTCTTCTGCCTCAGCCTCCTGAGTAGCTGGGACTACAGGTGCCCGCCACCATGCCCAGCTAATTTTTGTATTTTTAGTAGAGACGGGGTTTCACCATGTTGGCCAGGCTGGTCTTGAACTCCTGACCTCAAATGATCCACCCACATTTGAGTGCTGGGATTACAGGTCTGAGCCACCATGCCTGGCCTAAATTTATTTTTCTTTATGTCTCAGTACCATCTAAATAAGAGAGATAGTCAAAATAATTATGGTCAAACTTATGATGTCAAAAACATAAATAAGTGGTTGGTGTTAGCATGTCTACATATAGTTCAGTTTTTGCTGTAAGGTTCTTTGGAGGCCAGATGCAGTGACTCATGCTTGTAATCCCCACATTTTGGGAGGCCAAGGCGGGTGGATCACCTGAGGTCAGGAATTTGAGACCAGCCTGGCCAACATGGTGGAACCCTGTCTTTACTAAAAATACAAAAATTAACGGAGTGTGGTGGCGGGTGCCTGAAATCCCAGCTGCTTGGGAGGCTGAGGGAGGAGAATCACTTGAACCCAGGAGGCGGAGGTTGCAGTGAGTCGAGATCACGCCCCTGCACTCCAGCCTGGGTGATACAGTGAGACTCTGTCTCAAAAAAAAAAAAAAAAAAAAAAGTTATTTGGCTGCAAGAAAGAACATTTGGTTTACTTTGATGATAAGAGTATCTCTTAATGCTGGGATGGCCTCTTCCTGGCATTTCTTCCATTGTTGATTTTTAGTTTAGTAGTCTGTGATTGCCTGAATGGAGTTGAGTGGAGAGGGATTCATCATGTTAATTCCAAACACGAGTTCCTGGCCAATGACTAAAATAAGTAATAAGGAGGGAGACACATAACACAACTGCCCAGTGTTTTTGATGCCAATAGGTTAAGCCTAAGGATTTTCACCAAAATTCAGAAATAACATCTCATAATAAAATAAGCACTGTGTTCTCTGCACAAGCATAGACCGAGGGACTCAAGGTACAAGGGAGGAAAAATTGAGGAGAGGCCCAAGGCCCTGAGGTGCCCTCCCCATTCCCTGCCCTACCCGCATTACAGGCGCCCGGTGACCTTCACTGGAGGAAACATGGAAATACATTCTTAAGTGAAAATGATTACAAAATAGTATATTTTCTGGAAAATTATCTCATCTGAAAATATCTGCCAGGTGCAGTGGCTCACACATGTAATCTAAGCAGTTTGGGAGGCCAAGGCAGGAGGACTGCTTGAACCCAGAGTTTGAGACCACCCTGGGCAACATAGTGAGACCCTGTATCTATACAATTTTTTAAAACAACAGCAACAACAACAAAACAGGCCGGGCGCGGTGGCTCACGCCTGTAATCCCAGCACTTTGGGAAGCTGAGGCTGTCAGATCACTTGAGGTCAGGAGTTCAAGACCAGCCTGGCCAACATGGTGAAACCCCATCTCTACTAAAAGTACAAAAATGAGCCAGGAATGGTGGCATGTGCCTGTAATCCCAGCTACTCGGGAGGCAGAGGTAAGAGAATCGCTCGAACTCGGGAGGCGGAGATTGCAATTGCGCCATTGCCCTCCAGCCCAGGGCAACAGAGTGAGACTCCATCTCAAAACAAACAAACAAACAAAAAACAATTCGCTGGACATGGTGGTCCTCACCTATAGTCCCAGGTACTTGGGAGGCTGAGGCAGGAAGATTGCTGGAGCCCAGGAGTTTGAGGCTGCAGTGACTAATGATGGCACCACTGCACTCCAGCCTGGGTGACACAGTGAGACCCTATCTCTTAAAAAAAAAAAAAGAAAATATCTACATGTGAATAGACAAAAGACAAAGAATGTACATCACACTATTATAGCAATGATTCCTGAGGTATGAAGAACTACGAGTAATTTTTATTCTCTTTTTACTTATCTGTTTTCTAATTTTTATATTATGAACACATATTATTTTTGTAATTATAAACCAAAAATGTATGCCAGCAAAAGATATAAAAAATTCATACATAGGCCGGGTACAGTGACTCAGGCCTGTAATCCCAGCACTTTGGGAGGCTGAGGTGGGCAGATCACCTGAAGTCTGCAGTTCGAGACCAGCCTGGCCAATGTGGTGAAACCCCGTCTCTACTAAAAATACAAAAATTGGCCTGGCGTGGTGGTGGGCGCCTGTTATCCTGGCTACTGGGGAGGCTGAGGCAGGAGAATTGCTTGAACCCGGGAGGCAGAGGTTGCAGTGAGCCGAGACTGCACTATTGCACTCCAGCCTGGGCGACAAGAGTGAAATTCCATCTCAAAAAACAAAAATTTTTGTGCATAATATTGTCTTTGTAAGGGTGTGGTAGAAATGGCTTTACATGCAGTGTTTATTCCAACTTCCTTCTGGTGTCCTTCTTTGTTCCTTCTGGGAACAAAAAGTCATGTTCCCTTGACTCCCTTGCAGCTGAGTCGCTGGGTATGAATTAGCATCCACCAGTAGCTGAACCTTCTTGAGAAGGAGGCCACAGTATCAGCTCTGCCTCAGTCTGCGGGGGTTCAGTGGGGGTTGGAACAGATGACCAGAACTCATCTCCATCTCTGGGCTCAGAGGGAGTTGGGGCTGGGGCGGACTCACCCCTGGATGGTGGCTGTAGCAGAAGGTTATTAAAGCTAACAGTTTGGGTGGTGGTCTTCTAATTCCCTATCTTCCTGATATCCTGGAGGTTGTAATGATCCTGGCAAGCCTGTTCTGTATCATTGCTCAGTGTTCTGGGAATCATTCCGGGATACCTAGCCTAAACAGGCAGCCTCGCCAGCAGTTTTATAATTGCCCAAATAATCCTAGGCCTAAAATAGCTGGTTGTTTCTGTTTCCTGAGACACAACCTGAGTGACATAAGGGCTCATGAGCTATTTGGGAATGAGCTTCTGCTGAAGGAAAACATACATTTTATGACAAGTCAGTGGAAGAATTAATATTTCAAGTTGCTTGGAATTCATCTGAATTGCAGAAGGAAGAGTAAAAATATCAGGAACAAGTGCCAAACCTAAAACACAACGAAGATCTCCAAGTATAAATGTAACAGGATCACAGATTTCCTCTCTTTTACTAAGACATTCAGGTACAATATCACTTATACATTTCTCTAGAATGGCTCATCCTTCCCATGAGCCTTATCTCAATGGGTTTTGGGGTGGGATGGTGAGGAGCAGGGAAACCGAATTAAGTTTGCCTGTTTGTGGAATTTTGGCTCAAAGAACCCTTTTCCATGGTGTAGCGGTGCAATCTTTCAGAGTTCTCACTTTGTCCATAGTGTCTGGATGCCCAGGGCTACACGGATAAACGTGCCGGGTGCTCTGGTCCCGTGCTGGTTTCCCATGTGAATTGGCTGGTCTGGCCTGGTCCCCAGCCTGAGATCTCTTGAAGGACCCACTGATTCCATTTAGGACAGGGGCATCGTGATGTTACTCACTGCTGGAGTCTGTGATTCCAGTCCTTGCCTCTGGTCACAGATCCTCCTCCTCTGAGTCTTCTTCCTCTAGGCCTCTATCTTTCACCAGTCTCAGAGCACTCCCAGCCACTCTCTGAGGTGTACATCGTTGCTAGATCTTTAACCTCCTCCCTGCAGGCTGTGGGGCCTGCCCCAGGTCCACACATCCATTCTTACCCTCTACTAGGGGCCACGCTGCACGAGGACAGTGCTGTGTTGGATGTGAAGTCCACGTGGGCTCATCCTGGCCTTCCAAGTGGAGCAGGAGGCAGATGCCCCTCTGCTTTCAGCTGCAAGTCTTTTTTTATCTTTTTTTTTTTTCTTTTTTTGAGAGAGTCTTGCTCTGTTGCTCAGGCTAGAGTGCAGTGGCACCATCTCCGCTCACTGCAACCTCTGCTTCCCAGGTTCAAGCGATTCTCCTGCCTCAGCCTCCTGAGTAGCTGGGATTACAGACATTTGTCACCACATCCGGCTAACTTTCGTATTTTTAGTAGAGATCTAAAATCGCATTTTTAGTAGAGTAGCACATCTGATTAGTATCTGTGCTGGCAATCAACCTGGAGAAAGGAGGCCGGGACACAGGCATCTGTCCTCTTGCCTCCACATCTACTGGGATGGCAGGAGTGATGTTTTCACTTCTGCCTCTCAGCGATGGAGTTCCTCTGTGTCCTCATCCACTCCCTTCCAAACAGCAGGGACCCTGTACAAGATAGGGTCCCAGGAAGTAAATTAACTTACCAATGAGCAAGGGCCAAAGATGCTGCCCACTTTGTGCTAATAAAATCTGCTCATGATGGTTTCTGCAAATGATGCCTATCCTCCCCGCTTCACCTCCTTTCTCCTAACACTAAGAAAGAAGACATTGCCCAGATAAGTGCCTGACGTTTATTTTCATCCTCTGCTTTAAAATAGGGCACCATGAAAAACAGTCCTGTCAGCTGTGGAAGCCGTTGGCATTGGAGAGTGAAGACAACCTCCCGTCCTTTAAAATATCACATAAGAAAGGCCCAAAGTCTCCCAGTGAGAGAGGGAAGAGCTTTCTTTGGCAGTAACCGAGGAAACGGAGTGGAAGCATGAGCTCTTCCTGGAACAGGATTCATATCATCAAGAACTACGGATTTGCTGGGCCAGGCATGGTGGCTCACGCCTGTAATCCCAGCAATTTGGGAGGCTGAGGCAGGTGGATCGTTTGAGGTCAGGAGTTAGAGACCAGCCTTGCTAACATGGTGAAACCCTGTCTCGACTAAAAAAAATACAAAAATTAGCCGGGTGTGGTGGTGAATGCCTGTAATCCCAGCTACTCGAGAGGGTGAGGCAAGAGAATTGCTTGAACCTGGGAGATAGAGGTTGCAGTGAGTCGAGATTGTGCCACTGCACTCCAGCCTCGGTGACAGGGCAAGACTGTCTCAAAGAAAAAAAAAAAAGGAACTATGGATTTGCTAAGGCCAATAGTCTCTCTACCCCTTAGTAAAATGTGTTTTGGTATAAAAATCCAGATAATTGAACCATTGCCATTAGATGTTTCGAGGTTTCTATTGACAATGTGGAGGTCTTATCATTTAGATTTCAACACTTTTATTTTTAGTTTTTAGAGACGGGGCCTTGCTCTGTTGCCCAGGCTAGAGTACGATGTAGTGATCACGGCTCACTGCAGTCTTGAACTCACTGGCTCAAGCAAGCCTCCCACCTCAGCTTCCCAAGTAGCTGGGACAGGCGTGTGCCACTGTGCCTGGCTAGGTTTTGTATTTTTTGTAGAGATGGGGTCTTGCTATGTTGCCTAGGCTGATCTCAAACTCCTGGGCTCAAGAAATCCTCCCACCTTGGCCTCCCAAAGTACTGAGATCACGGTGTGAGCCACCATGCCTGACCACTTTCAACACTTATATTGTTGGGGTGAAACTGAAACATATGAGGATTTGTTCAAAGTACATGTAGAGAAGGCAAAATTCCACACTGATTCTTCCTGCCTTGGACTGGATGTGTTGTGCAGAGTGAGGGTGGAAAATGAGCCAGTGGTCCTGAACTAATAAAATAAGTCTCCCTGGGGGACAGGTATTTGGCTTCCCATTCCACAGGATGGGGTAGATGTGGCTTATGGAACCAGGATTATTCACAAAGAGGTTGTTCTCCTGTATGTAAAGGCTGGAAGAGCCGTGTACTTGGATGTGTCTGCATGGGGGAGGGCACAGGCTGGGCTGGTGCGCCTGGGAGGTGGGGGAGGTGGGGAAAGAGGCTGTCTAGCAGGAGCTGAACATTTGACATTGTGGGACACTTTGCAGAGGAGGCTAACATGGTTTCGAGGAGATACTTAGGAGCTGGTCACAATGGGTGAGTCGTAAAGAGAATGTTGGAGCTGGGGGATCCTGGAGAAAGATGATAAGATGGTTGATTCACAGAACCCAGGCTGGACGGGACTTGTGGCGAGCAGTCCAGCACAGCCTCACAGTGCAGAGCATGAGCTTTGGAGCCTGCCCCCACCCTAGCTTTGTGACCTTAAGTGAGCTACATAGCTTCTCATGTGTAAACTACTCATCATAATGGTTCTGACCTCAGTGGTTTGTTGTGTTCTAGGAAATGATGCCAGTGAATGCGTAGTCCCAGCCTCAGCACAGGGGAGCCACCTTGAAGCTCTCAAATATCACTGTTGTGAATACAGAGAGGGAAAACCAACTGTAACGTGCCACCCAAATGTAAGTTTTACTCATATTTTGATGTTAGGATGGATAGCTTGGAAAAAGTTGGAGGGTACGGCCTTTACTATGAGGCATCTATGAAGGATCAGGAATGGATGTAGACAAGGAACTAGGAATGGAAAGTGTTAAAGCTGGAGCCTCTGGAAAACCAGAAATGAGGCTGGGCACTCAGGAAGAAACAAGTGAAGGTGATGCTAATGGTAAGTAGGGGAGGAAAGAGGGTTGCCTTAAAGACCTATGCAGTTAGGGAGCGGGCAGGGTGTTGAACCAAGAAGGGAAAGTTGTAGCTTAAGAACATGTATACAGAAGATACGTGTAACCACACGCTGTTTGTCCTTCTGCTGAATGAGTTTTTCAGATTAATACATCATTCATCAGACTTCATTCGTGATCTCGAAGAGTGACATCAGTCTTCCTTGGAATATGAAGAGAATTTCTTTGGTTCTTCTTTTGCATTTCTATTTGATTTATTTTATTTTATTTTATTTTATGTTTTTTGGTACAGAAAGCTCATTACTAGTCCTGTCCAGCAACGTGCCTCTCCTGGCCCTAGAGTTCTTGGAAATAGCCCAGGCCAAAGAGAAGGCCTTTCTCCCCATGGTCAGCCACACGTTCCACATGCGCACAGAGGAGTCTGATGCCTCACAGGAGGGCGATGACCTACCCAAGTCCTCAGCAAACACCAGCCATCCCAAGCAGGATGACAGCCCCAAGTCCTCAGAAGAAACCATCCAGCCCAAGGAGGGTGACATCCCCAAGGCCCCAGAAGAAACCATCCAATCCAAGAAGGAGGACCTCCCCAAGTCCTCAGAAAAAGCCATCCAGCCCAAAGAGAGTAACATCCCCAAGTCCTCAGCAAAACCCATCCAGCCCAAGCTGGGCAATATTCCCAAGGCCTCAGTGAAGCCCAGCCAGCCCAAGGAGGGTGACATCCCCAAGGCCCCAGAAGAAACCATCCAATCCAAGAAGGAGGACCTCCCCAAGTCCTCAGAAGAAGCCATCCAGCCCAAAGAGGGTGACATCCCCAAGTCCTCAGCAAAACCCATCCAGCCCAAGCTGGGCAATATTGCCAAGACCTCAGTGAAGCCCAGCCAGCCCAAGGAGAGTGATATCCCCAAGTCCCCAGAAGAAACCATCCAGCCCAAGGAGGGTGACATCCCCAAGTCCTCAGCAAAGCCCATCCAGCCCAAGCTGGGCAATATTCCCAAGGCCTCAGTGAAGCCCAGCCAGCCCAAGGAGGGTGACATCTCCAAGTCCCCAGAAGAAGCCATCCAGCCCAAGGAGGGTGACCTCCCCAAGTCCCTAGAGGAAGCCATCCAGCCCAAGGAGGGTGACATCCCCAAGTCCCCAGAAGAAGCCATCCAGCCCAAGGAGGGTGACATCCCCAAGTCCCTAGAGGAAGCCATCCAGCCTAAGGAGGGTGACATCCCCAAGTCCCCAGAAGAAACCATCCAGCCCAAGAAGGGTGACATCCCCAAGTCCCCAGAAGAAGCCATCCAGCCCAAGGAGGGTGACATTCCCAAGTCTCCAAAACAAGCCATCCAGCCCAAGGAGGGTGACATTCCCAAGTCCCTAGAGGAAGCCATCCCACCCAAGGAGATTGACATCCCCAAGTCCCCAGAAGAAACCATCCAGCCCAAGGAGGATGACAGCCCCAAGTCCCTAGAAGAAGCCACCCCATCCAAGGAGGGTGACATCCTAAAGCCTGAAGAAGAAACAATGGAGTTCCCGGAGGGGGACAAGGTGAAAGTGATCCTGAGCAAGGAGGACTTTGAGGCATCACTGAAGGAGGCCGGGGAGAGGCTGGTGGCTGTGGACTTCTCGGCCACGTGGTGTGGGCCCTGCAGGACCATCAGACCATTCTTCCATGCCCTGTCTGTGAAGCATGAGGATGTGGTGTTCCTGGAGGTGGACGCTGACAACTGTGAGGAGGTGGTGAGAGAGTGCGCCATCATGTGTGTCCCAACCTTTCAGTTTTATAAAAAAGAAGAAAAGGTGGATGAACTTTGCGGCGCCCTTAAGGAAAAACTTGAAGCAGTCATTGCAGAATTAAAGTAAACATGTATTCTGAAAACATTGCAGACAGTCAGGTGTTTATAGCTTTTGAGTTCTCTTTTATTATTTACACAAAGTGATCAGGTATAACAAAAGTGTATGTCCAAATGGCACTGCTTGTACATGATAATATTAACTCTACCCTTTTCAAAAAACAGTCCAAGCATTAAAGTACATTGCGACTGTGTTTCTGTTAGTGGGAGAGTATAAAATTAGAAATTCCCATGGTGAAGACTGCTAAGTCCCATGGTTTCCTATTTTTCAATCTTGATATGTATTTATTTTTCACTTGTCTTTGAAAATTTCACGCATTTAGTGTTTGCAGCAAGACTGAAAATTTAGATAATTTTTCTATAGAGGTAGATGACTGAAAGGTGAATGGAAACTTCTTTTCTCATGTCACACATCTTTGGGGATTCTGATAAGATATGTTTGGAAATAAGGAATTTGAAAGATTCACATCTTAGCTAACCTCCTTCTTGTGCCGGAAGTGCTACGGAGGCCTTGGGAAATTCAGTGGGTTTTCCAAGATCTGATTTGTTGGTGACGGAAATGAGATCAAGGCCGCTTCCAGATTTCAAGTCCAGGGCTCTACCTACTATAATCTACGCTCACAAAATCTCAGACAAGAGGTCGGAACTTCAGGTTTCTCGGAGGTTGAAGTCCTCTGGATCTTTGCTGCCTTTATGACATCAGTGCCCTGATGGCAGAGTTCCTGGTTCGTCTCCCTGGTAATTGAGTTCATAATACCTAGACCTTCCTCTGACTTTTTTACTTAAATTTGTTCTTATTTTCAATATTGAACAAGCCAGCCTTTAACATGACTCTACCAGCTTAGACATATAGGCCTAGACTTTAATGAATTAACCTAATCACAGTGCTACCAGAGTCTTGTTTGGACAACTTAGTGAGCCCCAGATGTCTATGAGCCCAAAGTCCCAGGTCTGAACCATAGACAGAGGCTTAGTCCAGAGTGGGTTTTTAAAAATGAATAAAACCAGCTTCATTAGGTATAATTGATATACAAAGAACAGCACATATTTAATGGAGGGAGTTGGATGAGTTTGGATGTGTTGCATATGCCCTTGATTGCCATCTCCACCATCAAAGTAATTAACACCTTCATTGCCTCCAGAAGTTTCCTTGTGTCACTGTGCTTTATTGTTATTACTATCATGGTAAAAGCACTTAACAGATCTACTCTCCTAACACATTTTTAAGTGCCCAGTACTGTACTGTTAACTAGGGGCATGATGCCGCACAGCAGATCTGTGGAACTTACTCATCGGTGTGGCTGAAATTTAACACCCATCGAACAACTCCCCGTTGCCCCTTCCCCCACCCTCTGGCAGTCACCATTCTACTTTTTGCTGGTCCAGAGTGTTTTTAAAAATTTGAATTTGTTGCCAACATTTCAAATATCAGGATTTAAAAAAAAAATCTAGATGTCTAGCTTTTCTTGAAAAATTGTAAGATCTGGCAATCCAGGCTTGCCTTACCTCAAGAAAACCAATCTAACCTTCGGGTCTGAGCGGCAGCTGCCTCCATCTGATAGGGCGCACTCTCTCCAGTCTTCTGCTGCAGAACCTGGCTGGCTTCTTCACTTAGCCAGCTGAGTTGCAATCCCTATCTTAAGTTCAAGACTGGGACTGGGCGCGGTGGCTCACACCTGTAATCCCAGCACTTTGGGAGGCCAAGGTGGGTGGATCACCTGAGGTCAGGAGTTCGAGATCAACCTGGCCAACATGGTGAAACCCTGTCTCTACTAAAAATACAAAAGTTAGCCGGGTGTGGTGGCAGGTACCTGTAATCCTAGCTACTCAGGAGGCTGAGGAGGCAGGAGAATCACTTGAACCGGGGAGGCAGAGGTTGCAGTGAGCTGAGATCGTGCCCCTGCACTCCAGCCTAGGTGATAGAGTGAGACTGTGTCTCAAAAAAAAAAAAAAAAAAAAAGAGGACCAAGACTGCCCCATCTCCTTCCATCATGTGCCTATCGTGACTCTCCTTAGTGGTACCTCAGTTATAGGCTTCATTTGCACCCTTAACAATGGCCTAACAACTGCAAACAAAATGAAATACCTTATATGCTTGGCCTTTTTTCCAAAAAAATTTGGAATTGCCTACAAAAGGATTAATGATAAAGCTAACGAACCAGAAAGAGGAATCAGAGCCATGAAGTGAGTAACGTGTCAACTCTGTGGGCTCGTATCATGGCTCTGTTAGAGCAGCAAATTTTGTTCTGAACTCTTGGCAAGTGAGAGAGAAGAGATAAATTCAATAATACCCAGATGTCATCACCCAAAATAAGCAGGCTTAGGAATTTGCAAAAGAGTCAAAGCTTTTCCTTAACTAAATTCCTGAATGACATTTCTCATCTTGGACACTACATTTGAGACTTCGATGATAAACGAAGTTCTTGACAAGATTTTTCTATAATAAATTCAGGACAGTTTTTCATGTGGATATTCTTGGTAAGACTCTTCAGTAAAAGCTGAAGCCATAATGGCAAAGGGCTTTTCAACGAGAGGATTCTAGATTCAGGTGTACTGCATTTTCATAGAAATGGGCTTTTAGTGACAGTGCATATATCCACCTGTTATTTCCCTCTGATAGAGAGACCTTCTTCTGACTTTTTCAATCAAATTTGTTCTTATTTTCCATAATGAACAAGGTTAGCTTCAACATGACTCTACCAGCCTAGACATATAGGCCTAGACTTTAACCAGTTAACCCAAACATTGTGCTACCAGAGTCCTGTTTAGATAACTTAGTGAGCCTCACAACACTTTTAAATTAATTTTGAGACATATTCTCACTCTGTTGCCCATGCTGGAGTGCAGTGGCATGACCATAGTTCACTATGGTCTTAGGCTCAAGTGATCCTCCTGCCTCAGCCTCCCAAGTAGCTGAGACTACAGATAAAGCCACCACGCTTGGTTAATTTAAAAATATATATTTTTTTGTAGAGTTGGCATCTTGCCATGTTGCCCAGGCTGGTCTCAGACTCCTAATCTCAAGAGATCCTCCCACCCAGACCTCCCAAAGTGCTGAGATTACAGGCATGAGCCACTGTACCCAGCCTCCCACAACACTTTAGACTGTGCAATTTTAAGGACCAGGGCCCCTGAAATCTAACATCAGTGACTTATACTAACTGCTTTTTCTGGTACCATAATATTAAAGACATTTCTGTCAAAGGTCCCTTTTTATATTTAGGTTACTAAGTAATGTCATTGACAATGACCTCAAAATATCCTTAAAAATTATTGTGATAGTAGATTCTTAAGATGATTTAATAGCATTCTTAACATAAGTCAAAGGAGGAGGCAAAGCGAAGTTCTATGAAGGCATTCTGTAGGGCCAAGAAAAAGCAACGCAAAGGTGTGGCTCTCTGATGATCTAGTTTGATCCAGGGATAAAATCTAAACTAGCAGATAATCAATTTATGCCCTTCAAATTACCCATTGTGAGAACCACTTCTTTTGACTGTTTGGATAATAGTTGAACAGCAGCCAGGTCAAAGTTATGTTCTCTGGCAGAAGGCTTGAGTATGGACATTTTCTTTTTCTGAGTAAGAAAGATGCATGCACTTAATAAAAAATCAACCAAGCGGGGAGTGGTGACTCACACCTGTAATCCCAGCACTTTGGGAAGCCAAGGCGGGTGGATCACCTGAGGTCAGGAGTTTGAGAGCAGCCTGGCCAACGTGGTGAAACCCCATCTCTACTAAAAATACAAAATAATTAGCCGGGCATGGTGGCAGGTGCCTGTAATCCCAGCTATTCAAGAGGCTAAGGCAGGAGAATCGCTTGAACCCAGGAGGCGGAGGTTGCAGTGAGCCAAGATCGAGCCACTTGCACTCCAGCCTGGGCAACGAGAGCAAAACTCCATCTCAAAAAAACAAAAAACAAAAAACAAAAACAAAACAAAAAATCAACCAAGAAATTGTTTTCATCTCTAATATTTAACATGAAGGACAAATAAGAAGCAGTTCTAATGAGAAGATCCCAGATAATCATATGAGCTGTGAACAATGATAATCTAACCAGAGCCTTAAGAATCAATGGAAAATCTGTTAGAATTAACGAGAAAACTCAACAAAGTGGCAGTAATTGAAGTAATATCTAAAAATCAACAGCTTCCATGTGATTCTGTGGCAAATAATTGGGAATCTGTGAAAAAAAAGTCTTATTCACAATAGCGACAAAATAAAATGTCTAGCAATAGTCCTAATGAGAAGTAAGGATGATTAAGAGTAAAATAAAACATTCTGAGATGTATATAAGTAGGTTTGAATAAAGTGAGACAGTCCATTTTTCTCATTGGAGAAAAGACTGAAAGATGTTGATGCTTTCCACTTAATTAGTAGACCCTGTAATTCCAGCCAATATCTCAATGGGATATTTGATAGAACTTAACAAAATATTTAAAACTTCACTGAGAATAATAGACAAGAATAGGCAGGAAAAGTCTCAAATGAGAAGTAATGACGAGATATGTGCCCTATCAGAGAGTTACATGTGTAGTTGGTACATTAATTATAAAACAATGATATTAATGAAGGAAAAAGAGAGCAATGAAACATAATAGTAAGCAAAACCACACATTGGCATGTAAGTAGTAATATATGACAAGGAAACATTTCAATTTGATGGACAGTGAGTGGATTTTTTTCAAAAAATTGGCAAAATTTTAATATTTGAGGGGAAAAATCAATGTATATCCCAATCCCACACCAGACACTAAAATAAATATAAGCTGAATTAAATGATAAAAAACAAAATATGGAATGATTAAAAAATAGAAGAAAATTTAGCTGAAGTTTTTTTGTTTTGTTTTATTTTTGTTTTTGTTTTTTTGAGACAGAGTCTTGCTCTGTCGCCCAGGCTGGAGTGCAGTGGTGCAATCTCCGCTCACTGCAAGCTCCGCCTCCTGGGTTCAGGCCATTCTCCTGCCTCAGCCTCCAGAGTAGCTGGGACTACAGGCACCCACCACCACACCCGGCTAGTTTTTTGTATTTTTAATAGAGACGGGGTTTCACTGTGTTAGCCAGGATGGCCTTGATCTCCTGACCTCGTGATCCGCCTGCCTCAGCCTCCCAAAGTGCTGGGACTATAGGCGTGAGCCACCACGCCCAGCCAGTTGAAGTTTTTAAAAATGTTTTCGAGACGGGGTCTCGCTCTGTTACCCAGACTGGAGTGCAGAGGCGTGATCACAGCTCCCTGCAGCCTTGAGTTCCTGAGCTCAGGTGATCCTCCCAACTCAGCCTCCCAGGTAGCTGGGACTACAGGCTTGCAACACCATGCCTAGTTAATGTTTAATTTAAAAAAATTTTTTGTACAGACGGAGTCTCACTGTTGCCCAGGCTGGTCTTGAACTCCTGGCCTCATGCAGTTCTCCCACCTTGGCCTCCCAAAGCACCGGGATTACAGGCATGAACCACCGCACCTGGCCAAACATGTATGTGATTCATGGATGGAGAAAGGATTTTCTAGACACAATTGCAATTAAAGAAGTAGATTTGAACATATAAAACAATTCAACATTTTTTTTTTTGAGATGGAGTCTTGCTCTGTTGCCCAGGCTGGAGTGCAATGGCGCGATCTTGGCTCTCTGCAACCTCTGCCTCCTGGGTTCAAGTGCTTCTCCTGCCTACTCCCGAGTAGCTGGGATTACAGGCACCCACCACCATGCCCAGCTAATTTTTGTATTTTTTAGTAGACATGGGGTTTCACCATGTCAGTCAGGCTGGTCTTGAACTCCTGACCTCAGGTGATCCGCCCACCTCAGCCTCCCAAAGTGCTGGGATTACAGGCGTGAGCCACCATGCCCGACCCCAACAATTCAATTTTTTAAATAAAAAATATAAACAAAATTGACAGGAAACAGAAAAAGGAAATAATATTTGCCAAATGTACAACATTGGATTTAATACATGTACTATAAAAGTACTCTTACAAATCAGTAAGAAAAACAGAATATTCTCATAAAAATAGGCAAAAGACATAGTTCACATTAGAATAAAAACAAGTTTGTAATAAAAATAAAAATAAAGCCGGGTATGGCAACAGCTCAGGCCTGTAATCCCAGCACTTTGGGAGGCCGAGGCGGGTGGATCACTTGAGGTTAGGAGTTCGAGGCCAACATGGCGAAACCCCTTCTCTACTAAAAATACAAAACTTAGCTGGGCGTAGTGGAGGTAGTGGAGCATGGCTGTAATCCCAGCTGCTCCAGAGGCTGAGGCATGAGAATCACTTGAACCCAGGAGGCGGAGGTTTCAGTGAGCTGAGATCATGCCACTGCACTCCAGCCTGGGTGACAGAGTGAGCTCCTGTCTCAAATATAAAAATAAAAAATGTTCACTAATAGGGAATAAATAGGAAAATGTAAACAAAAGTCAATGAGATTTTGATAGTAGGGATGTAGGGAAACAGTTACTCATGTACTGCCACTGAGAGTTAAGACTGCTATAAGTCCTTCTGGAACATAGCGGTATGTTACGGGGTAGAAAGATGCAGAACTTTGCAAACTAGCTTGTGTATTTGTCTGCTCAGGCTGCCATAGCAAAATACCACAGAAAGGATGGCTTAAACAGCAGACATTTACTTCTCACAGTTCCAGGGCCTAGAAGTCTGAGATCAAGGTGTTGGCCATTTTCACTTCCTGTGAGGTGTCATCAGCAGCACAAGATCAGACATAGCCAGGTCTACACAGGCTTGCGTCTTTCCACAAGTTCACTTTATTGATGCTTACTCAATTAGAAAAGTCATGAGCCAGGCGTAATGTTGAGATGCCTGTAATCTCAGGAATTTGGGAGGCAGAGGTGGGAGGATCACTTGAGGCCTGGACAACATAGTGAGATTCTCTTCTCTAAAAGAAAATAAAACAGCCAGTCACGGTGGCTCACGCCTGTAATCCCAGCTACTTGGGACACTGAAGTAGGAAGATCACTTGAGCCCAAGAGTTTGAGGTAATGGTGAGCCATGGTCTTGCCACTGCCCTCCAGCCTGGGTGACAGGCAAGACTCTGACTCTAATAATAATAATAGTAGTAATAATAATAATAATAATAATAATAATAATAAAATGGTTTCCTATGTGCTGCACCCTGAGAGGAGTCCTCAGTCCAGCCTGTGAGCCTCATCTTAAGCAGTTATGGGTTGAAATGTGTCCCCCTGAAATTCATATATTGAAGCCTCAACCCCAGTGGGTGGGGCCACACAGTCTGTGCAGTCCAAGTTCCATCCGAGTCCAAGTTCCAAGCTAGGCTTGGGTGGGTCCATCTCTGTTGAGGTCTCTCCACTAGTATGAATTGTGGCTATGCCTTTGTATTTTTCTGATGATCCAGAGCATAACTATCAGAAGAAATACACACATGTCTATGACAGAATCATTTCTCAGTGAGTTGCCCAGCCCCATAAGGTGCTCCCTCCTGCAGGCGCACCTTCCCACTGCCCGCCTCGTCTGCAGGCTGCTTCTTTTCCACCGCTAGGACTATTTCAGATTATGGTGTGCAGCGTCCTCACTTCATTCGTCTTCTCTCAACTTGTCCCAGCAGGCCTACCAGGGATAAGAAAATGGACTCATTGCTGAGTCATTTCCAGGCCTCCAGCCTGCTGAATTCTAGTGAGTGGTGCCTCCCAAATGGGAGATATGGGGGTTACCTGTTACCCTCTTCTCGATGGGCTGGCCAGAGTTCTGAATTTCATTTGCTGTATGGAGCGCCTTCCTCCTTCCTGTCAGTGGCTAGCTCCTCCAAATTCACTGTGAAAAGGCCGGATGCAGTGGGTCACTCCTGTAATCCTAGCACTTTGGGAGGCTAAGGTGTGTGGATCACCTGAGGTCAGGAGTTCCAGACCAGCCTGGCCAACATGGTGAAACCCTGTCTTTACTAAAAATACAAAAATTAGCTGGGCCTGGTGGCACATGCCTGTAATCCCAGCTACTCGGGAGGCTAAGGCAGGAAAATCATTTGAACATGGGAGGCAGAGGTTGCAGTGAGCTGAGATAGCGTCACTGCACTCTAGCCTGGGCAACAGAGAGAGACTCCGTGTTTAAAAAAAAAAAAAATTCACTGAGAAATGAAAACAAGAAAATAAAAAGCAGGTCAAAATACTGAAAACAGAATTATCTCTATTTTATTTTAATTGGACAAAAGGCACAATGTGTTGCCATTGGCTATCACTGTGTGAGGATTTTTTTTTTTTTTTTTTTTTTTTGAGATGGAGTCTCACTCGTTGCCCAGGCTGGAGTGCAGTGGTGCAATCTCGGCTCACTGCAAGCTCCGCCTTCCGGGTTCACGCCATTCTCCTGCCTCAGCCTCGCGAGTAGCTGGGACTACAGGCACGTGCCACCACGCCCGGCTAACTTTTTGTACTTTTAGTAGAGACGGGGTTTCACCGTGTTAGCCAGGATGGTCTTGATCTCCTGACCTCCTGATCCGCCCGCCTCGGCCTCCCAAAGTGCTGGGATTACAGGCGTGAGTCACCGCGACCAGCCTGTGTGAGGATATTTTTTTTACCATCATTCTCATTTTGTTTTTTCCTAATTATATAACAAAAACAAAAAACAATCAACTGAATACTTTGAAGACTCCAACTGTTTAGATACTGCCAGGGAACCCAAACAACTACTAGAAAATACAAAATCTGGGAAGCCTGAGCAATGGGGAATAGGTGAATGGCCCAAGCTCAAGGGTGTTCTGGCAGAGCCTCCGAATGCTGGCATTATGCAGATGTTCTGTATTCTAGTTGTGCATTTTGGGCCTTTCAGGCTTCAGATTACAAATGGCCCAAGAACAGACCAAATCGGAAGTTATTCTGTTTGGAGATGAACTACCTAAGTGATCATGGGTGTTATGGGATAGGTGATACATTCATTTTCTCCGTGCAACTGACAAAAGGCCAACTCAAACCTGCTCCAGCAAAAAGGGAGAGGGTATTGGATCTTGAAAATGGAAATTCTAAGGAGATCAATGACTTTAGGCAGATTCAGGGATTCAGACAACATCAGAACATGGTTTTCTACCCTTAGCTCTGCTGTTCATCTTGATTTTATCATCAGTTGCTTCCGTGGCTCATAATCGCAGATAAAAAGGTGAGCCTGTTTCCTAATAACGCCAACAAAAGTTCCAGGAAAGACTCTGATTGGCTGCATCATGTGCCAATCCCTGAACCACTCTGCGTATTTGGAAGAGTTGAAGGACTCTGATTGGTCAGGCTTGGTCACTTGTGCACACTCAAAGCAGGGTCAGGCCCATCAAGCCTTAGGAGCTGAGTGGATTAACGTGGAAAGTGGGAGGAAGGAAAGGCTGCCTGCAATCAGGCACATAGATTTCAAGGGATGGCATTTGAGCACTCAACATTTGACTAAGAGTCCACATTAAGAATATGGAGAATATGGTCAGAATCACCCTTATCCCACTTATAAATCCCCATGAAATATCAAACCCAATAAGAAGAGGTTGTACTTTTATCAAGTTCCTTTTAAACGCACCTTCTCATTTCACTTTCATCCTGATTTCACATTCAATCCGATTTCCTTGAATCTGTCTGTCCAGCCTTAAAACTAAATAGCTATCTGTGCCTTATTCAAATGACAAATTATCTTATAATAGTAACTTTTGCTAACGTTGGCATATGGGATATAAATCAAAAGAGAATATGAAACCTGATGAGTGAATGCTTAGAAAGATCCAAAGGATGGCTGGGTGCGGTGGCTCACTCCTGTAATCCCAGCACTTTGGGAGGCCGCGGCAGGCAGATCACGAGGTCAGGAGTTCGAGACTAGCTTGGCCAAGAGACTAGCCTGGCCAACATGGTGAAACTCTGTCTCTACTAAAAATACAAAAATTAGCCGGGCGTGGGGGCAGCACCTGTAATCCCAGCTACTCAGGAGGTAGAGGCACGAGAATTGCTTGAACCTGGGAGGCCGAGGTTGCAGTGAGCTGAGATTGTGCCATTGCACTCCAGCCTGGGCAACACAATGAGACTTGGTCTCAGAAAAAAAGAAGAAAAGAAAGAAAGATGCAAAGGATGTAAACAGGGTGAGTCAGTTCTGGGGTCTGTTCTTCTAAGCGATGCTTTTGAAACATGTTTTTCTCTAAATATGAACAATCTGGTTCTTCATAGACTATGCCTTCAGTGTTCAACACTTGTGTCTTTTTGAGACTCAAATGGTATTTCAAATAAATTATATTCAGCAAATACTAGAAAGTTATGGTATGTTGTTACTTAGAATTCTATCTTGATTTTTGGCAGATTTTTAAGTTTCCCAGAACTTGTAAGGGAACTGTGAAATGCTACACTCTATGGAGATAAAAGTTAACTAAAAAACAAAGCAAACCAAGAGATAAAAGGAAAAGTTAGGCTGCAAGTTTTGAAATAATAATGGTACTTGAACCATGAGATCCTTTAATACCCACAATGAAAATAGACACCCAGTGCAACAATGACAAATATTTGGATGTAGACACCACAGAGTCAGATAAAACCCAAGGCTGTAGCTTAAAGATTTAAGGAAATAAAAAATTTCAGATTCCAGGATGGAAAAAAGATAATTTATATGAAAATGAAGAAGTTGATGATAGAAAATGGTAGATAGGAAGAAGTTAGGGCCAGTAACGACAGGCAGTAGTTGAAATGAAGAAATGTGGATTGTGAAAATGAAAAGAAAATGTGATCGTTCTACTACGTATTGATTTGAAGTGTATATTACTTTTACACACACAAGTTGAGGGTCATCTTTGTTTAGGTTAAGATGGTAGTTTCAAGTAAGAGGGAGATATGGCATGGGGAAGGACAGGGAAGAGTAAGGTTGTCCCTGTACATTACGTTTCTGCTGACCTTAATGCTGTTTTCGCGAATTCCTGGTTTAGAAAACTAAAAGTTCTCTGATCTCTGGAGAGGCACCTTTCTGGTAGGTCTTGAGAAAAGGTGAAAAAAAAAAAAATGCTGCTTCTCTCTCCCTGCTCTATGAAAGCCACAAAACGTTGGTGTTTAAAAGACAAAGCTAAATGCAACTCTAATGACTCATAGATCAATATCTTTCACTGACCTTAGGAAGATACACGAGGAAGTCACCAGTTAGCTAATGATTCTCAGTTTAGAAAGGGCAGAGGAGGCTAGCCACCTCCCAGAGAAGGCTTTAAGGAAGACTTCCTTTAAGTCATACCAGTTAACATGGCTAGACGGTAATATATTGTCATGCTATCAGAAGCAGCTGCGTAACTGGAATTTGAGAGCACTCAACCTTAATGGATTTTTTTTTTTTTGACAGAGTCTTGCTCTGTCACCCAGGCTGGAGTGCAGTGGCATGATCATAGCTCACTGCAGCCTCAATCACCTGGGCTCCAGCGAACCTCCCACCTCGGCCTCTAGAGTAGCTGGGACTGTAGGTGCACACCACCATATATGGCTAATTTTAAAAAATTTTTAGTGGAGATGAGGTCTCACTATGTTGCTCAGGCTGGTCTCGAACCCTTGAGATAAAATGATCCCCCTGCACTGGCCTCCCAAAGTGCTGGGATTATAAACATCAGCCACCACACCAGTCTGAATTTTTTTTTGAGACAGGGTCTCACTCTGTTGCCCAGGCTGAAGTGCAGTGGCATGATCATGGCTCATTGCAGCCTCAACCTCCCAGACTCAAGTGATCCTCTTGCCTCAGCCTCTCAAGTAGCTGGGACTACAGGTGTGTGCCAGTATGCCCAGCTATTTTTTTTTTTTTTTTAAAGAAGAGGTCTCACTATGTTTTTGAGGCTAGTCTCAAACTCCTGGGTTCAAGTGATCCTCCACCTTAGCCTCCCAAAGTGCTGGGATTACAGGTGTGAGTCACTTTGCCCAGCCCAGTAATGGATATTGATGATTCCCACCCTATGTTCATTCCCCTAATTACTTTGATTTCTTTACTGTGAGGTTAAAATTACTCATACTTACTTTCAAATAATCTCCATTTGTTTTGGCATTTGAAGGTTTTTAAAAAAGTATTTATAAATCCAGATTATAATCCTATTTCATTTTGGGTTGCTATTTTTGTATATGTCAGACATAAACATGCTAAAATAACATTGGTAGTTACATAAATTGGATACCGGTGGTCAACATTCATCCTCTTCAGGCCTACCTATGGCACTTATTCTTTCCTTACGTGCTTAAAAAATAAAAGACCAAGATTTATTATGTGTGGTTCAGATGCTACTCGTGTTTATTCTTGATACTCAGATTGAAGACAGAAAGATCAATGTGTGTCAGGGAATCGACTGCTACAGCAATGAGCCCTATTTGCAGCCCATAGACAAACGGTTTCAAATGCAATGAATATTCAGAGTTCCCAGGTGTGCTCTAGGAAAACTGTTTGCAGGTGAATACAAAACTGAAAACTCCTCTATTTTGAATTAAAACTAAGAAAGTATCATCTAATTCTTAGGATTCTTCTGTGCTTTATTGACTTGCTTAAATATGAGGTCTTGATAACCCTAGTTTTATCTCCCTGAATGAAGATTACATTCCTTTTTAACAATTCAAGGGAAACACATCCAAATCTCCCCTCTCCAGAAAGAACAGTGGTTGAGCTGAATAGCAAAGGAATGGGGAGTTCCTTAAGGTCAGGGGGCTGAGAGTAGGGGTCCCTCTCATCCCAGGCAGCAAAGGAAGCAAAAGAAACGGAAAATGAAGTAGTGAGGTCGAGGCGCAAGAAACCATTAGGGGACTTCAGAAGTTGCCAGAACAATAGGGGTATCAGTGGGTTTGAGTCAGAATGTGGTTGCTGGGTGTGGAGATGAGATGGGCGGGTGTGAGATGACATAGGGAAGATATGGGAAGTAGAGGAGGTGTGACCTGGGACCACCACAGATGAATGTGCTGAGGAGCGGTGCAGAGGTGGGTCATCCTGGCTTCAAGGGCCTCGTTGGACCAGTTCTGCTCCTCCCCGTATCTGAGCATGTGCATGTCACCTAGCAACACACTTGCTATTTCTTTTCTAAGTAGATCATTGAACTTCACCACACATCTAAAGTAGTATTGCTTATGAAATTTTCAGAAACTGGATAGCTGTCACTAGATCATGCTTACCAATATCATTGTAAATTAGGTAATATGATGGGTGGCAAAAAGTCCCTCTGAAATACAGGCTTTTTAATCCCATAATGGGTCTTGCTGTTGCTTGATAAAAGACAAAAACAAAGTTTACTAATGAGTGGGAAAATATTGACCATTTGGATCTGAGCCTGCCTTTGGCATCCTTTGCACTTAAATTTTGATACTTTTCTACCCTATTACTTTGTTTACAAAAAGGGAGAAATGCGAACTCAAGTATCTAGGGATGAAATACCATGTTATCCAGAATTTGTTTTAAAAATACTGAGGCAGGCTGGGCACAGTGGCTCATGTCTGTAATTTCAGCTCTCTGGGAGGCCAAAGTGGGAGGATGGCTTGAGGCCAAGGAGTTCAAGCCTGCAGTGAGCTATGATTGCACCGCTGCACTCCATCCTGGGTGACAGAGCTGAGCCAGTCTCTCTCTAAAAAAAAAAAAAAAAGATACCTAGAGTTGCACAGTAATCATTGGGAAATTTATGCACAATTTAGGCAGAATATTATTTTTCACGATGTCTCATTTTTATAAGAGAATTAGAAACAGGAAATAATTTTCACTTTATATAAAACAACCTGTTGACTGAATGTTTTTTATGTTTTCAACTAGTGGTAGTTCTATCACATAGGTACTATTTTTTGAATTTTATTTTTCATTTTTTATTTTTTTGTGAGATGGAGTTTTGCTCTTGTCACTCAGGCTGGAGTGCAGCACAATCTTGGTTCATTGCAACCTCCCCCTCCCGGGTTCAAGCAATTCTCCTGCCTCAGCCTCCCGAGTAGCTGGGATTACAGGTACCCACCACCATGCCCAGGTAATTTTTTGGTATTTTTAGTAGAGATGGGTTTTTGCCATGTTAGCCAGGCTGGTCTCGAACCCCTGACCTCAGGTGATCCGCCCGCCTTGGCTTCCCAAAGTGCCGGGATTACAGGCATGAGCCACTGAACCTGGCTAGAAATGTTATTTTAAAAGTACCTAGGCCGGATGGCAGAAATGTTATTTAAAAAGTACCTAGGCAGGGCTTGGTGGCTCATGCCTGTAATCCCAGCACTTTGGGAGGCCGAGGCGGATGAATCACCTGAGGTCAGGAGTTCGAGACCGGCCTGGCCAACATGGTGAAACCCCATCTCTACTAAAAATACCAAAAGCTGGGCGTGGTGGCAGGCTCCTGTAATCCCAGCTACTCTAGAGACTAAGGCAGGTGAATCGCTTGGACCAGGGAGGCGGAGGTTGCAGTGAGCCCAGATTGCGCCATCGCACTCCAGCCTGGGCAACAAGAGCAAAACTCTGTCTCACACACACACAAAAATAGCTGGGCCTGTGGCGCGAGCCTGTAATCCCAGCTACTCAGGAAGCTGAGGCAGGAGAATCGTTTCAGCCCGGGAGGTTGTGGTGAGCTGAGATCGAGCCATTGCACTCCAGTCTGGGCAACAGAGTGAGACCATGTCTCATAAATAAATAAATAAATAAATAAACAAATAACATTTATGTGCCTTAGGTTCTTTGTCAGAGATAATTTTAACCAAGTCATTAAACTGATGTGAAGATTATTAATACCAACTGTAGAGGGTTGAATGGTAGCCCCAAAGACATCAGGGTCTAGTACTATAAACCTGTAAATGTTACTTCATTTGGAAAAGGGCCTTTGCAGATGTGATTAAGTTAAGGCTCTTGAGATGAGGAGATAATCCTGGATTATCTGGGTGATCCCCAAATGCCATCACAAGTGTCCATAGACAAGAGACGTAGGAGATTCAACACACGCGAAGAAGAAGGCAGCGTGAAGACGGAAGCAGCAGCTGGAGCCATGCGGCCACAAATCAAGGCTCCCTGCCAGCAGCCGCCAGAGGCGAAGAACAGATTCTCCCCTGGAGCTTCCCAAGGGATCACAGCTCCGTCAACACCTTGATTTTGGACTTCTGGCCTCCAGAGCTGTGAGAAAATACCTGTTGTTTTAAGCCACCCAGTTTGTGATAATTTGTTACGGCAGCCATTAAGAAATGAATGCACCAGTGAATAAAACATTTTTGCAAAAGGTGTTTAAATGCAAGATAGCAATGAGGAATCAGCGTTAGGATATACTTAAAGGAAATGTGTTCCTGTGTATGGAATAAGCATTTCTAGTATGTTTTCTTCTTCTTCTTCTTCTTTTCTTTTTTTTTTAATCAAGCCTTCTTTTTTTTAAAATTATTTTTAATTGACAAATGATAATTGTGAGATGCCATTTCACGCCAGTCAGGATGGTGATTATTAAAAAGTCAAGAAACAATAGATGCTGGTGAGGCTGTGGAGAAATAGGAACGTTTTTACACTGTTAATGGGAATGTAAATTAGTTCAACCATTGTGGAAGACAGTGTGGCGATTCCTCAGGGATCTAGAACTAGGAATACCATTTGACCCAGCAATCCCATTACTGGGTGGTATATACCCAAAGGATTATAAATCATTCTACTATAAAGACTCATGCACATGTATGTCTATTGCAGCACTATTTACAATAGCAAAGACATAGAACCAACCCAAATGCCCATCAATGATAGGCTGGATAAGGAAAATGTGGCACATATACACCATGGAATACTATGCAGCCATAAAAAGGAATGGAATTGTGTCCTTTTCAGGGACATGGATGAAGCTGGAAGCCATCATCCTCAGCAAACTAACACAGGAACAGAAAACCAAACACTGCATGTTCTCACTCGTAAGTGGGAGTTGAACAATGAGAACACATGGACACAGTGAGGGGAACAACACACATGGGGCCTGTTGGGGGTGGAGGCGAGGGAAGGGAGAACATCAGGACAAATAGCTAATGCATGCAGGGCTTAAAACATATGGCACATGTATACTTATGTAACAAACCAACATGTTCTGTGCATGTACCCCGGAACTTAAAGTAAAACAAAAAAAAAAAAAAAAAAAAGGGAAAAAAAATTTACATTCCCACCAGCAGTGTACAATGATTCCATTTTTTCCACATCTTCACCAGCATTTGTTATTGCTTGTTTTGTGGCTACAAGTCATTTTAACTGTGGTGGAAAAAAAATGATCAAACTTTTTTTTTCTTTTTTAATTATTATTATTTTTTGAGAGACAGATTCTCACTCTTGTTGCCCAGGCTGGAGTGCAGTGGCATGATCTCTGCTCACTGCAACTTCTGCCTCCCAGGTTCAAGCGATTCTCCTGACTCAGCTTCTCCAGTAGCTGGGATTACAAGCGTGTGACACCATGCCTAGCTAATTTTTGTATTTTTAGTAGAGACGAGGTTCCCCCATGTTGGCCAAGCTGGTCTTAAACTCCTGACCTCAAGTGATCTGCCTTCCTTGGCCGCCCAAAGTGCTGGGATTACAGGCTTGAGCCACACCCGGCCTTTTAATTATTTTTAGTTGACAAATGATAATTGTGTATATTTATTGGGTACAATGTGATTTTTTGATATATGTATACATTTTTAAAAAGATTCAATCAAGCTAATCAACCCATGCATCACCTCAACAACTTACCATTTTTTTGTCATAAGAACATTAAAAATCTATTCTTTTAGCAATTTTGAAATATGCAATACATTGTTATTAACCGTGGTTACCATGCAGTACAATAGATCACTGAAACGTATTTTTCTAGTCCAACCGAAACTTTGTACACTTTGGTCAACATCTTCCCTTTCCCTACCCCTCTCCTTCCCTGCAGCCTCTGTTTCTACGAGTTCCCTTGCTGAGTTCCCAGACCTAAGCCAATTTTTTCACATTTGGAGCTCATGGACTGAAGAGATGGCCAAGTCCCCAGGAAGAAGTAGGCAGCAACACCACGGCTAAGAAAAACCATGATGATTCCCCCAGGACTGTCCCAAAGGGACCTATGGCCATTTACTTGGGTCACTATATGTTGGGGAGGAGGGAACACCCAGACCTTGCAAAGATTGTTGGACACGAGGACTTAGTTGACATGAATACCTCGAGATCTGAAATGTCATCTTGCGTGTGTCCCTTCCCCGTCCCACCTTAGAGCCCTGGCTAAAGTAATATGTTTTATATGTGTACAATCAGCCCCTCGGTTGCCACGCATCTACTTAGTGGTCATTTTCTTGGGCCCTGGCTGCTGAAATAACACCTTTGAGTTCGTGGTGTGTGGAGTAGGAGCTATCACATTAGGGAAGGCTAAGTGGGAGTCAAAGCTGCCCCCACCCCAGGACCAAAATAGTAAATCAAAGCACTATTGCATCACAGGGTTTAATGCCTATTAGAGCTTGAAAGGATACAAGGTGGTGGTCCCTCCTATCATGTCTCTATTTGCTCAGCCAGTCTGATGATTGCAATGATCTGATCGTAGAATACCACAAGCCTAACCAAGCTGCGGCCCTGCTACAGCTGCCAAACAGAGCAGTATTGTTGCTAAAGCAGATTATTAAAACCTCAGGTACATGTTATGTGGCCACTGATTTGGCAAATGTGCTCTTTTCTATTCTGAAGAGCAGCAGTTTGTATTCATGTGGAACGGACAACAGCATTAATTTACTGTCTTGCTTCAGGGCGTTGTGAACTTTTCTACCCTCTGTCATCATATAGTATGAAGAAACCCAGACAGTCTGGACATCCTGTGGAACATTGCAGTGATCCATTACATGGGTGACATCATGCTGATTGGGCAGCACAAACAAGAGGTAGCCAGCATTCGGGAGGTCTTGTTAGGACAGAGACCTGCCACTTCAGGAAAGTTTTCAGGGGTCCAATAATCAGAAGTATGCCGGATACTTCCTCCAAATTAAAAGATACATTCTTGCTCTTGCATCTCCTGCCACAAAGAAGGAAACACAGTGCCCAGTGGGACACCTGGACCGAAGCTGTATTCCTAGCATGGAATGTGGTGAGCAAAGACAGATGAGAAAAACTACAGGAGAAGGAGTTGGAGGGAGCTAGCAATGGGGTCTAAGGTTGATTTAAACCCACCGCCAAAAAGAACAGGTCCATCGTAAGTCTGAAACTGGTAAAATAGTGTCTGAGGAGTTCAGAGCACAGACTACAGACAAGAGAATTAAAAATACACTGTTTTAAAGGGCTAGTCTAGGAAACACATAGCTTCTGGGGAAGAAAAAGCAAAGCAAAAAAACGAAGGGAATTTGTCAGTATCAAAAACTACATACACTCTTACCTTTTGAACTACAAGTCCCATTTCTAGGAAACTACTCTTTAGAAATACCTCCAACATATGAAAATACGTATGCACAAGGCTATTTATTGCTCACCACAAAGACTTGCAGTGGAGTGGGCATGAGACAGGAATATTTTCACCTTGCATTCATCTACTGAACTGACCAATCTATAAACCAAGCTTGGGCTCCTTCCTCTTTTTCCACCCAGTTGTACAGAACCCTCCATATGGCCACGGGTGTGAGCCTGAGGTAGGAAGCTGGGGTAACCACTGTGGGTGATATAGAGTTTGGGCAACTTGCTCATTGATTGTTAATTGCAAGATATTCGAGACAGCCTAAACGCCTATGCATGGGAAAGTGGTTGAATAACATCCACTGAGTGGAGTACTATGCAGCTGTAAGAACAAGGAAGTGCTCTATGACCTGTTACAGAGTGAAACTAGTATAACTAGCAAATATCCCATGTCTAGGGTGTATTAAGTGAAGAAAGCAAAGCACAAAAATGGCATAATATTCTACCCTTCAACTAAAAATGAGCATTATACAGCTTAGGCAACATGGGGAGACCCGTCTCTGCAAAAAAATTAAAAAGTTAGCCTGGCGTGGTGGCACATCCCTGCAGTTCCAGCTACTTGGGGGGCCGAGACAGGAGGAACGCTTGAGCTCAGGAGGTTGAGGCTGCAGTGAGCTGTGTTCATGTGTCTGCACTCCAGCCGGGCAACAGAGTGAGACCTTGTCTCAAAAACAAAAGTGCATTATGTAAGAAAATATACGTACATCTGCTCGTTTGTGCCAAACAGTAAATTAGGAGCTGAAATTGGTTACCTACAGGTGTTGGGTGATAACAGAGGGGAAATAATGGTATTGCTGAGAATGGAGTCACAGGAATCAGGGAGAGATACTTTGCTAGCCATGTTCATACTTAGAACCATGCTAATTTTTACTCTTAGAGCCATGTTAATGCCTCACAAACTCCCAAAATAAGTGGTTAAAACAATGGGGATGGGACAAAATGGAATGCGAAAAGTAATACATGAATTTACTATAATTGTATTACGAATGAATAACATAACCACACTGAAGGGGCGGCACTAGCCAAAGTTACTTTGGAAAACAGTATTTTGATTGTATATTGTAAAGGAAAAGGCAAAATGAACTAGACACAAATATTGTACTCTAGTTTCCTATCTGTTTTTCACAGGGGTATGCAAGAATGAGACTCCTTCATATGCATATTATGATTCAGCAGATCAGTAAATTTATGGAAGGTGATGAGACTCAAATGTTATTAAGAATATCATAAGGAAGAGAAACTGTATTTCCAATTCATTTAGTGGAAGTGGATCATCGTAAAGGTCTTCATCCTCATGGTCTTTACGTTGAGTGGGCTGAGGAGGAAGATAAGGGAGGAGTTGGTCTTGCTGTCTCAGGGGTGGCAGAGATGGGAGAAAATTCCCCTGTAAGTGGACCCACACAGTTCAAACCCACATTTTTCAATAATTAACTGTAATTCAAAACAAAAATTAGAAAACCATAAATATATGTTGAGCGGCTTCCGTGTCTCAGGCCCTGTTGCAGATGCTAGAGATATGCCAGCGAACAGCATGAGGCATGAGGCCCCTGCTCTCATGGGGTTTACATTAAGTCATAGGTCGCATGCTAATCACTCACCATTTGTCATAAAGACAATGAGAATGTACCCTGTACAGATTGAATTATTCTGACTGAAGGTTTACATAATTTATGGTGACACTTGGCTTCTGTCTTAATGATGTCACAAAAGAAAATGTAGAATCAGGGACCAGACATTGTTTACTACACTGCTGAACAGCTCTGGGATTTATATACTCATTTCCAAAAGTACACAGTTACTAAGTCTTCTTGGTGGGCACAATCTAATTTCAGCTTAATGCATTTTTTCTTAAATTGAACCATGCTGATAAGATTGATGTATGATAAGCCACACCTGATAATTGCCCTTTACATGTAAGTCTAGAAACTTCAAGAACGATCCATACACATTTAATTAAATCTATGACTTGTATCTGAATTGTGATTTCATTTCCATTATTTAGCTTTACAATTCTTCAAAATCCACAATTCTATTGATCTTTGACCAGATTACAAATAGGAACAATGAGAGTTGCCGTGGCCATGGGCTCAGTTTGTTTGTCCCATTTGTGTATGATCGCCTTCCCCTGCGGGGAACTGGGCAAGGGGCAAGCCTGGTGGTTCAGTCCTCTGGAGTCCTGATGCTTGTTGGGCTTTTTCTTTTTGCCAGCATGCTCTGGCACTGGCAAACAAGTCATTTAGAGGGAGCTGAGGAGAGATCAACAGAATCTGAGAAAAGTAGGCAATGTGTGAGTTTTCCAAGGGTTCAAGAATTTTTATCACAGCTATAAGGTCAAGTACAATGTTGTGAGCCACTAAGGTGGATACATTAAGTCTCCAGGGTTTTCTCATTCCAAAAAAGAGCCTAGATGCAAAGGAGTGGCTTCCGCAATACAGTAAGGCAACCCTGGAGGAAGTCCGAATGGGGACAACTGAGCCATCCATAGTAATAACCATGGCCTCCTTTCCTACTTACCTCTCTGGCCACTTTTCTTCCACCCAAGCTAACTCATTCTACTTAATGAGATATTTGAAAGTTGCAGTTTCCCAAGAAGGAGTATGAGGTTCTGGTCATTTCTCTGTCTGTATTAGGTGACCTCCTACATGCCCGTGACCATTCATGCTCAAGACTTGGAGGTTCAGTTTTCAGCACAGAGCTGCTGCTCCTGAGTTCCCACCAGAACACTCTATTGCTTATTTAACATTTCCTCATGAATGTCTCAAAGGCATCTTACATCAAACTGGCTTAGTGATCTTTCCTTCCCTGCACCCCAACATCAGAATCTGGTCCTCTGTCTCTGTGACTAGTACCATCATTCATTCACCTGCACACACCGGAAGAAGGGGAGTGATTCCTCACTCTCTTACTTTCTCTTACCACCCCTGTATCTAATCAATAGCTGATTGGTTATTGATTCTACCACCTAAATATCTCTCAAATCTGTTCGTATTTATTTGCTCCATCTCCACTGTGTCTACCTTAGCCCAAACTGTCATTCTCTGCAATACCATCCTCTGTAATATCATCCTCTGTCTTCTGAATTATAGCACTAATCTAAACAGTTCTCCCCATATTCCCTCTTACTCCCCCTAATCCAATCACCACATTGTAGTCAAGAGAACTTTTAAGAATTGCTCATATGACTCTATTGTTTAAACCCTTTGATGGTTTCCTATTTTCTTATGATAAAGACTCAAATCCTTAATATGGCCTGAAACAATCTGCATAATCTGGCTTTTCAGCCTCATCTCCTGCTACTCACTACCCACTTTATTTACCATAACACATCAGCCTTTCTTCTACAATTTGCAATGAGCCACGCTCATGTCAGTCTGGCCTTTGCATATTCTGTTCTCCTTTCCTGGGTATCCAGATATCCTTCAGGAGATACTTCTTATTACTCCCTGAAGGAGATAATCTCCAAACCCTCAACTCAGTTCCCACAGGTTACTCTCCCAGTACCCTAGACCTCTCGTTCCTAGTGTTTACCACAATTCAAATGAAATAATTGTATAGTTATTTCACTTTTGTCTCTCACTCTTGAATGTAAGCCTATAAGGGTAGGGACCATGTCTATCAGCTCATGACTAATCACCAGTACCTGCCACAGTGCTGGGCACACAGCAGTAATTTAACATTTAATATTAATAAGGTAACAGTGCTGGAATCAGGCACTATTATAAGCTCTTCATGTGTAGGAACTCATTGAATCCTGGTAACAAACCCAGAATGTAGGTATTCTTCTTCTTCTCATTTTACAGATGTAAAACAGGCACAGAGAGGTGGAGTGAGCTGCAAAGATCACACAGTGGAAAATGGAACTTGAACCTAGCAGTCTAGATTCAAAGCCTGTATTTTACTTTACTGCCTCAATATTTATGGAAAGCATGCCTGTTTAAATGTTCACTGAAGTCAATAACTCAGAGAATTGCTCATAAACAAATTCATAATTATAGAGCACCTCTACTGTAAAGTTTAACATGTTTAACTATGGAGAAGTAGAGGGGTATAAGTACTTTGATACTATCCGTACTGAAAACAAAAAAAAATCTTTGCCAAGTCCATAAGAGAGAACTTGTCCAAAGGTGAATACTATTAGTGATTCAAATAGGTTGAAATAATATTCAAAGCCTTTGTACTTCTTAGACTCATGAAAATTTGGTTGCTTGATATGCTGGAGTGTATATATTTGCTAATACTTTAAGGCCTTTCTGTGCTGCATTAGCCAATCTAAAAAGAGCAAACAAAATGAACATAGGTCACATGGTTCATTATTCCTAGCTTAAATGTTAAACAATAGAGAAGTCAATGACATTTTAAATTGTGGGTTGTCATTTTATTGCGGCTTTGGGAAGAGCAAAAATGCACAGAATAGAACATTGGGCAATGTCCCCTGCCCATAGCTGAGCTCTATTACTAAGATGAGATGCTGTCATCTGTGTTTTCATTTCCACATTTAACAACAAAAGCGGCACTTGCCAACTGTCATGAAGTTGTTCTGAGTAGGGTGTGATGATGTTTGTAAAGTTTGTAGTGCTGGAAGAAAAGTACTAATAAATACCAAAGCACAAACCACTTAAATAGTGCACAATTCGATGTGAAGTAGAAGATTCAAAATGACTCAGTGATTATTAATCTAATGCTCTAAAATACGAATAGGGGATTAATCCCAAGATGTTTCACATATTCTTAGAATATTAGAATTTTAAATTCTTATATGTTTTAAGACTATACCTACATGATTTTTGAAGCAATATTGAGAAGTGAAAAAACAGTTGATTCCAACGACAGATGACTCAAATGGGCAGAGATTTCTTAATAATATAGACTGGGAAACTAGAATACATCCAATTCAGGCTTCCCATTAAATCTATAGTGAATGGGCGATCATTCATCCTCCCATAGGGGAGTTACTGGGAATTTCCTCCGCATGCTATTCTGCTAGTTGACTATTTGCACATGGGGGCTTCCCAAATGGTTTCCGGTAAGAGAAGTGTGCTTCCTGCTATGGAGGGACTGGATCAGCCTAGGCTAGCTGGCCCATGGAAGAGAGTTCTTAGGCCGGCAAAAAACTGGAGTTTGTGAGGGCCTTTAGGGTTGTCAATTCACAACTAAACCTATGTGGGACACTATCCTTTGGACTGATTGTCACTTTTAGCTTTTTTTTTTTCTTAAACAAAAACAAAACTTGAACCCCCATTTTAATAAACAATTTTTTTTGTATTCTACCTTAATGATAATTGACATCTCAAAATAAATTTTGTGAATAGGAAGAAATCACAGTAAAGGTAAATTTAGAATATGCTTCAAACTACTTAAGCACTCTATCCTCCTGCATCCGGAGTTGATTCCTTCCAGTGGGTTCCTGGTCTTGCTGACTTCAAAAATGAAGCCCCGGACCTTCACGGTGAATGTTACAGCTCTTAAAGATGGCACAAACCCAGGCCAGGCGTGGTGGCTCATGCCTGTAATCCCAACACTTTGGGAGGCCAAGGCGGGTGGATCACTAGGTCAGTCCTGTAATCCCAGCACTTTGGGAGGCCAAGGCGGGTGAATCATGAGGTCAGGAGATCGAGACCATCCTGGTTAACACGGTGAAACCCCACCTCTACTAAAAATATAAAAAAATTAGCTGGGCATGGAGACAGGCGCCTGTAGTCCCAGCTACTCAGGTGGCTGAGGCAGGAGAATGGCGTGAACCTGGGAGGCGGAGCTTGCAGTGAGCTGAGATCACGCCACTGCACTCTAGCCTGGGGGACAGAGCGAGACTCCCTCTCAAAAAAAAAAAAAAAAAAAAAGAAAGAAAGAAATGATGGCACAAACCCAAAGACTGAGCAGCAGCAAGATTTATTGTGAAGAGCAAAAGAACAAAGCTTCCACAATGTGGAAAAGGACCCAAGCAGGCTGCCCCTGCAGGCTGGGGTGGCCAGTTTTTATTGGCTTATTTGTCCCTGCCCATGCCCTGCTGATTGGTCCATTTTACAGAGTGCTGATTGGTCCATTTTACAAACCTCTAGCTACCTACAGAGTGCTGATAGGTGCGTTTTTACAGAGCACTGATTGGTGCATTTTACAAAACTCTAGCTAGCTACAGAGTGCTGATTGGTGCATTTTACAATCCTCTTGTAAGAAAAGTTCTCCAAGTCCCCACCCAACCCAGAAATCCAGCTGGCTTCACCTCTCACTCCCAGGAATTTCAGGGCTGAAAACACATTCCTCGTGGGTGGCACAATCTTCTGTGAATGCCAGGCTAGCAATTCCAGCAGGCTGTTCCTGGATGGACCCTAATACCTGGATCGCACATGAAAACTTGGATTTGGTGCCTACTTCTAGACTGCTGTTTCGTCTCGTTTATTTTCTAGACAAACTGTGCTGCTCCATGGCAGTAGCATCAATATGTCTTTTGTTTCGTGGCGCTACCTAGGGATTTAAATTCAAACCGTATCACAAAATACAATAAAGGTTTATTTACAGCACATTGGTTTCATTTGACGTTCCTGTACCGGACTACCCTGGCAATCGGCTAAAGTTTTGTCAGCAAGTTTGCTGCTGGGATTTTTCTTATTTGGTTCAGTTTACTACAGCCTATCGTAAGTGATGCAGATGGAGTTAGTTTCTAACATGTGAACGTGAGAACTGTTTTGGTTTGGGTCCATCATTAAAACTGAAGAAGATTATTTGGGTTCGATGGTGTAGATTTTTGACTTTTATTTCTAGTTTCTGTGTGCTTTGTCATATTTCCCCTTGCTTCCTAGACGAGGTGTGTTTCCTTATCTGATTTTGCATCACTGGAGAGAACTCAGGAAGCAGGAGAGGCTGAATTGGATACCACGGGGAATGCAGCCCTGCCAACAGAGGACTGGATAGAATTAGAGCAAACGGACACATCCCCCCACGCCTGTTCTCCACAGGGCAGATTTTATTAATATATTTCTAACATTGGGGCCTCGTTTCAGTCTTCAAGTTTTTTCTTTTTTAGCGCAAACTAGACGCGCTCTGAGAGCCAAAATTAGCGTCCGCGAACCCCACCCCATTGCCTCCAACAGACCTAGCTCTCCTTTCCACCCTCAAACAGCCGTTACTACAGTTCCCAGCAAGCACCGCGCAGGGCCGCAAAGGGCCAGGCCCTCGGCGAAGGCCCCGCCCCGCAGGGGGCATGCCGGGAGTTGTAGTGAGTGGGCGCTTCCCTACTACTACTTGTCCCTTCCACTGGGCATTCCCACTTGGAAGAGTGTGATGCGCTGCCAGAGCAGTTTCTCTAGTTCCGTACTCGGAGCTCAAGGTGACAGAGGACTGCGCTTCCAGCCCTGCGCTGCGCATCGCGTCGGTCCCGCGGACCTTTGCCCCGCCTCCTTCCACACCCGTTCCCTTGACAGCTGGGCTGCGCTCCGGGCCGCGGCAAGCCGCGAGCGCGCAGGCGCAGCAGCCCCGCGCCGCGCTAGGCCGGCCTGGAGGGCGGGACAAGCGCTAGAAGCTCCCGGCCGGGGGCGCGCACGTAGGCACGCAGAGGCCGTCACGTGGGTCGCCGAGGCTCGCAAGTGCGCGTGGCCGTGGCGGCTGGTGTGGGGTTGAGTCAGTTGTGGGACCCGGAGCTGCTGACCCAGCGGGTGGCCCACCGAACCGGTGACACAGCGGCAGGCGTTAGGGCTCGGGAGCCGCGAGCCTGGCCTCGTCCTAGAGCTCGGCCGAGCCGTCGCCGCCGTCGTCCCCCGCCCCCAGTCAGCAAACCGCCGCCGCGGGCGCGCCCCCGCTCTGCGCTGTCTCTCCGATGGCGTCCGCCTCAGGGGCCATGGCGAAGCACGAGCAGATCCTGGTCCTCGATCCGCCCACAGACCTCAAATTCAAAGGTAGGCAGAACGGGGACACCCCCGGGTGGGGTGGGGCGCGCGGACCGCTGGCTGTCGGCGGGGGGGCGCGGAGGGCACGTCCGCGGCCCTGGCCCGAGGGAGCGCCCCCTCCCCCACGCCCCGGCGCCTTCCCTTTCCCGGCTGCTTTCTTGCCGCCACCTCGGCCGGCCTGCCCCTTGCTCCGGCCCGCTTCATCCCCTCCCGCCCGCCCTCGCTGCGGTGCGCGCGCCGGCCGGGGCGAGGCGGAGGGGAGCCCGGCCCTGGCGCCGCCGCCGCCGCCATCTTGCGGTCCCGCGGGGGCGCCTCCTGGGCGTCCGGTCCCGCCCGCGCCGCGGTCCGCCTGGGCCCGCGTCCTTGGCCCCAGAGGCCGACGGCGTGCTTCGGCGGGGCGTGGGCGGCTGGGCACCCGAGGGCGTGCGCTCTGGGCTGCGGCGGGGAGTGGGCTCTGGAGGTGGCGCAAGCTGCGTCTGTCGCCCGCTCCCGGCTGTCAGCGGCGCGGGGAGGCTAGGGCACGGCGCGGGACCCCTTGGGAGTGAGAGCCGCCCCCCGACCCCTGCCCCGGCCCGGGGAGAGCTCGCTGCAGCCGGCCCTCGGGTTCCGCGGAGGGCGTCGCTTGTCACCTTTCCGCCAGGTTTAGAACTCGGCCGTCAGGTGTAGGACGCGCCGGGGAGGTGGAGAGTCCTTGGAGGTGCCTGGCGAGGGCTGCCCGGTGCTGTTGGCACGGACCCAGGTGCGTGCGGGCAGGAGCGATGCGTCAGCCGCAAACGGAGAGTTGTAGGTTCATAGTAGCGGGGCTTCCTGCCTTCTACGACATTTCAGTGTGCCACCCGCGTGCTTTTATTTAGCCCTTTAGTTGAGCTCCTCTGCTGAGAAACCTTCAGTGCGTGTGACTTTTTTGCTTTTACGTTTGCGGTTTCCGACAGATCCTGAGAAGGCTGATAAGGTGTCACCCAGCTCTGGAACTTTGTAGGTTTTTGTAGTACTGCCTGTGATAAGTTTTTTAGTCTGACTTGGTGATCCTGGAAGAATCCCAGGGGCTTTTGGTCGGTTTCCTTGTCAATATGTAGTGTACTTTAGGAAAGAGAGTTAAAATGTACAGATTTTTATTTTTTTTCTTTGTTTTTAAGGAATACTGAAAGAGTGTGAACATCTAATAGAAAGTAGGTTCCTTCCTATCTTTAGTTAAGTGTAAAGTGAGTCCCGTTTTGGAAGTCTATGTCTTGTATTTCAATTGTTGAATGAGAACAATTTTTGTGAGGTGTATAGCAATTCTAGTGCTAAAAGAAAAAATTAAATCCTTTATTGTTGTGTAAGGCTGAGTCCAAGAGAAAGCCAACTACATTGTTTTCCATAGGAAAAACTTCAGGTTTAGGAATTTAAAATATATTCTGGAATTATGAGATTAATATTGCATAACTACATTGCAAGCTTTTTAGTGCGTTTACAAATTTCTTTGAATAGAAGTGTAAGTGAGCTACTTGTTGGGTAAGGATTTGGTTTTAAGGTGCAGTGAATGTATTTTATTGCAAGTTTATGTAAGTTGTGTGATTTTTACGTAGTTGTAGCTGGGGGAAAACCTTTGAGGAATTATGAAGAGTCCTGACTCAGCCATTATCTTGAGATAATTTAATGTAAATCTGTATGGTGTGTTTTTTTTTAATATTTCGTTTTTATCTTTTGATTGGCTGTGTTTACAGTGAACATTTCCTCTACTGGATAACTATGTGTAAATTGCCATTAGGGATTTATAAGCCTTTACAACCAGTTTTAGGCCAGGAAATGTCCACAGAGTTTGAAGTTTTCTCCTTAGGGAAGTTGTTATGTTGCTATAGTAAGGGAGTAATAATAGTGGAGAAGCAAGTTTAAAAAACAAGCAAAAGCCCTACACAGTGACTTACTCATATATTTCCTTTTTTGGGGGTGTTGGAGAATTACAGCTATGATTATAGAACTCATTGTTTTTGTGTTGCCAGTAAAAATAAGACTAGCCAGGGAAGCAGAAAAGGTGTGTAGATGGTATAACAGAGACACAACCGTGTCTGAGGAAAGAAGCCCTTTCTCTATGTGCCCCATCCCTCCCTTAGGAAGCATTTAAGGAAAAGGCTTGTTTTTCATTTCAGGGGAGGTTTAGGCCAAGAGAGTGGTTGAGTAAACACACTGCTGTGAGAGAATGCCTGGTACTTAAATGCCCAATAGTTTGTTGTGTGTTTCAGTTTAAAGATGGAGATGATGGGGAGGATTGGGAGGTGACATTTGGTGTTTGATTCCTTAATATTATCGTTTTAGTCAAAGGTAAATTGTTGGCTTTGATGGAAACCTTTGTGTATTTAAATGCACAGTTCAACACTGAGGAGATTCATTTAGAATGTACAGTCTACTTGGGCTTAGTTTATGATAGAAAAAAATCATTTAACTGACTTACCCTAAGTCATTCAAAACTTTCTAAGTGAAGGACTTTTAGAAGACAGTTTTGCAAAATTCTTTGTCATCTTCTAGTAGGTTTATTTTAGTTATTGATTCTGAGTTTGAGATGGTTTCTCCAGGAGTGACTCAGGTAATCATTCTGAGATTGGATGGTTTTTCTTTTATACACCTAACAAGCATCTTGAAGATGAATTAACAGTATGTTGCACAATTTTGCAAAAGCAGACACCAACTATTTCAGTACATTTTTCTGTATACCTCAGTATTTAAAAAAAAGTTTGTTTTATACAGTCGTTAACATATAAAAGTGCATTTACGATGTAATGAATTCTGAAGTAGATCACTTGTGTTAGTAAAGAAAAAGAAGTAGACGCTGCTTTACTTCAAATTCTGTTTAAACCTTGGAAGTAATTTTACCTAGATTTCAGATTTGAAACTTGGTATTTTATGTGAAAGATTTTTTTTGTCTTTAAAATTTTTTACATGATAAAATTCCATTTATAATGTATTACACATTTTATTTTTCTACCTATTAGCAGTTTTTTTAAATTTTTTTATTTTTTGAGACGGAGTCTTGCTCTGTTGCAGTGGCTCGATCTCGGCTCATTGCAGTCTCTGCCTCCCGGGTTCAAGCAATTCTCCTGCCTCAGTCTCCAGAGTAGCTGGAACTACAGGCATGCACTACCATGCCCAGCTAATTTTGAATTTTTTGTAGAGACGGGATTTTGCCAGGCTGGCCTCGAACTTCTGACCTCAGGTGATCCGCCTGCCTTGGCCTCCCAAAGTGCTGGGATTACAGGCGTGAGCCACCGCACCTGACCCCTATTAGCAGTTTTGTAGAAAAGTTTGAAGAAGAAAGTTTATAAAATGCTAAAATAAATTTCAAATATATTCTTAATGATCAGAGAGAGACGAAAATAAACCAAAATCCTTATGTTGAGAGTGGCCGATAACAATAAATCAACAAAGAAAATTAAGCTCTCTGAGGGATCGAGGGACGTATGGTGTTAACATCAGCTAGTGCATCTGCATAGAAGCAGCACGGGGCGGGGGGGAAATTAGAGAATACTCCTCTGGATGGATATTTAGCACATTTTTAGGTGTTTCCAGTCGGCTCTTCATGTTTCCCAGTGGCTATACAAAACGCCTGGGGCTCTAAAGACATGAATGTAATCTTTAATCATATATTACTCCATTCCTTAGTTTTTAGGTAACTCTCAATTGCTCACAGAATAAAAGTCAGATTTTTTTTTTTCAGTAAGACATACCATCTCTTCCATGATGTGCCTTCCTCTTGTAACACCTGTTAGTCTGTACACATCCATACTTTCTTCCCTGAGAAAGAAAAACCCTGCTCATACCCAAGGTTCTTTGTTCCTCTATTTTTGCTGGCTAAGGTAAAATTCCTTATGACTCAGACCATGTTCCATGAGATGTTTTCCTGCTGGTTTTCAATCACTGGCTGCATTGTTTTAACATATAAATACACCAGAGTCTTTGATTTTAAAAACAAATGAGCAGACATGTACTTCTTTGACCATAACTCTTTCTAGTATGTGTCTCTCCCTGTCCTTCATTTCCTTTGCATTCAGACTTTTTGGAAAAATAGTCCATATTCACTGTTTTTCCAGTTACTCACCTTTTATTCTCTCCTTAGTCCACGGTACTTTTATCCTCTCACTACTTATTGCTAACTTAATCATTTCCAGTTTTTATCTTACTTGACCTCCCCCTGGCTCTTGACAGTACCGACAGTTTCTCTAAAAAAAACCCTCAATTCTTCTGGCTTCTATAACAGCATTGTCTTCTAATTTTCTTATTTGCTCCATTTATTGTCTTATTTGTGGCATTTTCCTCAAATGCTCATGTTTCTGAGATTCTGATTTGGTTTCATTTATCTCACTCTGTGAACTTTCTTTGTTCATTTCATTGTTTTGAGGTTTTCTCTTTATCTTCCTTGCTCTCTGCAGGTATTGCTACACCCCCAAGTCTGTTTTAATTCACATTTTACCGTCAGTCAAGAGCACATACTCAAACAACTTATTCACTATTTAGATTTGAATATTGCACAGATATGATATTCTAAACTCAAAATATCTCAAAATTTTTACTACCCATGCCTACTCTTCTTCCCATATTTTTTATTTTTATTTTTGAGATGGGGTCTTGCTCAGTTGCTCAACCTGGAGTGCAGTGGCATGCACGTTCTTGGCTCACTGCAGCCGTGACCTCCTGGGCTCAAGTGATCCTCCTGAATAGCTAGGACTATAGGTGCATGCTACCATGCCCAGCTAATTTTTTACGTACATATGGGGGTGCCGCTGTGTTGCCCAGGCTGATCTCGAACTCCTGACCTTGCGTGATCCTCCTGCCTTGGCCTCCTAAAGTGCTGGGATTACAGGCCTGAGCCATTGCACTTGGCTTTATTTTTATTTTTTAGTGGCATCATGATTACTCACACCAGAAACAATATGCATATCTAATAATTAAAATCTGTGTTTCTATTTTTGACATAATCCCTTTGTCCACTTCAATGTGTTTCTACTTCCAAATTCATTTATTTTTAAAATTCATTCAATTATGGATCTAATTTGATTAGATTTGAGTATCTGCTACATGTCAGGTATGATGAATAAATATTGGAACTACAGTTGTGAGTGAAACACAAGCCATGTTTTCATGGGGCAGTTCTAACAAGAGAGATAGATACTAATAAAATAATCAGAAGAATAAAGTGTACCCCTGAAGAGCTATATAGTGCTACGAGAATGTAAAATAAGGGTCTTCGATCAGGCTGTCACAGTTGAACTAAGATTCCAACAATGAGTAAAAGTTATCCTGGTGAAGAAGAAAGGAAAATGCATGTTCAAATATCCGGTAGCAGGAGGGACTGTGAAACATTTACCATACTGAAAGAGGTCGGCGTGGCAGTGGTGAAAATAGTCAAGATGAATGTAGTGCTGGTTTAGTAGGTCAAGTTAGGAGTTTTGTTTTTATCCTGAGCCACTAGGGTTTTTAAGTGAGGGGAGGAGCAGTAAAGATGGAGGGAATCGAATAACATCACATTTGCATTTAAAAATAATTCTGGTAGCAATGTAAAATTATACTAGAGGGGAGAAAGAGATGAATTAGGCGGCTGCAGCAGTACTGGCAAGTGGTGACCCCTTGGACTGAGGTCATGGTATTGGAGGTGATGAAAAGTTAGGTTGAATCTGTGAGACTTGGTGGTCTCTATGTGCACTGAGAGAAAAGGGTATGAATGTCTGAGATTTCTGCTTATATAACTGGGGAAATGGTGGTGCTATTTGAGAAACGGTGGATGTCTGGATGAGGACGAAATGCATCTTATTTGGGGGTGTGTGAGAGAGATGGAGGAGGAGGACGTATGGTAGATATGTTTAGGTCTTTCAGGATATTAACATGAAGGTGGATTTGGTTAAATGGGTGTGTTACTTAAGAAAAGGTCTGGGCTTTGGATAATTTCCTTACTTCAGGTCCTTTTATATTTACTAGTCAGCAGACATCTCCTTTTCTTTTCTTTCTTTCTTTCATTTTTTTCTTGAGATGGAGTCTCGCTTTGTCACCCATGGTGGTGTGCAGTGGCGCTATCTCGGCTCACTGCAACCTCTGCCTCCCGAGTTCAAGCGATGCTCCTGCCTCAGCCTCCCAAGTAGCTGGGATTACAGGCGTGCACCACCATGCCTGGCTAATTTTTGTATTTTTAGTAGAGACGGGGTTTTGCCCTGTGGGCCAGGCTGGTCTCCCTGACCTCAAGTGATCCACCTGCCTCTGCCTCCCAAAGTGTTGGGATGACAGGCGTGAGCCACTGTGCCCAGCCTCCTTTATTGTCAGCTCTTTACCCTGTCCTCCACACTGCTGCTGGAACTACGCTTTGGAAAAAGGAGGCTGTTACTGTTAGTCCCTTGATTGAAGAACTCTAAATGTTTTCTTACTATGTACTTGAAAAATCCAAAATCCACTGCCTAACTCTCCAGCCTCAGTGTCTATTCTTTTTCTTCTGTCCATAACTTTGGCTATATGAAACCATTTTCCCAAACACTCCAGGCCACTGCAATGCTTTGCACAGGCTCTGCTTAGAATATTGTCCTCCCTCACGTCTGTCAGGCAGCCTCTTATTTCAAGAATCACTTCCTCTTGAGAAGTCGTTGATACTCTACCAGTCCAAGTTGGTCAGAGCCTTCATGCCACTGTTGAAGCTTGTGCTTACCTGTAATAACAGTACTTTCACATTAGATAGTAGTTAGGCTTACATATTCTCCCCTCCCAAACTATACTATGAACTCTGAGTATATACCTGTTAATGTTTGTAGTAACAAGTTCTGGCATCATAAAATGATTGCCCAGTAAGTGTTGATTGAATTAATAAGACTCAGATGATTTCTCCAGTAATTTTTATTTTTTGGTCTTGGATCTTGACTCAGTTGGAGTTTTCACCTGCTTTTGCAGGTAATAGTGCTTTCAAAATTTTGTACTTCCAGAAAAGGGGTGGTAGGCTATTTTGTAAAGAGCTGACTAACCCTAAAGGTAGGTTGTTTGATGTTTGTGTTTTTTTCATTTGTAAAGTAAGAGGTTAGGACTAGGTGATTTCTTGGGTGTTCTGTCTTTAAAAGTTTGTGTGAATATATGACAATTGAGTACAAAAAGAAAATGCTATTTTTCTGTGAAGCAGAAAAATGCATATAAAGAATAGGGAAAACTATACTTTTAATCCTTTAAAAAGATTTCATTGTGTATATTTGAGGTATACATATAACATGATGTTATGGGATACATATAGATAGTAAAATGGTTACTATAGTGAAGCAAATTGACATATGCATCATCTCAACATAGTTTCTTTTTATCTTACCTTTACTGACCATTTAGTGAAATCTTATTTGCCTTTCAGAGGTGGAAGTTGATACAGGATGGATCTTGCTCTCTTTTGATCATAAAGTTAGTTTTGGAAAAAAATTAAATGTGCGAGAGGACTGTTAACTTGCAAATGCTTGTTTACTGGTTTAATTCATTTTATAACTGAAATGTGACTCAAATTAGTTTTAAATTAGTAAGTTTTAAACGTTTGAAAACTTTCAAACATGAGCACCTTATAATATGAACCTCAGTATGCGTTAATTTAGTAAATTAAATTTAAATATAAATTTAATAATTGACATTTTACTATAATCATACGTGTTTATTTATATATTTTTGTTTGCCTCCATGTTTGTATTTTTTTGCAGCGGTCTCACTCTGACACCAGACTGAAGTGCAGTGGTGCTGTTATAGCTCACTGCAGCCTTGAACTCCAGGGCCCAAGCGATCCTTCTGAGTAACTAGGACTACAGGTGCATGCCACTGTGCCCAGCTAATTATTATATGTTTTATTTTTTGTAGAGACAGTCTTGCTATTTTGCCCAGCCAGATCTTGAACTCCTGGCCTCAAGCGATCCTCCTGCCTCAGCCTCCCAAAGTGCTGGAATTACAGGCATGAGCTACCATACCTGGCCTGCCTCAGTATTTTTAAAACAAATCCTGAATGATAGCATAACATTTCATCCCTAGATACTTGAGTTTGCATTTATAACCAAAAAAGGACATTTTCTTTGCATAATCATGATACTGTTAACACGTAATAACATTAACAGTAATTCTTTGATATCCTCTAATATTTAGTCTATTACAAAGAACAAAATCACACTTAAGAGTTTATTAATGAGCAATCTCAATGGCATAGGAAATCAGGTATACCTGGTCTCACAGGAAGAGGCTGTTTATAATCTAGATTCAAGGCCAGCCAATATATATGCTGGTGACTGACCAGTCAAAATTTTGATGGCTCACCTTGAAACACAACTATAAATAGATGGTTATAGGTTTCAGACCTTCAAGGTCATATGGACTGGGAGACAAAACAGTGGCTAATTTGGACCAGTGGCAAGCAGAAGCAACTAATTGAGAGAAAAAAGGCAGAGAAACGTAGGCAGAGAGGTCTTTTGATCCCAGGAATTAGTTTCTCTTGAATACAGCCTCTTCCTGTGATGCCAGTTATACTTCATTTCCTGTGCCATTGAATTGCTTACATCTTTATGATGAACTCTTCAGTATGGGTTTTTTTAATAATAAAATATTCTTTGCTTAAATGAGATTGAATTTGATATTTTCTGAAGCCATATTTGTAACACATTATTCTTTAACATTTCACTTTATAAAAAATAAATTCTGTAATCTGTTATACATATTTCACTTTGTAATTGTTATTCTGTAACACATATTTCACTTTATAAAAAGTCTAAACTAGTGTCTTCAATGCTTATAAAAGAAACCTCCGTATCATTTTTGCTGACTTATGCATCATTAATATACCATAGCATGCTTAGCTGCTTTTCTCTGGTGTTTGGATGTTCTTTATAACTAGTTATCACTAATGTTTGATACTGTTCTGAAAATTCAGATTTAAAGGAGTGAGAAGTTTAGTTACGTATCTTTTAGCTTTTTAAGGAAATGATTAGATTGAATTACCGTTAAAAAGTAGGGATGTTAATTAAAAAAGAATTGTTGCTATGAGAGGACTTTTAAACTTTTAGCATTTTAAGGAAATGATTAGATTGAATTACCGTTAAAAAGTAGGGATGTTAATTAAAAAAGAATTGTTGCTATGAGAGGACTTTTAAACGTATGTTTATAGTATAACTTGACAAATTTCTCATGGGCCTATGTTTTGACAGCTCTTTTGTAGCTGTATGTTTCATGTATGTGTGTATATGTGTGAAGTGTATATGAATATGTATATAATTTTAATTCTTGAATAATATGACATGGAGTGACTGTCATACTTTAAAGACATAGGGTGCCTTTAAATCATACAGTGTTTCCTGTTTAGTTTTTCCTGTGAAAAAATTTTACTTTTTAAAGCCTGTAGGGCCAGAATCTCTTGGTCTTGTTTTCTGAGTACTGTTCCCACTGAGAAAAACCTCACTAACAACAGATCCCCAAAAAATCTGTGGTTCTGAATTTTTTCAGTTTTTTCTTCCAGGATTTTACAAGTAAGAGGATTTATAAGCAAATTAAGCTACTATGGGTACATGTTTAAAAGTCCCTTGTTATATAAAATCAGTGCTAAATTAGAAAATGGAAAAAGTATAGATATTATAAAGCTGTCTATGGCCATACCACCCTGAACGCGCCCCATCTCGTCTGATCTCGGAAGCTAGCAGGGTCTGGTTAGTACTTGGATGGGAGATATTATAAAGCCAATAAAAATTACTCAATCTCACAAAATAACCTCTGTTAACATTTTGATAAACTTTTTATAGCTATGCTGTGTATAATTATATATTTGTATTTTGTATGTTTTTAGTTAAGATTATTGTGATCATTTTTTCATGTTATATTTTCCCCTAGCAAAAACTTTAGATCTAAATAATAAAAAAAAAAGTTTGTTTCAGGTTCTCTGAAAATGTACCTTCTTTTCTATTTCTTTACATCCTACCTGTCTAGAATCCAAAAACTTAAACTTTAGATGTGGACCGCTCGTTTCTATTTTAATCAAGATGTTAAATTATTAGTAAGTAGCATGCACTAATTTCACGTTCATTCTTGAACACTAACATTGTTCTTTTACAAATAATTTACGTATGTGTACATCTTATTGTTCTTTGGAAGTTTAGAGTGGAGGGACATAAAATTGGTATGAAATGTTGCAAATCAAAGTGTTCCACTTCTGTGTTAAGACTATTGTTTATTTTCTCTGCCTTGTTTTCAAGATTATGTCACCAGGATTGTTTAGGTCAGACTGAGCAGTGTATGCATCAGAATACCTTAAAAAGCACTCCTAAAACGTTTAAGGTAGTTTTTTAAGATGAAATGTCAATAAAGCTGTGATGGGTTTAAGATTGAATTATCTCCCATCTTTACCACCGGGTAGAAGACGTTCTTTAAGGTGGTAAGTAAAGTTAATCACAATGTCACATGACATGAGAGAAGCCTTAGAGATCATTTTGCCTACAAATTCTAAAATGAAGCAGGTTAGACTGGGATAGAGAGGGGAAGTGATTTACCCAAGGTCCATCAGCTAGGTAATGGTTTTAGCTGTTAAGCCTCAGATTGAACATACTACATTATGCTTTTTTTTTTTTTAAAGTCATAGTATAACATCAGTAACAAAAATGAGCATCTCCCTTGCCCCAGAAGGCTGCCAAAAGAATGGAAAGAAGTGTTTTCATTTTTTATTTAGGTACGTGTTTATGTAAAGGTGATGGATGAGTATTTATACGACCAGAACAATACTACACTGTATGAAAATGGTGTAAAAGAAGTAAAAGACATGGTCCCTTCCGGTTGGTAACTTTTTCATACTGTAATTTTAGGCTCCCAGAATGGGAATACTGGTTTATAAAAAATGATTACATGACCATATTAAGTGGATTTTGGAGAGTTTTCATGATACATTCTGAAACTGTTGATTGTATAGTATGGATAAACTGATTGTATAATATGATTGTATAATATGTTTGTATAATTGTATAATATGATTGTATAATATGGACAGTGAGGCAATTTCAGTAATTAAAGCCCTTAGAGGCTTAAATAAAATAGTGCAGTCTTGCTTTTCCATTAATCTCAGGATCCATACTTTTATGATGTTAGTGAAATCTTATGAAGAGATATGTTTTAGTGCTTCAATGACTAAGTTTTTAAAAATAGAACTAAGACTCATTTTTTTTCCCAGAAAGTATTACTCTATTTGTACAAAAATATTTATACAAAAATATTTCTTCAGTACCTACTACACCAGGCATTGTGTTAGTTGCTGGGGATACAGCAGCTAACGAAACAAAGACCTATTCATGGAGCTTACATCAAGTCTGATATTTAAATGTGTTTGAAAAAAACATACAGTAAGGGTAAATTCAAGTGACATCATTTAAAAAATTTGTAATAAGAATGTTTTAGGGCTTTCTTGGATGTAAAAATGTAAAATATTTTTTGAGTGCTTGATACTTATTTCAGGAAGTGTTCAGTGTTGACCTGTGTGACCAAGAGAAATACAATATCAATTTAAAAATCTTTTTCATATATTGCTAATTTGACTGCACTTTCATGCTTTATTGTGGCAGAAGTCTACCTGGAATACTTATGAATTAGAAAATAAATACCGTTTGGTTATACGTACAAAATTTATGAGAGTTCAGGCCCTAGAGTCAGACCTGGTTTGACTTCCCACTTTCATTGCTTTGAGTTATATGACCTTGGACTACTGTTTACCTTCTAAGTTGAATCATTTGTAAACTTGGTATATTAAAATGTAATGAAAGTATCTACTTCATGGACTTGTGAGGGTTAAATAACATAGTTCATACAAAGTTATTGATACATGAGTGCCCAATAAACGCTAGCTGTTCCGTTAGTAGATATTCTGTGTACTATATAGTATTAATATATGTTTTGTATATATGATTACCTTAACATGATGCCACAGATACTCAGCAGCATAACCCTTGTGTAACTGGGAAACAGTTTAATCAGTGATACAACTTAATTAGCTAAAACCTGTTAGAAACATTGAAGGTAGTCATCACCTGCATTGCTGTGGCTACATTGTTTGTGTATTTGAGCAGAGCACCCAGCCTTCCTCATTAGTCTGCACTGCATAGCTAAGAATTTACAAAGACCTTGTCAAGAACTGTGAAGGGACTGAAAATTTAGCCTGCTGCAGTTTTGTAGATGTTGGTAGAAGACATGAGATTTCCTGAGTTAGACAGTGGACATCATTGTTCATGGCACTGCAAGTGGAATGGGCTTTATATTTGTGTTGTTTTCCTTGCCCTCCTCAAGTTCCATGGAGGTGACAGAGGTGTTCGGGTAGATGCTACTCACATAGTGAGTTTGCATCATAACTAGAAACCCTGAGCTTAGAGAACCGGAATCTTTCATAGTGGGCTGCACAGAAACCTACCTGACCTTTGTTCCAGTAGAAGACCTTATCTTGATTATATTGGTCAGTGAACAAACCTGCCCCTCTCCTCAGAAGGGAGGTGTTGTCTTCTAAGACAGTTCACTATTTAATACATTCTTGAAAAGATAGCCTGGGTAAAAACCCCCAGGACTACTTCTTGCAAGATGTGCAGAAATGCTAGAGGCCCATGGAGAATTGTCTCCTAAACACACCTCTGAGTAACTAGCCTAAATGGGGGTCACAGAGTTCATAAATTAATGTTCATGTGCATTGTCTGTTTATTCTTAAGTTACATTTTAGAAGTGTTTTCTGTTTTCTGAAATGCTCTGTGTGATATACTACTGCTTATCCCATATTAAAATTTTATTCTCTTAACAGAAAACAAATACTAAAGTTGATATGCATACTGAGATGTTCAGGAGTGACTATATTGGTGTCTTCAGCTTAGTTTGATGTGCATCAAAAATTAAGTGGATGTCTGGACAGGGCAGATAGATATGCTGCAAAGTAAATACAGCAAAATGTTCATCGTAGAATGTGAGTGATGAGTGTATGAGTGTTTATATAATTATCTCAACTTCTTTGTCAAATTTTTCATAATAAAATGTTGGGGGAAAAGCTAGCTGTTCCCCTCCTCCACAATTGATTCTCTTTGCAGCTGAACTCAACTCAGCCTTTCAAGGTAACTTTGTCATCAGTAGTTCACATCAAAATATGGATGAATGATAACAGTTTTTAAGAACTGTTACAGTGGTTCTTTTTTTTTTTTTTTGATAGCTCTTCTTAGCTTAGTGGGATTCCTTTTAAGACTGGGTGGTTTGGAGAATAAAGGTCCCGCTATTTAAAAGGAAGTCATTGTTCTGAATGGTTGAATTTTACACATATGGACTGACTAAAAAGGGTATTTCCTGCTGGAAAAATGTTTTTAGGCAAAGGAGGCAGGCCAGTCTCACTTGACTGACTTTTGGGTGAGCTGCCTTAAAATTTTCTAATATTTTTGACATGTCAGGCTCTAAGTTTTTTTAAAACTTATGTTCAGACTTTTTTACTCAAAGGCCACATTTATGTATGTGTTACATTTCTGTTTGATTGTAAAAATTTGGGACTAGGAGTAGGATTTTGGCTTAATGGCAGTGACAGCTGTAGAGGAGTTGGGACAGAATACTTAGTGGCAGGAAATGGTAGGGCTTCCAAAGAACAACAGCCACATAATTGAAAGGTAGAAGTATTTTAATTGTAGATTTTTTTCAATATAAGAGTGCAAATAAATGTAACGTATGCAGTTTTCTTTTTTCATATGGGATAGTTCATTATAAACAGTGACATATCTCTAATATAAGTTTCTATCAATACTTTTGATTAAAATGGACTAGTTAAAAAATTGTTTCCTAAATGTTAAACTAAGCATTCATATTGGGCAAATGATAGGATTTCCCTGATTTATAGGGATTAAGTTTTAGAAATCCTCTAAACCTATTTATTACATAAATTGCATCAGATGTTCACTTTGTCATCAAAACTGCTTTTCACTGTTTTTTCAATTTTTCAAGGTTATTTCAAGGATCAGTTTTTCTGAAAAAACATTTTTATTGTTTTTCGTAAATAAAAGATATATACAGTTCAAGGAATTATCAAAAGTTAAATACTCATATAATCACCTCCAGGGTTAGAAATAGAACTTGGCTAGCATTCGGCAAAGTGCTCCTTTTACCCTCTCCCAGTTACTTCCACTGCAGGATTAACCATTATCCTGACTTTTATGGTGGCCACTTGTTTCTCTTGATGGTTTAATCACCTAAGGCTTACAAAGGATACATTTTCAATTAGTGAAGCAGATTATTGGTTTAATTCAGGGGTTCTTAACTCTAACTTCATAACTCATTTTTATATTTTGTAATGCTATTGCTATCCTGAAATGAAATGCATATATAAAATGACCAACATATGTAATTAAAAATGTTAAAATATATTTGCCCTAGCTATAACATAAGGGGAAAAAAAGGAAGTAATTTTATAATGGAATGCTCATTTTAAGTGTAAATGTTTGGGCGTGACTACACTAGAAGACATAATGAAGTAGTCAGATACTTGTACCCTACTTAAGTTTGTAGGTACAGTAGTCAGATGTTTGTATCTACTTAAGGTGAGTAAGTTTGGATTTAAGAGAAATAAGAGTTATCCGAGTAGTACTGACAGTTTTCTTAACATTGTTAAAAGGGCAAAATAAGAATATGCCGTTTTAGGGCATATAGGTAGATTCATGTGAATATAGGTAGATTCATGTGAATGTGTTACCTACAGATGCCTGCTGACTAATTCAGATGTGTTGTATTGGTGATTCAGGTATGATGAGTGGCATTGCTATTGTTAGAATAGTCTTCAGTAATAGTGAACTCACCTTTTAACATTTTGAAGAAAAGAGTACACATTTTTCCTGTTCACGTAATAGATGAATACTTGGAAAAGAGGTTTTTCACCAATATGAATTTCTGGAGGAGTATTTGAAAATTCGGTGCAATGGGAACATAGTACTTCATTGTGTGGGTCTGCATTGCAGAATGTCTACCGTCCTGTTTCCTGCCCCCACCCCCTGCTCCTAATGAAAGGAGCAGTTACCACCTAAAGGGTTATGTTTGTAGCACTTTCAGTAAAGAATATAACTTCTCTTTTTTGAAGATCTTAAGGTAGATTTCTTCATCAGGCCTTTTAATCAGCAGCTCCTGGCGGGGTGGGGGTACATGATACAACCCCTCCATCCCTGAACTCAGCTCTCCAACTCATTTTACCTTCCATAAAAGTCAATGTAAAATGTTTTTGAATATTTACCTATGTATGTTTTTATGAGGTGGGATATGGCTTTCGTCAGGTTCTTAAAGGATTCTGTGACTCACAAAAGTGGACCAGATATTTCTTTCCGTGACTTTTTTAAGCTATTAAATCTGGTTATTCCTTTGCTAATGGTCATCAGTACTTGATAATTTTCTATTTTAAACTAGGAAAGGGGCTCAAACTCTTAGCTATCTGCTGGGAGCAACCCTCATTGAGAGGCTAGAGGGATACAATGGAGCAGAAAATCTCAAATTCAGTAGTTAAGTGGGTTTATTATAGATAATTCTACGTTTTACTCGCAAGTTAACATGTCCTGTTAAGAATTTAGTTTTGAATGGGTGAGGTGTATTTCTTTTGATATATTATCATCATCTTTAGATAATTTATATTTTTATGTCTAGAAAGCCCACTATCTGTATTGACAATTTATAATCCCTGGTGGGCAGTATCGTGAAATGTAAATACTATTTCAGAATTCGTACAACTCTTGTAGAGTTTGTTGATGAAAACTGACCCACAGTCATTTTAAAAATCAGTTTAAAAAATTATTTTACCTTAGTTTGGATAATTGGTACTTTTTAAAATTGGGGAGAATTAAATTAATAAAACATTTAATTCTAAAAACTTACATAATTATGTTATGAAAATACATAAATATGTAATTAAAATAATTAGGCATTCACTATGGATTAGGATTGTTCAAAATTAAAATTTTGTGACATGTCTTTTTGTCATGTTACTAAGAAATTGGATCTTTATTTTAATCTGTGATTGCTACTAATGTTAAAGTCCTAGTCAAAATAGTCCTATAACATTTTACATTTTTAAGCGTTTGTAGTAATTATGGGTTTGAGAATGTTAAGAAATGGAATTTGCCTTTAAGACTTCTAGTTTTATCAGTTCAAAACGTATCTCCAGCCAGCCATTTTGTGGATTCATGTAGTGAAATGGACACATTGGAGTTTTCGTCTTTACTCTCATACTAGTTTTATGGTGGAGTTTTTAATCAGATGCTTTTCAAAAAGATAATGGAAGCTCTTGGGGTTGAAGAAGCAGCAAGGGTTGTATGTTGTAAATGGAATGATTAGTTTGACCATATAATGAAACAAGCAGTTCAGAAGATCATACTTTGTCATATGTATGCTTTTTTTTTAAAAAAAAAATGCAGACCTGTTAGTTATATTAAAATGCTTTCTTTTCTATAACTGGTTCTCTGCCTTTCTATGCTTGCTTCTAATTTTCACTCATTTTTATCTCCTTCCTCTCATCCTAGTTCCAAATTTTTATTTATTAGAAAATATTTTACTACTAACAAACTTTAAGCATAGCATAAAATCATTTTGCTTCTTAGGGCTTGAAATAAGTGTCTTTTAATGACTTTGTAAAATTTTAAAAGACATGCTTATTCTTAAGATTGAAATAAAGAAAAGAGAGCCTTTATAATAGTTGTCTTTGATTCCAGCCTTCTAGCTTTTTTAAAAAATACATAACTTTAAACGAATTGTTTTTAGAACGATTTAAAATTACTTTTGGAATACTTAGAACTGTGGTTATTGTTCCCAACTGGAACATGTTTTTATGTTCTTCCTCCAAATTAACAGGTATTTATTTTGTTGTCTAAATTAATCTGCATAATTTTTCTTCAGGCTTTTCTTCAGCAAAATGGATCAGCCTTTTGGGTTCTTTGTTTTGTAATTTTATGTTGTTTGGGTGCAGAACCAAAGCTTAAAAACTTTGTATCTAGAGCATATGGCATAATAAACACTTAACAAATATGTGAATGAATGAATGGATTGAATGAATGAACAAACAAAATTGAGGTGAAGCAAAAGCACTGATGTCATAGGGTGTAGGGTCTTCAGATGTAGAGATTTTTGCAGTTGGCCTAGTAAAATGAACTTGAAGATTGACACTGGTTTGCAGACAACTGGGAAATTCTGTTATTTTCAGCAACGTATTAACAACATACTGTAAAAATACAGTTGTAAAGTTCATAGATCCAAAGTTTCATAGTACTTTTTTGATAGAAATCATACATGTTTATGGTAGAAATTTTGTGAAATACAGGGAATGAAGAAGAAAATATGACTTGTTTTTAAGTCTGCCACCTCGAGAAAGGCAGTGTTAGTAGCCATTTGGGATATTTATGCCTACAAATGTCAGCACTTAATTAAAATTGAGGTTATATATTTTCAGTTTTGAATCCTTCGTTGTTGAGAATCCAATTAAATTTTGTTTTCTCTTTAATTTTTAAACTTTACAGGCCCCTTCACAGATGTAGTCACTACAAATCTTAAATTGCGAAATCCATCGGATAGAAAAGTGTGTTTCAAAGTGAAGACTACAGCACCTCGCCGGTACTGTGTGAGGCCCAACAGTGGAATTATTGACCCAGGGTCAACTGTGACTGTTTCAGGTAGCAAATCATGTTCTGAATTTATGTACATTTGAATTTTGACCTTTTATGATTATGTTTTTGTTTAATAAGGTTTCATCTGGAGGGAGGGAAATAATTCTTATATTATTCTGGTTTTGCCTTTAAAGATGTCTTGTTACAGTACTCTGCAAGCTGTTTCAGAAAATTTCTCACTCATCTTCTGTGTAGGGAGTGTGGTCAGTTTATAAGAAATTATTGTCAATTACAAACTTTAGTCTTTATTTCTACAGCTAACCACTACCTTCTCTGCCTTTGTTATTTTATCTTTGAAAAATTATATCATTTTTCTGATGGGTCATTCTCCTTCAGATCATGATCATATTACACATTGCATGCAGCTATAGAAGTGTCATAATTCTTTTGCTTAAAAAGGTGCAATGCCACTTTTTTGCCTACTGTGTCAAATCAGATGAGTCTTTATGCCTTTCATTGTAAATGTCAACAGTGTCCTGTGTGTGAAAACTTTATTTTTATTTTACTACTCTCTTATGTGTTTACTTGTCAAAGAAGTATGCTTGCCATATATGGATTACTTACTCCTGCTGTGGAGTTGATACTGGTACCATATCTAATGCCCCCTATAAACTGTTTCTTTCTTTCTCAGTCCCTCTGACTTCACTAATATAGCTGAGAAATAGGAAATAGGAAGTAAATATGAGAACTTTTATGGTTCCATGTATTTTACTTAGGGGAGAACCTCTCAGGCTGCATTTACTCTTTCTTTACAGCAGTACTTCTCAACTCCCACTATATGCTGTAATAACACAGGGAGCAGGAACACACATGGATTCATCTCTCCCAGATTGGAATCTCTAGGAGCATGACTTAGAAATGTTACATTTAGGCCGGGCGCGGTGGCTTATGCCTGTAATCCCAGCACTTTGGGAGGCCGAGGCGGGTGGATCACGACGTCAGGAGTTCAAGACCAGCCTGGCCAAGATGGTGAAACCCCATCTCTACTAAAAATACAAAAAATTAGTCGGGTGTGGTGGTGGGCGCCTGTAGTCCCAGCTACTTGGGAGGCTGAGGCAGAGAATTGCTTAAAACCAGGAAGTGGAGGTTGCAGTGAGCGGAGACTGCACGAGTAAGACTCCGTCTCAAAACAAACAAACAAAAAAAGTGTACCTTAAAAAAAAAAAAAGCCTGGGTGATCTTGATAAGTAATCCTAAGATATTATAATAATTCTGTATCAGTTTTCAAGTCCACAGCAGAATTGGGTACAGAGAGAGAGAACCCAGGGTAGGCTCATTGAGAGAGTATTTAGAGGTGGAGCCTGACTACAAAGGCCATGAAGGACAGACCATAGAGTTCTTGGTGACACTAAATCTTCCCTCAGCAGGTATAGCCAAAAACCTCAAGAGCTAGGAAAAAGATGTTTTAGTGAGTCTTGCGGTAAGGAGGCCTGGGAGGAGTGCTTTTCATGTTTCTTTGCTAAGTCTAATTCATCAGTTCCTGGGAAAGAGAGATGGGAAATAAAGATGAAGGAATGCATGCACTCTGCATGTTGCTGCTTTCTACTACATCTTTAAGCCTTTAGCACAATTGGAAGAAGAGAGAATTCTTTCTTTTTTGAGACAGTGTCTTGCTTTGTTGCCCAGGTAGGAGAGCAGTGGTGTGATCTCAGGTGACTGCAACTTCCGCCTCCTGGATTCAAGTGATTTTCCTGCCTCAGCCACTTGAGTAGCTAGGATTACGGGCGTGTGCCAACATGCCTGGCTCATTTTTGTATTTTTAGTAGAGGCAGGGTTTCACCATGTTGGCCAGGCTGGTCTCGAACTCCTGACCTCAAGTGATCCATCTACCTTAGCCTCCCCAAATGCTGGGATTACAGGCGTGAGCCACTGCGCCTGGCCAGAAGATATAATTATTTCAATCCACATGGCTAAAAATAGTTTATTGGTACAAACAGTTATATCCCTAGGAATCCATACAACTATGCAGAATGACTTTTTCTTTGAGGGGCCTAGATTGCTGGTTTCTGTGTATTAATATTTCTTGAGAAAACAACGTATCAAAACACTTTCTCCCACAGAAACCTGACTTATTAAAACCTTCAGACAAACTGGTTACTGATTACGCAAACATGCCCTTGGATTGTTCTACTTAATTAGAATTTGGCTTTTCCAGTTTTTAGTGTAGTGTATTTCCATTTACAGTCACTCAAAGCTATGCTTCTTCCAACAACCTTCTCTGGTTAATTCTCTGTACTACATGCTCATTTCTCTTTTTCCCTGTGTCCTTTTGACGCTTTGTTTTTTGAATTTGCTTCAATTTGTGCACATTTTTATATATGTTTTCAAGATCGTCTTTGTCTTGTTATGTGGTCTGCAACCTAAATTAGAGTATAACTCCTATAAACTTAACCATGTTGTAAGTTTTCGTTTTATTCACAAATTTTTGGTTCATAGTGATTAGCTTATAATCATTAACTCAGTGAAGGTTGCTAATGGAATTTTATTTAGCTTAAGCTGTATTCTGAGGCATTTTATCCAGTACATTTCCTGCTGCTGTGTATTTGGCCCCTTGAAAAAGTTGTCTTAACCTTGATAGCAGTTAATGGACTTCTCAGACACACCTTATGAATAAGACTTTATTACATAATTATTTCTTACATTTATTTACCCGTGTTTATCTTTTTGAAAGTGTAGAGATATATCTTAGAAATAATCTAAAGTTAGGGAAATAATTTCTATAATGCCATGTACATATTTTGTGTAACTGTTGATTGATTCTTTGTATAGTCTGTTATATTGGACTCATGTTACATAAATTTAGCATGACTTACAACCACATGGAACCTTAGAAAACTTAAAAGACGAGAAATTATAAATGCTTAAAAATTGCTCACGCCTGTAATCCCAGCACTTTGGGAGGCTGAGACGGGCGGATCTTGAGGTCAGGAGATCGAGACCATCCTGGATAACACGGTGAAACCCCGTCTCTACTAAAAATACAAAAAAATTAGCCGGGCATGGTGGCAGGCGCCTGTAGTCCCAGCTACTCGGGAGGCTGAGGCAGGAGAATGGCGTGAACCTGGGAGGCAGAGCTTGCAGTGAGCCGAGATTGTACCGCTGCACTCCAGCCTGGGCGACAGAGCAAGACTCCGTCTCAAAAAAAAAAAAAAAAAAACTTAAAAATTTTGAATGTTATTGAGACTGTAGAATAAATTTTAGAACTCAAGAGGCTATATGGTTTCCTTGTGTACTTTTGTTTTCTTAGAAGATTTAAATAAATTCATAAACTCTGAAATAGATGTTTATTTAAAATACAATTTTGAAAAATTAATTATATTAAAACAATATATGGGCTGGGTGCTGTGGCTTACGCCTGTAATCCTAGCACTTCGGGAGGCTGAGGAGGGCGGATCTCTTGAGCCCAGGAATTCTATACCAGCCTGGGCAAAATGACGAAAACCCTTTCTCTACAAAAAAATACAAAAATTAGCTGGGCATGGTGGCATGTGGCTATAGTCTTAGCTATTTAGGAGCCTGAAGTGGGAGGATTGCCTGAGCCTAGGGAGGTTGAGGCTACAGTGAGCTGAGATTGCGCCACTGCACTGCAGCGCAGCCTCAGCCACAGAGTGAGACCCTGTTTTAAAAAACAAAAAACAGATGGTAGTGAGGTTTTAAGTTACTGAGTATTTCTCCTTTAAATATCTCAGTTGTATAATTTTAAATCAGAAAACACTAAAATGAAGCCTAAATTCATAGTTTTAATAACTTATATTTAATCTGAGCTTATAGGCATTATAGTTAACGTTGGCAAAGTTTTGAAAATTTTCACAAGCTGAGTTTAGAAAGGGCAAAATCATAGATTCATATTTAATTTTTAATTGTAATTGTTTATTTTGTTGGTTGTGCAAAACTTAGTAAATTAGAAAGACAGACAATTTAAAAATACTTGGGATCCATTAAGTTGATTCTTAAACATTCCAGTGTTTGGTTTCTTGAACCCTTCTTGGTTTTTTTTAAATTTGCATATTTGTGAAGTAGTAGGAATGATACTATTGCCAGATACGGTTTAAGGCAAATCCCAGACTTAGTATAATTTAATCTGTAACTGTTTCAATGTATGTCTTTCAGACATGCAGGAGACAATATAATATATCCTTTTTTTCTTATTTAGTAATGCTACAGCCCTTTGACTATGATCCGAATGAAAAGAGTAAACACAAGTTTATGGTACAGACAATTTTTGCTCCACCAAACACTTCAGATATGGAAGCTGTGGTAAGTATAGAAGAAGAATTTGTTTTGGGAAGTGGAGTTTAAACTGTGGGTGTTGTTTAGCAGTCAGTAGAAAAACTTAATTTCTAAAAACTAAAAGTTAAATTTAGGTTTTTAAAAAACTGCCAATTTCTTCATTATAGATAATCCTAACTTAAAGAATGAAAGAATTTTTAAATAGTATTTTTTTTTAGAAACAATTTAGAAATGCTGCTACTGGCCTGGTGCAGTGGCTCACACCTGTAATCCCAGCCCTTTGGGAGGCCAAGATGGGAGTATCTCAAGCCCAGGAGTTCGAGACCAGCTCAGGCGACATGACAAGACCCTGTCTCTACAAAAACAAACAAACAAACAAACAAAAAACAAAAAAAACCACCACAACAAAAATGAGCTGGGTATAGTGTTGGACGCCTGTAGTCCCAGCTACCCAGGAGGCATGGGAGGATTGATTGCTTGAGCCCAGGAGGGGCGACTGCACTCCAGCCTGGGAAACAGAATGAGACCAACTGGAAAAAAAGAAAGAAATGCTAAGAAGAAAGTCCTATGGTTGCTAGTAATATCATCGTGATTTTAATGGATGGTGATAGTAACTAGGATTATATAAAGGTTCTGTGACATTAGCCGATAACAATGGCAGGGTGATCAATAAAGAGTGCACCAGTGTGTTTCAGCCAAGCCAGGCAGCTTCACTCATCTTTTAGCTGTCCCGTGAGGTGAAACTTACTTACCATGATCATACCTCCTATGTCTCATGTTTGGTTTTGTTTATTTTTAGTGGAAAGAGGCAAAACCTGATGAATTAATGGATTCCAAATTGAGATGCGTATTTGAAATGCCCAATGAAAATGATAAATTGGTAAGTAGGAGAATGTAAAAAAAATTGGGAGCTGTTGAGCTCTCAGTTCCTTTGATTAATTTTGCTTTTATTTTTGACCTTTGAGGTATGTGTGATATGGCTATTACACTTCATAAGACTCAGTGGTTAAGTTTTAAAAAACTTGGTATGCCTTTTTTTTTTTTTTTTTTAAAGTAACATTTTGTTTATCCAAGAAGAAAGAAAGACTCACTTTTAGGTCAAGACTGCATCCTGGAGAAGAATCATTTAAGTCTACCAGATTTTTTGTGACGTAAACCACTGCAGGTTCTTTTTTAGAATGAGATGTGTATACATAATTTAAAAATACATATAAATTGCTTTTTGGCCACTATGTACCGGCAGTTTGGGGATAAATTCACTTACATGGACAGTTTATTCCAGGTTTAGTTATTCCTAGGTATTTTGCTCACTTTTGTTTTTAGTCAAATCCATCTGATTGTATTCTTTAGTAAATAATTATTATGTTGCTTACTCATTAGTGTAAGTCTAATACAATTTGGGGGACTGAGGGATGTATTTGTTTATTCAAAAACAAACAAAAAATAGTCTGTGAATGTACCGAGTGGGTTGTAGTCACTTACCTTGTCCATTTCCCTGTCTGGATTGCAAATTTGAATCTTTTCCTATGGTGAGAGAGACTTGAAAGATAAATTTTTCTGTGTGTGTATGTGACTTAATACATACAATAATATGGATAAATAGAATGGTGTGGCACAATTTGGTTACAATCTGACATGACTACTGCCTTAATCTAGTGGCCATTTGCTCTATTGAAAAGTAAACATGCAGATTAAATATGTGGGCTCAGTTATTGTGTTCCTCTTTCAGGATAAGCAGAAATGAAAAGGTCTCTGGTAATTAGGTGTTGACCAAATTATATTTTGAATTTTTAAAATGCCTCTTTTAAGTGATTTTTGAGGTATTTGCCAAAAGCAAAAAATTGTGAACACATGTATTCTCTGTGGAAAGTGAGTGTTAGATGGCCTGTGTATGCTTCCCATTTGGAGGTTTTCTTTTTTGCTTAGGCGGAGGGAAGCTAATAGCTTGCCCAGCTCTTACTGTTGAAACCAAGAAAACAAAACAGCATGTTGTCTGGATTGACTTTTTAAAAAAAAATTTGGATATTTTCTCACTGAGAGTTTTATGTCATTTTTTACAGTAATTCGGTCAGCGTAAATCTATCTTCTATCTGGGCTTCTACTGTGCTCTGGATAGCACACACTTTGAGATGTGTGAAAAGGATTGGAACCCCAGGTATTTGATACTGCTGATTAAGAGTAGCTCTCACTGGTTTAGAAACCAAACCAGAAGTTGATGGGAATGATACGGCAATGACAGTTGAACCTCGCCATTTACACATCTTGGGTGAAAAGAGCAGTTATGCCTACCTATTGGTCTAGCCCATAGTTATCCAAGAAAGTAGTTTTGGGTCTGTTTTAGCGCTTGAACAAATACTGAATGGAGTTCCCAGAATCCCCTGCGGTGGAACTCGAGCAGGAGTAGTTTGAGCCTGGAACCTTTTCAGAGCAGGTATTACTAGTAACCTAAAAGCTGTTAAGTAACTTCAAAGTACTTTAGAGAATATCTGAGTCTGAACCTTGATTAGCTAGCTGCAGAATGTATTTTCACTAATTGGATTATCTGGACTTGTATATTAAATTGTAGGAAATATCTGCTAAAGATAATTTTTAAGATTTATTTTGAAAACTTAGAAGCACCTAGAAGAGTAGGTAGGAGGAGTACAGTGAACCTCTGTGAACTTATGAGCAGCTTTAACAATGACTAGTTTGTGGTTAAGCTTATTATATATAAATCCTGTTAATTCTCATCTTAGGTATTGTTTAAGGCAAATCCCAGACTTGGTATAATTTAATCTGTAACTGTTTCAATGTGTATTTTTCAAAGTACTTTAAAAAAAGAGATAAAAGAGTTTTAATGACAATACTGTTACTATGCCTTTAAAAATTTAGTATATCCTTAATATCAAGCTGTCCAGACAGCATTAAAACTTGTCACAAATGTCATTAAAATTTTTTTTTCTGCAGTTTGTTTGAATTAGATGAAAATAAAGTCCAAATAGTTCTTCTTTTTTTTTTTTTTTTGAGACGGAGTCTTGCTCTGTTGCTCAGGCTGGAGTGCAGTGGCACGATCTTGGCTCACTGCAACCTCTGCCTCCCGGGTTCAAGCAGTTCTCCTGCCTCAGCCTCTCTAGTAGCTGGGATTACAGGTGCACGCCTGGCTAATTTTTGTATTTTTTGTAGAGACGGGATTTTGCCAGGTTGGTCTCAAACTCCTGACCTCAGGTGATCCACCTGCCTTGGCCTCCCAAAGTGCTGGGATTACAGGTGTGAGCCACCCTGCCTGGCCAAGTCCAAATACTTCTATTGGATGATACGTTTCTTAAATCTCTTAGTTTGTTACGTTTCCTCTCTTTTTTTTTTTTTTTTGCAAATTATTGAATGTTTTTATTATTAAACTAGGTTTGCCTATAGACTTTCCCACAGAATTGATTTTGCTGATTCCATCCTTGTGGTGCTATTTAACCTTTTTTCCCTGTCCCTGGTATTTCCTGTGATCGAAAGTTTGAAATGAGTGGTTCTTATCCAGGGGCAATCGATTTGCTCCTCTGGGGACCGTGCTTGGAAACATTTTTGGTTTTCACAACTGAGAGGTAGGTAAGGGTGCTACAGTTAACCTGTTTAGTGGGCAGAGGCCAGGGATGCCTTTCAACTTCCTGTGATGCACAAAACAGCCTCCACAACAAAGAATAATCTGGCTTAAAATGTCAGTAAAGTTGAGATTGAGACAGTATGACCTAGGTCTGTTAGTACATTTAAGATTGTCTGATGGTCATACTCTGTCATTCCTACTTCATACACTACTTACAATACTTGTGTAAGGAGAAACTTGTGCTTATGTAATATTTGGTTATTCAGTGGTAGAGTTTAAAAAGGCAGAACAAATGCCAAAGTTTCTCTTTAGAGGTTTTAAAAAATGAGTTGGTTTATAAGCATCCCACCTCGTGATGTACAGTTGATCTTCCACCTTCCATCCTTTCTTTCTTCCCTGCTTGCTTCTATATTGATAAAACTCATGAATTTAAACATATTTGAGTTTTAACTCTTGGTAGTTTATTATTATTGTTGATGCTCAAATTGCCTGGTAAGGAGACTTTTTAAATTGGTTCTTGAGTTTGTTTGACCCTCATAGTCTTTGGTAATTTTCTTGTCTAATGTGGCAAGATTTTTCCAGGTCCAGACCTGGAAAGAAGCTCAGGGCCATTTCAGTGGGAGATGGTATTTCACAACTATAATCGACCGGGTACCTGTGACAAAATTGATTTTTAATTTTATCAAACTTTCTGTTCATTTTTTTGACCAAGGTAAGAGTGGAGGCCCATTTTTCACTTGAAGGTGCTTCTTCAAATGGTAAAATTTTAATGATAAAACTGTGTCAGCAGCATATAGGATGATGTGGATCCTTTTATTTCTTGGGGTAATGATTGCATTTTATGGTTGGATTATGTTGGGTAATTCAAAATGTGCAAAATCCAATACTGATCCTGAGAAGAATGGGCGGGTACTTCTATGAACCAGCTGAAGTGGTGTTTCAATTACAGCAATACATAAATACAGCTTATGACTTTGATGGCTCACTGGCCTCGTCATTATGATTTTTGATGGATGTTTTTGAGTGTTTATAATTTACATTTCAAGTTTTACACATAGAATGAGACTTAAAGATTGTAATATATCACCATTTCAAATTTATGTAATTCAAACTTGCAAAAATTGTGTCTATACTATTTAGGCTGGAAGTGGCCTTAATTGATTAATGTGTATGTTAAAGAGAGGCTAAAACACAATTGTGTTTTTATAAGGCAGTATTTCCCAGTGTATTAGGTTGGAAGTGTTCTGTAGACAGGTGAGCTTGGAAAAATACTGTAAATGTCTCCAAGAGGAATCACATTGCGTATTTGCCTATTAAAGGCTCTGAGAAAACGTAACGGTAAAGAAATATATTTAACCCAGTATTTTTTTTTTAATTTAAAATAACCTAATTAACTTAGGAAATATCTGATGTTCTGAAAAAATATACTTTGGGAAATACTATTCCTGCCTAAACTCACTGTTGTAGTATTAACTACCCTGCAGATTGTACAAGAAATGTTACTTACTGAGAAATGTGTTTAAACTCAGTGCAACCTGGCACAGACCCAACTCCATCTGGGTTGTTAGTTGATTATGTGACTTTCAAGTTAATCAGTTTAATGTTGCATCTCATCTTTTACAGAAAATATGAAATCTTAAGGTACCAAATCTGAAGTCTTATGATAGTACAAAATATATAAGAAGTTTTTGTTTCTAACAATTAAGGATAAAACCTTTTATGTCTATCTAAAGATAAACAAAACACCTCTTAATATTTTATTCATGTGGTAATAAGACCCTATTGATAATTGTATCCTGCTGTTTCTAGGTCAATATTCTCTATAGACGAAGTTGATAAAACTGGTTAAAAAAAAAGTATCTTTGACATGTTGGTTTCTTTCTAGTATCTGTAGATAAAATTAGTAGTTAATATTCCTTTTCTTTGTTTAGCATGAAATTTGGCTCTTTGGAAATTAGGGCATTATTGGATAGTGTGATGCATAGATACAGTTTGTTAATTTACTTCAGATGAATTGATAAAATGCTGTATGATGCTGAATCCTGACTTACACAGTTGCTGAAATGACACTCCCTTATTCAAAGAAAATACATTTCTAAATGTGCAAGGTTAACAAAAATGGTTTGAAAACTGTTGGTGATGTATTTTTTAAAAGTATAGAGTAGAAAATATACTTTTTATCTTATAGTTATGATTGTGATATAGAGAATTCTTTGAGATCTTTTGACCCTTTATTTTAGTTTATTAGTATGTTGTAAAAAGTATGTTAACTTAAGCAAAATCAGTTCAGCTTTTAACTGCGTTGCTGGTAACAACTTAGTATTTAACGTAGAACTCTGTGGATGGCATTTGTATTTTTTTATTCAGCTTTATTTAGTGTTTAGAGCAGTGGACAAGTTCATAGGGGTTCCTTACACCTTTATTTTTTGTTTTAATATATGCATACATTATTAAATGATCACCACAGTCAAGCTAATTAACCTATCAATCACCTCAGATAAGCACCATTTTTATGGGTCACTTTATTTTAAAGAGTCGATCAAAATTTCATTTTTGGTAGTCAACTTAGAAAAATTTGGTTAGTGTTCAAAGCAGATTCTGCAATAGCTATCATAATTGTTGATGCACTCTCCTCAAATATTGTAGAGATAACAAGTCTTGAACTTTATGATTTTTTTTTAGTGTGTTTTAACCCCACTCCCTCACTTCCCCAGCCCCCCCTTCCTGTATCTCTTTGCAGAAAGAAGTACGCTGGTATTTAAGTACTGTATTAGTCTGTTCTCACATTGCTATAAAGAAATACCTGAGACTGGGTAATTTATAAAGAAAAGAGGTTTAATTGGCTTACAGTTCTGCAGGCTGTACAGGAAGCAGGGCGGCTTCTGCTTCTGAGGAGGCCTCAGGAAACTTCTAGTCATGGTGGAGGGCAAAGGGGGAGCAGATGCCTCACGTGGTGGGAACAGGAGCAAGAGAGAGCGAAGGGGCAGTGCTACACTCTTTTTAACAGCTAGATCTCATGAGAACTCTTATCATGGGAACAGTGTCATGGGGATGGTGCTAAACCATTCATGAAGGACCCACCCTCATGATCCAGTCGCTTCCCACCAGGTTCCACCTCCAACACTGGAGATTACAATTTGACATGGGATTTGCCGGGGGACACAGATCCAAACCATATCAAGTATGTTGTATGCGTATACCCCACTTGTGTGAGGATTTTGATCTTTTTATGGATGCTGTTAATTCTTGGGTGTTTACATGTTTGGAACACATGAAAAAAGAGTATGATGTTATTTTGTTGATTTCTTTAGACTTTTTAGGACCTTGATACTGGATATATAAGTAAGGAAATGATTGAAGGTTTGTGGTCATCTTATAGGGTGAAAAATGGAGCCAGCTTTAGAAGCACAGTGGCTTGAGTCCATGTTTTTATTTTTATAGTTTAAAAAATCATTTATTTGTGACAAAACAATTCTCATTTATTTGAACCATCACTAAAGTATGGGCTACTTTTTGGGAAATAGCTTTCTGATTTGGATCATAGATAAAGTGCCCCAGGAAACTTAGGAACCCTTTCATTTTAGAACAAAAAGACTCAATATTTTTTCCTGGATAACAAGCATAAGCAAATACCATCCTTAAGCACACTAAGATGTGTCATTACCCTAGTCCTCGGGATCAGCAGGTGTGTGCCAATACATTTCATTTTGTTAATGGCCCCTAGTGTCTTCAGTTGAGTTGTTGTCAGTGCTAGTACTGAAAGCCATTGAGCCTGTTCCCTGTATTGTTGACAGCTGGAGGCACATGATACGAAAGCGCTGTTGTACAAAATAGGGTTCTTTGAATTATTAGCTCTGTTTGGATTGTCAGCTCTGTATATACGTAATGTCCAATTAGTGGTAGTGGTTATTTTTTAAGGATCAAATGTGGTTTTATTATTTTTGAAGTTTTATGACCTATTCAGTTCTTTGTGTTCACTTCTAAAAAATTTTTGAGGCCTTAACTCTGACATTTTCTAAATTTCTTAAATGTATTGCATTTCATTTATGTCCTCCATCTGACATTTGAAGGTGACATATTTCCCTTTTTTTTTTTTTTTTTTTTTTTTTTTTTTTTTTTTTGAGACAGTGTCTCGCTCTGTCACCCAGGCTGGAGTGCAGTGGCGCGATCTCGGCTCACTGTAAGCGCCGCCTCCCGGGTTCACGCCGTTCTCCTGCCTCAGCCTCTCCGAGTAGCTGGGACTACAGGTGCCCGCCACCACGCCTGGCTAATTTTTTGTATTTTTAGTAGAGACAGGGTTTCACCGTGGTGTCAATCTCCTGACCTTGTGATCCGCCCGCCTTGGCCTCCCAAAGTGCTGGGATTACAAGCGTGAGCCACCGCGCCTGACCTTGAAGGTGACATATTTTCTAGAAAAAAATACTGATTTTTTTTAAATGAAGACTGAGGGGCTGTAAAGAACAGGGATTTCAGGGGTCTTATAAAGGGATTTCAGGGGTCTTATCATAAAATGGTTGAATATACATTATTTTCTGTTGAGACAGAACAAATGGGGTATCAGTAAGTATAATTAGGGAATCCCTTTCCCACCTGTTTGTATAATACAGTATTTTATCTATTAAAGGAATTTGAAAAGAAAGGAAGAGAACTATGGACTTAATGGTTATATGAGTCTTTAAGTGTTTATTGGCCTGGGATGTGTGTGAGAGAGTGAGTGTATTGGGGGATAGGCTTTAAGTACAAGAGAGGTTTATGAAATTGTTCAGATTGAGTGTTATCAAAGATAAGAAGACATACAAGTGCTTGTTTTTCAGATTATTGACAATTATTAATTAGTAAACATTAAAAGCCACAAAGAATTAGATGGTATTCATTTTAAAACAATGTAAGGCTGGCATAAATTTTAATAAAGTATGTACATTTAATAGGTGCATGTAATGCAAGTAGATTATAACTAATTTTGTTTGGGAAATACAAAAAGCGAGTTCAGAAACTACTTTTGCTTTAACATAGCTATTATTAGTATTGTTTCTTATGCATTAATGCATTTTTATAAAGTGTTAATGTTTAGAGCCTAATGCTTTCTGTGTCAGTCATTCCCAATATCATGCAGAAGAAATCAGAGTTCGGTGAGAATCTGAGAATATGTTTCCCATGCCATCTCAGGGTATAACTCCACCAGGGAATGCTCCGACTGTCACTTCAATGAGCAGCATCAACAACACAGTTGCAACACCTGCCAGTTATCACACGAAGGATGACCCCAGGGGACTCAGTGTGTTGAAACAGGAGAAACAGAAGGTTTGTTATAGGGAGTTAACAGACTTAGGAGTCTACTAGTGTCAATGGTTAAGTTAATGTAGATACCTAGCAGATAAGTGGTATTGTGAGTATGTTGTATGAAGTAGATAGAATTGAACTATGCCTAAAATTACAATAAAACTACAAAGCACTTAAAAATCATGCATACAAACTATTCTGTTCTAAAAAACTTCTGAACTTAACTAAAATCTATATAGTGAGCAGGACAGTATAAGTGTGAACATTATGAAGTTGCTGTAATTTTTTTCTTTGAGATTTGGGGAATATACTCTTTTTTTTTTTTTTTTTTTTTTTTTTTTGAGATGGAGTCTCGCTCTGTCACCCAGGCTGGAGTGCATGGCACAATTTCAGCTCACTGCAACCTCTGCCTCCCCGGTTCAAGGGATTCTCCCACCTCAGCCTCCTGAGTAGCTGGGAGTACAGGCACGTGCCACCATGCCTGGCTAATTTTTGTATTTTTTTGGTAGAGATGGGGTTTCACCATGTTGGCCAGGCTGGTCTCATTAAACTCCGACCTCAGGTGATCCACCTGCCTTGGCCTCCCAAAGTCCTGGGATTATAGGCGTGAGCCACCACATGTGGCAACCCCACAGTTTTAACAGATTGTTTATACTTTGATTTGGTTTTGCAGATGATATGCATACTAAGGCTTTAAAAAATTATCTAAATGTTTAATAATTTTTTGTTTTTGTGATTGGGAATTATTTACTTCTGGGAGTCATGATCCTAAAGAAACAGTAAATTGGCTGTTTAGAGTGGGAAAAAAAAACTTCAGGTAACTTTGTTACTTAAATCCTGTCTCTTAATTCATAGGTTAAGACCTTAATTTTGCCTCTCTCGGTTTATGACAGTACTCTTGACTTTAGCCTTTTAACTCCCTTTATGTGCGTTTTTATCCATCACTCCTGTTAGTTGTAAGAATGTAGGCCCACGTTTATGTCTTTTATCTCCTTTGTTCTTCCCAAGGCTTCTTTGCAAACTTTTTCTTGTATTTCCAATTCCTAGTTCCCTCTTTTTCTAATTAACCCCCAGTAAAAATACTTGGGATATTAGAACTGAAATTCTGATGGTTAAAAAAGAATACAGAAGTACAGTCATGCATCTGTTAAGGATGGGGATATATATTGAGAAATGTGTTGTTAGGTGATGTGTTGTATAAACATCATAGAGTGTACTTACAAAAACCTATATATGGTATTGCCTTTTGCTCCTAGGCTACAGACTTGTATAGCCTGTGGCTGTACTACAATGGTAAGTATTTGTGTATCGAAACAATCTACACTGAGCTTATTCAACCTGCAGCCTGCGGCCCACACGTGGCCCATGATGGCTTTGAATCCGGCCCACCTCAAATTCGTAAACTTTCTTAAAACACTATGAGTTTTTTTTTGTGTGATTTTTTTTTTTTAATAGCTCATTAGTTAGTGTTAGTGTTAGTGTATTTTATGTGTGGCCCAAGACAATTTTTCTTCCAGTGAGGCCCAGGGAAGCCAGAAGATTGGACACCCGTGACTATACACAGAAAAGGCGCAGCAAAAATATGGCATAAGAGATAAAATTGTATACTTGCATAGGGCACTTACTGTGAATGGATCTTGCAGAACTGGAAGTTGTTTTGGGTGGGTCAGTGAATGAGTGGTGAGTGAATGGGAAGGCCTAGGACATTACTGTACACTGTAGACTTTATAAACACTGTACACTTAGGCTACATTTATTAAAATTTTTTTCTTTAATCTTAGCTGTCCGTAACTTCATAAACTGTAAAATTAAAATTTTTGACATAAAGCACAAGCACAGTGTATAGATAAATAAAAATATCTTTTTAATGTCCTTATTCGCTGCCTTTTTCTATTTTTTAAATAAGATTTTTAAAAAAACTTCTTTTCTTAAGACTAAGACATAGCACACACATTAGTCTAGGCCTGCACAGGGGCGGGATCATCAGTATCACTGCCTTCCACCTCCACATCCTGTCTCACTGTAATGTCTTCAGGGACAGTAACACTCATGGAGCTGACATCTCCTATGTTAACAGTGTCTTCTGGAATACCTCCTGAAGGACCTGCTGGAGTCTGACTTAGAGTGTCCTTTTTGTTTTCGTAAGTAGAAGGAGTACACTCTAAAATAAATGATAAAAAGCATAACAGTAAATACATAAACCTGTAACATAGTCATTTATTACCAAGTATTCTGTATTGTACATAAATCATATGTGCAATACTTTTATATGACTGGAGTACAGTATGTATATTTACACCAGCATCACCACAAACGTGAATAATGTATTGTGATAAGACCTCACTAGGTAATAGGAATTTTTCAGTGCCATTATTATTGTATGGGAACACTATCATATGTATGAATCATTGTTGACCAAAACATCATTATACAGAACATGACTGGACAACTCAGATGGAGGATTACTGCAGATAGGCTAAATAATATAGTGGAAACTGGACAAGATTGGTTTATTGTTTTAGTTGATACACACCTTGACCTTCCAGCTTATTCTGAATTGCAGTGTTAAATGTAAGGTTACCATTCATCAATTTACTAAGAGTCACAGCATGTTGAATCTCTCTGGTGTGCTTGTTTCATGGTTCTCAGAACAACCAGTCTTTTCTTTCTGGACCAGTTTGAAGCAACTCTCAAGAAACAAGCTGTTTTATTGGAGCCAAACCTCACTAATAGAGGTCCTGGATGGAAGCATATACTTAAAGTTACACCTGCTTAATTTTTTCCATCAGGCTCTTCAGATTGTCACTCCATGCATGACTCAAAGCCCACCCTCCCATCACACTTCCCCCCATTACATATACATATATAGCATAACATATACATATGTAGCATATGTATATGTAAATAAATTAGATTTTCTTGCACCTGTTATGTATGTTCACTGGTTTGTAAGGGGCCTAGGTAGTATGTGATATAACTTATTGGGCACACTTTTGAAATGTGTTTCGGCTTCACTGTATTCTTTGCATTCTATTCTGTTTATGCTCCACATATTGGTTATCATTTCTTCTCCTTTTTGTTACAAAAGCAGTATAACATTTTTAAGAGAAATTCAACAACAAAAAAATCTAATTCTATTTGCTTAGATAAATTCTAATCTAATTCCAAGTCTAATTCTATTAGAATTAGAAAAATCTAAATCTAATTCCAATCTAGTTATCTTTTTATGGAATGTCTTCCTATGGACATGTTATTTAAAATTTGAAAGAATGGAAAGCTGCCCATCAAATGCTTAACAAAAGTGAAATGTTTAATTTTGGCAAGGCATAGAATAGAATATTTAATGACATGTCATTTAATAATAGTAATATAAATAATAGTTTTGTTGATTTGACAAGATTGTGAGAAATGACTTTTTCCCTTCCCTCCGTAATTTAAAATTTTATGCAATGTAAAGAATTTAAAAATAATCAGTTGTCGAGCTTGATGATTCTTTTAGTTTTTTTTCTCTTTGGTGTTGACCCCATGTATATCTTTTTTTCCCCCTTTTGGAGATAGGGTCTCACTCTCACCTGGGCTGGAGTGCAGTGGCACGATCTCGTCTCATTGCAACCTCCGCTTCCTGGGCTCAAGCCACCTCAGTCTCATGAGTAGCTGAGATTACAGGTGCACACCACCATGCCTGGCTAATTTCTAAAATTGTTTTTTGTAGAGACAGGGTCTCCCTCTGTTGCTCAGGCTGTTCTTGAACTCCTGGGCTCAAGCAGGCCACCCATCTCGGCCTCCCAAAGTGTTGGGATTACAGACATCAGACATGGTGCCCTGCTTCATCCTCTTTAAGTTTTTATCAGTTTTCTGGTATGAGTATGATACTTTTTCCCAATTTTTAACCAAAACCTGAAAGTTCTTCTATTGCCATATTGGTGGCCATTGCCACCTCCTTTATAGAGTAAGTCAGTGTGCCAACCTCATTATCAGAAGTTGGATTTGTGCTAGGATAGAATTTGACCACACTGAAAATCACAAATGAGTTCTAACTACTATTAAGGAAAAGAACAGGAAAAAGTATTGGCAGGGTAAAATATATCTGAAACAGTTTTTTAATAATAGGGGCGGCTATTATTAGATTGGTTGGGGTGGGAGAAATGGGGGTGAAGAACAAAAAAGCTAGCAAGAGAAAAACTCAGAGAATTGAAGTAGGCTGCTTTAAAACGTTGCTTAACTGGGAAGCTTGAAGAAGAATGGAAGAGTCTGCCGACAGGTCACATACATGCTGTTGTTCATTAGAACCTCATTATAAATTTTCATTTTTAAATAGATTTTACATGGATTTAGGCATACTAATCAAATCACATCCCCTTCATAAGAATAACAAGTTTTGCCCTTTGAACAATCTGTTTATACTTAATATAAAATTGGCAGCTGGGATGGTGTGGTAGGTGTGCAGCCTCTGATAAATCTTATAAAATGAGTATTGTGGAATGCCATAAAGTTGATTTAGTAAATGTCTTTTTTAGCAGTTTATAGCTGAATAAAGCAGATTTTACCTAAAATTATTTTAAAGTAAGTGAATTTAATTAAAATGAAAAAAGCTTGTTACACTAATACTGCTACGATGTGTGGTGACATAAATGCTGTTGGAGTGAAGGATGTTGGGGTACTTTAGACAACGGGCTGAAGAATACATAGGTGCTGTCATAGATATTTATCTCCAGGCCTTCACTAGCTTCAAATGGTTCAATGTTGGTGAGGATTAAGATTTTGGGGCTCATAGTCTTCAAAGCATGCTAAGTGCTCCTGTGATGTTGAATCACGTGAATTAAAGCAAACAGCATTACTAAAGATGACAAATTAATAGAAGTTAGCTTTTCTTGGGCATGTTTTTTCTTAGGTAGTTTCCGATTTTATTGGAATGATTACGATAATATCCCCCTACCCCCCAGAACCTTATTTGAATTGCACAACCAGAGCACGGAAAATGACCTTCAATGGATTTTGTTGACGTCATTCAGCATACTTTCATTGAATAACTACTCTTGACCAAAGTGCTGGTTTTAGGGGTAAATACAAAGAGAGATGGCTCTTGCTCTCTCAGCCTTTGAAGTATTACAGGAAAGAACTTGAACAATAATTATTAAGATACATAATAAAGTGCTATGGTAGAGGTACGTGCCAGGGATTATGGGAATAGAGGGAGTGGGCTGGTTATTTAGACTAATCTGACTGCTGACATGTACTGATTTAGGCCTTTTAAAGAGTTTTTCATGAACAAAGATGTAGAATTTATATTGTTATTTGTTTAAAACCTGTAAGGAGATTTGGTTAGTTAAAAAATTCCCAATATCTTTGTAATGCAGAATGATATGGAACCTAGCAAAGCTGTTCCACTGAATGCATCTAAGCAAGATGGACCTATGCCAAAACCACACAGTGTTTCACTTAATGATACCGAAACAAGGAAACTAATGGAAGAGTGTAAAAGACTTCAGGGAGAAATGATGAAGCTATCAGAAGAAAATCGGCACCTGAGAGTAAGTTCTGTTGGTTGAAAATAAATTGATTGAAATGAAGGTATAGGACATGTGAGTGTTATTAGGCCATTTTAGCAATTAGCTTTTAAATTTTTGCTTGGTCAGTTCTTTCTTCTTTGCCCCAGTGCCTTTGCTCCCCACCCTACTCCTCTTTTAACAGTCTTCCCGTGGTTTCTCATTGCTGCAAGTTCCTTACTTTAGCACACATTCTAATTATTTGTGATCTGGCCTGCAGTATTGCCAGCTTCTGCTCTTGTTTCTCATGTCCTTCCCATTTTGTGCCCTAGTCATACTGAACTGCCTAGGATTGTGTTGTCCCACATCATAGCCATTAGTCACCTAGGGCTGTTGAGCACTGAAATGGGATTTGTTCAAATTGAGCTGTGCTGTTGAGTGTAAAATACTGATGTTGAAGAGTTAGTACAGAAAAAGGTAAAATCTTTTTTTTTTAATGGTTACATACTGAAATAGTAGTTTGGGTATATTGGGTTGAATCAAATATATTATTAAAATGAATTTTACCCATTTCTTTTTACTTTTTAAATGTACTGTTGGAAAATTTAACTTTACATACGGGGCTCACATTTGAAGCTCACATTGTATTTGCGTGGGGCAGCATTGGGCTGGAGTATGCTGGAGAAGCATCTGTTTATCACCCCTCTTTGCTTTAGTGTAAGCTCTTCACTGTGACTGGAAAGGCCCAGAACCCTGCCCCTCCCGACACAGCACATACACACATTGACGTTTTGCTACTACAGCATATAGCCTTTGCTGGGACCCTCTCCAAAAGAAGAAAAAAATCGATTTGTCATGTCTGCTTTGTGCCTCCACTATGCTGATCGCCTTCTACTGCTCTTACTTGTTAGAGGCCTTTCTCCCTCTAGTGGGCAGTAATTGCCTTGGTGGCAAGGGCAGTGCTTCATTTATCTCTGCATTCACCATACATGCATGTGGTAGTCATTCATGTATTTGATTGAATTAAATGGATGGCGAAGGAGGACTGATTTGAATATGTCTGAAATTTATGAATAATTTGTCTTTGACAAGTAATTACTTGTTTCAAGACCTAAATACCTATACGTTGCTCTCTAGGCTTTGTTTGAAGCTCTTTGCAGCAAAGTAGATGATACAAAAATGTATGTAACTAAAATAAGCTAAATGATGGGAGTTATTTGATTATTCCTTTTGTTAGGTGTATGTAGGAACTACACTCTAAATTAAAGGCACTGTGTTTTAAGTCGATCTGTGAACTCCTTTGCTGAAATGCTTTTTAAAGTGAATTTTTGTGTCTCTTCATGCTTGATGTTTCATAGTACCCCCTCGAGGGGTACCCGTCTGCTTCCAAGCACTTGTCTGGGTAGCGGAAAGAATATCTTTATTTCACACCTACACGCCATGGATCTTTTAAAGGATGTTGTTGGTTACTTTTACTTCATCTGCCATGACTTCCATAGTTCTGTTCTTTGATAAAGATGTGCTCCTTAGGGTGCTCAATAGATTTCTTTCAAAAGCCACTGTTTACCTCTGGCAGGGAGGGGAGAAGTGGAAACAGTGAGAATGACATAGATGGGGCAGGGCTGGAAAATAGGAAGAGTGAACCAGGGAAGTAGGTGAGAGAGACTTTATTCCTGGTTTCTACTCTTTTTATGCTAGTGTTCTGTATGAGATTTTATTTGAGAGATGATTCTGCTGCTGGAAAAGTAAAACAAAAAAGCTGGGCTGGGCGGGTGGCTCACACCGGTAATCCCAGCACTTTGGGAGGCTGAGGCGTGTGGATCACCTGAGGTCAGGAGTTCCAGACCAGCCTGGCCAACGTGGTGAAACCCCGTCTCTATTAAAAATACAAAAATTATCCGGGTGTGGTGGTGGGTGCCTGTAATCCCAGCTACTTGGGAGGCTGAGGCAGGAGAATCACTTGAACCCAGGAGGCAGAGGTTGCAGTGAGCGAGATCACGCCATTGTACTCCAGCCTGGGTGACGAGCAAAACATCGTCTCAAAAAAAAAAAAAAAACAAAACCCTTGAAGACCCACTGGCTTACAGAATTTCAGACCCTATACACAGGCCCACCATAATTTTTTGCCAGGTTCACTTTCTTGCTCCTGTCTGTTCACTATCCCTTTTAATTCCCCTAGCCCTGTGGTTCTTAATTCACACTGCATGTGAATCACCTAGTGAGCTTTAAAAAGTTACAGTTGACCAGGCTTGCCCCAGACCTAATGAGTCACAATCACAGGAGTATTAAAAGTTCTGTAGATGTTTGTGATGTGTAGCTGAAACTGAGAATTACTGTTTATATAGGACTAATTAGCATGAGACCAAAAAAACCCAACTCCAGAAAATCCAGTAATGCAAATAAAACTGTGCCATTAGGTGTACTCTTTTAGTTAGTGTTTATTTATAAGCACAATAAAGGAATCATGGGAGAAAATATTGCCTTGTACTGAAAAAAGTAAAAAACTGTCCTGCCATTTATCAGATTGGTTAACAGACAGAGATAAAGACAACTGTGTAGTTAACAGGTATTAGTATTTTTCCCAAGGTTCACATTGCACACAGTGTCATAACAACCTCCTGCTTGGAGTGACTTCTGCTTTCTTCTGAGAAACCTTCTGCTCTAAAGACATAGTGCTGTGTGAAGCCATATCAGCAAGAATGAAGCAGCCTACTCTTGACTGGAGGATCTAAGTCATTTTGACACAGAGAAGCACCCTCATTTTCCAGTCCAGGTGCAGAGCTTCAGATAAGGGTTTCCTATGTACATTTCTCATCTAAATTTGTAGTTTCTGAAGAAACAGTATTCTTTCTCTGCTTTGCAGTCGAGACCTGGTGCTACCACTTTACACACAGCCCTCTGCTTTGCTTTGAGCATATAAAAACACTGTTACTTAAATTTCACGCTAAACTGTTTCCTTCCCCCAAATTCTGTGATACCATATCTCTGTTTACGGCAAGAACACCCTTTTGTGCCTCTGCTGTTCCGGTTCCTTAGTTGCAGTGTGTCAGTAAACCCAAATGGCAGACTACAGGTCTGGGTAGTTTTTGGCTGATTGGGCTAGGACGGATGTAACTGATTTTAAATACCATGGGCCACCTTGGAAGTACTCTTCTTTAATTATATTTTTAGTGGGATTTAAAAAAAGGTAAATATAGCCTATCTAACTTTTGCTTTTTAGGAATACATTTCTCAGCTCCAGTTTTAAAAAATCAGTGTTATTGAGGTATAATTTATATCCCATGGAGACACCCACTGTGAGTGTACAATTCATTGATACATAGAACTTTGTAACCATCACTATAGTTCAGTTTTAGAATGTCTATCACCCCCGGAAAGTTTCCTTATGTGGTTAGCAGTTAATCCCCTTTTCCGTCCCCAGCCATAGGCAACCACTAATCTACTTTCCGTCCCTATAGATTTTTAGCTCCAGTAGTCTCGTTAGTATGCTTGTTTTTAAAAACCTTTTGTGTGTGTGTTTTTTTTCTAGGATGAAGGTTTAAGGCTCAGAAAGGTAGCACATTCGGATAAACCTGGATCAACCTCAACTGCATCCTTCAGAGATAATGTCACCAGTCCTCTTCCTTCACTTCTTGTTGTAATTGCAGCCATTTTCATTGGATTCTTTCTAGGGAAATTCATCTTGTAGAGTGAAGCATGCAGAGTGCTGTTTCTTTTTTTTTTTTTCTCTTGACCAGAAAAAGATTTGTTTACCTACCATTTCATTGGTAGTATGGCCCACGGTGACCATTTTTTTGTGTGTACAGCGTCATATAGGCTTTGCCTTTAATGATCTCTTACGGTTAGAAAACACAATAAAAACAAACTGTTCGGCTACTGGACAGGTTGTATATTACCAGATCATCACTAGCAGATGTCAGTTGCACATTGAGTCCTTTATGAAATTCATAAATAAAGAATTGTTCTTTCTTTGTGGTTTTAATAAGAGTTCAAGAATTGTTCAGAGTCTTGTAAATGTTATTTTAATAATCCCTTTAAATTTTATCTGTTGCTGTTACCTCTTGAAATATGATTTATTTAGATTGCTAATCCCACTCATTCAGGAAATGCCAAGAGGTATTCCTTGGGGAAATGGTGCCTCTTACAGTGTAAATTTTTCCTCCTTTACCTTTGCTAATATCATGGCAGAATTTTTCTTATCCCTTGTGAGGCAGTTGTTGACTGAGTTTTTCATCCTTACAATCCTGTCCCATGGTATTTAACATAAAAAAAAATAAAACTGTTAACAGATTCTTGCTCGATAGCTTGTTTGTGTCTGTCGTGTTATTAGAGGGAACTCCACTATATATGGTCACTTGAAATTATGATGCAAAGGTTTCTCTTGCATTGAAACCCTCTTGGATATTACAGTATTTTTAATTGAAAGTCCTAATTCTGTTAAGGAAAGGAGTTGATTAAATTTTAAGGTACCACTGGTATTTTGGGAGATTATAATCAGTTTGTTTTCAAGATAATAGAAAATAAGGTCCATGAGAATAGAAGTTATGTGATTTCAGTGAGTTGATGTGTACAGCATGGCTGTGCTCCATCTGATTTACCCCATTCTTAAGTTCTGAGAGTATGTTCTCAAGGAAGATTTAACTCTCTTTGGTTTTAAATTACTTTTTAACCAGCCTAATAAATAAGTCTTACTACTTTTCATAATATTTCATAATAGTTAAAAGTAGGTGTTTTTTTCGTGCTCAATTTGGCACTCAAAATAATGTTCATTATGGAAGTTTGGTAATACTGAGCAAGCCTGTGGAATTTTCTTTATGAAAAATGATTTTAGCCTTTGCAAATGTTAACCATGTGAAACACATTTTCAGTATAAGTATGCGTTACAGGGTTTGATACTTTCCTGCACTTAGGTTTGTCCTATTCTTCATTTATTCATACTAGGATAGAAAATTTTGGAATCAGAAAATAGATCCAGTGTTTAGCTACATACAATCTAGTACAAGTGAATTTTTATTCTTAAACATAGGTGTGTTGGCTCTTTTTTTAAAAGATGCGCTCTACCTGAAAAGGAAATTGGATTTTAGAACTGGATGTGGTGCAGTGAAGTATTTTAGGCCCAGGTCTGTGTACACATTTTATAGAAGAATGAAGTACTCTGAAGTATTTTGGTTGCCTTTTCATTTCAACTGTGTTTTGAATTTGTCAGATCACACATATATTGTGTTATTGGGCGCTGTGGTATCTTTTATAAAACCTCTTGCTTGTGTGCAAAAGTTCCTAAAAGGAAACACAAGTAATGCCTATCCATTACTAGCATGCTATGCTGCATGCTTTACTGCCATTGCTGTATGCTTTACTGTCTTTGTAAAAATCCCCCTCTCCCCTTTTCTGGTAACTGGAAAAGCATGCTAAAAATAGTCTTATATTTTCACCCCATAAATGCAGAATCAGTAATTCCTTGGCTTAAAGCTCTTATATAATCAATATTATTGGTGGTAAATACCAAGTTTGGTATCTCATAGCTATCTTTTTTTAAAGAAATTAAGTTCTTGAAAATTTAGCCAAATCCCGTTTTATGGGAATGCTCTTTAGAATTCATTTTGTTCAGCCCCTTTGTTCTATGGTTGAGAAATCTGAGGCCTTACGAAGGTTAAGAGAACTTTCCCCGTGTCTCACAGGTAGGTAGAGGCAGAGCTGGAACTAGATATCTGGTCTGTTGACTCTAGCTCAGTGTCTTCTGGTAACTGTTGAAAATTGTCTTAGTTTGAGAGATGGCTGAAATAATGAACATAAAATGCTATTTATAATAACAAGTATATGTGAAATTTCTTATTGTAAGACTACTACCGGCTTACTGTTGAATAGTTTGGTTATAGTGTTTAGGCTAGAAATGCCTCCCACATTGGTAATAAACATTACAAAATACAATGTATTTTTAGGTAGGCATTTTATAAAATGCATTATGCCATGGTTGCTTTTGAGATAGATTGTAGTCTGGGTAGCATCTTTAAAATGTATGTGGGCTTAACTGTTGTTCATATCAGGAGATGCTCTGATTGTATAGGTGAGACTCTGTTTCTGTTATTTTTAATTGCTGTATGAAATGTGATCAGATTATTTTACTACCAACAGTTATAGTTTGAAAGTCCAACTGTATTAATTGACTGATAATATGATAATATAGAGATTAAATTGTTTGTCTTCATTCCTTATATGTTTAGAAGTTTTTGCTTTGTCTGCCTGCTTACTTGTATATGTAAGCATGAGGGAAATACACTGTTGCTAATACTGAAATTACAATCAAGTAACTAAGGCCTTGAGTTCATATGTGACACTGAATGCACTAGCTTCCTTCGTTCTATAACTAATGTACCTTAACTTCCCCCATTCTTATATTTACAAGAAGCTAAGTCATTATGTTCTGAGTGTGTGGTATGTTCCCTTAAAAAAAAATGACACTTGGAAGAAAAATGTATGAAATTCAGAAATTCCGATCAAAGAAAAGTAATTCTTTCTTTTTTTTTTTGAGACAGAGTCTTGCTTTGTTGCCCAGGCTGGAGGGCAGTGGTGTGATCTCACCTCACTGCAGCTTCCGCCTCCTGGGTTCAAGTGATTCTCATGGCTCAGCCGCCTGAGTAGCTGGGATTACAGGTGTGAGCCAACAAGCCCGGCTAATTTTTGTATTTTTAGTAGAGACAAGGTTTCACCATGTTGGTCAGGCTGGGCTCAAACTCCTGAATCCGCCTGCCTCGGCCTCCCAAAGTGCTGGGATTACAGGTGTGAGCTGCCGCACCCAGCCAAGAAAAATAATACTCTTAAATACTTAGATGTTCACCTAAAGTTGATATTATTTGGTATGGGAATTACTTTTGAACTGTAATCTTTCAGATTACACCACTTTGAAAACAAGTTTTAACAGTAGGGTAAAAATATAGTTTTTGAGGGTATTCCCAACTTGTGATCTTCTACCACTTTAGAGACATTCAAGTAATAGTTTTCTTAGAGCTTTGCACATTCCTATTCACTGAGATTTTAAAAATTTCACCTTTATTCGAGGGAAGGATCAATGCTTATTACCATTTGGAAAAACGAAGATCAGAAGGTAAATGATCTTTATTTTCTAGCTTTAAAGGGAAATTAAACCATTCATGAATAAACTTTAAAAATGTGAAGTGTCCTTTTCCTTTTCACAATACAAAAAAAATTTCAACAGATTGTGTGGTTTGTGCATTTATATCCTGTTAAGCATTAATAGCTAATCACTGGGACTTGAATTCTGATGGCAGATAGTCTCTTGCTTAGTGAGATGGAGTTAACTATTTTTTAGTAGGAAGTGAGAACAGCTGATTTTCATGCCACGTTTCATAGCCCCACTTTTGGTAGACTACCACCACGCTTCTTCGCGTAAGCAGTGGCATCTTGGGAATGAATGCCCAGCCGCTCGTGGGTTGGTGCAAAGAAGTATAAACATATATCACTAAGGAAAAAGAAAGTTTGTCTTGCCCTTCTGACACAGTGTGTGCACTTCAGGCAATTTTTGGAAAATATAAAAAATTCCAAATTCTGCCTTTCAGCAGCATCAATTGCTAGGAACATTTCATTCATTTCCCTGTAATATTAATGTTCTTTAAGCATAATCACTAATTATAAGTTGTATCCTATTTTTTTCCAGCTTAATTTCTGTGGTTTATTGAAAACCAAGTATAAATGTGACTAAAAGCATTTTGCTTTGTTTTTATAGTTAACTTTCTTAAGGTTATGGACATTTTATAATGTAACATTTGATTGGCCTGGCCTCTTGACAATTCCCTTCTAGTTATGCATATCCTCCTGTTGCCACATTTCTTGTTTTAAAACTCAGTTTCTTGTTTTCCAGTTGTTGCTATGTATAACACCCATCTTGAAAGAGAGTATATAGGAAGTTATTCAGATAACTTTTGTAGTAGTGATATTCAACTATAGCAGTACCTTAACTCATGATGAGCTTAGGAACATAAAAGATAATTGTTGCTTGAATAGCACCCCCAGAGATACTGACCTAATTGGTCTGGGGTGGAGATCTGGCATGGTAGTTTTTTTCAAGCTCCAATCATCGGCCAGACAGTTGCTTTATGTAGGTTTTTAAATGCCAAAGGCAGATATGAAGTAGATTTAATTAAGACTTGACTTCAGCAATACAGGGGAACTTAAAATACTTATTTTTCTTTAAACTGCAGGAGTCACTGTTAGGTATTGCTTAAAAAAAATTGCATAAAAGCTTTGCTTGTCAAGTTAGGATTGCTGGAATACCACTAAAGATTTTTGACTTGTGAATAAATGAGCTGTCATCGCAAAAAGGCGATTTGAGAAATGTGGGCTTCAGTATTAATTGCCATTTTGCTGACACCCAGTGTACCTACCTACCTGAGAAATTTATTTTGTCCATCATGTATTTCTCAAAGCAAAAGGTGGTTTTCAAGTATAATGTCGTTTTCAACATGCTTATTACTTAGTTTTACGTCAGCTCATTTCATCATCATTGATAACTTGTGAAATACTTATCTCCATCCTATGGAATAGGGGAGACGGGTTTAGACAGGTTCAATTAGCTCAAGTCTACACAGCTGAAGTAGCAGAGAAAGTGGGATCTAGATGGTCTGATCCTAGTGATCTACCATATGAAGGACATAGTTTGTGTCCTGGTCCAAGTCAAATATTGACTCCTCACAAACAGTAAGTATGGCAATTTTGTGATGCCTTTGATTCCACTTTACATGGAGTACTATTATTTGTGAAATGTCTTTAAGATTTTTGGTCTTAAATTTTTGAAGACTGCTTTCCCCCTTTATCTCCCAGAAAATTGAGAAGAAGTAAACTCCTGCCCACTAACAATCTCAGTCCGTGAACAAAACCAACATGAACATTCCTAAACAAGAGTGTGTGTTACTCTAAGAAGAAGGCTATAGAATTTATGGAAATGGCTTATGTAACCTACAAGACTGGAGAACAGAATGTGACTGGCCTTTTCTAATGGTCCTTTAAGATTTAATGATTAAAGCAAGAGTTTTTTATAATTGACTTTGTGGTCTAAATTCTTGATACTGTTTATAATTCTACAAAGAACAAAAATTGTTATGTACTATAGGCACTTAAGAACCCTGAGGAAAAATAATACAATGTGTGTGTGTGAGAGAGAGAGTGAGTTACTGACATTGTTCCAAAAAAAAAAAAAAAAAAAAAAAAAATGTGGAGGGTTGAAATGGTAAGGAATTGGAATCTTTTGTATTTTCGAGCAATAAGAATTCCTATTCTTGTTTCAAATAGAGGTTTGTTAGGAATTACAGTTGTGGGGAGCAAACTTTCTTTTTTGTGCTGTTTTAATTCAAAATGTATATCCTTAATTGTATATAATATGTAGATAAATATATGAGGGTATTAAGCTACTTTGAATTAAATTTAAGGATATATTTCACATGAAAACAAATACAAACGAGAATCAAAATAAAGTTTTGCAAAGTATTTCTTTGGGTGCTTTTGTGTACTTTGCCATTGAGCAAATTTTATGAAGTTATTGGGATATTAAGATTTTCTTTTAAAAGTTAAATGTTTAATCAAGTAAATTATCTCTGCAAGGGAGACATGTTCTTGTACACTGGGACTCCCATAGAATCCCTCAGCTGGAGGAGTTTCCCTATGCATGTTTTAAGAAATTATGGAGATTATACATTCTGCAATGAAGGAAATGCCTTAAGAGCCTTAATTTTGAATTGGACCAAGTGGTTCCTTTCTAAGATAGGTGGTGAGTAGAACGGGTATTTCAGGGAGAGGAGTATATTGGCATATGTACTTAAAGGTTCCCGATGTGAACTTTAAGGTGGTAGAAATTTGTGTTCATTGTTATAACATTTGCATCACAAGGTGATGGGGGGAGATAACAGCTACAATAGTATTTGCATTGAGTAGTTAACAAGCCTGTCACATCTATGCATTTGAGGAAGTAGTGCAAATGTTTTCAGCAAATAATGTTTAAACTGCTTAAATATGTAAATAGTTATTTCCATCCAATACTTTGATGTCTAACTCCAAGACAGTACTTTGGAGATACCAATAGCAAATGAAGTTTTACATTTTCATAACGTGTTTCCCATACCACAGTAGTATGGAGATGAGGTGGCTTTAGAATAGTGTTTCCTTTTCCCTTTGCTTTGATTTTTTTCCTTACGAAGTTTCCCCAGCTTTGACACATTATTTTTCCGTATTTGGTTTAGAGCCTAGATATGATTAAAGCCACCTTTATGCCCTTCCCTGTCCACATTTTCGTCTGTCAAACCACGAACCTGAAATTTTTGTCCTTCTTTTGTTTCAATGTTTTGCTGCCTGTGTATGTAATTATATAATCAGTTTTATAGTGTATTTTGCATGTTTTAAAATGCCACGTAGCTGTGTATCTTAGATGATTATTTGTCTAGCTTTACCTTCACCTAACATTTTTTACACCCCCAAACTTCCACCTAATTCCCTTGGGGTTTCTCATGCGTTTCATGTACTAATATATTGTTTTCTCCTTTGAGTAGCAGCTTGGACCCATTGTAGTGACTTTCCGTTGCTGCCAGGGCTAGAACTGAAATTAGCACACCAGTCTCTAGCAAAGGCTGCTGAAGCCTATTGATGATTGCAGCAATGCTGCCACTGCCTGATGTTAGCACAGAGTCTGTTGATCGGTCTGGCACAGATGTAGTTGACATCACTGAAAATCTCAGCTCTTTCCTGAATCTCTTGTGGTTTGTTCTAGGACTCAGACATCAAGTCTGGCCAGAAGACAGTTGTTGAGACAAATGTTGCCCTAAAAGCCACTTGCTACATGTGACTGTACATAGTAACACATAATTTTAGAAGGAAAACGAGTCTAGGGGAAGAGAGATGAGGTGCTTTAAGCACATATGTGGAATCTTCAGGCTGCTTGCACATCCACACTGTTTCTGCATGCGCTGCAGAGTGTGTGTGTGTGTGTGTGTGTGTGTGTGTAAATGGAGAAATGGCACAAAGTCTGGCATTTTTTTTGAAAATTCAAGATTTGGAACAAAGGTCTTGCATTACCACATGGCAACAATTTTCTGGAGCCAAGTAGCAGTTTCCCCTGTAATTCCCATCACTTGTTTTATACTCCGTTTTACTTGTTACCTGCATGATCAGTGTATTCAGCTGAATTTGTGACCCCTGATTTAGACACTAATCATGTATTATAAATACTGAGTACTTCTATATTGGGTACAGGTTGGAGTGGGGGGTGTAGGGTAAGATTATACCAGATTGAAATATTGGGATATGGGCTGGATCCTGTTGTCAGGAGGCAAAACTAGTTAAGCACTTGTACCTGGTCAACAGATAATTGGGCCCAGAATGTCCAAAACATTGTAAACTGAAATAGGCTAAAGTTTGAAGAGCAGTAACTGTAGAGTACCTATTATATGTCAAGTACTTTACATATATTTTATTCTCAGAATAACCTTTCAGATTTATTATTTATTTATTTTTAAGACGGAGTCTCGCTCTGTCGCCCAGGCTAGAGTGCAGTGGCGCCATCTCCGCTCACTGCAAGCTCCGCCTCCCGGGTTCACGCCATTCTCCTTCCTCAGCCTCCCGAGTATCTGGGATTACAGGCGCCCGCCACCACGCCTGGCTAATTTTTTGTATTTTTACTAGAGACGGGATTTCACCATGTTAGCCAGGACGGTCTCTATCTCCTGACCTCATGAACCTCCTGCCTCTGCCTCCCAAAGTGCTGGAATTACAGGCATGAGCCACCGCGCCCGGCCACCTTTCAGACTTTTGAAAAACACAGATGAGAAGCACTTGGAGAAATTCACTGTCCAAACTTAACGGTCTTGGACAAGTCTGGGCCCTTCATCATACCATGCTGCCTTTAGGGAAAAAAGGGGGTGGGAATGACGGTGAAATTGATCTAATGATGTTTAATTCAATAAAAACGAGAACTTACTTTGGTCTCAGTCACTTTTGAGAGTATAAAATAATTTTTTTTTTCTGGTTTTGAAAATCTCAACATCAAAGAATAATATGCCTAAAACTTAATTACCTAATACACCGTACTAGTGGCTAGAAGTTGGCATGTGGCTGCAATATGGTTTCAGAATACAAGCTTTTTGAAATTCAGGCTCTTCATAGCCCACCTGTCAGCAAGTTAACCTAGATTTTTAGCTACGTCAATGGCCTTTAGCGTTATAGTTCCAAATATTAAGCATGAGAGAACCTTGGCAGGAAAGCATTTCAAAGTGGTATGAGTCTGGATGCTGAAATGGGATTGTGGGTTATAATTCCGGCTCTGTCAGTTTACTAGTTGTGACCTTGGGCAGTTTTATTTCTCTCTTGTCCCAGCTTCCTCTGTAAACAGGGTAATAACTATGCCTGTTCATTGGATGTGGAGGGGATTAAAGAAGTACAGCTCTTAGATCAGAACTTGGCACAAAGCAGATGCTCAAGAAATGGTAGCAGTTATCGTATATGTCCATATGAAGTGGAAAATTGGGAAGCTGTCTGATTATTTGGGTTAAAAATTAATATATCTGGACAATGGGTATTTGGCTTGAAGTTTTATTTTTGAAGTCATTAACCAGGTCCGCAGCTGCAGGCATTATCTGTGTTAGGCAACAGCCTTTTATTGAATGCTGGTAGAGGGGCAGCAGGACAAACAGTGTGGGTTTTGGAGGATAGACAGACTTGAATTTGGATCTCAACTCTGCCATTGGCTAGAGACGAACCCTGGAACAACTATGGAACCTCTTTGAGGCGTAGCCTCCTCATCAAGGACACCGTCTGATTTTTACACTCCTCTTTTGTAACTTTGTAAGGTTGTGGTGAAGACTGCAAGATATTTTAAAAATTACGTTTTTACTCTGTTCTTCAATCATATTGAACATGATATTGGGATAATTAAAATTTTTTAAATTTAATGGTAAATTTTAAAGCTTAATGGTAATGAATACTCTTGAGTTAGAAAATGTAAAAATACTGTAAGGGTGGAGGCATTCTTGTAGGTGAGCAACCTGTGAGTGTTAAGAATGATGCATTTCTTTGTTGGTTCTTTTTTTCTGCGTATGAAGGTAACACTAGTGGATTATAGAGGTTTGGAAATGATAGAAAAGTATATAGTAGAAAAAAGTTCCAATATCTCACTTCCCAGAGATAACTTTTTAACAGCCTTTTTAATGCCTAGGAGCATAGCAGAGATTTTATATATATGTATACAATTAGTATAAATATTAATTTATACTAATAAATAAAAATCAACATGGTTAATTGATTTAACAAAATTAAAATTCATTTTTTACCTGGAAATAATTTTTGAAATTGTTGTAAGAAAAGGTGTAAGAATAGTAGACACCCATTCTGCCTCACTGCTTTATTGTTGATGCTTCCTCCTTGCCCCCTCCACATTATAAGTACATATACATTATATGTGCATACATGCATGTTCATATATACATATGCATGCATTCATGTACATGTATACATGTACACACATGTACACATTCACATGTGCATATATACCTATACACACATATACCCACATTTTCTCAAAACCATCCAAGAGTAAGTTGCATATATCATATTGCATGCTACTGGGGAGGCTGAGGTGGGAAAATTGCTGAGCCCAGGAGTTTGAATTAAGATTGCACCACGGCACTCCAGCCGGGCAACAATGACACCCTGTCTCCATCAATCAAAGACATGCATATATTATCCCTAACTATGTCAGTGTGTATTTCCTAAGGTAAGGTTCCCTTACATGACCACAGTACAGTTGTGAACTTCAGCAAATTGAACATTGATACAGTTTTTTCCCCCAAATCTACTGTCCGTATCCAAATTGACTAAATAATGTCATTTATGGCATATTTCCCCCTCCAGTACAAGGGTTGGTCTGGGGTCACATGTTGTATTTAGTTGTCAAATCTCTTTAGTTTCCTTGAATCTGAAATAGTTCCTCAGCCTTTCTTTGTCTTTTATTACATTGATGTTTTGAAGAATGCAGTCCCTGCCTCCTCCTTTGGGCTTTCTTTGATGTTTCCTCAGTAGACTCAAGTAATAGATTCTTAGCCTGATTGCTACAGAAGTGGCACCATGTCCTCCTCAGGGTATCATGTCCACTGGCACATGAGGTTCCCCTGCCCCTCATTTGTGAATGAAGACCCAGCTGAGGGCTGGGAAAGAGGAGGACTCACGCTGAGGTGAAGACTTGAATCAGATGGCCTGGCTTTGAATTCTGGCTTTGCCTTGTAATCTTGGGCATGCTTTCAACGTTGCTGTCTCAGGTTCTGCATCTGTAAAAAGGGGATTTAAGAAAGTGTACTGATACACACCTCATAAGGTTGTTATTCGATTAAATATACCTAGAGTGTTGAAAATAATTACTGGCACAAAGTTAACACCATATGAGTGCTAGCCATCATTATTGACACTGATTCTCTCTACAATATAATCATTACCATTCTTTTTGAAAAATTAATAGTCTGAAGTGCTGAAATGCCAAGTGCGTTGTTTAAGCTCATACAGGTAGGATACCAAGTCTCATGAAGCTAAATACTGTGCTGTCCTGTTCATATTTTTATTTGATTTTTGCAAGATCCATTGTAAGCACACCTAATTTCTATGGGATAGGTCAGAAAGACCCCAGGAGAGTGTCTTCTTGTGTTATGGTGGGAAAGCCTCTGGGAGGTAAGTTGGGAGCTGCTCTCCGCCTCGTCTGCCTAGAGAAGTGTATGCTGTGGAGGTGGCTCTGTGCCATGGAGAAATGGAGCAGAATTTACTCCTGTAGTGTTCAGCTATCACCAGGCAAAACATTAATTTTATTTGGATAAATCAGAACATCTGTGGATATTTGGAGCTTTTTAATGTAAAAATAGTGCTAATTTTTACATTTTCAAATAGACTCTCAGGCATTATGATAAAATTTGAAGTTTCTTTTTATATAGGTGATTTTCAAGTGTGCTTGCACAGAACTGTGACACCTGGGGACCTGCATATTCCTTTCTTCTTTTCCATTTTTTGATGAGACTTCCTTTCTGCACATTAGAACAGGTAAAAGGAACATGGTGTCAAAAGCAGCCTAATTTCACTCTTCTCATTTGCTCAGACACAACTGATCTAGATTTCTAACAATGCCAGTTGCCTTATTTTGGGAAACAATTTGGAGTTAACAGGGATTGTATTCCATTGATTTGCTAGGGGGAGACCCCAGCAATGTGGAAACCATTCTAAAATGTGAGGAATATGTATTAGCGGTATGTAAGTGACTGTCCACAAGAGGTAGTAAGGAATTGCAGGAATGCTACCTGCTTATGAATGTTTTCTCACCAGGCTACAAGGACAGCTGTTCCCCTGCCTGGCTTGACTCCCCTCTCTAGAGCAAGTCATGAATGGGTTAGGACAGTCAGGGTGGGCAGAATAAAAAGGAGAACAGCAAGCTGTGCTTAAGTGGAGAACCAAGCAAGAAAAGATGGATCTAGATGTTTGTTTTTGCAACTGGACTTCATTTTTTTGTATTATATTCTGATTTCCTTCTGGGCAGTGGTATTACAGCAGTCCCCCCCCCACCCCCTTATCTGTGGTTTCACTTCCTGTGGTTTCTGTTATCTGTGGTCAACTGTTATCTGAAAATATTAAGTGGAAAATTCCAGAAATTATAAGCTTTAAATTGCATGCCTTTCTGAGTAACATGATGAAATCTCATGCCTTCCCACTGCGTCCCACTGGGGACCTGAATCCTTCCTTTCTCCAGTGGAATCATGCTGGATGCTCCCCACCTGAGTCGTTGACATGGTCTGCTCCTGACACCCAACCATCAGCATCGTCATGGCTCGATGATCCAGGATTACCTGGAGTGAGTGATCCTCCGATCTGTCATCAGAGGGTCAACAGCAGCCTCATGCTGCATCACCTCACTTCCTGTCGTAGGCCTGCTCCTCTCACATCTTCACCAGAAGAAGGCTGATGCAGATGACCGCGGCTTATGACACTTTAACTTGGGATTTGACTGTAAGGTGATGCAAAGGTGATCTGCACTCAGGAAAACCCATACTTCCAGTACCATTCAACATTGTTTTCCACTACAGCACAGCATTCAGTAAATTACACGAGACATTTGACACTTCATAATGAAGTGGGCTTTGTGTTAGAGGACTTTGCTCAACTGTAGGCTAATGTAAGTGTTCTGAGCACGTTTCGGGTAGGCCAGGCTAAGCCATGATGTTTGGTAGATGAGGTGTATTAAGTGTATTTTTGATATGCAGTATTTTAATGTGTGATGGGTTTATTGGGACATAAGCCATTGTAGGTTGAGCAGCATATGTACAGTACAGTGAGATATTTTGAGAAAGAGTGTGAGCATGCACCTTCACATAACTGGTATTACAGTATATTGTTATAATTGTTCTCTTTTATTAGTTATTGTTGATCTTATTGTCCCTAATTTATACATTAAACTTTATGTTTATGTATAAATTTCCTATTCATAAGTATGTATGAATAGGAAAAATGTGTATACAGGGTTTGGTAGTACCTCTGGTTTCAGGCATCCACTGGGGGTCTTGGAATGTATCCCCTGAGTATAAGCGGGGGGACTACTGTAGTTGTCTGTTGTGACTGTACAAGGTTACCACAAATTTAGTGACAAAAACCAACACAAATTTATCCTAAAGTCCCTCTCCTTTATCTAAATTAAAATATCAGCTGGGCTCCAGGGCAGACTCCATTCCTGGCCTTTTCCATCATCGAGGGGCCACCCACATTCCTTGGCTTGTGTGGCCCCTCCTGCGGTCACATGACACCAACCTCTGCTTCCACCATCTCTTCTCCTTCTGTGACCCTCCTGCCTTCCTGTTACAGGTACCCCTGCGATGACACTGGGCCCACCTGGCTGATCCAGGGCCATCTCTCCATCTCAAGAGCCTTCACTTAATCACAGCCAAAGTCCCTTCATGGAAGGTTACATATTCAGGGATTCTGGGGGTTAGGATGTGAACATGTTCCGGGGCATCATTTCCCCCACTCCCTCAGTCGGTGCTCTTCAGCCTGGGCCAGGTCTCTGGCAACTGGGAAAGTAGAAGGTCTGTATCCGAGCCAGTCAGTACATCCCAGTGCTTCAGAGACCACGGAGAGACCCAGTCAGAGCCAATGAAACCTTAGCCTTTCAACGGATCTCCGTTTCCTTTGGTCTTATCGTCCCCTTCAGCCCCTTTCAGGTTAGTTCAGGCTCTTTTTCATATTCAGTTCAAAGTTTGTTATCGACACTGCGCTTGTCTGAAAGATTTGGATTTCACTGGTGCTTCTGGTCCTCTGGGTCTCCGCAGCGCCCGCATCCTGTTCCTGCTCCAGCGTCCCCTCACCCCCACCATCGCACTCCCCCTAGGGCAGGGCCGGTGCTCCCCAAATCAGGGGTACTTCCTGAGTCGCGGGTGGGAACTTGTGACCCTTCCCTATCACAGATCGGTGAGGGTGACTCTCGGCTCTCCCGGGCTCTCTTTCTTCGTAACCACAGAGCGCCGGCTTTCCATCTGTCCCCTCGCCCCTCTTCCCTGCTCCCAGCCCAGATATGTCCTCGAATTATAGACTTACATCCCCAACGACTTTGGCCATGTGTCCGATACCTCGGACTTAATATGTCCAGAACTGAATCCAGTCTCCCTCACACCCAGGCTTGCTCCATGCAGGCCTCCCCCATCCGCATTCTTTCCTTCACTCAAACCTCGGAGTCATCCTTGCTTGGAGCATTCCCTTCCTTCCCATGCCACAGCACAGCCCGTCTTGTCAACGCTGCTGCTGGCTCTACTTTCAAAACACACCCAGAACCCAGCTGCTTCTTGCCACTTCCATGTTTTGTCCCCTCTATTTCCTTCATTTCCTCGACAGTCTCAGCAGGTCTCCCAGGCGCCCCCGTGTCCCCTCAGCCTGTCTTAGAGCAGGAACCAGAGCGGTCCTGTTAAACACAGGTCGGAGGGGTGTTTTCCTGTGCTCAGACTCTCCAAGCCGTCCCCCTTCACCGTGAGTAAGAGTGGGGAGCTGGCACTGGCCCGCAGGGCTCCAGCGTCCCTGCCCTGACCCCGCTTCCCCCTCTAGCCCCATTCCTTCTCCCTCCACTCGCCCCACGTCGTTCTGCCGTCACGCTGGTCTCTGGATATTCACGGAGCATTCGCACATTCCAGTCCCGGAGCCTATACCCGCTGTGGCCTCTGCCCCAGTGCTGTCCTCTGTGTGTCCGCGGGGCTCACTCCTCAGCTCTCCCAGCCTTCACTTAGGTCACCTTCTCCGTGAGGCCTTCCTGGGTCTCTCCAACTGAACAATGGCACCGTCCCTTCACACTCTGGCCCCTCGCTCGGGCTCCCCTCACCCCCATGGAATGTGCCATACCTGTCTTCATTTCTCTTGCGGTCTGCTCCTCCACCAGAACGCAAGCTCCCTAAGAGCAGCGCTTTCAGACGTTTTGTTCACTGCTGCCTCCCCAGTGCCTGTTAACGGCCTGGCATACAGTTAGGTGCTCAGTAAGTCTTTTTTGAAAGGAGAGAGAGAAAACGCACAATTGTGCATGCACACGGGGTAGCCATATAAAATGGGCTCTTACTACGGATTGTGGTTAAAAGAAAAATCTGAAAGCCCTGCCTCAACTGAAACCTACCCCGCCTGCTTCTCCTCATCTTCATTTCTGCGCAGAGCTCCAGACTTCCCATATGGGATCCACAAACCTCCTCGCTCTTCATCTTCTAGGGACAGCCTTTTGCCGCCAGGCTCCAACAGAAGCTGAGATGTCTCCTGGGGGCCCTGCTGTGGTCTGGAATGGAGAAGACCCTTCCACGCTGGGAGGAGGGGCTGGTTTCCTTCCTCGTTTTCACGCCTGTTCTGAGGTTTTCTTTCCTCCCTCTTGCAACAGCCCAGGCTTGTTTCCAGCTCGCGCCGCCCTCAGCCCACCTCGCTCCTTCCCTCTTCCAGCCTGCACCCTCCCCTGCCCGCCACGCTCTCGGGGGTCATCGCTGGGCGGGTTGCTGTTTGTTGACCTCCCCCTTCCAGGGCACTTTCTTCACACACCTGTCATTCACTGTCCTGAGGGAGAGTTTTTGTCACCACTGGGCAGAAACATCTCTGAAATCTCGGCTGCAGATAACTGCTTTCCAATCACAGCGATCCTTTCATCCGAGTTGCAGAAATATCCTCTATGGCCATAACTTCTTACCTCAACTCTTCCACTCACGAAGTCACCACTTTCTTACTAAGAGTGGCCTTTTCTTGGTTCCCTGGCTGGCATTCGATGCCAGTGCTGCCAACTTCACTGCTTCCACCGGCTCCACAGCTGCCTGGCACGCCCAGCCCCTCGGGGTTTGCTGGCTCGGGGCGTCCCCTTCATTGTAGTTCAGGGCCCCTTCAGTGCACATTTAGGGTGAGCCGGTGTGTTAAGCCACACCACACTGACTTTGGGAGATGGGCCGATGCTGGCCTTAGACTGCAGGGACTGCGTTGAGACTTTTCTGGAAACATATAGGTGTGCCTGCATGGAGACTTTTCTGGAAAGCCATCCTGGAAGTGGCCATTTGGAAAGCAGGCAAGCCTTGACCCTTGGGAAAGGTGGGACTTCCTCTCCCCGGGCCCAGGGAGTGGGAGGGGAGAGGATTGGCCTGTGGCTTTGTGGAATTTGGTGTTTTCCCACGGGGGGAGATGGTAGTTGCAGAGCCTGGGAGGTTCCTTTAGCTTCAAGGGGACTTGTCTGTGTCCAGGCCCTCTCTCAAGCACAAGAGAAAGGTGACGATGCAGGATCCTTCCCTCAGGTGACACCCTCTCAGCTCAGCCACCAGAGTTCATGGCCAGCCTTGGTTGCGGGTGTGGGTCTGAAGAGTGGATCATGAAAAGCTGGTGGTTCTCCTGAAGGGAAACCCTCGAAACTTCTTTCTCACCCTCTGAGGAGTTGGTGGAAATATCTCAGGCCTCCGCTTGGGAAGAACGTGGAGCAGGGCTGGTGCCGCCGCAGAGACCAGCAAGCCGGGCTTGGTTCTGCAGGAATGAGTCTGAGGCACTTGCGGGTCCTGCTCTCTCAGCGGGGGCGATGGAGGAAGCCACCCTGCCATGTCCTTGTATTTAGAGAAGGGGCTCTGGGGAAAGCGACGTGGTGCTTGACTACTTCATCATCAGATTAGGAAGATATCTGGGGCCTTAATTTGGATAACTGGGTCAAGATTATACAACAATTATGGTTATATGCAAATTCTGTTGCTTTAAAAATAGGAATCACCTTATTTAATTATTTTAGGATCACAAAGCTTCCGTCCTCCAAGAATGACCACACGGTGGACATTTCAGGAGCCTTGGAGAGCCACACCTCTAATTCCCCCATCACCCTGAACGTGCAGCTTGCCATCCTTCTGTTTTTGTCTGTAAACTGGTGGCTATTGTCCTAAATCATTTTTCTTAGGGAATTTTCCGTAACATCAACCCCAATATTTTAACAATTGTGGCGTGTTTGGGATGGGGATCCCAAGCATTTCATCAGATTCAAGCATTTCCTATACTTGGAGCTTTTTTCTTTTTGGTTTCTAAAACTAGGTAAATAAGTGTATTTGGTTTCCTAACCTCCAAAGCCTTACTGATTTAATTTTTGCTAAATGGCACTGCTGAATTTTAATGTACACAACAGAGGGTCCTTGGAGGAACCGGTGTCACTCCACTCCAGGGGCCCCTTTCTCATTGAATTTTAGATGGTGCAGAAGGAATTGGGCTAGCGCCTTTCCTAGGAAGCCATGGGAAGATTTAGCACTCCAAAAAATTGTTTTAATTCAGCACCTCCAACAACCTGTCCCCGGACTCTTGTTTTTCTTAGTGCTAAACTATAACCACCTAGAACACACGCTTTTCACATTCTGAATAGTAACTTGAAGGCTGGTGATTCTGAATAGTAACTTGAAGGCTGGTGAACCATTAAATTCAACTGTTGTAAAATCTGATCCTGCCACGAGGTGGCAGTGTGGTCTTGTGTCTTGAGGCTTTCTGCACGATGGAAAACCCAAGTTGGTTTACACTGTCTGTACTGATAGACATTTAGTACAGACAGTATAAACCAATTCCTTTCAAAAACCCACATCTCAAACAAAATCAAACTATTAAGTTTTTAGTGCAAACTGTAATTGCAGGCTGAAGGAAGCTTTCTTTTTGATTCTAAGGATAGATATAAAACTTCTCCACTCTCCCTTAGAAGATATAAGAGTTTGTTTTTCCAGTAGAAAATTAGGCTAATTACAGTGATAATGTGGGTAAGCTTTTGTGGTATCTTTGATGAAAATATATAGTAGAATAATACCTTTAATTTCATTACTAACTTTCATCTGTGTGACTTACTTTGTTGAAAGCATTAATTTTTTATAATGTCTTATAATTACAGAAGGCATTATGTGTTTTTCTTTACCTGATCCTTCCCTCAAATGTTGAATAACTTTTTGATTTCATGATTAAATTCTGGGTTCTATGTACATCTCTCTTACCACACCCCCAACATGTTAACATGTAAATAGCCTATCTTGTCCACCCATTGTCAACTGGAAGCTCTGACTGAGGGGAAAGCAAGCTTGAATAAGGGCTTAAAAAAACAGTAATTTAAAAAGCAAAAAAGTCCTAACTTTTTTATTGCTGAAAATGTTAAGACACAATTGTCTTTGAGTTTACTGTTTTGGAACTCTAATGAGGGCCATCTCATTAACTTGAATGCTTTTGAACTCAGTTTAGCTTTAACGCGTGTGCTCTCAGGCAGGCAGGCAGGCAGGCGTGTTCCTCTGGTATTGCAAACATCTGTTTGGAATGGATCTAAATTCACATACACCATGCCTGTGCATTCAACATACCACCCTACCTAAGAGCTAAGGATGAAGAAGATGGTTATCTTTGACAAAAATCATAATTCCTGAGTGTCTCCATTGCACTTGGTGAAAATGTCACTTGGTCTGGGCCAGGTGACAGCCATGGGGTTAGACCAAGGGGCCAGGCCATGGATTAGAGCAGGCCTCAGACCCAGAGCTTGATCAAGGGGGGAATCACCCACAAACGAATGAACGCCTACTCTGTGGCTGTCAGTTTACTTACATTGGCTCCTGCAATCCCTCCAACAGGCCCATATCTCCCCTTTCCACAGAGGAAAAAGGTTTACCAGGTATGGTTGGCAGAACAAGGGGCCCCCAAAGATATCCACACCCTAATCCCCGGAACCTGTGAATACGTTAGATTACACAGCAAAGGGGAATTAAGGTTGCCCATATAATTAAGGTTGCTAATCCAATGACTTTCAGGTAGGGAGATTATTCTGGGTTATCCTGGTGGGTCCAATGTAATCATAAGAGTTTCTATGGCTGGAAAGGTGAGAACCAAAGAGATGGCAGCATGAAAAGGCCTCAGCCAGATGCTGCTGGCTTTGAAGATGGAGGAAAGGGCTTGAATAAGGGCTTAGAAGCCAAGGAATGTGGTGGCCTCAGGAAGCTGGAAAAGACATAAAATAGATTCTCTTGTAGAGCCTCTAGAAGGCGTACCGCCCTGCTGACACCTTGATTTTAACCAGTGAGACCCATTTGACTTCTGACCTCTAGACTTGCAAGAATGAATTTGTGCTGTGTAAGTCACTACATTCGTGGTAATTTGTTATGGCAGCAATTGGAAACTGACACACTGGTGCTCTATATTGTGGGTTACACAGGCGGCGTGGGGTGATTCCAGACTTAAATCATAGCTCACATGACTGAGAAAATGTTATTTCTTTGTTTCATGGATAAAGTGATATTTCTCACCTGCTAGGTAGAGGATGAGAGGAAAATCATTTTTAGTTCTGTTTGATATGAAATTTAGTCTTAATCCAATAATTAAAAAAAATCCCTTCAGGGAATGCTGTGTTTTTATTTTTAATAACCGTTCATTGTTTTAACTTCCTCCTTAATCACCTGCTCTGTTCTCATGGAGTGTGTGTGTCAGGTGACTCAGTGGCTGTGGGATTGGGGGGTCTCTGGTTCTCATCCAGCTCTGAGGCTCCCTGTCACCCCCTCATGTGTGTGGGTGGCCTCAGGGAAGGATTTTGCATAGAATGGGACTGAAGCGGGTGGGGCCTCAGGGAGTGGTTTTGCACAGGGTGGAGCCATGATGAGCTGGGCTTTGGGGTGCCTGCTGCTTCCTGCATTCCTGTGGGCAGGCCCAGTCTACACCGACATCGGGAGACCTTCGTGCCTGGTGTCCATTTCCCCAACTCTATAGACTTCTCCCCTCCTGGGTCTGCTGCCTGGAGTCCAGTCACCCTGGGTCCCCTCATTTCCCAGTCCAGCTCCCTGGTGCAGTCTGTGGTATAGCCCTCTCCTCCCTAATTAATTCCTCTTCTAGTCATAATGACCATCGAGGAGTGGCATGGAATTAAAGTCTCTGACTTTGGTTCTTTAGAAGCTGAAGAAAATTACAATTGTTTCAATATCTAAGCCTGTTTTTCAGCCCTCTTGTCCTGTGAAGGGGCTAAGTACCTTCCCTCTGTTGTCCCAGGGCCATAAGTATGGAGACCACAAAAGGCATATGTTTTATAGGGGGCTGTTAAGATGCATACTTTCCTGTTTGCTGTACATGGCTGTTTAGCAGAAGCTGCGCTGGGATTGGAGCCTCGGTCTCTGTCCTCAAAGCCCACATTCTCACCTACTACAACACCTTGGCAGGCTGCAGGTGGACAGAGGCTGTTAAGTTTCCAGGTAAGGAAATCTGGTCCTAAGGCCAGCATCTGGGAGGAGAAGGACGGTGTCTCCCTTTGGCATGATCTACCAGGAAGATGGAAATTACTACCATTCTCCAAAAGCGGCTCATTCTGCCAGAAGCTGTCTACATTAGAAGGGAGAACAAACTTGGAGGTGGAGTTGGAGGGGTGCAGCATTGGGAATGTCTGCTTCTCATTAGGTTGTGTGTGTGGGAGAGAGGGGCTAGGTGGAGTTCATTAGCATCATTAGGTAGTTGTCCTGGACTTTCCCCAGTGGGAAGGAATGAGGCCTCAGGGCACTTTCAATTAAAAAATCTGATTTTATGTCTTTGGGAAATAGTTTTATGTTTATTTCTTAACATACCATTTTCTAATGAAGCTATTTGACTTCTAAGAGAACACTTTTTATTGACTATAAAGAATAAAACAATCTTGTGATGTTGAAACCATGTTCCACAAATTCAGTATGGAGTCATCTGTCAAGAATAAACAAACCAACCAAAACCACCATACAGCTTATTCCAGAGTAAAATGTGATTTTTAAGACTTTTACTGCTCAGCACAGAGGTATTCTGGAAGTCCAAGCAGACATTACAATGGATTTGTACATGCAAAGTTGGAATAGGGTATTTCATGTGTCATAGGCCTTCCTGGAGCGGTAGCACTACTGCTCTTGCCTTACCCAAGATCCATTCTTCTTTCCTTCTTCACGGATGGAACCCTGCTTTTGTTTGGGGTAGCACTGTGCCCTACTAAAAAATTACATTTCTTGGCATCCTTTGTAGTTGGGGGAAGGTCATGTGATACTCTTCTGAACAATCAGAAGTGAAAGACTGCTGGAAATTTCTGGGAAGTTGTACTTTCCTATTTTGGCATCTACTACTTTCTCCTTGTGTTACTTTCCTCTTCTCCAGATTGAAAGGTGAATTTGATTGGCTTTATGTCTTCAAGTTTATTCTTAAAACCGTGAACTAAAGACTGAGAAAATTACAGAATTCTCAGCCCTGACACTTTTGAGCTGCTGGACTAATACTAATTGTCTGGATTTCATGTGGCATGAGAGAAAAATAATAGCCCTAATTTATTCAAGTGACTCATGATCAAATTTTCAGTACTCCTAATTTATATTTGACATTTCACCAATATAAATATAATTACACTTCTTGTATTTTTCTTACTAAAATGCTTCAGCTGCCACATGCCCATGTTTGCAGGAAGCCCAGGCTCTCTGTCTCGAGGCCTCTTCTGTCACTCCTCCCACCCCTCACGATGACCAAAGGTTTTCATTCTACCTCGAACTCCAGGTGGATGGATAGTTGGAAACCCTGACTGCCCACTAGCAGAGCCTATTGCCCACCACAGGATGTTCTTGGAAAAACCTTGAGCAGTCTTGTGCTTCCTAAACTGTGGTTGGCACAGCCTTTTCTTTAAAAGAAATTTTATCTGGAAATGTTATTACTTCACCTTCATTCTTGAAGGATATTTTGTTGGGCACACAATTCTAGGTTTTCAGTTATTTTTTTTCAGCCCTTTAAAGATATCATTCCATTGTCTTTGGGCTCCACTGTTTCTATGAATAGTCAGCTGTCAGTTTATTTGTTGCTCCTTTAAGGAATTTGTCTATTATTCTCAGGCTTTTAAAAGATGGCCTCTTTGTCTTTGGTTTTCAGCAGTTTTAATACAAAGGAGGTGTGGGACTTTTTTGATTTGTTTTGTTTTTATGTTTATTTGGCTTGGGATTGGAAAGTCTTCTGGATTTTGAGGCTTGATATTTTTAATTAGTTTTGGAAAAATTTCCACCATTATTTCTTATAATACAGCTTTTACCTAAATAATTTTATCCCTTAATGGGTCTTCAATTTTTTACACATTAGACCTTCTCATTGTGTCTCCTATGTATCTTACCCTCTTTTTTGTATTATTCTTCATTTGTCTTTTTGACTTCACTCCTGGACATTTTCTTCTGGTCAGGCTTCTATTTTACCATTTTTCTCTTCAGCTATGTCTAATTTGTGGTTAAACCTATACAGTAAGATCTTAATTTTGATTGCTACATTTTCTTATTTCTAGACTTTTCTTTCAAAAATAGTTTCCAGTTCTTGACAAAACTTAAAACTTTATTTTTTATCTACTTGCACATGAGGACAGCTATTTTAAATTCTGTGCCTTATATCTCAATTATCTGGAATACATAGAGTCCATTTCCATTTTGTTGATTTTCTTGGTGTTTTCTTATTTTCTAGTATGCATCACTATTTTAATTTTAATGCCAGACATTGTTTATGAAAAATGGTGAAGTAATTTGAGGCCTATAATGATTTTATATTCTTTTGTTTTATTATACTTTAAGTTCTAGGGTACAGGTGCACAACATGCAGGTTTGATACATAGGTATATGTAGGCCATGTTGGTTTGCTGCACCCATCAACTCGTCATTTACATTAGCTTTTTCTCCTAATGCTATTCCTCCCCCACCCCTCCAACCCTAACAGGCCCCGGTGTGTGATGTTCCCCGCCCTGTGTCCAAGTGATCTCATTGTTCAATTCCCACCTATGAGTGAGAACATGCAGTGTTTGGTTTTCTGTCCTTGTGATAGTTTGCTGAGAATGATGGTTTCCAGTTTCATCCATGTCCGTGCAAAGGACATTAACTCATCCTTTTTTTATGGCTGCATAGTATTCCATGGTGTATGTGTGCCACATTTTCTTAATCCAGTCTATCATTGATGGACATTTGGGTTGGTTCCAAGTCTTTGCTATTGTGAATAGTGCTGCAATAAACATATGTGGGCATGTGTCTTTATAGTAGCATGATTTATAATCCTTTGGGTATATACCCAGTAAAGGGATTGCTGGGTCAATTGCAATTTCTAGTTCTAGATCCTTCAGGGATCGCCACAGTGTCTTCCGCAATGGTTGAATTAGTTTACACTCCCACCAACAGTGTAAAAGCATTCCTACTTCTCAACATCCTCTCCAGCATCTGTTGTTTCCTGACTTTTTAATGATTGCCATTCTCACTGGCGTGAGATGGTATCTCATTGTGGTTTTGATTTGCATTTCTCTGATGACCAGTGATGATGAGCATTTTTTCATGTGTCTTTTGGCTGCATAGATGTCTTCTTTTGAGAAGTGTCTGTTCATATCCTTTGCCCACTTTTTGATAGGGTTGTTTGTTTTTTTCTTGTAAATTTGTTGGAGTTCTTTGTAGATTCTGGATATTAGCTGTTTGTCAGATGGGTAGATTGCAAAAATCTTCTCCCATTCTGTAGGTTGCCTGTTCACTCTGATGGTAGTTTCTTTTGCCGTGAAGAAGCTCCTTAGTTTAATTAGATCCCATTTGTCAATTTTGGCTTTTGTTGCCATTGCTTTTGGTGTTTTAGTCATGAAGTCCTTGCCCATACCTATGTCCTGAATGGTATTGCCTAGGTTTTCGTCTAGGGTTTTTATGGTTTTAGGTCTAACATGTAAGTCTTTATCCATTTTTGTAATTATCCAATTTTTGTATAAGATGTAAGGAAGGGATCCAGTTTCAGCTTTCTACATATGGCTAGCCAGTTTTCCCAGCACCATTTATTAAATAGGGAATCCTTTCCCCATTTCTTGTTTTTGTCAGGTTTGTCAAAGATCAGATGGTTGTAGATGTGTGGTATTATTTCTGAGGGCTCTGTTCTGGTCCATTGGTCTATATCTCTCTTTTGGTACCAGTACCATGCTGTTTTGGTTACTGTAGCCTTGTAGTATAGTTTGAAGTCAGGTAGCATGATGCCTCCAGCTTTGTTCTTTTGGCTTAGGATTGTCTTGGCAATGCAGGCTCTTTTTTGGTTCCATATGAAGTTTAAAGTAGTTTTTTTCCAATTCTGTGAAGAAAGTCATTGGTAGCTTGATGGGGATGGCACTGAATGTATAAATTACCTTGGGCAGTATGGCCATTTTCATAATATTGATTCTTCCTATCCATGAGCATGGAATGTTCTTCCATTTGTTTGTGTCCTCTTTTATTTCATTGAGCAGTGGTTTGTAGTTCTCCTTGAAGAGGTCCTTCACATCCCTTGTAAGTTGGATTCCTAGGTATTTTATTCTCTTTGTAGCAATTGTGAATGGGAATTCACTCATGATTTGGCTCTCTGTTTGTCTGTTAATGGTGTATAAGAATGCTTGTGATTTTTGCACATTGATTTTGTATCCTGAGATTTGCTGAAGTTGCTTATCAGCTTAAGGAGATTTTGGGCTGAGATGATGGGGTTTTCTAAATATACAATCATGTCATCTGCAAACAGAGACAATTTGACTTCCTCTTTTGCTAATTGAATACCCTTTATTTCTGTCTCTTGCCTGATTGCCCTGGCCAGAACTTTCAACACTATGTTGAATAGGAGTGGTGAGAGAGGGCATCCTTGTCTTGTGCCAGTTTTGAAAGGGAATGCTTCCAGTTTTTGCCCATTCAGTATGACATTGGCTGTGGGTCTGTCATAAATAGCTCTTATTATTTTGAGATAAGTTCCATCAATACCTAGTTTATTGAGAGTTTTTAGCATGAAGGGCTGTTGAATTTTGTTGAAGGCCTTTTCTGCATCTATTGAGATAATCATGTGGTTTTTGTCGTTGGTTCTCTTTATGTGATGGATTATGTTTATTGATTTGTGTATATTGAACCAGCCTTGCATCCCAGGGATGAAGCCAACTTGATCATTGTGGATAAGCTTTTTGATGTGCTGCTGGATTCGGTTTGCCAGTATTTTATTGAGGATTTTTGCATCGATGTTCATCAGGGATATTGGTCTAAAATTCTCTTTTTTGTTGTTGTGTCTCTGCCAGGCTTTGGTATCAGGATATTGTTGGCCTCATAAAATGAGTTAAGGAAGATTCCCTCTTTTTCTATTGATTGGAATAGTTTCAGAAGGAATGATACCAACTGCTCTTTGTACCTCTGGTAGAATTCAGCTGTGAATCCATCTGGTCCTGGACTTTTTTTGGTTGGTAGGCTTTTAAGTATTGCCTCAATTTCAAAGCCTATTATTGGTCTATTCAGAGATTCAACTTCTTCCTGGTTTAGTCTTGGGAGGGTGTACATGTCCAGGAATTTATCCATTTCTTCTAGATTTTCTAGTTCATTTGTGTAGAGGTGTTTATAGTATTCTCTGATGGTGGCTTGTATTTCTGTGGGATCCATGGTGATATTCCCTTTATCATTTTTTATTGCATCTATTTGATTCTTCTCTCTTTTCTTCTTTATTAGTCTTGCTAGTAGTGTATCAATTTTGTTGATCTTTTCAAAAAACCAGCTCCTGGATTCATTGATTTTTTTGAAGGGTTTTTTGTATCTCTACCTCTTTCAGTTCTGCTCTAATCTTAGTTATTTCTTGCCTTCTGCTAGCTTTTGAATTTGTTTGCGCTTGCTTCTCTAGTTCTTTTAATTGTGATGTTGGGATGTCAATTTTAGGTCTTTCCTGCTTTCTCTTGTTGTCATTTAGTGCTATGAGTTTCCCTCTATACACTGCTTTAAATGTGTCCCAGAGATTCTGGTACATTGTGTCTTTGTTCTCATTGCTTTCAAAGAACATCTTTATTTCTGCCTTCCTTTCGTTTTTTACCCAGTAGTCATTCAGGAGTAAGTTATTCAATTTCCATGGAATTGTGCAGTTTTGAGTGAGTTTCTTAATCCTGAGTTCTAATTTGATTGCACTGTGGTCTGAGAGACAGTTTGTTGTGATTTCTATTCTTTTACATTTGCTGAGGAGTGCTTTACTTCCAATTATGTGGTCAATTTTAGAATAAGTGTGATGTGGTGCTGAGAAGAATGTATATTCTGTTGATTTTTGGTGGAGAGTTCTGTAGATGTCTATTAGGTCTGCTTGGTGCAGAGCTGAGTTCAACTCCTGGATATCCTTCTTAACCTTCTATCTCGTTGATCTGTCTAATATTGACAGTGGGGTGTTAAAGTCTCCTATTATTATTGTGTGGGAGTCTAAGTCTCTTTGTAGGTCTCTAAGGACTTGCTTTATGAATCTGGGTGCTCCTGTATTGGGTGCATATATATTTAGGATAGTTAGCTCTTCTTGTTTAATTGATCCCTTTACCATTATGTAATGGTCTTCTTTGTCTCTTTTGATCTTTGTTGATTTAAAGTCTGTTTTATCAGACACTAGGATTGCAACCCCTGATTTTTTGTTGTTTTCCATTTGCTTGGTAGATCTTCCTCCATCCCTTTATTTTGAGCCAATGTGCGTCTTTGCACGTGAGATGGGTCTCCTGAATACCACACACTGATGGGTCTTTACTCTTTATCCAATTTGCCAGTCTGTGTCTTTTAATTGGGGCATTTAGCCCATTTACATTTAAGGTTAATATTGTTATATGTGAATTTGATCCTGTCATTATGATGTTAGCTGGTTATTTTACCTGTCAGTTGATGCAGTTTCTTCATAGCATCGATGGTCTTTACAATTTGGCATGTTTTTGCAGTGGCTGATACTGGTTGTTTCTTGCCATGTTTAGTGCTCTCTTCAGGAGCTCTTTTAGGGCAGACCTGGTGGTGACAAAATCTCTCAGCATTTGCTTGCCTGTAAAGGATTTTATTTCTTCTTCACTTATGAAGCTCAGTTTGGCTGGATATGAAATTCTGGGTTGAAAAGTTTTTTCTTTAAAAATGTTGAATATTGGCCTCCACTCTCTTCTGGCTTGTAGGGTTTCTGTTGAGAGATCCACTGTTAGTTTGATGGGCTTTCATTTGTAGGTAACTTGATCTTTCTCTCTGGCTGCCCTTAACATTTTTTCCTTCATTTCAACCTTGGTGAGTCTGACAATTATGTGTCTTGGGGTTGCTTTTCTTGAGGAGTATATTTGTGGTGTTCTCTGCATTTCCTGAATTTGAATGTTGGCCTGCCTTGCTAGGTTGGGGAAATTCTTCTGGATAATATCCTGGAGAATGTTTTCCAACTTGGTTTCATTCTCCCCATCACTTTCAGGTGCACCAATAAAAGGTAGATTTGGTCGTTTCACATAGTCCCCTACTTCTTGGAGGCATTGTTCATTTCTTTTTACTCTTTTTTTAATCTAACCTTGTCTTCTCACTTTATTTCATTAATTTGACCTTCAATCACTGATATCTTTTCTTCCACTTGATTGAATTGGCCGTTGAAGCTTATGCATGCATCACGAAGTTCTCATGCCATGGTTTTCAGCTCCATCAGCTCATTTAAGGTCTACTGTACACTGTTTATTCTAGTTAGCCATTCATCTAACCTTTTCTCAAGGTTTTTAGCTTCCTTGCAAAGGGTTCAAACATGTTCCTTTAGCTCAGAGAAGTTTGTTATTACCGACCTTCTGAAGCCTACTTCTGTCAACTCTTCAAAGTCATTCTCCGTCCAGCTTTGTTCCTTTGCTGGTGAGGAGCTGCAATCCTTTGTAGGAGAAGAGGCACTCTGATTTTTAGAATTTTCAGCTTTTCTTCTCTGGTTTATCCCCATCTTTGTGGTTTTATCTACCTTTGGTCTTTGATGTTGGTGATCTACAGATAGGGTTTTGGTGTAGATGTCCTTTTTGTTGATGGTGATGCTATTCCTTTCTGTTTGTTAGTTTTCCTTCTAACAGTCAGGTCCCTCAGCTCCAGGTCTGTTGGAGTTTCCTGGAGGTCTACTCCAGACCCTGTTTGCCTGGGTATCACCAGCGGAGGCTGCAGAATAGCAAATATTACAGAACAGCAAATACTGCTGCCTGATCCTTCCTCTGGAAGCTTTGTCCCAGAGGGGCACCTGTTGGGAGTAGGACCCCAAAATCTGGCCATAAACTGGCCCCAAAACTGCCCATAAACAAAATCTCTGCAGTACTGTAACATGTCCATAATGGCCCTATTGCCCAAGCTGGAAGGTTCTGGGTTTACGGGAATGAGAGCAAGGAACAACTGGCCTGCCCAGGGCAGAAAACCGCTTAAAGGCATTCTTAAGCCACAAACAATAGCATGAGTGATCTGTGCCTTAAGGACATGCTCCTGCTGCAGTTAACTAGCCCAACTTATTCCTTTAATTCGGCCCATTCCTTCATTTCCCATAAGGGATACTTTTAGTTAATTTAATGTCTATAGGAACAATGCTAATGACTGGTTTGCTGTTAATAAATACATGGGTAAATCTCTGTTTGGGGCTTTCAGAAGGCTGTGAGACCCCTGATTTCCCACTTCACACCTCTATATTTCGGTGTGTGTGTCTTTAATTCCTCTAGTGCCGCTGGGTTAGGGTCTCCTTGACCAAGCTGGTCTCGGCAGGCACCCACCTATATGAGGTGTCTGTCGGCCCCTACTGGGAGGTGTCTCCCAGTTAGGCTACACGGGGTTCAGGGACCCACTTGAGTAGGCAGTCTGTCTGTTCTCAGAGCTCAAATGCTGTTTTGGGAGAATCACTGCTCTCTTCAGAGCTGTGAGACAGGGACATTTAAGTCTGCAGAAGTTGTCTGCTGCCTTTTCTTCAGCTAAACCTTGCCTACAAAGCTGGAGTCTAGAGGCAGTAGGCCTTGCTGAGCTGTGGATTGGCTCTGCCCAGTTCAAGCTTCTCGGCCACTTTGTTTACCTACTCAAGCCCCAGCAATGGTGGATGCCCCTCCCCCAGCCAGGCTGCTGCCTCATAGTTCAATCTGAGACTGCTGCACTAGCAGTGAGCAAGGTTCCGTGGGCGTGGGAACCCCAAGCCAGGCAAGGGAGAGCATCTCTTTGCCTGCTAGTTGCTAAGACCTTGGGAAAAGTGCAGTATTTGGGCAGAGTGTCCTGTTTTTCCAGGTACAGTCTGTCACAGCTTCCCTTGGCCAGGAAAGGGAAATACCCCGACCCCTTGCGCTTCCTGGGTGAGGCAATGCTCCGCCCTGCTTCAGCTCACCCTCCGTGGGCTGCACCCACTGTCCAACCAGTCCCAAGGAGATGAACCAGGTACCTCAGCTGGAAATGCAGAAATCACCCGTCTCCTGCCTTGATCATGCTGGGAGCTGCAGACTGGAGCTGTTCCTATTCGGCCATCTTGGAATAGATCCCAGTTGCATATTCTTATAAAACTATCTGGTGATTCTGTGCAGAATATATTAAGATTATATTGATTGCTCATATCCTCTAACATCCTCATATCCTGTAATATTGATATGAGTCAATCAATATAACCTTAGTATATTCTGCACAGTTAGAATCACCAGATAGTTTTAAAAGTTACTGCTGCATAGGTTCCATACCCAAAGATTCTGACTCAAATGGTCTGGAGTTGGGCCTGGACATCAGTATTTGTGATAGCTTCCCAAATGACTTTTAATGAGTACCAGGATTGAGACCTGCCCTAACATAAAACACAAAGATAGTACAAATGAGGTAAAATAATAGCTCAATTACTTAATCTCACTTATGAATACAGTTGCAAAAATAAAATATCCATATATAGAATTCACCTGTCATCAAAAATAATGACTTCTACTAAATAGACTATTTCAGAAACACATGAATGAGTCCCTCACAGAAAATTTATGCACATAATTTATTACTTTACAGTTCTGGTAAAGAAAACCCATAGGAACATATCAATAGATGCTGAAATTTTAACAACCAAATAAAAAATTTTAATAGGAATGCAAAAGAATTACTGAGATGTACTAGGGTCTGCTTGGTGGATATTAATAATGTTTACCCATATCTGCTTTCTGTTTTCTTCCAGGCATTCAGGCAGTTATATTTCCCAGTCCCCTTGCAGCTTTCTTGGTGGAGTCTGTGAGTTGTTTTGGTTAATGGGCTGGGAATGGAAGACTTGTGTCACTACTGTGCCAAAGCACAGAGGAGTTGGGGTATGAGAATGCCATACGCTCTCTTCCTCTACCGTGGTGACCCAGAAGGCTTTCTGTTGTGATTGCAGTGCCGTGGAATGGAAAAGCCTACTTTCTATCACTTCCTGGAGGTTTGTCCGGAACCACAGCTGGCTTTGAGGGAGTGAGAAATAAATGTGTAAAGCCACTGAGATTTTGGAGTTGTTTGTTACCACAGTATGACCTCCCTTGACCAGGGGTTGTTGGAAAGCTTTTCCTACAAAGGGCTGGATATTTTAGATTTTACAAGTCATATGGTCTCTGTCACAACTACCAACACTTTTCCATTGTAGCAGAAAGCAGCCATAGATAATATATAAATGAAGGAGCATGGCTGTGTTCCAATGAAACTTTGTTAACAAAAATAGGTGGTAGATTTGGCCCGTGGACCAGCATTTGCAGACCTCTGCTCTTGATGAATACTTTTGTATACTCAGGCTTTATTATAAATAAAATTCAAAATGATAGAATCCTAAAACCAATTCAGCTAAAAGCAGGAACAAGCAGGGTTGTCCACTATCACCACTTAATGACACTATTTTAGAGGGTCTAACTAATGCAATATGTTAAGACATTTAAGCAATTGGTATAAATATAGGCAAAAGGCCGATTGTGGTGGTTCACTCCTGTAATCCCAGCACTTTGGGAGGCCGAGGCAGGTGGAACATGAAGTCAGGAGTTCAAGACCAGCCTGGCCAAGATGGTGAAACCCCGTCTCTACTGAAAATACAAAAAATTAGCTGGGCGTGATGGTGGGCACCTGTAATCCCAGCTACTCAGAAGGCCGAGGCAGAGAATTGCTAGAACCTGGGAAGTGGAGGTTGCAGTTGAGCTGAGATTGCACCATTGCACTCCAGCCTGGGTGACAGAGCGAGACTCCATCTAAAAAAAAAAAGGCAAAAAATGTTTTCTGATAACATAATTAAATACCCAGAAGATCCAAGAAACACTAGTAAAAATGACTAATATTTATGTGACAATTTGGTAAGATGACTGAATACAATAGACATACAAAAGTCAATAAACTTGCTGTGTGTGCGTGTGCACATGTGTTAATAAATCTCCTATATATTCCCAATAGCAGTACCCTACACAGTGAAATGGGAAGTATTCACAATAGCAGTAAAAATTACACAGTAATTAGGAGTAAATTTAACAAGAAAGATATATCATGTAAAGAATAACAGAATCTGGACAAATGTGAAGACATCTGCTGACTCCGTTTCTTGCTGGGGGGAACTGCATAGCCACATTAGAAAGGGTGGAGGATTGGGACCACTTTGGAATCCACCTACCACACAGGGATTATCAGCTTTGAAGGCCCCATGACCAAGCATGGCTGTGTTACCAGCATCTAATGCCTCAGTTTGGTGTTGAGGTATTATTTGCAGTGGAATAAAAGTGAAATGTATTGTACATATCATGGTCAAGGTTTCATAGAGTAAAACCACTTGAGAGTCGAATGTGTAGGGATGCTCACACACATCAAATGGTAAGAGAAGTAACACAGGTCATTTTTGGGGTTCTAGCATTTTAAATGAGCACAGAGGCATTTTTCTAGTTAATTACATAACAGAGAGCAAAGACACTGGAAGCTGGAGCTGCCCTCTATGGTGTGGCTTGTTAGGCCATGACAGTTTGCACGTCCTTAGGTGCTGTTATAGCTTCAGCATCATCGCCTTTCCGACATTCTGAATGACTGACACACAAGTAAGAAAGCATTCTCTTCCAGCCCCACTGTGAATGGGGAAAGAGCCCCGGGGCTGGGAGACCTGGGGCAGGCAGGGCCTGTTGGTGAGCCTGCATCCTTCATGCACCTCCTGCCCTGGAGGCTCAGGCCACTGCTGTCACTGGCAAATAATAATGGGACATGAACTCACCTCTTATTAGGTCTCCAACTGATCCCTTGACAAGCCATCCAGAATGTGCACCCAGATGCTTTTATGAGAAAACTCATTAGGTTGCTCTGTACAAAGAAGCATATGCTGAAAGTTGATGAAACTTCTGCGGTCCCTAATAACCAGTCTTCCTGCCGTTGTTACTAAATGTCGCCAGTTGTCTTTCATTTTTTTCCGGTGGCACTACTGCTTAATTGAAACCCATCAATCAGTTCTATCAACTTGTCAGAATGTGTGGAGCTGGGACTGTGCTCAGCACCAGGCTTAGCGTCTTTGAGATGACAGAAAAGGTATGTGACACAGTCACTACCTTCAAAGAATCGAAAGTCTGTTTGGGAACAGTGAAGTGAACACTCAGGGCATAGTTATGGGAGAAATCAGGCTGTGCAGGGCTGAGCTCAAGAGAGCAGGGGCTCTGGAAAGGAGAGATCCATGTGGGCTGGAGGAAGAGGCGAGGTGAGCCCAGCCTGAGATGACCAGTGGGGTTTAGATATGTGGAAGAGAGAAGGGAGGGCATTCCCGGGGCGGGTCATGGTGCGGGGAAATATAAGAAGGTGGGATTCAGGTTGGTGTAAGCTGGGGACAGTGAGGGTCTCAGGCCATCAGGGGGTGGGCTTTGGAGCATGTGGGGGACAGGGAGGAGCTGGTGGCGAGCTGTGTGCAGTGCCACGGGACCTCCTGATGTGTGGCACGCAAAGCCCCATTGTTCTCATCCACGTTCAAACCTGTTGTTGGGCGGGCGTGCCATGAGCTGGGAGGAGCGGGAGCCGAGGATGCTAAGGGCACTCTGTGGAGCAATTCTCGCTGCAGGGCTGGTCAGGGAGCGTCTGGATGGTTTGGGGCAACTTCCTGAATCTCTCTCCCTTGGTTTTTCTCATTTATAAAATGGGAGTAATGACAGGTTGCTGGGAGTGTAAGTATTTAACACATGGACTGAAATGTGTGTGCAATATATATGCATATCTAATATATATGATTATATTATTTAATGATTTGTAAGTATATATTTATGATGCACAATTTATAATAATTTATAAGTATATATTTCTATTGCATAATTTATAATATAATTTATATTCATAAAATTATATTTGTATATTATATAGAAGTAGATATATCATTATTTATGAAAATTATAATGCACATTTTAATGACCCCCAAACTCATGGGCTTGTCCCTGGCTCCTTTTATTTATGAAACCTCTACTTGGAAATTAAAAAATGGGTAAGGATTTATCTCCAGGTAGAAAAGAAAAAATAAATCATACTGTGTAGTGTGCTGCAGATTTTAGTGCCTGTAAATTATCTTTGTTTTACCTTTATTTCACGGACAAGGCTGCTGAGGCACGTGGAAGTGAGTGGGCTCCCCTAGCCCCGACCCAGTCAAGACCAAACCAGGTCCCAGCATATCTCTGTGCTCCAAGGTACCATGAAGCTTGGGGGCCAGCAGAATTTGAAACAGACTCTTTTCCTCATAATCTCAGGCCATGACCACATACTTTTGGCTTCGTTTCTTTGGCAAGAGTCGTTTTGTGAGCTGGTTCCTAGATAATGAGGACCTGTGAGGAGTCCCGGCCCGCCGACAGCCTCAGCACAGGGTCACTGCCACGTGGGACCCAGGCCAGAGACATCCTGCCTCCTAGGAATGGATTCCAGAGGCCCTGGTCACTGACCAGCACACCTGTGGGTGAGACACAAACCCCCTCCTCCCACACGGAGCCAGCACTGTCTTTGCATTGTATATTTTGTATAAAAAGAGCTCCAATGTGGGAGCATTTCCTTTTTTTGTCTAAAATTGTCCAGATTGTTAACACCATCATTATCTGGACCCAGTTAATTACATTCAAACTTGCTTTTGTCCTAAGCGAGAGTTATTTCTGCGACTTCTTACACACAGTTTCCTAAACACAGCGAAGAAAACACTAGCCTGGATTTCATCTTCAGCTCCTCATCTTTACAAAGAAGGTACCAGCTGTTTGTGAACCCGCAGGGCATTAAACGCGCAGGAGCCTTGGACGGGAGCATGGAGAGAGAAATCCACAGGTTCCACCCAGGCTTTCTGAGCAAACAAAACCAGGGAAGGCAAACACAGGCCTTTTGTTCTGACCCCATGGTTCTAGCCAAGCGCTGCTTCGCTAAGGTTGACCTCACAGAGCTGAAGAGTGTGGCGTGAATTGCCAAGTTGACTGGGGCCATCCTGTGTGCCAGGGGACTTGGCCCTCCTCCCATGGCCAGTTTGCCTCTCACCTTCACACCCTGCCTCGCGGCCCAGGGGCCTCGGCGCAGGTGGGGTGAGGGAGACATCAGCAGGCTCCATCTCCCAGCAACAGGGTCGCTTTGATGGGTGCAGTTTCTGAGCCCGCTCAGCCAAGATCAGTAATAGCTTCCTCCTTCTCCTCCCCCACACAGACCTAGATATGTTTTCTTCTACATGTAAGTTATTGAAAATAGTCAAAGGCTCATCAAGACTTTGAAGAAATTCTTTCTTATGAACTCTTGTCCTTTTAATTAGCAGGAAGTAAATTCATGTAAAACAGTTTTGCGATCGCACAAGCAGATAGGAGGCGATCAGAAAATGTGCTTATCCTCATCTCCCAGCTTGACTTTCGTATTGCGGGGAAGTCCTTCATCCTTCTATCAACACTTTCTTTATTCCTGCCTCAAATCCTGGCTGCTTATTTAATCTGATGAAAGTCTTCTTTGCCTGTGTCTGCTCTAACCCCAGATATGTGCAATCATATAAAATGGATTCATGTGTGGCTCTCTTGCTGCTGTGCCTAAGCCTGACATTCTGGGTCACATGCACTGGAGATGCAGGACAGGCTTCTAAACCACGTGAACAGAGAGTGCGGACACACGGCTTGCCTTTATCTCCGTCCCAGGGTTCACAAGATCAATCACAATATTGTTCCCGCTGACCCTGGGAGGAAAAGTCATGAAACCCAACCCATGCCCCGTCCTCCCAGGGAGTTCGGGAAGAAAATTGCAGTCAAAGATTGAAGGAACAAGGACTGGAAGGGGAATTGTCCCTGGAAACCAATCTGCAGGCGGCTTCCTTTTCTCCCGAAACATGCCTTTTTTACTTTTGAGTCGCGGTCTCACTCTGTCAGCAGGGCTGGGACGCAGTGGCATCCCAAATTGCTTGGATTACAGTTGTGAGCCACTGGCTCCCAGGTCCAAAACATGCCTTTTATTTTTATTATTATTTATTATTATATTTATTTATTTTTGGAGACAGGGTCTTGCTCTGTCGCCCAGGCTAGAGTGCAATGGCATTATCATAGCTCACTGCAGCCTTGAACTCCTGGGCTCAAGCAATCCTGTTGCTTCAGCCTCCTGAGTAGCTGGGACCACAGGCACATGCCACCACACCCAGCTAATTTTTTAATTTTTTGTAGGGACAAGTTCTCTCTATCTTGCCCAGGCTGGTTTTGAACTCTTAGGCTCAAGTGATTTTCACATCTTGGCCTCCCAAAGTGCTGGGGTTACAGGCATGAGCCATATGCCCTGCCTGAAGCATGCCTTTTACATGGGAGTTTGTGATTTTGTAATACACTGAAATAGTTTACAGGCCTCTTAAAGCTGGTGCTGTTGTGAGGTGGGTCTGAGGGGAGCGAGGGGAGAGCTTCAGTTTGTCCCCTGGAAAGAGTGACACAGAACCCACCTGAACTCCAGGGGCAAAGGGGGCGGCTGGGGCTCCTCCCTGGGGAGGCCAAGCACTGTGGGCTTGGCGGGGAGCCCGGAATTTAGGTTTCCTGTATTGTCTTTAGAACAAGCTTCCCCAATTTGGTTTAGAAAGTTGCCTTTCTACACTGGAAGAGTTTCCAGCAGTCTCTTCCCAAGTGTCCAGGGCACGCCTGTTACCTCAGCTTTTCCATCAGAAGTGTTGGAGGGTCCCGAGTTGTCTGCACAGTTTAAAGGAGAACTTGCAGGAAATAATATTTATTTAGCATTTACTAAGTGCCAGGCACGATTCTAAACACTTCCTATAGATAGTAACCCATTGAATCTGCATGACAACCCTGTGGGGTAGGTATTCTGTTTTATCCAAATTTTACAAATGGGGAAACTGAGGCACAGGGAGGTTATGTAATTTGCTTACAGACGCAAGCATGAGATGAGACATTGGCCATTATAGATCTTTTCATGGTGACGTTTTGAGCCAAGCTGCCAATAAGTCAACTGTGTCTGGCCCCCTAAGTTCCTGCAGCTGCTCCTCCCTGTCTGGGGTGGTTGTGTTTCCTTTTATATTGTCCATTTCAGGACTCCTTTCAGTCAGCTGTTTAATTTCACCTCAGGTGGTCTCTTTTTCTTCAAAATGGAATTGGTTCTAGGGTAATGCGTGGAGGAGTCCTTGCCACCGTGGAGGGGCTGCCCTGCAGGGGCACTCGGCCTATCTGAACAGAAGTTTATTCATTCTTCCTCGGAGGCGGCACGCGGGCCTTCCTGAAGTGCTCATTCATCTCCAGGGAAGGTGGGTGAGAAGGGCACGGTCAGACCAGCCTCATTTTATGTCTTCTCAGTTTGTAGGCTGTGCATCCCTCAAACATCCTGAGATCCTAGGAAGTCATGTAGCCAATCAGCCTGTTGTCACTCAGTTTCTTCAAATACGGAATACCATCAGGCTCATGGGTTGGGAGAAATATATGTCCAAAGCCCCAATAAGCACTTTAAAAAAGCAAGAGCTCCTGAGTGCCTTCCTGCAGGATGGACCCTGGAGGTGCTGAAGGGTAAGCTGAGGCTGATGGCTGGGGAGTGTTTGGGGTGGTGTTGGTGGGGGTCAGCCTGGGGGCGCTGCCTTCCCCACCAGCCATTGTCTGTCCAGGGCTGCCCTGAACAGGCATGCTTCCTGGTAGGAGCTCCACAAATACACAGAACTGCAGAACAAATGATTCAAATAATGAAATCTATCAAGTTTGTACGTGAGTTTAACCAGCGCCCAGACCGGGGCGGCCTCCCAGTTGCACTCCCTGAGTGCCCGTCTGCCCCCTGGATAGTGTCTTACCTTCCTCACCGCCTAGTCCCTGGCTTCCCAGAGGATGGGAGGACAGCTCCTTCACTGGAAGGTATGCCTTCCTTTAAGTGATGTAGATATTTCTAGACTCTTCTCAGATCTTTGGTTCTCCCTGCTCCCTTCTCACACACACAGGGAAAGCAGAACCTACTGGGGGGAACTCGGAACTTTCAGGGCCAGCATTCACGTGTCTAGCCTGCCTTCCTTCCTCCCCAGCCTCTTCCTCATCCCAGGTTCCTGGCGATCCCGGCCGCTCCCCTCTCGCCTCCACAGAGACTGCTCTGAGTCTACTTCTTCTCCGCCTATGTCTCTCCGCCCTTTCTATGCGCTCCTTCCCATCCGCATTCAAACGTTCTCAGGTGTCTTTCATAGGTTCAAAAAGAGAATTCCCCTGACCTGTGTTTCCACATCGCCTCTCCTCTTTATGGCCACCACGTGGCGTTTTGTCCCCTCCTCCTCTCCTCTCCCTTATTCACAGATTCTGTTACCCCCAACACAGCTCTCAGCAAGGCCACTGAGGACCTCCTTGTGGCTCTGGGACCAATGACTCCTAGCGGCACGTGACGCTGCTGACCTTGTTCTGGAAACATTTTCTCAGCCTTGATGCTGCTGTGGATCCTTTTCTGGTTTCTCCTCCCACTGGAGGTGCCTCTGCATCACCTTTGCCAGGCTTCTTCGGCTCTGCCGGAGCTTCTTTGGTCCCGGCTTCTCTTCCCTTCTCAGCCTCTCTGCCCCGTGATCGGTGGGATCTCTTCCCAGGGCTTGGAACCCCGCTATGTCCTCTGACAACTCAGGTCTAAGTGTCCTACCGGTTGTCTCCCTGAGCGCCGCACACCTGCGGCTCCCCCTGGATGTGCGTGGATGCCTCAGACTCAGCAGGTCCACAGTGGGGCTCCAGCTTCTCACACCTATGCTCCTTTCTGTTTCTGTCTGAGGTGAACGGGACCATTCTCTACCCAGTGGCCCTATCCAGAACTTGGAGGGTCTCCCTTGACTTTCCCAGATTTCTTACCCCGCATTTTGACACCATCCAATGAATCATGAAGTCCTGTGAATTCTCCCAAATGCATCCTGTCTGTCCCCGTATCCCTTCCCCACTGAGATCCCCACATCCAGGCCACTGCCAGTTCTCATCCAGTCGCCACACCTGCTCCTAGGTCTTTCTGTCTTGAAATTACTATTTTTTTTCAATCCATTATCCAGACTAAAGCTGGAGCGATCTTTTCAAAATGCACATATAAGTCACCTCCTGATCAAGATTTCCAATAGATTCTATGTATTTGGGATGAAGTCTGAACTTCTTAACTTAGGTGAATCTTCATGTCCTGGACCCTACCTCCTTCTACTCCCATCTCCTGTCCTGCTCATCTGTGGCAGGTTTTTACCTTCCTCAAAAAATAAAATGTGGGGCCATCTAAGTCTCCTCTGTGTGACTTGGCTAGCCACACACACAACGACCGCCCTAGTCGCTGGGGTTTTTGAGCTGAGTTTTTGGCAGCTCCCAGTGGTAGTCTGGGAATGTCACCATCCTCTTGGAAAGTCCGTGGTGAGTTCTTTACAGCTGGCAGGACCTCTGAGGTGTCACCCTGAGGCTTAGCAGTCTTCTCATCATCTTCACTCCCTAACTAAGAAAGAGGGAGTGGAAGAGGGTGGTGAATCCTTCAATATTTAAAAGCACCAAACACAACAAAATTTATGTGGACCTCGTCATTATTACTATTCTGACTTAATGAACTTTATCCTCTCCTTTTTTGGCTGGAAAAACATAAAAGTCCCAATGAAAGGAAACGGATGTAGTTGCTTTGAGCATTTCCAAAGGAAACTGCAGTAAAATGTGAACCATCGCCCTGTGAAAGCCTGTTGTGTAATGGAGATGTCCTGATACTGTTTCCATCTGCCAGCTCTGTGTAAGCGGAGGGGGTGTCTCTGGCCAGCAGAGCCCCCACATCAGAGTCACAACAACAGCAAAGTCGTGGAAATGTTTGGGAAAAAAGCTCAAACCACACTTCTAACCATGCTCGGTTTTTCTTGTAACCGAAAGCCATGCAAAAGAAGGGAGGCCAAAGGAGGACCTGTGGGCTGGCAATTTAGAATGATGTTTGAACAGAGGAAGAGAAGTGAGGATGACTGGGAAGAACAGTCTTTGATGATCAATTCGTAAGCCCCAGTGAGCAGGCACAAACTCAGGTTCACCCAATGGGGAATGGAAACCAGTGTTGCCAGCGCTCGGGGAAGGCTGCAGCTTGGTTCGCCTTAGTGAAAGCTGTGGATGGCTCATGGTCCCAAGCTTCCTATTTTTCTTACTGTGCTCAGGGTGTCTGATTCCTGGCCAGTGTCTTGGATGTCCTGGGTCAGCCCACGTACGCCAGTGCATGTTGGAAGGGGAGAGTTGATTCCCTCTCCCAAGCCAGGAGGTCCGTCGGCATGGGCTCTTTCATAAGCATGCTTTCCTACAGAAGGTCTGAATGGTCACAGTCCAGTCTATAGTTTAAAAGAAGTGCAGGCCTTCTATTTGCGCCTGTCTTCCTCACGTGCCTTCCCCCGTTTCCTTCTCACTTCCTACCATGGCGGTGTAGAGACTCTCAAAATCAAGAGGGAAAAGAAGGAAGCTCAGTACTTCTTGCGGCGAGAGAAGCCAGTGCCGGTGCGGACACTCTTGGCTGGTGGAATCTGTGGTGGGGGTGGGGGGTGCCCTCACTGGCAGGGAGCTTACAGATGCATTGGGTGGTGTGAGGAGATCACAGATGTACTTGGCCTCTGTCTGTGAGCCCCCACCGTGTGTGCCGTGGCCCCTACACTTATCCCGCCCCCCCGTTGTGCTCCACAGAGCTGGAAAAAAGAATGGTCCCGTTATCATTGTCACCCAAGCAGTCGCTTCAACAGATGCCTTTGTTCTTCCAGGCTGCCCAGATACCAAAAGGCTGGAATTAATAATTGACTAAAATTAATAGGGCAGTGCTTGTCTAAATGAAATGTGGTCTGGGCTGCATTTCAACTTGACAGTTCTCGTTCTCCTGTTGGATTTTGTTGTTGTTGTTGGTTCTGGGGCAACTTTACAAGGATGTGGGTGAGTGTGCCTCAGTTTGATTTGTGGCTCAGCTGTCTACTTTTAAATTAAAATACCTGGCAAACAAAAGGCCCAGCTCTTGGGTTCAGAAAACGAACTGCAGACGTCTGAGGTGTGGCCCTGAGATTTAGCGGGAGCAGGAGTAAAACGGGTTAAAGTTTGGTTGAGAATAAAGTTAATATTCAGCACTGGTGTATTGTGGCTGCCAAGAATACGAGCTGTGGCCGTGTTAATAAAAGTGCAGTGTTTAGAGGGAGTGAGTGATCGTCTTGCTCTGGCTCTGTGGGACCACCCGTGGAGCTTGGCTGGGCTCTGTGAGGGGCACCTCTATTTAAAGGGAGCATGAGCAGATGGGGGGCTCTGACAGGAGAGCAGTGGGACCTTGTGGGCACCCGGGACCATGCTCGAGACACAGGGGAAGCAGGGGAGGGCATGGATGTCTTGGTTAAGAGAGTTGAAAGGCTACAGATACGAGAAAGGGGCACTGGACTGCTGTGCACATGAACGGTCCCAGCTCTGCAAGGGGGAAGCAGTGAGCGCCCCGGGAAGGGGATGCTGCATAACCACCCTGTGTGTACACGTCAGAAAGAAGCTTGAAACACGTGACCGTAGTCTTGTCCAGCCATGAGATTTTATCATTTTCAGATGGATGCATTTTCCTTCTTTTCAACAGGTTTAAGTAAAATTTATTAAGGTCAGTCTCCCGGGTGAATACTGAGGGCCCCTTGAATCAGCTCAGTGGGATTTCAACTCTGTCTGCACCTCAGATACTCCCCGGTTTGACTCTCAACACACCCTTGATATCTCTCAGTGAGCCTGACTGCATGGCACGAGGCCTGACTGCCAAGGTATCTCGTTCACTAGGAGTCTGAAAGAGTCAGTGCCTCTTCAACATGGCCAATTCATTCCTGAGGAGGACTTTACTTGCTAGGAGCAAATGATTAACTATTCATAACATTTGTTGAGCATCAAAAAATTGGGAATGAGCAAGTAGCCCGGAATTTGATACATTTCACTTCTTTGACTTTGCCATCTGAAGCCAGAGACAGGAAGTCATCTGAGCTGACGGGCATTTTGGGTGAGTGGTGTGCCAGTACCTCCTTCCAGGCCAGCACTGTGCAGAGAATCCCAGCAGCCTCCAAGACATCTAACAAACAGATAGAACTGAAAACCCAGTCATTGCAAGCTTCTGGTTTGGGTCCAGAACGTAGGCCATCTCAACCCTGAGGGCAAAGCCTTCTTCAGTGTCTCGCCAGAGAAACTAAGGGCCAGTCTTTGGTTGCCCTGGCAAGGACCAGGTCATCTAATTTAGGGGCATCTCTGAAAGCCATGCAAATGCTTTGTAAAGGCTACAGCAAAGGAAAAGGACAGGAGGAAAGTCACCTTGAGAATAATCATTTACCTTCCTTTCATCTTTTAAAAGAGAGGTAGGCAGAATTGCATGGAAGGAGGAAATCTAAGAACAGATAACTGTTCTTCACATTGACCCATTGCTTACTAATTTTAAAGGCACAGGAATAACCTCCTAGGGTGCACAACCAGGTCCCACTTGACCATGTAAAGGGCAGTGGGTATCGGCAGTTGCCTAGGGGATACCCAGCCCTGCTTCTGCCACATGAAAGCAACACCCACCACGTGCTTATTAGCTGCCTTTCTTGATTATGCACAACACCAATGGGACAAGCAGAGACTTCCAGAAAGGGTCTGCTGATGTCATGTGGCTGATGTCATTGGTGAAGCTGCAATGCATGGATCCTGTCCATTTAGAGACTCTTGCCATGGAGTCACACTCCATGCTGACTTGTCAAGCAAGACTTTCCAGCTGGGTCATAGCCCTGTGCCTGGCCAGCCAGGGAGTGGGCCCACAGAAATGGGAATGCAGGCTCAGAGGGACATCCTACTACCTCCCTGCAACATGAAAACAAAGCAAAGTGGGCTGCTGGCCTCATGCATGCATGCATGCACAGTGTGTGTGCGTCCACATGTGCATGCACGTGTGTGTTGGGGTGGATTGTATAAAGCAGGGAGAGGGAATATGGGAGAGATAAATGATGAAAAAAATGAGCGAAAAATTGAACCAGATTTATTCTGACAACGTTTAGGCCTGTGACTCTAATATTATAAATCACTTTCTTACAGAGGAATTTACTTCCTGAGCTTTACACAACTTTATAAGCCTGGCATGTGTATGAGAACAGAACCTAGAAATTGGAGATGGGAAAATGATGGTTTGTATAAATGTGGTTTGAAACCACAACTGGTGATTTTGTCAATGCAGGGGCTTCATCCGCCTGGGGCCCAGCACTGCAGGAAGTTGGTACAGCTTAGGAGTTTACTTCCAATACTTCCAAGATAAAATTTTAAAGAGCAGAATTAAAAAATGTTTTGTGGTGGCCACATGGCCTTCAACTCTGGGCTAAAAAGAAATTAAAGGGAATTTATAATCTGGGGATGAGGGCAGTATTGGGCTGTCAATAGAAGGTACTCGTTCAGGTAATCCTTATCCAGAGATGGGATGTCCACATGAACAGTACAGATCCAAACTCTCTTTCTCTGATCCTGTCTTCAATGATATCCATGGCTCTAACATGTTAGTGGGCACACATGGCTCAGAAATTGCGGCTGATTTAATGAATGAAGGACTGAATACAGAAGAAAATCTGGGAACAACTTCTAAAACAACTTCTATTTTTCTGGTCCCAAGAAAAAACTCAGCATGGGTATAACCTACCCCAGTACCTCTAATTGTCCAGTTCTTAACTTCTTTCCTTATCTGTCTTTCTCCTTGGCCCATCTCTTCCCAAAGACACACACATATGTGCATGTGCACATGCACACACACACACGCATGTACACACACACTCACATGAATGCACACATAAACTCACATGCACACACACATACACACATGCATGCACACACAAACTCACATGCATGCATGGGTGCACACACACTCACATGCACGTCACAGTGCCCTTGGCTATATCTCTTCTACCCCAACATTAAAGCCTGCTTTCCAGAAACCCTCCCAGCTTCCCTCTCAGGAAACTGAGTTCCTTGAAGCCAGAACATTATCCTGTTATGCATCTTGGTCTTCCCAGGGCGTGCATGGCACCTTACAGGTGCTCTGTGAGTCACTCAGGCACATAGTGACAGATCGTTACAAAAACATTACAAAGAAATGAAGCTTCAGAATTTGGAAAGTGATGTCAGCAAGATGGTACAATAGGAGTCTCCAATGCTCGTCTCCTTGCAGAAAAGTAAGTTTGAACCACAATCAACACATAAACTTACCTTCAGAAGAGTTAAGGAATCTAGGTGTGAGATTACTGCACTTGTGTGAAGCAAATAAAACACATATTGAAGAGAGTAGGAGGGACAATTTCACATTACTTGTGTCACCTTTCCCCTAAGCTTATGCAGCACACAGAAAAAGACCCTCTACATGGGAGAAGGAGAGTGAGGTGAACACCTGACTTTGTTGTGGACCCCAGCACCAGGCTTATCCCAGTGAACCCTGATGCCAGGCCAGTTCCCACAGCCCCATGCTCCAGGTTGTCACCCATGAACCCAGTTTCTAGGCCTGTCCCAGCACCAGGGTATCTCCCAAGGACTCAGCCTTCAGGCAAGCCTCTGTAGAGTCAGATTTCAGGCCTACCACAATGCCCTCTGGCCCCTGTGTCCCAGGCTCCAGGTTGACCCCCATAGACTCAGGCTTCAGGTTGGCCCCTGTGAACCTAGGCTTCAGGCCCACCCCAGCATCATGCCAGCTCCCATCTCCCTAGGCTCTAGGCCAGCCCATGTGGACACAGGCACCAGGGCTGCCCACCCCCTGACCTTGGCACCAGGCCAGCCCATCTGCACACCCTACCAGCCAGCCTGCATAGACTCTCTGGACAGGCTAACTGATGCAGAGCTTTCACTGTTGAGGCCTATTTGTAAAGACCAAAAGACGTGTGTACTTCTTCAAGTGCATAGACACCAATGCATGGCCACAAGAATCATAAATAATCATGGAAACATGCCATCACCAAAAGGACAAAATAAAGCACCAGAAACTGACCCTAAACATATTGAGATCTATTAACTGCCTGACAAGTTAAAATTATCATCTTAAAGGAGCTCAGTGAGTTACAAGAGAAAAAGATAGACAACTAAACAAAATCAGAACAGCAGTACAAGAACAAAATGAGAAGTTCAGCAAAGATATACAGATGATTAAAAGAACAAAACAGAAAGTCTGCAGCTGAAGAACACAATGACTAAACTGAAAAATTTGATAGAGATCTTTAACAGCAGTCTCAATCAAGAAGAAGAAAGAATGAACAAGCTTGAAGACAGGTCAACAAGCTTGATAGACTAGGTCACTAGTCTATCCAGTCAGAGGAACAAAAAGGAGAAAAAGGAAAAAGGGTGCAGAAAGCCTAGGGGACTTGTGTGACACCATGAGGTGAACCAATATATACATTATGAGAGTCCCAGAAGGAGCAGAGAAAGAGAATGGGGAAGAAAGTTTATTTAAAGAAATAATGACAGAAAACGTCCCAAAACTAGACAAGGAAATGAACATCCAGATCCACGAAATTCCAAAAACCCAAAATATATTAAACATAAAGAGAACTTCACTAAGACACTAAACAAATTCTCAAAAGTCACAAAGAAATAATTTTGAAAACAGCAAAAGAAAATGGACTCATTGCATATAAGGGAACTTCCATAAGTTTAATAGTGAATTTCTCAGCAGACACCTTGCAGTGCAGGACATAGTAGAATGATATATTCAAATCATTAAGAGAAAAAAAATCCTGCCAATAAAGAATACTAAAACCAGCAAAATTGTCCTTCTGAAATAAAGGGGAGATAAAGACTTTCCCAGACAAATAAAAGATGAAGAAGTTCATTACCACTAGAACTTCCTTACAGGAAATGCTAAAGAGAGTTCTTCAAATTGAAATGAAAGTGTATGCTAACAACATGAAAACATATGAAAGCATAAAACTTACTGGTTAAAACTAATATGTAGTCAAATTTAGAATTCTCCAATACTGTAATGTGGGGCATAAATCACTTATAACTCTATTATGAAAGTTAAAAGACACAAATATTAAAAACAACTATAGCTATAATTATTAATGGATACTCAATTACAAAGGTATAAAGTGTGATATCAATAACATAAATTGTGTGTGTGTGTAAGTAAAAATATAGAGACTTTCTATGTGATTGTAGTTAAGCTGTTATCAGCTTAAAAAGCCTATGAAAATTCTAAGATGTTTTATGTAATCATCATGATAACTACAAAGAAAAAAAAACCCTAGTAGAGACAGAAAAAATAAAGGAATCAAAGCATACCACTACAAAAAAATCAACAAATCACATCACATTGTATCCCATAAATATGTACAATTATTGTGTCAAAAAATTTTACAATGACAAAATAGCAAGAGAGAAAGAAACCAAGGAATTACAAAACAGTAAAAAAATTAACAAAATGGCAATAATGAGTACTTACTTATGATCACGAATTACTTTAAATGTAAAGAGATTCTCCAATCAAAAGACAGAGTGGCTGATCAGATTTTTAAAAAGGATCCAAAAATATGCTGCTTACAAGAGACTCACTTTAGTTTTAAGGACACACATAGGCTGAATTGAAGACATGGAAAAAGATATCCCATGCAATTGGTAACAAAAAGAGAGCAAGAGTGGCTATATTTATATTAAATAAACTAGACTTTCAGTCAAAGTCTGTCACAAGAGACAATGAAAGTCACTATGTAATTATAAAGGGATAAATTCATCAAGAGGATATAATCATTGCAAATATATATGCACCCAACTTTAGAGCACCTAAATAAAAAGCAAATATTGACAGTACTGGAGGGAGAAATAGATAGCAATACAAAAATAGTAGGAGACTTCAAAACCCCACTTTCAACAATGAATGGATCATTCAGACAGATAATTTTCTTTTCTACTGTTTAAGGAAACAGTAGACCTGAATAACACTATCAGCCAAATGGGCCTAACAGACCTATATAGAACATTCCATCCAACAGCATCAGAACAAATTCTTTCCTAGTGTACATGGAACATTATCCAGGATAGATCATATGTTAGGCCACAAAACAAGTCTTAATAAATTTAAGAGGATTAAAGTCATATCAAGTATCTTTTCCAACCACATAGTATAAAACTAGAAATCAGTAACATGAATGTAGTAGTCTGTTTTCATTCCACACGGCTGGGGAGGCCTCAGAATCATGGCGGGAGGCAAAAGGTACTTCTTACATGGCGATAGCAAGAGAAAATGAGGAAGAAGCAAAAGCGGAAACCCCTGATAAATCACATCAGATCTCGTGAGACTTATTCACTATCATGAGAATAGCATGGGAAAGACCTGCCCCCATGATTCAATTACCTTCCTCTGGGTCCCTCCCACAACACATGGGAATTCTGGGAGACACAATTCAAGTTGAGATTTGCATGGGGACACAGCCAAACCATATCAATGAAGAAAATTAGAAAATTCACAAATATGTGAAAATTAAACAACATGCTCATGAACAACAATGAGCCAAAGAAGAAATAAAAAAATAACTTGAGACAAATGGAAATGGAAACACAACATACCAAAACTTATGTGACGCAGAAAAAGCAGTGCTAAGAGGAAAGTTGATAGTGATAAATACCTATGTTAAGAAAAAGGAAGGATCTCAAATAAACAACATAACTTCATACCTCAAGGAACTAGAAAAAGAACAAACTAAGTCCAAAGTTAGCAGAAGGAAGGAAATGGAGATCAGAGCAGAAATAAAAGAAACAGAAGCTAGAAGAACAATAAAAAGATTAATGTAACTAAAAGTTGTTTTTTTGAGACAGGGTCTTGCTTTGTTGCCCAGGCTGGAGTGCAGTGGTGCAATCTTGGCTCACTGCAGCCTCAACCTCCCAGGCTTAAGCAATCCTCCCACTTCAGCCTCCCATGTAGCTGGAACTACAGGTGCATACCACCATGCCCAATTACTTTTTTTTTTTTTTTTTGTAGAGATGGGGTTTTGTTGCCCAGGCTGGTCTTGAACTCCTGAGCTCAAGGGATCTGCTGCCTCAGCCTCCCAAACTGCTGAGATTACAAGCATGAGCCACCACACCCAGCCGAAAGATAAAATTGACAAACCTTTAACTAGACTAAGAAAAAAAGAGTAGATTCAAATAAATAAAATCAGAAATGAGAGACATTACAACTAACACCAGAGAAATATGAAGGATCATATGAGACTACTGTAAACAATTATACACAAAAAATTGGATAATATAAAATAAATGAATAAATTCCTAGAAACATACAACCTCCCAGGACTGGATCAAGAGGAAATAGAAAATTTAAACAGACCTATAATTAGTAAGAAGATTGAATTGGGTATAAAAAAATCTCCCAAGATAGAAAAGCCCAGAGCCTGATGGCTGGACTAGTGAATTCTACCAAGACCTTAAGGGCAATTAATGCTAATCCTCAAATTCTTTCAAAAAACTGAAGAGAAGGGAACACTTCCAAACTCATTTACAAGGCCAACATTAGACTGATACCAAAGCCAGACAAACCCACTGCAAGAAACAAACATTACAGGCCAGTATCCCTGATGAACTTAGATGCAGAAATTCTCAACAAAATACTAGCAAACTGAATCTAGCAGCACGTTAGCAGGGTCATTCACCATTATTAAGTGGGCTCTATATCTGGGATGCAAAGATGATTCAACATATGCAAATCAATAACCGTGATACAGCAGTTAAAACAGTTAAGAATACAAATCATATGATCATCTCAGTGGATGCAGAGATGCATTTGTCAAAGTTCATTATCCTTTTATGATAAGAGATCTCAGCAAATTAGATATATAAAGAATGTACGTGAACACAATAAAGACGATATGTAACAAACCTATAGCTACCATCATAGTCAATGGGGAAAAGCTGGAAGATTTTCCTCTGAGATCAGAAACAAGACAAACACACCTACTCTCACCACTTCTATTCTACAAACTGGAAGTCCTAACCAAAGCAATTAGGCAAGAGAAAGAAACAAAAGTGACCCAAATTGGAAAGGAAGAAGTTAAATTATCTCTGTTTGCTGATGACATAATCTTATCTACGGAAAATCCTAAAGACTTTACCAGAAAACTGTTAGAACCAATAAACGAATTCAGTAAAGTTGCGGGATAAAAATCAACATACAAAAATTAGTAGCATTTTAATACAATAACAATAAACTATCAGGAATAGAAATTGAGAAAACAATTTCATTTACAACACTATAAAAATACTTAGGAATAAATTTAACCTAAATTAGGGCCTTCTGGGGGCTGGAGGGAAATGATGCAAGAAAGAGGAAGAAGAAAGCCTGTCCTCTCTCACCCCATGGACTCTGAAAAGAAGAAGGGAGATGAAAGAGACTCAAGACAGTTGGTTGACAGTGTGCTCTTTCCTGTCCCTCTTGCTCCCGAGGCAGCACTTCAATGTGCATTGGACTTGCATTACAAAGTTAGCGAGGTAAGGAGAGACTTTATATCACCGTGGCATATGGTACATTTACCCAGCACACCTTGAAGGAGACTGCAGACTCCAGGGAGGCTCCAAGATCTCACATGGCCCAAGAGCAGGAGTGCAGAGTTGGGTGAGCCAAGGCAGTTGACAAAGATTTTTTGTTTGACCAACCTTTAGTCAGGCTCCTGAAGCTTCTCCTTGGCCCATGCATGCACTTCCATGTAAAATCTCGTTTTAGCAAGAACCCTGTTAAGACAGTTTAAGAACCTTCTGTCCTTGATGTCTAATAATTCTTGATATTTGATCCAGTTCCCTATCCTCCACCATCCTCTAGGTGATGTATGATCACCCTACCCTGTCTTCAGCAAGGACTCTGTTAGGTCAGCGTAGCCAGAATCCACTTTATCCTGGATGTTTACTCTTAGTAATTTTCCATTCACTGACACCCCTGCTCCTTGGCTATACCTTCCTACTTGCTCAGGATGCATTCAGAGTTGACCCCAATCTCTCTCCCCCACTGCAAAATCCCACAGCTGTGGTCCCTATACCTATTGTGATGGTCCTGAATAAAGTCTACCTTACTGTGCCTTAACAAGGTATCATTGAATAATTTTTTCTTTAATACAGTGAACTTCTTACAGACCTGGCTTGGCCTGCAGGGAGTAGAGATGAGGGATGCAGAGGGGCAAGGAGATTGACAAAGGTCTGGAATCTGCAGCAACCAGGGTATTTATTTATAGCTGGAGGTGAATGACTTGGGCTTGGACCCCAGGTGTGGGTGCTGGCAAGACTTGTCAGCAAGCTGGATGGATAAGTTCTCCTTAGGGGTCCTGAATCCAGAAAGTGGTTAGAGCAGGCATTCTTTGCAGAGTCAGCAGGATTCAGACACTACTGCATGGGTAAGAGGACCCCTGCCAGTCTCCTCCCAAGCCACCTGTCTCCCCAAACCCTCTCTCCCAGAGGATAGAGGGAGGGAGAGCAGCAGAAAGGAGAGGAAATTGGCTTGAAAGAGACGGGGTCACTGAAAAGGGACTATTTATACCAGAAGAGATCAGGATAGCACTAGCTGAAGTGTGTAAGCCCACTGAGATGGGTACTAGTGAAGAAAAGGACATTATTTTTATAAAATAAATAAATTATATTCATTTTTTTGTCTAGATTGGAACCTCTCTTAAAGAGTGTATCTCTTATCCCTCTGGTCAGGGAGAACAAGATAAGTGACTGGGTTGCCCAGATCACGGTGTTGTTTTTCAAACTTTCTTGATGGTGGACAATGTTCTTTGGCCAGCAACTCTGGTTATCCTAAGTGCTGCTGGCCAGTGCTGTGGGGCCTGGAATATCCCTGGTGGGATCTGCAGCACCTCAGTCGTCATGGTTTGCTCTGCATCTCTCCTCCTTCTGTATGTTGGCTGCCATCTCCTCTCTCAGCACCCGCTCTCCTGTGCTGCCTTTTCCAGATGGTGGAGGGTGCATCTTCACGGCTCCGCAGATTCCTGGTTACAGCAGAGCCATATGTAGACCCACTGCAGCCCATGCTCCAGAGATGGGGAGCAAGTGTCCATCCCGGGACCATCCAAAGATGCCACAGTCAGCACTAATATGGGGACTGAAGGTTCCTCCGATGAGCAGGTGGGCAGTTCCCAGAGAACGAGGCAGGGGTGTGCTGCACCCACTCCTGGCAGGTGCTGCCCCTTCTTCTTTCTGGGCGTGAAGAGCTTCCTGTCTCCATGGCCAGGCTCATTTTTCCTGTCTAGAATGCTCCTGAAATGCCCCTTCCTGCATAAAGTCTTTCCTAGTTTTGTTTTTGTATTTCTTTTAGGACACTTACCTGTACTGTAACTATTTTGTGCTCTATGCAGTTTGCCTCAGGGATAGCAATTGTGACTGTTCAGGCTTTGGAGCACACAGTGCCTTGGAGGTGTCCCAGGTTGATGTTAAATTGAGTTGTTTATAAATAAGTGACCAAGATTTTGACAAAGATTTTTTGTTTGACCAAACTGAAGTCAGGCCCCTGAACCTTCTCCTAGACCCATATGTGCATTTCCTTGTAAAATCCAGTTTTAGCAAGAGCCCTGTTAAGACAGTTTAGCAATAACCTTTCATCCTTTATATATATATATATATAAAATAACTGTAGATTCCAGTTAATTAGTCCGATGTAATTATACATCTTAGGACACCACACAGGCAAGAGTTTCATATCCTCTTCCTTCATTGTCTGGACCAGAAAAAATATATTATAGTAATGTTATATATATATAAAATATAATGTTATATATATATAATGTAATGTTTTATATATATATAAAAATATAATGTAATATATTAAAGAGTGTATCTCTTATCCCTCTGGTCAGGGAGAACAAGATAAATGACTGGGTTCCCCAGATCACAGGTGTTGTTTTTCGAACTTCCTTGATGGTGGACAAGGTTCTTTGGCCAGCAGCTCTGGTTACCCTAAGTGCTGCTGGCCAGCACTTATATATATAATATATATATTTATATATAATGTAATATATATGTATATATGTATGTATACACACACACACACACACACACACACACACACACACATATATATATATAATGTAATGTTTTCTGGTCCAGACAATGAAGGAAGAGGATATGAAACTCTTGCCTGTGTGGTGTTGTAAGATGTATAATTACATCAGACTAATTAACTGGAATCTACAGTGCTGGGGACATTGAAACAAGGTTCAGCTACATCATATGAACAGGCCCACTCACCCAGATGAGGCTGGCAGGTCTGTAGACCACTGGGGGTCTGCCATGCCAGTCATTGCACAGCTTTAGCAAGCTCCATCTGCTACCTGTGAACCAGTGCTCAGCTGGCTAAGTATATCTGGAGGATTTTTCCTTCTTCACAGCGTCAAACGGCAGGCGGCAGGCACAGACCAGAGCTGGCCAGTTCCTCCATCAGGGTTGTGTGCAGATGTCGACTGTCCTTCAGGGGGTCTAGATAGCCTGTGGCCCTCAGACACCCTGTGTGAAAACCCTTGTCTTCAAAGTGTATGCAGGAAGGAGGCTGCACAAGGACACAGATAATAGGGGCTCTGCTTGTGATGTTCTCAAGGGCAGGACTGCAGCTTAGCAGCTTCTAATCGTTGAGAACCCAAATTCCTCATATTCACCATATTTTGTCCTTTAAAACTATACAAGGTTAAGTATTTGCATCCATTGACTACACCTTGCACACAAGATACCTTAGTTACTAAGATGGCAAGGAACTTGCTCAAGACTGTACAGCTTTCACACTCCCGCATATACCCAATATCTAGCACAATGCGTGACACACTATAGGAGTAATTAATTGTGCTTTGATTTTAATTCAACGTAATTTCTCTTTAAGTTCACAAATTTTTCAACTTATTATTTTTGTGGGCTTAAGGAAACATACTCTATTCTCTTGTAAGGCAGAGGTAAATCCAGTGCTGATATTGATGTTGAAAATGTTAATTACAAGGATATTGATGACAATATTGTTGTTAACACAAAGCAAAAGGCAAAGATTGGAGAGGATCAATCCTCCAGATGTCACATTTTGAGCCCTCCATTTTTGCACATGGAATCTTTTGCTGCTCCATTTCCTCACTATCTACTGAAACAATCCAAGGGAGCATTGGTTTAATATGTGGCTGGTGACACCCAACTCCACCTGGCTGGTCATGGGCTCCACCTAACACAGAGGCCACGCACAGCCCCAAACCCTCCCTTTGCTCTTCAGCAGTCTTTGTGCTACTCCCTGAGCTTTATTTTTAAAAGCCTCATGGGGGCAGTGAATCTACAAATATTGTATTTCAATCTACAATGGGCTTTAGCTCAAGGTCAGAAGCTATGCCTGAGACAGATGGCCCAGGGCTTTGCTGGCACTTCAGGGAAGTGTGTTAGACACACAGAAATGGTCTTTGCAGTTGCTTATGATGGGGGTGGAGACAAGAGCCTAAGGAGAGGGTTTTGAGATTTGAGATGCTCATGATTTCTTTGTCCATGAGTAAGAAGTGCATTTTAATCTTTCTGCAGCCATATCCTGCCATCTGGCCTTGTGGCAAAATCCAGAGAATTGTGCCTGAAGACCAAAGGCAGAACATGGCCCTGACTCTTGTGTAACTTCCCCCAAAGTCCTCGTCAGTCAGGAGACACTATTGTGCTGCCATGGGCAGCAGTGTTTGATAAACAGCAGTCCCGCATTTCCCTCCCATCTGTGTACGCAAAAGAATCCATAAATTAGAATTTCATGCCTCATTTTTATTTCTTTAGTGCTAAATGCAATGTCAACTTCGAAATTCCCAGGGGCAACAGATTGTGAATATTCAATAAATCACGCCACTTCTTTTGCACTGTTTTCTTGTTTTTATAGTGATACAGTTGAACTAGGTAATTTTCAAGGTCCCTTTCAGGTCAAAATCCAACTATTTTTGAGAATCCTGAGATCCAATGAGCACTGCTCAAAGGCTGAAGATATTAACACTGGAGTAGGTGGCACACAGCCTCACATCTCCTACCCAGACAGGCAGGTGCCAAGGACATAGCAAAAGGCAGCAGTGTTTGTATGTGAAATTTCCACTTTATAAAGCACCCTTACGAGGCTACCTATGTCTGCTAAAGCTGGGAAATCCTTTTTTTCTTTGAAGGTCCTAGCTGGCTGCCTCCTTCCACTGATGCTCCAGGCAGCATTGGGGCACAGTATGATGGTCAGGGGCGAGGAGATGGCCAGCCCTTCACAGCTTTCCCTGGCATCAACCCAAGGTAACTTAGCTGATGCCCTGTGTCTCAGCTCTTCATCTGGAAATGGGTAAGGAGGATGCTGTTTGTGACATTTGTGTGTCCACAGGTTGGCTAAAGGTTTGATAATGAGTATCAGCCTTTGTAAGGTGCTTGCCAGTTGACAGAGAGCTTCCATCTTCATGCTGTCTTATCCACCAGGAAGACTAACTAAATATTATTATTATTGTCGCCCTTTTATAGATGAAGCAACTAAAGCACCAAGGAGATTGAGTGAGTTGCCCTTTGTATGAGAGCAAGTAAGTGGCAGACTCGAACCCAGATACTTAGACGCTAATCCAGGGCTTTCCCCTATGCCACACTGTCCCCAAGCAATTCTAGACTGAATCTGTCCATAACTTTGTTTACCATCATTCTTGCCCATGTAATCACTTGGCATGTAGACCCTCCAGCTGCTGCCTTTTATTCTGTCTGTCCCTTCTACCTTATTTGCATTTCTCATTACGTGGTGCTCTCAATGAAAAGGAACTTTAGTGATTACTATTTTGTTTACTTTGTTACATCTATACTCCCCAAGGAATGTTTAATAGATAAGCAGTTTTGGAAAAATATCAAGGAAAGTGAGCAACGATCTATCTTGATGCCTACAATGAACAAAATTTGCTCGTGCAGTTCTCATGTCCATCCTTCCATCCAACCATGCATCCAACCCAAAATGTAGACACGCATCATCCACTAATCCTTCCATCCACCTTTCCATCCATCCATCCACATACCGACCCACCTATCTACCCACCTATCCATCTACCTCATCCACCCACATATACATCCATCCAGTCACCTAACCACCTATCCATCCATCCAACCATCCACTCACCTATTCATCCACCCATCCACCCACCTATTCAGCCACTCACTCACTCACCTACCCATCCATCCACCCATCTGTCTATCCACCCACCCATCTTTTCATCTATCTACCCACCCACCCACCCATCTATCCACCTATTCATCCACCCAACCATACTATCTACACAACCCACCTATCAACCCACCCATTCACCCATCCATCCACCCACCTACCCACCTACCCATCCACCCACTCTTTCCACCAATCTAACCATCCACCTATCCATCCACCCACCCATGCACCCACCCACCCATCTATCTACCTACACTCCCATCCACTCACCCATCTACTCCACTCACCCACCCATTCACCCATCCATCCATCCATCCATCCATCCATCCATCCATCCATCCAATATTGGCTATATACCTACTATTGACCAGGATGTCTGAAATACCTCTGGCTACGATATTGAGCAAAAACTACATGGGACCTTATCGTCAAAGAAGTAAATAGGTACAATTATGTGTGAGGTGCGTTCTGGTCGGGGGGGTGCAAGTGTAAATGGAGCCTTCTGCCACTCTGGCCTTAAGCCCTTGTTTAGCTCCCATGTTCCCTCACAGGCATTCCACGAAGATGGTTGATTTATCATCAAAGGGCATTATTCTTTTGGTACTTTCACAGGCTGACTTATCCCATTTAGTTATCCATGTGTATGTGTTATTTCTTTACATGTATGTATAGGTGCTTGGTTGCTTGAGCTGAAATCCCACACTTGGCTAGAGCAGATTAAAGGTGCGGTGGCCTTTCCGAGCACTTATTACTTTGTGAATGTCCAAGGTGCTTTTGTGTTTAGCTGAAGGTGATGATGGGCTTGTTTTTGTTTTGGTGGTATGGCAGGGAGGGAGGTTGAAAGAGGGTATGGAAGGGCACAGCTTCCCCTCTGCCCTCTGGTCTGGACTGGCCTTTAAGGAGGGTGCATTTGGGGCCAAGAACTAAGAAAGCTCTTCTATTACAGACATTATGAGACTGAGTTTTCCCCGTTCTGTCAGGTTCCTGCATTCATCTGGCACCCTAAGGCGGCTAGCTTTGAGCATTGGAGGACAGTAACAGAAGGAGGAGACTCACGTTCTCCCAGTGAACCATAAGCAAGGCCAAGGAGGGGGCCCTGCCAGTCTTCAGTGTCATGGTGCCCACATGAGGGAGTCTGAGAGGAGAAGGAGGTGGTAGGTGCAGCTGAAAGGCTGCCTGGGAGAAGGGAAGTTCCCGCGGACACGCTCAGGAATCTTCTAGGGGTGCGGCTGCTGAGGGTCCTGGGGTAGCCCGTGGAAGAGACGGGCCAGGAAGCCCCACCTCACATCCCTAATGCATAGAGGGCACAGGGGCCGGGGACCCCCACTCACACAGGCTGCATTTGCTGTGCTTCTTCCTCCACCGCCCAGGGCCAAGGGTCAGATTCACCTCCTCCGCGCCTTGTTTTGCAGCCTGCGCGGCTGCAGGGACATGTGGGGCTCTGAGCAGGCGCGGTGGGCAGGCTCCTCTGGTTTGTGGGAGTGCTACGAATGCCTGGGCTCAAAGCTTGGCCTTGATGACGTCTTAACAGTGGCTTCCCAAGTTGCCCCATGGAATTCTCTCCTCCTGGTGTTTGGCTGCTGCACCCCGTGCAGGCCTGTCCTGCTGCGGAAACTCCTCTCCCTCCTGCCGCCTCAATACAGTTGACTCCTCCCGTGCCTGAGCGCCCTGCTTGTCAGCTCCCCGTGGTCCTCTCCAGGGTCCGGTGCTTTCCGTGGAATGTCCAGA